>NC_000001.11:15534236-16799163 GCF_000001405.40 Homo sapiens | reverse complement strand
GATCCTGTCCCATACCCAGAAGGAAGGAATGCTGCATGGATGCCTGGAAGAATCTAGGCAGACAGGCCTTGCTGCGCTTTCCACTCAGTCTAGTCTAGCATTCCATCAGACCCTTTTTGTCCAGTCATATTTCTATGTGACTATCCATACTGTCTTGAACCTAAGTGTAAAAGTGGACAATTTCCCCTCTATCTTTGGGTCTTCATTCTGAAGGCTCCTGTGTATACACGTTAAATAAATGTGTATGCCTTTTTTCCTATTAATCAATCTTCTTCATGTCAGTGATTTTCCAGTGAACCTTTGGGAAGAAATACTGGCTCAATTAGAAATAGAAATTTGCAAGCCAGGTGCGGTGGCTCACGCCTGGAATCCTAGCACTTTGGGAAGCCAAGGTCAGGATCACCTGAAGTCAGGAGTTTGAGACTAGCCTGGCCAACATGGTGAAACCCTGTCTCTACCAAATATACAAAATTAGCCAGGCTTGGTGTTGCCTGCCTGTAGTCCCCACTACTCAGGAGACTGAGACAGGAGAATCGCTTGAACCTGGGAGGCAGAGGTTGCAGTGAGCCAAGATCACACCACTGCACTCCAGCCTGGGTGACAAGACCAAAACTCCATCAAAAAAAAAAAAAAGCAAGGAAAGAAAGAAAGAAAAAAGAAGGGAAGGAAGGAAAGAAGGAAGGAAGGAAGAAAGAAAAGAAAAGAAAAGAAAAGAAAAGAAAAGAAAAGAAAAGAAAAGAAAAAAGAAAAGAAAAGAAAAGAAAAGAAAAATAAATAAATTTGCAAAAAGATCCGCTATTAGACCTAGGCCAGTGGATCATGAAGCCACACACACCACACTTTGTTTCCTTGCAGGGATCCAGTCCCTCCCCTGAGAATGCAGGCTCCTGACTTCTGATCTCCCACACCCTCGGTGCTATGCAGTGTTAGCCCAGTATCTGGCTCACAGCAGTCCTAGTGAGCATCTCTTGGGGAGTCCCCTTTACCACCTGTGTATTACAGCTTCCCAAGGATTAGGAGTAAGGGGAAGAAGCCATTTAAACAAAATTGCTTTTGAAGCACAGATGGGTTCACAATACAGAAAAAATGGTGCTTAGCAAGAAATGTTTAGGATTTGGCAGATTCTGAAGTTCATTTCATTGTTTGATGCTTTAAACCAGCTGCTTCTCCCATTCCCTAAACATCAGCTCCCAAGAGAGCAAGTCAGCCTAGGACTCTCCAGGCAATGATATTTCCTTGGATAATATGCAACCTTTTCTGGAAGGTCTGTTCCATCAGCACTCAGCTCAGCACCCATCCAGAGCATCTCACTTCCCTTCTCACCATGGTTTCCCTAACAATGGATTCCACATGCACATACGGCTATAGAGGGTCAGTTCAACTGAGCGTGTTTCCCAGCAATTGACACAATAGATTCCTCTCTGGGGAGCGAAGGAGTCTACTTACCTGGGATTCCCCTTGTCTCTACTGAGCCACTGGGGGCCATGGTACAAGCAGCCAATCCTAAGGACCCTCCTGCTCTCCTCTTGTTGTCCAGCTTGTTTTCTTAGTATGCGCACTACTTGGTTTATGGTGCCTGGAGAACCTCAAGCCAACAAGATGCTTGCTCCTGACTTCTCTGATTCCAGGGTTCCTTACTTCCTAGTCTCCACCCCTGGTTCATAAGCAGCTTGAAGGAAGACACAACCAAGACCCTACCTTTGCAACAGCTGTGAAATGGGATCAGAGAATTCCGGTAAAAGTTTGTCAAGCTAAGTGGGATGTATCCAAGGCTTCGTAAGAAAGGAGGCTGGATCCAGCTCCAGAGCCACTTCTGGAGGCTTGGATAAGAATGGGAAAAGTAAGCCTCCCATTTGCAATTCGCAGACCCATGCTGTGTGGTCTTAAAGCCTCAGGATCAGTGAGGAGGCCCCAGGTCAAAATCCTGGCTGAAACTGTGGGCCCAAACACATAGGCTTTCATTATGGTACAAAAAAAAATGTGTCAAGTGTAGTGGGTGTTTGTTTTGGTTTTCAGAATATTAATATGGTTTAATACCGTTGTCTGGAGGGTTTAGAAGAATGGCATACATTGCAGAGTTCCTGGCACCTAGCAGAAACTCAATAAATGGTAGCTATTGAATTTCCCCCTTGTCTGTACAGCAGTAAGTCCAGACCTGCCCACTCTGGGCCTGCCTCCTTGGGAGCCTGAAGCATTTTGCAGAGGGGCTGCCCTTCCCCCGACTCAGTCACCTCAGTGTTGGTTGTGCCCCCCGCACCTGTAACTGGGTCATCTCTTACTTATCGCCCGCACTCAGCAGAAGAAATCAAATGAGTGTTAATTCAGAGCTGGGTTCGTCAAAACTACTGCTCTTTTCTGGTGTGCTTTATTTAAGTGTAAGCCAATCCAAGCTTACCATGGGGTTTCTGTGTAACTGAGAGTTCCCAGTGCTTTGTGGCAGGGCTCGCATTCATTCCAGACAAAGCATAATGAACCACAATCTCACATTACCTAATCACATGGAGGCAGCGCGGATCACAATGCCGCATTTGGCATTTCTGTGGTGCGCTCCATCTGAGGAGCTCAAAGGGCTTAAAGAAAACCCTTTCTTTATTTGGGAAGTATTATTATCTGGGTTTTACAGAGAGAGATACCGAGAGGTGAAGTGACCTGCTTTAAGACCACACAGCACGACGTCTCTGGGCTGAGATGGAGCCCAAGCAGCTGACAGGCGCTCCTTGGCCAGACATCACAGGCTCAAAACAGAAAGCTGCTCCCACAGAGCCTGTCCTCACCAGGCCCCGTGGGGGACTCACGGAGGAGACCGAACTCAATAGCAGAGACGAAGACAGAGGGAATTTAAAAGCATCAGCCAGAGGAAAGGTGTGCAAAGACCTGGCTCAGCCTCAAGAGAGCTGACTGCAGGATGAGACTTGCTCAGATAGAACATGAAGCCATGAACTCTGTTCAGCAGATATTTCTCCAGCTTTCTTCATGGATTGACCCCCAGAGAGAATCCTTTTATCACCTTGCTTCTCTGTGACAACATTATTTTTAGTAGTAGCCATGAAACGAAACAACAAAAATAATGGATAGAAGAGGAAAGCAGTGATATTTCTCTCTTACTGACCCTTCTGTGGATGGTTATGCCCATAAAATAGAAAAATAAATAATACAGTAAATATTACAGTACCAAAAAAGTAGTAGATTAGCACCTTTAACTACATTTTTGTAGTTAACTTTTTTTTTTTTTAAAGGAAATACGCTTAGAGTTAAATATTGGTCTATTGTAGTCATGAGGAATGACATCATGGTCTCTGTTTTTAACACTTAACTACTTTAATTTGTCCATGACCTAGAAGAAAAATTGATCTTCATCGTTTCATGTTCATTGAGCAGTTGTCCATCTACTTTTGTTCCTGGTTAATCACAGAACACTGTTTACTGATTTTAATTTTGAAAAGCGTCTTTCACATAAAGCAATAGACACATAAATTGTTACAAAAAATCTTAAGCAACAGAATATGTATGGCAAAGATTCATCAAAGTCCAATTTTACAATAAATTCTATAAATTGCAATAGTGCCCACATCTCTGTTTCTCCAGGATCGATTTTGTTGTCTTTCAAATGTCTCCATGGCTGAAAATTATGAACACAAATAAAAATGCCAAGTGATTACACAGATTGGCAGAACTGGAATAACTCAAGTTTTATATAAAGACACACAGAGAGACAATATCGTGGTAAAATATACAAAAATAAAGCAAATTGAGAGCTTGGGAAGAGAAGTAAGAGGGAGAAGCCAAGCCAGGGAGGGAAAGGCACCTTCAGTTATCTGCACACTGACATAGTTGCTATGGTTGGACCGTAAAGTTAGCTCAACAGTCCAGGCTTCCTGGCACCCGAAGAAAAAAGGGAGATGTGGCCAGTCATGCCATTCATATTGACGGAAAAGCAGCCACTTTGGGAGAGCCCGAAGAACAGCCTGGTGAACCCATGTGGAGGCTTCCATGCAGGGGCTGGCGGAGCCCACGGAGGGATGTCAGGAGCTACAGCACACTTGGATTCTATTTGTTTTCATTTTGGTTTCAGACCAGGAGAAGGTGAACTTGAAAAAGAGGTCCCAGATGCCCTGTGAACAACCGTTAGAAAGTAAGTGATTTAAAAGATTAATTTTACTAAGAAACTAGAAAATTTGTGTTCAACACATTTTAGAACTGAGATTAGATAAATGGCAATGCTTGACTAGATCCAGAATAATGAAGATGATGAAGAAGAGAGCTGGAGAGCAAGAGGGCTTCACATTCCTTTTCTACTCCGCATTTGGCGGCCTGTACTCCAACATGGCAACTCCCCCTGCCACGCAGCGGTGTGGGCTCTGGAGTCTGGGTGTGCACAGACCTGTGCCTAAATCCTGGTTCCAGGGGATGTCCCCTGGTGGTAAGGATAGATTGGCTTATCAGACGCCCTTCGTGCCAAGAACACTGGATAATGTGGACAAAACATCTTTTTCAAATCTATTTGAAGGCATCAAAAACCACCAGCTAATAGTAGCCTGTAGTCCCTGCTACTCAGGAGGCTGAGGTGGGAGGGTCACTTGAGCCCAGGAGTTTGAGGCCAGCCTGAGCAACATAGCAAGACCTCTGTCTCCTAAATAAATGAATAAGAATTTAAAAAAAAAAAAACTACTAACGCAATGAGAAACTAAGGCACTAAGATCCCAGAAACAAGGCGTGAGCGGAGAGGTGCCAGCCACTTTTCTCCTTGGCGTGCATGGATTCCCCAGCAGTGGCTCGGAAACTGAGAAGTTGAGCAGAGTTGCCAGGACTCTCATGGGGCTGAGGCACAGAAAGGAATTCAGAGCCCAGCAAGGAGGAAGAGCTGGGTTAAATACCACTGGTCTTCTGTTGAGACTCCCCACAAAGGGGTGATCCAGGAAGAACTCAGCCTGCAGAAAGCCTGAACCATCTTTAAAGAGCTCAGTTCTTGGTCGGATTAAGGTGATGTAAAATGAACTAATACATATCTAAACAACCCATGAGTCAAAATAAGAATTACCGTGGAAATTAGGAAATATTTCAATAAAAAGGTAATAAAACTAAAACATATCAAAATGTAAGGGATGCAGCCAAAGAATGCTTAAGAGAAATTTAAAACCTTGAATGCTTTACAAGAAAAGAAGAAAAGATGAAGAAACAATGAACTAAGTTTCCATCTCAAGATTTTAATAAAAAAACAGCATATTAAATCCTAAGATAGCATAAGAATGGAAATAATAAATAGCAGGAATTAATAAAGTAGAAAACAATAATACAACAAAGAAAACCAACAAAGTGAAAAAATAAAAATAAAAACAAGTCTTTAAAAAAGACAAATACAGGGACAGGTGCTGTGGCTCATGCCTGTAATCCCAGCACTTTGGGAGGCCAAGGTGGGGCGGATCACCTGAGGTCAGGAGTTTGAGACCAGCCTGACCGACATGGAGAAATCTGCTAAAAAAACAAAAAAGTAGCCAGGCATGGTGGCAGGCGCCTGTAATCCCAGCTACCTGGGAGGCTGAGGCAGGAGAATCGCTTGAACCTGGGAGGCTGAGGTTGCAGTGAACCAAGATCACGCCATTGCACTCCAGCCTGGGCAACAAGAGCGAAACTCCATCTCAAACAAACAAACAAACAACAAAAGAGATTAATACAACCGATAAGCCCATAAGATTAATTTTTTTTAAGAAGAGTCCCAAATATTATCAGGAATGGAAAGGAAGCCCTAACAATAGAATCTGTGGCTCCTAAATAAGACAAAAAGCTGTTCAGAACCAATTTATGATGATAAATGTTTAAATCTAGGTGAAATAGACAAATTCTTTGGAAAACACAACTTATTAAAACTGACCCAAATAAAAAAAGAATATCTGATATAATAGCCTTGTACCTATTAAAGAAATAAAATCCATAATGAAAAACCTTTCCACCAAAACAAAAACAAAAACAAACCTCCAGGCCCAGATGGCTTCATCAGTGAATTCTTCAAAACCTTTAAAGATGAAATAACATCAGTCTTTACAAAAGCTCTTCTAGAAAATAAAAATGACTTCTTGACTCATTTTTGAGAGCTTTATAACCTTAATACCTGACAAGGAAAGAAAATGGTGATTTCTTTCTCCTGAACATGGATGCTAATCCTAAACAAAATGTTATCAAACTGAATTCAGCAATATATAAACAGGACAATACATCACAAACAAGATGATATTTTTTTCCAGAAATGCAAGATTATTTCAGTGTTCGGAAATCAGTCTATGTAATTTACCACAGTAACAGAATAAAGAAGAAAATCGTTGATCAGCTCAATAGATTCAGAAAAGGCATTTGATAAAATTCAACCCCTGGCGATAGTAAAAGGAAAAAAGAAGTATTTAGGAAAGTACGACTAAAAGGGAAATGCCTTAACATGATAGAGTATCTACAAAAAAACCCTCCAGCAAATATCATATAAATGTTCAAATATTGATACTTTTCCCCTAATACTGAGAATAAAAGAAAGATGCTTCCTATCTATCACCACTTCTATTCATTATTGTTTTGGAGGTCCTAGCCTTTGCAGTAAAGCAAGAAAACAAATAAAATTTTAAGAAATAGAAAGAAAAAAAACTGCCATTATTGACAGACTATATCACTGCATATGCAGAAAATACAAAATAATTTATAGAAAAACTAACAGAATTAATAAGTAAATTCAGCAAGGTTCTTGGATTGAAATATCAATATACAAAGTCAGTTGTACTTATATATAACAGAAACAAAAACAGAATCAAAAAAGAAAACATTGAAAAATTGGACTACATTAAAATTTGAGTCTTCTTTTCACCAAAAGATACTATTAAGAATGAAAAGAAAAGCCATAGAGAAGACGTTTACAATCCATATAAATGACAAATGATTCATAACCGGAAAATATAAAGAACTCCTACAAATCACCTGGAAAGACAGAAAACCCAGTAGAAAAACAGGCAAGAGACCTGAATAAGCCAGTAGATATCCAAATGGCCAATAGCATTTGAAAAGCTGCTCAATTTCATTAGTCATCAGGGAAATGCAAACTGAAACACATTCATCAGGATGGCAAAAGTAAAAAGAGACCAACAGTATCAAGTGTTGGTGAGGATGTGGATCCCCCAGGACTCTCATAGCTGAAAGTGAACTGGTACAGCCACTTTGCAAAACTATGTAAACAGTATCTACTAAAGCTGAAAATCCACACACCTTATGACCCATCAATTACATTTCTTGGTATATCCTATGCCGAAATATGTACACCAAGACACATGTACAGGTGACCCTTGAGCAACATGGGTTTGAACTGCGTGGGTCCACTTATACACAGATTTTCCTCCACCTCTGCCATCCCTGAGACAAGACCAACCCCTCCTCTTCCTCCTCCTCGTCAGCCTACTCAATGTGAAGACGGTGAGGATGAAGACCTTTATGATGATTCACTTTTACTTAATGAATAGTAAATATATTTTCTCATTCTTATAATTTTCTTAAAAGTATTTTCTATTTTCTAGCTCACTTTACTGTAAGAATACAGTATATACATTCAAAATATGTGTTAATCAATTATTTATGTCATCAGTAAGGGTTCTGGTCAATAGTAAGCTATTACTAGTTAAGTTTGGGAGAGCCAAAAGTTATACATGAATTTTTTACTGCTCCGACCCTCATTGTTCAAGGGTCAACTATCCAAGAACATTCCAAGTAGCATTATTTGTCATGGGGCAAAATTAAAATCTACTCAAATAACCAGCAAAATGAAAAATGTATAAATAAATTGTGATACATTCATACTATGAACATCTTTATAGCATTAAAAATGACCAAACTACTTGTACATGAATGACATTAGATCAGCATTACAGATGTCATACTGAGTGGAGAAAAAAGTCAGACAAAAAGAACATATAATGTAGAATTCTGTTTTTATAAAATTCACAAACTAGCCATCTAATACTCGGTGACAAAAATGGTCACCATTGGGGAAGAGGAGGTTATTGGAGAGGGTCTGGGATTTTTCTGAGGCTGGTAATAGTCTAGCTCTTGATTTGGGTGGATGGTTACACAGGTATGTTCACTTTTATGATAACCCACTTAGTTGTACACTATGCCTGTCTTTATGTACATAATACTTCAATTTTTTAAAGTTTATTTACTAGCTAGCTGTGTGATAGTGGCAAGGTACTTAACCAGCAGAAGTCTCTGACCTCATCCATAAAACTGATATAAACATGACTGCTTCAAAGGACTGCTCTGAAATATAAATGAAATAATGTAGGTGAAAAGCTTAGCACAGGTCCTGGCTGATAAACAATAGTACTTTATAATCACCATTGAGGAGTTTATTTTATTGTTTATTTCCGGGATTATCAGGGTTTGGCCACTTGCAGACAGCAGCCAGGTCTCTTCCTGGCACACCTGTCAGCAGCAAACCTGAGATTTTTCAAGGCCTCCTGGGATACCAGCCTCAGGCTGTGTTTAGGGCTTGGTGTGGTGGCTCACGCCTTTAATACTAGCACTTTGGGAGACCGAGGTGGGCAGATCACTTGAGGTCAGGAGTTTGAGACCAGCCTGGCCAACATGGTGAAACCCCGTCTCTACTAAAAATACAAAAATTAGCCAGAAATCTCTTGAACCCAGGAGGCAGAGGTTGCAGTGAGTGGAGATGGTACCACTGCACTCCAGCTTGGACAACAGAGCAAGACTCCATCTCAAGAAAAAAAGAAAAAGAAAAAAACCCTGTTTAGAGGCCCCCGGTCCTCACACTTGCAGAGGCTCCCCTCCTAATACCAAGAGTGTTGGGGGATCGAACTGCTTGGAGATGGAGATTGAGCTTCTGTTGTCCAGACAAGTTCATGCCTCTGTGACCCCCCCCTTCCCAGAGGTAGGCCTTTAGGATGCTGAGATTGAGCTTCTGTTGTCCAGACAAGCTCATGCCTCTAGACCCTGCTTCCCAGAGGCAGGCCTTTAGGGTGCCCCAAGGCAGGAAAATGCAATCATGTGAACCAGAGGAAGTCCCATAGAGCTGAGGCATCCCTGAGAGAGGGAGGGAGTTCAGGCACCCGCCCCTGCAGCCCCTCAGCCTCAGAGAAGGGAGAAGGGAGAGTGTCCAAGGCAAACCTGACCTGAGGCTTTGGGTGGCAGGGGAGTGCATAATGAATGCCTCGCTGGAGCACCTCAGTGATAATGTGGGTATTGTGGGGGCATCCCGAGTGGCACACAGACTCCATTCATCCTGTGCACAAACAGGACTCTGCAGACCCAGCTGCTTCTTTGGAAGCCATGGGAGGTTATTAAATATGAGCTACAGCTGCTTTTTTGCCAATTCACATTTTGTAAAGGCTCATGTTGTTTTTGCTCTTGCCTTTTTGACTTAGAGCCCCTGTCTTGGACTTGGCTTTGTCCA
This sequence comes from Homo sapiens, assembly GCF_000001405.40. Classification (NCBI taxonomy): domain Eukaryota; kingdom Metazoa; phylum Chordata; class Mammalia; order Primates; family Hominidae; genus Homo; species Homo sapiens. The sequence continues at coordinate 16,789,727 of NC_000001.11, read as the reverse complement.
GGTATTTCTTCATTTTGAGAGACAGCATCTTCAAATGCAGACATTGCCCAAATCTTTCCTGATTATAAAAATCACCTGGGTTTCTGTTAAAAATACAGATTTCTGGGCCTCAACCCAGACACACTAAATGCAATGTCTAAGACTGGGGCTCTAGGAACTTATAGTTTTAAAAAGAGTACCAGGTGATTCTTATAATTATTCAAATTGGGAAACCATCCTTCAACCTGGTTCCTTCAAATTCCAGGGAATCTCCTCTGGTAACTGTTCCCATTTGGGCTCCCTTTACTTTCTTCCATTTTTTTTTTAAACTCAAATTTCTCTTTTTCTATGCAATAAGCTCTTCATAGTAGTTCCACGTTCTATCCACCCCAAGTTTCTTACCCTTTCCTTTTGTTCAGGCTCAACACCTCAAACTCTAAAGCTGTGGTACCCTCTCTGCAATTCCCATGATGCTGAGATAATGCCCCAAGCCATGGCTTCTCACTCCTATGGGGATTGGGGGCAGGAGGAAATCTGGCTAAATGACATATTATTTAACTCAAATTAAGGTGGATTTCTTCTGAAAACTATCCAATGATTGATAACACCCAGAGGTAACTCAAAGCCGTTCTGCAAAATCACTACAAACTTCCAAAACAGTATTTTGAGAGTTACAAGCACTACCAATAACCTTGCCTTAAAACACCACAATATGCCATTTAAGAGTATTTTTTCTGGTCAGTATTTCTCCATAATCCTTTATCCAGGGGCCACTGCTCAGAATTTGGAGTTAGAACATCTGAGTCTTGTCTGAGTTCTGATTTCAATGTGTGGTAGGAGATATCTCCATCTAATTGGGTTTCTTCATATTTCGTATACACTGATGATAATTTCATATACACTGATGATAATGGCTTACCTGTTTTCCAGAGTTCTTGATCATCTCGTGGGGCTGTAGAAAGAGCCCAGAGCGTGGATGACAGGGGTTTCATTGAATGAATGAATGAGTGACTGAATGAATGAGGTAATGGGTGCCACATCAAGAAAGGCAGTTTTACTAAGAATAATTAGGAACAAATGTTGGATCTTTTTTAAAAAAATAAATCCCATAAGGTGTGAGGCTGAGATCCTGTGAAGTGGTGCCGAATTTGGAGGCAGAGTCCTGCCAGGAGAATGTTCTTCTCTGCTGGTGTCTGTGCTGACCCTCTGCTCAATCTGCTAGTTGCCCAAAAAGACACGTTGGTGATCTTCACTTGAGTTTCTGCTTCTTTTGTCTTTCAGAGTATTGTTGGATCCGGGCTGCCAGGAAGCAGAATTTGATGACAGTTTTTGGGTTTGACTTGCCAGTGAGCACGTTTGGCTGGGTGTAGGGCTTCCGTGGTGTAGCTGGCCCATGGCCTTGAATTTCTTCCAGTGGGCCCACTGCATTTCCCAAATGGACTCTTGCAAAGGGCATCTTACAAGTCAGAGAGTGTGTGTAAGTGTACGTGCATGCACATGTAGAGAACAGACCTCCTCTTGGATGTCCGGCCTTTAAAACGACATCAAATCATCCTCGTCACCATCTGCAAATATGCCTTGAGCACTCAGTATATGCAAAGCACCGTTCTAGATGTTATGAGGAATGCAACAAAATAGAGTTCCTTCCATGGCTTTCAGAAATTTATAGACTCGGTTAGGCAGATAAAATCAATAATATCCCATTTATATCAGTCTGGTTTCTTGGTTGCATGCCTTAGAAATCAACTCTGGTTAAGCTGTATTCCAGGTGGGAGGACCTGATAAGCCCTCTTCCAGGTGGCACCAGATGTATGTGTCCAGAACGGAGCTTGAGGAAGTGAATCATGCCTGGAAAAGGGTGTGTCTAAGGACCCAAGAGGGAAAGTGTGCACTCGCAGAATATGACTACAAAAAAATATGTAGAACAAATGCTCATCTTTGAAGAAGTGTGAAGGAGAGTGTTTTGACTAGTTGAAACTTATGGAGCTGAAAGAGCAATTTTAAGAGGATGCGAAGGAACTGTTCACGTATGACCCCCTCACTGCCCAGAAATCACAGATGTAAGCCCCCACTGGACACAGAGGGCAGGGTGGGGCCCAATGAGCAGGATGGCACTGATGATGATGGTTGAGAGCCTGGCCTCTGAGAGCAGAAATGAGTGTGCCTGCAAAAGAACTCCTTGCCCTTCAGCAAGAAAGGCACATGGTGCCAGCAGAAAAAGAGGCAGGACCCAAAACGCTTACTTACCTCAATTCGTTGTTCTGTAAAATGAAGATTCTGGACCCTTCCCTGCCAAAAGCAAATGGATGTTGATAATAAACCAAGATAAGATTAGTATAGAGAAAAGAGTGCAGTATATGAGAAGACATGGGATCTGGTGCTACAACCATGATTTACTAGCTATGCGACCTTGGGCAAGGCATTTAACTTTTCCAAGTCTATTTGCTCTTCAATAAAATGAAGTTGGTAATTCTGGGTAGGTAGAAAACAATTGAGATACAATGCATGTGAAACTCTTTGACAAATTATATAAAGTGCACTGCCAGGGTAAGGAACTATGCTTATTCTCCTTTAAAAAATGCATGTGGATGTTGTTATCAGTAAAAGACCATGAAGAGTTTTAAGGATGTTCGGCCGGGCGCGGTGGCCCACGCCTGTAATCCCAGCACTTTGGGAGGCCAAGGCCGGTGGATCATGAGGTCAGGAGATCAAGACCATCCTGGCTAACACGGTGAAACCCAGTCTCTACTAAAAACACAAAAAAGAATTAGCTGGCCATGGTGGCGGGCGCCTGTAGTCCCAGCTACTCGGGAGGCTGAGGTGGCAGAATGGTGTGAACCTGGAAGGAGGAGCTTGCAGTGAGCCGAGATCGCGTCACTGCACTCCAGCCTGGGCGACAGAGTGAGACTCCATCTCAAAACAAACAAACAAACAAACAAACAGAGTTTTAAGGATGTTCATCAATAACTGATTCCTACGGTTACTTCCCCTGCCTTACACTCAGGCTGCTGGCCTGCCCTGCAAAGGTTCTGCTGGGACTCTGCTTGTCTCCAGAATAAGCCAGTGGCCAGAGAATCCTTTGAGCCAACCTCTCCGTGGGCCGGCATGGAGGTGATAAATCTTTTGTATTGACCCAGGAGAAAGCCCCAGCAACAAAGACCAATTTATTTTCTTAGTAAATCACAAAATGTTCCTGCAGCAAACTCCTGGGACTATGCAAAGCATCACAGTCCCTAGGAGGAAAAAGGGATGGGCTGGCTGGACGGGAGCTGAAATATGTCCATCTGGCCCAGTGAATGTCAGAGTGCACCCCAGCTGACCACATGAAACAGTCTCTATGAAATGCAGATGTTTGGTAGGGTTGGGTGTTGCTTCCCCCGCAATTTAAAAGCCTTCCATGCCTGCTGCTTACTTATAGACTTCTTCCTCCCCACACTGTTTGGCTCAGTGGGTTCGAGAGGGTGTTTTGGGGTGTTTGGATAACAGTGCATTGTGGTGGTGGGATTTATTAACAACAGCCATTCTTCCCCACTCCTGCAAGTTGCTGCCTCATAGTCCGTATTTAATGTTTAAATTAAGGTGAATTAAAATTAATTTTGTTGGAGGAATTCTGCAGCTCCCGCTTGAGATAAGTGGAGACACCCTGGGGTGATATAAAATTGAGGTTAGGAATTGCTGCATTGGAGTGCTGTGCTAATGAGGTGAAGGTCAGGGGTTCAATTCCCTTGTGAAGGGAGCAGTTAATTTCACTCTCCCTCACGGCCTCAGATTCCACCCTTAACCCTGGCCGTCTGCCTCCAAGAGGAGCCACTGGTCACCAGCAGGACAAAGTGAGATAGAGGACCAGATCTATACAAATCCACCAAACCCGTTAGAATGACAACCCAAAGCATGACCCATGAGTAATGTGCCAGGATTTTTAATTTTGCAAATGACAGCACTATTATATTATTACTTTATATTAGAGTAAACATGTACAAATATGGACAATACCAATGAATCAGATGTCATGGGTTCCAAATTCTCTAAGGCATTACTCTTACTTCCCAAGTGTTTAGCTACCTTGTTAGAGAGACAGCTTAATAAATGTATTGTGTATATCATGGTCACAGTCAATTCTTCTTGAGCCTTAAGAGGGAGAGAAGTGGTGTGGATCTCTCCAAACAAAAGATAGTACCAATATCACTCATATTTAGTTTGGAAAAGATGATACAATTTAGGGACAGCAGATTGCCCTCCTTAATTATGTTTTTCTTTAGCTAATAGTAATATTAGTTTGCATTCCCCTGAACATGTTGACGGATGGCAGAAAAGAGAGCCCAAATGCTCAAAAAGGGAGGAAGTTCAGGATTAAGCATTTGTCAGGGATAATCCACAGAATAGAGATAATCCAACTTCATTAATCAAAAGCTATCTCTATCCTACTAATTATCAACTTACCATTGTCCTTGTTAGAAAATAGAATTTTAGGCCGTTGAATTTTCTCTAATTCACTCCCCTCTCTTGTGTATCTAGGTTCTACTCCAGCCCAAAGGCCAACCTAAGTGACACCTTCTAGCCAGGGCAACACTGGCCTCCGCTGCCTGGGGCCTTCTGCAGCACTTATGGTATATGCTAAATTGTGGTTTAGAAAGTGTGTTTCCTTAGTGCTTGAGGGCAAGGCTCAAATTTTTAGGTTCCTATATGTCTCACAGGGCCTAGCACAACACTGAACATCCAATAGGTGCTTAATAATAGCATGCTCATTAACATTGACAGACTAATTACAGTAAGGAATAATGAAGAATTACCACCCTCTTGCCCCATTTGACAAAATTCAACACCCATTCATTAGAAAACCTCTCAGAAAAATAGGAATAGAGGGGGACTTCCTCAACTTACTAAAAAGCATCTATAAAACCCTATAGCTAACATTATACTTGATGATGAAAGGCTGAATGCTTTCCACATAAGATCAAGGAGAGGCAAGAATGACCACTCTACCACTCCTATTCAACTTCCTACTGGAAGTTCTGCCAGTGCAATAAAATAAGAAAATAAAATAAAAGCAGATAGTTTGGAAAGGAAGAAATAAAACCATCCCTATGATTGTGAACATAGACAATCCCAAAGAATCTATAAAACAAACCAAAAAAAAAACCCTAGAACTAATGAGTTCAGCAATGTTACAGAATAAGAGATAAACACATGAACTCAATTCTATTTCTGTATACTGCAATGAACAAGTGGACACCAAAATTACAAATGCAATGCCATTTGCAGTCACTCAAGAGAAATGAAATACGTAGGTGTAAATCTAACAAAATATGTGCAGTACTTGTGTGCTTAAAATTCCTACAAAAGAAACCAAATAAGAGCTAAAATACATGAAGAAGCATTACAAATTCATGAATCAGAAGACTCAACAGTAAAGATGTCAATTCTCCCCATCTTGATATATGGGTCAATATAACTGCAAACAAAATCCCAGCAATATTATTGCATAGATCTAGACAAGATTATCCTAAATGTATATAAAATGGCAGAGAAACTAGAATAGCTAAAACAATTTTGAAAAAGAAAAATGAAATGGGATAGATTAGTCTACCTAATGTCAAGATTTACTGTATAGCTACAGTGATCAAGGCTACATGCTATTAGTGAAGGGATAGATACACAGACCAGTGGAAGTTAATAGAAATAGGCCCACGCAAAATTTCCAACTGACTTTAGATAAGGGTACAAAGGCAATTCAATGGAGGAAAGATACCCTTTTCAACAAATGGTATGGAAGCAATCGATATTCATAAGCAAAAAATAAATAAATAAACCTCAATCTAGTCTCACGCTTCATGCAGAAATTAACTCCAAATTGATCATGGATTTACATGTAAAACATAAAACGATAAAACTTATAGAGAAAAAAAGAGAAAATATTTGAAAGCTAGGGCCAGGCAAGGAATTCTTAGACTTGATGCCAAAAGCATGAGCCATAAGAGGAAAAATGGTTAAATTAGACTTCATCAAAGTTAAACATTTGCTCTATGAAAGACCCTGTTAAGAGGATGAAAAGTCAAGCTACAGACTGGGAGAAAATACTTGCAAACTGCCTATCTGACAAAGGACTAGTATGTAGAATATAGAAAGAACTCTCAAAACTCCACAGTAAAAAAAATAAAAAATAAATAAATAAGAATTTTTAAATTTGAAGAAATGAGAAAAGACATGAAGAGATATTTAACTGAAGAGGAAAATATACAGGTGGCAAATAAGCATATGAAGAGGTAATTTAAAATCATTAGCCATTAGGAAAATACAAATTACAACCACAATGAGATATCATTACATGACTATTGAATGGCTAAAAGAGTGACAACCACAAATGCTGGCAAGGATGTGGAGAAACTGGATCCCTCATACATTGTTGGTGAGAATGTAAAATGGTGCAATCACTCTAGAAAACAGTCTGACAGTTTCTTATAAAACTAAACATGCAAGGTCTGTGCAACCTGGCATGCACTCCTGAGCATTCATCCCAGGAAAAAAAAAAAAAAAAACACAAAAAACTTAGGTTCCCACAAAAACCCACATGTGAATGTCTGCAGCAGCTTTGTTTGTAATCCCCCCAAAGTGGAAAAAACCAGCTGCCCTTCAGGTGGAAGGTGAGTGGTTAAACAAACTGCAGTACATCTCTATTATGGAATACTACTCAGCAACAAAAGAGAAAACTATTGACACATGCCACAACCTGGGTGAACCTCCAGACGGTTGTGCTGAGTAAGAAAAGTCAAGGTTGCATGCTGTGTAATTCCATTCATATGAAATTCTTGACATGACAAAATTATAACTTTAGTTATACAAAGAACAGTTTAGTAGTTATACAAAGAACAGTTTAGTAGTTATACAAAGAACAGTTTAGTAGTTGTCAGGAGTTAAAGATGGGGCAGAGATGGGGAGAGTAAGAGGACGCAGGTGCGGCCACAAAAGGGCAACATGAGGGACCTTGGTGATGACGGACATGTTCTGAATCTGGACTCTATCAATGTCAGTGTCCTGTTTGTGAAATCATACAATAGTTTTGAAGGTATTACCTTTGGGAGAAACTGTATAAAAGGTACATAGGTCTCCACATCATTTCTTACATTTGCATGTGAACCTACAATTTCTCTCAAAATGAAAAGTCCAATTAAATAATAATCACCCTTATCTGTCCATGCTGGAGAGAGGTGTTACGCTGCCAGAGTTTCAGATCTGCTCTGAGCACCATGATCTGGGTTTACCATCATCCTCATAATATACTCCCTCTTGTATTCCAGATAGAAACAATAAGTACTGAAGAGTCAGCAAGCTGTGCTCAGGAATTGCACCAAAATGATAATGCTCCGGGTGTTGAATTTGCCAGCACAGGGACTCTGGGTGGCAAATAGCGGCCGTGCAAGTACGGATATAGGGCAAGGAACTCAATATGGAGCCAAGTTTCAGGAGGAAGATCAGAGAATTAGATTAGGGAATAGATCTAATCTATTAGAGATTAGCAAGCAAGCAAGCAAGCAAGAGAATAATCAGGAGTCTAAAAGTATTTATTGATCAGGAATAAGGGCTGGGCACCTCACTTGGGACTCAAGGCCATGACTTGGCCAAGCAACAAAGATAACACTTAAGGCCATGCTCATGGTAGGCAGAAGAGGCATTCCCTTATATATCTCCTAGTTCATTCAACAAATGTTTAGTGAGAAATTCTCAGAGGTCGCTCACCAAGGCAGGTGCCCAAGACACAGACCTGGTCAGCTAAAGTTCCCTGGCTTCTAGAGGAAGCAGAATAGCAAGAATGCTTGGGAACACATCAGGAGGAACATCATTTCCAGGGTTGTGTAGTCAGATAACACGTTATATGAGGAAGTGGTGTGGAAGTGTGGGGTGCAGAGGAGGCGAGATTCATGCAGAGAGAAGGTCTCATGGCCCTGAGCTGAGAGGTTACAGGACCATTAGCACAGCTGGGGTTCTTCTGTAAAGACAGGAAAGCAGAAGTCAGGAATTGAGGGATACGGCTGGTGTTTGTGGGCTATGCTGGTTATGAGCAAAGGCTCAAGTCAGGGAAATACCACACAGCAGGCGATTGTGGACACTCTCACTCCATGGATCACAAAGAACCACAGGCCAAGATAGGCCAGAACACTGGATCATCTTTCCCTGGAGGAGTCAGAGCCCTATAATCTATGAGGCCCTCATGGGTTCTTTCATCCCCAGAGCTCCAGGTGTAGCTGATGTTCCTCCTCCCTCTGCTGGAACCCTCTGACTCTCAAATAGGCTTCACACATGAAGCCGGGAGATTGTTTTATACTCTAAATAACTTTCTGTTTCTACAACAGATGGGAAGACTGTATCTTCTAGCCTAATTGGAGGCTCACAATTCCAGGGAGAATTTCGGCTGGGCAGGAGCTCTCTTCCTCTGAGATTTTATTTCCCAGGGACATTCCATACTTGGCCCATGACAGAGGCTGCAGTTGCCCAAGGGAACAATGCGTCAAGGGCCACTCATCCTTTGGAAAGCAGAAGTCCAGATACCAGAGTAAAACCATAACTCATTAACACTTCCAACAAGTATTTATTATGTGTTGAGCAATCTGTGCCAGCCCTGATGACCTAATGGTGAGCAAAACCATGTTCTGTCTTCCTGCAACCTGCAATCTGGCAAGTGGGTCAAAGAGCCTAAAGAAGGTATTAGTTAGAATACAGGTGCAGCAATTCTAACAGAACCTCAAAATACTAGGGTTCAGATAAGATGGAACTGCATTTACCTTTCACAAGGGTGGGCAGTCGAGACCCAGGTACCTTCCACCTTGTTGCTCCAGCATCCTGAGTGTGTGGCCCTCATCCATGTGGTCCAAGATGGTTCACCATCACCATGATAGCCACACTCCAACAAGGAGGAAGGAAGAGAAAGGTGGGAGAATGGAAGGAATAAACCCCTCTTTTCAAAGGTCCAGAGGTCACACCACACTGAAGCTCAAACTCTTCTTGCAGAAATCAGTCCCATGACCACACCAGGCTGCAAGGGATACTAGAGAAAGCAGTTTTTAAGTAGACAGCCGTGTGCCGGACACTCTTTCAATTATCGTGGAAGAAGGTGAGCATGGATACTGCAGGTGAGTAGCAATCTCTAATGAAGCAGGTGGGTGAGTAAAGAGAGGACGCAGCTCTCCAAAAACAAAAGCAAATAAGTGATCAGAGCTGAGCAGAAAGGGAAAAACCCACAAATGCACAAGATCTAAAGGGCAGGAGGAAAGGAGGGGAAATATCAAAAAACAAAGGGAACACAGATTCCGAACCTGGGCTTTGGAATATCTAGGCACTGCATCTATATTTCCTCCCAAGACAGGCATCACCCCACACGTACAGGCGGGAAAGGTATGAAGAGAAGAGTGTTTGCCTGCAGCAGGTCTGATGAAATGAGCTCCTCCAGGGCTCACGCTTTTAGCTCCAGACTGTCCATTTTGAAAAATCACTAAGAAGACTAATGGTGCTGCCCATCAGTAGTGCCAACCTATTGCCTTGCCAACCATCCTAATGGCCACAATGATGCTAATGATGATGGCAGTGTTGATGCTGGATATGTTATTTGTCTCACTGGAGCAGCAGTGGATTCCCTTGACATCCTTGGCTGAAACGTGCGGTGAAGTAGAAACCTTAATTGGCGCAATGCTGGTAGGCAAGGGGGAAATTCACAGCAAACCTAAGCCCTTCCTCTGTAGGACGGGAGGCGAAACAATAGCAAAGGCACTCTGAGAGTGCATGGTCCTAGGACTCTCAGAACGTGCTCATCTCCCCTCACTCAGTCCCCAACATGTTTCAGGTTTATTTAGCTTTTCATATTTTCATGAAAAAGGCACAATAACAGCCAAGTACATTTTCCAACCATTGAGTTCTACCCACTCTGTGCCAGCCACTGTGCTGAGTGTTCAGCAGCATTTCAAAATGCTTTCATGACATCTCCTTTGGGTCTTTACTCTGTGAGGTAAGGGCAGTAGATATCAGAGACATTTCCACGTAACACGGAAGGAAAACATGATGGGTGATTTGTCCAAGATCGCGCAGCCAATCCACAGCCAAGGCTGGTCCAGTTTCCCTCCTCCCTGTCTGTTGCATCTGCTGAACCCATCTCTTGTCACACAATCCAATTTATTTCGGGGATGACTTCTCCAGTGCCACTTGGTGCACTGCACAGTGATTCTCTAATATAGGTCAAATCCCACGACAGGTATATTTCACTCCTTCTCCCCTCTTCCCCTCTCCTCCTCCCCCCTTACCCCTCCTTTCCTCCCCTTCCTCTCCCTCACCCCCTTCCCCCCCTCCTCCTCCCCTTCCTCCCCTTCTCCTCCTACCCCTACTCCCCCTGCTCTCCTCTTCCCCCTCTCCTCCTCCCCCTCCTACCCTCTTCCCACTCCCCGCCTTTCCCCTTCCCCCCTTCCTCCTCCCCCTCTCCTTGCTTGGCTGCAGCCCACCTGCCCGGCTCTCCTCCTGCCTCCTTGCTTGCTCCCTATCTCCTTTGCAGGTTCCTCCTCTTCTCCCCAAACACCTCAGACCTCAGTCTTCAGACCTCCTGCTTCTCTGTCCACACTTGCTGCCCCCATCAATGAGCTCATCCAGAGTCATGATTGTAGCTGCCTCACCAACACTGATGATGCCAAAGTCCAATCTCCAGCCCACATCACCCCCTCAACTCCAGGCTCAGAGAGCCAGCCAGCCACTTGTCTTCTCCACTGGAACGTCTACCTGCAACTCCAATGGATTGTGTCCAAAACAGAGTCCCTGATTTTCCCTCCCAAATACTGTTCACCCCCAACCCCCAGCCATCCTATCTCAGGGAACATGATATGGTTTGTATCTGTGTCCCCACTCAGACCTCATGTTCACTGTAATCCCCAATGTTGGAGGTGGGGCCTGGTGGGAGGCGATTGTATCATGGGGGCAGATTTCTCATGAATGGTTTAGCACCATCTCTCTTGGTGCCATCCTGCAGATAGAGAGAGAGTTCTCATGAGATCTGGTTGTTTAAAAGTGTGTGGCACCTCCCCCCTTGCTGTCTTGCTCCTGCTCTGGCCATGTGACATGCCCACTCTCCCTCTGCCTTCCACCATGATTGGAAGCTTCCTGAGGCCTCCCCAGAAGGAAAGCAGATGCCAGCACCATGCTTCCTGTACAGCCTGCAGAACCGTGAGCCAATTAAACCTCTGTTCTTTATAGACTTCCCAGTCTCTGGTATTTCTTTATGGCAATGCTGGAACAGCCTAATGCAGAACGTTAACTCTTTTTTCCCAGTTGCTGAGGACAACACTTGGTCTGGCACCTCACATCCAATCTTTGCCAATGTTGGCAAATCCTACTGGCTCTATTTTCAAAACATTTCCAAAACCTGACTCTGCTGCTGCCCTGATTTAGACTGCCATCCCCCTTGCCTGGACTAGCCATAGCCTCCTAATCCATGCCCCTGACTCCACCCTCATCCCTCAGTCCACTCTCAGCCTAGAGCCCAGAAGGACCCTGCAGAAACTGAAATTGGATTATGTCACTTCTCTGCTCAGAGAATGGCTCCCGTATCCTCAGGATGGCCTCTGGGGCCCTCCATAATCTGTCACCCCCCAACACACCCTTACTCTGTCTCATCTTATCTTCCCCACATCCCCTCCCACCTGCAGCAGCGCTGGTCTTCGTGTTCCCAGAACACTCTGGCCACCCTCATGCTTGGGTCTGGGCCTAGCCCCTCTTCCCGGAGGTCTCTGCTTGGCCAGTCTTCCACCTCCTTCAGGTTTGTTTGCAAATGTCACCTTCATGGTGGGAGCTTCCTCAGCAGTAGGCATATCCCTCTGCCCACCAGCCCTTCCCTTCCCCTCCACCTTCTCCACTTTTCCTCCTTGGCACTTAACAACCTCTGGCATGCTGTGTATTTTATCTTGTGTGTTGCTCTGCTTCCCCCATTAGAAGTGAAGCTCCCGGAGAGCAGGAATTCTCGTCCATTTTGCTCACTGCTATTTTCCCGATACCTGGAATAGTGCCAGGGGCTTGGCCTATAGCAGGTTGGCAATGAATATTTGTTGAATAAATAAATTAAATGAATGGCTTTACCCCATTCTAGCCTTGAGCAAGATGCCTACTCTCTCTGAGTGTTAATTTTCACCTCTGTGAAAGGAACATGACAATGGCCATCCCACATCGTCCTTATAGGGATGAAAGATAGTGTGTGCAAAAAAACCAGGGCAGTGCCTGATGGGACATCATTCATTGCTATTGCTATGATTTCAGAGGAAGGTTGAGCCACTTAAAACACGTAACCCAAACCCAGTAGATGGAGATGGTGTTGTAGATCTCAAAGCCCTCTTGGCCTGGCTGACCTCCAGGTTGGTAATCACTTTCCCTGCCGGAGGAGGGGGTTCCAAGCTAGTAAGGAGCCTCCTTGCCACTGTGTTCAACAACTCACTTGCAATTCATCCATTCATGCAGTCAACAGTATTGACGGTATCTCAGAAGCTGGGCATTCACAGACTTCGGGTCTCCCCTCACGGAGTCCATTGCCCTTCAAAGGACATGAACAGAGAGAGCTGACGTCAGAGAATGTGATCAGCTCTGGAAGATCAGGGCCAGTCTGTTGCCTGCTCCCACCCACATCTCCATCCTATAGCCTGGCATACTCAGCATCATCTCAAGGTGCCAGACAATCATAAGCAAAGCAAAACAAAAAGTGAACAACATTGGCACGTCCTGACAGTAAAAATGTCAGCTGAGGAATTTGGCCTCTTGTCTTTGAGACCATAAACAAGAGCACAAACTTTCAAGGGTCCCTCACGGTATCAGGGCTGAGTGCCTCTACCTCAGGGCCTCCCCTGCAGGCCACAGGCTTGCACTGAGGTGAGCTGGATCCAAAGGCAATGAAGGGTCAGAAGGAAAGAGGTCCTGTGGGCCTCTCTCAGCCTCTCCAGGTCAACCAAGAACTCACGGGAGCTTAAACAAAGGCCGAGGATGCTCTTGGCCTGGACCAGCCTCCGTGATTGAATGGGAAGGGCACCCTGCATTCTGGAGTTTCTGGACCACAACTTCCTTCCCCCGCTGTCTCCTGAGGGGCAACTTCCGGCCAGGTTCCAGAAGAGTCATGTTCAGGATCATGGAGAAGGACAGGCTCGAGGCTGGAGCCCACCCCCATGTGCCTTGGCCCTGCTCCAAAGCGTACCTCCACCCCTTCACCTCTCCGTTGCCATTTCTCCTGGGGACGAAGTTTTCCCTCAAATGGGTGCTCCTGAAACAGATTCACCCAAAGGATGTGGGAGGGCCTTGGAAGGGCCTTGGGTGAGAGGGCATTTGGCTCCCCTGTAAAGGCTTCAGCAAGGAGTGAATCCTGAGACCATAGTGGGCAGGGGCGGGGGCAGGGCTGGCTCTTCCCTCTATGCCAAGGCACAGGAGAGCCTGTGTTTGACTGGGGTGTTTTCCCCGATGGTGGCCGAGCTGCCAGCAGTTCCTGCAAGACCCCACTTGATGAGGCAGGGCTGAGAGGAGGTGATTAGGAGGTGCAGATTTCAGGTTGGCGAGTGGCAAGTGGCAGAACATTCTGGCCCCTAAGTCCCCTTGTTGGCATGCTCGAGTGTCTTTTCTCCCAAAGAGCTCTTCCACGAGCATGTCCAGAGAGTGTCTGCCTGGCCCCATGACCAACTCTCCTTTGCAGCAGTGGAGAGGGGACAACTTCCTCCAGGGAGCTCAGAGGCTTTCCTGAGCCACCCCTAAAATGGCAGGTGCTCCTGGGACGCAGTCTGTATCCTATGACCTCAGGTCACCACATCACACACAGGGCCTGTTCTGAACTCACCAGCTAGGCTTCCTTCGGAGCCACACACGCAGACAGTCTCCTCAGCTGGGAAATGCACCCCCAGAGAAGGCCAGGTGTGCACACGACAGGTAGGGGCTGGGGAGGAACCCCAGCTTACACCTTCACCATCAACCCAGGATCAACAATGTGGTAAGAGCTAGGGCCTTGGATGCAAGGAGACTGTGCTGGGATCTTCACAGCCACCTGACACTGGACAAGTGTCACCTCTTTGAGTTTCATCTGAGAAATGGAGGTGACGATGTGACAGTGTTGTTGTGAGGCTGGAGGAGGTACCATGTGTCCAGCATCTACCAGTGCCAGGGAGGTAGGAATTGCTTGAGAGATAATGGACACCGCCCTTGCTCATGTGGGGAGAAACGGGAGAAGGTGGCAAGCCATACCCCAAGCCACGTGTAACCCTGATGTGTGGGGAGGCTTCTCTCTTGTTGTCCACCGCAGAGTGCACGACCCCGCCTTCATTTACCAAACCCCAAAGTATCCCTGCAGGCCCAGCTCCTTCTGTGCACCTGAATTCCTGGGGCAGAGCCCACGCCCCTCCTGCTGCTTCTGCTTTGGACACTGTGTGTTTGCATTCTGAGTGTTTGCATTTGTCTCTCCACCTGTCAGCAACTGCTTGGGGATAAGGATTCTGCCTTGCTCAGTGCCCCCTCCTCAGCTCCCGTCCCCTTCCCCGGTGCAGAGGTGCCCAGTGAACGACAATCTAGCCCTCAGCCCCGGCTCTGTCTCAGAAGGTGCCAGTAGCCCCAGGGGTGACCCAAGGCACGGAGGCACATCTGAGGAAGGCCGTGGCAACAAGGCAACTTCTTCTTTCCTCCCTCCCTGTCCTGGTCACTCACTCTTTTCATTCCTGTGGAGCGCTGATGGCTGGTGAGATCGTTGTTTGTCAGCCAGAGCACAAACGACATGCAGGAAGGGCAGACGATATGTCAAAGGTCACCCGCTAAACCTACGGCAGAACCAAGATGAAAATGTGTCACCGCCTCAAGTTCAGACCAGGGATTGGCCTACCCCACACGAGCTCCATGAACAACAGACAACCTCGCACCATTCAGAAAAGATGGTGGACGCTCCGAGTGCTCAACTCGGGTCACCTCCTTGGGCAAAGTGTCTTGTCTTTAAAACTGGAACCAAGCGAGGGTATGTCCAGTCCTGGCTTCAGCTGGGAGTGTCCTGGAAGGCTCTGCCTGACCCCACGTTGAAGTTAGGTTTCCCCGACTCTACCCTGTCATGTCTCCCTGTGGTTTTTCTGTGACAGCACTTGTCACATAAATCAATGTCTGTTTTATTTGTAAAATTATTTGTTCAATGTCCAATTCTCCTCCACACTGATAGATAGGAGGACAGGGATGTATCCAAAGGGTTTAGCATACTACCGAGTGTATAATAAGCTCTCAGAGTATGCATCCAACAAGTAGTTATTAAGGTCTTCCACATGCAACATATTGTTCTTGGTGTTAGCAGACTAAAATGATACACAGGTGGATTGATGGAGAGTTTGTTAAAATAATACAAGATGCCAAACTGGGCTATGTGACTGCAATGCTTCCTATTGCTGCTGTAACCAATTATCAAATTTAGGAGCTTAAAACAACATCAACTGACTTGTCATGAAGAAAAAAATCAGTCTCACCGGGCTAGGATTGAAGCGTCCAGCAGGGTCAGCTCCTTCCAGAGGCTCTGAAGGGAAAATCTATTTCCTTGCCTGTTCCAGTTTCTAGAAGCTGCCTGCTTTCCTCTTCTAGATCCTCCCTCCATCCTCCAACCCCTCGCGCTCTGATCTCTGCTTCAGCCATCACGTCTCCTTCTCTAACTCTGACCCTCCTGCCTCCCTCCTGTAAGGACCCTTGTGATTCTTAGAAGATCCATTCAGAGAATCCAGGATCATCTCATCTCAAATCCTGAATTTAAACACATCTGTAAAGTCCCTTTTGTCATGCAAGGTAACATAGTCACAGGCTCCCGGGATTACAGCACGGACATCTTTGAGCGCTCATTATTCAGTCTACCCTGGTGACTCATGGAATATGTCTTTTGGAATCTTTTAATGAGGAAGTCTTCCTAAACTGCAGCAGTCTCTTACTCTAAGCCTCAAAACGTTTTAGTAAATTCTGCACTCTACATTTTGGAATCACATCTTACCCAAATCAGAGATTTTGGGTTCTCGTCTGCTCAGCATGTTTACGACATGTGCGTGTGATATGACTACCCGCCTAGTAGCAAGGGGACCTCTCCTGTGGTGGGTTGAATTGAGTCCCCAGCCCCAAAAGATATGCTGATGTCCTAACTCTGATGCCTGTGAATATGACCCTATTAGAAAATAGGATATAATTGCAGATGTAATCAAGTTAAAATAAGATCCTACTGGATTAGGGCAAGCCCTAAATCCAATGACTGGTGTTCTCACAAAGAGAAAAAGATTTGAATACGGAGACAGAGACAGAGACAGAGGGAAGATGGCCACACGACAGCAAAGGCAGAGACTGGAGAGATGCAACCGCCGGCCGAGAACTGCCAAGGACTGCTGGCAAGCGCCAGAAGCCAGAAAGCGGCAAGGAAGAAGTGTGGTCCTGCGACACATTGATTTCAGACTTCCAGCCTCCAGAAATGTGAGACAATACATTTCTGTTGTTTTAAGGCCCCCAGTTTGTGGTAATTTGTTACAGCATCCCCGGGAAATGAACACACCCAGTCCCCCTCCCCCGCCCCTACACCGTGGGTTCCCGTAAGCTCTCCCTGAAGACCTGCTACGGCAACTGCAGAGCACCCCTGTTTCCCAAGCTACGGCCCGTTTTTTTCACTGTCCCTGACACCGGGTGACAGGGAAAGGCTTTGCCATGGGAATGAACCATCCACTCACACTGCTTTCTGCAGACAGACTCAAAGTCACCACTGTGCAGTCAGTTTTTTCCTTGTTTCTTGGAAAGCACCTCTCAGGACCGTTTCAAGAAAAACAAATTGTGAGGTTAAGGATCTATTTAAAGTGAATCATCAGCTCTAGTTCCAATAACAAAGCAGGCCAGTCGGGTCGCTGGGACAAGACTGGAACCACTGTGAGCGTGCACTAACTGTGGGTCAGGCATGAGCGGGTCTCTGCACACACGTCACCTGGAGTGCCCCCTCCCCCTGTTCACTCGGCAGGCGGCCTTGGTGGCTGCCTTCCCAATCCTCTGCCCAAAAGGGACACAGAACAGCATGCTCACCAAGTAAGAATTTTCAAGCAGCTTTGAAGTGCGGTTCACCATCTTGGGGAGCTTAAGAGGAACAGTTTGAACCCATTTAACCCCTTGCACTATTAATCCCCAGTTGCTTGGTGAGAACTGGTTGTATGTGTGCAAAGCTCCCTGCTAGCCCTCCGGGAGCGTTGAGTCCTCAGAGTCCATGAGCAGCCTGAATCTGGATGCATCACAGATGCCTGTGTCCAGCTGGGGCTCAGAGGAAGCCAAGCACTTCTTTCATTTCAACATTCCTGACCTGTCTTCCCATAGGTGGTGGCAGTAGAATGAACCACTCATCAACTTTTTTTTTTTTTGAGATGGAGTCTCGCTCTGTCTCCCAGGCTGGAGTGCAGTGGTGCGGTCTCAGCTCACTGCAATCCCTGTCTCCCAGGTTCAAGCGATTCTCCTGCCTCAGCCTCCCAGAGTAGCTGGGATTACAGGCACTCACCACCACACCCAGCTAACTTTTGTATTTTTAGTAGAGACAGGGTTTCACCATGTTGTCCAGGCTGGTCTCGAACTCCTGACCTCAGGTGATCTGCCCGCCTTTGCCTCCCAAAGTGCTGAGATTACAGGTGTGAGCCACCACACCCAGCCCACTCATCAAGTCTTTATTTGAGCACCCCTATATGCCAGGCTCTGGCAATGCAGTGGTTAACCCATTTCTCCATGGAGCATCTGTTGAAGTGGGGGGAAGTAAAGAAAAGATTAAAACAAAATGTAAGCAGACAAGTAAATAAAAGAACTGTGGGCTGAAATAATTGTCATAAAGAAACTTAGGAGCTAAAACAGAGAACAGACGAGGCCTGACTTTTCACCAGGTGAGCAGGAAATGGCCCTGTGAGGTTACACTCAAGCTGAGACCTAAAGGAAATGAAGGAGCCAGTCAGGGGAAGACTCAGGAAACAGTATTCCTGCCAGTAGAAGACCAGGTGCGAAGGTCCTGGGGCAGCAAAGAGCTTAGCCGGCATTCAAGGACCTGGAAGAAGACCAGGGTGACAGGAGAGTTGTGAGCACAGAGGCTCCCAAGCAAGAGGAGGCTGGAGAGGTTTGCAGGGGCCAAATCATGCAGAGCTTTACTCAAGCGTGGATTTTATTCTAAGTACAATGGGAAGCTCTTGAAGGGTTTTCGTGGTGTGTGTGTGTGTGTGTGTGTGTCTGTGTGTGTGTGTGTGTGTGTGTGTGTGTGTGTGTGTGTGCAGGGGAAGGGTGAAGGGATGACATAACATCATCTCCTCCTCTTTTCCCCCTCTTCCTCCTTCTTCTTCTTCCTCCTCTTCTTCTTTTTCTTCATCTTCGCCTTCTTCATCTCTTCCTTCTTCTCCTCTTCCTCCCCCTTCTTCTCAGACGTCCACTTTTGCAGCTATGTGGGGAAAGTCGATGTGAGGTAGGCAAGCTTGCAGGGGAAGGCCTTTTAGGAAGGATGTAGCAGGAACCTGGACTTGGGTGATGGCAGTCACAAGGGAGAGAAGGCATGATCAGATATCTACTCCAGACGGGATTGATAGGATGCGCTGATAGATTGCAGGGAATGGGAGTGTTGGGGAGGGTCCTGGGTGACTGAGTGTCTGCTTGCTCTTTACAGGGGTTTCTGTCCCACCACGGAGTGGCATACCTGGCTCCTGGGCTCCTGGGTGACCCTAAGAAGCTGTCCCAAGATGACCATCAGGGCCCCTTCCATCCCTCACTTGGGTCTGGTGCAAGATGTCTCAGTGACTCTTACCTCTTGTGCAATAGGCAGTACTTTTTTCCAAATTTGATATTCTCCTTTGCATCTGACAGGGCCACTCTCCATTTTCTAATTACCGCAGAACAGTCTTGCCTGAAAGTGCCTTCCTAAGCTGGGGTCCTACCTCAGAATCAGTAGTGAGTTAGTAAATCAGATCTCTGGATGGTGAAAAATGAAACCCTAATTTGTAACATGTACCAATTTCTATGGTATAAATACCCCTGCCATGGCGACTTTGAAGCTATCAATAGTTAACCAACTCAAAAAAATCCTGAACAGTTAACACTTGGCTTTCACCAGCCTATAGGAGCCAGGCCTAGCTCAGTATCGCATGACTGCTGGCCTAGAACAGTATGCCAAACAATTTCCTCCAGCTTCTCAAAATGCACAGTTGTCCAGCGTAGAAGCAGAGTATGCAGGAGGCTTGGTGAGCTGATGTGCTGAGTCCATAGGTCTGGGAATGAATCCAGTCAGTGACTCACTGCATGCTCAAGTGTGTCTGAATAGGTTAACTTCAAAACCAAACCGAATACTCAAGGCAACTTCTCTCTACTGGTGATGTAGAACAGCCTGGCAGAACATTCCCCATGGGTAGGTTTTCTGGAATGAATGGGGAGTCGGGAAATCTGGGTGACAACTCTGGGGCTGCTGCTAGTTGGCTCAATGACCTCAGACATGTTGCCTGACCTCTCTGAGTCTCAACCTTCACATCCCCAAAATGAGAGGCAGATGATCTCTAATAGTCAGTCACTGAGTGTCTTCCAAGTGACAATCAGTGTCACTTGGTTAATGCAACACCAAGTTGCCTGAGGAACCTGTTTCTGACCCAGGCAACTATGCAGGTTGTGAAGCCAGAGGGGAGTTTGAGCACCAAGTTCAAGAAGGCAGTCTTGCAAGACTTTCCTCGAAGCAGCTCCTACAGACTGGCTCTTTCACCTTAAACGCCATAGTTTTGGATACAGGTAAGAGTCATGGGGACAGAAAAGGAAGGGAGACAGAGACAACCTGGGGAAGAATGATGACACTTGGTGACTGGAAGAGTATGGGAAATGCAGACAAACAAGAGATCAAAGAGAGCTCCCAAAGTTGTGCCAATGCCGTAGTTTCCCACACCACGCAGAACAGCAGGAGCAGCAGCTTTTGGGCTTCTCTGGCTGGTAGACTGTGTTTAATGACTGCAGAGGCTGCACCTTCCTAAGCTGATGAAGAACTTCCTAGAATGTCCCCTAGGACCCCTCCTATGAAATGGTACCAACACCACTCTGTGACTTTGTCCAGGGTCTGTGTGTGGCAAACACTGCCTACTGTGTGGGCCATGAGAGGCCATGAAGGGAGCTGCACAGACATCCCCCACCCACAGATCACAGACCACCCTCACGGACAAACATCCCCTTTGCCATTCATTCCATCTCCTCCCCAAGCACATCCTGAAATGCCTTCCTCATTCTATAGCAGGCATAGCTAATATCCTCTTTTATAACCCCAGTTCTCTCCATTTGAGGCCATATAGGTGAACATAGTTGAGAAGTCAGAGGAGGGGGCTGAGAAATGCTTAAATACCCGCAGAGCAAGGACCAGACCCTTTTCTTCCTTCCTTGTTCTCAGGCTTTTCTGCACGTACCGGGGGCATTGGCTGTTGACACGTGAAATATTGAGGCAGCCTTGTCTATGCGCTGGGCACTTTATTTGGGTGAATGTACCTTTTCAAAATCAAGATATTCTGGGGTTTTTAAAAAATAAAAAGTATGAAAATATCCCAAAACAGAAAAGAGTACTGAGGATAACCATATAAAAACAATTTAAGCTGAGAAAAATAACCCAGTCCTGTCGAGTCCTAAAGAGAACCTTGGTTTCCATGGGACGTTAGCAAAGTGCAGAGCTCCTAGCAGTGGGTAGGATGGAATGTTTGCAGCCTTTCCAAATAAGCAAATATCCCCCAGAATCCAGCATCCGTGCCCCACATGCTGTGGTTCCAATTTGCTTCCTGTTTTCAGGCCTCCCAGAAATACATGTCACAGACTTTTTATTTTCATCTCCCCACCTTGAAAAGCACAGATTTGCAAGTGTGAGTGTCTTAGCAGGGAGACAAATCCAGCAGGCATTCAAGACATTCAGGCAGGAAGAAATGCATCTCATCGGAAATTTTCCATCGCCAGCACTTTTTAAAAAATTCCCAATATAAATGGGCTTTTACTTGTAGGACGAAGGGCTCCATTATTTTTCAAATACTTTGCTGCTTCTAAGGAGCCAAGAAAATTGGTCATGCACCTGGCCAGCCGATCCAACCTCAAAAATCTTCTGACCTCAATGAAAAGGCTCTAATTTTTCCTTGCCTTTAATAAATGTTTCTTCTCTTCTCCCCAGCAGTATTCAGCATGTGGGGTGGGCAGGCAGGGTGCCCAGTTAATGTAAACAGGCAGGAACACCTGATTCATCAGGATTCTTCCCACTGCTCCAATCCAGGGGTCTCTGCTTCAGACAGAACCCCTAGGAAGAGAAGCATGTGACTTAGGACTTCAGGGGGACTCGAAGTGCAAATACATTATGGCACAGATTTAAATGTTTACCTGTATATGTGTATGTTAAAAAATCAATTTCTTAGAGATGGTTTCAAGGTGTCAGAAAAGCTAATTCAGGTAGAAAACATGTCCTTGCTCTGTAGATGCCTCCATTCTGTCTTCCAGAACCTGAGAGAGAAGAGCAAGGATTTGGACTGTGGCCTAGAGAGGGAATTTGCAGCTCTCTTTCCCAAGGAATGAATCGCAGCCCCTCAGGCTGGAACAGGCAGGTGCTGCGAAATCTGGCTGACAGGTCAGCTTCAAGGTGATGTGCTTGCTGAGTCTTCTCTCCTTTCAGCTAAGCTCTCATCACGCCCCTGGTGCCTGGTAAAAGTAAATAATGATGACTGAGCGTATGAAGCAGGAGGGTCTCTACACACCTGTAATTACTACCTAGCAAGTCCCTGCAGAACCCAGGAGTTCCCCCAGAGAGCCAGTGGGGCCGTTTCTGGAGAGAGTAAGTCAACGTGGGTCCTCCAGGCAAGATCTAGCTGGAGGAAGTAGAATTAAAACTTCTATCACTGGACGGATGTTTTGTCACTTGGCGGGAAAGTTCCAAGTCAAAGTTCCCAGTTTCCTAAGCTGTTATAAACCCGGTTGAAATGCTCACATACACCTGTGAGTGTCTCAAAACAAACAAAGCATAATCGCCTTAGAGCAGCACTGTCTCATAGAAATATAATGTGAACTACATGTTATTTAAAATTCTCTAGAAGCCACTTTTAAAAAGAAACAGGTGAGATGAATTTTAATAATACGTTTAACTTAACCAACCCAAAACATTATCACTTCCTCATGTAATCAATATAAAAAATTGCTGGTGAGATATTTTACCAAGTCTTCAAAATCTGGATGTATATTACATTTTCGGCACATCTCACTGTGGACGAGGCATGCTTCAGGTGCTAAGAGCCACACAAGCTGTGTGCCATGTTGGACACTGCAGCCTTTGAGGCTGACATTTACACCTCACCACCTTTTGAGAGCACCTGATGCATGATAGATTTCCCACAAACATTTCATATAGAAGAGTGAACCTGTTATATGTGAAGTTTTACTTGATCTGAATATACTAGTGCTCTTAATAAAATAAGAATTACTAAAAAATTTCCTTTGAATAGTGCCAGGCGGGTCTGAAACCCAGCCTTGACTGATATTTTCATGTGCTGATAACAGCAACCAAAGTATCGTGACTTCGGTTAATAATTGATTGCTCCTTGCAGGGGAAAAATAAATAAAACCGGAATCTGACTGCTCCACCCCTTAGGGCAGCTTACTAACGTCTGGATGAGCATGCTTGTGTTCTTGCACTCTCTGGGAATTAGACACAAAAACTGCCCTCAAGGACAGCACAGCCCAGGGACAGCCAGGCAGACCAATGCCTAATACTGCATGTGTGCAGGGGGTTGTGTTGGCAACAACATGAGTGGCTTTCCTGGAGTGGAGGCTCCAGCTCTGCATCCTGAAGAGGGACTAGGAGGTCCTCAGGGAGGAGGGCAGGAAGGAAACATCCAGTGGAGGAAGCGGTAGGCACAGAAGTTTGCAGCCACTTGAAAAGCAGGGAGGCACAGGACCTTAGGACCCTTCTATAGCAGTCCCGTAAGCCCAGAGGGAACCATTTCAGAGTGGGACAATCTACGGCAGCGTTGTCCGACCAAAATACTTGCAAGCCACATGTGTGATGGATTTCAGGAGCCACTGAAGGGTCAAAAGACAGAGATACAATTAATTGTAATGACCTGTTTTTAGCTTAACCCACGTTGTCCAAAGCTTTATCATGTCACCGTGTGAGATACCTCACGTTCTTTTTCATGAAGTCTTTGAAATGTGAGGTGTCCTTGACACCAAGAAGGCATGCATGAGTCTAGATGCAGTGTGTATATATAGTGAGTAGTAACCTCTGCTCACGTTCCTGGGTCCAAAAGAGAGATCAGGACAGCTTCAAGGGAGAGGGCTAGGGATGAAAAAGGAGATAATGTCGCCCACCACTTCTGAGGGGACAACAGACTGCGCCAGGCGCTGTAACCCGGGGGAAACGGAGGCAGCAGCTTCTCCCACGTGCTCCCAAAGGTGTCCGTGTCAACAGCATTAACTACCAAACAGAGCACTGAGGAACATTTGCTAAATGCTGCCAAGTGCCCGGACACCAGATCACAAGGCTGGCCCAGAAAAGAGCAAGTGCACCTGTGGGGGAGGAGGGCAAGTCCCCGTCGTCGGTCATCCCAGGTCACAGGGGTGCCTTTCCCTCCACTGCCAGGGAAATGCACATGCAGGCTGCCTAATGTGGAAATGTTTGGATCTGGAACAGAGAGGCTCTCAGGCCGGCGGGGAGGAGGCAGGGTGACAGTAACCAGCCGCACCGGAATGACGATGGGGAGCGCTGCACCTACGGCTTGCCAAGACCCCAGCAATATCTTTCCTACTAAGTCTAGCAGTGCCTGAGGCTCGCCTCCGAAGAACAGCCTCTCCCTTCCGCCTCTGTCTTCTTTAAGGGAGAGGGAGTGCAAGCCAAACCCAGCAAGCACTTGGACGCCGCCCTGCTCTCCCCGGGGCTCTGGGCTCTGCAACAGATCCGCTTTGTGAATGAAAGAGGCATCTCTCCAAGATGGCGCGCTCTACCCTGAGGGCACACCATGCACACGCCACTCCTCCAGCTGGTCTCGGGGACTGCAGTCCTTCTCTCCTGGATGGGTTGGGGGTGGGGGGCTGTTGAGAGCTTTCCTCCTCCTTTTCTTCTTCCTCCTCCTCCTGTCTCCCTAACCCTGGAAGGGGGCCATCCACTGAACTTCGGAAAGAGGTCACCCTCCCTGAAAAGGGGACTTGGATTGCTGCATCCAGAGCCACCCCCTGTGGTCCCTCAATCTAGCCACACTCAGTTGCTAAAGCAGGGAGAGGTTTCCTAGTCCGGTGTTCCGGCCCCACGCAAACGGAGCTCAGGATGACGCCACATGTGTGTTTGAGTCAAAGCGCTTTTAACTGTGGCTCCAAGAACAGCCTGTACAGCCACTTGAGTTTCCCCGTAACAAGGAATGTACAATAGATGAGACTTTACTGGCAAAACAATTTTTAAAAGTAAAGGGAGAAGCAGCAGCCCAGCCTTGTCTCTTTATAGGGTCCTAGAGAACCGGTGGTGGCTGGGTTGAAAAGCACAGCGCTTAGCCATTCAGCAGTTTATGACCTCAGTTTACCAAGTCCTTGTAACAAGGTTACCGGAGGGGTTTTGCAAGCTTGTAGACCCAGGTGTGGCTGAAGTTGAGCTGCTCAGGGACAGTGGTTTTCTTGCCATTGGGAGAAGGTTACCAAGAATAATTTTCCTGCCCCAGGACTTGTAGATGATTAACGTGTTTCTTTCGCTTAACCAGAGAGTTAATGGTTATTCAAAGCACTCTTTGATAATGGAGGCTGGAGGGGAGAAAATGAATGCGTTAACCATTAATCCAGGGAAATGCCACAAAAATTAAAATGGAAAACACTCAACCTGGGAAAGGAATTCACTGGCTGGAAGGGTCAGCCAGGCAAACCTGGTGAGGAAGGAGGAAGAGAGGAGGCCAGAGGGAGGCCTTACAGTTCACGTATACTTAGAGCTGGGTTTTGTTATTTTTTGTTCCGTTTCCTTGTTTCATTGCTCTGAGGAAACAGAGTAGAAATAACAAAATCACAAACATGGGAACATTACAAATAAAGTCAGTTTTATTGGTCTTTTTCCTCCAGCCTCCCACAGCTGAGCCTGTCTGACTTATCCCCTGTCTGACTTGTTCCCCGGCCTCTTTGGGGAGCAGGAGGGGAGCTCAGGCAATCCATGCTTGGAGAAAGTCGAGAGTGTTTTTAGGAGGCTGGTGCTGACAGAGGGCATGCAGCTCTGGCTCCCGGCCTCTTCTTGGGGCCACACTGGCCAGCACCCAGGCACAGCCATCATGGCGCCTGCCCCAGTCACCCTGCTGGCCCCTGGGGCAGCATCCTCAATGTCTTGCAGCCAGCCCGGTGCAATAAACAGGAAGACTTCGGGGAAAAACTCCTGCTTGGCATAGGCTACTCCCAGTCACCATCTGGGACACGTCATGATGAGCTATGAGCTGGCACCAGTGGGAATCTCTGATGAAGGTTGGGACTCCCCGAAGCATCACACATGTGTGGAGCATTCTCTAGTAGGAAGACCTTTTTAGAGTACAAAGGCCAGATCCTGCCCTCAAGGGGTTTACAGGCCATTAGGGAGATAAAACAACCTAGGGCAAGTGCTGGAGATGCAGCATCAGCCAACTGCTGAATACACTCAAAAAAATGAGAGCCCACTGGATTGTCTGGGAGCCTCCTAGGAAAGCTGAGTCCAAGCTGGGCTGGGAGGTTGGATAAGGCTGTGGCCGGGAGAAAAGGGAGAGGCAAGGCAGAGAGAGAAAGGAATGGCAGAAATGTGTAAGGAAGAGACCTATTTGAAGAAGAGGAGAGAAAAGAAATTAACACTTGGAAGATAGGTTTGGGTCTGTCTGTGGGAGCCTCGTTGCCCAGCTGCATTTATACCCCATCACTGGCACTGTGGGGAGTTTTGAGAGGAGAGTGAAATTAACAAAGTGGGGCATGGGAGGAGGGGGGGTCATGAAGGATGAGAGCAAGCAAGTCACCATGTAGTTACAACAGTGGCCCAAGGGTGCTCTCCAGGAACATGTGGGGCATGGGAGCCCAGGGCAGGAGGAGGGCTCCGCTTCCTCTGTGCTCTAAAAAGGGAAGGGATCAAGGGGTGAAGATTCCAGCCCCTTTGGAAGTGGAGGAGGCTAGGGAAGAGCTCTTACTACAGGGAATCCTGTTCTCATGGACCTGGAGGCCAGGGCCTTTGCTGAGAACATGGCAGGGGAGGGCAAGGGCTCACAGAGGGAAAATTCAAAAACTCCAACAACTACTGGGAAGGAAGTGGAGTGAGGAAGGGATGAAGAGAGTGAATTTGTGGGTTCGGTGGACAAGGTTTTCTGGCTCTTCCTAGCATCCCAGGAGTTCAGAAAGCACAGGGTAAAAGCCACTTACTTTCTCCCTCTACTTTGATGGAGGGTTGACTATGGGCTAGTGCTGGTCTAGGAACTGAGGGGAGATGAAGGGCCTCAGATACATGTTCTCTGTCTTCACCAAGCTTGTTGCAGAGTGAAGGTAAGAAACATAGTACAATTGCAATAAAGAGAAATGGACATGGGTCCTGCCCATTTGAATCAGAGATTGTTAGAAATACAGACTTCTGCCAACTGATTAAATCCCACCACCACCACCACCGCCACCATTATCAGAAACTTTCTTGGCACAGGGCACAAGCTTGTGTCTTTTTTTCAAGGCTAGTTCTAACACACGGTGTAACATCCATGAGTCAGATTGTCTTGGTTTCTATCCCAACTTTACCACTTACTGACTCTATGTGTGTGTGACTGCTCTTGCCTCAGTTTGTTCATCTAAAAAATAGGATAATAGCAGTACCTACTTCGTAGGATTAAATGTGATCTTTCTTATAAAGTCCTAAGAAACAGCCTAACACAGCAGGTGCTTAGTAACTGTTGGCTGTTCGCTAAAGGGCATGACTAGGGTTGTGGTAGGGGAAAAACACGGTGCTGTGGGAATCCAGGTGGGGGATCTAACCTGGACCTGAGGGTCAGGGAAGGCTTTCTGGAAGAGGTGACTTCCAAGCTGAGACATGCAGGAGAATGAGGAGTGAACCAGGTCGCATGGGTGAAAGCGAGAGTTTAAGCAGAGAGAACAGCAGGTGCAAAGTTCCCAGACAAGAGATCCAAAACCATGGAAGGGACTGACTGTGGTTTGGTGGGGCTGGAATGCAGGGCGAGGCAGGGCTGTGGAGGGGCAGGAGATGCCCAGATCCTGGAAGTGTTTGAATTCTATCCTGAGAGCCACAGGAAGCTGCTGCAGGGCTTTAAGGAGAGAGGGATCTGATCTGTGATTCGAGGCATCCCTCTTGCTACGGTTTGAAGAGTCGGTTGAAGGCACAAGCCCAGAGCCAGAGGCGAGTGAGGAAGAGGTTGACATGATCCCAACAAGGGAGACAGAAGGTCTGAACTAGGAAAAGGGCTGTGGAGAGGGAGAAAGTGGGCAAACTGACAAGCACCTGGGTGGCCGATGGAAGTGGGGGGCTCAGGAAGATGAGCGTGCCAAGGGTGGCTCTGGACTTGGGTTTGAGCAACATTTCCACTGGATGGATGTTGAGAAAGGGAAGATGGAAATGGAGCACATTTGGGGAGAGAAATATAAATTCAGGTTTCAGTACATTGAGATTTTTAGTGCTTATGAGATGTCCCAGTGGAGATGTCTGTCCACTGGGCAACTGGACATCAGGCTTTGGTGCTCAGGACCTATGGTGGGTTGTAAATATGTTTTTGGAAACCATGAGCATTTAGAGCTGAGGCTGAGAATTGACATAATGTTCAGTGAAGACTAGGAGATGCAGGAGGGGGTTCATAGGCTCAAGGAAGCAGTAAAGGAATTGAGTATATGAAACTTCATACATATGTTGCAGTCAACATAGTCATATAATTAGTTAAGATGAAGTCATCCTGGAGGAGTGGCTCCCACTCCTGCTGCTTCTGACTCAATACTTAGGGGTCCCTGGTGAGTGCCCCCAACCCTGATCCCCATCTGCCTTCAGGAGGGGGTTGGCCCTATTCTCCTATTCTGGGATGAGAAAAAAGTCGGGGAGCCAGAGGCTCAGTGGGCATGGGGCAGTGACCTTGGCCTCTTGAGCACAGCTGGGAAGCCCTAGGAACACACAGACACGGCCCACTTAGGCCTCTATTAGCACGTCTGCTCTAGCACTGAAGCAGTGTTAGGACCACACAGATGCACGCACACAGCAGGAAATGACCCCTCCTGAGCCTGATCTACCCCTCTAACCTAGCGTATGCCTTTGTGCAGGTGAGAGCCCAGATTTGGAGTCTGAATGCCTAGCCAGGGCCCCTGGCTGGGTAATGTGATGGCTCTGAGCCTTAGCATTCTCATTTGAGAGATGAGATGGGGCAAGCTCCATCACCCACTGCTCTCACAGAGCGTATGTGTTAGATCTGAGCCCAGTGCCTGGGCCACTACACAGAGGCACCGGTGATAACTACCAAGTCTGGGCCTGCTTCCCAGGGGAAATTTTTTTGACAAGTATCTGTGCAGGGGGGCTAGACTGGCCCTTGAAAGTGCATACAGGGTCCATCCCAGAAGCCTTGTAGCTTTGATCCCCTGAATGAACAAAGTGTGGACATGCCAATACACATTACTGACATGTATGCCCACCTGACCTGCACCCACTCATGCCCACTCTGCAGGGCAGCGCTCGCCATCGAATGACTTCCAGGTGCTCCGGGGCACAGAGCTACAGCACCTGCTACATGCGGTGGTGCCCGGGCCTTGGCAGGAGGATGTGGCAGATGCTGAAGAGTGTGCTGGTCGCTGTGGGCCCTTAATGGACTGCTGGTGAGTGGCCACTGGGCCTAGATAAGACTGGGGGCAGGGGAGCCTGGGCCGTGGCGTTACCCTGTGCCTTCTTCTCTCCAGGGCGTTCCACTACAATGTGAGCAGCCATGGTTGCCAACTGCTGCCATGGACTCAACACTCGCCCCACTCAAGGCTGTGGCATTCTGGGCGCTGTGACCTCTTCCAGGAGAAAGGCGAGTGGGGGTGGAGAGGGGCAGGGTGGGAGACAGGGGACCTCAGCCCAAGTTGATCTTCTGTCTCTTGCTCCCAGACTACATACGGACCTGCATCATGAACAATGGGGTTGGGTACCGGGGCACCATGGCCACGACCGTGGGTGGCCTGTCCTGCCAGGCTTGGAGCCACAAGTTCCCGAACGATCACAAGTGAGACAAACACCTTCCCTCCGTCCCGGCCTGGGACCTTCCCCCAGCACACACTATAGTGATGCTCTGGGCCCTCAGGTACATGCCCACGCTCCGGAATGGCCTGGAAGAGAACTTCTGCCGTAACCCTGATGGCGACCCCGGAGGTCCTTGGTGCCACACAACAGACCCTGCCGTGCGCTTCCAGAGCTGCAGCATCAAATCCTGCCGGGTGGGTAAGCGGCGCCGGGTCAAGCTGGGAGAGTGGAGGGGCAAGCCCACGCCCATCCACGAACCCACTGGCTCTTTGTCTCCAGCCGCGTGTGTCTGGTGCAATGGCGAGGAATACCGCGGCGCGGTAGACCGCACCGAGTCAGGGCGCGAGTGCCAGCGCTGGGATCTTCAGCACCCGCACCAGCACCCCTTCGAGCCGGGCAAGTACGCGTAGGCGGTATCGGCGCCCTGGGGGCCGGGCTAGGGAAGGTCCAGGACTCCAGGGGCAGGGCTCCGTGTAGGGCAACTGGGCGGGGCCAGATAAGCCAGAGTACCAGGGTCTTCTTCACGCCCCATTACCGCCCCCAGGTTCCTCGACCAAGGTCTGGACGACAACTATTGCCGGAATCCTGACGGCTCCGAGCGGCCATGGTGCTACACTACGGATCCGCAGATCGAGCGAGAGTTCTGTGACCTCCCCCGCTGCGGTAGGCGGCGGGGACCAGGCCTGGGAGGGTACCTGGGAACCTTGGGGAGGGGCGTGGCTTGGCCGGGGAGGTCAGAGGGGCTGGGCGTGACCTGAGAGCATATCCCGTGGAGTACCGTACACCTGGGAAAGGCGGGTTTGGTCCCAGCCCCAGAGGGATCTCAGCTGTCGCTCGGGGCCCGACCTATCTCGGTCCATCTAAGGGTCCGAGGCACAGCCCCGCCAAGAGGCCACAAGTGTCAGCTGCTTCCGCGGGAAGGGTGAGGGCTACCGGGGCACAGC
This sequence comes from Homo sapiens, assembly GCF_000001405.40. NCBI lineage: Eukaryota > Metazoa > Chordata > Mammalia > Primates > Hominidae > Homo > Homo sapiens. The sequence goes on along the minus strand of NC_000001.11, from coordinate 16,759,607 downwards.
CAATACCACCACCGCGGCGTACCTTGCCAGCGTTGGGACGCGCAAATCCCACATCAGCACCGATTTACGCCAGAAAAATACGCGTGCAAGTGAGGTGGGCGGGGGGGCGGGCGTTGGGACGTGCTGCTGCGGGTGAGACGGGAGGAGGGTAGTCACGGGCTTAGGGCTGGAGGCTGGCGGGCTAGGGCTGAGTGGAGCGCCTGCTTAGAGACCTTCGGGAGAACTTCTGCTGGAACCTCGACGGCTCAGAGGCGCCCTGGTGCTTCACCCTGCGGCCCGGCACGCGCGTGGGCTTTTGCTACCAGATCCGGCGTTGTACAGACGACGTGCGGCCCCAGGGTGAGGCCCAAGCTTGGGGGCTACAGAGCCGGGGCTGGAAGCCTGGAACCGGAGGGCCGGGGCGAGGTCTCGGCCTGATGGCTGCCCGCACCGGCCGCAGACTGCTACCACGGCGCGGGGGAGCAGTACCGCGGCACGGTCAGCAAGACCCGCAAGGGTGTCCAGTGCCAGCGCTGGTCCGCTGAGACGCCGCACAAGCTGCAGTGAGTCCCTGGTGCTCCCGGCCCCGCCAGGGCCCTAACCCTGGGGCGGCATGCTTTGATGTCTGGGACCAGAGCCTGGAAATGGTTGAGACTACCCTGCCACGATTTTGCTCCCGCTCCCGCCTCGGTTCACATTTACCTCCGAACCGCATGCACAACTGGAGGAGAACTTCTGCCAGACCCAGATGGGGATAGCCATGGGCCCTGGTGCTACACGATGGACCCAAGGACCCCATTCGACTACTGTGCCCTGCGACGCTGCGGTGAGCACTAGTGACGCTTGCCCCATGACCTTACCTCAGCCCTCACCACCAAAGGCTGGCTCCCTTAACCCCAGTGAACTTTGTCTTTCAGCTGATGACCAGCCGCCATCAATCCTGGACCCCCCCAGGTTACGAGTTGGGCCAGTTATGGGTCAGGCCCTTTAGCCCACGACATCCACACAGTCTGGGTTTCATCCAGCCCACCCCATCCTACAGACCAGGTGCAGTTTGAGAAGTGTGGCAAGAGGGTGGATCGGCTGGATCAGCGTCGTTCCAAGCTGCGCGTGGCTGGGGGCCATCCGGGCAACTCACCCTGGACAGTCAGCTTGCGGAATCGGTGAGGCACAACTGCCTGTCTCCCACAGAGAGGAGCTGAGGTTGTGTCCTCTGTGGTTATGCCACTGGGGGCTGGGAATCTATCCCTGCCCCCAGAGGTCCTAGCCAGAAGATGGCAGGTCTAGCATCTGTCCCAGGAGTCTGTTCCCTGTCCTAATTCCCCACTCCTCTAGGCAGGGCCAGCATTTCTGCGCGGGGTCTCTAGTAAAGGAGCAGTGGATACTGACTGCCCGGCAGTGCTTCTCCTCCTGGTGAGCCTCCCTTGTGTTTGGGGACCCAGTCTCATCCCACTTTCCCCTTTCCCCAGGCAAGCTAACAAGTGAGCCTTGGGGCAACGGACTGAGAGTCACAAATGACCTAGCAGAGCTTCTCTCCCAGCCATATGCCTCTCACGGGCTATGAGGTATGGTTGGGCACCCTGTTCCAGAACCCACAACATGGAGAGCCAGGCCTACAGCGGGTCCCAGTAGCCAAGATGCTGTGTGGGCCCTCAGGCTCCCAGCTTGTCCTGCTCAAGCTGGAGAGGTATGTGGACAACCTGGGAGGATGTGAGGTGGGGCTGAGCCTTGTGGCCTCAGACCCTGAGTGCCCCCATTCTTGTTAAAGATCTGTGACCCTGAACCAGCGTGTGGCCCTGATCTGCCTGCCGCCTGAATGGTATGTGGTGCCTCCAGGGACCAAGTGTGAGATTGCAGGCTGGGGTGAGACCAAAGGTAAGAGCATAGTGCACAGGACTGCTGGTGGCCAGGAGGCCCAGCCCTGGATCTTCCTCCAGGACCGTCTCCTTCTCCCCATTCCCCTCACTGCAGGTACGGGTAATGACACAGTCCTAAATGTGGCCTTGCTGAACGTCATCTCCAACCAGGAGTGTAACATCAAGCACCGAGGACATGTGCGGGAGAGCGAGATGTGCACTGAGGGACTGTTGGCCCCTGTGGGGGCCTGTGAGGTTGGTGGCAGGGCCCTGGGCCAGCCCTGGAAGGGTATGGGGGGCTAGAAATGAACTATTTTATCATGAAGCAGGCTAGTCATTGCTGTGGCCCGGGGCCCTCATCAGTTCTCCTACCTGCCAGGGTGACTACGGGGGCCCACTTGCCTGCTTTACCCACAACTGCTGGGTCCTGAAAGGAATTAGAATCCCCAACCGAGTATGCACAAGGTCGCGCTGGCCAGCCGTCTTCACGCGTGTCTCTGTGTTTGTGGACTGGATTCACAAGGTCATGAGACTGGGTTAGGCCCAGCCTTGACGCCATATGCTTTGGGGAGGACAAAACTTGTAAGTACAGTCAAGGACAAGACTTGTACTCAAGGTTGAGATTTAATAAAATTAATATTTTTACTACTTCACCAAGGACTTTCTTAAACGAAAATGGTTTTTCCCCCTGCAAGTAAACAGTAATGAAGAAGAGAATTATTCCTAGTGCAGTTTGTTTTCATGGTCTTAATTTTTGCTAAGACTCCACTGTTTTTGCCTTATCAATACAAGTGCCAACACAGTGAAAAGGCAAATATCATCTTAGTATTACTCTGAAAATAGTTCTGAGCTAATGGCCTACTGAAAGGAAAAGAGTGGCTCCTGCTATTCTATTAGACTTATTACAATTATCTTAAGTATTCTTTCTACCCTCCTTTAATTGAATGGAAACAGGGATGGATTGGAAGAGCTGTTTTTCTCCTTTCTTTCCCCCGGCAATATTTACCATTTAATGCCACTTACTAACACTCAAAGAAACAAAACCAAACTTCTCAATTGACAGTGCAGTGACCCAACAAAGACACGGGTTCTTGAATTCAAAGTGGAGCAGGAGAGACGGTAAATACACATTTACTTTAATATATATATATTTATTATTTATGTGTTTAAAGCACAAATTAGTTTGGTAAAAAACATCTCATGTCTGTTTTATTTCCACATCCCTGAGACTGACAATGGGATGCCTATCAATTAATTCATTTAGAGAGCCATACACCACAAGAAACAAATTATTTGTCCTCTGGAGCTTGTCACAGGGGGATTTTTAAAAAACCATTAAACAGAAAGACAACTGTGCATCTTAGAAAGATAAAAGGCCAATTCTTCCTCTCCGGCTGATAGGTTCTTAATAATAGTGATATCTACTAATAAGGTGTTTTACATAGTGTAAAGCATGTTCACATACAAATTACTTAGCCTCTTTGAGCCTCAGTTTTCTTATATGTAAAACTGGATTAATAGTACATTTTGTGTTTAAAAAGATAATGTATATGAAGTGTTTACCATTTTTGCTTGGCATCTAGTTCAGTTCTCAGTAACTGATGTGGTGGTGGTGGTGGTCATAGTAGCAGTAAGATCCGTAGTAATAGTAGCAGCAGTTGTTTTAGAAATTAGTAACTGAGGCCTGGCAAAGTTAAAGGCTCTTTCATTAACACCCAGAGGGGAAGAAATGAAGCTGGTCTTCAGAGGCAGGCTATTTTCACTCTGTGTCCCAAATTTTCCCCCCTAGACCGTTTTTATACTTCTGGGGCCTCAGAAAATATTCTCAGCTATTCTGTTAGCTTGATCTCCTACCATCTGAGAGTGGGCTTCCTTCAAACAACCAAATTTCCAGGTATTTCTAAACTGCCCTTCCCCTACACCATTCTTTGGTTCAGTATTTCAAGACCCCTAAGAGAAATGGTACATTTACATGTAAGCACAGGATAGTGAAGTATTTACAACAAGTGCTTTGGAGCCAGCAAATATGAATCAGAATCCAGCTTTCCTTTCCTACATACATGACATTGGGCAGCTAATTTCTAAGATTTTACTTCTTTATCTATGAAAGTGGAGTACTAGTACTTGCTCTGTGCAACTGTGATGGTTGTTACATGAGGTAGCATCTAGAAGCAGCTTGCACATTGCCAGACACCCAGTGGAAGGTCAATGAATGACTATTTGAGGACTAACTATTACAGAAATGTTTACTCTTCTGAGTCCTGATTTCTAGTCTCCTGGACTAAATAGGTTCACTGTTTTCCTCCCGGTTCAGTTTCCAGACACATCACAGAATTATAAGAATATTAAAAACTCAGGCTTATACCTACACAGGATTTTCTATAACCCTCTTTCTGCTTTGAGCTCCTAAAGGTATTTCATAGAAAAATGACCTTATTTTTAAATAGAGGGGGCAGTTGAAAATCAGTGAACGGGCCTACCCCCTAATGATTTTTTTCTCAGACCTAATTATAATAATTAGCATTATAAAGTGCTAATTATCTTTGGACACAGAGGACCTGCACACCAGAGACAGAGGTCCGCATTAAGTAAAGTGGATTTCACTTTCTTCAGTTGTGAGATTTCTCTTTTTTCTTCTTTGTAATGATGCAAAGATATATCTTCCACCAAGCCTCATTTAAAAGCTTTTTCCAGTTAAGGAAACTATCTCTTGGCCATCCACAGCCAGACTGCATATTGAGATTATGGATATTCAAAGAAATTGTCTTTCCTTTGTATATTGTCATAACTTTTTGTGAAATGTTCGTTTTATAGTTCCAGGCCAGCACCTAGAACCTGGCTAGAATAAAAAACTGCAGAAATCATGAGTTTCTTGTTTGGATGAAAGAGCACACCTATTAACAAATGATAGACGGCTATCCTACTGTGAGTCCTGAAAACTGGTGGTGTGATTGTTGAATGGGTTAGGGGTATAGCAGAGAAACTCAGTGTGGGCTACATACAATTTCAGCTTGAATCACACTTAACAGATCCTCTGTTCCAACCATTTAAATTTACAAAGAAGAAACTAAGGCACAGAACTACTTGAGAAGAGAAGCAGAATTGAAAACTAGAGCTCCTGATTGTTCTCAAAATAATTTTTATCATACTGCATCGGGTTCTAAGTGAGAGGGCTTCTTATTTAGTAATGCCAAGGTCATGTGTTAACATGTAAAAAAAATTAGACGAGGAATGGGGCATTGGTGTAAGGTTATACAGAGTGTAAAGTTGGGCTTTCTCTTATCATCTGTTGTCAACAACAGGATGATTGTTACTGTTACCCACTCCTTACCATCATTCACACAGAGACATTGGATATTGAGGAGAGACTTTAAAACAGAATATTAGTAATGCAGAGCTATAAAGAGCCACGATCATATTAATACAATCCTCCATACACATAGTGACCTGTCTGCAGCTCCAGCCTAGAGAAACCCAGTTATTCACTTGTAGTGGGCAGCCCCATTATCAGAAAGCGCTATTCAATTGGAAATGCTCATCCGTGTTAGGTCAAAAACGACTTCCTCTAAATATCCATTCTGTGTATTGAAGTATAAATGAGTCCCACTTAAGAAAAAACAAAACAAACCAACTTCCAATGATTTAAAAATACTAACGTGACCCTCTTACGTTTACCTAAAGCTAGTGTTTCTCAAACATCAGCTGTATCAGAATCCCTGAAGGACTTGTTAAAACAAATTGCTGGTCTCTACTCTGAGCTTCTGATTCATTAAATGTGGGATGGTACCTGAGAATCTGCATTTCTAACACGTTCCCAGGTGACCCTGATGCTGTTGCTCTGAGAACCACTTTGAGATCCACATCTCTAAGCTCATCAGTCTGTCCGTTACACCTTACAAGACATACTTTCCTAATCTGACACCCTTCTATTTGTCTTTTTCTGGAATGCTTTAGAAATTTAGCAGTTATCTTTTTTATGTATTTTACATTTGTTACAGCTTTCCTTGGTGGACAGATATGAGTTTTCTACTTGAAAATAAACACGTTTTTCTTTAAAATATCATTAAATAAGAGTGTAATTAGTGATATAAAGCAAGATGACTAAAAAGAATCTCATTATTATGTTTGCACAGCCTGTATACAAATTATTTGAACTAGAAAGGATTTGCTAAATAAATTATTTCTATTTCCCTCACTTAATAGTGAATATTATGGTGATTAGGGGAAAAAATAAGCTTTCTTTTTTCTTTTGAGATGGAGTCTCACTCTGTCACCCAGGCTGGAGTGCAGTGGCGCGATGTCGGCTCACTCTGTCACCCAGGCTGGAGTGCAGTGGCGCCATCTCGGATCACTACGCCATCTCGGCCTCCCCAGCTCAAGCGATTCTACTGCCTCAGCCTCCCAAGTAGCTGGAATTACAGGTGTCCGCCACCATGCCCAGCTAATTTTTGTATTTTTAGTAGAGATCACCATGTTGGCCAGGCTGGTCTCGAACTCCCGACCTCAAGTGATCCGCCTGTCTTGGCCTCCCAATATGCTGCGATTACAGGCATGAGCCACCACGCCCAGCTAAAAGAAGCTTTTCTGATAGTAACTTTGTTTTCCCATTCTGGAGTTTATGGCAGTATGAAAAAGACTGAATTTATAAGCAGAAGATCTGTTTTTGAAATCCGGGGACCTGTATTTCACAATGGCTTTGATGTGTTTTGATTGTGCACCTTTAGACAACTTATCAGTTTCCTCATTTTTATACAGCAATAAAATAGTAACAGCTACCCATTAAATTCTGTACAGAAGCTAGGGACAGACGCAATAACACTTGCATATCTATAAAGGCTTTGTAAATGTGGGTATTATATCTAATGTTTATGCACATGCTGTTTGATTATTTTCATTTGGAATTCCACTCCATTAAAGGAAAAGTAACATACGAATTCAGATTCTTGTAAGTCTTCAGGGATGAGGCCTCCATTGACTAAGTACATTGCCTACATAATTTCTCCTAACCCAAATGAATCTCCAGTTAAACCAAGCTGGTGGTTATGTACTGTCTCCAGAGGATGCCAAGCATAAAGTCCTTGAGTATATTCATCTTGGATCCTCTGATTGGACAACTGCGGTATTGAGACTTCAAGTTCCCCCTTGAAGGACCCAGACGGTACCTGTAATTTTACTCAAGTTTTAAATGTATGCTCTTTGTTAAGAAAGAGTGACAATGATTTGATTTATTTTCCGTGACTGGGGTTAGGGATGGGGGAGACTCTAGGAATGTGACTTACCAGTGAGGTTCTAGTTTTATAAATCATAGGACAAGTTTTGATAGGCAAATGTTGGACTATAGGGCTGAGGTTGTTTTCCACCACAACATATAGACTTCTACTAGCCCTTGAAGGAAAAAACACGAGAAAATCAGTTGGGTCAGCTGAGTATTCCTTTATGAGTATGGAACAGACTTACATAACAATTCTGCAGGTAATGGCTCTGGAAAGGTCAACCACTTAGTTTTGGACAACTCTTTTCTATTCTGTATAACCACTTTTTCACCAAAATGATACTAAATAAATATGCTATAGGAAGCTATATTTTGACATGACTGTTTTAGGCAAAGATACACTCACCAACTTACTCCACAAGAGTTTCTAATCAGAGAATATCATATGGATCTATTTGAATTGCTCCCATGCTTGGCTGAGCCCAAAATAATTTACTGTGCATATGTACACCAAGTGAGAAGGTTGAGGAGGTGTCACTTGTACATCTCTTTATTCTTTTTTTTTTGTATGTGTGTGTTATTTTCATGTGTTTTGAAAGGCTCTCTTGCTTAGCTTTTATTTTGCCATTAAAGATTTTTTTCTGTGCTATAACTGTATTTTTAAGTCTGGTTTGAGTTCAAGAAATCCACAAATTCACAAAAGATTAGGAATAATTTGTGAACAAAATGATGCAGAAATAAAAAATGCATTTTCCAAATAACTCCCTTGCAGTCCTTCTCGCCCAACTACCACTTTCTATTAAGTTTCTTCTTCCTACTCTATGAAGTGCCATGAGCTTTCAATTCATTGTATTTTAAGTATAAGCTATACTTACTAACCTTCACGTTATTCTTTGCTACTTAAATAAGCTTGCTTTCATAGTTCAATTGACGTATTGTTTAACTGATATTTTTAATTGGTATATTTTGATATATATTGATAATTGATAGATACATAATTCATTTGAGATATTTTGGGTATGGAGGGTTGGAAGGAATCCTTTCATAATTTTTCTACTTAAAAGAAATCTTTTTTCATTTAACAGCTTTTCCCATGGGGATAGAGTTTTCATGAATAAAGCAAAGTCATTAAATGAGGTATATGGTACATCTTTTAAGAGTCACAGAAAGAAGCAACAACAATTTACCCAGGCAGAGGGTATAAGTTTAGACCTTGGTTGCCTGATTTGTGGGACAAGTTCTTTAATTTTTTTTCTTTATATTTTGACTTTTTTTTGGACTCTCTCCTCCCCTTCCAGGCTCCAGGTCAAATACTTGACACCTGAATGATGTTCAATGATTTAAAAGATGGATTGGCCAGCTCAGCTCCTGTCTCAGACAGACTGTCTTTAAATGTATTTTCAACATGTCTTCAGACAGTTATTTTTCCTCTGTTCAATTTTGTTCATCTTCTTACTTAACCGTTCAAGTGCTCCTATTTCCTTTTTAAATGTAGTATTGAGAAGTGCAAACATTATTGGAAAAGAGAGTCTCACTAGCATAATTGTGCATTATCTTCCTCTTATATCGCCGGCCTCCCTGCACCCCCATGCCCACCTCCTCCTCGCGCCTCCATGCCGCCTCCCACTGCTCCAGCTCCTTGCAGCTGCGAGTCCAGTCACTGGTCACCTTTCGTATCTCCTCACTCAGAGCCTGGTTGGCCAAACCTGCCTGGTCCAGCTGTTCTCAGAGCATGGCATTCACCTGGGCCAGGCTGGCACTCCTGAATGGGGCACAGGGGATCAGTAGGCGCTCGCCCAGGGGGCCATGCTGCCAGCCCTGGCCCTCCCTGCTGCTCCTCCTCCAGCCAGATGAGGGCACTCTCCAGGTCTTGGCTGTGCTCTGCGTCCTGGGTGGCAGAGAGGTTAAAGCATCAGGCTGGGCAGGTGGAGGGCAGGGCCTGCCTCTGCCCCACCCTGGCACCCACCCTCAGCTGCTGCTGCTCCAGCTCTCCGGATCTCTCCAACAGCTGCTCCAGCTCCGAGAACCTCTTCTTGTACTGGAGAATCTGGGGATTGGGAGCTGATGGTGAGCCCCAGGGGTGGGGGCAGGGCAAAGTGAACACGTGGGAGGGAAAGAGCAGGAATGGGTGGCCCTGACCTTGCCCTGCAGCCGCTGCACAAGCTGGGCCTGCCGCTGCTGGCCCTCCAGGTAGGCCTGCAGCTTGCGCCACTAGGAGGCCTGCTCCTCCTGCAGCTGCCTCCGCAACTCCACGCTCTGGAGTACCAGCCCCCTGGGCTCTTGCGTCTCCAGCTCACCAGATTGCAGCCACAGAGCCTGCTCCAGCTGCAGGGAAGGGCCCTGGGTGAGAGTCCTGGGCCTCCTGGGAAGGCAGGCTCAGGCCTCTGTAGGGGGTGGCAGGCTGGGCCCAGACCCACAATGCCTTGTAGGCTGATAGCCTGGCGCCCTGGGGAGCAGCACATGTGGGCAAGCCCAGGGGCAGTGCACGTGTGCATGGGGTGATGCAGCCATGCACGGGCACGCAGATGGGGCATGCATGGACACATGCAGGTGAGCCCACAAACCCAAACCATGCAAGCAAAGCTCAAAGGTGCACCTGGGGTCTACGTCAGGGGCCTCAGTACACCATGCGCCTCTCCTCCAGAACACTTAGCCCTGTCGTGGTTTCTGTTTATTACATTGATGCCTGTGTCTTCCCACCATGCCCCCACCCCAGTGTGAGCTCAGAAAGCCTGGATTTTTTGTTCCTCATTGTATCTTAGTGCTATAATGGTGTCTGTGGAATGGCATGGCTCACGCTCAGTAAATATTTCTTGTGATGGTGAATTAATGGCATGAGCTCATGGGAATACATTCAAACAGAGGTGTCAATCCGCCTATGCATATCTGAGCTTAAAAATATGCACACACATAACACATACAGGCAACCTCAAACATCCCCAGGGGGACACGAAGGACTCCCCTCATATACACAGCATTAAGATTTGTAAGAGGTGCACACAGATGTTGCCCTATACGGCGCCTGCATATTAATGCCCACTTCTGGCTGGGTGCAGTGGCTCATGCCTGTAATCCCAGCACTTCGGGAGGTCAAGGCGGGTGGATCACTTGAAGTCAGGGGTTCGAGACCAGCCTGGCCAACGTGATGAAATCCCGTCTCTACTAAAAATCGAAAAATTAGCCGGGTGTGGTGGCATGCACCTGTAATCCCAGTTACTCAGGAGGCTGAGGCAGGAGAATCACTTGAACCTGGGAGGCAGAGGTTGAAGTGAGCCGAGATCGCACCACTGCACTCCACCCTGGGCGACAGAGCAAGACTCCATCTTTTATTTATTTATTTATTTATGTATTCATTTATTTGTCTCATGGGCTGAGCGAGGGGACCCCGGCTGGTGGAGGGACAGCTGCGCCCTGCAGGCCGCTGCGTCCGGGCAGACCCCGGCCTCTTGTCGTGCCCCCGGCCCGCGACAACCCGGGCAGGATGGGCAGCAGGACGCGGCGGGGCATCCGCGGAGCCCGTCGGGAACGCTCTCTTGGCCTCCAGTGCCGGGCAGCGGTGGGTGCGGCACCCACAGTGCCCACAGCGCCCCCAGCCCTGGGACGTGGCTCCAGCCCGCCCCCAGGCAGGCGGCCTCCTTCGCCGGGAGCACGTCGCCTGGGCAACATGGAGAAACTTCAACTCTTAAAAAAACAAGACAGCCACCACAACAACAAAAACAAGAACAGATATAAGCCGGCTGTGGTGACTCGTGCCTCTGCTACTCCAGAGGCTGAGGTGGGAGGATCGATTCAACCAAGATACAGTGAGACTGTCTCTCAGAGAAAAAGTCAAACAAACAAAAAAAGAGGCTGTGTAAGAGGTGACTCTGGGGACAGTGGAAAAACACTAAGGTTTTCAAGTGGTGTTAAAAGCCACTAGGCCTTGGGGACCATTGAGCAATCTACAAAGCACGGAAGCCTAGATCCCTGAGCTCTGCCTGCCAAGTACCACCACAGCTAACATGGGAGACCTCCCCCACAGAGACTGAAATTTGCCTCCCGAGGAAACAAGTGACTACAGACATCTGTCCCAGGACAGTAAACAAGAAAGCAAGGTCTCACAAAAACAAAAACAGCTGACCACAGCATACAATCACTGAGACCGAGCCTGCGACTATAGGTGAAAAAAAAAAATGCTGTCCATTATTCATACCATGAAAGACCAGGGGAAAGTGGGAACGCAGTCCCCTACTACTGTTGTGGGAATCAGGAGAACAGAGAGACCAATGGGTGGAACAGGAGGATTTATTGACTGCACTGAGGCCCAGCAGATGAAAATCCAAAGGCTGAGCCCCGAACAAAGACAGGGCTTAACTTTATAGACACTTCTGAAAGGGGGTCGGCTAGTTTGAATGGCGCGGCGGGAATTTGATGGCATGAAACTCGGGGGCAGGCAAGAGGGCTTATAGAAGCAGAACAAAGGCAGCTAATCAAACTGTCACAGGTCTTGCAATGCAAGTATAGCTGGTGACCTTGCAGCTGCACTGAAGGGAAATCAAGAACTTAACAAAACTTGAATAATTAGAAATGGGAAGGGGGAAAGAGAAGGTAGTAAAGGCATTTGTTGTTTTTTCCTCTTATCTTTGTTGGGGCTTACTGTGTTGAGAGAGTCTCCGGAACTCACTCCTCGCGGCTCTGACTTTTCAGATCGTGTTACCGAGGATCTGCTAGGGCTCTATCTATGGCAGGTCTTGGAGTCAGCCAAGTACAGGGAACCTGTCTTTTCCTTTTAACTTCTGCCTTATTACTACAAGTTGTACAGCACACCATGCCTGGTTTTCATCAGCAATGTTTCCTGAGGTTACAGAAAGATTTCTAATCCTGGGAGGAAACACTCCCTTGAAGCAAAAGTGTTCTCCCCCAAAAAATGCAAGGAGCTATCTTCTAGATAGCCAGGCAGATAATTCTCAGGTTTTGCCCCACAGAATCTCTATCTAAAATACAGCAGTGGTCATGCCTAGTGAAAAGTTTGAGGGAACTCGCCCAGTGTTGGGTTTCTTCAGAGCCATATATATAGATATAACCAAATATCCTAAAAGACACTGCCCTTCATCATTCCATGCTGTTAGACATTTACAGGACCATGGATGGTGATCTCCTCCAGACAAAAATAAATGCTGGTGCAGAATAGGTAAGTGTATTATAATTTGAGGACATCAGCTTTTGGGCATTTTAAACCATGGGTCAGACATGTTAGAGCAAGAGGCCAGGTTGATAGCAAGAGGGAGTGTTTTTCTTTTAATTTGTCAATAGCAAAGTGATGTTTGCCACTGTGATTTCAGAGTGAGGTGGCAATTTGTTGTTGTTTGGTTTTGTGGGTTTTTGTTTGTTTGTTTGTTTGTTTGTTTTTGAGACAAGGTCTCACTGTCACCCAGGCTGGAGTGCAGTGGCATGATCAGGGTTTACTCCTGCCTTGACCTCATGAATTCAAGCAAACCTCCTTACTAATCCTCCCGAGTAGCTGGGATTACAGGCACGTGACCCCACACCCTGGGGTGTGAACTGGGATTTGATGTTTTCAGTTGGCTCTCTAATGGAATAGGTTCCCTTACTCTTGTAGAATCAGATTGTCTTCATGATTATCATTCTTGTGTGCATTATATTTCTACTACCCTGCTATTTTTTTTTCTATTTTTCTTTTTTCTTTTTATTTTTTTCTTTGTGAGACAGAGTCTCGCTCTGTCTCCCAGGCTGTATTGCAGTAGCAGGATCTCAGCTCACTGCAACCTCCACCTCCTGGGTTCAAGCAATTCTTTTGCTTCAGCCTCCTGAGTAGCCACCTGGCTAATTTTTGTATTTTTAGTGGAGACAGGGTTTCACCATGTTGGCAGGCTGGTCTCAATCTCCTGACCTCAAGTGATTCACCCGCCTCAGCCTCCCAAAGTGCTGGGATTACAGGCATGAACTACCACACCTGGCTCTCAAACCATTTTAGTTAAGCAAAGACAGATTTGTCTGGCTTTTTAGTACAATGCTGAATTATCCTCCAATCTATATTTTTAGGAAGGACCTGGGGAATGGCAACTTGGAGATATTTGGTGAAAATGTGAACCTTTCATGTTCTGCTTCAGTCCCTTTTTGAAAATCCTTCCAATTTACCTTTTGCAACCAGTTAGTGGCCTTCCCTTCTTCACCAGCATGTGAGTTAATTGATAAAGATCAGAATATTTGGGCTCAAAGGTTTCAACAGTTAAGTCAAATTTTCTGCCAAAGCCTACAGGATCTTGGAGCCTGCTTTAGAAACAGAAGAGTGAAATGTATTTAAGTTTAGATCAGGGAAGTCCTTTATAATATTCTTAATTCACGTTTTGGTGAAGTGGTATACACAACGGTAGGCTCCCCTCTTCCTGTGGGTTTGGGTTTTACCTTGAAAGGGGCTGTCAGAACAGAAGTTTCAGGGAAGGGACCAGATCCCTGGGGACTTTCCTTAGGTGATGGTGATGGAAGAAGAGGCAAGGCAGGACAGGAAGGCTCAGGTAAGAAAGACTATGCAGGTGCAGGGGCAGGAGGAGAAGGAGCAGTTGGAGGTGAAAGAGACAAAGCCTCCTCAATATTTCTCAAATCAGAAAACATGACAGTCTACCTCCTTCAGCTTACTTCCTCAATGGAGGCAATTTTCTCAGTTCTTTTAGAAATTTTAGAAATTTAGACATTTCTAGGTCTCATTGGAATTAAGTCTCCTATTTAATTTGTCTGGTTCAAAAACCAAATTTCTCTCTCTCTCTCTGTTTTTTTTTTTTTTTTTTTTTTGAGACAGGGTCACCCAGACTGGAGTGCAGTGGTGTGATCTCGGCTTACTGCACTCACCACTTGCTGCATGACAGCCAATAAGTCGAGAGTTGAGGTGTAGGGGCAGGGAAGGTGACTTTATTCCAGAGAGCCACCAAACTGAACAGATGGTGAAGTAACATCCTGAAGAACCATCTTAAATTAATACTATTTTCCGGCTCCTTGTACATTAGGGAAGGGAGGAAGAAGGAGGCGATTGAGGTGAAGAGGTCTGACAATGACAGACATGGGCTGCAGTGAGAGCCCAAGGGGATGGTGAAAATTGTTGGTCCTTTGTCAGGTCACACTTCTCTTATAAATCTTCAGCATAACACTGTTACTTGTGTATACAACCTCTCTATCTTCTCAGGAGTTAGTTTGGGGAAGGGATTATTATCATCTGTGCTTTAAAGTTAAACTGTAAGCTAAATCCCTCCCATAGATAGCTTGGCCTATGTGCAGAAATAAGAAAAAGCAGTTAGCCTGGAAGATGTCACCACACGGTAGGAAGGGTTAGGAGCAAAATGCAGTCAGTCATGCTAGGCCTCCTTTTCATTGCCATATATTTAATGTATTTGAACACGTAATTTTAATTTTTTATACTTTATTTTTATTTATTTATGATTTTTTTGAGACAGAGTCTCACTCTGTTGCCCCCCCAGGCTGGAGTGCAATGGCGTGATCTTGGCTCACTGCGACCTCTGCCTCCTGAGTTCAAGCAATTCTCCTGCCTCAGCCTTCTGAGTAGCTGGGATTACAGGAGCCCCCCACCATGCCCGGCTAATTTTTGTATTTTTAGTAGAGACAGGGTTTCACCATGTTGGCCAGGCTGGTCTCAAACTCCTGACCTCGGGCTCCCAAAGTGCTTGGACTACAGGCATGAGCCACCATGCCCAGCCTAACCAAGATTATTAAACCATTCTAATTTGTCAAAAGAGTCACACTGATTTTTAAAAAATAATGTAATGGGCCAGGTGCAGTGGCCTATGCCTGTAACCCCAGCGCTTTGGGAAGCCATAGCAGGAGGATCATGAGGTCAGGAGTTCAAGACAGCCTGACCAACATGGTGAAACCCCGTGTCTACTAAAAATACAAAAATTAGCCAAGTGTGGTGGTGTGTGCCTGTAATCCCAGCTACTCAGGAGGCTGAGACAGGAGAATTGCTTGAACCCGGGAAGCAGTGGTTGCAGTGAGCCGAGATTGCACCACTGCACTCTAGCTTAGGCGACAGAGTGAGACTACATCTCAAAATAAATAAATAAATAAATAAATATAATAATAATGTAATGAACTTTTTCATGTCTTTATATAAAAAATATTACATTATTTAAATTGTTCAAAAGCATCAAAGATTCCTCTCTGCTATCAACTTCATTTATTTTATTGTACCAAACTACCAGGACCATTAATTTAATCTACAGCTAAATCTATTATTTTTTCATGTTAGAAATTCAACAAGAAAATTTTTCCCTAATGAAACCTCACATTTCAAGCATAAGGAGCCTGGGCGAGTTGGCTCACACCTGTAATCCCAGCACTTTGGGAGGCCGAGACAGGTGTATCACTTGAGGTCAGGAGTTTGAGACTAGCCTGGCAAACATGATGAAACCCTGTCTCTACTAAACATATAAAAATTAGCTGGGCGTGGTGGCGTGTGCCTATAATCCCAGCTACTCTGGAGGCTGAGGCAGGGAAATAGCTTCAACCTGGGAGGCAGAGCTTGCAGTGAGCTGAGATGGCACCACTGCACTCTAGCCTGGGCTACAGAGCAAGACTCTGTCTCAAAAATAAATAAATAGATAAATAAGCATAAGTAGTAAAAAAATAACATAAATTTAAAAATAAGGCACAGGGTCTTGCTCTGTTATCCAGGCTAGAGTGCAGTGGGGCAATCATAGCTGACCAACTTGGAACTTCTGGGCTCAGGCAATCCTCCTGGCTCAGCTTGCCTTGTATTTTTTTAGAGATGATGTCATGCCCTGTTCCCCAGGCTGGTCTCCAACTGCTGGCCTAAAGCAATCCTTCCGCCTCAGCCTGTTGAGTTGCTGGGAGTACAGGTGCAAGACATGCAGCCTAGCATTGTAGTAAAACAATTTTCAACAAATTCTTAAT
Source organism: Homo sapiens (assembly GCF_000001405.40). Classification (NCBI taxonomy): domain Eukaryota; kingdom Metazoa; phylum Chordata; class Mammalia; order Primates; family Hominidae; genus Homo; species Homo sapiens. The sequence goes on along the minus strand of NC_000001.11, from coordinate 16,743,641 downwards.
TTTCTTTCCTTTTTTTTTTTTTTGAGTTGGGAGTCTCATTCTGTCACTCAGGCTGGAGGGCAGTGGCACAATCATAGTTCACTGCAGCCTGAGATTACAGTCATGCATTATCATGCCCGGCCAACTTTAAAAAATTAGCTAATACTTAAAAATTTGTAGAGACAGGGGTTTCACTGTGTTGCCCAGGCTGGTCTCCAACTCTTAAAGTGCTGGGACTGTAGCTATGAGCCACCATACCTGGCTTAATTTTCTTATTTTAATTTTATATAAGTGATTATTATTGTTCCTAAGATAATTGGGGCAGTGACTCCTTTACAATTGTAGAGATCTAATTTGTCTATTCACTTCACTGAAAGAGTATGCCAATTTGTTTCATGAGAAAATATCCTATATTTGAAAAGAAGGAAAATTCCTTCCACCAAACTAGGGTGCATGCTAAAGAAACGAATTGTTCTAAGTAACATCACTTAAAGTGCAAACAGAGGCAATGGTATCTATTAACAATGTTTATCAGTGAAGGAAATAAACTGAAAATATGAACATCATTAGATCCTCGGAGGGCCTTCATTGCTGAAAATCTGAGTAATATTGTGATACTCTTTTGAGTCTGGCAGGACATTCTCTTTCCAGGGCATGTAACAGTGGGTGAATAATTTCTTTTCATTCATTTCCATTAAGGGCTGAACTTCCTTAATGTTCTGGAGATTATTAAATTTGATTTGTATAGTTGTGAAAAGTACTCATATTGCTGATTCCATTGCTTATATGTGATCATATAAATCTTTTCTCTTTCTGTAGTGTGGTTTAAACTTAATCCTTAAAGGGCATGTATTTGAATTTTTCAGCTGGTTAGAAACCTGAATATACCAATCAAATAAAACTGCTCCTTACATGCTACAGATTTAGTTTTCTTCCTGTACTAAGATGTCTTTTAGATACAGTAAATTCGTTAAAGCCAAGAGCCCCTAGGAAATGAAGTTGGGTGGGAGGGGGGACATCGAGTAGTAAGATCACTCTTGTAACAGAGATGCCACTCTTGCAGATATTGACAAAAATTGGGCCTATAAAATGTTTACCAAACATTGGAAAGACAAGATCTGAACAACTTATCATTGCTGCAGTCTCAAATATCAGGAAATGCCATTATTCTCAGGACAATAAATAGACAATAAAGAAGACTCACAGACCAGATTAGCTGTCATGTATCACCAAACAGGGACTGGATCCTTGTTAACACGACCCAACAGAGATTGTCCCCAGAAATTCACTTCATAACCTCAAAACCAAAAACCCACACTGATGGCAAAAAATAATGATGCAAAGAATGAGAGAGAAAGAGAGAGAGAGAGAGAGAGAGAGAGAGAGAGAGAGACCTGTCCTATAGCCATACTCAGTGGGTAAAAGCCAAAGAGCTCAATTTCTGCTCATGATACTTAATAGAACATAGGGAACATGAGCCAATAGCTCAATGGGTTCAGATCTGCACCAAGTGCCTGTTGGACGCAGGATTCTACTGTCTCCAATAATATGTCTCAGATGCACTAATTTTTTTTCTCTTTTTGAGACAGAGTCTTACTCTGTTGCCCAGGCTGCGGTGCAATGGCGCGATCTCGGCTCACAGTAACCTCCACCTCCCGGGTTCAAGCGATTCTCCTGCCTCAGCCTCCCGAGTAGTTGGGATTACAGACACACACCACTGCGCCCGGCAATTATTATTATTATCATTATTATTATTATTGTGCGTGTGTATGTGTTTTTAGTAGAGACGGAGTTTTGCCATGTTGGTCAGGCTGGTCTTGAACTCCTGACCTCAGCTGATCAAAAGTAGGTGAGGTCAGAAAACATACCCTGGGAGAGGCTGGCACAATGCCCAGAACCGCTATCGCTAGGCCTGGGGTTTTCCTCTGTAGTGGAATACTAGTGTTCATGTAGTGCAGGGACAAAACCAATTAGATAGTTCTGGGAGTTAAAAAGAGATGATTTACAGTGCCATTTGAGAAGGGGTATTAAGGAATTTGCCAGGGCACTGATGCGTGTCAGGTGTAAACCTCAGGTTGAGAGAGAGCTAAGTATTTTCTGTCCATGAAGGTGATAAGCGAGGGCCTGAAGAAAGAGGGACTGGGGAGGACACTGGCACCAGAAATAGGAAAGGGCTTCTTGGGGGTGGGAAGGATGGGTCACGGTGCTATCTATAAAGTTGGCTGGCAGTGGATGTAGGATGTGGGAGTGAGACATCAAACATGAAGCAGTCGCTTAAAGTCTAAAGAAACACTAGATATATGAACTGCAGGAGATAGTAGGGAAACTGGACCGGCTCCTCATAAAACTTCCCGCCTTCTATCTCCGGGAGGATCGCAGGGCATTTCCGCCAAGACAGGTGAGACTGCGGTTCTGACCTGCGGGCCTCCATGCATATGCGCTAGGGCACCTGGGGGCCGGCAGAGCCGTTCCCCTACGCAAAGTAAGAGTGTTATGTCTACAACCCAACGGGGACACTGAGAGCCCCAAAGGCCCTGCTTTCTTCCCAGAGAACAGCGCCCATCTGCATAATTTCTACCTGGCTCTATGAGGTGAGAACACACTCCCCGCTAGCACAGAAATCCTACAAACTCCTGTGGGGGCTGCGCTTGGAAGCAGAGGCTGTGTAAGAGGTGACTTGGGGGGTAGGGAAAAACACGAAGATTTTCACACAGGGTGAGAACCCAAGAGACTGGAGACCACGGACCAATCCCTGCAAAAAGCAGCCAGGGTAGAAATGGAAGAGCTGAGCGGACTTCACGATAGCTAATTTGTGTTACAAAGCCGATACGGCTGATGCTCGCTTTTTCTCCTATGGCGTGCAGGCCACATGTTACTTCTTATTCCCCAGGCCTCCACTGTAGGATTAACAACTAAGACACAAACCAATACGAAAAAAGACATGACCCTTGGCGTACGGTCTGTTTTTGAAACTCCAGAAAGTCAGGGGAAAGCGCGAACGCAGTCCCCCACTACCACAAATTATGCAGTCGAGTTTCCCACATTTGGGGAAATCGCAGGGGTCAGCACATCCGGAGTGCAATGGATAAGCCTCGCCCTGGGAAAACCACCTTCGTGATCATGGTATCTCCCCTGCCAGGTAAGTATGAGATCTTCGGGCTCTGCCCCGACACAGCCTCATACGCCTCACTCTTTACACACACGGTCACTTGCCCCGCGCACTCCCGAGCCCTTTCCAGCCCTGACACACAGCTGGGATTCTCACTTCCGATCCGCGGTCCTGAACCCGCTCCCAGGGCACGGGAACTCCTTCGTGGCGAAGCAGCAAGTGGCGAAGCAGCAGCCTCTGCGCTGCCTCATCTACATAGAAGTCGCCCTGTCCGTGATGTCACCGACAGTGCCTTGCCCAGTCCCCGTCTGCCTTTCTGCCACTCAACCGACCAATCTGCTGCCAGAGCCGCCAAGGGGAAGTGACGTCTGCCTCTCCCTTTTTCCCTCCCGCCCCTGCGTCTGTTCTCTCCCAAAGAAGCTGGTCCTTAGCCTGTGTTAAGGAGCAACCTTTCGGTGGCCAGATGGAGCCGGGGCATCCTTCTTCAAATAATGGCTTTTAATTCGCAGACTAGAATGTTTCGGATTACAAAAGAAACCGGTTCTCTTCACATCCTTATCCTTGTGATGCAGCATTCCGCTTGCAATTGGAAGCCGTTTAATATCAGAGAGAAACCATATTTATGAAAGTAAAGAGGCTGCTTAGATGACTGCAAACCAGCCGTCCTTACTGGTTTTATCACTGGTAATGTTATAAAGACAGTTGTCCAGTTTCATGAATCTTGTAGGTTTTTTTTTTTTTGATGTTGTTTTTTTTTTCAAAAATCCGTATTGTAGAAAAATATGCTGTCCCAGAAGAGATGATTGGACACTCTCAAGCGTGGTGCTGGACTTTGTCATCTCTTGCACAGCCATCTCCACACCTTAGTGCTTACCTCATGTTAGTTTTTTATATTCTGCAAAGACGAAACCAAAATAATCCAAATTTGACACAAATACCTGGGCTACATCTTATTTGAGATGTTTAACAAATGTCTGGATCATCTTTTCTTATATATTACGCAGGAAACACTGTGAAGTAAGCAAAGTTGGAATGCCCAAGTGAAAGACCATTTGAATATTTACAAGTAGATTTCAGACAGGAATACTACAGGGTGGTCACAGGATAACAAATTCTAGGCAGCAGATTTACATGACTTGAGGCTGTGGGCTGTTAAGACGCTGAAAAACCAGGGTGTGGACCAAGCTGGCTAAGGCTGAGTGGACCCAACGTGGTGCTGGATTGGATGGAGGTTTTACCTAGGCCCTCATTATATGCTCATTAACATACTAAATCACACACCCGCCAGTGCCATGACAGTTCTGAGACCAGTGTTTGATGTAAAAATGGCACCACAGTTCCAAGAAATCTCCACCTTTACCCAGGAATTTTCGTGAATATTCCAATTCTTGGTTAAAGAAACCCATCAAGATGAAACCCCAGAACCCATTATTCTCTCTTGGGTATGCCCAAGCTCCCCTTTCTTGAGTGTGTACTTTTTGCTTTGCAATAAATCTCTTCTTTCACTATCTGCTGACTCATCTTTGACTTTGTTCTCACGATGGTGTCAAGAGCCTGGACACCACGGCTGGGGTCGAGATCCCACCAGTGTCCAGGGACCTCCCCCAGCCCACCAGTATCAGATTCTATTCCATTGCTCAAATCACAAAACATCGAGTGGAGAGTTCTCCTTGGAGATCATAAAGTAAAGATTCTGTGGCATGGTGGCCAGTTAGGCCACTGGAAGCATGGCAAAATATTGAAAATGAGGGATTAGGTGACAGTGTAGTAACTGCTGAATACTAAATACTTGATCCAGGCCCCATTCCCTGGAGATTGACAGGGAGACACATTGTCCAGGTAGTAGTGGAGAAATGTTTTCTGGGTATCTGACCAGCCTTTGTGGAAAGAACTGGCACCATCCTGCAGATGTAACCGCCTGATGGGTTCTTCCTGACCAATGTACACAAAAACTCAATTCATGGAGACCATGGCACTGCAGGAAACGGTTTCATTGACACAGGCCAGCCACGACATGTGGGAGACAGAGTTATTACTCAAAGCAATCTCACTGAAGGCTTGGAGGTAAGGGGTTTTTCAAAGATAGTTTGGTGGGGAGGGGGCTAGGGCTTGCGTGGTGCTGATTGTTGGGGATGAAATCACAGGGGCGTGGAAAATGGCCCTCCTGCATGGAGTCAGCTTCTGGGTGGGGGCTAAGGGACTGGTTGATTTTCGGGCCAGATGGTGCCTTCCAGCAGTCAGAAATGCAAAAGCCTGAAAAGACATCTCAAGAGGCCAATCTTAGGTTCTACAATAGTGATGTTCTTCACAGCAGTAATTGGGGAAGCTGCCAATCTTGTGACTTCTGGAATAATGGCTGGTAATTATTTAACGAGGCATACATCTTAGTAGAAATCAGGCCCCTTTCATCCTTCTAACTTGGTGGCCTTTCATTCATTTTACAGGGGTAATTTAGTTTTGGGGAAGGTTATCATTTAAAGCAGCCTTTTTGGCTGTCCTCAACCTTTTTGTCACCAGGGACTGGTTTCATGGAAGACAATTTTTCCATGGAAGGGGGTGGTGGATGTTTTCCATATGAAACTGTTCCACTTCAGGTCATCAGGCATCAGTTACAGTCTCATAAGGAGTGCGCAATCTGGATCACGCACATGAGCTGTATCACCACTCAGCTCTCACTCCAGCCTCAGGTATCAGCAAGACCTCACCAAAGATTACTGTTTAATTGTCTCTGTGTGTGTTTTTGTTTGTTTCAGGTAACAACTAATGTTGGAATTATGAAAAGCTCTTCTCTACTTTTAACAAAGCTTAGTCACAAACAGTTCCCCAGTTGATGAGAAAAACTAAAACAACAGAACAATTGAAAGTCCGAATCTGCAAGTTCATCTCTGAGAACCGAATTTTACAGCCACTCCAGATTTGTACTCCAAATGGATAGTTTGATTGTAGAAATCACTTCCCTTCAGTCTGCCAATGTGATAACTGCCCAAGAGAAAGTGATGCCTACATTCGTAGATAATCCCCTTTCCCCCATCCTATATATAACTGGAGTCAACAGTAGCTGGAGGAAAATGGCAAGAACTTGGAATCAAGATTAGGTTAGAATAACACTGCTGTAGACAGTTTATCAGCTCTTCAGCATATGTCCATTTTCCTTGAAGGATGAGCCTTTAGAAACCTCTGACAATAAAGTTTATTTTACATCCATTCCCTTGCCTATGATTTTTTCATACAAATCACAATTATAAAACTTTCTTGCTCCAGCTAAAAGCAAGAAACTCAATCATGAATGTGTTCACTAAATATATACCACAGAATGATAGCAACCAGTCTGAATGCATCACTTGATTCCAAAATTAAATGTTAGCCCTCAGTGGTGCAACTACATGTATCTCCAACTCTGGAAGCCACAGGCAACATATTCCTGTTTCCTTGCAGGGAAACAGATCTATAAGCAGGGCGGCAGTCTCACACATGTACATTCCTGGGAAACCCAAGGAAACAATGATAGTGACGCAGGGCAGGCAAGCCCCCAAACTGAAAGAGTTTTGCTAATGTCGCGATTGGCTTTCTATGTTATTTGAAGACTGAGATCTCCATGAGGAATGAAGACAGGTAATGCCTAAGGCTGAGGCATGACCTCACTGGGTCACCTTAGCTGTGAAGTGAGGTCAGTTGTCACCTTGCAAACCTTTTGGTAATCCAAATCTTGGAATGATTTCTTTAAGAATTTAGACACTTCCAGTACTTTTCCTGTCCTTGTGGGGAAAGCTTCTATCCACCTGGTGAAAGTGTCTATAAATACTAGCAAATCTTGTAGTTCCCTGTAAGGTGGCATCTGGGTTAAGTCTGTCTGCCAGTCTTCACCATGGTATGTTCCTTGGTGTTGTACAGGTTTAAGCAGGGATCGGGGTATGGGGTGGCTTCCTGAGTGGTAACCCTTTTTATAGTTTAGAACAGTCCCTTCCCGAAGAATATTTAGGAAACTAATTTGAATGGAAAATCCCGTCCCAAATGTGAGGAATCATGAAAATGTTTAATTATTTCCCATCTGTCAGCCTCAGGAATAGAGTTTGTTCTTTTGTAGCAACCATCCAGAGGGGTCTCCCTGGAAGCCTTTTACTCAGTCCCTTTAATTTCCTTAGGGGTATAGTATGGTGTCACTGACACGGATGCAGTACCTGGTAGTAGCGCAGCAGCTTGAAATACCAGGGTTTCCTTAGTTGTGGCCTTAGCTGCTCTTTCCACCAGGGAATTTCCTCTAATAATAAAAGTGTCTCCCTTCTGGTGTCCCCTGCAGTGAGTAATTGTTATTTCTTTGGGAGTTGGACAGCATCTAAAAGTTCCAAGATCTGAGTAAAGTCGTATGGGGGATCCCTTGGCTCTTGATAGTCCCCTTTCCTTCCCTATGGCTGCATGAGCATGGAGCACCAGGAACCCATATTTAGAGTCAGTCAACACATTGACTCTTGAGGGTTCATCCTCCCCGCAGGCAACTGGAGATGTATTGTCCCCAGAGGGTACAATAGAGAATCTTCCGTCACAAGTCAGCAACCAGCATATGTGAGTGACAGCATGTGTCCCACTCAGAAATGAGAGTGTATTAGTCCGTTTTCATGCTGCTGACAAATACATAACAGAGTCCAGGACCAAAAAGAGGTTTAATTGGACTTACATTTCCATATGACTGGGGAGGCCTCAGAATCATGGCGGGAGGCAAAAGGCACTTCTTACAAGGCAGCAGCAAGAGAAAATGAGGAAGAAGCCAAAGCAGAAACCCCTGAGAAACCCATCAGATAGTGAGACTTACTGGCTATCAGGAGAATAGCACAGGAAAGACCCGCCCCCATGATTCAATTACCTCCTCCTAAGTCCCTCCCACAACACATGGGAATTCTGGGAGATACAATTCAAGTTGAGATTTGGGTGAGGGCACGGCCAAACCATGTCAGAAAGGGATGAAGTGACAGCATATCCTGATGTGTGTGATGGTTTCATGAGTTATTATCTATTTCAAAATTTATTGCAATGTGTGGAAAAGAACAAGGACTTGTACTATCTGACTTTAAGGTTTACTATAAGCTATTAGACACAAGGCATCAAGAGTGACAAACGGATAAACAGCCTGAGTTAGAAAACCTGAAATTGATCCACAGCTATACGGTCAATAAATGGGTTTTCAGTAAAAGCAGTTCAATAAAAGAAAATAAATCATTTCAATTAATGAACTTCTATATGGATGTGGGGAGACCAACAATGTTATTCTCCCTCACGTTACACACAAAAGTAATTTCAGCCGCATTACACACCAAAACTTAAAAGTTAAAGATATAAAGCATTTCAAGGATACTTTGTGACTTGTTGGCAGGCAAAGATTAGCCTACCAACAAGCAGGACACAGAAAAAATACATATATAAGAAAGACATGATAAATGAGACTTCATCAACATTAGCCACACCTTCTCATCAAAAGATACCACTAAGAAAGCGAAAAGGCAAGCAAGCCACAGACAGAGAGAAAATACCCACAAAACGTATCTGACCTCCACATCCTGCAATTATAATTATAGTGGTCTGGTACACTGCACCCAGTTTCTGCTGGATGGAGTATTTTCTGGGTGTCTCTAATGAGTAAGAGAGGGCCCCATGGGATATTCCTTCAGTTCCCAGATGAACAGTGGGAAAGACTCCACATTGACCAACCTCGGGGGCCTGAAAACCCAGGTCCTCAAGGAGGGTAGAGTATACCTGGACCCTGACCCAGACCCCTGGATGGGCTGTGCCAAGAGACCCAGCAAGGGAAGGGATTTCCTCCTGCCTCAGGTTCTCTGTTCTTCTGTGGTTAGACCACCTGAACCCAACTCCCTCCCCAAGCACTAGAGATGGGCTTTTCCAAGGGCTGGGGATCTTGCTGTCCTGAGGACAGCTGAGCAAGGGGGTCGAGGAGGAGCTTGGGTTGTGGAGGAGAGGAAACCGGGTAAGATGCGTGAAGCAGTTGGCTATACCAGGCACAGAGAGGACCCGCTGGGACCCAAGAGCCTGCATGTGAAGCCAGGCCTTGGGCCACCTTGTCTGTCAAGGGGGTGCCTACTTCCATGGTGTCTTCAAAGGGACTGTGGAAAGAGAGGCCTTCAGCCCACACCTCTGAATGCTTTTCCACCACAGCATGCCCTGTGGCCTTTATCCTGCTGGTGTGGAACAGTCAGACCCCTGCAGGGCTGCAGAGCCTCTGTACTGGGCGGCATCCCAGCCTGAGTGCCAGAGCTCAGAGGGCAGGCCCCCGAGCAAGCAGAGAGGAGGGCACCTTTTGGACAGAACGTGTGGGACAAGAGCGATGGCTCATCCGTTCAGGTTCCTCACAAAATGAGAGTCAGGAAGATCAGGGCGCCGGCCTGATTTCCCAGGCAGGGCTGAAAGCAGACAACCGGAGGGAGAGCAGCACCTGGGCCAATGAGGTAGAAGACAGAAGACCACAGTGTACTCCTGCCCTCAACCTCACCCCCTCCCACCCACATCCTCCACACTCCCTGACCACCTTCCTCAGAAGTGTAATAGGAATCCAGATTCCCCCTGGCCTGGTTGCTGCAGGAGGCACAGTAGCCTGATGGAGCCTGAGGCAGGTGTGGGAAGATGTGGATTGTCTAACTGGAGGTTGGGAGTCCAGGGTGTAGAAGCAGCTTGGAGTGCAGGATTTGGTGGTACGTGTGTGGCAGTAGGCAAAAGAAAGAGACAACTGGCCGGGCGCGGTGGCTCACGCCTGTAATCCCAACACTTTGGGAGACCGAGGCGGGCGGATCACGAGGTCAGATGAAGACCACGGTAAAACCTCGTCTCTACTAAAAATACAAAAAAGTAGCCGGGCGTGGTGGCGGGTGCCTGTAGTCCCAGCTACTGGGGAGGCAGAGGCAGGAGAATGGCGTGAACCCGGGAGGCGGAGCTTGCAGTGATCTGAGATCGCGCCACTGCACTCCAGCCACTGCACTCCAGCCTGGGTGACAGAGCAAGACTCTGACTCAAAAAAAAAAAAAGAAAAGAAAAGAAAAGAAAAGAAAAGAAAGAGACAACTGAGCCACTTGAAATACCATGAGAATTCAAATTCAGAAAATTCCCGGGGAACTATGCGTGCAGGCACTCACCAGATCCACAAAACAGCTGCTGCATAACTGCATGTTGCAAGCAAGCCCTAAATTGCTGATTTTGAAACAGCCTGATGGGTTCACAAAGACAATTTCTGAATAGTCGTAAGAGCAGAGGTGCACTAAAGCCACTGTGCCCTGCAGGCCCAGATCCCAGTAAGTTCTTCAAGGAGTAAGTCTTACTTCCATTTATGGAAGATTTTTGGAGTTGTCCTTGGTCACCCCCAGGAATGTTTTGGTTAGGAGTAGAATTTTAGATGTCATCAATTTAAAAATTAAAACTAAAACGCTGGAACTCATAGAGAGATAAAATTAAGAGAATACATTCACTATCCTGAGTAGAAAGATTTCTTATAGAACATAACAGGCTTTAAAAATAAAGAAAAAATATGGCAAAATTTCATCAAATTAAATGCTTTGAGAACTAAAATTAAAATCCAAAGCCACTCAACCAACTGGACAGACTGTTTCTTGGCCAAGGAGACCCCAGAGAAGTCTTAACTACTGAGTTCCTGCCCAGTAGTTGGAATCTCAGACACCTCTCCTTATACTCTCTCCCTTTGTGGTTTAGACACAACTGACCAGCATTATTGTTAAAATAGAGATCCTAAGACTGACAGAACAGACTCCTTGCAGTAGTAAGATATGGTATGATAAACGAGACCTAAGGCCACGCCAGGCAAGGTGGAGTCATGCGCCCCTCAACTTAAAGAATAAACTATGTTCCAATTGCCACAGGTTTTTTTCTTCTTCCTTTTTTTCTCTAGCTAAACAAGCACTGGCCTTGAGATAAGCAATGCTGAAGCACTTGCAGCTCACCCATTACCATAAACTGACTGAGCCCTCCCTACACAAGCCATAACTACAGCTTTGATTGGACAAGAGACTGATTTCAGTAACTTCCCCTTGATAAGAGAGCACTGGCTGTGGACGGGTTCTGGACGGTTTACAGAGGCTGTGCACTTGACTGCCTTTGTGTCCCTGCTTCCCCTTTTGAAGCATAGGGCCTAATTATAATGTATTTAAATGTTGTCTCCACCCCAAAATGAACATGGGTTGCATGTAACAGGCATGTTTACTCAGCATGCATGCAGCAGGATCCCTTCATGAATATTCAGAGCTCCTCCTATTCCCTGTTGAATATGTATATGTGGCCCACCACATCAACATAAATCCCTGTTCCCCCCTCCCCTCCCTGGAAACGTACTTTTCAGGTTTCAGCAGCAAGAGGGTATGCCTCCCTGTCTGTCAGAATGGCCACCTTGCAGGCTGTAACCATTTATAAAAAATAAAATCTCCCTTCTAAATTTATAAATTGTGTGATTTTTCAGTTGACAGCTTTCAGTCAGACTTTTCACTGACTGGGAAAAGTCATTTGCAATATATTTATTTTAAAAATGACTCCTCAGCATACAGAATTCTTGTGCAAAGATCACAAGCATTCTTATACACCAATAACAGACAAACAGAGAGCCAAATCATGAGGGAACTCCCATTCACAATTGCTTCAAAGAGAATAAAATACCTAGGAATCCAACTTACAAGGGATGTGAAGGACCTCTTCAAGGAGAACTACAAAACACTGCTCAACAAAATAAAACAGGATACAAACAAATGGAAGAACATTCCACGCTCATGGGTAGGAAGAATCACTATCGGGAAAATGGTCATACTGCCCAAGGTAATTTATAGATTCCATGCCATCCCCATCAAGCTACCAATGACTTTCTTCACAGAATTGGAAAAAACTACTTTAAAGTTCATATGGAACCAAAAAAGAGCCCGCATTGCCATGTCAATCCTAAGCCAAAAGAACAAAGCTGGAGGCATCACGCTACCTGACTTCAAACTATACTACAAGGCTACAGTAACCAAAACAGCATGGTACTGGTACCAAAACAGAGATATAGACCAATGGAGGAGAACAGAGCCCTCAGAAATAATGCCACACATCTACAACTATCTGATCTTTGACAAACCTGACAAAAACAAGAAATGGGGAAAGGATTCCCTATTTAATAAATGGTGCTGGGAAAACTGGCTAGCCATATGTTGAAAGCTGAAACTGGATCCTTTCCTTACACCTTATACAAAAATTAATTCAAGATGGATTAAAGACTTAAATGTCAGACCTAAAACCATAAAAAGCCTAGAAGAAAACCTAGGCAATACCATTCAGGACATAGGCATGGGCAAGTACTTCATGTCTAAAACACCGAAAGCAATGGCAACAAAAGCCAAAATTGACAAATGGGATCTAATTAAACTTAAGGGCTTCTGCACAGCAAAAGAAACTGTCATTAGAGTGAACAGGCAACCTACAGAATGGGAGAAAATTTTTGCAATCTACTCATCTGTAGTTTCATCAGAATCTACAAAGAACTCAAACAAATTTACAAGAAAAGAACAAACAACCCCATCAACAAGTGGGCGAAGGGTATGAACAGACACTTCTCAAAAGAAGACATTTATGCAGCCAAAAGATACATGAAAAAATCCTCATCATCAGTGGCCATCAGGGAAATGCAAATCAAAACCACAGTGAGATACCATCTCACACCTGTTAGAATGGTGATCATTAAAAAGTCAGGAAGCAACAGGTGTTGGGGAGGATGTGGAGAAATAGGAACACTTTTACACTGTTGGTGGGACTGTAAACTAGTTCAACCATTGTGGAAGTCAGTATGGTGATTCCTCAGGGATCTAGAACTAGAAATACCATTTGACCCAGCCATCCCATTACTGGGTATATACTCAAAGGATTATAAATCAGGCTGCTATAAAGACACATGCACACGTATGTTTATTGCGGCACTATTCACAATAGCATAGACTTGGAACCAACCCAAATGTCCCACAATGATAGACTGGATTAAGAAAATGTGGCACATATACACCATGGAATACTATGCAACCATAAAAAATGATGAGTTCATGTCCTTTGTAGGGACAGGGATGAAGCTGGAAACCATCATTCTCAGCAAACTATCGCAAGGACAAAAAACCAAACACCGCATGTTCTCACTCATAGGTGGGAATTCAACAATGAGAACACTTGGACACAGGAAGGGGAACATCACACACCGGGGACTGTTGTGGGGTGGGGGGAGGGGGAGGGATAGCATCAGGAGATATACCTAATGTAAATGACGAGTTAATGGGTGCAGCACACCAACATGGCACATGTATACATATGTAACAAACCTGCACGTTGTGCACATGTACCTTAAAACTTAAAGTATAATTTAAAAAACGTCAAAACAAGACTCAATTCTTGAATATATAAGAGAACTTTTGTAAGTCAGTAATATAGAGCTAAGCCAAATAAAATAGGGCAAAATATTCGAATAGGCCTTTGCAAAGGAGAGTTTCTTATATGCTGGAAGCCATAAGAAAATATGCTTCATAGGATTGCTCATTAGGCAAATACAAATTAATTCCACACTGAGATAGCACTAACCACTCACCAGTGTATGGCTACTTTTTTTTTTTTTCTGAGACAGGGTCTCATTCTGTCACGCAAGCTGGAGTGCAATGGTGCGATCTTGACTCACTGCAACATCCCCCTCCGGAGTAGCTGGGACTACAGGTGCATGCCACCATGCCCAGCTAATTTTTGTATTTTGAGTAGAGACAGGGTTTTGCCATGTTGGCCAGCCTGGTCTGAGAGCATAGCTACATTTAACAAAGTTAGTACACCAAATGCTGACAAGAATTTGGTGCCACTTCAACTGTCATCGCTGGCGAAAAAGCATTCTAGAAGACTGGCAATTTATACTGATGTTAAACTTATACTCAGGTCATGACCCAGCAATTGAAGGACTTCCATGAATCTCAAGTGCACACAAAGACTGTTATAAGAATATTCAGCACAAGAAATCAATAACCCCAAAATTGAGAAGTGATCTATGAAACTACGTGGATATATCTCATGAGTATAATGAATGTAACTGGAGAAAAAGGCCAGACACAAAACATATGTACATTCACTCATGTGAACTTTAAGAACAGGCAATTGTAACCTGTGGGAATAGACATCAGAATAGTGATAACTAAGAGGACACAGGGTGGGAATCACCTGGACAGGGGCTCTAACAGGCCTTTCTCAGATGATGGCAATTTTCTATAACTTGAGCTGGGTGGTGATAACATTGATCAAAACTAAACAAATTGCACTAAAGATTTGTGCACTTTATGTGAACTGTAGCTTCTTTACTGTTCTCATTGCTTGAACCTCGGAGACACAGGTTGCAGTGAGCCGAGATTGAGCCACGGCACTCCAGCCTGGGTGACAGAACAAGACTACGTCTCAAAAATAATGATAATAGTAATAATTTACTGTTCTCATAAAAATTAGCAGATGGGGAATGGAGGCAAGCCTGTGCAGACCATGACAACTAGTTTAGATTTTATTGTCAGCTCATTAAAAACTCGTTCTCGTTTTGTGTTTTTAAAAAATTCCACTGATACAGCCGTTTTCTCTACCGAAAAAGACTATAACCGCATTATTTCACCAGTGGAAGCTACAGACAAAGGGCCCTTGAGAGGCGGCATCTTCACCTACGGGAATTTTTCCTGCTCAATTGTGAGACAAAGAGCATGTCCAAGTTTTCCTATCGGCCAGGCCGCCCCCTAGTTTCTGCGCTGTGGGCTAAACTCCAGAAGCTGGCGCCCTTCGGGGCCAGAGGTTTACTCTGCTCTCTGGAGGCTGCTAGGATTAAAGGCAAAGCAAACGACAGGTCTATTAGCCACAATCGCAGGCTAGAAAACACTACTGTGACTCAGATTAGAACCCAGGTTGTGGCAACCACAACTACAAGTATTAACCACTACACGACCACAAAGCCTGCTGACAAGCATTGCACTTCTTCTATTTTTTGAATGTAAAAACACTCACACTATTTTATCTGCTTTATTCTTGGACGCCGCCGATTTTCGTGCTTTTCTCTCTTTCATGCGCTTCTCCGTTTCTCTCCCCATTCTGCTACATAATTTTAAAAAAATCTCATCTCCCAGGATCCACCCACTGCCTCTACAACAAGCCTCCTGGGAGGTCTCTTTGTCCCATTGACATCTCTGCCTTCTTTCGCTGCTTTTTTTTTTTTTTTTTGACGCAGTCTCGCTCTGTCGCCCAGGTGGAGTGCAGTAGCGCAATCTTGGCTCACTGCAACCTCTGCCTCCTGGGTTCAAGCGATTCTCCTGCCTCAGCCTCCCAAGTAGCCGGAATAGCAGGTGCATGCCACCACATTCGGCTAATTTTTGTATTTTTAGTAGAGACGGGATTTTTCCATGTTAGCCAGGCTGGTCTTGAACTCTTGACCTCAAGCGATCCATCCGCCTCGGCCTCACACAGTGCTGGGATTACAGGCATGAGCCAACGTGCCCGGCCAAATTTCAGGCCAACACCTGTTGACAGACATTGCCAGACACACGGAATCCCTCGCAGAACACCGATGGGCCCACAAAGCACGCGGAGGCCGCGGCCGCTGACGATGTGAGCAAATTCGGTTCACGGTGTCTGGGGTACAGCCCTGAGGGTCCACTGGCCACCTCTGCGCAAGGACCAGTCCCCGCCGCTCCCCTCATCTCCACGCAGATTCTTCCCCACACACCTTCCCTTTCTTTGGGCCGCTGAAGCCTCTTGGACCTCTGACGTGACTGTCCTGCCCGCAGCTTCTCTCCTTCCAAGAGCGTCATTTCTTGATCCTCTCTACAGTGGCTCAGCAGTAAGCCCAAGGTCCAGCACGCGAATCAGGAACCTGATGATTCTTCGGGTTTGCAGGGATCCGCCCCGTGAATAGATGAAAGTAACAGGTACCAATATCAAAACTGCAGTGACTCACCGGAAAGACTTCGTGCTTGCCACTTTGCTAAGCTGTTTGAGTCCAACAATTGCATGGGTCCTGGGTTAGTGTCCTGAATGTCTCTTGCCGCTACTCTCGTGAGTAATGTTGTCACTTTACCTTGTGGTGGCCAAGCCCCTAAATGCACTATTAGGTTATGCAGTATAATTTTGCAGCGTAAAAGACGGGTAAAAGGCCATAATGAAATGAAGAAGTACCTGCTGCATTGGCCGGGAATTGAACCCGGGTCTCCCACGTGGGAGGCGAGAATTCTACCACTGCACCACCAAGGCCTCTACACACCCACGGCCTGGGGGATAAGAGAAAAGAGTATCCAAAAAGACTTAGAACCTTCCAACCGCCTTTTTCAAGTGTCGACTAAAAGCTAACAAACATATCCAAACCAAATGTTTTTATAGGAAACTTTTACTAGACAAAGTTATAAATATCAAAATAGCTCATTTGGTGGATCAAACTCTTAAGTCTGAAAAAGGTCTTTCTACCTGCATTATAAACCCCTATAATAAAACATCAGAAATTCATTCATGTTTCTTTTTTCTAATCTTAAATCTTCCATTGTCAATCTCAAACTGCTGCCTTAGAGGTTCTGAGAAGGTAACCTAACTGGTAGTTTAGGTAAATAAAGTTCAAATCCAGGGAGGAAACAAGAAGCAGAAGCAGAATTAGAAGAAAGACGAAATAAAAGGACAGAATCAATGTACAGATAATGAAGAAACAAAGGTTGGTCCACTAAGTTAGTCTTTTGTCGCTGGTTTTTTTGGCAAAAGAGTAATGATCGGTCTCGTAATCATTATAATACTATTATTTGTCTGCTTGAAGATGTATAAAGCATTTGAAGGAAATGTGGTGTGAAAAGATTAAGAACCCTTGCCGTCAATGTTTCCTTGTTTGGGAGAATCCCATTTCCTAAGTTAATATGCTTTGATGTATTAGCTATGAAAGGAGTAGACTAGTTTAAGGAAATATTGACGGTCAAAATATTAACATATTAGTCTTTTGATGAAGTTCAAATAGTAGAGAGATTTCTTTCCTCAATTTTCAACGGAGACATTCAACTGAAGAGACAAATCCAGAGTTTTCCCCACATGTTGGGTCTGGGAGTCATTATGACTTTTTCAAAGACAGGAGCTGTGACATGGAATCATGCTTCTTCTCTAGCTGAGAAGCCAAGCTAGGTCCAGGCTGCGTCATAAACTTGAGCCCACCAAGGAAATCACCCTTCACATTGACCTCGCAGAGCTTTGGCTGTTCTCTGTTCTTTGCCCAACACCCAAGACACACACCAGCTCTGGCCAACAAACCTTAACATATGATCTATATCCACCAGAGCTATATTTATTCCCAAATCTCCTTCTAAAATACAAACCTGTACTTTCTACTCTCAACTTCTAAATTTACAAAGGCCTCATATGCATCTCAGAGTCATAGATGCTAAAACTTAACCGGTTTTCTGAGGATTATTTGGGGAAGGGGTATGCATTCAAAATCTTTTGTATGTAGATAATTCGTGTGGTTTCAGATTATTGACTCTACAAGTTCCAGATGCAGATTTAGAATCTTTTAAAAAAATATTTTGTTTTTGTCTCGCAAATCAGCCAGATCTGCAACTTATCAGAGTAAAGCGAAGCCCAGCGGGACACTTAGGAAATGCATTAAGATGTCATCCACTTTCAGTGTCAGCCTATGAAAATTCAGGCGACAGAAGAGAATGAAGAGAATCTTAAGGAATTTCTGGAACCAAAGCTAACATTAAGCAGGCCTCTTGCTGGCAGACCAGTGGAAACTGTAGCCTGGTCAACAATCTGTCTAGATTGAGGAGGTCTAAAGTGTAGCCACAGGTTCAACTACTTTTCTGTTTGTTTCCCAACCTCGATTAAACTCACTAAATTTAGGGACAAAAAGAAAAACCAAAAAACCATGTTTCCCTCCAGTCTCGAGCCAAGGGTCTTTCACATGTGAGGCAAACATGATAACCACTATACTACAGAAACTGCACATACACTGGAAAAGGCAAAACATAATCATGAAAATCTGAGGTCAGCCATTTCTATTATCGTTTCCAAAGTAAGAAATTCAACTGCATTTTGAAATTCGACTGAAAAAAGCCCAATAAGCACCAGCCATCAAGAAGACTATGGCTCCCAGTAGGCCCAGGCTTAGCGTTCCGCACCTACCCCCAACACGAAGACCACGGGGACCCACACCCGGGCTTCGGGATCCCGCATCCTCCCCCGGGTATCCAGTTCCAGAACTAAGCGCCGTGTGCGGGATCCTTCCGGCTGACACTCTTGGCTCCCAGAAGCTCCAGAAGCTGCAGAAGCCGGCGGGCTTTGAGCTTCCGAGCCCCGGGCGCCCCGTGCCTCGCAGGAGTGTGGACGCCGCCCTTCCAGGGATGCGGACCCCGCCTCGGGGCCTTTTCCCCGGCGCCAGCTGTCAGAGCTCTTGGCTCTTCGCGTCCTCCCAGGAACCGTAGGACCCTCCTTGCCCTCCCTTCCGCAGGCCGAGGGGCGCGAGCTGCGGGCTCTTTCCTCACGGACCCTTTGGCCTCAGCGCCTCGACGTCTTTCTCCCAAAGGGCATCCTTCACTGCTGCTGTCTCTTAGTCTGCCCCACTCAATTTAAGTAATAGTTAATCACACTTCCAGATTTCAGCAGGTACCGTAGCAAAGGCTGTGTCTCAGGGCACTTGGCTGTTTGAAAATATGGGCACATCAACTCAGGCCAAGCCACCGAGTACAAAACCCTGGAAGACCCGGGGGCAGCCCACTTAGATTTCACGATCGCTCCTCTCTCCCTCGTCGGTCTTCTGATTCTTCCTGAAGGGCAGTTTCATTTTACCCTTTACAAAACTGAAACGTCTTATATGTGCTTTTTGTAATTTTTCTGTTCAATAAGGTTTTGGAGTGCGGATTTTAACCTAAGAGGGACAAAGAGATAAAGGCGGTTTTCACAGAAAGCGTCTCGATGGATTTTCACGTTCACCTGGCAGCAGATGGCCAACAGGCAGAAAGAGTCTCTTTTTGCTTGAAGACATTAAAATCAATCTCTCTCCCCCCCCCTTCCCCCCTCTCTCTCTCTATGCCAAAAATTAGCTTCTTGGGAGGCCGAGGCAGGAGAATCGCTTGAACCCGGGAGGCAGAGGTCGCAGTGAGCCGAGATCGTGCCACTGCACTCCAGCCTGGACGACAGAGCAAGAGTGTCTCAAAAGTTTGGAGAAGAAGGTGCCATTTTCCCTAGTTGCTTTTCTTATTGCAGTGGTGACCGCATTGCCTTCAAACCTGAAGTCCGAGTGCTTCCACCCTGGGGAATATGCAGACCGCTGGGTCACTGGACGCCAGGCCGCGGTGCTGGCCTAGTTCTGCTTTTGGCTTTCAATGCAGTCGGCGGAGGCGACTGGACCTCACCAGAGACTGGTGGGATGTTACCCTCACCAGCGACTGGAGGGCCGAGCTCCCAAAGAGGCCTACTTCATGATAGCCTTGAATCAGGAAATTTCATGAAATCCCACCCCTCTACTGCCCCATTCCCATATTCTATCTCCTCCCCATATTCTATCATCTCCTCCCCTGCCCACTCTGAGAGGATTCGCCGCCTTTCTGTCGCGTCTGGACCCTTTGGAGTCCCACATGGACAAGACAAAATGGGCACTGCCTTTTCCTACAGGAGCGGGAGGAGCCCTCACGGCGGAGGAAACACAGGCTCACAGAGCGCATCCCCACACACCTGAGCCCTGCCGGGTTCCAGAAAACCCAACAAAGCACTCTCTGAAGCTTCTCTTGGATATGTACCCAGAAATAGGGTTCCTGGATCATAGGGTAGATTCTATTTTTAGTTTTTTGAGGAAACTCCATACTGTTTTCCACACCAGCTGTACTAATTTACATACCTATTCACAATGTGTGTGTTCCCTTTTCTCTGCATTATGTCTAACACATCATTCACCTTTTTGACAAATGCCACTCTAACAGGTGTGAGATGATATTCATTATGGTTTTAATTTGCATTTCCCTAATGATTAATGATGCTGAGCATTTGAGAAAAGCTAATTTTTAATGCCTTAATGTTGAGAACTGACAACATTGTTGTGAAAGATAGGAAGCAATAAGGTAAAAACAAAACAATGTCATTCAAACAGGATATCAGATTTGCACATAGGCCTTTGTGGGGCAAATGGGAACCCAGCGCACAAAAAGTTGAATTATATGGAAGCAATATCACAAATGAGTTAGGAAATGTGAAAAAAATAACCAATAAGAGAGATATAATTAAAAATAGACCTAATGGATTCACACTATCACTACAAATACTGGAAGCCCTGGGGTTTCATTTGGGGGAAAGAAATATTTGCTTTCATACACGATCAAAACTAATGAAAAAGCTAGATCCTGAGTTACTTTTCAGGCCTTTACGTTTAAAACTTAAAGTTAGCCAAAGAAAGTCCACTTTGAGATGGAAATATGAAAACCCGAATTAGCCTGGGGAAAAATCAAACCCCTAGGCACTGTTTGATTTTCTCACTTTAAAGTGGGAAATTAGATCAGATGTACCTTAAGGTTTTTCTGGTGTTAACACTCATGGTTCATCATTTTTTTCTTTTTAAAGAAAATAGGTATATTGAAACCAATAGAACAAGATAATATATATTCAGAAGGCACTTTAATCATGGGTAAACTTCATGAAAGTTAGACATTATTTTTAAGCAGAAGGAACCCTTAAGGCCTAGAAAAGAATAATGCTGTGCCCACACTCAAGACTAATGGCAAAGTGTGTTTTAGTTAAGTTACTTGGAAAGAGTTTATATAGAATGACAACATCACATAGTTTAAATGAGGGGTGGGATCATAAGCTTTCAGAAGTAGCTTTATTGGGTCCCCCTTCCCTTATTTTGTCACAAATGCTGGGGGGGCACATATGGAGATGGCCACCAGCCTGATTAAGCCTGCCAACAGAGTCTTAGAGACAGACATTCCCAAGAGCCTGTCAAATCTCAGGTTCACAAAGCCCAAGGAAGATTGGGTGCCTGGGAATTGAGCGGCTTTGTCTAAGGATCTTTCTTCTTTGACCTGGGTGCACATGTCTTCACAACCTCAACTGCTATGCTACTGAACGCCGTTGCACATGTATACTGTGAATCGACCCTACCACAAACCTGTGACCTAGATTTGAACATACTTTGTTACGGGGAACAGCAAAAAGTCAGTGGCTTTGCAGCAACCCCGACAGCTCTGTCAATCGTTGATCCATATAAGCTGTTCAGGGCCCTGCTCTGCTTAATGTATTGGTGACCTGAAGACCTGAATGGAGATCTAAAGCATATAATTAATTCTACAAATCATCCCCAATCAGGGGGCCACTACATGATTTGTGGAAATGCACATCGAATATTTGGATGACTTGGATAATGGGGGAATGATTCAGTATAGCCAGAATGAATTTATAAGTGACAATTACAAGTCACAATATTTATAGAGATAAAAGAAAACAGCATGACCCAGCAACAGCTGTGGGGGAGGGGTGGAAAATTCAGAGGTCGAAATTGACCCTAAGTTAAGTAAAAGCTCCAAATGCTGCCACCGAGAAGGAAAAGAAGCCAATGTGACATTGGGACGTAGTAAGATTCATATTGGACAGACAGGCAGGAACTCCTTGTACTGAAGTAATTAGTCATATGATAAGTGGATTATCATAACTCAGATTTTGATTTGCACCCTTTTAAGAGCACAGGAAAAGACCAAAGATAAGCCCAAAATGAACAATAACAAAGTCTAAAAGTGAACAAGTTCCCATTTGAGGAAAAGCGATAAGATCTGCTTTAATTAAAACATTGATGAATAACTTCAAGAGTGTCCTCGAGAAATAGAAAGGTGCTGGGCAATTGTTCCTGCCTCTGTTTCTTCCACATGCTGAGATTTGTAGAGAGAGTTTGTCCGGCAGCATCGGCACAAGGATAATAACCAAAAAGTGAGGTTGGCTGCTCGGCAGGGTGGCTTCACCTCCACCTCTCAGTAGCTGCAGAGTGTGATTCTTCTACTGCCAATGAAATAGTTGGTGTTGGCAGGGCACGGTGGCTCACGCCTGTGATCTCAGCACTTTGGGAGGCTGAGGTGGGCAGATCATGAGGTCAGGAGATCGAGACCATCCTGGCTAACATGGTGAAACCCCGTCTCTACTAAAAATACAAAAATAAAAAAATTATCCAGGCGCGGTGGCAGGTGCCTGTAGTCCCAGCCACTCGGGAGGCTGAGGCAGGAGAAAGGCGTGAACCCAGGAGGTGGAGCTTGCAGTGAGCCGAGATCGCACCACTTCACTCCAGCCTGGGCGACAGAGCGAGACTCCATCTCAAAAAAAATAAATAAATAAAATAAAATAAAATAAGAAAAAGGAAATAGTTGGTGTTGTCTTCCCTGCGTAGCTCCACCTTATTCTAATTCTGTGACTGGGTCTGCTGACTTTCCCCAGTGCCCTGAGTCCTCCCTCTCAGCTGCCCTTGAGGGAGTCGGAGTTACAGGCAGGGCCTCAGGCTTTGCGCCCAGATATCTTAAGCCATCATCTCCCGCCATCCAGGACTCAGGTGTTGCAGAGCTGATGGAGCTTCCTGACTTGTGACAAAACTCGCAGGACCCTGTCTCCTCAGGAAGAGAAGAATCACCACATTCACACCCTCCAGCCCTGTTTCAACCTTGTTTGTTTGCATTTGTTTTTAATTTCTTATGTGCTTTTCTCCCTCACCATCTCTGGATTCTCTTCGCCTCTATGGGGAAATTCCTCCTGCTCATTTGGTGTGTCCTTCCTACCCAAACCAGTCCCCAGGGCCCTTATTGCCTGACTAAGGCACTGAGGTTGGGTTGCTGGAGGCGCACCAAGGTGGAGGTCTCTGTTCCCACGTGACACCTAGGAAGGGTGGAGAGAGAGGGGGCAAGTGTTGGATGCAGGGGCTGCCCCCCAATCCTGATGCTAGCTTGGTACAGCCCCACAGCCACCCTTCCTGGCCCTGCTCAGCCCAGTAACCCTGTGTCACTCCTTCAGGCATTCCCTGAGCCCCTGGGAGTCAGGGCTGTGGCCCTGGGCCTGGAGCCAGTCTCCTGCCATGACAACCAGGTGCCTGTCGTGTAGGCAGCTCGCAGTCAGGACCTGCAGCCTCTGAAAACCCTGCACGGTGCTGCCTATTGGCTACGTACGGTTCAGAGAGGGCCAATTAGTTGCCCAAGGACAGAAGCAGGATTCAAACCCAGGATCCGCTTGACCCAAAAAAACCACTGCTGAGTGAGGCCTGGCCAATTCTTCCAGGGAAGACAGAGAGCACAGAGCTACCTTCCAGGCCTGTGGGAGTCTGGGAGCGGCCCAAGCCAGGGGCGGGGCAGCAACAGGCTTTAGGACTTGAACCCGCTCTCCTCCCACAGGACAAAGACAATTCTGGTCCCACAGTCTTGCATCTGACTGCCCGCTTTGGCCACCCCAAGGTGGTGAACTGGCTCTTGCATCATGGCGGTGGGGATCCCACCGCGGCCACAGACATGGGCGCCCTGCCTATCCACTACGCTGCAGCCAAAGGAGACTTCCCCTCCCTGAGGCTTCTCGTCAGGCACTACCCTGAGTAAGATCACTCCTCTTAAGGGGTCCTCTGGGTGGGCCGGGCCAGGGCTTTGGGGGATGCCTGGGATTTTCCACACTTCTCTGGCACTCCAGGGCAATGATCCCTCCAGTAGCCATCCTGGGGCCAGAGGGCCAGGCCAGAGAAATGGCTCCCACTCAACATGAAATCTTCCCCTCCTGGAAAACCCCTTCTGGGGCTGCCCCCAGAGCCCTGCAAGCAGGTGCTCCCAACATCCTCAGCTGCCCGGCCGCACGCAGCTGGACCTGGGAGGCTGGGCACACAGGCCAAGGTCACCTGTTCCCCTTGGGCTGCTTCTGCCGCAGGGGCTCTCTCTGGCTCAGGCTGTGCTCATTTGCAAGACTGTTCAGAATGGAGTTGGGGGCAGCAAGGGCAGGAGCGCCTCCTAGGCCCTAGTCAAACAGGCAGAAAGGGAACCCCATTAGTTACCAAGCAGTTAAGGGAGAAAGGCCCCTCCCCAACCCCCACCCCACCTCCTGACCCCAGAGCCCCTGGCTGGAGGCCATCCAGAAAGCAACTTGTTATCTCCTGTGGCCCCTCAGCCCATTCCCACTATCAAGGGAAGCATGGGGATCCCAAACCTCCTGGGGAGTGGTCTGGGAGCTCCCCCGGGTGGGGTGGGGGGTCGAACAGAGCAGGTGGCATGTGTGAGTCTTGGGGAGGGAGGAAGAGACTCAGGTCTTAGGTGCGCCTGGGGAGGCAGGGATCCTGGGAAAAGCTGCCCAGGCCCTGTCTGAGAGGGTAGGGTGCCAGATGCCACAGGGGTCTGAGCGGGGAGTGGGTTACTCTGATGGGTGACCCTCGTTAGTCTAAGTGGGAGCCTGAGATGGAAATGTGAATGTGGACCCAGCCTCAGGACGAGAGCAGCTACGAGGTGAGAGGGTCTGGCCTGTCCCCACCACTGGTCAGTTTCTGGGTGTGCCTGCAGGGCCCCTGGCCACCAGGGAGCAAGCTGGAGGCCAGTTCTGGCCATATGGCCATGTGGCAAGGTAGCCACAGCTGCAGCCTCTTGGGCCCAGGCACACTGGCGTGGATGTAGGGTGGCCCTAGGACCCACCAGGCCGGGCTCCAGTGGTCCCCTCAGCCCAGGACAAGGGAGCTGGGCCTGGTTCCATCCTTGCTAAGAAGGGGCTCCCTGGTTTGGTTAGTGGGAGACCCAACAGGCAGCACCCGGAGGAAGGGGTGCTTCACAACCAGCCCTGCCAGGCCTTCTTGGTGGCTGCTTTGGTATGAATTCACTACTTCCAAACAAACTAGGGTTTGGATCATGTCAAAGTCAGTGGGATTTAGACTAGGAGGGACCCAGGGACCCTTGAGTAGAGGGTTCCAACTGGCTCCTGTCAACACCTCTTGGAGGCTGTCCCAGATTCCTGAGTTAGACTCTCCAGGTTGGGGCCTGGGAGCCACACCTGGGACATGTCCCCACCCTCATGGCGGTGATTCTGATGCACCTGTCCCACCCCCTCACTTCAAGCAGAGGAGAAGGACAGGTCTTGAGAGGGGCAGGTGCCCCTGATGGCGGGACCAATATGGCCCAAGTGTGAACTGGAAGACGCTGAGCCCGCCTTATGCAAGTGCTGGTGGGGACCGCCGGCCCCTAAGCCTTCCTCACTGAGAAGCCACGATCCCTCCGTGGGCTGGATCCCAGGTGTTAGGAAGACTGGCTGTGCTGTGGAACGCCCTCCAGGGCTCCGGGGCTGGGGAACCCTGACCCCCTCCCAGGCCATGCCAGGTGCTGTGTGTGATTGGGCGCTGGTGCCGACCCAGTGGCCAGATGGCCTGGACTGATGAGCTGCCAGCCCCCCAGGAGTCACCATGAATCTCAGGGAGGTGGACAGAGGGCTTGGGCTCCGTTCCCCACAGCAGCATGTGACTCGACTGATAAGAAGGTGTCTTTCTGTGGTTGCCAGGCTGGGCTTATGCAGGAAGAGCAGCTGGGAATTGGGGTTGGGGGCTGGGGTACCCACTTAACCTCCTATCTTGCGGGTAGGGATTCCTGCTCACCGAGGCTGTGGATATGAAGGCTGGGAGCTGGGTAGGGCAGAGGCTTGAGCTGCCCCAGGCCACAGGGCCCAATCAGGGCACCCAGGTGGCCCAGCTTCATGATCTTGCGAGCCTCTGGGGCCTGCTGTGAATTGCTGTGAATTATTCACAAGGCTCAGCTCTCTCGCTGGCGCGTGGGTGAGTGCTGAGGGAGGAAGGGCTCCCGGACCTGCTGGTGGGAAACTCGATCCTGCCCAGGGAGGGGCTGTGGGTGGCCATGAGACATGGAAGTGACACGCTGCAGAGGAGCTGGAAGGCTGGACAGCCTCGGGGAGGCTCAGCTAATTCCAGGGCTACACCTTGGGGTGTTATAATAGAAAGTGCTTGAGATTGCAGGAATGTCCTGCACATCCCCCACACCTCCCTGTCTATCCCGTTCATGGGGCCAAGTCTTCCCAGAAGCAGAGGACTTGTCACAGTGACCTCGGGGCTGCTGCCACGTGGGACCCTCCCTCTGAGCCCTTGTAGAAAAGGGATCTCTCATACAAAATTAGCCGGGTGTGGTGGCGCGTGCCTGTAATCCCAGCCACTCAGGAGGCTGAGGCAGGAGAATCGCTTGAACCCGGCAGACGGAGGTTGCAGTGAGCCAAGATCGCGCCATTGCACTACAACCTGGGCAACAAGAGTGAAACTCCATCTCCAGGTGGGGAAAAAAAAGAAAAAGAAAAAGGACCTCTCAGTTGGGAGGTACGGGGCTGGCAGGAGCTGGGCTGGGCAAGTCCCAGGCTCTGGGTCTCAGGGAGATTGAGTTGGGAGGGTTGGCCCTCCCAGCAGGAGCTCCAGTGGCTGATGGAGGGGAACAAGGGGTCCAGACCCCCATTCAGGGCAGAGTGAGGAGGGGCGAAGAGCAGGTGGCCCCAAGGCCAGTGGCCACCCTCCCAGGAGGGTCCTGGGGCCCAGGAGCTCACTCTGCCCCCCTCACACCTGCTTCTGGCTGTCCCAGGGCCTGAGCAGCTGGACAGGGCTGTGTGGGTCGGGGAGCTGGGGATCAGCTGGGACCCTGAGGCTTGAGCTTCCAGGCTGGGGAGTGAGGAGGCTCCAGTCTCTTCCCCTGGGCTCGTGGGTGCTGCCAGTCACAGCAAGCTGGAAAACCAGTTAGCCCAGAGATGTTATCAACTTCAGCAGGTGCCTCCTTCCCCCAAAGCCTCCCCTACCCCTGACCAGACTAGACTGGAATGGGATTGGAAAGTACCTGGGGCTGGGTATGGTGGCTCACGCCTGTAATCCCAGCACTTTGGGAGGCTGAGGCAGGTGGATCACCTGAGGTCAAGAGTTCAAGACCAGCCTGACCAACATGGTGAAACCCCGTCTCTACCAAAAATACAAAAATTAGCTGGGTGTGTGGCTGGGCTATGCCTGTACAGGTGGCACATGCTTGTAATCCCAGCTACTAGGGAGGCTGAGGCAGGAGAATCGCTTGAACCAGGGAGGCGGAGGTTGCAGTGAGCCCAGATCATGCTATTGCATTCCAGCCTGGGCAACAGAGCAAGACTCTGTCCAAAAAAAAAAAAAAAAAAAAAAGGAACGAATGAAAGAAAGGAAGGAAAGAAAAGAAAGGAAAGAAAAAAAGAACCTGGTGCTGAGTATCTTCTAGGGGTCTGGCACCACCCAGTGTCATCTGAGTCACACAACCACCCCGAGCAGTAGCTATGTAATCAGCCCATTTTACAGATGGACTCATTCAACTAATGTTTATTGAGCATCTTCTATGTGCCAGGCAATATTCTAAATGCCAGTGATATGCTGGTGAACCAGACAAGCGTCCCTGCCTGGTGGAGCTGACAGGTACAGAAATGGTGTTTTAGAGAGGCTGATTCACCAGCTGTGGTCATCACTGGCTTGCTGTGTGGCCTTGAGCAGGCTGTACCTCCTCTCTGGGTCTCTCTCCCACTCCTGGTCCAGGTCCTAATCACTCAGGGCCTTTCAAGTCCACTGCAGACTTCCCCTTTTCCCTTCCTTTGTGCAAAGCTTCACGGAGTCTGGCTGCTCCCACGGCCCAGGGGTTCAGGCAGCCCCCACCTGGGACAGAAAGGGAGTTTGTTGGGAAGCCCCTAGCAACTCTCAGCTTAGAGAGCCCCAGGGCCCAGGGCTCAACTCTCCCCCTTAGAAGGCTGGAGGCTCTGCCTGGGGTGGTCCCTGATTCTGCCACAGGCCGTGGGGGCTCATTCCTTTTTATCAGCAGCCCCAGATCTACCCCTGGTGTCTGTCAGTTCACCTGGCTGCAGGGCGTGGGGGCGGGGCCTGTGTCCACACTGAGGAGGTGGCTGCCGTCCTTGACTCCCTGACCCACGTGGAGGCTCTGGGAAAGGAAGGGCCTGGTGGAGTCCGGGGAAGCCCCTCACAGCAGGAGACCATCTCGTGTCTCCACCAGCAGCTCCTGGTCCCAGCTGTCATCTAACCGGGGCTAGTGCTCCTGCCCTACCCTTCTAAGGGGGAGAGCTGAGCCTTGGACCCTGGGGCTCTGTAAGCAGCACGCTGCTGGGGCATCCCAGGGCTTCTGAGAAACCCCCTTTCTGCCTCACGTGGGGGCTACCTGAACCCCTTGGGCTCAGCTGGGCCCAAGGCTCTGTGAGGCTGTGCACTACAGAACGGAAAAGGGGAAGTCCTCAGTAAGCCTGAAAGGCCCTGGCCTTCACCCGTCCATGTCCACCCGCAGCCTTTGAAAACACAAGTCCTGCTGGGTGTGGTGGCTCACACCTGTAATCCCAGCACTTTGGGAGGCTGAGGCGGGCGGAACACGAGGTCAGGAGTTCGAGACCAGCCTGGCCAACATGGAGAAACCCCGTCTCTACTAAAAAATACAAAAATTAGCCGGGTGTGGTGGCACGTGCCTGTAGTCCCAGCAACTCGGGAGGCTGAGGCAGGAGAATTGCTGGAACCCGGGAGGCGGAGCTTGCAGTGAGCCAAGATCGAGCCACTGTACTCCAGCCTGGGCGACAGAGCAAGACTCCGTCTCAAAAAAGAAAAAGAAAAGAAAAGAAAAGACAATGCAAGTCCTGGTCTGGTGCAGTGGTTCATGCCTGTAATCCCAGCACTTTGGGAAGCTGAGGCGGGCGGATCACAAGGTCAGGAACTTGAGACCAGCTTGGCCAATACGGTGAAACCCCGTCTCTACTAAAAAATACAAAAATTAGCTGGGCATGGTGGTGGGTGTCTGTAATCCCGCTACTCAGGAGGCTGAGGCAGGAGAATTGCTTGAACCCGGAAGGCGGAGGTTGCAGTGAACCAAGATTGCGCCACTGCACTCAAGCCTGGGCGACAGAGCAAGACTCCATCTCAGGGGGAAAAATAGTTAGCCGGGTGTGGTGGCTCCCGCCTGTAGTCCCAGCTGCTTGGGAGGCTGAGGCATAAGAATCACTTGAACCTGGGAGGCAGCGGTTACAGTGAGCTGAGATTGTGCCACTGCATTCCAGCCTGGGCAACAGAGCAAGACTCCGTTTCACAAAAAAAAAAGAGCACCTCCCGTCACAGGCTTCTGGCCACTGACAGGGAATGCTGCTCACTTCCTTACAATGGCCCAGAGGCTGTCCCTCCTCCGGGCTGTGGTCCCCTCCAACAGGCCAGCACCCCTGCCTTCACAGAGGCTGATCCCTCTGCAGGGATCAGAGATCCCCGCCTGCTCCCTGCCTTCCTGCAAGTCTTTGCCCAGACCTCACCTCAGCAAGGCCAACCCTGAGCCTCGCTGAAATTGTCACCCGCGCCCATGATGCCCACTCACTTTCCCGCTGACCTTGTTCCCTGCTGCCCTTTTCCTTGAGACTCGACTCTTGCTCTATTGCCCAGGCTTGAGTGCAGTGGCACAGCTCTCTGTAACCTCCACCTCCCAGGTTCAGGTGATTCTCCTGCCTTAGCCTCCTGAGTAGCCAGGATTATAGGTGCATATGGCACCACACCTGGCTAATTTTTGTATTATTAGTAGAGATGGGGTTTCACCATGTTGGCCAGGCTGGTCTCGAACTCCTGAACTCAGGTGATCCGCCCACCTCGGCCTCCCAAAGTGCTGGGATTACAGGCATGAGCCACTGCACCTGGCCTCCCAGCCGCCCTATGGTTGCCTGGCTTTGCGTTCTGTGTGCATCCTGCGTGACAGCCGGAAGCTAACCCCTAGGAGAAGCCCCTGAGACACATTCCATCTCTTCACTCCCTGCATGCCCGGATTTCTGGCTGGGCCCTGCATCACACAGACAGATGTGTGTTTTCATCCCGTCTGTCCGTGACTAATAAGGCCAGGGGCTTTGTCTTCCCGGCTCTGTATGCCCAGAGCCTGACTCCAGTAAACATCTGCTGAATGAGTGGGGCATGGAATCCCAGGGACTTGTCCACTCTGCCTACAGCTCATTGCATGTGACCCTAGACAAAACTCCCCTCTGGGCATTTCCGAGCCTATCTGGCAAGTGGATCTAACCTGCTCTACCAGGCTGCGGCCATGAGTGAAGAGACATCCCCTACTCCTGGCCTGGATGTCCCTTCTCATATTTATTCATTCAACAAACAGCAAGTGGGTGCACTCAACTGCCCGGCCTGTCATCACGTCAGCCACACATTCTTCTATCCACGCATGTATGGGTCTGAGGAATAGGAGAACAAGATAATTCAGGAGTGGCAAGTGCTATATAGTGAAATGAGGAGTTTGGTAGGAAGCGATGGGGATGGTTCTTTAAGTTGAGGGGTCAGGGAAGCCAGGCATCTTTGAGGGGAGGAGAGCTGAGAACCTAATGAAAAGAGGGTCGGCCTCGCAGCCCTGCCATGGTGGAACTGGCAGTGATGTGGGGAGGTGTAGAGGCCTCAGGGGGGGTCAAATTTGGCCTAATTACGGGCCAGGAGGAAGACCTGGGAGGCTGGGAGAGTTGCAGGCAACTGTAGGCTTCTGGAACTATTCCATGCTAGCTGATGGGCTGGGGTGTAGAACCTTTCTCAAATCGGGGCTGCATTTCTTCCCTGGGCCAGGCCTACTTGGGAATCTTTTAACATAGGCCGGGAAGTTTGACTGGAGGACACCGAGAGCCGTAGATCCACCAAAGGCTCCGTGAATTTCAATTGAAAGCAGTCACGGGCCACAACCAGACTGATCCTCGGAGGGACAGCCTCTTCCTGGCCTCCCTCTGGGGAGGCGTGACTGGCAGTGGGGCGGGCTGCGGGAATCATTCTGCAGCCCGACTCTGGCTCCATGGGCAGCTCACTCCCTGCGGCGGTGCTGGCAGTCAGCTGGCACCAGTCTCCGCCAGAGATTCCCACAGCCCACACGGGGGACCCATGTTTCTTTTGTGTAATCAGAGGTGACTTGATGAATAGTTACAGTTCATCCATAGCATCTTTGTTCCCAGGAGAAAGAAAACAAATCATGATTTATACGATCATCGCCAGGGCGCCTCTGACCTACAAAGAGGGTTTGGGTCAAAGCCGGGGCAAAGGGCAAGGGCTTGGTCTGGGAGCACTTTTCTGCAGCTGTCACTGTGGTCAGGGCTAGAGCTGGCAAGGGTCTGGGAGTCAGAGGTCTCCCCCAAGACCCATCCTCTCCCCTCTAGGTAGTGTTCCCCACAGCAGAAATGATGCCCAGCCTGGCCCGTACTTGGCAGGACCCGGACAGGCCAGGCCAGCCATAGACCCCCCTGGTGGCTGGTCCTCCCAGGCACAGGGAAGGATCCTAAAGTTCAGCAATGGCTGTGCGCCAGGCACCAGGCCTGTGCTCAGGGCTCTGCAGGCACTTCTCAGGCACTCTGCACGAGGTCAGGATGACAACTGTTGCCCCCATTTCATGGATGGGTTTGGGAACACAAAGAGACAAGAAGCAAGACTGTGGCACAGCTCAAAGGCACGGGACTCGAGCCAGGTCCTCCTGCGGGGCTGTGCCCCAGCAGCTGTCAAAGAGTGTTCCTGAGTTCCCAGCAGTGAGGTCTGTGGGGAAGGGCAGTGGTCTGTGCAGTGGGAGGGAGGGAGGGAGGCAGAGGGACAGACCGACCAAGAGCAGAAGGGGTGTAGACGTGGCACATTTGGAGTCAGAAGCAGGCTCTGCATCAGACACAGCCTCAAATCGGGGCTCTGCCTCTTTCTCACAGAGTGATCTTAGCTCTCTGTGCCTCAGTTTCCTCATCTGTACCAGAAGAACAATGCTAACACCTGTCCTGTGGGGTTGTTACAAAGACCAGCTGAGAGAACGTGTGTGTTGTACTCATCACAGTGCTTGAGACAGAGTAATCATTCAGTAAATGGTGGCTGCTATCACTATTATTATTATTTACTATTATTACTTTTATTAATTCCTCTCTCTAGTGATGGGAATTTTGTTTATTTTCTCATTTATTTATTTATTTTAGAGATAGGCTCTTGCTCTGACACCCAGGCTGGAGTGCAGCGGTATGATCATAGTTCCCTGCAGCCTCAACTTCTTGGACTCAAGTGATCCTCCCTCCTCAGCCTCCTGAGTGGCTGGGACTACAGGTGTGCACCAACACACCTGGCTCATTTTTGTATTGTTTGTAGAGACGGAGGTCTCTCTATGTTGCCCAGGCTGGTCTCGAACTCCTAGGCTCAGGCAGTCCTCCTGCTTTGGCCTCCCGAGGTGCTTGGATTCCAGGTGTGTGATGGGAATTTCATTTTGGTCCTTATGCTCATCCATATCTTTGTAATACTCCCCAGTGACTGTGAGAGTGCCCATTGTTCTTCTTGTCCTCAGGCCAAGGTGGAAGGGGATGTTGAGCCAGGACCCCTTCCCACCCAGCCCAACAGCATATCTGCCTCATGTTCTGGGGTATTCCAAGCTGGAGGCTCTGACTCCATAATGGGGCGCATGAGTGCAGATGGTGGAATACTAATGAGAATGGTGATGAGCTCCAGCACTTACTGAGGGCTCATTCCGTGCCAGGAACTTGGGCTGGGAGTGCCAGCCAGCGGCCCTGCAGGAGGCCGTGGGTACCACTTCCCCCTGCTGCTCAGATCCTGCTTGATGCCAGCTTCTCAGACCTTCTCTGGCTGGCTGGGCACCCCTGGGTCATGGATCTCTGCCAAGTAGGGAGTGCTGAGAGAGCAGAGCTCACTGCAGGTCTGGCCCCCCACCCGCTGTGTACACCGCCGTGGGCCTCTGCAGAAAGAACCCAGTGGGCCCCCACCAGCCCCTGATCCCAAAGACCCCGGCACTCACTGTGCCTTGGTTACGGGGTGAATAATTTAGGCCGCTGAGCGTCGGTCATGAAATATTCAACAGCCTGTTCTGATGCAGCAGTATGTGAGTGTGTGTGGGGGTGACGCTGGCGCTGGGGTGTGGAGGCTGGCAGCCACGAGCCAGCATGTTTCTGAAGATAGATACGTAGCTGGGTCTTCTGTCTCCCTCATCTGTGTTGACGGGACCCCCTCTGGATCACCAGGCATGGTGCCTGCTCCCCGCACCATCATGAAGTGCCCGGCTCAGCATCAGCCCCAGCAAATGGCAGCCCTGTGTCTAGGGAGTGGGGAGGGAGGAGAAATCAGTGAGTGGGGGTCCATGGGGGCTGCAGAGTCAGGGGTCTCAGTCAGAGTCAGCCTTGGGGTCTCAGGAGTCAGGGAAGTGGACAGAGAACCAGGGCTTTAGGGACAGGGAGATGCCAGCTGGGAGGGGCTCAGGATGTGTGTGAGAGGGAGGGAGAGGGCACACGTGACAGGGGTCAGAAGAGGGGCTGAGTCGTGTTGGGAACAAGAGGGTGGGTGGGCAAAGGGGGGTAGCCTGGTGCACGTTGATGGGCAGGCAACAAGTGGATGGGCAGTTGGATGGGTGAACGAGGGATGAATGCAGGGTGGAGCATGTGGTTGATCTACGGGGTGAAAGACTGGGGGAGGTAGATGGGCAGGATGTCAAGTCCTGTGAGGAATTGGCCTCCTAGGCACAAAAGGTGAACTGGAACCCAATAGGTCGTGGCCCCCAACCTGGAACTTCTCCTGGGTCTGGGGGTAGGTTGTGGCTCCACCTAGTGTCCTTTGGTGGCAACTGCACCCTGGGCTGTTCACACCCAACAGCCCAGCAGCCAGGACAGCCCTGCTGTTCCCTAGGTAGGCCCCCTCTGGGCTGGCAGAGCAAGGATAAGGGACAGTGACAGCCGAAAACTAGGCCCTAGGAGGAGCCCCTGAGACACATTCCATCTCTTCACTCCCTGCATGCCCATATTGCCAGCCAGGCCCTGCATGCACAGACAGATGGGTGTTCAAGTGCCACTTACCAACTGTGTGACCGAGGAGAGAGCTGAGTCTGTGCCTCTGTTGTGGGACTATGGGTGATGGCACAGAGTCCCAGCCCCACCTGTGAGCCTCCCCAGCTGTAGCTGCACCATTGACTGAATTCTGATTCTGGCAGGTCCCCTGCTAGGTGCCTTACCGGTGTAATCTCAGTTGATGGTCACAGTAATAGTTGATGGCCGGGCGCAGTGGCTCACACCTGTAATCCCAGCACTTTGGGAGGCCGAGACAGGCGGATCACTTGAGCTCAGGAGTTTGAGACCAGCCTGGCCAAGATGGCAAAACTGGGTTTCTGCTAAAAATACGAAAATTAGCCAGGCGTGGTGGCACATGCCTGTAGTCCCAGCTGTTTGGGAGGCTCAGGCAGGAGAATGGCTTGAACCCAGGAGGCAGAGGGTGCAGTGAGCTGAGATTGCGCCATTGCATTCCAGCCTGGATGACAGAGAAAGACTCCGTCTCAAAAATAAAAATAAAAAAAGAAGAACCTGCTTGCCAGTGCCGTAGCCCAGAGCTAGCACAGCAGAAGCATTCAGTACATAGTGGACATCCCGAGGGCTGCCAGATTAACAAAAACAGCAACAACAAAACCCGGGATGTTTGACTAGCTTTGAATCTCAGATAAAAAAGTTGTATTTTAGTATAAGTATGTCCCATGCAATATTTGGGATATAGAATACTAAAGCATTATCCGTTCATCCGAAATTCCGGTTGAACTGTGTGAACTGCATTTTGTCTGGCAACCCTTACCACCCTGCCCGCTGGGAACTCAGTCTTCTGGGGGAGGCAAAGGTCAAAATCAGTTATGGTCAACCAAGCATGACAGGTCATGCTCATAGTGGCCCTGGGCAGTGTGGGGCGGAGGCCAGCAAGGGGGAAATAAATCAGGGTGGCCCTCATGGAGGAGGGATGGGTACTGAGTCTTCAAGAGGGAGGAGGATGGAAGGACATTCCAGATGGAGGGGGCACACGATGAAAGGGATAGAGGTCAGACACAGCAGTTGTGGGGACTCATGGTGACAGTGGGCGAGAGGGGAGGAAAGGCCAGCTCACCACATCTTTGTAGACCTCGGTTAAAAAGTGGGACTGAGGCTGGGCGCGGTGGCTCTGTAATCCCAGCACTTTGGGAGGCCGAGGCGGGCGGATCACAAGGTCAGAAGTTCGAGACCAGCCTGGTCAACATGGTGAAACCCCGTCTCTACTAAAAATACAAAAGATTAGCGGGGCGTGGTGGCGCATGCCTGTAATCCCAGCTACTCAGGAGGCTGAAGCAGAAGAATCGCTTGAACCCGGGAGGCAGAGATTGCAGTGAGCCAAGATCCAGCCACTGCACTCCAGCCTGGGCGACAGAGCTAGACTTCTTCTCAAAAAAAAAAAAAAAAAAAAAAAAGTGGGACTGAGGGCAGGGCAGTGCTGGGTGGGACGCCCTCAGGGGCCTCTGAGGGAGGGTGGCTCAGGACTCAGTCCAGGCGGAGCCCCCCGGGCGGCAGCGGGCCGGTGACAGGGCCCTCTCCCGCCCACTCTCCCTGCCGTCCAGGGCTCCCCGGGAGGGGAGGGGGGCGGGTAAGGAGGCCTCGGAGGGGGTGAGGCGCTGAAAGCCCACGGTGGGCGCTGTGTCTCCGCAGGGGAGTGAATGCCCAAACCAAGAACGGTGCCACGCCCCTGTACCTGGCGTGCCAGGAGGGCCACCTGGAGGTGACGCAGTACCTGGTGCAGGAATGCGGCGCGGACCCGCACGCGCGCGCCCACGACGGCATGACCCCACTGCACGCCGCGGCGCAGATGGGCCACAGCCCGGTCATCGTGTGGTTGGTGAGCTCCGGGCCCGGGCGGTGCGGAGGGGAGACGGGGCGGAGCCGGCAGGGCGGGGAGTGGAGGGAGCGGGGCCATCAGGAGTGGGGCGGAGGACCGTGGGCGGGGCCTGCAGGGGCCTGGCCCCCATCCCCCGGCCCTCTCTCCCCGCCCCTCCCGCCCAGGTGAGCTGCACCGACGTGAGCCTGTCGGAGCAGGACAAAGACGGCGCCACCGCCACGCACTTCGCGGCGAGCCGCGGCCACAGCAAGGTGCTCAGCTGGCTGCTGCTGCACGGCGGGGAGATCTCGGCTGACCTGTGGGGCGGGACCGCGCTGTACGACGCCGCCGAGAACGGGGAGCTAGAGGTCAGCGCGGGCCCGGGGTGGGGGCGCGCGCCCTCTGCTGGCACCGCGCTCTCCGCACGGCCCTGCCCGGGCGCGGGGGTCCCAGCTCGTGGCCGCGGCCGGGTCCTCACTGCGTGCCCCCACAGTGCTGCCAGATCCTGGTAGTGAACGGCGCGGAGCTGGAAGTCCGCGACCGCGACGGGTACGCGGCCGCTGACCTGTCGGACTTCAACGGCCACAGCCACTGCACCCACTGCCTGCGCACGGTGGAGAACCTGGTACGATCCCTGCGCTGCTCCTGTTGCATTCTCTCTTCTCGCCCCTCCACCCCAGTGGTGGGTGTCGTCACCCCTTTTACCAAGGAGGAAGCTGAGGTTCAGAGACGTGAAGCCCGCTACCCCACACGACCTGTCAGCCCAGAACCACTGCCTGCTGGGGACTGAGGGAGTAGAGGCACAAAGGTTAACGGAAAGAGGACAGGGAAGAACAGGGTCACCCCAAGGGGTAAGGCTGGAGAAATCACAAGACAGGCCCCATTGGGAACAGGCAGGCTCATTCACCTACCCATAGACATTAGCTTGGGTATAACTCACAGCCACCCTCTGCAGAAGAGAGTGTAAGTGTCCCGTTCCACATATGGGTAAAGGGAGTCTGCGGGGCACCAGGATCGCATCACCAGTAAGTGGTAGAGTGGAGAACCTACCTTGATGGCCTGACCAGGAGCCACCTCTCTGCCCCTGCACCATATATTAGCTGACTTCATGGCTGGGTCATAACTGGAAACCCATGCTACTCTTTTTAAATTATGTTTTTATGGTGAGACAGCCACGAAGTGACCTACTGGGACTTGAACTCAGCTGTGGATGTCTCCAAGTGAGGGCTCTGCACCATCTGGTACAATGCCTGCTTTGAGGCAATAGGCAGGGAAGAGAGTGGGCCTCACAGCCAACCCCAAAAGGATGCGGACCAACTCCATGGGGCAGCCTGGCCATGGAGTGGCTGTGAAATGAGGCCCGGAGGGAAGAAGGCAGATGGTCTGTGCCCTGAGCACCGTCTGTCCATCTGTCGTCCCTGCCAGCACAGGGGGATGGTCCTGGCTCTGGGGGCTGCAGAACACAGCAAGGCCCAGAGGCCAGAGGCTGCAGGTGGGCCTGAGGGTGAACTTCCCCCCGAGAAAGAGTCTCTGGAAGAGAATGAATGGCCCAGCAGGTAGTCAGCACTCTGTCACTAGGGTATATAAGCCGGGATGGACACAGGGAAGGACATTTCTGCATCAGTGGTGGGTCCCCATCAGTTAAGAGAGCCTGTGACTCTGTCGAGGGACCATGGGGGGTGGCACCAGAGCCCAGGGCACCTGAGGGCCTGTCTGGATGCAGCTGCTAGTGGTCATAGGACAGCAAACACTATTCATTGGATTCTGACTTAGGCAGGTACCCTGCCGAGTGCCTTAAAGGTGTAATCTCAGTTACTCTTCACAGTACATTAAAAAAATAGTTGGCTGGGTGCAGTGGCTCAGGCCAGGCGCGGTGGCTCATGCCTGTAATCCCAGCACTTTGGGAGGCCGAGGCGGGCAGATCACGAGGTCAGTAGATCAAGACCATCCTGGCCAACATGGTGAAACCCCGTATCTACTAAAACTACAAAAAAAAAAAAAAATTAGTCAGGTGTGGTAGCACACGCCTGTAGTCCCAGCTACTCGGGAGGCTGAGGCAGGAGAATCGCTTGAACCCAGGAGGCGGAGGTTGCAGTAAGCCAAGACCGCGCCACTGCACTCCAGCCTGGTGACAGAGCAAGACTCCGTCTAAAAATAAAATAAAATAAAATAAAAAAGTTGACAGGCCGGGTGTGGTGGCTCATGCCTGCACTTTGAGAAGCTGAGGCGGGTGGATCACCTGAAGTCAGGGTTCGAGACCAGCCTGGTCAACATGATGAAACCCCATCTCTACTAAATATACAAAAATTAGCTGGGTGTGGTGGCGGGTGCCTTTAATTCCAACTACTTGGGAGGCTGAGGCAGGAGAATTGCTTGAACTCAGGAGGTGGAGGTTGCACTGAGCCAAGACCGCGCCACTGTACTCCAGCCTGGGCAACAAGAACAAAACTCCGTCTAAAAAAAAAAAAAAAAAAATTTGACAGTATGGCATTTACTGGGCGCCATGTCCTGGAGCTCAGCAGAGCAAGTAGTGCTGTTACCCCCATTTGCAGATAAAGAAACATAGGCACAAAAAGCACAGGTGACTCGCCTGAAATAGCTAGTAAGTCGGGGAGGGAAAGTTTGAAGCCACAGTCCCAGACTGCAGAGCTGGGTGGCTCAGGCCAGGCGCAGTACACCTGCTGTGGCCCAGCCTCTTATCTGCTGCCTACAGGGGTCAGGGCTTGGTGCCCTCAGCACCCACTGCTGTTGCCCAGGTAAAGAGCACCTTTGGGTGCTGCCCATGCCACCTCCTATGGCTCCCCTGACTCCTGCGGTAGGTAACAGGGCCTGGTCCCCTGGAATGGGTGGGGTGTGTGTGCCCTGGTCCCCTCACTCAAGCAGGCCCAGCTGAGGCAGGGACAGACCCAAGCCACAGAAGACGCTGGCCCAGAAAAGGCAAACACTCCAGCAGAGCCCCTAATTACGGGGCCAATGAGCGCGGCCGCTGAGCCGTTACCTGGTGCCAGGCCTGCCTCTCTCTCCCAGGGTGCCTGTGACACTTCTTAGGTAGGGAGGGGGCACGGGGCAAGGAGGAGCAGGCCTGGGCAGGAGGCAGCGGAGCAAGCGGGCTTGCCGGCAGCAGGGGCAGCATGGGCAATGTAAGCAGGGCCCCTACCACAGCCCCCTCTGCACCGGGAGGGGACAGGCCTGTGGTCAGACGCACAGACCGGGCAGGGCGGGGGAATGGCAGGCCTGGCAGCCTGAGCTCTGGCTGCCCATCACTGCTCAGCTGGCCATCCAGGCCCTACCCTTACCCCAAGGGCCCCATCAGGAGACAGGCCGGGCTGGTGTTGGGAGTCTGCTCCAGGTCCCAGGTCTGGCAAGGAGAGCTGGCTTGCCAGCCAGGTCACTAGGGATGGGCCTGTGCTGTGCCCTTCCCCATGGAGCCTGTGCCGATCTGTGAGGGAGAAGGCCGATCTCCTGGCAGTTCTCCCCCTGGGGTGCAGCTCAAGGCCCCCTCCTCGTCGATCTCTCCACCCTCCTAATCAGGGAGGAGCCAGGGGAGGGAGTTTCCCAGGAACCTGGGTCCTCTGCCTGGCGGGGCTGGGCTTGAATCTTAACCCGGAGGAACCTGAAAGACCCTCTAGCGATGGGGAAGAGACCCCAGAGAGGGGTGTGGCTTGGCCAAGATCCCACGGCAAAGGCATGGCTGAGTAGGACCCTGGCCTGGAGAGCAACGCATCTTGGGGTGCAGTTGCCTTCATGGCCTCCCTGCCTCCCCTTCAGAGCATGGAGCACTGCGTGCTCTCCCGGGATCCATCCGTGGAGCTGGAGGCGAAGCAGCCGGATTCAGGCATGTCCTCACCCAACACCACGGTGTCGGTCCAGCCTCTGAACTTTGACCTCAGCTCGCCCACCAGCACCCTCTCCAACTACGACTCCTGCTCCTCCAGCCACTCCAGCATCAAGGGCCAGCACCCTCCACGTGGTGAGTGTGCCCAGGAGGAAGAGGGGGAGGGAGAGCAGACTGAAGCCAGACTGCTGGGCTGTGAGGGTTGGCCTTGGGCCAGCCTGCCACAGCCAATATCGGAGACTACTCTTATCACTTGCTTTTAAACATGGGGAGGCGACACCCTTTCTGGTGAGAGACAGATGTCACTCATACTTGTGTGTGCTCATCACAGACATACATGTACATCCACATGTACTCTCCCCACCCACAAAATCCACGTGTGCCACCCACCATTCATTATTCTTAGCTACTCACACACAAAAGCACACACTTGTACATGTGTACACACAGCATACAGATATGAACACACATACAGAGCCATGCTAATATCTGCACACACCCACCTTACACACAAGCACACAATGCTCTATTTCCATACTACAGATATGCACACACACACACACCATGTCCACAGAGCAATGCACACACATTCATCAATACAAAGAAGCATGTGCACAAATGCGTACACACTCAAACATACACAAATTCACAATCGCCTCGGCAGACTGCAGGCTTGTGTGTACACACACCCTGACCGTGCCCTGAGCATGGGCGTCCATCCACTTGCAATGCCTGCTTCACGCCACCAGATGGTGGCCTCCAGACCTGGCAGGGTGCCCTGCAAAGATTGGATGTGGCCATCTGTACTCCCAAGGAGTAGACCCTCCCCTTCCAGGTGACCCTGCCCTCTAGACACACCAAAGCCTCCAGTGCTTCCCCTCCAAACCGGAGTGCCTGGTCTTCCCCCAATAAGTGCTGGGCTGGGGCAGGGCAGGGCCAGGGAGAGGAAGCCCAGCAACGCCAGGGGCCACAACAGGTGTACCAAGTGGTGCCCGGAGCCCACCTTGGCCCTCGGCAAGTTGTTTCCAGGTGGTGGAGAGTCTCATTCTTGGGGGAAAGGCTGTCTGCATGCTTCCAAATCTGGCCCTTCCTTCTGCCTCCCCAGGGCTTTCCAGCACTAGAGCTGCAGACATACAGAGCTACATGGACATGCTGAACCCAGAGCTGGGCCTGCCTTGGGGCACGATTGGGAAGCCCATACCCCCACCACCCCCACCCAGCTTCCCCCCGCCACCCCCGCCCCCAGGCACCCAACTGCCCCCACCCCCACCTAGCTACCCATCTCCCAAGCCTCCTGTGGGACCACAGGCAGCTGACATCTACATGCAGACCAAGAACAAACTCCGCCACGTGGAGACAGAGGCCCTCAAGAAGGAGGTAGTGAGCCCTCACCCACTGCCTGCCTCCCAGCAGGGGTACTGGGCTGATGGGGGCCAGTCAGGCCAAAGGCCTGGCCTCACTAGTGGGCACAGGGTGGGGGTCCCTGGGTCCATGGCATATTCAAGAGTCAAAGCTCCTGGCGAGTCCCACGAGGGGTCAGGGCTGGACACTGGACTGGGAGGAGAGTAAGAGCAGGTCACTGCCCTCCATGGGAGCTGGGGGGTGAAGGACGCAGGTCCAGACAGCTGTTCCTCACCAGGAACTGGGCCTGTGCCACCTCTTGCACAGGAGTGGCCGGGTTGTCATGGAGTTGACAGAGAA
Source organism: Homo sapiens (assembly GCF_000001405.40). Lineage (NCBI taxonomy): Eukaryota > Metazoa > Chordata > Mammalia > Primates > Hominidae > Homo > Homo sapiens. Next base: position 16,702,376 of record NC_000001.11, on the reverse strand, counting down.
TGCATGGAGACTGCCCCTCCCCAAGCATGCCCCCCCACCCCCACAGCCCCAGGCTCAGTCGGAGAGTGTCACCCAAGGGAGGTGGCTGCCAGGTGGAAGGTGCCAGTGGCATGGCTGTAGAGGTAAGGGCTGGAAGGAGGGAGGGAGGAAGGTGAGCAGGCACTAGCAGGGCTGGGCGCCCACCGGCAGTAGGGGCTGGGAGGAAGTGAAGCTGTGGCTGGTTCCAGTTTAGGGCTTGAGCTCCTGGGGGAAAGGGCCAGGCCTGAGCTGGGAGCCCTGGAGGGAAGCGAGCCTGTGTGGAGAGGATGAGGGCAGGGTGGGTAGGTGAAGTGTGAGGTGCCTAGGGATGTCTGGGGCCTGCAGGCGCCTGGCTGAGGCTCTGGAGCAGGGATTGGGGCAGAGGTCTGGTCTGAGCAATTGCGGGTATCCTCGGCAGGGTGCCCTGGGGAACACTGGCGTTCTGGCCACAGGAACAGAGCAAGGATGGTCTAAGAGGTGAGGGGACAGCCTGAGGTCACAGGTGGCCAGATGTGGTGTGGCAGCTCCCTGGGGTCCTGCTGGAGCCTGGGACCTTGCAGTTCTCTCTTAAGCCCAAGGCAAAGCCACCCCAGGGCCAATTCATACAAGGTGACTCAGGTCACAAGGCCAGTGGGCAAGGGAGGCATGGGAGGGACACCAAACCTGCAGGCCAGCTCCAGTAGCTGCCCTCTTCACGCCACCTTAGACCAAGCTCCCACAGTGGCTTTCCCCTTTCATCTCTGGGAGGCAGAGGGGGCCGGGCGGGTAGGGCTGCAGGGGCCCTGGAATCGTTGAGCTCCCGGCGCAGACTGTGGGCCCCGCCCAAATCCACAGGACAGGTGGCCCAGCCAGTGCCCCCTCTCCACCGCTGAGCCCAAGTGCCAGGTCTGTGAGGTCACCTCCTGGCTGTGCGAGCCCCCTCCCGGCTGTGTGCGTCCCTCCCGGCTGTGTGCGTGCTGGGCCGCAGACGCCAGGGCCCGGGCCGGGAAGCTCTACAAAGGGCTCTTTGTGTCGCCGCGGCGCCTCCCGCGCGGGTGCCTGACCGCAGGTGGGAGCAGGGTCGTGGCGTCGGAGCCTCCGGGCTGCAGGGGGCGCGGAGCCGGCGGGCTGGCCCAGAAAACGAATCCTGCGGTGTCGCGTTTCCTGCAACGTGAGCCAGGTCGGGCGGGGTGAAGGGTCTGAGGCCACCGCAGGGACGCATGGGCTGGAGAGTGGGGCAGGGGACAGCCCCCACCCGGTCACTCAGTCTTTGGCCCGGCCGCCTCACTCTCCCTCACTGAGCTGGGCCTAGTTGGGGGCAGCTGCGACGGGGCGGGAAGCCGCGCTGTCACCCGACCCCGCCTTACGGCCCCTGAAATCCGAGGCTTGAGCGCGGGTGTCGGTGTCGCTTTCGTGGATGGCGATGGTTTCCAGATGCAGGAGGGAAACGGTGGGGACGCGACCCGGAGCCGGCAGCCAAATATGAGAGGCCCCCTCTGCCCACGGTCAGCCCTCTCTCCTCTCGGGCGGGGATGAAGGTGGGGGCTCAGCTCCCAGCTTAGGGAGAGGCGCAGGGGGCGGGGTCACATCTGGCCCGGGGCGGGTGCAGAGCCGCGGCCAGGTGTGGCAGAGTAGTTGGCGCCCCCGTGGCATCCGCGACGGCTGGGGGGGGTTCGGCCTGGGATTGGCGGGCCCCGGGTGATGTCAGGCCGTCGGAGCCCATAGGCTGGCCGTGCGCGGGCGTCTGTAACCTGAGAGGAAGTATCACGTAAAGCAGGTGTCGGGTCCTGCCGCCCCCGCCGCCAGGTGCACAGCAGGACCACCAGCACCGTGGCAGGTTGGAGCAGCCCCTAGACGGACAAGCGGGGTCCGGGGCAAGCCGGAGCCTCGGAGAGCACAGGCTCTGGAGGGGGCTCCCTCCGGCCCGGGACCCCCGAAAGACAGGGCTCCGCGGAGCCCTGGGGACCCGCAGTCCTTCTGACAGCCGAGAGCGGAGTGCGGCCGAGGGCCTAGTGAAGGCTAAGCTGGGAGGTGCCCCTTCTCTAGCTCCCCCTGGCGTCGGGGCTGGGCCGGCCCGCCCCTGGGCCCGCCCCTTCTGGCCTCAGTGGGGGACCCTGTGCCCCTTGGCCGGTGCCCAGAACCCCTCCCTGTAAGGCGGGCGGAGCCTGCCCTTCCACCGAGGCCCCCATGAACCTCGCCCGCTGCCCACCGTGAGAACAGGGGGTCTAGGAAGTCGGCTGCTGCACCCCCCGACGGCCGCTGGCCGCGAGTTCCCAGGAGGTGAAGAGCTGGGTGGGGAGGCGTGGGGGGCGCCTACCGGGCACTTGCCCGAGCCCCACCGGTCACTGTCTTCCCGCAGCCGAGCTCCTGCGACGGCCACGACGGGCTACGGAGGCAGGACTCCAGCCGCAAGCCCCGCGCTTTCAGCAAGCAGCCCAGCACGGGGGACTACTACCGGCAGCTGGGCCGCTGCCCCGGCGAGACGCTGGTCGCACGCCCGGGCATGGCGCACCGCGAGGAGGTGCGTGCCCGCCAGCCCGCGCCCGCCGGCTGCCCGCGCCTCGGCCCTGCCGCCCGCGGCTCGCTCGAAGGCCCCTCCGCTCCCCCGCAGGCGGCGCAGCCGTCGCGGATGCTACGTGGGCCCCAACTGCTCTGCCACACCTGACCGCGGCTCTGCACGCGCCCCCGGCCAGATGTGACCCAGACCCCTCAGCCTCTCCCTAAGCTGGGAGGTGAGCCCCCACCTTCATCCCCGCAGGCGGAACTCCCTGGGAACCACGTGCCTAACGGCTGCGCCGCGGACCCCAAGGCGTCCAGGGAGCAGCAGCTGCCGCCGCCGCCGCCGCCGCCGCCCCTGCCCGAGGCCGCGAGTTCGCCGCCGCCGGTCCCGCCTCTGCCCCTCGAGGGCGCTGGCCCTGGCTGCGGGCAGCGCCGCTCCTCCTCGCCCACCGGCAGTGAGTAGGGGCAGGTTGAGGGGTGGGGGGCGGCGCTAGCCCTGAAAGGGGAGGGAAATCTAGACACCACCCCCTCCCCAGCTGTCACTGCCCGGGTCCTTCCTCTTCTACATGGTCTTCCGGCCACCCCTACCGCATTGAGTACTTGACCCTAAGAGAGGGCTCTGGGTTGCTTGAGGTCCTGCCAAAGCAGGACCGGGCTGCACAGCCTGGGGCAAGTCCCTTCCCCAGTCTGGGCCTGCCTCCCACCCTCTAGCTGTGTGGCCTGGACAAGTCCCCTCCCCTCTCTGGGCCTGCCTCCCACGGGCTAGAAAGGGCCTTCCAGCTCTGGCGCTGGTGTTTCCCATGAGCTGGTGCTGGTGTTTCTGATGAGCTGGTACTGGAGGGACACTTGAAGTCGAACCAGCTTCAGAGAGGCCCCGCAGCTGGCCACCCTTCCCCCTGCCCCTGTCTATCCTGAGCCTCTCTTCCTCTCTCCACGTCTTTCTCTTGTCTTTCCAAGCAGCACAGACCTGAAGCCTTCTTAGATATGCCAGGAACTCTTCCTAGCCAGTTCCTGCCAGGGGCCCTGGGCCAGCCAGAGCCTGGCTATGGGGGCAAAGCTGTGACCCACCATGTTTCCCCCTCCCTCCCCGGTGACTTCCCTAGGCATCCTTTTTAAGAGCTAGACTGGCGCAGGATTCCTGGGCTTCTTTTCTGTAGGGTGGGACAGTGTCCCCCTGCCAGGACACCTAGAAGGCCCAGGACAGGGTGCCTAGATGTGGTGCTCCCATCCCAGCCTGGCTGGGGTGCCTTCATCACCCAGCCACTCAGGGCAGAGATCATGCTTAGTGGCACCCCTCAAAGCTTCATCTCCCTGACTAGGAGTGCAGAGCAGAGCTTGTCCCCCTATGGTTCCTATGGAGCCCCAGCCCCTGCAGACCAGAGCCCATGGAAGCATGTCCAGCACCTGCCGAGCCTCCTTCTCCTTCCCTCCACAGTCTGCAGCAGGGCTGAAGCTAAGGGCAGAGAAAAATATACTCTGGGCTTCCCCAGACACCCCCACCCAGCACAGCCAGGGCTGGGTGCCCTACCCCAACCCAGTGCCAAGGTGGAGGCCCTTGCTGGGGGCTAGAGCCACTGGTGGCCCTGCCCTGCCCAGCCCTCAGGGGCACCAGCCAAACCAGGAACTCGATGGACCACCCTCATGGGGCCCCAGAGCAGCCTGAGCCAGGGTCAGATGGGCAGAAATGCTCCTCCTCTCTTCTCCACTTCCCCCCTCCTGCTCTCCCTGGCCCGCTCCCTGTCCCCTGCTATCCCAGTCTCATCCTGGCCCCCTTTCCCTCCTAACTCCGCTGTCACTTCTCTCCTCTTGGTCCCTAGAAGTGAGAGTCCTGAGGCACAGGAAGAGTGAGTAGCTGCGTGCGCGGCTCCTGGCTGAGGCTGAGGCGCGGGGTGGGGGGAAGAGGCAGGAAAAGCACGGGAGGAGGGGCCCAGCCTTGAGGAAAGGGCAGGGGCAGGGGCTGGCAGGCGAGAGAACCTCGATGCATGGGTGGGGCCTTGCACCTCATACCTACCCTCATACCCACATATGCACCCAAGCATTCTGCGCCTGGCTGATGGTTTTGCCTAAATAAATGAGTAAGCCACACCGATTTTCCCTTTCTCCTACTCTTCTCCTCCCGGTGACTGCACTCTGGGATCCCCAGCCTGGGAATCCAAGAGCTGTCGGCCCATTTTATTCCTCCCTCCCAGACCTGACCCCTTCATCGGGACTCAAGAGACCTATCTCTCCAAATCTCCATTCGCCTCCTCCGGCTAAGCCAGAAAATGCACCCTCTGCCCTGGGTGTTTGCATATTACCTGCTGCCCTTCTTCCTGGGTGCCTCCTGTGGCCTTAGTAAGGGCTCTGCTTTCCCCTAGAGCTGAGCCGTGCTTTGCCATAAATGTGCTCCCGGCTTGCAACCAATGTGTCTGCTTGTGCGTCTGTCTGTGGGTGTGGTGGCGAGGGAGGGGAGCAGGTGGTACTGGCACTCTGGGGTCTGGACTCTGCATGTCCATGGAGGCCCCAATTGACTCAGCTCAAGGGTCACTGAGGCTTTGCTGATGTAGGGAGAGGGCCAGAGGGAGGCTCCACCCAGCCGGGCTGAGCCAGGAAACCTGGGACAAAGGTCCGGTGGCTGATTCCAGGTAGTGTTTTGGGGCTGGGCAGTCAGTGGCTGGGCAGGAATATATGCCCAAGAGCCACCATGAACTCCCAGGGGTCTCCAGGCAGGGGCCCTCCATCCCGTGAGTAGGGTGGGGGAGGATGGTGGGGTTGCCACAGTCGGGGAACCAAGGGCCTGCCTCTGGGGGCCCTGAAAGCTGCCTGCAGGACCTGGGATCTGGAGAGCTGCCCGCTGGCCCCGAGGATGGGCACCCATCCAATCTGGAGTTGGGAAGGGGGCTGCAGAGGGGCGGGTGAGGGGTGGCAGGGATGCAGCCCCACCCTGGCCAGTGCCTCATCTCCTGCCTCTGCATAGGCACCAAGTCTTTCAACGTGATGTTCCCGATGGGCGACAACTCGGAGCTACTGGCTGAGATTAAGGCAGGCAAGAGCCTGAAGCCGACGCCACAGAGCAAGGGGCTGACCACAGTGTTCTCAGGCAGCAGGCAGCCGGCCTTCCAGGTAGGCGGGCCCAGCAGGAGCCTGCGACCCGGCTTCCCTGGCCCTAGGCCACCAGGCGCTCAGCCCCACCGCTTCTCCCTGCAGCCCGATTGGCCGCTGCCGTCTGTGTCACCTGCACTGTTACCAGTCCGGAGCCCCACACCGCCAGCTGCGGGGTTTCAGCCGCTGCTCAACGGAAGCTTGGTTCCGGTGCCGCCCACTACTCCTGCGCCGGGGGTGCAGCTGGACGTGGAGGCGCTCATCCCCACGCACGATGAGCAGGGCCGTCCCAAGCCCGAGTGGAAGCGCCAGGTGATGGTGGGCAAGATGCAGCTGAAGATGGAGGAGGAGGAGGAGCAGAGGTGGAAAGTGGGTGGGGCGGGGTGCCCAGGGAGCCCTGGGGTCTGCATCTGGATGCACAGCCCATCCCCCACGCCACCCCCAACACCAACCTCGGGACCTCCTATTTTCTTTCTTTCTTTCTTTTTCTTTTTTTCTTTTTCGTGAGACAGAGGCTTGCTCTGTCGCCCAGGCTGGAGTGCAGTGGCGCGATCTCGGCTCACTGCAACCTTTGTCTCCTGGGTTCAAATGATTCTCCTGCCTCAGCCTCTCAGGTAGCTGGGATTACAGGCGCATGCCACCACGCCCAGCTAATTTTTTTGTATTTTTATTAGAGACGGGGTTTCACCATGTTGGCCAGGGCTGGGATTACAGGCATGAGCCACTGTGCCCGGCCATCTTCTTTAGGGAAATCAGGGTGGCACGACCCCGTTTGGGGCTTGTCCCAGTCTCCACACACACCCCCAGCAGCTTGTCCTTGGAGTGAGACAGCAGCCTTTCTCAGACTCTCCTTCACCTGCCCAGCACCTGGGATCTGGTTAAAAGGCCTGTTCGGATTCAGGAGGTCTGGGCAGGGCTGAGGTTCTGCATTTCTAGCCAGCTCCTGGGTGAGGCTGCTGATGACACTGGTCCAAGGACCACACTGAGTAGCCAAGAGAGCTTTGGTCTCAGTCTTAGGGACCTGGTCTCCATTGCTGCGCTGCCGCCTTCCAGCTGCCGATACTGAGCCTCATCCAGCCTCAGTTTCCTTCTCTGTAAGGTGAGCTGATCAGCACCAGCTGGCAGGATGAGTTGCTTTCCATTCATCCAAAAACTATTCCCCGAATGCCATTTATTTTTATTATTTTTTATTTTTTTGAGACAGGGTCTCACTCTGTCACTGAGGCTGGAGTACAGTGGTGCGATCTTGACTCACTGCAACCTCCACCTCCTGGGTTCAAGTGATTCTCCCGCCTCAGCCTCCCGAGTAGCTGGGACTACAGATGCCCGCCAACCATGCCCGGCTAATTTTTGTATTCTTAGTAGAGATGGGGTTTCACCATGTTGGCCAGGCTGGTCTTGAACTCCTGGCCTCAAGTGATCTGCCCGCCTCGGCCTCCCAAAGTGCTGGGATTACAGGCGTGAGCCACCACGCCTGGCCCCCGAGTGCCATTTATGTGCCCCACACGCTTGTAGCCTCTGGGGATTCATGGTGAACATATCAAGGCCTGCTCTAAGGTGGCTGCGGACATGTGTGCGAGTCACCAAGCACACAAAATGGGGCAGTGTGAGAGAGTGGGTGGCAGTGGAGAGAAGTACCTGGGCTGATGCAACACAGCCAGCTGCAATGGGGAACGCAGGGGACTGGGGCAGCCCTAACCGGCCACCTTATACGTGGGCTGGGGGGTGTGTTAGGGAAGGAGGAGGTGATGTCTAAGGTAACACTTGGAAGACGAGTGAGGGGTGGCCAGGCAGAGAGGGGGCTGAAGAGCCGCAGGTGGGACAGGGCAGTCTGGAAGTGAGAGTGGATGTGGCCCTGACTGTCCTGGAGGAAGGGGGTCGCTGAGCTGGAGAGACCTCAGTGGGGGCCAGGTTACCAAGACCTGGCCAGAGGCCCAGAAGAGAACGGACTTTCTCCTGGAGCACTGGGGAGCCGGGTGCGGGGAGTGTTAAGCAGGGAAGAGGCTGCTTCCTATTTGTATGTGGGGAGTGGATCCCATAGGGCCAAGATGAATCAGGGACCTCTGTGGAGGCGATGGCAGGCCCAGGGGGGAAAACTGGACATCAGAGGTGGAGAAAAGTGAGCAAATGAGAATATTACGGTGCCCAGCTGTCCAGCACGACGAAGGGAGGGGAAGGGTGGGCAGCTCAGTGGAAGCTGCAGCTGCAGCCTCTTTAAGAGAGGAGTGGCCTCTCATTCTGCACATAAAACATTGACCACAGGGAGCGGAAGGCTTGGGCCACAGGGGAGCTGGAGAAGGGGTCATGAGTCTGGGAGGAGAGGCCTCACAATAGCCGCCCTCGGATGGGTTGGGGCGGGCCACCGCGCCTCTCAGCTTCAAGGCCTTTGGCAAGTTCCTTGGGTGGTGTAATGAGCGAACAAGCCAGGCATGGAGACCCCGTCTGCTGGCCTGTTCTTGCCGCCGCAGCAGCGAGCAGCAACCGGCCGTGCCCCCCGCCAGCGACCAAAGTGGACACTGCCCAGAGCCTGGAGCGGCGGCTCAGGCCGAAGCCTCACCCCAGCGTCACCCCCCGCCGGCCAGACGCGGTCCCTCCCTGCAGACGCAGCCCCGCGGAGCCATTACACCACCCAGGACATGCAAAAGGTTCCTGGCGCCACGGCGGGAGCTGGGCCAGAGGGAGACGCGCCTCCCTCCCCTCTCTTGTCTTCCCCGCCTTAGCTGACGGCCGCCAGCTCGTGCTGCTACCCCCGCGAGGGCTGGAGGTACCCCCGCGAGGGCTGGAGGTACTCCCGCGAGCACAACGCCATCCTCTGGCCCTTTGGCGAGCTCATGACCGAGGCCGACATCCTCCGCATCGAGCAGCAATCGAGAACCTGCAGGTGCTGCACAAGGCGCAGAAGCTGGAGGCGCGCCTGGAGCAACTGGAGCTGAGCAGCTGCTGCCCATCTCCGTCGCCCTGTGGAGCCGCGCTTCACCGTCGACCCGCGCCGAATGCATGGCCGCGCCGCCAGCCTGCCCGCCTGGTGCAGCAAGATCTCCACGCTGCTCAAGAGCATGGCCACGCTGCTAGCCGCGCTGGGCGGCCGGCCTGCGCACCTGGCGGAGCTGCCGACCGCTGACACGGGCCAGCCGCTGGCGCCGCTGCCTGAGGCGCCCTGACTGCCGGGGCCGCTTTGCCTGGGCCGCTCGCACTGGCTCAACTGGTGCCGCGAGGCTGTGGCGCGCGAGATCCTCGAGTGCGGCGTCTCCGTGCAGCATCACCGCGCCACCTACGAGCTGCGCGCACTGGACGCGGCGCCCCCGCGCTGTCCGCGCCGCAAGCCCCCGCAGTCCGCTGGCGCCCCGGTCCGCGAGCCCATCCTGTAGGAGGACTACGTGGCGGCCGGCTCTGGCCAGCCCAGCGCCGCCGCCGCCCACGGCCCGCTGGCCGACTGGGAGCCCCTGGACACCCTGGGCCCGCCTGAGGCACAGGATTGCCAGGCGGCGCTACTTGAGCCCGAGCAGCTGGCGCGCCGGCCGCCCCTCTGCACGGAACTGCGCGGCGTCCAGGACTACCTCGACCTGCGCAAGGAGCGCATCGTTTACCTCTTCCTGGAGCACTGGCGCCTCTGGGCCTTCCTCGGACCGGGCCTTCCGCGGACCAGGCGCGCCTAGGCAGACTGCTCCCTGGCGTGACGGCCGCCCGTGCTGGCCGGAGCTGGAGGCCACGGACGCCCCCCGGCTGCCGGTGAGCAAGGGCGAGGCCCACAGCCCCAACGAACGGCTGCGGCAGCTGCTGAGGCAGCGGCAGGCAGTGGGCAAGCTGCTGCACCACTGGCGGAGCCTGCGGCGGCACGTGCCGCCAAGCCCGGGCCTGGCGCACGGCGTGTACTGGCCCCAGCACTTCCTGTCGCCCCTAGACGGCGGCGCACCCCCGCGCTACGAAAGCCTCACGCTCGACCTCTTCATGCTCGGCTACTTCCAGCTACCGGAGATGGGCCTGAGCCGCGAGGATCGCAAGTTCCGCCACCTACTGTGCTACGAGATGTTCCACCGGCTGGACAGCCACCCGTGGGAGCGCATCCGCCTCTTCCACCGCGTGGTGCTGGAGGAGGTGGAGGCCGGCCGGCGCGGCTGGAGCGACGGCTTCGAGGACCTCAGGCACAGGTTCTTCGGAAACGGCCTGGAGGCTGGGCCGGCCCCCGAAGAACAGGCGAAGAAAAAGGAAGAGAAGGGGAAAGAACAGGAGCGGACCGAAGAGGCCGCTCCGGTTCAGAAGGGGGACCCGCCCAAGGGGCAGCGCGAGGCCCTGGCCCCTGTGCCGCAGCCGCCGCCACCGCCCGCCCGCCCGCCGGCCCGCCGCGCCTCCCCGCCGCGCCTCCCCGGATCTCAGACTCTCCGGGTTCCGAAGCCCCCGCCGAAGACCCTTTGGAACTAGTGTCTGAGATGGGCGAATTCAGCAACGAGGACATCTGCCGCTACATCGACCGCAGCTTCTCCTTCTGGAAGGAGAAGGAGGCAGAGCTGTTTGACATCTGAGCAGCGGAATTCGGAATTCGCAGTTCACCCTCGAGCGTCTTAACGTGGGCCTGGACGCCTGTCTGACGCCCTCCAGAGGCGTGAAGCAGCGGGAAGAACCCAGGACTGTGGCCTTGAGCAGCCCGGAGGGCCCAGGACCAGGCTGCCTCAGCCTCTGAGGTCCCATCGTGAGCAGGTTGTGTGGGGCGTTGGTCGGATAGGCAGGGCAGGCACAGAACAAACCAGGTGTCCCCCTCTGGCCCCGTGGTCTTGCTGAGCTCTGTGTGGAGCCAGGCAGCAGAAGAAGCCCCTCTGAGTGAGGGGCTGCGGCTCCTCCCTGGGGCAGTGTGGCCTGCTCTCTGGTTTTCCACTGGAGTTCACAGCTACCTCCTTGGCTGAGGTCAAGGGAGCCACGTGTGCAGTGTTCTGTGTGAAGTGTGCGGTGTACAGACCCTTTCTCCTCTGTAATATTCAGGAAATAAAACTGTTTGCTGTAAACTGCCTATGTTGGACACCACACCTGCCCCTGATGTCATTGCAGCCCCACGATTGTAGAGCACGTATCCACTCTGTTGGGAAGAGGGCAACCATGGGCTGAAGGTCCTTCTCAGGGGAGCCAGGGGCAGCCTGAATCTCCCTGAGCCAAGAGGCTGGGTGGGGGCCCGCATCTGCGTCTGCCCAGAGATCTTGGACCTGTGGCCATTGGCCACCTGCCCCTGTGGGGAATCAGGCTCAGGACCTCTGGGTCCCGGCTACTTTTTCTCTGCTTCTGTCCCACTCAGCTCTGATCTCTCTGGTGCCTCCTGTAGGACACAAGGGTCTGGGTTACTAGGAGAAAGGAGGCCAGCTCTGAGGGGGTGTGACCAGGCACCTCCATCCACTTGTCCCACAGAAATGCATCCAAAGGGTCACTTCCTGTGACCCTGACTCCTTCAGGTCCCCAGGTTGAGGGTGCCCCCTATCTCCCAGCCCCTGCAGGCTCTGAAGCTTTGTGGTTGTGTTTCAGGAGGAGGAGGAGGCCCGGCTGGCCAGCATGCCCGCCTGGAGGTGGGACCTCCTGCGGAAGAAGCTGGAAGAAGAGAGGTGAGCCGGCGGTCAGGCAGAGGCTGGCCTGGCAGCGGGTCTTGACTGCGCCCCTGAGGTGGAGGTACCAAGTGACACTGTTTCTCCTTCTAGGAAGCAGAAGCGGTGAGTGCAGGGCTGGCCCCAGCCTGCCACCCTTACCCCCACCCAAGTCGCAGAGGGTCGTCCCTTCATCCAGGCCAACTTGAGTGCATCCTCCTGTCTCTTGGCCCTTGTAGCACAGCCTCCTTCCTCCCTATAATATCCCAGACGGCTGACCCCCAGAATCTCTCTCTCATGCTCTGATAACTTTGTTCCCGGTTACTCAGTCCCTGCCTCCTATTAACCTGGCCTTTTCTACCCTTCAGTTAACCTAACCCCAGTATCAATCACCTTGATTGTCTGGCCCTCAGAATGTACTTTCTGCCCCTAGTCATCTCACCCAGCCCAGTGCTGTCCAATAGAAATGTAATGAGAGCCACAGATGTAATTTAAAATTTTCTAGTAGCCACAGTGAAAATGTAGAAGGATATAGGTGAGCTTAATTTTAGTAGTGTTACTTGACACAAAATATCAAAAATATTATTTCGACACATAATCAATTATGAAAATTACTAATGAGATGTTTTATACTCCTCCTGTAAAAGTAAGTCTTTGGCCAGGCATGGTGGCTTACACATGTAATCCCAGCACTTTGAGAGGCCAAGGCAGGGGGACCACTTGAGTCCAGAAGTTTGAGACCAGCCTGGGCAATGCAGTGAGACCTCATTCTGAAAAAAAAAAAAAATTTTTTTTTTCTTTTTTTGAGATGGGGTTTCACTCTTGTCACCCAGTCTGGAGTGCAGTGGCGATCTGGGCTCATGCAACCTCTGCCTCCTGGGTTCAAGTGATTCTCCTGCCTCAGCCTCCCAAGTAGCTGGGATTACAAGCATGTGCCACCGCACCCAGCTAATTTTGTATTTTTAGTAGAGATGGGTTTCACCATGTTGGCCAAACTGGTCTCAAACTCCTGACCTGAAGTGATCCACCCGCCTCGGCCTCCCAAAGTTGTGGGATTATAGGCATGAGCCATCAAGCCTGGCCTTTTTTTTTTTTTTTTTGAGACAGAGTTTTGCTCTTGTTGCCCAGGCTGGAGTGCAATGGCACAATCTTGGCTCACTGCAACCTCTACCTCCTGGGTTCAAGTGATTCTCCTGCCTCAGCCTCCCAGGTAGTTGGGATTACAGGCGCCTGCCACCACGCCTGGCTAATTTTTGTATTTTTAGTAGAGGCCGGGTTTTGCCATGTTGGTCATGCTGGTCTCGAACTCCTGACCTCAGGTGATCCACCCGCCTCAGCCTCCCAAAGTGCTGGGATTACAGGCATGAGCCTTCACACCAGGCCTACGAAAAAAAATTTTTTTTAATTAGCTGCACGGGGCTGCACACAGTGGATCATACCTGTAATCCCAGCACTTTGGGAGGCTGAAGCGCGTAGATCACCTGAGGTCAGGAGTTCAAGACCAGCCTGGCCAACATGGTGAAACCCCGTCTCTACTAAAAATATAAAAATTAGGTGGGTGTGATGGCACATGCCTGTAATCCCAGCTACTCGGGAGGCTGAGGCAGGAGAATCACTTGAATCTGGGAAGCGGAGGTTGCAGTTAGCCGGGATCACGCCATTTTGTACTCCAGCCTGGGCAACAGAGTGAGACTCCATTTCAAAAAAAAAAAAATTAGCTGGGTGGGCCGGGCTCAGTGGCTCACGCCTGTAATCCCAGCACTTTGGGAGGCTGAGGCAGAATGATCACCTGAGGTCAGGAGTTCAAGACCAGCCTGACCAACATGGTGAAACCCCGTCTCTACTAAAAATACAAAAATTAGCTGGGCATGGTGGCACGCTCCTATAATCCCAGCTACTCAGAAGGCTGAGGCAGGAAAATCGCTTGAACCTGGGAGGCAGAGGTTGCAGTGAGCCGAGATCGTGCCACTGCACTCCAGCCTGGGTGACAGAGCGAGACTCCGTCTCGATTAAAAAAAAAAAAATTAGCTGGGTGTAGTGGCACACACCTGTGGTTCCAGCTACTTGGGAGGCTGAGGTGGGAGGATTACGTGAGCCCAGGAGGTCGTGGCTGCAGTGAGCCATGATCTCACCACTGCGCTCCACCCCGGCAACAGAGCGAGACCCTGTCTCAAATAATAATAATAATAATAATAATAATAATAATAATAATAATAAAACTTAGTCTTGAGATCTTATTGCTCTTATTGCCTGACTAAGGAGGTTCTGGGTAGGGAGTTCATTTTAGATCTGCTTTTTTTGTTTGTTTTTGTTCTCATCAAAAACTACCTTTGCAATCTCATGTTTCTCTTGGGCCCTCTTTAATGGCCTAACTTCTTCAAAGCATGATTTTCTTTTAGTTCCTCAAGGTGGCTTTGGAGAAAAGTCTGGCAACTGTGGAGACCCAGAACCCATCTTTGCCTTGAGAATGCAGAGCTGAAAGAGCAGAAATGTCTGAGGGATGGGAGATTGAGGAAGACAAGGAGAAGGGCAAGGTGGTGGTTGAGACTGTGGTTGCCAAAGAGGGTCTGAGTGAGAGTAGTCTTCAGGCTGAGTTCAGAAAGCTCCAGGGAAAACTGAAGAATGCCCACAATATCATCAACCTCCTCAAGAACAACTTGTGCTGAGTAGCAAAGAAGGGAATAGTAAACTTACTCCAGAGCTCCTTGTGCATCTGACCAGCACCATCGACAGAATAAACACAGAACTGGTTGGTTCTCCTGGGAAGCACCAACACCAAGAGGAGGGGAATGTGACTGTGAGGCCTTGCCCCAGACCCCAGAGCCTTGACCTTGGGGCTACCTTCACAGTGGATGCCCACCAAGTCAATGTAGGCTTAGATGGAATGAAAAACCACTGGAGAAGGGCTCGAGATGACAGTGTTTACTTTAAAACGTTCTCCCATGTGAATCAAGAGGTACCAAGAGAAAGGTCTCTTTGTACCACAAACAACAGTAATAATATTCAGCCTACATTCAGCCTTTAGAAAGCCTTTTACAATATAAATATTTCTTGAGTACTTAATTTTTCAGATAACACACTAGGCATTGGCATGGGGCAATAAAACCAATGGCTGCCCTTGAGATACTTAATATGGTAAGGAAAGATGGCACATAAACAGGTAATTTTAATAGGAGGGGGTAACTGCTGTAACATAGGGATGCATCAGGTTATGAGGCAGCCCAGACAAGTAGTATGTAATGACATCCCTTCCTTATCAATGCCATTTTTTTTTTTTTTTTTGGTCACAGCTCATCACAGGTGTCTGTTCCTGGACCTCAGATGGGTTATTGGGATCCTGTTTAGGGGAGGAGCCATGCTGAAGATTCAGTAAAATGGGGAATACAGGGGATTCTGAGAGAATCGATGGCACAGAATGTGAGGGGAGATGAGTGGAGGGTTCCACCCCTTCTCTTTTTGACCACTGAGAAAACGTTTCCTAAGAGCTCCTCTGTAGACTTGATTGGCGCTGTGCTGTGTGCTGTGGATACAGATATGAAGAAAACATTATCCCAGCACTCCAGGAGCTCCATCTGGAAAGCAAGTCACTGCCAAATGGCATGAGAAGTGCTGTGACAGACTTGAGTAAAGTCCACGGGGTTCACAACGGGCCGTGGTCATCACTGCATGGGGGTGGCCTCGGACTGTCCTGATCCTTGTCTTGGCCCCTTTCACAGTTGGAGAACCAGTCCCAGCCTTGTGACACTGGGCCCAATCAGCGTTTAGCCCACCAGGGTCCACCCAGCACCTGCGCTCCCAGCTGTCACAATGCAAACAACGCTATCAAGATCTCCAGGAGAAGCTGCTGCTATCAGAAGCCACTGTCTTTGCTCAGGCGAACGAGCTGGAGAAATACAGAGTTATACTTAGTAGGTAACTATGACTTACTAGTAAAGAACTAGCCTGTACGTCTTATAAGCTCTGTATGTTCTATACAGACATAACGTGGTTATTGAGCACATGAAGTGTGGCTAGTGCAACTTGGACATTTGGTTTTATTTAATTTTAGTTAATTTAGTATAAAGTGGCCATATGTGGCTACTAACTACCTTATTGGACAGTGCAGGTCTAGGTGTCTTGGGACTCTAAATTAGTTCAGCTCCATTCAACATTTATTGAACCCCTGCTGATAAAGCACTTGCCAGCTTCAATGGGGCTGCTAGAGATGAGAGTACACAATCCCTGACTTACAGATACCTTGTCCCAACTAAGGCCTAGGTTATCTGAAGGGGAGATTATCAATGGCAAATGCAGGCTCCTCCTGTGGAAAGAAATTCTGCTTCCTGGAGCTGGTGGTCTCTTCTCCCACCAGTTCAAAGAAGCTTCTCTCGCACTGTGGATCTGCCCTCCCTGCCCCACAAGGTTAGGGTATGTGCCATTGAGGCTGAGGGCATATGTGGGAAATTCAGACATTCTGTAACACCTGCTGTCTCTTCCCACGCAGGTGAACCCTTGCTGAAGCAGGACAGTAAACAGGTCCAGGTGGACCTCCAGGACCTGGGCTATGAGACTTGTGGCCAAAGCAAGAATGAGGCTGAACAGGAGGAAACCACCAGTCCCGGTAAGAGCACAGGGTGTGGGGCTCACCTTCCCTCCCTGGAGTCAGCTATCACATTTGGGTGCTGTTGGCCAATTCCACACCTGACAAGTAGTGGGGAAGAGGAGGACAGGAGGTTAATAGGAGAACTCTTACCCAAAATGAGGCTGCGTATAAGTTTGAATTTCTACAATTAGTTTGTGGCACACTGCTAATAATAATAATAATAATAATAATAATAATAATAATATAAAGTTCTAGCCAACTGATTATTATAGAAATACTAAGGCCTACTTAGAGACCACATGAGGTTTTGGAAACATGCAAACCGTAAGTTAAAAATAATTTTGTTTTGCATTATAAAAGGACTACAACCATAGGGCCACCCACCACATTGAAAACCAGAAGAGCATTTTGCTGCCGCCGAGCGTGGACGCAGGCGGATCTCCGAAGAGCTGGGTCGCCAGCCTCTCCCGCGCACGTTGCCTGGCCTCCAGCACCTACTTGGTCCCGCGCGCTCCCTCGTGTCGCCCCTCGGAGCAGCAGCCGCCGCGGTCGCCGCTACCCGGAAAGAAGTCAGAGACGCCGCGAGGTCGCCGCCACCGCCATGCCCAAGAATAAAGGTAAAGGAGGTAAAAATAGACGCAGGGGTAAGAATGAGAATGAATCTGAAAAAAGAGAACTGGTATTCAAAGAGGATGGTCAGGAGTATGCTCAGGTAATCAAAATGTTGGGAAATGGACGGCTAGAAGCAATGTGTTTCGATGGTGTAAAGAGGTTATGTCACATCAGAGGAAAATTGAGAAAAAAGGTTTGGATAAATACCTCGGACATTATTTTGGTTGGTCTCCGAGACTACCAGGATAACAAAGCTGATGTAATTTTAAAATACAATGCAGACGAAGCTAGAAGTCTGCAGGCATACGGCGAGCTTCCAGAGCATGCTAAAATCAATGAAACTGATACATTTGGTCCTGGAGATGATGATGAAATTCAGTTTGATGACATTGGAGATGATGATGAAGATATTGATGACATCTAAATTGAACTCAACATTTTACATTCCATCTTTTCTGAAGATTGTCCTACAATTTGGATTTTGATCATGACAAAGAAGATTAAAATTTCATTAGCATGAATGCAATTTGTTAAAGCAGACTGATTTGTTTCTAAGATATTTTTGGTTTTTTTAAAACTGATAATAATGCTGAATTATCTTAAGTGAGATGTTAAGCCCACTTTGTTCTTTTAATGTAATGGAGCTTATGGGTAGAAGACCATGTCTACTAATTACAAAAAAAAAAAAAAAAAAAACCATGCATTGCTGCTTTTCCTACCACTTCCAGTAAGAAAATGGGTGTTTTGAAGAAATCATTTGCCTTGTCCTCACGGAATCTGATTAAGCCCTGGCCTCTTGATTGTATAGAGTCATTGTGTATATTCCAGTTACCTAGATATTCCCTTGAGATTTTGATACAATTTGAGGGAGGCAGAAGTCTGCATTTGAAGAAAAAAAATAAGTCTGTTTGTCATATTTAAGTAGCCTGTGGCTATTTTTATACTGATTTTGATATCATGTTCTTTTCATAGTCGTATTTTGCCACCGTAAACATAAAAAAAAAAAAAAAAGATTTCCAAAATGCCGTTTTCAGAACCTGGGTTTTAATAGCAGTATTGAATTTGTAAGCTTAGTAGTTGCAGAAATTGAACACTAGGTGGCACTCAGTTATCTTAACAGGGGAAGTACTGATATAATTGTTGACTTTTCTTTTACTATGTGTAAGAAATACCCCAAACATGAAAAGATTGTTTTGATCATATGCATGTATGTAGAATATTTTTGCAGAGCAGAAAGATTATGTTAGAAGTGTGATTTTTATTTTCAGAAGTCATATACATGTAAGCTACAATTTTGAGTGCTTTATAAACACTTAAGATATATATATAAATTTTAATTTCATAGCAACTTGTAAAAAATAAAATACTTGTTGAAAAGCCTTTTTCAACATATCCCTAAGCTAAGGGAAGAGGAAGGAATAACAACTCAGTGAAAAGATGGTCTCCAATTTCTGAATGAAAAAGCTACAGCTGAGAAATAAAATAAAATGTCATGCTGCAGAATATGTTATACCCTTATTTTGTGTTAAGGATATATTTTATTATGCGAATGGTTTTGTTTTTGTTTTTTGTTTTTGTTTTTTGCTTGTATTGGGAATTAGCTTTACTGGTAACTTCCTTATTTAGTTTTTAGTGGTCAACTCTAATAAAATGAAACTAGGGCTGAGCTAGTTAGCCCTCACTAGCCAAACTGAAACTGTATGCAACATTAAAAGAAGAGATCCATCATGTAGCTTGTGACACTTTTATTTTATTAGTCACCGGGGAACTTTTCAGTGATGAAAATACACAGGGTAATAAACCTTCACATGGCTTCAAAAGGAAAACAAGCAAATCTTCTCTAATCTACTCTTACTATAATTTCCTAAGTGTACACCAAACTCTGGATTTAAAAATCTGAAGTACTATAGAACATTAAGTTGAAGAATGGAAATTAAGAGTACATATTCATGGTTTATATTTCTTACTCTATGGAGTTCGTGAACACATCTAGGTGGAATGCATCTGAGACTAAGGGCTGGTTTTTAATCCTCATAAGAAACCAGCCTTGAAGAATTAACAATTCTCTTCATTGGTATTCTAAACCTCCTAAGATATTTAGGCTTCTGTACATAAAAGTGTTTTTGCTAAATTTACAGTATATATAGATCCTTTCATATTATTTTACTAAGAATGTTTGAACTTTGCATATTTGACATAGTTCCTGGTAGGAATAGCACAGCTCAAACATTAGTTTTTCTACTTACCTCCTCTAACACGTGGTTTGTCTGGAGAGTTTCTAAAAATTCAGCTATAACCCCAGTTCATGTATTTACTGGTGATTGTTCTTGCTGAGGTAGTAACAGCCCAATCTTGGGCTGTTAAATCCTAGGAAATCTCGAATCATAGTGATTAAAATAGTTGGGGTAAAGTTGTAGCTTATATGCAATACTACTTGGAGGAATTCTTTTACTAATTTGTATTTAATGTGGAAATTGTATAGTTTCATTGATTTAATCATAAATAATGGAAATGGTCTTCAAGAAGTTTTATTTCATTTTTTTGCTTATACACTCTGATTCCTATAATACAGTGCTATAAGCTATGCACAGAAAATAAAATGTTTGAAATCCAAGAATAATGGTTCTTACTGCTAAGAGGGAGTAATAGTTATTACTAATGATTTTGATTGGGTTGCATTTTTGTTGCAATGTTTATTCCACTTGCAGTTAGAATATGAATATGTTTTATCACTAATGTGGCTAAATAACCAAACATTTGTGTAAAAAAAAAAAAAAAAGCCAAGATTTCATTGTTTGTTGAATATTTCTTAAGCATCTAGCCCCTAAAGAGACTGCTTCTTACCAAGCCTGTAAACTATGCATGATGGAAATTCTTGTATTTTATTTAGGAATGGCTGTTGGTTTACTTACCACATCTGTGGAATCATGGCTATAAATGTTTGCTTACAAACTAAAAAAAAAAAAAAAGAAAACCAGAAGAGAAGAAAAACACAGTCTCTCTCATTCTTGAGGAAGTGTAGTGTGGCAGTTAAGAGAAAAGATCCTGGGGCCAGACTTGTTGCTTCAAATCCCAATTTGTAAACTTTCCTATGCCCCAGTTTCTTCATATGTTAAAATAGTAATAAAGGAACTACCTACCCCATCAGATACTAATGTGAATTAAATGAGTAAATTCTTATAAAATGCTTTAGAACAGTGTCTGGCATCAGGTAAAATGCTGTGGATTAGTTCTCATTCTGACTACCACTGCCCCAATACACTGATGTTAACATGCTGATATATTTATTCGAAGTCTTATTTTCCTATGCCTATTTTTCACACAGTGGTAACCCAATAAACTTTTAAATTATAGTAAACTTTAGAGAGCATTAAACTTGCAGCATGCAGAAATAGCTTGTCCTGCGTTCTTGTGGCTATCCTAACTAGATAAGGCCATGTTAATGGCTTGAGAAACATCAGTGTGTGTGGAATGAACACAGGACGTTGGAGGATTTGAATTCAGGCTCTGCCATGTGCTAGTTTGAGTGATCTAGAACAAGCTGGTTTACCACCTCTCTTTAAGTTTTGGTTTCCCCAGTCAGTAAAATAGAAAGTGGTGAAACCTAACTTGTGGGTATAAGGAGGATAAGAAATACTGTATTTGAATGCCTAGTACAGTGTCAGGGTTGAATAAAGTACGACTTCACCTTATTCCCTAGTAATTATTGTCCTCATGACCAAACCTGCCTCCTCTCAAAGGCAGTGGCCACAACAGCACATCCAACTTTTATTTAGGAAGACATCTTTGTCTTTTTTCAGAGCATGAGGAGCACAGCAGCCGCAAGGAAATGGTCCTGGTGGAGGGGCTGTGCTCTGAGCAGGGGCGCCGGGGCTGAACGCTGGCTAGTTCCTCTGAGAGGAAGCCCTTGGAGAATGAACTAGGGAGGCAGGAAGAGTTCTGGGTATATGGAAAGTCAGAAAACATCTGGGTCCTATGAAAGGACATCAAAGATCTGAAGGCCCAGCTGCAGAATGCCAACAAGGTCATTCAAAACCTCAAGAACCGGGTCCAGTCCCTCTTGGTTACAAGTGATTATTCATCTAGTCTGGAAAGACCCTGGAAGCTGAGAGCTCCTGACACCCTGGAGGGGTCTTCACCTCATAGTGTCACTGATGAGGATGAGTTGTGGCTGTCTGATGGCACTGGGGCTTTCTACTCTCCAGGACTTCAGGCCAAAAAGGACCTGAAGAGTCTCCTCCAGAGAGTATCCCAGCTGGAGGCCCAGCTCCCAAAAAATTTATCTAGGGACATATAATTAACATATATATAACAGTTGAAGAACAGTGGCATGGTAAATTTTTGTTTTGTTTTGTTTTGATACAGAGTCTCACTCTGTCACCCAGGCTGGAGTGCAGTGGTGCCATCTCGGCTCACTGCAACCTCTACCTCCCAGGTTCAAGCAATTCTCCTCCCTCAGCCTCCCAAGTAGCTGGGATTACAGGCATGTGCCACCATGCCCAGCTAATTTTTGTGTGTGTTTTTAGTAGAGGAGGGGTTTCACCATATTGGCCAGGCTTGTCACGAACTCTTGACCTATGATCTGCCTGCCTCAGCCTCCCAAAGTGCTGGGATTACAGGCATGAGCCACCACGCCCGGCCCATACTAAAATTTTTAGTGCGATACTTTATCAGGGTAGAATTTGCTGTTAAATGCCTCCTATGGCTTATGTGCCAGAATTCAGTTTGGGGGAGTTCCTTAGAGATGTTCTCATAGAAATCTCTACAGAAGCCCCCATAACTTATCATCCACCCTTTCCTCTTCTGTCCTGCATTAGGAAATATGATTCCCTGATTCAGGATCAGGCCCGGGAACTGTCTTACCTACGGCAAAAAATACGAGAAGGGAGAGGTGTTTGTTATCTTCTCACCCAGCATGCAAAAGATACAGTAAAATCTTTTGAGGATCTCCTAAGGAGCAATGACATTGACTACTACCTGGGACAGAGCTTCCGGGAGCAACTGGCCCGGGGAAGCCAGCTGACAGAGAGGCTCACCAGCACACTCAGCACCAGTAAGTTGGCCACAGGGCTTTGGATACTCTCAGTCACCCCACAGTTCCAGCCCCTGGTGGCCACCACATCTCCACTGCAACTTTTTAACGTAGGGTCCTGTTTCTATTTCATTTCCTGGGGCTAATATAGGATCAAGACTGCTCAATGGGGAGCATGGAGAGGAACACACAGGGCTGGAGATGCCATGGTTACAACTCTAGAAACTTCACCACTCATGGAATGTGACCTGTGGGGCAGGGGAGACATCTCTCTGGTGCTAAGAGGGAGTAGGGGACATGACATGGAAGGGCCTTGTTATAGGAGGAAGAGCCGTGAGCTAAGAATTGCAAGACATCGAGGCGCTGAGGCCAAAGGGTCCGTGAGGAAACAGGCGCAGCTCACGCCCCTCGGCCTACGGGAGGGAGGGCAAGGAGGGTTCTACGGTTCCTGGGAGGACGAGAAGAGCCAAGAGCCCCGACGGCCGGCGCCGGGGAAAAGGCCCCGAGGCGGGGTCCGCATCCCTGGAAGGGCGGCGTCCACCCTCCTGAGAGGCACGGGGCGCCCAGGGCTCGGAGGCTCAAAGCCCGCCGGCTCCTGCAGCTTCTGGGAGCCGAAGAGTGTCAGCCGGGAGGATCCCGCACACGGCGCTTAGTTCTGGAACTGCATACCCAGGGGAGGATGCGGGAGCCCGAAGCCCGGGTATGTGTCCCCGAAGCCCGGGTGTGGGTCCCCATGGTTTTCGTGTTGGGGGTGGGCGCGGAACGCTAAGCCTGGGCCTATTGGGAGCCATAGTCTTCTTGATGGCTGGTGCTTATTGGGCTTTTTTCAGTCGAATTTCGAAATGCAGTTGAATTTCTTACTTTGGAAACGATAATAGAAATGGCTGATCTAAGATTTTCATGATGATATTTTGCCTTTTTTGGTGCATATGCAGTTTCTGTGGTGTAGTGGTTATCATGTTCGCCTCACACGAGAAAAGTCCCTGATTCGAGACTGGGTGGGAACGTCGTGGTTTGTTTTTTTTTTTGTTTGTTTGTTTGTTTTTTTGGTCCCTAAATTTTGTGAGTTTAATCGAGGTTGGGAAACAAACAGAAAAGTATTTGAACCTGTGGCTACATTTTAGACCTCCTCAATCTAGACAGATTGTTGACCAGGTACAATTTCCACTGGTCTGCCAGCAAGAGGCCTGCTTAATATTAGCTTTGGTTCCAGAAATTCCTTAAGATTCTCTTTATTCTCTTCTGTCGCCTGAATTTTCACAGGCTGACACTGAAAGTGGATGACATCTTAGCGCATTTCCTAAGGGTCCCGCTTGGTTTGGCTTTACTCTGGTAAGTTGCAGATCTGGCTGATTTGCAAGACAACAAAAACAAAATATTTTTTAAAAAGGTTCTAAATCTGCATCTGGAAGTCATAGAGTCCATATTCCTAAATCACATGAATTATGTATATACATTTGCATGCATACCCCTTCCTCAAATAATCCTCAGAAAACCGGTTAAGTTTTAGCATCTGTGACTCAGATGCATATGAGGCCTTGGTAGATTTAGAAGTTGAGAGTAGAAAGTACAGGTTTGTATTTTAGAAGGAGATTTGGGAATAAATGTAGCTTTGGTTGATATAGATCATATGTTAAGGTTTGTTGGCCAGAGCTGGTGTGTGTCTTGGGTGTTGGGCAAAGAACAGAGAACAGCCAAAGCTCTGCGAGGTCAATGTGAAGGATGATTTCCTTGGTGGGCTCAAGTTTATGACTCAGCCTGGACCTAGCTTGGCTTCTCAGCTTGAGAAGAAGCATGATTCCATGTCACAGCTCCTGTCTTTGAAAAAGTCATAATGACTCCCAGACCCAACATGTGGAGAAAACTCTGGATTTGTCTCTTCAGTTGAATGTCTCCATTGAAAATTGAGGAAAGAAATCTCTCTAATATTTGAACTTCATCAAAAGACTAATATGTTAATATTTGACCGTCAATATTTCCTTAAACTAGTCTACTGCTTACATAGCTAACACATCAAAGCATATTAACTTAGGAAATGGGATTCTCCCAAACAATGAAACATTGACGGCAAGCGTTCTTCATCTTTTCACATCACATTTCCTTCAAATGCTTTATACATCTTCAAGCAGACAAATAATAGTATTATAATGATTACGAGACCGATCATTACTCTTTTGCCAAAAAAAACCAACGACAAAAGACTAACTTAGTGGACCAACCTTTGTTTCTTCATTATCTCTACCGTGGTTCTGTCCTTTTATTTCGTCTTTCTTCTAATTCTGCTTCTGCTTCTTATTTCCTCCCTGGATTTGAACTTTACTTACCTAAACTACCAGTTAGGTTACCTTCTCAGAACCTCTAAGGCAGCAGTTTGAGGTTGATGATGGAAGATTTAGGATTAGAAAAAAGAAACATGAATGAATTTCTGATGTTTTATTATAGGGGTTTGTAATGCAGGTAGAAAGACCTTTTTCAGAGTTAAGAGTTTGATCCGACAAATGAGCTATTTTGATATTTATAACGTTGTCTAATAAAAGTTTCCTATAAAAACACATTTGGTTTGGATGTCTTTGTTAGCTTTTAGTCGACACTTGAAAAAACCGCTTAGAACAGTTTCTAAATCTTTGTGGTTACTCTTTTCTGTTATCCTCCAGGGGGTAGTTCCAGAGAGGCGTTGGTGGTTTAGTGGTAGAATTCTCGCCTCCCATGCGGGAGACCCGGGTTCAATTCCCGGCCACTGCACGTGGTTGTTTTTCACTTCGCTATGGCTCTTTACTTGTCTTTTACGCTGAAAATTATACTGCATAACCCAAGAGTGCATTTAGGGGCTTGGCCACCACAAGGTAAAGTGACAACAACACTCACCAAAGTAGCGGCAGGAGACTAACCCAGGACCCCATGCAGTTGTTGGACTCAAACAGCTTAGCAAGCTGGCAAGCATGAAGTGTCTCTGGTGAGTCACTGCAGTTTTGATACTGGTACCTGTTACTTTCATTTATTCACTGGAAGGATCCCTGCAAACCCAAAGAACCATCAGTTTCCTGATTCGCGTGCTGGACCTTGGGCTTACCGTTGAGCCACTATGGAGAGGATCAAGAAATGACACTCTTGGAAGGAGAGAAGCTGCGGGCAGGACAGTCACCTCAGAGGTCCAAGAGTTGTCATCGGCCCAAAGAAAGGGGAGGTGTGTGGGCAAGAATCTGCGTGGAGATGAGGGGAGCGGCGGAGACTGGTCCTTGCGCAGAGGTGGCCAGTGAACCCTCAGGGCTGTACCCCAGACACCGTGAATCGAATTTGCTCACATCATCAGCGACCGCAGCCCCCGCGTGTTTTGTGGGCCCATCGGTGTTCCGCGAGGGATTCCGTGTGTCTGGCAATGTGTGTCAACAGGTGTTGGCCTGAAATTTGGCCGGGCACGTTGGCACACGCCTGTAATCCCAGCATTTTGTGAGGCCAAGGCGGATGGATCGCTTGAGGTCAAGAGTTCAAGACCAGCCTGGCTAACATGGAAAAATCCCATCTCTACTAAAAATACAAAAATTAGCCGAATGTGGTGGCATGCACCTGCTATTCTTGGGACGCTATACTTGGGACGCTGAGGCAGGAGAATCGCTTGAACCCAGGAGGCAAAGGTTGCAGTGAGCCAAGATCGCGCTACTGCACTCCACCTGGGCGACAGAGCGAGACTCCGTCAAAAAAAAAAAAAAAAAAAAAAGCAGCGAAAGAAGGCAGAGATGTCAATGGGACAAAGAGACCTCCCAGGAGGCTTGTTGTAGAGGCAGTGGCTGGATCCTGAGAGAAGAGATTTTTTTTAAATTATGTAGCAGAATGGGGAGAGAAAGGGAGAAGCACATGAAAGACAGAAAAGCACAAAAATCTGCGGACGTCCTAGAATAAACCAGATAAAATAGTGTGAGTGTTTTTACATTAAAAAAATAGAAGAAGTGCAATGGTTGTCAGCAGACTTTGTGGTCGTGTAGTGGTTAATACTTGTAGTTGTGGTTGCCACAACCTCTGTTCTAATCTGAGTCACAGTAGTGTTTTCTATCCTGCAACTGTGGCTAATAGACCTGTCGTTTGCTTTGCCTTTAATCCTAGCAGCCTCCAGAGAGCACAGGAAACCTCTGGCCCTGAAGGGCGCCAGCTTCTGGAGTTTAGCCCACAGCGCAGAAACTAGGGGGCGGCCTGGCCTATAGGAAAACTTGGACATGCTCTTTGTCTCACAATTGAGCAGGAAACATTCCCGTAGGTGAAGATGCCGCCTCTCAAGGGCCCTCTGTCTGTAGCTTCCAGTGATGAAATAATGCGGTTATAGTCTTTTTCGGTAGAGAAAACGGCTGTATCAGTGGAATTTTTTAAAAACACAAAATGAGAACGAGTTTTTCATGAGTTGACAATAAAATCTAAACTAGTTGTCATGGTTTGCACCGGCTTGCCTCCATTCCCCATCCGCTAATTTTTATGAGAACAGTAAATTATTACTATTATTATTATTATTGAGATGTAGTCTCGTTCTGTCACCCAGGCTGGAGTGCCATGGCTCAATCTCAGTTCACTGCAACCTGTGTCTCCCAGGTGCAAGCAATGAGAACAGGGATCCAGTTTCAGCTTTCAACATATGGCTAGCCAGTTTTCCCAGCACCATTTATTAAATAAGGAATCCTTTCCCCATTTCTTGTTTTTGTCAGGTTTGTCAAAGATCAGATAGTTGTAGATGTGTGGCATTATTTCTGAGGGCTCTGTTCTCCTCCATTGGTCTATATCTCTGTTTTGGTACCAGTACCATGCTGTTTTGGTTACTGTAGCCTTGTAGTATCATTTGAAGTCAGGTAGCGTGATGCCTCCAGCTTTGTTCTTTTGGCTTAGGATTGACATGGCGATGCGGGCTCTCTTTTGGTTCCATATGAACTTTAAAGTAGTTTTTTCCAATTCTGTGAAGAAAGTCATTGGTAGCTTGATGGGGATGGCAGGGAATCTATAAATTACCTTGGGCAGTATGACCATTTTCACGATAGTGATTCTTCCTACCCATGAGCGTGGAATGTTCTTCCATTTGTTTGTATCCTCTTTTATTTTGTTGAGCAGTGTTTTGTAGTTCTCCTTGAAGAGGTCCTTCACATCCCTTGTAAGTTGGATTCCTAGGTATTTTATTCTCTTTGAAGCAATTGTGAATGGGAGTTCACTAATGATTTGGCTCTCTGTTTGTCTGTTATTGGTGTATAAGAATGCTTGTGATTTTTGCACAAGAATTTTGTATCCTGAGGAGTCATTTTTAAAATAAATATATTGCAAATGACTTTTCCCAGTCAGTGAAAAGTCTGACTGAAAGCTGTCAACTGAAAAATCACACAATTTATAAATTTAGAAGGGAGATTTTATTTTTTATAAAGGGTTACAGCCTGCAAGGTGGCCATTCTGACAGACAGGGAGGCATACCCTCTTGCTGCTGAAACCTGAAAAGTACGTTTCCAGGGAGGGGAGGGGGGAACAGGGATTTATGTTGATGTGGTGGGCCACATATACATATTCAACAGGGAATAGGAGGAGCTCTGAATATTCATGAAGGGATCCTGCTGCATGCATGCTGAGTAAACATGCCTGTTACATGCAACCCATGTTCACTTTGGGGTGGAGACAACATTTAAATACATTATAATTAGGCCCTATGCTTCAAAAGGGGAAGCAGGGACACAAAGGCAGTCAAGTGCACAGCCTCTGTAAACCGTCCAGAACCCGTCCACAGCCAGTGCTCTCTTATCAAGGGGAAGTTACTGAAATCAGTCTCTTGTCCAATCAAAGCTGTAGTTATGGCTTGTGTAGGGAGGGCTCAGTCAGTTTATGGTAATGGGTGAGCTGCAAGTGCTTCAGCATTGCTTATCTCAAGGCCAGTGCTTGTTTAGCTAGAGAAAAAAAGGAAGAAGAAAAAGACCTGTGGCAATTAGAACATAGTTTATTCTTTAAGTTGAGGGGCGCATGACTCCACCTTGCCTGGCGTGGCCTTAGGTCTCGTTTATCATACCGTATCTTCCTACTGCAAGG
The DNA here is from genome assembly GCF_000001405.40 of Homo sapiens. NCBI lineage: Eukaryota > Metazoa > Chordata > Mammalia > Primates > Hominidae > Homo > Homo sapiens. Next base: position 16,674,973 of record NC_000001.11, on the reverse strand, counting down.
AGTCTGTTCTGTCAGTCTTAGGATCTCTATTTTAACAATAATGCTGGTCAGTTGTGTCTAAACCACAAAGGGAGAGAGTATAAGGAGAGGTGTCTGAGATTCCAACTACTGGGCAGGAACTCAGTATTTAAGACTTCTCTGGGGTCTCCTTGGCCAAGAAGCAGTCTGTCCAGTGGCTTTGGATTTTAATTTTAGTTCTCAAAGCATTTAATTAGATGAAATTTTGCCATATTTTTTCTTTTTTTTTTTTTTTTGAGACGGAGTCTCGCTCTGTCGCCCAGGCCGGACTGCGGACTGCAGTGGCGCAATCTCGGCTCACTGCAAGCTCCGCCTCCCGGGTTCACGCCATTCTCCTGCCTCAGCCTCCCGAGTAGCTGGGACTACAGGCGCCCGCCACCGCGCCCGGCTAATTTTTTGTATTTTTAGTAGAGACGGGGTTTCACCTTGTTAGCCAGGATGGTCTCGATCTCCTGACCTCAGGATCCACCCGCCTCGGCCTCCCAAAGTGCTGGGATTACAGGCGTGAGCCACCGCGCCCGGCCTTTTTTCTTTATTTTTAAAGCCTGTTATGTTCTATAAGAAATCTTTCTACTCAGGATAGTGAATGTATTCTCTTAATTTTATCTCTCTATGAGTTCCAGCGTTTTAGTTTTAATTTTTAAATTGATGACATCTAAAATTCTACTCCTAACCAAAACATTCCTGGGGGTGACCAAGGACAACTCCAAAAATCTTCCATAAATGGAAGTAAGACTTACTCCTTAAAGAACTTACTGGGATCCGGGCCTGCGGGGCACAGTGGCTTTAGTGCACCTCTGCTCTTACGACTATTCAGAAATTGTCTTTGTGAACCCATCAGGCTGTTTCAAAATCAGCAATTTAGGGCTTGCTTGCAACATGCAGTTATGCAGCAGCTGTTTTGTGGATCTGGTGAGTGCCTGCACGCATAGTTCCCTGGGAATTTTCTAAATTTGAATTCTCTTGGTATTTCAAGTGGCTCAGTTGTCTCTTTCTTTTCTTTTCTTTTCTTTTCTTTTCTTTTTTTTTTTTTGAGTCAGAGTCTTGCTCTGTCACCCAGGCTGGAGTGCAGTGGCTGGAGTGCAGTGGCGCGATCTCAGATCACTGCAAGCTCCGCCTCCCGGGTTCACGCCATTCTCCTGCCTCTGCCTCCCCAGTAGCTGGGACTACAGGCACCCGCCACCACGCCCGGCTACTTTTTTGTATTTTTAGTAGAGACGAGGTTTTACCGTGGTCTTCATCTGACCTCGTGATCCGCCCGCCTCGGTCTCCCAAAGTGTTGGGATTACAGGCGTGAGCCACCGCGCCCGGCCAGTTGTCTCTTTCTTTTGCCTACTGCCACACACGTACCACCAAATCCTGCACTCCAAGCTGCTTCTACACCCTGGACTCCCAACCTCCAGTTAGACAATCCACATCTTCCCACACCTGCCTCAGGCTCCATCAGGCTACTGTGCCTCCTGCAGCAACCAGGCCAGGGGGAATCTGGATTCCTATTACACTTCTGAGGAAGGTGGTCAGGGAGTGTGGAGGATGTGGGTGGGAGGGGGTGAGGTTGAGGGCAGGAGTACACTGTGGTCTTCTGTCTTCTACCTCATTGGCCCAGGTGCTGCTCTCCCTCCGGTTGTCTGCTTTCAGCCCTGCCTGGGAAATCAGGCCGGCGCCCTGATCTTCCTGACTCTCATTTTGTGAGGAACCTGAACGGATGAGCCATCGCTCTTGTCCCACACGTTCTGTCCAAAAGGTGCCCTCCTCTCTGCTTGCTCGGGGGCCTGCCCTCTGAGCTCTGGCACTCAGGCTGGGATGCCGCCCAGTACAGAGGCTCTGCAGCCCTGCAGGGGTCTGACTGTTCCACACCAGCAGGATAAAGGCCACAGGGCATGCTGTGGTGGAAAAGCATTCAGAGGTGTGGGCTGAAGGCCTCTCTTTCCACAGTCCCTTTGAAGACACCATGGAAGTAGGCACCCCCTTGACAGACAAGGTGGCCCAAGGCCTGGCTTCACATGCAGGCTCTTGGGTCCCAGCGGGTCCTCTCTGTGCCTGGTATAGCCAACTGCTTCACGCATCTTACCCGGTTTCCTCTCCTCCACAACCCAAGCTCCTCCTCGACCCCCTTGCTCAGCTGTCCTCAGGACAGCAAGATCCCCAGCCCTTGGAAAAGCCCATCTCTAGTGCTTGGGGAGGGAGTTGGGTTCAGGTGGTCTAACCACAGAAGAACAGAGAACCTGAGGCAGGAGGAAATCCCTTCCCTTGCTGGGTCTCTTGGCACAGCCCATCCAGGGGTCTGGGTCAGGGTCCAGGTATACTCTACCCTCCTTGAGGACCTGGGTTTTCAGGCCCCCGAGGTTGGTCAATGTGGAGTCTTTCCCACTGTTCATCTGGGAACTGAAGGAATATCCCATGGGGCCCTCTCTTACTCATTAGAGACACCCAGAAAATACTCCATCCAGCAGAAACTGGGTGCAGTGTACCAGACCACTATAATTATAATTGCAGGATGTGGAGGTCAGATACGTTTTGTGGGTATTTTCTCTCTGTCTGTGGCTTGCTTGCCTTTTCGCTTTCTTAGTGGTATCTTTTGATGAGAAGGTGTGGCTAATGTTGATGAAGTCTCATTTATCATGTCTTTCTTATATATGTATTTTTTCTGTGTCCTGCTTGTTGGTAGGCTAATCTTTGCCTGCCAACAAGTCACAAAGTATCCTTGAAATGCTTTATATCTTTAACTTTTAAGTTTTGGTGTGTAATGCGGCTGAAATTACTTTTGTGTGTAACGTGAGGGAGAATAACATTGTTGGTCTCCCCACATCCATATAGAAGTTCATTAATTGAAATGATTTATTTTCTTTTATTGAACTGCTTTTACTGAAAACCCATTTATTGACCGTATAGCTGTGGATCAATTTCAGGTTTTCTAACTCAGGCTGTTTATCCGTTTGTCACTCTTGATGCCTTGTGTCTGATAGCTTATAGTAAACCTTAAAGTCAGATAGTACAAGTCCTTGTTCTTTTCCACACATTGCAATAAATTTTGAAATAGATAATAACTCATGAAACCATCACACACATCAGGATATGCTGTCACTTCATCCCTTTCTGACATGGTTTGGCCGTGCCCTCACCCAAATCTCAACTTGAATTGTATCTCCCAGAATTCCCATGTGTTGTGGGAGGGACTTAGGAGGAGGTAATTGAATCATGGGGGCGGGTCTTTCCTGTGCTATTCTCCTGATAGCCAGTAAGTCTCACTATCTGATGGGTTTCTCAGGGGTTTCTGCTTTGGCTTCTTCCTCATTTTCTCTTGCTGCTGCCTTGTAAGAAGTGCCTTTTGCCTCCCGCCATGATTCTGAGGCCTCCCCAGTCATATGGAAATGTAAGTCCAATTAAACCTCTTTTTGGTCCTGGACTCTGTTATGTATTTGTCAGCAGCATGAAAACGGACTAATACACTCTCATTTCTGAGTGGGACACATGCTGTCACTCACATATGCTGGTTGCTGACTTGTGACGGAAGATTCTCTATTGTACCCTCTGGGGACAATACATCTCCAGTTGCCTGCGGGGAGGATGAACCCTCAAGAGTCAATGTGTTGACTGACTCTAAATATGGGTTCCTGGTGCTCCATGCTCATGCAGCCATAGGGAAGGAAAGGGGACTATCAAGAGCCAAGGGATCCCCCATACGACTTTACTCAGATCTTGGAACTTTTAGATGCTGTCCAACTCCCAAAGAAATAACAATTACTCACTGCAGGGGACACCAGAAGGGAGACACTTTTATTATTAGAGGAAATTCCCTGGTGGAAAGAGCAGCTAAGGCCACAACTAAGGAAACCCTGGTATTTCAAGCTGCTGCGCTACTACCAGGTACTGCATCCGTGTCAGTGACACCATACTATACCCCTAAGGAAATTAAAGGGACTGAGTAAAAGGCTTCCAGGGAGACCCCTCTGGATGGTTGCTACAAAAGAACAAACTCTATTCCTGAGGCTGACAGATGGGAAATAATTAAACATTTTCATGATTCCTCACATTTGGGACGGGATTTTCCATTCAAATTAGTTTCCTAAATATTCTTCGGGAAGGGACTGTTCTAAACTATAAAAAGGGTTACCACTCAGGAAGCCACCCCATACCCCGATCCCTGCTTAAACCTGTACAACACCAAGGAACATACCATGGTGAAGACTGGCAGACAGACTTAACCCAGATGCCACCTTACAGGGAACTACAAGATTTGCTAGTATTTATAGACACTTTCACCAGGTGGATAGAAGCTTTCCCCACAAGGACAGGAAAAGTACTGGAAGTGTCTAAATTCTTAAAGAAATCATTCCAAGATTTGGATTACCAAAAGGTTTGCAAGGTGACAACTGACCTCACTTCACAGCTAAGGTGACCCAGTGAGGTCATGCCTCAGCCTTAGGCATTACCTGTCTTCATTCCTCATGGAGATCTCAGTCTTCAAATAACATAGAAAGCCAATCGCGACATTAGCAAAACTCTTTCAGTTTGGGGGCTTGCCTGCCCTGCGTCACTATCATTGTTTCCTTGGGTTTCCCAGGAATGTACATGTGTGAGACTGCCGCCCTGCTTATAGATCTGTTTCCCTGCAAGGAAACAGGAATATGTTGCCTGTGGCTTCCAGAGTTGGAGATACATGTAGTTGCACCACTGAGGGCTAACATTTAATTTTGGAATCAAGTGATGCATTCAGACTGGTTGCTATCATTCTGTGGTATATATTTAGTGAACACATTCATGATTGAGTTTCTTGCTTTTAGCTGGAGCAAGAAAGTTTTATAATTGTGATTTGTATGAAAAAATCATAGGCAAGGGAATGGATGTAAAATAAACTTTATTGTCAGAGGTTTCTAAAGGCTCATCCTTCAAGGAAAATGGACATATGCTGAAGAGCTGATAAACTGTCTACAGCAGTGTTATTCTAACCTAATCTTGATTCCAAGTTCTTGCCATTTTCCTCCAGCTACTGTTGACTCCAGTTATATATAGGATGGGGGAAAGGGGATTATCTACGAATGTAGGCATCACTTTCTCTTGGGCAGTTATCACATTGGCAGACTGAAGGGAAGTGATTTCTACAATCAAACTATCCATTTGGAGTACAAATCTGGAGTGGCTGTAAAATTCGGTTCTCAGAGATGAACTTGCAGATTCGGACTTTCAATTGTTCTGTTGTTTTAGTTTTTCTCATCAACTGGGGAACTGTTTGTGACTAAGCTTTGTTAAAAGTAGAGAAGAGCTTTTCATAATTCCAACATTAGTTGTTACCTGAAACAAACAAAAACACACACAGAGACAATTAAACAGTAATCTTTGGTGAGGTCTTGCTGATACCTGAGGCTGGAGTGAGAGCTGAGTGGTGATACAGCTCATGTGCGTGATCCAGATTGCGCACTCCTTATGAGACTGTAACTGATGCCTGATGACCTGAAGTGGAACAGTTTCATATGGAAAACATCCACCACCCCCTTCCATGGAAAAATTGTCTTCCATGAAACCAGTCCCTGGTGACAAAAAGGTTGAGGACAGCCAAAAAGGCTGCTTTAAATGATAACCTTCCCCAAAACTAAATTACCCCTGTAAAATGAATGAAAGGCCACCAAGTTAGAAGGATGAAAGGGGCCTGATTTCTACTAAGATGTATGCCTCGTTAAATAATTACCAGCCATTATTCCAGAAGTCACAAGATTGGCAGCTTCCCCAATTACTGCTGTGAAGAACATCACTATTGTAGAACCTAAGATTGGCCTCTTGAGATGTCTTTTCAGGCTTTTGCATTTCTGACTGCTGGAAGGCACCATCTGGCCCGAAAATCAACCAGTCCCTTAGCCCCCACCCAGAAGCTGACTCCATGCAGGAGGGCCATTTTCCACGCCCCTGTGATTTCATCCCCAACAATCAGCACCACGCAAGCCCTAGCCCCCTCCCCACCAAACTATCTTTGAAAAACCCCTTACCTCCAAGCCTTCAGTGAGATTGCTTTGAGTAATAACTCTGTCTCCCACATGTCGTGGCTGGCCTGTGTCAATGAAACCGTTTCCTGCAGTGCCATGGTCTCCATGAATTGAGTTTTTGTGTACATTGGTCAGGAAGAACCCATCAGGCGGTTACATCTGCAGGATGGTGCCAGTTCTTTCCACAAAGGCTGGTCAGATACCCAGAAAACATTTCTCCACTACTACCTGGACAATGTGTCTCCCTGTCAATCTCCAGGGAATGGGGCCTGGATCAAGTATTTAGTATTCAGCAGTTACTACACTGTCACCTAATCCCTCATTTTCAATATTTTGCCATGCTTCCAGTGGCCTAACTGGCCACCATGCCACAGAATCTTTACTTTATGATCTCCAAGGAGAACTCTCCACTCGATGTTTTGTGATTTGAGCAATGGAATAGAATCTGATACTGGTGGGCTGGGGGAGGTCCCTGGACACTGGTGGGATCTCGACCCCAGCCGTGGTGTCCAGGCTCTTGACACCATCGTGAGAACAAAGTCAAAGATGAGTCAGCAGATAGTGAAAGAAGAGATTTATTGCAAAGCAAAAAGTACACACTCAAGAAAGGGGAGCTTGGGCATACCCAAGAGAGAATAATGGGTTCTGGGGTTTCATCTTGATGGGTTTCTTTAACCAAGAATTGGAATATTCACGAAAATTCCTGGGTAAAGGTGGAGATTTCTTGGAACTGTGGTGCCATTTTTACATCAAACACTGGTCTCAGAACTGTCATGGCACTGGCGGGTGTGTGATTTAGTATGTTAATGAGCATATAATGAGGGCCTAGGTAAAACCTCCATCCAATCCAGCACCACGTTGGGTCCACTCAGCCTTAGCCAGCTTGGTCCACACCCTGGTTTTTCAGCGTCTTAACAGCCCACAGCCTCAAGTCATGTAAATCTGCTGCCTAGAATTTGTTATCCTGTGACCACCCTGTAGTATTCCTGTCTGAAATCTACTTGTAAATATTCAAATGGTCTTTCACTTGGGCATTCCAACTTTGCTTACTTCACAGTGTTTCCTGCGTAATATATAAGAAAAGATGATCCAGACATTTGTTAAACATCTCAAATAAGATGTAGCCCAGGTATTTGTGTCAAATTTGGATTATTTTGGTTTCGTCTTTGCAGAATATAAAAAACTAACATGAGGTAAGCACTAAGGTGTGGAGATGGCTGTGCAAGAGATGACAAAGTCCAGCACCACGCTTGAGAGTGTCCAATCATCTCTTCTGGGACAGCATATTTTTCTACAATACGGATTTTTGAAAAAAAAAACAACATCAAAAAAAAAAAAACCTACAAGATTCATGAAACTGGACAACTGTCTTTATAACATTACCAGTGATAAAACCAGTAAGGACGGCTGGTTTGCAGTCATCTAAGCAGCCTCTTTACTTTCATAAATATGGTTTCTCTCTGATATTAAACGGCTTCCAATTGCAAGCGGAATGCTGCATCACAAGGATAAGGATGTGAAGAGAACCGGTTTCTTTTGTAATCCGAAACATTCTAGTCTGCGAATTAAAAGCCATTATTTGAAGAAGGATGCCCCGGCTCCATCTGGCCACCGAAAGGTTGCTCCTTAACACAGGCTAAGGACCAGCTTCTTTGGGAGAGAACAGACGCAGGGGCGGGAGGGAAAAAGGGAGAGGCAGACGTCACTTCCCCTTGGCGGCTCTGGCAGCAGATTGGTCGGTTGAGTGGCAGAAAGGCAGACGGGGACTGGGCAAGGCACTGTCGGTGACATCACGGACAGGGCGACTTCTATGTAGATGAGGCAGCGCAGAGGCTGCTGCTTCGCCACTTGCTGCTTCGCCACGAAGGAGTTCCCGTGCCCTGGGAGCGGGTTCAGGACCGCGGATCGGAAGTGAGAATCCCAGCTGTGTGTCAGGGCTGGAAAGGGCTCGGGAGTGCGCGGGGCAAGTGACCGTGTGTGTAAAGAGTGAGGCGTATGAGGCTGTGTCGGGGCAGAGCCCGAAGATCTCATACTTACCTGGCAGGGGAGATACCATGATCACGAAGGTGGTTTTCCCAGGGCGAGGCTTATCCATTGCACTCCGGATGTGCTGACCCCTGCGATTTCCCCAAATGTGGGAAACTCGACTGCATAATTTGTGGTAGTGGGGGACTGCGTTCGCGCTTTCCCCTGACTTTCTGGAGTTTCAAAAACAGACCGTACGCCAAGGGTCATGTCTTTTTTCGTATTGGTTTGTGTCTTAGTTGTTAATCCTACAGTGGAGGCCTGGGGAATAAGAAGTAACATGTGGCCTGCACGCCATAGGAGAAAAAGCGAGCATCAGCCGTATCGGCTTTGTAACACAAATTAGCTATCGTGAAGTCCGCTCAGCTCTTCCATTTCTACCCTGGCTGCTTTTTGCAGGGATTGGTCCGTGGTCTCCAGTCTCTTGGGTTCTCACCCTGTGTGAAAATCTTCGTGTTTTTCCCTACCCCCCAAGTCACCTCTTACACAGCCTCTGCTTCCAAGCGCAGCCCCCACAGGAGTTTGTAGGATTTCTGTGCTAGCGGGGAGTGTGTTCTCACCTCATAGAGCCAGGTAGAAATTATGCAGATGGGCGCTGTTCTCTGGGAAGAAAGCAGGGCCTTTGGGGCTCTCAGTGTCCCCGTTGGGTTGTAGACATAACACTCTTACTTTGCGTAGGGGAACGGCTCTGCCGGCCCCCAGGTGCCCTAGCGCATATGCATGGAGGCCCGCAGGTCAGAACCGCAGTCTCACCTGTCTTGGCGGAAATGCCCTGCGATCCTCCCGGAGATAGAAGGCGGGAAGTTTTATGAGGAGCCGGTCCAGTTTCCCTACTATCTCCTGCAGTTCATATATCTAGTGTTTCTTTAGACTTTAAGCGACTGCTTCATGTTTGATGTCTCACTCCCACATCCTACATCCACTGCCAGCCAACTTTATAGATAGCACCGTGACCCATCCTTCCCACCCCCAAGAAGCCCTTTCCTATTTCTGGTGCCAGTGTCCTCCCCAGTCCCTCTTTCTTCAGGCCCTCGCTTATCACCTTCATGGACAGAAAATACTTAGCTCTCTCTCAACCTGAGGTTTACACCTGACACGCATCAGTGCCCTGGCAAATTCCTTAATACCCCTTCTCAAATGGCACTGTAAATCATCTCTTTTTAACTCCCAGAACTATCTAATTGGTTTTGTCCCTGCACTACATGAACACTAGTATTCCACTACAGAGGAAAACCCCAGGCCTAGCGATAGCGGTTCTGGGCATTGTGCCAGCCTCTCCCAGGGTATGTTTTCTGACCTCACCTACTTTTGATCAGCTGAGGTCAGGAGTTCAAGACCAGCCTGACCAACATGGCAAAACTCCGTCTCTACTAAAAACACATACACACGCACAATAATAATAATAATGATAATAATAATAATTGCCGGGCGCAGTGGTGTGTGTCTGTAATCCCAACTACTCGGGAGGCTGAGGCAGGAGAATCGCTTGAACCCGGGAGGTGGAGGTTACTGTGAGCCGAGATCGCGCCATTGCACCGCAGCCTGGGCAACAGAGTAAGACTCTGTCTCAAAAAGAGAAAAAAAATTAGTGCATCTGAGACATATTATTGGAGACAGTAGAATCCTGCGTCCAACAGGCACTTGGTGCAGATCTGAACCCATTGAGCTATTGGCTCATGTTCCCTATGTTCTATTAAGTATCATGAGCAGAAATTGAGCTCTTTGGCTTTTACCCACTGAGTATGGCTATAGGACAGGTCTCTCTCTCTCTCTCTCTCTCTCTCTCTCTCTCTCTTTCTCTCTCATTCTTTGCATCATTATTTTTTGCCATCAGTGTGGGTTTTTGGTTTTGAGGTTATGAAGTGAATTTCTGGGGACAATCTCTGTTGGGTCGTGTTAACAAGGATCCAGTCCCTGTTTGGTGATACATGACAGCTAATCTGGTCTGTGAGTCTTCTTTATTGTCTATTTATTGTCCTGAGAATAATGGCATTTCCTGATATTTGAGACTGCAGCAATGATAAGTTGTTCAGATCTTGTCTTTCCAATGTTTGGTAAACATTTTATAGGCCCAATTTTTGTCAATATCTGCAAGAGTGGCATCTCTGTTACAAGAGTGATCTTACTACTCGATGTCCCCCCTCCCACCCAACTTCATTTCCTAGGGGCTCTTGGCTTTAACGAATTTACTGTATCTAAAAGACATCTTAGTACAGGAAGAAAACTAAATCTGTAGCATGTAAGGAGCAGTTTTATTTGATTGGTATATTCAGGTTTCTAACCAGCTGAAAAATTCAAATACATGCCCTTTAAGGATTAAGTTTAAACCACACTACAGAAAGAGAAAAGATTTATATGATCACATATAAGCAATGGAATCAGCAATATGAGTACTTTTCACAACTATACAAATCAAATTTAATAATCTCCAGAACATTAAGGAAGTTCAGCCCTTAATGGAAATGAATGAAAAGAAATTATTCACCCACTGTTACATGCCCTGGAAAGAGAATGTCCTGCCAGACTCAAAAGAGTATCACAATATTACTCAGATTTTCAGCAATGAAGGCCCTCCGAGGATCTAATGATGTTCATATTTTCAGTTTATTTCCTTCACTGATAAACATTGTTAATAGATACCATTGCCTCTGTTTGCACTTTAAGTGATGTTACTTAGAACAATTCGTTTCTTTAGAATGCACCCTAGTTTGGTGGAAGGAATTTTCCTTCTTTTCAAATATAGGATATTTTCTCATGAAACAAATTGGCATACTCTTTCAGTGAAGTGAATAGACAAATTAGATCTCTAAAATTGTAAAGGAGTCACTGCCCCAATTATCTTAGGAACAATAATACTCACTTATATAAAATTAAAATAAGAAAATTAAGCCAGGTATGGTGGCTCATAGCTACAGTCCCAGCACTTTAAGAGTTGGAGACCAGCCTGGGCAACACAGTGAAACCCCTGTCTCTACAAATTTTTAAGTATTAGCTAATTTTTTAAAGTTGGCCGGGCATGATAATGCATGACTGTAATCTCAGGCTGCAGTGAACTATGATTGTGCCACTGCCCTCCAGCCTGAGTGACAGAATGAGACTCCCAACTCAAAAAAAAAAAAAAAAGGAAAGAAAATTAAGAATTTGTTGAAAATTGTTTTACTACAATGCTAGGCTGCATGTCTTGCACCTGTACTCCCAGCAACTCAACAGGCTGAGGCGGAAGGATTGCTTTAGGCCAGCAGTTGGAGACCAGCCTGGGGAACAGGGCATGACATCATCTCTAAAAAAATACAAGGCAAGCTGAGCCAGGAGGATTGCCTGAGCCCAGAAGTTCCAAGTTGGTCAGCTATGATTGCCCCACTGCACTCTAGCCTGGATAACAGAGCAAGACCCTGTGCCTTATTTTTAAATTTATGTTATTTTTTTACTACTTATGCTTATTTATCTATTTATTTATTTTTGAGACAGAGTCTTGCTCTGTAGCCCAGGCTAGAGTGCAGTGGTGCCATCTCAGCTCACTGCAAGCTCTGCCTCCCAGGTTGAAGCTATTTCCCTGCCTCAGCCTCCAGAGTAGCTGGGATTATAGGCACACGCCACCACGCCCAGCTAATTTTTATATGTTTAGTAGAGACAGGGTTTCATCATGTTTGCCAGGCTAGTCTCAAACTCCTGACCTCAAGTGATACACCTGTCTCGGCCTCCCAAAGTGCTGGGATTACAGGTGTGAGCCAACTCGCCCAGGCTCCTTATGCTTGAAATGTGAGGTTTCATTAGGGAAAAATTTTCTTGTTGAATTTCTAACATGAAAAAATAATAGATTTAGCTGTAGATTAAATTAATGGTCCTGGTAGTTTGGTACAATAAAATAAATGAAGTTGATAGCAGAGAGGAATCTTTGATGCTTTTGAACAATTTAAATAATGTAATATTTTTTATATAAAGACATGAAAAAGTTCATTACATTATTATTATATTTATTTATTTATTTATTTATTTTGAGATGTAGTCTCACTCTGTCGCCTAAGCTAGAGTGCAGTGGTGCAATCTCGGCTCACTGCAACCACTGCTTCCCGGGTTCAAGCAATTCTCCTGTCTCAGCCTCCTGAGTAGCTGGGATTACAGGCACACACCACCACACTTGGCTAATTTTTGTATTTTTAGTAGACACGGGGTTTCACCATGTTGGTCAGGCTGTCTTGAACTCCTGACCTCATGATCCTCCTGCTATGGCTTCCCAAAGCGCTGGGGTTACAGGCATAGGCCACTGCACCTGGCCCATTACATTATTTTTTAAAAATCAGTGTGACTCTTTTGACAAATTAGAATGGTTTAATAATCTTGGTTAGGCTGGGCATGGTGGCTCATGCCTGTAGTCCAAGCACTTTGGGAGCCCGAGGTCAGGAGTTTGAGACCAGCCTGGCCAACATGGTGAAACCCTGTCTCTACTAAAAATACAAAAATTAGCCGGGCATGGTGGGGGGCTCCTGTAATCCCAGCTACTCAGAAGGCTGAGGCAGGAGAATTGCTTGAACTCAGGAGGCAGAGGTCGCAGTGAGCCAAGATCACGCCATTGCACTCCAGCCTGGGGGGGCAACAGAGTGAGACTCTGTCTCAAAAAAATCATAAATAAATAAAAATAAAGTATAAAAAATTAAACTTACGTGTTCAAATACATTAAATATATGGCAATGAAAAGGAGGCCTAGCATGACTGACTGCATTTTGCTCCTAACCCTTCCTACCGTGTGGTGACATCTTCCAGGCTAACTGCTTTTTCTTATTTCTGCACATAGGCCAAGCTATCTATGGGAGGGATTTAGCTTACAGTTTAACTTTAAAGCACAGATGATAATAATCCCTTCCCCAAACTAACTCCTGAGAAGATAGAGAGGTTGTATACACAAGTAACAGTGTTATGCTGAAGATTTATAAGAGAAGTGTGACCTGACAAAGGACCAACAATTTTCACCATCCCCTTGGGCTCTCACTGCAGCCCATGTCTGTCATTGTCAGACCTCTTCACCTCAATCGCCTCCTTCTTCCTCCCTTCCCTAATGTACAAGGAGCCGGAAAATAGTATTAATTTAAGATGGTTCTTCAGGATGTTACTTCACCATCTGTTCAGTTTGGTGGCTCTCTGGAATAAAGTCACCTTCCCTGCCCCTACACCTCAACTCTCGACTTATTGGCTGTCATGCAGCAAGTGGTGAGTGCAGTAAGCCGAGATCACACCACTGCACTCCAGTCTGGGTGACCCTGTCTCAAAAAAAAAAAAAAAAAAACAGAGAGAGAGAGAGAAATTTGGTTTTTGAACCAGACAAATTAAATAGGAGACTTAATTCCAATGAGACCTAGAAATGTCTAAATTTCTAAAATTTCTAAAAGAACTGAGAAAATTGCCTCCATTGAGGAAGTAAGCTGAAGGAGGTAGACTGTCATGTTTTCTGATTTGAGAAATATTGAGGAGGCTTTGTCTCTTTCACCTCCAACTGCTCCTTCTCCTCCTGCCCCTGCACCTGCATAGTCTTTCTTACCTGAGCCTTCCTGTCCTGCCTTGCCTCTTCTTCCATCACCATCACCTAAGGAAAGTCCCCAGGGATCTGGTCCCTTCCCTGAAACTTCTGTTCTGACAGCCCCTTTCAAGGTAAAACCCAAACCCACAGGAAGAGGGGAGCCTACCGTTGTGTATACCACTTCACCAAAACGTGAATTAAGAATATTATAAAGGACTTCCCTGATCTAAACTTAAATACATTTCACTCTTCTGTTTCTAAAGCAGGCTCCAAGATCCTGTAGGCTTTGGCAGAAAATTTGACTTAACTGTTGAAACCTTTGAGCCCAAATATTCTGATCTTTATCAATTAACTCACATGCTGGTGAAGAAGGGAAGGCCACTAACTGGTTGCAAAAGGTAAATTGGAAGGATTTTCAAAAAGGGACTGAAGCAGAACATGAAAGGTTCACATTTTCACCAAATATCTCCAAGTTGCCATTCCCGAGGTCCTTCCTAAAAATATAGATTGGAGGATAATTCAGCATTGTACTAAAAAGCCAGACAAATCTGTCTTTGCTTAACTAAAATGGTTTGAGAGCCAGGTGTGGTAGTTCATGCCTGTAATCCCAGCACTTTGGGAGGCTGAGGCGGGTGAATCACTTGAGGTCAGGAGATTGAGACCAGCCTGCCAACATGGTGAAACCCTGTCTCCACTAAAAATACAAAAATTAGCCAGGTGGCTACTCAGGAGGCTGAAGCAAAAGAATTGCTTGAACCCAGGAGGTGGAGGTTGCAGTGAGCTGAGATCCTGCTACTGCAATACAGCCTGGGAGACAGAGCGAGACTCTGTCTCACAAAGAAAAAAATAAAAAGAAAAAAGAAAAATAGAAAAAAAAATAGCAGGGTAGTAGAAATATAATGCACACAAGAATGATAATCATGAAGACAATCTGATTCTACAAGAGTAAGGGAACCTATTCCATTAGAGAGCCAACTGAAAACATCAAATCCCAGTTCACACCCCAGGGTGTGGGGTCACGTGCCTGTAATCCCAGCTACTCGGGAGGATTAGTAAGGAGGTTTGCTTGAATTCATGAGGTCAAGGCAGGAGTAAACCCTGATCATGCCACTGCACTCCAGCCTGGGTGACAGTGAGACCTTGTCTCAAAAACAAACAAACAAACAAACAAACAAAAACCCACAAAACCAAACAACAACAAATTGCCACCTCACTCTGAAATCACAGTGGCAAACATCACTTTGCTATTGACAAATTAAAAGAAAAACACTCCCTCTTGCTATCAACCTGGCCTCTTGCTCTAACATGTCTGACCCATGGTTTAAAATGCCCAAAAGCTGATGTCCTCAAATTATAATACACTTACCTATTCTGCACCAGCATTTATTTTTGTCTGGAGGAGATCACCATCCATGGTCCTGTAAATGTCTAACAGCATGGAATGATGAAGGGCAGTGTCTTTTAGGATATTTGGTTATATCTATATATATGGCTCTGAAGAAACCCAACACTGGGCGAGTTCCCTCAAACTTTTCACTAGGCATGACCACTGCTGTATTTTAGATAGAGATTCTGTGGGGCAAAACCTGAGAATTATCTGCCTGGCTATCTAGAAGATAGCTCCTTGCATTTTTTGGGGGAGAACACTTTTGCTTCAAGGGAGTGTTTCCTCCCAGGATTAGAAATCTTTCTGTAACCTCAGGAAACATTGCTGATGAAAACCAGGCATGGTGTGCTGTACAACTTGTAGTAATAAGGCAGAAGTTAAAAGGAAAAGACAGGTTCCCTGTACTTGGCTGACTCCAAGACCTGCCATAGATAGAGCCCTAGTAGATCCTCGGTAACACGATCTGAAAAGTCAGAGCCGCGAGGAGTGAGTTCCGGAGACTCTCTCAACACAGTAAGCCCCAACAAAGATAAGAGGAAAAAACAACAAATGCCTTTACTACCTTCTCTTTCCCCCTTCCCATTTCTAATTATTCAAGTTTTGTTAAGTTCTTGATTTCCCTTCAGTGCAGCTGCAAGGTCACCAGCTATACTTGCATTGCAAGACCTGTGACAGTTTGATTAGCTGCCTTTGTTCTGCTTCTATAAGCCCTCTTGCCTGCCCCCGAGTTTCATGCCATCAAATTCCCGCCGCGCCATTCAAACTAGCCGACCCCCTTTCAGAAGTGTCTATAAAGTTAAGCCCTGTCTTTGTTCGGGGCTCAGCCTTTGGATTTTCATCTGCTGGGCCTCAGTGCAGTCAATAAATCCTCCTGTTCCACCCATTGGTCTCTCTGTTCTCCTGATTCCCACAACAGTAGTAGGGGACTGCGTTCCCACTTTCCCCTGGTCTTTCATGGTATGAATAATGGACAGCATTTTTTTTTTTCACCTATAGTCGCAGGCTCGGTCTCAGTGATTGTATGCTGTGGTCAGCTGTTTTTGTTTTTGTGAGACCTTGCTTTCTTGTTTACTGTCCTGGGACAGATGTCTGTAGTCACTTGTTTCCTCGGGAGGCAAATTTCAGTCTCTGTCGGGGAGGTCTCCCATGTTAGCTGTGGTGGTACTTGGCAGGCAGAGCTCAGGGATCTAGGCTTCCGTGCTTTGTAGATTGCTCAATGGTCCCCAAGGCCTAGTGGCTTTTAACACCACTTGAAAACCTTAGTGTTTTTCCACTGTCCCCAGAGTCACCTCTTACACAGCCTCTTTTTTTGTTTGTTTGACTTTTTCTCTGAGAGACAGTCTCACTGTATCTTGGTTGAATCGATCCTCCCACCTCAGCCTCTGGAGTAGCAGAGGCACGAGTCACCACAGCCGGCTTATATCTGTTCTTTTTGTTGTTGTGGTGGCTGTCTTGTTTTTTTAAGAGTTGAAGTTTCTCCATGTTGCCCAGGCGACGTGCTCCCGGCGAAGGAGGCCGCCTGCCTGGGGGCGGGCTGGAGCCACGTCCCAGGGCTGGGGGCGCTGTGGGCACTGTGGGTGCCGCACCCACCGCTGCCCGGCACCGGAGGCCAAGAGAGCGTTCCCGACGGGCTCCGCGGATGCCCCGCCGCGTCCTGCTGCCCATCCTGCCCGGGTTGTCGCGGGCCGGGGGCACGACAAGAGGCCGGGGTCTGCCCGGACGCAGCGGCCTGCAGGGCGCAGCTGTCCCTCCACCAGCCGGGGTCCCCTCGCTCAGCCCATGAGACAAATAAATGAATACATAAATAAATAAATAAATAAAAGATGGAGTCTTGCTCTGTCGCCCAGGGTGGAGTGCAGTGGTGCGATCTCGGCTCACTTCAACCTCTGCCTCCCAGGTTCAAGTGATTCTCCTGCCTCAGCCTCCTGAGTAACTGGGATTACAGGTGCATGCCACCACACCCGGCTAATTTTTCGATTTTTAGTAGAGACGGGATTTCATCACGTTGGCCAGGCTGGTCTCGAACCCCTGACTTCAAGTGATCCACCCGCCTTGACCTCCCAAAGTGCTGGGATTACAGGCATGAGCCACTGCACCCAGCCAGAAGTGGGCATTAATATGCAGGCGCCGTATAGGGCAACATCTGTGTGCACCTCTTACAAATCTTAATGCTGTGTATATGAGGGGAGTCCTTCGTGTCCCCCTGGGGATGTTTGAGGTTGCCTGTATGTGTTATGTGTGTGCATATTTTTAAGCTCAGATATGCATAGGCGGATTGACACCTCTGTTTGAATGTATTCCCATGAGCTCATGCCATTAATTCACCATCACAAGAAATATTTACTGAGCGTGAGCCATGCCATTCCACAGACACCATTATAGCACTAAGATACAATGAGGAACAAAAAATCCAGGCTTTCTGAGCTCACACTGGGGTGGGGGCATGGTGGGAAGACACAGGCATCAATGTAATAAACAGAAACCACGACAGGGCTAAGTGTTCTGGAGGAGAGGCGCATGGTGTACTGAGGCCCCTGACGTAGACCCCAGGTGCACCTTTGAGCTTTGCCTGCATGGTTTGGGTTTGTGGGCTCACCTGCATGTGTCCATGCATGCCCCATCTGCGTGCCCGTGCATGGCTGCATCACCCCATGCACACGTGCACTGCCCCTGGGCTTGCCCACATGTGCTGCTCCCCAGGGCGCCAGGCTATCAGCCTACAAGGCATTGTGGGTCTGGGCCCAGCCTGCCACCCCCTACAGAGGCCTGAGCCTGCCTTCCCAGGAGGCCCAGGACTCTCACCCAGGGCCCTTCCCTGCAGCTGGAGCAGGCTCTGTGGCTGCAATCTGGTGAGCTGGAGACGCAAGAGCCCAGGGGGCTGGTACTCCAGAGCGTGGAGTTGCGGAGGCAGCTGCAGGAGGAGCAGGCCTCCTAGTGGCGCAAGCTGCAGGCCTACCTGGAGGGCCAGCAGCGGCAGGCCCAGCTTGTGCAGCGGCTGCAGGGCAAGGTCAGGGCCACCCATTCCTGCTCTTTCCCTCCCACGTGTTCACTTTGCCCTGCCCCCACCCCTGGGGCTCACCATCAGCTCCCAATCCCCAGATTCTCCAGTACAAGAAGAGGTTCTCGGAGCTGGAGCAGCTGTTGGAGAGATCCGGAGAGCTGGAGCAGCAGCAGCTGAGGGTGGGTGCCAGGGTGGGGCAGAGGCAGGCCCTGCCCTCCACCTGCCCAGCCTGATGCTTTAACCTCTGTGCCACCCAGGACGCAGAGCACAGCCAAGACCTGGAGAGTGCCCTCATCTGGCTGGAGGAGGAGCAGCAGGGAGGGCCAGGGCTGGCAGCATGGCCCCCTGGGCGAGCGCCTACTGATCCCCTGTGCCCCATTCAGGAGTGCCAGCCTGGCCCAGGTGAATGCCATGCTCTGAGAACAGCTGGACCAGGCAGGTTTGGCCAACCAGGCTCTGAGTGAGGAGATACGAAAGGTGACCAGTGACTGGACTCGCAGCTGCAAGGAGCTGGAGCAGTGGGAGGCGGCATGGAGGCGCGAGGAGGAGGTGGGCATGGGGGTGCAGGGAGGCCGGCGATATAAGAGGAAGATAATGCACAATTATGCTAGTGAGACTCTCTTTTCCAATAATGTTTGCACTTCTCAATACTACATTTAAAAAGGAAATAGGAGCACTTGAACGGTTAAGTAAGAAGATGAACAAAATTGAACAGAGGAAAAATAACTGTCTGAAGACATGTTGAAAATACATTTAAAGACAGTCTGTCTGAGACAGGAGCTGAGCTGGCCAATCCATCTTTTAAATAATTGAACATCATTCAGGTGTCAAGTATTTGACCTGGAGCCTGGAAGGGGAGGAGAGAGTCCAAAAAAAAGTCAAAATATAAAGAAAAAAAATTAAAGAACTTGTCCCACAAATCAGGCAACCAAGGTCTAAACTTATACCCTCTGCCTGGGTAAATTGTTGTTGCTTCTTTCTGTGACTCTTAAAAGATGTACCATATACCTCATTTAATGACTTTGCTTTATTCATGAAAACTCTATCCCCATGGGAAAAGCTGTTAAATGAAAAAAGATTTCTTTTAAGTAGAAAAATTATGAAAGGATTCCTTCCAACCCTCCATACCCAAAATATCTCAAATGAATTATGTATCTATCAATTATCAATATATATCAAAATATACCAATTAAAAATATCAGTTAAACAATACGTCAATTGAACTATGAAAGCAAGCTTATTTAAGTAGCAAAGAATAACGTGAAGGTTAGTAAGTATAGCTTATACTTAAAATACAATGAATTGAAAGCTCATGGCACTTCATAGAGTAGGAAGAAGAAACTTAATAGAAAGTGGTAGTTGGGCGAGAAGGACTGCAAGGGAGTTATTTGGAAAATGCATTTTTTATTTCTGCATCATTTTGTTCACAAATTATTCCTAATCTTTTGTGAATTTGTGGATTTCTTGAACTCAAACCAGACTTAAAAATACAGTTATAGCACAGAAAAAAATCTTTAATGGCAAAATAAAAGCTAAGCAAGAGAGCCTTTCAAAACACATGAAAATAACACACACATACAAAAAAAAAAGAATAAAGAGATGTACAAGTGACACCTCCTCAACCTTCTCACTTGGTGTACATATGCACAGTAAATTATTTTGGGCTCAGCCAAGCATGGGAGCAATTCAAATAGATCCATATGATATTCTCTGATTAGAAACTCTTGTGGAGTAAGTTGGTGAGTGTATCTTTGCCTAAAACAGTCATGTCAAAATATAGCTTCCTATAGCATATTTATTTAGTATCATTTTGGTGAAAAAGTGGTTATACAGAATAGAAAAGAGTTGTCCAAAACTAAGTGGTTGACCTTTCCAGAGCCATTACCTGCAGAATTGTTATGTAAGTCTGTTCCATACTCGTAAAGGAATACTCAGCTGACCCAACTGATTTTCTCGTGTTTTTTCCTTCAAGGGCTAGTAGAAGTCTATATGTTGTGGTGGAAAACAACCTCAGCCCTATAGTCCAACATTTGCCTATCAAAACTTGTCCTATGATTTATAAAACTAGAACCTCACTGGTAAGTCACATTCCTAGAGTCTCCCCCATCCCTAACCCCAGTCACGGAAAATAAATCAAATCATTGTCACTCTTTCTTAACAAAGAGCATACATTTAAAACTTGAGTAAAATTACAGGTACCGTCTGGGGCCTTCAAGGGGGAACTTGAAGTCTCAATACCGCAGTTGTCCAATCAGAGGATCCAAGATGAATATACTCAAGGACTTTATGCTTGGCATCCTCTGGAGACAGTACATAACCACCAGCTTGGTTTAACTGGAGATTCATTTGGGTTAGGAGAAATTATGTAGGCAATGTACTTAGTCAATGGAGGCCTCATGCCTGAAGACTTACAAGAATCTGAATTCGTATGTTACTTTTCCTTTAATGGAGTGGAATTCCAAATGAAAATAATCAAACAGCATGTGCATAAACATTAGATATAATACCCACATTTACAAAGCCTTTATAGATATGCAAGTGTTATTGCGTCTGTCCCTAGCTTCTGTACAGAATTTAATGGGTAGCTGTTACTATTTTATTGCTGTATAAAAATGAGGAAACTGATAAGTTGTCTAAAGGTGCACAATCAAAACACATCAAAGCCATTGTGAAATACAGGTCCCCGGATTTCAAAAACAGATCTTCTGCTTATAAATTCAGTCTTTTTCATACTGCCATAAACTCCAGAATGGGAAAACAAAGTTACTATCAGAAAAGCTTCTTTTAGCTGGGCGTGGTGGCTCATGCCTGTAATCGCAGCACATTGGGAGGCCAAGACAGGCGGATCACTTGAGGTCGGGAGTTCGAGACCAGCCTGGCCAACATGGTGATCTCTACTAAAAATACAAAAATTAGCTGGGCATGGTGGCGGACACCTGTAATTCCAGCTACTTGGGAGTCTGAGGCAGTAGAATCACTTGAGCTGGGGAGGCCGAGATGGCTTAGTGATCCGAGATGGCGCCACTGCACTCCAGCCTGGGTGACAGAGTGAGCCGACATCGCGCCACTGCACTCCAGCCTGGGTGACAGAGTGAGACTCCATCTCAAAAGAAAAAAGAAAGCTTATTTTTTCCCCTAATCACCATAATATTCACTATTAAGTGAGGGAAATAGAAATAATTTACTTAGCAAATCCTTTCTAGTTCAAATAATTTCTATACAGGCTGTGCAAACATAATAATGAGAGATTCTTTTTAGTCATCTTGCTTTATATCACTAATTACACTCTTATTTAATGATATTTTAAAGAAAAACGTGTTTATTTTCAAGTAGAAAACTCATATCTGTCCACCAAGGAAAGCTGTAACAAATGTAAAATACATAAAAAAGATAACTGCTAAATTTCTAAAGCATTCCAAAAAAAGACAAATAGAAGGGTGTCAGATTAGGAAAGTATGTCTTGTAAGGTGTAACGGACAGACTGATGAGCTTAGAGATGTGGATCTCAAAGTGGTTCTCAGAGCAACAGCATCAGGGTCACCTGGGAACGTGTTAGAAATGCAGATTCTCAGGTACCATCCCACATTTAATGAATCAGAAGCTCAGAGTAGAGACCAGCAATTTGTTTTAACAAGTCCTTCAGGGATTCTGATACAGCTGATGTTTGAGAAACACTAGCTTTAGGTAAACGTAAGAGGGTCACGTTAGTATTTTTAAATCATTGGAAGTTGGTTTGTTTTGTTTTTTCTTAAGTGGGACTCATTTATACTTCAATACACAGAATGGATATTTAGAGGAAGTCGTTTTTGACCTAACACAGATGAGCACTTCCAATTGAATAGCGCTTTCTGATAATGGGGCTGCCCACTACAAATGAATAACTGGGTTTCTCTAGGCTGGAGCTGCAGACAGGTCACTATGTGTATGGAGGATTGTATTAATATGATCGTGGCTCTTTATAGCTCTGCATTACTAATATTCTGTTTTAAAGTCTCTCCTCAATATCCAATGTCTCTGTGTGAATGATGGTAAGGAGTGGGTAACAGTAACAATCATCCTGTTGTTGACAACAGATGATAAGAGAAAGCCCAACTTTACACTCTGTATAATCTTACACCAATGCCCCATTCCTCGTCTAATTTTTTTACATGTTAACACATGACCTTGGCATTACTAAATAAGAAGCCCTCTCACTTAGAACCCGATGCAGTATGATAAAAATTATTTTGAGAACAATCAGGAGCTCTAGTTTTCAATTCTGCTTCTCTTCTCAAGTAGTTCTGTGCCTTAGTTTCTTCTTTGTAAATTTAAATGGTTGGAACAGAGGATCTGTTAAGTGTGATTCAAGCTGAAATTGTATGTAGCCCACACTGAGTTTCTCTGCTATACCCCTAACCCATTCAACAATCACACCACCAGTTTTCAGGACTCACAGTAGGATAGCCGTCTATCATTTGTTAATAGGTGTGCTCTTTCATCCAAACTAGAAACTCATGATTTCTGCAGTTTTTTATTCTAGCAAGGTTCTAGGTGCTGGCCTGGAACTATAAAACGAACATTTCACAAAAAGTTATGACAATATACAAGGGAAAGACAATTTCTTTGAATATCCATAATCTCAATATGGAGTCTGGCTGTGGATGGCCAAGAGATAGTTTCCTTAACTGGAAAAAGCTTTTAAATGAGGCTTGGTGGATGATATATCTTTGCATCATTACAAAGAAGAAAAAAGAGAAATCTCACAACTGAAGAAAGTGAAATTCACTTTACTTAATGCGGACCTCTGTCTCTGGTGTGCAGGTCCTCTGTGTCCAAAGATAATTAGCACTTTATAATGCTAATTATTATAATTATGTCTGAGAAAAAAATCATTAGGGGGTAGGTCCGTTCACTGATTTTCAACTGCCCCCTCTATTTAAAAATAAGGTCATTTTTCTATGAAATACCTTTAGGAGCTCAAAGCAGAAAGAGGGTTATAGAAAATCCTGCGTAGGTATAAGCCTGAGTTTTTAATATTCTTATAATTCTGTGATGTGTCTGGAAACTGAACCGGGAGGAAAACAGTGAACCTATTTAGTCCAGGAGACTAGAAATCAGGACTCAGAAGAGTAAACATTTCTGTAATAGTTAGTCCTCAAATAGTCATTCATTGACCTTCCACTGGGTGTCTGGCAATGTGCAAGCTGTTTCTAGATGCTACCTCATGTAACAACCATCAGAGTTGCACAAAGCAAGTACTAGTACTCCACTTTCATAGACAAAGAAGTAAAATCTTAGAAATTAGCTGCCCAATGTCATGTATGTAGGAAAGGAAAGCTGCATTCTGATCCATATTTGCTGGCTCCAAAGCACTTGTTGTAAATACTTCACTATCCTGTGCTTACACGTAAATGTACCATTTCTCTTAGGGGTCTTGAAATACTGAATCAAAGAATGGTGTAGGGGAAGGGCAGTTTAGAAATACCTGGAAATTTGGTTGTTTGAAGGAAGCCCACTCTCAGATGGTAGGAGATCAAGCTAACAGAATAGCTGAGAATATTTTCTGAGAGCCCCAGAAGTATAAAAACGGTCTAGGGGGGAAAATTTGGGACACAGAGTGAAAATAGCCTGCCTCTGAAGACCAGCTTCATTTCTTCCCCTCTGGGTGTTAATGAAAGAGCCTTTAACTTTGCCAGGCCTCAGTTACTAATTTCTAAAACAACTGCTGCTACTATTACTACGGATCTTACTGCTACTATGACCACCACCACCACCACATCAGTTACTGAGAACTGAACTAGATGCCAAGAAAAATGGTAAACACTTCATATACATCATCTTTTTAAACACAAAATGTACTATTAATCCAGCTTTACATATAAGAAAACTGAGGCTCAAAGAGGCTAAGTAATTTGTATGTGAACATGCTTTACACTATGTAAAACATCTTATTAGTAGATATCACTATTATTAAGAACCTATCAGCCGGAGAGGAAGAATTGGCCTTTTATCTTTCTAAGATGCACAGTTGTCTTTCTGTTTAATGTTTTTTTAAAAATCCCCCTGTGACAAGCTCCAGAGGACAAATAATTTATTTCTTGGGGTGTATGGCTCTCTAAATGAATTAATTGATAGGCATCCCCTTGTCAGTCTCAGGGATGTGGAAATAAAACAGACATGAGATGTTTTTTACCAAACTAATTTGTGCTTTAAACACATAAATAATAAATATATATATATTAAAGTAAATGTGTATTTACCGTCTCTCCTGCTCCACTTTGAATTCAAGAACCCGTGTCTTTGTTGGGTCACTGCACTGTCAATTGAGAAGTTTGGTTTTGTTTCTTTGAGTGTTAGTAAGTGGCATTAAATAGTAAATATTGCCGGGGGAAAGAAAGGAGAAAAACAGCTCCTCCAATCCATCCCTGTTTCCATTCAATTAAAGGAGGGTAGAAAGAATACTTAAGATAATTGTAATAAGTCTAATAGAATAGCAGGAGCCACTCTTTTCCTTTCAGTAGGCCATTAGCTCAGAACTATTTTCAGAGTAATACTAAGATGATATTTGCCTTTTCACTGTGTTGGCACTTGTATTGATAAGGCAAAAGCAGTGGAGTCTTAGCAAAAATTAAGACCATGAAAACAAACTGCACTAGGAATAATTCTCTTCTTTATTACTGTTTACTTGTAGGGGGAAAAACCATTTTCATTTAAGAAAGTCCTTGGTGAAGTAGTAAAAATATGAATTTTATTAAATCTCAGCCTTGAGTACAAGTCTTGTCCTTGACTGTACTTACAAGTTTTGTCCTCCCCAAAGCATATGGCGTCAAGGCTGGGCCTAACCCAGTCTCATGACCTTGTGAATCCAGTCCACAAACACAGAGACACGCGTGAAGACGGCTGGCCAGCGCGACCTTGCGCATACTCGGTTGGGGATTCTAATTCCTTTCAGGACCCAGCAGTTGTGGGTAAAGCAGGCAAGTGGGCCCCCGTAGTCACCCTGGCAGGTAGGAGAACTGATGAGGGCCCTGGGCCACAGCCATGACTAGCCTGCTTCATGATAAAATAGTTCATTTCTAGCCCCCCATACCCTTCCAGGGCTGGCCCAGGGCCCTGCCACCAACCTCACAGGCCCCCACAGGGGCCAACAGTCCCTCAGTGCACATCTCGCTCTCCCGCACATGTCCTCGGTGCTTGATGTTACACTCCTGGTTGGAGATGACATTCAGCAAGGCCACATTTAGGACTGTGTCATTACCCGTACCTGCAGTGAGGGGAATGGGGAGAAGGAGACGGTCCTGGAGGAAGATCCAGGGCTGGGCCTCCTGGCCACCAGCAGTCCTGTGCACTATGCTCTTACCTTTGGTCTCACCCCGGCCTGCAATCTCACACTTGGTCCCTGGAGGCACCACATATCATTCAGGCGGCAGGCAGATCAGGGCCACACGCTGGTTCAGGGTCACAGATCTTTAGCAAGAATGGGGGCACTCAGGGTCTGAGGCCACAAGGCTCAGCCCCACCTCACACCCTCCCAGGTTGTCCACATACCTCTCCAGCTTGAGCAGGACAAGCTGAGAGCCTGAGGGCCCACACAGCATCTTGGCTACTGGGACCCGCTGTAGGCCTGGCTCTCCATGTTGTGGGTTCTGGAACAGGGTGCCCAACCATACCTCATAGCCCGTGAGAGGCATATGGCTGGGAGAGAAGCTCTGCTAGGTCATTTGTGACTCTCAGTCCGTTGCCCCAAGGCTCACTTGTTAGCTTGCCTGGGGAAAGGGGAAGGTGGGATGAGACTGGGTCCCCAAACACAAGGGAGGCTCACCAGGAGGAGAAGCACTGCCGGGCAGTCAGTATCCACTGCTCCTTCACTAGAGACCCCCCGCAGAAATGCTGGCCCTGCCTAGAGGAGTGGGGAATTAGGACAGGGAACAGACTCCTGGGACAGATGCTAGACCTGCCATCTTCTGGCTAGGACCTCTGGGGGCAGGGATAGATTCCCAGCCCCCAGTGGCATAACCACAGAGGACACAACCTCAGCTCCTCTCTGTGGGAGACAGGCAGTTGTGCCTCACCAATTCCGCAAGCTGACTGTCCAGGGTGAGTTGCCCGGATGGCCCCCAGCCACGCGCAGCTTGGAACAACGCTGATCCAGCCGATCCACCCTCTTGCCACACTTCTCAAACTGCACCTGGTCTGTAGGATGGGGTGGGCTGGATGAAACCCAGACTGTGTGGATGTCGTGGGCTAAAGGGCCTGACCCATAACTGGCCCAACTCCTAACCTGGGGGGGTCCAGGATTGATGGCGGCTGGTCATCAGCTGAAAGACAAAGTTCACTGCGGTTAAGGGAGCCAGCCTTTGGTGGTGAGGGCTGAGGCAGGGTCATGGGGCAAGCGTCACTAGTGCTCACCGCAGCGTCGCAGGGCACAGTAGTCGAATGGGGTCCTTGGGTCCATCGTGTAGCACCAGGGCCCATGGCTATCCCCATCTGGGTCTGGCAGAAGTTCTCCTCCAGTTGTGCATGCGGTTCGGAGGTAAACGTGAACCGAGGCGGGAGCGGGAGCGAAGTCGTGGCAGGGTAGTCTCAACCATTTCCAGGCTCTGGTCCCAGACATCAAAGCATGCCGCCCCAGGGTTAGGGCCCTGGCGGGGCCGGGAGCACCAGGGATTCACTGCGGCTTGTGCGGCGTCTCAGCGGACCCGCGCTGGCACTGGACACCCTTGCGGGTCTTGCTGACCGTGCCGCGGTACTGCTCCCCCGCGCCGTGGTAGCAGTCTGCGGCCGGTGCGGGCAGCCATCAGGCCGAGACCCCGCCCCGGCCCTCCGGTTCCAGGCTTCCAGCCCCGGCTCTGTAGCCCCCAAGCTTGGGCCTCACCCTGGGGCCGCACGTCGTCTGTACAACGCCGGATCTGGTAGCAAAAGCCCACGCGCATGCCGGGCCGCAGTGTGAAGCACCAGGGCGCCTCTGAGCCGTCGGGGTTCCGGCAGAAGTTCTCCCGAAGGTCTCTAAGCAGGCGCTGCACTCAGCCCTAGCCCGCCAGCCTCCAGCCCTAAGCCCGTGACTACCCTCCTCCCGTCTCACCCGCAGCAGCACGTCCCAACGCCCGCCCCCCCACCTCACTTGCACGCGTATTTTTCTGGCGTAAATCGGTGCTGATGCGGGATTTGCGCGTCCCAACGCTGGCAAGGTACGCCCGCGGTGGTGGTATTGGCTGTGCCCCGGTAGCCCTCACCCTTCCCGCGGAAGCAGCTGACACTTGTGGCCTCTTGGCGGGGCTGTGCCTCGGACCCTTAGATGGACCGAGATAGGTCCGGCCCCGAGCGACAGCTGAGATCCCTCTGGGGCTGGGACCAAACCCGCCTTTCCCAGGTGTACGGTACTCCACGGGATATGCTCTCAGGTCACGCCCAGCCCCTCTGACCTCCCCGGCCAAGCCACGCCCCTCCCCAAGGTTCCCAGGTACCCTCCCAGGCCTGGTCCCCGCCGCCTACCGCAGCGGGGGAGGTCACAGAATTCTCGCTCGATCTGCGGATCCGTAGTGTAGCACCATGGCCGCTCGGAGCCGTCAGGATTCCGGCAATAGTTGTCGTCCAGACCTTGGTCGAGGAACCTGGGGGCGGTAATGGGGCGTGAAGAAGACCCTGGGACTCTGGCTTATCTGGCCCCGCCCAGTTGCCCTACACGGAGCCCTGCCCCTGGAGTCCTGGACCTTCCCTAGCCCGGCCCCCAGGGCGCCGATACCGCCTACGCGTACTTGCCCGGCTCGAAGGGGTGCTGGTGCGGGTGCTGAAGATCCCAGCGCTGGCACTCGCGCCCTGACTCGGTGCGGTCTACCGCGCCGCGGTATTCCTCGCCATTGCACCAGACACACGCGGCTGGAGACAAAGAGCCAGTGGGTTCGTGGATGGGCGTGGGCTTGTCCCTCCACTCTCCCAGCTTGACCCGGCGCCGCTTACCCACCCGGCAGGATTTGATGCCGCAGCTCTGGAAGCGCACGGCAGGGTCTGTTGTGTGGCACCAAGGACCTCCGGGGTCGCCATCAGGGTTACGGCAGAAGTTCTCTTCCAGGCCATTCCGGAGCGTGGGCATGTACCTGAGGGCCCAGAGCATCACTATAGTGTGTGCTGGGGGAAGGTCCCAGGCCGGGACGGAGGGAAGGTGTTTGTCCCACTGGTGATCGTTCGGGAACTTGTGGCTCCAAGCCTGGCAGGACAGGCCACCCACGGTCGTGGCCATGGTGCCCCGGTACCCAACCCCATTGTTCATGATGCAGGTCCGTATGTAGTCTGGGAGCAAGAGACAGAAGATCAACTTGGGCTGAGGTCCCCTGTCTCCCACCCTGCCCCTCTCCACCCCCACTCGCCTTTCTCCTGGAAGAGGTCACAGCGCCCAGAATGCCGCAGCCTCGTGTGGGGTGAGTGTTGAGTCCATGGCAGCAGTTGGCAACCATGGCTGCTCACATTGTAGTGGAACGCCCTGGAGAGAAGAAGGCACAAGGTAACGCCACGGCCCAGGCTCCCCTGCCCCCAGTCTTATCTATGCCCAGTGGCCACTCACCGGCAGTCCATTAAGGGCCCACAGCGACCAGCACACTCTTCAGCATCTGCCACATCCTCCTGCCAAGGCCCGGGCACCACCGCTTGTAGCGGCGCTGTAGCTCTGTGCCCCGGAGCACCTAGAAGTCATTCAATGGCGAGCGCTGCCCTGCAGAGTGGGTGCAGGTCAGGTGGGCATACATGTCAGTAATGTGTATTGGCATGTCCACAGTTTGTTCATTCAGGGGATCAAAGCTACAAGGCTTCTGGGATGGACCCTGTATGCACTTTCAAGGGCCAGTCTAGCCCCCCTGCACAGATACTTGTCAAAAAATTTCCCCTGGGAAGCAGGCCCAGACTTGGTAGTTATCACCGGTGCCTCTGTGTAGTGGCCCAGGCACCGGGCTCAGATCTAACACACACGCTCTGTGAGAGCAGTGGGTGATGGAGCTTGCCCCATCTCATCTCTCAAATGAGAATGCTAAGGCTCAGAGCCATCACATTACCCAGCCAGGGGCCCTGGCTAGGCATTCAGACTCCAAAGCTGGGCTCTCACCTGCACAAAGGCATACGCTAGGTTAGAGGGGTAGATCAGGCTCAGGAGGGGTCACTGCCTGCTGTGTGCGTGCATCTGTGTGGTCCTAACACTGCTTCAGTGCTAGAGCAGACGTGCTAATAGAGGCCTAAGTGGGCCATGTCTATGTGTTCCTAGGGCTTCCCAGCTGTGCTCAAGAGGCCAAGGTCACTGCCCCATGCCCACTGAGCCTCTGGCTCCCTGACTTTTTTCTCATCCCAGAATAGGAGAATGGGGCCAAGCCCCTCCTGAAGGCAGATGGGGATCAAGGTTGGGGGCACTCACCAGGGACCCCTAAGCATTGAGTCAGAAGCAGCAGGAGTGGGAGCCACCCCATCCTTCTGGCTGGAGGCTGCACTGTGACCCACCACAGCCCCATCCGGGAAGTTGTGAAACCTGTCCCTACGGGATTGGGTGGCTCTGGCTCCGCACGTCAGCTCAGGGCCTGCTGGACCCTGACCTGAGACCTGGTGACAGGAGCCATGAGGGGCCAGGCCTCAGGTCCCACAGGTCAGTTGCAAGGGCCTAGCACAGCTAGCCCCCTGAGAGGCCTCCCTACTTAGTGGTCAGGTGTTAGGAAGGTTTGGTGGGGCCACTTGAGGTGCCCTGGGGTTGGGGTGAAACCCCTCTGCAGCCTAGTCAGCCCAAGGGCATTGTGAAAGTGACAGCTGCCAGAGGTCTGGGTTCCAGCCCCTGGCTGACATTAAACTTTTCTGAATTTCGGTTTTTCCCTGTAAATTGGGGAAAATTACTTGCCCCAGCTTCAACACTGCCTCCCCTCCACCCTTTTGCTGCTGCCTTATCAGGCCCCAGCTGTAGGCAGGTCAGCCCACGCCCGGCGGCAGAGCCCAGAGAGGCTCGCTC
Source organism: Homo sapiens (assembly GCF_000001405.40). Lineage (NCBI taxonomy): Eukaryota > Metazoa > Chordata > Mammalia > Primates > Hominidae > Homo > Homo sapiens. Next base: position 16,645,099 of record NC_000001.11, on the reverse strand, counting down.
ATCTCAGCCGCCAGAAGTGTCATCCCAGGGAAGGTGAGCGAAGCTGTCCACTAGGACTAAATAGGGGTGGAGGTAACAGGTAGCAGGGACTCTGGCAGGAACCGCCTTTCAGACGTTTTCAGGACCGTCTGAGCGGGGCCTCCAAGTATGGGTAGGAGACAGGCGGCCTAGGGATTCCGGTTAGCACGTCGCGTTCTGCCGCAGCAGGGCTGGGAGCATCCCCGGGGCAGGCGGAGGTCGGAGGTGGTGAGGCCTTTCGGCGAAGCTGAGGCCTGGAACAACCCGGTGGGAAGCCACGGAGGGGGTCCCCTAGCGGAGGCTGGGCGCGGGCCGGTGCGCGTGCGCGGCTGGAGGCTCAGCGCGCGAGCGTGCGCGTGATTTGGCCCTGAACGGACGCCGTAGCCGAGAGGTTGGGCGGATGTTGTGAACCGGGTCGCGGCGGCCGAGGCTCGGGGTGAGTGAGGGGCGGCAGGGCTCTGAGCCTGGCGGGTTCCGGCTATTCCCTTCGCGGTCCAGTTTAGTCCACTGCGAGGGCACCTGCAGCGCCGGGATCTGAGTGCGAAACTCCGAGCGGAAGCTGGTCTGGCAGGTCCTCTGGAGCTTGGGGCCAGGCGGGGGCGACTTGGGGGAGCCATCCTTGGGCTCCCAGACGGAGTAGGTTCAGTTCTGAGCCCGGATACCCCGGCGAGGTTGGACGGGATAGCCGTGACAGGGAGTCCCCGGGCGGGGACAAGGTCCGCCTCTCACCTGGGTCCTCAGCAACTGACACCCGGAGTGGGTGTCTGGAAGGTCTGCTCATCAAATGAATGACTGCATTTAATCAGATCTTCAACTACTGTGGTAGTGAAGGGGCACCGATCATGGAGGCCCACCGAGGGCCCGAGGTCGGGAAAATCACCTTCCCGAGGAGCAGGCGTGGTGCAGACCCACAGGGGTTTGTGGCGGGAGTAGAGGGTCTGTTTGGGGCGAGATAAGAGACTGAACGGCAGAGTAGGGAGTGCTGGCTAAGGCAGTGCTGCAGAGCGAAACTCTAGACCTGCGCTGTCTAATAGAACTTTATATGATGGTGGGAATGTTCTACCTTTGTGCTGTCCAATAGAGTAACCGTTAGCCACATGTGGTCATTGAACTCTTGAAATGTGGCTGAGGCAACTGAGAAATCGAATTGTTAATTTTTAAAACTTTAAATTTAAGTAACCTCACGTGGATGACGGCTGCTGTGTTGGACAGCACAGCTACACATCAGTGAGGCCAGCACCAGGGACTCAGTGCAGGTTTTGGAGCAGCTGCAGCAGCAACATGATGTGAGGGATAGATGCACTAGGAGGACCAATGGAGTTTGCCATGAGGGCTGGGCAAGGGTGGTGCTTGGATGAGGTGGGAGGCCACATGTGTGAGTGGGAACAGTGAAACTATCAGGACCATGGATAAAAGAAGGGAGGAACCCAGGGCTGAGGAAAGAGGCTCCAGCCTTGTGGGGAGTAAGTGGGACTTATGGCTAGAGATGACCAGACCAGTGGTGGTCTGCACTTGGGGGAATGTGTAGGATTGTCGCTTCTGGTTGTGAGCTGGACTCAGTATGGCTTACAACCGAGATGAATACAGGGGCTCTGCCCCTAGGACACCTCACTTTGGACATTTTGGTCTGATTTCCACAGAGCTGAGACATTTTGTTATGGTTTGGCAAAAATATATCTGGTACCTGCTCTCTGCCCAGCCCTGTGCTGGGCACAGGGACACTGGAGAACAAGAAGTGGTCCCTGTTACATGGGCCTAGACCCTGGCTACCCTGCCTGTGTAGGAAGCTGGGAGCCCCTGCATTCCCCTGTCCTATGTGTTAGTGTGCATGCCCCTGGCCTCACCTGCTCCCAAGACTTCCTGCCATGGCAGGACTGAGGTCAGGTGTGGGGGCCCCTGGCTGGCCCTGAGTAGACAGGCTCTGTGTCTGCCTCAGCCTCCAGGACCACTGGCTGCCCATGAGAGACGAAGGATGGCATCCAAGGGGGCCGGCGTGTCTTTCTCCCGCAAGAGCTGTAGGCTGACCTCAGATGCTGAGAAATCCAGGGTCACAGGTAAGGGCTGGCAGAGAAGGAAGGAGGCTCCTCTTGTTGGGAGGAGAAGGAAGGGACAAAGGCCTCAGGCCTTGCTGCACCTGTGGCTGGCCTAGGACCAGAAGTCTCTGGGGCCAGCAGGGGCCAGGAGCTGCACTCATCGTGTGGCCCTTTTCTCCCTTCTGACTTGTGGCTCAGGCATTGTGCAGGAGAAGCTGCTGAATGACTACCTGAACCGCATCTTTCCTCTTCTGACCATGCACCCCCAGCAGCCACCGGCAGGTATGGCTGGGTGGGCGGCCCCTCCTCACTCTGCTGGGCCAGAGCAGAATAAGGAGGCTGCAGTTGTAGGGAAAGGGAGCCTGGGCTCTGGACAGATAGGCTTAGGCTCTGTTCTCACTGTGCTCCTGGCTGCGAGATCTCTGGCCAGAGAGTCTGCCTTCCGTACGCTGCTTCTTCCTGTCTCCAGGCAGTGCTAGTTCCTTGTGAGAGTCAGGGAGCAGAGGTCAGGGAGCGGGTGCACATTCATGCCCAGCTAGCACCTGGCACCTACTCCACACCCAGCATCTGCCCCTGCATGTACCTGCCCTCACCTTGGCCCCAGCCTGGCCCCTTGTAGCTTCTGACTGACCTTGTAAAGAACAAACTCCTCCAGGGCCTTTTCTTTACAAGTTTAATACTTTTGAGTGTAGTCAGTGTAAAAGTTACAAGTACATTTTAGCAGAAACTTAGAGGGCCAGGCACAGTGGTTCACACCTGTAATCGCAGCACTTTGGGAGGCCAAGGTGGGTAGATTGCTTGAGTCCAGGAGTTCAAGACCAGCCTGAGCAACATGGCCAGACCCCATCTCTACAATAAAATACAGAAATTACCTGGGCATGGTGGTGTGCACCTGTAGTCCCAGCTGTTAGGGAGGCTGATGTGGGAGGATCACTTGAGCCTAGGAGGTTGAGGCTGCAGTGAGCTGGCCTCTGCATGCCACTGCACTCTAGCCTGGGTGACAGAGCAAGACCCTGTCTCTAAAAAAAGAAGGAAAAGCACCTGCTATCTTGTTATTTTAACATGACTATTCAAATGCGATTCTTTTCTGTTTTCTTTCTTTGTGTTACATTTTTAATTTTTAATTTTTGTGGGTATGTAGCAGGTATATGTATTTATAGGGTATATGAGATACTTTGACACAGGCATGCAATGCGTAATAATCACATCATGGTAAATGGGGTATCCATCCCCTCAAGCATTTATCTTTTGTGTTATAAACAATCTAGTTATACTCTTTTAGTTATTTTTAAATGTACAATTATTATTTACTACAGTCACTCTGTTCTGCTACCAGACAGGTCTTATTAATTCGATTTTTTTGTACGCATTAGCCATCCCCATCTCCCCACAAGCCCTACACTACCGTTCCAAGCCTGTGGTAACCATCCAGTACTTTGCCTCTATGAGTTCAATTGTTTTAATTTTTAGCTCTCACAAATAAGTGATAACATGCAGTGTTTGTCTTTTTCTGCCTGGCTCATTTCACTTAACATAATGACCTCCAGTTCCATCCATGTTGTTGCAAATTACAGGATCTCATTCTTTTTTATGGCTGAATAGTACTCTGTTGTGTATCTGTACCGTGTTTTCTTTATTTATTCATCTGTTGATGGACACTTAGATTGCTTCCAAATCTTGGCTATTGTGAACAGTGCTGCAACAAACATGGGAATGCAGATATCTCTTCGATATACTGATTTCCCTTCTTTGAGGTATATATCTCTTCGATATACTGATTTCCCTTCTTTCAGGTATATACCCAGCAGTGGGATTGCTGGATCATATGGTAGCTCAATTTTTAGTTTAGTTTTTTCTTTTTGAAAAAATTTTTTTTTTTTTGAGACAGAGTCTTGCTCTGTTGCACAGGCTGGAGCGCAGGGGCGCAATCTCAGCTCACTGCAAGCTCCGCCTCCCAGGTTCACGCAATTCTTGGGCCTCAGCCTCCCAAGTAGCTGGGACTACAGGCGCCCGCCACCAGGTCCAGCTAATTTTTTGTCTTTTTAGTAGAGACGGGGTTTCACCGTGTTAGCAAGGATGGTCTTGATCTCCTGAGCTCGTGATCCACCCGCCTCGGCCTCCCAAAGTGCTGGGATTACAGGCGTGAGCCAGTGTGCCTGGCCTTTTTTTTTTTTTTTTTTTTTTTTTTTTGAGAAGGAGTTTTGCTCTTGTTGCCCAGGCTGGAGTGCAGTGGCATGATCTTGGCTCACTGCAACCTCTGCCTCCCGAGTTCTAGCAATTCTCCTGCCTCAGCCTCCCGTGTAGCTGGGATTATAGGCACACACCACCACGCCCAGTTAATTTTGGTATTTTTAGTACAGATGGGGTTTCGCTGTGTTGGCCAGGCTGGTCTCGAACTCCTAGCCTCAGGTCATCCTCCCACCTCGACGTCCCAAAGTGCTGAGATTACAGGCATGAGCCACCACACCTGATCAATTTTTAGTTTTTTCAGGAACCTCCAAACTGTTCTCGATAGTGATTGCACTATTATAATTTACATTTCCACTAACAGCGTACAGGGGTTCCACAACCTCGCCAGCATTTGTTGTTGCCTGTCTTTTGGATAAAAGCCATTTTAACTGGGGTGAGATGATATCTCATTGTAGTTTTGATTTGCATTTCTCTGATGACCAGTGACGTTGAATACCTTTCCATATGCCTGTTTGCTATTTGTATGTCTTCTTTTGAGAAATGTCTGTTCGTATCTTTTGCCCATCTTTTGATGGAACTATTAGTATTTTTCCTATATAGTTGTTTGCGTTCTTTATATATTCTGGTTATTAATCCCTTGTCAGATGGGTAGTTTACAAATATTTTCTCCCATTTGTGGGCTGTCTCTTCACTTTGTTGATCGTTTACTTTGCTATGCAGAAGCTTTTTAACTTCATGTCTGTTTATCTTATAATGTATGTAGTTCAGATTATGCTGTATAGAAAACTTTAAAAAAATTTGTCACCTTCAGTTCTTTTCTTAAAACATTTTTATTGAGCTATGATTAATATACAATAAACTACACACACTTAAAGTGTACAATTTGATAAGTGTTAACATATAGATAAAACCCGTGAAACCATCAGTACCATCAAGGTAATGGACATGTCCCTCACTTCCAGAAGTTTGCATCCTATTTTTATTATCAAATGTTATCCCGTGAGTATTTTTCCACATTATCAATGTATCTTACTGAGCATCTTTAGGGCCAGGGGGTCTGCTGTGGCCCATACAAGTGCCCTAGTTTGGAAGGACTTTTGCCTTTGTAAACAATGCTGTGAGGATGCCCAGGGCTGGAGTCGTGTGGCTAGAGTGTTTGAACTGCAGTCACTTTTAAGACTGTTGCCAGATTACTTCTTCAAAGGATCAAGTAGGTTCTCCGTCCCTGCAGTGAGGCACGGTTGTCCCTGTCTCTCACCCCCTTATCAGCCTTAGCTGTTCTGTCTTTTACGACTTCTGCTCTTTAGGCAGGTCCAAAAGGCAGCATCATTACCTGTTCTATTTAAGCAATTGTGGTGGTCAGAAAGTGCCTGCTTGCAGAGAGTTCCTGCCCACCCCCACCCCATACTCAGTCCTGGCCTGTTCTCAGAGCCATCTGATCCCTACCTCATGTGATACCAGAGATGGTCCTGCTGCTGCTGCTGCTGCTGTGGCCGCCAGGAGAGACAGCAGGTGGTAGGGCCGTCAGTCAGTGGTTGTGGGGATTCAGGGCCCTGAACTGGGACCTAGGAGATCCAAAAAGGTCAGGGAAGTTGCTGGTCTTGGCCAAATGGGCCGTGCTGTAGGCACTCAGTGGTGGCTGTCTCAGGCCGACTGCCCACAGATATGTGCAGTCTGCTCTCAGGATCAGGCACACGACTTTGGGGGTCAGGTACAAGAGTAGCCACTCCAAGTGTGGGCTTGTTAAGAACTGTTTTCTTTTGAGGCAGGGTCTCGCTATGTCCCAGTCATAGCTCACTGCAACCTCAAAGTTCCAGGCTCAAGGAATCCTCCCACCTCAGCCTCCCACATAGCTGGGACCACAAGCACATGCCACAGCACCCAGCTAAATTTTTTTTTTTTTTTAAGAGGCAGGGTCTTACTGTGGCACCCAGGCTGGTCTCAAACCCCTGGGCTCAAGTGATTCTCCCACCTCAGCCTCCCAAAGTGCTGAGACTACAGGTGTGAGCCACCATGCTTGGCCTGTAACTGCTTTTGAGAAAGGCTCCTTTATCCTTGGTCCACTGGGGTATTCAGAGATGGGGTTGGCTTTAGCCTTCTATGCTACTAGCTGAGCACCCCGACTGCATAGCCACCACCTGGCCTTGGCCTGGGACAGAGCAGCAGTGGGGAGGGGCCTTTGTGCATCTCTGCTCCTACAGCTCAGGGCTGGGAGTGGCTTACACTGGGGGAATATGTGATCCCTGAGCCTGGGTAGTGGCTACTTTGTCAGGGTGCTTTGTGCCACCTTCGTCCCCTTCCAGAGCTTTCTGTCTGTGTGGATGAGTAGGGTAGGAACTGGCATGAAAGGTGGAAGAGCAGGTGGTGGCAGCCTGTGGGCAGCCAGGTGTGTAATGGGCCTCTGTTCTGCCTGAGTCCTGCTGGTTACCACCACCTCACTCCCTGCTATTCTTAGCAGCTGAGCTCAGGACAGCACTGACTGGCATTAGACAGTACCCTTTTCCCTCTAGGCCTGTGTGTTGAGAGGATGAGGGGGCCACCCAGACAGATTTTTCCCAACTCCTTTGGCTCGGGTAGGTGGGCCATGTGCTCTGCTGACCATTTATGGACTGGCGGGTACAGGACAGAGCCATCCAGCAGCTCAGAGGGCTGAGCCTTTCATACTTCCAGGACATGGCCCATTCAACACAGACTCCCCTGGCTGGGTGGTGGCGAGACTGGAATCTGCCCCAAAGGAACCACAGGCCTAGGGGCAAGGGTTGGACTAGGTGGCCTTGGTACTGACCACTTTGGGAACCAGCATTTCTCCCAGCCTTCTTCTTCCAGACATCATCAGCCCAGCCACCTTTGAGAGCGGACAGGTTATGTGGTATGCAGACAGCACTTGTTATTCCCTGGGCTCTTCACAGCATCTCTAACATAAGTCATTATTCTGTTTTTACAGATGAAGGAATTAAGACTTAGAGAGGGCTACTTTTTTTTTTTTTTTTTTTTTTTGAGACGGAGTCTTGCTCTGTCACCCAGACTAGAGTGCAGTGGTGCGATCATGGCTCACTGCAACCTCCGCCTCCCAGGTTCAAGCAATTCTCCTGCCTCCGCCTCCCAAGTAGCTGGTATTACAGGCACATGCCACCACGCCCAGCTACTTTTTGTATTTTTAGTAGAGTCGCAATTTCACCATGTTGGCCAGGCTGGTCTTGAACTACTGACCTCATGATCTGCCCGCCTCAGCCTCCCAAAGTGCTGGGATTACAGGCGTGAGCCACCGCACCCGGCCACATACTTTTTTTTTTTTTTTTTTTTTGAGACAGAGTCTTACTCTTGTTGCCCGGGCTGAAGTACAATGACACGATCTCGGCTTACTACAACCTCTGCCCCACCAAGGTTCAAGCGATTCTCCTGCCTCTGCCTCCCGAGTAGCGGGGATTATACGAATGTGCCACCACGCCCAGCTAATTTTTGTGTTTTTAGTAGGGATGGGGTTTCACCATGTGGCCAGGCTCGTCCCGAACTCCTGACCTCAGGTGATCTGCCCGCCTCGGCCTCCCAAAGTGCTGGGATTACAGGCACGGGCCACCACACCCAGTCTGGACTGGTTATACTTTTGAGTTTAGTGGAGAATTCAGCCTTCTGACCTCCTGCATGCCAGAGTCTAGGACTAGGCACAGCCTTTTTTCTGGAGTCTAGGCAGCCCCCCTGTGAGCTCAGGGGAATGGATGGGATTTAGTGTCATCTGGCTGATATCAAGGACTTACTTTTAGTTAGTAATCTTTTCTTTTCTTTATGGCTCACTGCAGCCTTGGCCTCCTGGTCTGAAGCAATCCTCCTACCTCAGGTCCTGTGCAGTTGGGACCACGGGTCCATGCCACCAGGCTTGCTGATTTTTTTATTTCTCGTAGAGTCGAGTTCTCACTTTGTTGCCCAGACGGGTCTAGAATTCCTGTGCCCCAGTGATCCTCCTGCCTTGGCCTCCCAAGGTGCTGGGATTACAGGCATGAGAAACTGCACCTGGTTTAATAATCTTTTCTTAATATCATCAAATAGCCAGCGTCTAAATTTTCCATATGTCTCATAAATGCCACAGATAGGCCAGGTGCAGTGGCTCACACCTATAATCCCAATACTTCGGGAGGCCAAGGCGGGCAGATCATCTGAGGTCTGGAGTTCGGGACCAGCCTGGCCAACATGGTGAAACCCCCATCTCTACTAAAAATACAAAAATTATCCAGGTGTGGTGACACATGCCTGTAATCCCAGCTACTGGGGAGGCTGAGGCACCAGACTCGCTTGAACCCAGGAGGCGGAGGTTTCAGTGAGTCGAGATCACACCACTGCACTCCAGCCTGGGTGACAGAGTGAAACTCTGTCTCAAAATAAATAAATAAATAAAAAGTCACAGATAGTCTTGCTTTAGTTTTTTCTTTACAATTTGTTTGAATCCGGATCCATAGACATTCACAAAGTGCGAATGGTTGCTTTGTTTTGTTTGTTTGTTTGGTTGTTTGTTTGTTTGTTTGTTTGAGATGGAGTCTCGCTTTGTTGCCCAGGCTGGAGTGCAGTGGCAGGATCTTGGCTCACTACAACCTCTGCCTCCTGGGTTCAGCAATTCTATGGCTTCAGCCTCTTGAGTAGCTGGGATTACAGGAGTGCGCCACCACGCCCAGCTAACTTTTGTATTTTTAGTAGACATGGGAGCTTCACCATGTTGGCCAGGCTGGTCTTGACCTCAGGTGATCCACCTACCTTGGTCTCCCAAAGTGCTGGGATTACAAGAGTGAGCCACCGTGCCCGGCCCATGCTTTGTCTTTGAAGTCCTTTTTAACTTATTTGTTCAGGAAACTGGGCTAGTTGTCCTTGGAGATTCTCATGGTCTGGATTTTGCTGGTTGCATCCTTATGGTGTCAATTAACATATTTCTTTATCCCATGTATTTCCTGTAAATTGGATGTTGGATGTAAAGCTAGGTCAGATTCAGGCTCTTCTGCTTGCTTTTTCGTTTGATCAAGACTCCATAAGTAGAATGTGTTCTTCCATCAGGATGTCCCTATGCCAGCTGTCTCTCTTTTCAAGATCCAACCCACTCATTAGAGGCTGCAAAACTGTGAGCTTCTCATTTAGTCACTCCTGTGTATATTAATTAGAATTCTATAATGAGGCACTTTCCCTCCTTACTATTGGATAACCAGTGGTACAGGTCATTCAGGAAAGGAAAGGAAAGGATTTAACCTGTATTATGGACTTAAAATACTTTTTTTTTGAGCCAGTCTCTCTCTGTCGCCCAGGCTGGAGTGCAGTGGCACAATCACAACTCATGTTAGGCTTGACCTCCCAGGCTCAAGTGATCCTCCCACCTCAGCCTCCCAAATAGCTGGGACTATAAGTGTTCACCACTATACCCAGCTAATTTTTTTTTTTTTTTTTGAGACAGGGTCTTGCTATGTCTCAAGAAATGGGCCACCACGCCTGGCCTTAAAATACATTTTAATTTTTTAAAATACAAATAATTTTTAATGTATTTTAAGGCCAGGCGTCATGGCTCATGCCTGTAATCCCAGCACTTTGGGAGGCTGAGGCGGGTGGATCACCTGAGGTCAGGAGTTCAAGACCAACCTGGCCAGCATGGTGAATCCCCGTCTCTTCTAAAAATACAAAAATTAGCTGGGTGTTGTGACGTACATCTGTAATTCCAGTTACTCGGGAGGCTGAGGCAGGAGAATCGCTTGAACCGGAGAGGCGGACGTTGCAGTGAGCCGAGGTCAAACCAGTGCACTCCAGCCTGGGCAACAGAGCGAGACTCCATCTGAAAAAGAAACAAAAAGAAAAAAAAATTTTGTAAGTAGCCTTTCAAATTTTTATATTTTACTTTTGATGAAGTCACCTATTCACATTTCAAAAGGGTACACAGTAAAATGGCTCCCTCCCACCTCTGACCCCAGATATTCCCATTCCTTCCTTGGAGGCAAGCAGCATCATCAGCTTCTTTTTCTTTTTATATATACAATTATTTTCTTTCTTTTTTTTTTTTTTTGGCCACCAAGTTACCGTAAGAAGCATTGTCAGTTTCTTTTTCTTTTTTCTTTTTTTTTTTTTTGAGATGGAGTCTCGCTGTGCTGCGAGTCTCCAGGCTGGAGTGCAGTGGCACGATCTTGGCTCACTGCAACCTCTGCCTCCCGGGTTCAAGTGATTCTCCCACCTCCGCCTCCCAAGTAGCTGGGATTACAGGAATGAGCCACCACACCTGGCTAATTTTTGTATTTTTAATAGAGGCGGGATTTCGCCATATTGGCCAGGCTGGTCTTGAACTCCTGACCTCAGGTGACCCTCCCGCCTCGGTCTCCCACAGTGCTGGGATTACAGGCATGAGCCACCGTGCCTGGCCTATCAGTTTCTTAAGTGACCTTCCAGGGTTATTTTATATGAGCAAATGAGATCACACACGCGCACACACACACACACACACACACACACACACACACACTTTTTTGTATATACGCCTGGTAAAATTTCATCTTCACAGTTCTTGAAGATGCTTTTTTCACCTACTAGTTATAACTGGGAGGTGGCTCTGGATCAGGCCAGGAAGAACTTCTCCACTGGTTTTTCTTGGCCACAGTTCTCCACTTAAAGGATGTACCATCATGTACTTAGTAGCAGTCCCCTTTTGATAGACATTTAGGTTGTCACCAGGATATCTTACATGAGCAATGCTGCAGTGAACCTCCTTGTCCACAAGCCATCTCCTCTGTGCTGGGGTATATCTGTAGGATCCATTCTTAGAGGAGGAGCCGGTGGGGAAGGTCCTATGCCTGCATAGTTTTCGAAGATCTCCCTCAGTGCCCTCCATTGTGATTGTACTCACCCTCCCACCAGCTGTGTAGGGGAAGGCCTGTTGCCCCAGAGCCTCTCTTTGTGTATTATGTGTCCCTTTTTTTTTTTCCCAATCTGATAGTGGACAAATGGCATCCCAGTGTAGGGTTGTTGTTTTTTTCTTCTTCCTCTTTAGTTTTTGAGATGGAGTCTCACTATGTTTCCCATGCTGGCCTCAAATTCCTGGGCTCAAGCAATCCTGCCTCAGCTTCCCGCATAGCTGGGACTGCAGGTGCATGCCACCGCACCCAGCCCAGTGTAGTTTTATTTATTTTTTATTTATTTATTTTTTTGAGACGCAGTCTGGCTGTGTCGCCCAGACTGGAGTGCAGTGGCATGATCTCAGCTTACTGCAACCTCCTCCTCCTAGGTTCAAGCAATTCTCCTGCCTCAGCCTCCCAAGTAGCTGGGAATACAGGAGTGCACCACCACACCTGGCTAATTTTTTGTATTTTTGGTAGAGATGGGGTTTCACCATGTTGGCCAGGCTGGTCTCGAACTCCTGACCTCAGGTGATCTGCCCGCCTCGGCCTCCCAAAGTGCTGGGATTATAGGTGTGGGCCGCCATACCCAGCCCCAGACTAGTTTTAATTTGTAGTTGGGAGTGAGCCCCATCCCATCCCCATCCTGTGTTCTCTTCCCAAGGGACCCGCTGCAGCTGGGAGGGGAGCTGTCCAGGAGGCCGGCCTGGGAATGAGCACAGGCCTGCGGCTGGCAGAGAGCCGGGTCGAGCCAGCCCTGGAGAAGCAGGCCCAGCTGGAGGAGCAGCTGCGGGACAAGGTGCTCCACGAGAAGGACCTGTCCCAGCAGCAGATGCAAAGCGACCTGGACAAGGCTGACCTCAGTGCCAGGAGGGTCCCTGGTGGGTGCTGCATGAGGCAGGCGTCACTGCAGAAGGTAAAACTGGAGAGTTGGGGAGAAGGGAGCATCTGTTCACTAGGAGCAGGGCCTTCCTCTGTGAGCTCAGCCAGCCTTCCCAGGCACCCCACTGAGGTTCCGAAGGCAGTTGCCCAGTGTTTATCATAAACAGCTTAGCCTCCTATGACAGAACTTGTGGCCGGGTGCTGTGGCTCACACCTGTAATCCCAGCACTTTGGGAGGCCAAGGTGGGAGATTACCTGAGGTCAGGAGCTCAAGACCAGCCTGCCCAATAGGCGAAACCCTGTCTCTACTAAAAATACAAAACTTAGTCGGGTGTGGTGGTGTGTGCCTCTAATCCCAGCTACGAGGGAGGCTGAGACAGGAGAATCGCTTGAACCCAGGATGTGGAGGTTGCAGTGAGCCAAGATCACATCACTGTATTCCGGCCTGGACGACACAGCGAAACTCTGTCTCAAAAGAAAACCACAAAAAAACAACTTGTGCCCCTTACTCCTGCCACCTGGGTAAGTCCTCCAGTGCTTTCCCATGAGATAAAGCTGGTGGGAACCTCATTCCCATTTCACAGATGAGAAGTGTGAGGTCTGGAGAGGAGCCACAACTTGTTTAAGGTCACACAGCCAGGGAGGTGGATGTTAGGGTCCCTGCCTCGGGTTTGGAGAAGCATGGTGGACACAGAGCTAGTGGATTTGAGAGGCTGGGGTGGTCCCGTATTCACCTCTGTTGCTCCCCCAACTCCAGAGTGACAGAGCTGGGCCTGGCAGTGAAGCGTCTACAGAAGCAGAATCTGGAGAAGGATCAGGTCGACAAGGACCTCACCGAGAAGCTTGAGGCCCTGGTGAGCTTCAGCTGCCCCTGAGATGGGGCAGGGTGGGATGGGGTACCGGCCAGATCCATGGACACAGGCTTAGGGCTGGGCTGCCTGGGCCACCCCCAGCATCCCACTCACACTCAGGTTCAGCCCACACAGGTGTGCAGGCTTTGTGGGAAGCACACTCACTTCCTCCATCCCATTTCTCCCTCCCAGCAGCCCTGTAGAGTAATCCTAATGACACGGATGGGAAACTGAGGCCCAAGAGGGGAAATGCTTGTCCAGTCTCAGAGCCAGTAAGCAGGAGAGTTGGGACTTGAACTCCCATCCACGCTCTCCAGGTCCAGATGCTGCCTTTGGAATCCCAACTGTCCACCCCCACCAGTGGGACACTCACTCCCCCAGGGTCCAGCCTGGTTTAGTCACCCCTCTGTGTGGGGCCTGGCCTGGGTTCTAGGTCCAGCTCTCCTGCAATCGACTGTGTGACCTGGGGCAGAACCCAGCTCTTCTCTGGGCCTGGTCTGTTCATTGAGGGCCTCGGGCCTGCTGTGGGGTCTACCAGGTGGCTGGCCTATGGACATGGCTTCAGAGGCCACCTGATCAGTGGTGGGCCAGGGAGGGAGGGAAAGGGGAGGTTTCAGGTAAGACAGAACCCCGACCACTCTTTGTCTCCCTCACCGCACTCCAGGAATCCCTGCGGCTACAGGAGCAGGCGGCCCTGGAGACAGAGGATGGAGAGGGGCTACAGCGGAGCCTAAGGGACCTGGCACAGGTGTGAGCCCAGAAAGGCGGGAAGACAGGGCCCTGCCAGGCGGTCCTGGGCTCCCCCGCCTCGCCTTTCGGTGGCTTCGGATTGAACTGCAGATGGGTGGGGCCCTGGGACCCAGGCTGTAGCTGCTCAGCACCCCTGCTAGCTCACCCGGCCTCTGCCCTGGGGAGCCCCCAGTCTCAGAGGGGAGGCACGGCCCTCTCGGAGCCCACCTGTGAGCAATGCCAAATGATGTCTTCGCAATAAATGGGATGCCTCAGCGGCGAGCTGAGGACTGAGCTAGTGGAGGAGGTGAAATCAGAAGGCTTCTTGTAAGCGGGAGCATTTGGGATGAGGCGGCCCCCAGCCTCCCCTGGTCGTTTTTGCCAGCTAACCCCGAAGTTCCTAACTCTGCGGCCTCCTGCTTCCCTCCCTTACCCTCAGGCCGTCCTGTCTGACGCTGAGAGCGGCAGCCTGCGTCCAACAGCGTCCGACCGCAGCCTGCGGGGGCTCTCGGGCCAGCGGACCCCGTCTCCACCGCGGCGCTCCTCGCCGGGCCGAGGCCGTTCGCCCCGCAGAGGCCCCTCCCCGGCCTGCTCAGAAGACTCCACGCTCGCTTGCCCTGATTCTCTCCGCCCTGCACTTTTGCCAGCTGAAGGTCCAGGTAGGAAGGGGCTTGAGTTTTCTGGGCGCAGCCAGAGGCCCAGGGGGAGGGGCTCGCGCCCTCCAGGTGGGGGTGGGGGCGTGTCTGGGGGAGGAGTCTGAGCGCCCTGGGGTGCAGCCAGAGCCCTGAGAAATAGTGTCTGAGGGTGTCAGGACCCCCAAGGAGGTGGTCGAGGGCTCTGCGCTGAAGCCAGCCCAGAAGTGGGGGTGCTTGGGCAGCTGGGGGTGGGTGCTTGGGCAGCCGGTGGAGGGAGGAGGCTGCGACAGTGTTAGGGTCCTGGTAGAGAGGGAGACAGGTCCCTGGTCATACAGAGCCAGGACCCTGGGAAAAGGTCTAGCAAGGGAAATCACAGCCTAGGATGAGAGCTTGGGAACTAGGGGCAGAGCCAGGGTAGGGAGGAGTGTGAGAGTGGAACCAGGATGCAAGGGGGAGGAGCCTGGGAGCCCTGGGGGTGGGATCAGAACCCAGGAGACGAGTGTGCCTGGGAGTTTGTCTGGCATCCCGGGGGCTTTGATAGGAGTTGTCCGGGACCCCAGGGAGATGAGGGTTCAGAGGGTGGTGAGGGCACATAGGAGGGGAGTGGAAGCCTGGCTCTCAGGCCTAGGCCCCTATCCTGCCCCAGGGCAGGTCCAGGCCCTGGACCCCGCCTAGCGTAGGCTAGTGTGTATCCCTGGAACCAGAAGAGAGTAGGTGGGCTCTGGAGGCCTCAAAGGACCCCCGCTAGACTCTGTGATCCCCACGCCCCAGAACATGCGTGGGCGCTATGAGGCAAGCCAGGACCTGCTGGGCACCCTGCGGAAGCAGCTTAGCGACAGCGAGAGTGAGCGGCGGGCCCTAGAGGAACACCTGCGTGGCGCCGTCGGTCTTGTCCCGCAGGCACTGGCCAACATGGCGAAACCCCATCTCTACTAAAAATTTAAAAAATTGCCCAGGCACAGTGGCTAACGCCTGTAATCCCAGCACTTTGGGAGGCCGAGGCGTGCAGATCACTTGAGGTCAGGAATTTGAGACCAGCCTGGCCAACATGGTGAAACCCCACTTCTAAATAAAAATGCAAAAATTAGCTGGGCGTGGTGATAGGCGCTTGTAATCCCAGCTACTCGGGAGGCTGAGGCAGGAGAATCGCTTGAACTCTGGAGGTGGAGATTGCAGCAAGCTGTGTGGAGTGCAGTGAGATTGTGTCACTGCACTCCAGCCTAGGCAAGAGTGAGACTGTGTGTAAAAACAAAAAAATTGCTGGACGCGGTGGCCCACGCCTGTAATCCCAACACTTTGGGAGGCCGAGGCGGGTGGATCACGAGGTCAGGAGATTGAGACCAACCTGGCTAACACGGTGAAACCCCATCTGTACTAAAAATATAAAAAATTAGCCGGGCATCGTGGCGAGTGCCTGTAGTTCCGGCTACTCGGGAGGCTGAGGCAGGAGAATGGCATGAACTCGGGAGGCAGAGGTTGCAGTGAGCCGAGATGGCACCACTGCACTCCAGCCTGCGTGACAAAGCGAGACTCCGTCTCAAAAAAAAAAAAAAAAATTAGCCAGGCGTGGTGGCGGGCGCCTGTATTCCCAGATACTCGGGAGGCTGAGGCAAGAGAATGGCGTGAACCCAGAAGGCGGAGCTTGCAGTGAGGAGAGATCGTGCCACTGCACTCCAGCCTGGGCAACAGAGCGAGACTCCATCTCAAAAAAAAAAAAAAAAAAAAATCACGTCTTGAAGTTTTTTGCACCTACCACCAGTGGGGAAAGTGGCAGCTCACAGCAAGTCTTTGGGGTCCTAGTTGTTCCCTTCTCCTCCCTCCCCTGCCGTGGCCACCATGTGCCTGTGTAGCAGGAAGCTGTGGGATCTGCAGACTCAGCTCTATCAGGCTTCCCAGAATTGAGGGGCATGGGGTGTTCTAGGGGACATTTCCTGGTCACATGGCCTAGCAGAACTGGTGGCACAATTGCCTGTGTGTCCCAGGAGCCTAGCCTGGCCTCTTCTACGTGGTAGAGTGCTTAGAGATCACGCCAGCACCTCCATCCACTCTAAGTGGGCGGGCTGGGGAGAAGGAAAGCCAGGTTCTTCTGCTGGAGTGTGTGAGTGAAATGAGTCTGCTATGGGCAGGGTCAGGGAAGGCTTCCTGGAGGCAGGTGCCTTGGAAGACGGGAGGATGTAGCTCATGGCTAGAGGAGCAGCCAGCCACCTTCCCTGGAGAGAGCAGCCCCAGCATCCCCTCTGCTCCCGCTCCCCTTGTCCTGAAGGGAGAAGAGCAACCTGGTCCACAGCCTGCAGGTGGCCCAGCAGCAGGCCGAGGAGCTGCCGCAGGAGCGGGAGAAGCTGCAGGTTGCCCAGGAGGAGCTGCAGCGCCAGCGGGACCGGCTGGAGGAAGAGCAGGAAGAGGCGGTGCAGAATGGCGCACGGGTTCGCCGGGAGCTTGAGCGCAGGTTAGCAGCATCTCACCTCCCTGCCAGGACCCTTCAAATGTGCCTCGGGTCCCCTGACAGTGCCCCCATGGGGTTAGGTGACACCCACTGGGTCCTGGGCCTCCTACCGTCTGGACCCCTCTGATGTCGGGTTTTCTAACCAGACCCATTTCAGGAAACTGGGGCTCAGGGAGGTATAGTCACTTACCTGGAGTCAGAGAACTAGTTAAAAGGTAGAACTTGGATGATAATAACAAGAATAATTAAAATAACACTAGTAATATTAGTAGTAGTATTTTAAAAATTTAGTTAGAAGAATAATAATATCCTTACTAATTTCACTAAGTGCCAGATACCATTTTAAGCAATTCAGTTCTCTCATTTAACTCCATGATAACTCTGTGACATAGAAGCTGTTATCTCCATTTTGTGGATGGTAAACTGAGGCACAGAGAAGCCATGTCACTTGCCCCAGGTCACACAGTTAGCAGAAGAGCCAGGATTTGAACCCAGACATTCTGCCTTCAGAGTTAACCTCTTCACCACTGCGCTGCTTACCTCTCAGGGACGTGATCGCTGATGATGTTTAGTAGACTGTGGTGGAGCATGTTATTCTTGTTTCTGAAGGTCCTTGGGGAGATGTGTCAGGCACTATTTTAAGCACATGTGAAGTTTGTATCCTTAAAACAGGCTGGGCACGGTGGCTCACGCCTGTAATCCCAGCACTTTGGGAGGCCGAGGCAGGCGAATCGCCTGAGGTCAGGAGTTCAAGACCAGCCTGACCAACATGGGGAAACCCCGTCTCTACTAAAACTACAAAAATTAGTCAGGTGTGGTGGTGAGCACCTGTAATCCCAGCTACTAGGGAGGCTGAGGCAGGAGAATTGCTTGAACCTGGGAGGCAGAGGTTGCAGTCAGCCAGGATCGCACCACTGTACTCCAGACTGGGCGACAGAGCAAGACTCTGTCTCAAAAAAACAAACAATGTCACGAGGCAAGTGTTACCTCATTTTGCAGATGTGAAAACGGAGGCCCAGGGTCATGGAGCTAAGCGGTAGTGGGCTTGGTTGCCCTGTGGCTCAGGCTGTTTCTCTCCAAACTCGTGCCTCAGGCCTGGTCCCCGGCCCAGCATCTTGCTGGCTACAGGAGGTTCGGGCAGGAAAGTGACATGGGCCACCCACCCACCCTTTGTCCCACAGCCATAGACAACTAGAGCAGCTGGAAGGGAAGCGCTCAGTCCTGGCCAAGGAGCTGGTGGAGGTGAGGGAGGCGCTGAGCCGCGCCACGCTGCAACGGGACATGCTGCAGGCCGAGAAGACCGAGGTGGCCGAGGCGCTGACCAAGGTGGGTCCCTGTCTGCTGCACAACCACAAACCTACCTCTGACCCCCAGCCCCAAGCCTTGTCACTCTGGCACAGACTGGTCCCAGTGTCAGGCAGACCTCTGAGCCTGGTCACAGACTGACCCCTTCCTTCTGGATACAGGCTGATCTTTGTCACAGGCCACAGACCTCTGGACCTCTGGTCCCAGCCATAAGTGGACTGACCTCTCTTTATGGCCGTATCCCTGCTGTTCTGGATGCTCCTGGGGGCAGTGCCTATAGCTCAGGGTCATCCTGAGATTCAGCTCCTGGAGTCTGAGAGTTGTGGCCACAGCGCAGAGGGTCCTTGGCGGGGGGGCCTGCGCTGTCCGCTGCAGCCTGGGCTCTGAGCAGTGCTATCCCTAGACCTTACTCAGGGGATCCTCTGAACTCTGGCCCTGCCCTGCAGCTTGAGCTATTTTTGCACAGCTTTGCGGTGCATGGCTTTTAAATGGCTCCATAAGCAGCAGGCTTTCTGCGGTGATTTTTTTTTCCATCTCACGCCGTATCCCCTCCTTGTCTCCCCTCCCCTGTCTCCGAGGGTCCATCTCTCTGGGTCTCTTCTTGTCTCTCCTCACCTCCTCCCGACCTTTCTGCCCTTCCTCATCTCTTGGGGCCTGACCCTGCAGGGTGAGGCTGGCCGCATGGAGCTCGAGCTCTCCGTGACCAAGCTGAGGGCAGAGGAGGCCTCCCTGCAGGACTCCCTGTCCAAGCTGAGCGCCCTCAACGAGAGCCTTGCTCAGGACAAGTTGGATCTGAACTGCCTTGTCACCCAGGTACACTGTGCACCTGCGGGCCCACCTACCTTGCCCACCCGTCCTCCCCACTCAGTGAGGCACCCTGGGCCCGGCCCTGCACCTGTCTTGGCCCCTGCCTCCCTTTCTGTCTCTGGTTCTCTGTCTATCTCCGTCTGTCTGTCTGTCCTCTCTAGGAGTCAAAGCACCGACGCTCCATGGGCCCTCCTCATCTCCCCCTCCCCAGTGTCCCACACACCCAAGGGCACTGTCCCTCATTCCCTGGGAGCCTCCCCTGGGCTATCGTGGCTGGTGGGTGGGTGGAGGAGGCGTCCTGGTCCTGGGAGGGACGCCCTGCTCATGAGGCCCCACTCCTTTCCGGCCCACAGCTGGAGGAAGAAAAGGCCATGCTGCAGGGCCGGCAGCGGCAGGCGGAGCAGGAGGCCACAGTGGCGCCGGCAGAGCAGGAGTGGCTGGAGGAGCTGTGGTTGGAGCAGGAGGTGGCACGGCAGGGCCTGGAGGGCTCCCTATGAGTGGCGGAGCAGGCCCAGGAGGCGCTGGAGCAACAGCTCCCCACACTGCACCATGAGCTCAGTTGGCTGCAGGAGCAGCTAGCACAGGTAGGCCAAACTGTGTGTGGGGTGGTCTGGAGAGCATGTGGGGCAGGCCAGGCTCGCAGCCTCCTGCATCCAGTCCTGGGTTAAGTCACAGGCACTGGAGCCTGCTTCTGGGTTAAATCCAGTCCCACTTCTCCTAGCTGGGGACCTTGGACAAGCTGCCCAACCTCCCATACCTCAGTTGCCCCATTTATAACATGGGGCTAGCCGGGTGCAGTGGCTCACGCCTATAATCCCAGCAGTTGGGGAAGCCGAGGCGGGTGGATCACCTGAGGTCCGGAGATCAAGACCATCCTGGCTAACACGGTGAAACCCTATCTCTACAAAAAATTAGCTGGGTGTGGTGGCACGCGCCTGTAGTCCCAGCTACTCAGGAGGCTGAGGCAGGAGAATCGCTTGAACCCAGGAGGCAGAGGTTGCAGTGAGCCAAGATCGTGCCACTGCACTGCAGCCTGGGCAACAGAGCAAGACTCCGTCTCAATAATAATAATAATAATGATACAGATTAATAATAGGTGGAGACTTTTTAGAATTGGAATCTTAGACTTTTGGGAACTTCACATCTCGAAGAGACCTTAATGTTTCAGGGATCCAGGGACCTTCATGCAAGGTCCATCCTGGAGGGCCTGGGTTTCTGGGAGGTGCCTCTAGAGGATGGGGTAGGGAGTGCAGGAAGCAGGGTGCAAGTCTCCACCTTGAGGCCTGCTGAGCAGCTGCATTTGGGTCTGGTTTATATATTCAGCTTCTCTGCTTAGAGTAATACAAGGGTTCTGTTACTTCCAAAGCTGAGTGAGGACCCTCATTTTTCTTTTCTTTTTTTTTTTTTTTTTTTTTTTTTTTGACAGTCTTGCTCTGTTGCCCAGGCTGGAGTGCAGTGGCACGATCTGGGCTCACTGCAACCTCTGCCTCCGGGGTTTAAGCTGTTCGCCTGCCTCAGCGTCCCAAGTAGCAGGGACTACAGGCGTGCACCACCATGCCCGGCTAATTTTTGTATTTTTAGTAGAGACAGGGTTTCACCACGTTGGCCAGGCTGGTCTTGAACTCTTGACCTCAAGTGATCCACCTGCCAAAGTGCTGGGATTATAGGCGTGAGCCACCGTGTCCGGCCGGGCCCTGGTTTTTGTACACACGTGCATTGCAGATCTAGAGAAGGTCATGACTTGCCCAAGTACATATAGCACATCAGGGCAGACCCTGGGCTCGAACCCAGGCCTTCTGCCAGGACTGGGTTAGGCCCAGAGTTGGGGTACTGCACGATGAACAAGCTGGGGGATGCTGGGAGTGCTACTCAGTCTCTGGGTGGGAGCCAGCTCTCCTGGCAGCTGAGCAGGCGGGAGCAGGAGCTGGAGCAGGCCCGGTGGGAGGCCCAGTGACAGGTGGAGACGCTGGGGCAAGTGGCCCGGGAGAAGGAGGCGCTAGCCAAGGAGCACGCTGGCCTGGCTGTGCAGCTGGCGGCCTGCGGAGCGTGAAGGCAGGACCGTGTCAGAGGAGGCCACACACCTGCAGTAAGGCCTTGGGCTCTGCCCAACCCGCCCTGGGCGGTCCTCCTGGGGCCACGCCATGAACAGCCTCACCCAGGCACGGGCCCCCAGGGGCAGTTACTAAGGAGTCTGGCTTGCCAACTCGTCCTAGCTGTGGGCTCAGGCTTCCCCAGGGAGTGTGGGCCTGGCCAGGCAGGTAGATTGGCACTTGGCCCATGCCTGGCCACTCCCTGAGATCCACAGTTTCCTGGGGCCAGGGAGGCTGAGTCCCAGGGCCTCACGCACTGTATGTGCTGCAGCTTGGAGAAGGAAGCCCTGGAGGGCAGCCTGTTTGAGGTGCAATGGCAGCTGGCCCAGCTTGAGGCCCGCCGGGAGCAGCTGGAAGCCGAGGGGCAGGCCCTGCTGCTGGCCAAGGAGACCCTGACTGGTACGAGTGGCTGGGGACTTGGGGGGAACACCAGGTTCCAGCCCAGACTGCAACCTCCCAATGTCTGTAGTCTCACAGAAGTTGGGAGCACTGGAGTAGGAGTCTGGCTGGCCTGGGTTCCAGTCCTGTGCCACCACTTAGATCTCACCTTCCCTTGAGCAAGCCCCTTTCCTCTCTGGGCTGCAGATTCCTCAGCTGATGATTGGAGGTGGCAATGCCCACCTTCTAAGCCTGTTGCCAGGATGACATGGGAAAAGCGTGTAAGGCCGTGGCACGGTGCCTGGCTGAGTCAACAGTAACTGCTGTTCATCGGTCATCAGGCCTGTTAGTCTGAGTTCTCTGTGGTTTTCAGATGACTCTCTTGGCCCCAGAATCCGAGCCCCACTTCCCTGCACCGTTCCCCATCGAATCTCTGAACTCAGGGCTTCTTTCTGCTCATCTAACATTAACTAAGCACCTACTTGGGTCATGGAAATTAATTTTCCTGTCCATGTACACCTGAGCCAGACAGAACCAGGAAGGGAAATGCTGGTGGGTTTCCAACCCGGGAGATGGTTTTTAGATGATGGCTATACCATTTCCATTCCCTGTAGTCGTTTCCATTAATGCTGATAGTTAATGCTTGACAGGTATGTTCATGTCAGTCATTAAAGGAGATGCTTTATGTGTAGCTGTGCAGCTGTGGGAAGTTGCTGCTGATCTCCTCTGATCCTCCATTTCATCATCTGTTAAACGGGGATGAGGATAAACTACATAGGCATGTTATGAAGACAAAATGAGGTTATGTCTAAAATACTTAGCTGGGTGCTTGACGCATAGTAAGTGCTGAGTCAGTAATAGGGTTTTTGTTTGTTTGTTTGTTTTTGTTTGTTTGTTTTGAGATGGAGTTTCACTCTTGTTGCCCAGGCTGGAGTGCAATGGCGCGATTTTGGCTCACCTCAACCTCCGCCTCCCAGGTTCAAGCGATTCTCCTGCCTCAGCCTTCCAAGTAGCTGGGATTACAGGCACGCGCCACCATGCCTGGCTAATTTTGTATTTTTAGTAGAGACGGGGTTTCACCATGTTGGTCAAGCTGGTCTCGAACTCTCGACCTCAGGTGATCTGCCCACTTCGGCCTCCCAAAGTGCTGGGATTACAGGCATGAGCCACCGCGCCCAGCCTGTTTGATTTTTTGAGACAGAGTCTCACTCTTGTCGCCCAGGTTGGAGTGCAGTGGTGCGATCTGAGCTCACTGCAACTTCTGCCTCTTGGGTTCAAGCGATTCTCCTGCCTCAGCCTCCCAAGTAGCTAGGACTACATACGTCCGCCACCATGCCCAGCTAATTGTTGTATTTTTAGTAGAGACAGGGTTTCACCGTGTTGGCCAGGCTGGTCTTGAACTCCTTACCTAAGGTGATCCACCTGCCCCAGCTTCCCAAAGTGCTGGGATTACAGGAGTGAGCCATGGCACCTGGCCTAGGGTTGTTATATGTTTGACATCCGTCCCATTTGGGAGGCCTTCTCATCAGTCATTTTATGCCTTTAATGCCATTCTAGGTAGGCAGGAAAGGGGTCAGGGCCAGTGGGCCCATGTAGCAGATAGGGAAACTGAGGCCCAGAGAGGACAAGCCACTTCTTCAAGAGGACCCAAACTGGATGCCAGGCAGGCCCTCTGCCTCTGGGATTTTGCCCATATGGCTCAACTGGCCTAAGTCTGCTGGCCCAAGGAAAAATTTCAACCCAACCCTGCCCTTTCCCCCATTCCTCTCGTGCAGGGGAGTTGGCGGGCCTGCGGCAGCAAATAATAGCTACGCAGGAGAAAGCCAGTCTAGACAAGGAGCTGATGGCCCAGAAGCTGGTGCAGGCTGAGCGGGAGGCCCAGGCCTCTCTGCGGGAGCAGTGGGCAGCCCAGGAGGAGGACTTACAGTGACTCCAGCGTGAAAAGGTTCAGGCAGCTGGGGAGGGGTGGGCAGAAGTCTGAGCCAGTGTTTCATCATCGTTCTTGCTCTGCCTCGGTCTGTACATCTGTGAAATGGGACTCCCTCTCTGTTGTGGAGGCCCTGGGGACAGCTGGGAGGACTGGAGGGGTGGTGGGGAGGTTGTGGTCCTTATTAGACATTCAGATACCCAGGTCCCAAATCTGGTCCAGCCCTGGTAATCCTGATGCAGAGGGTCCACAACCACATTTGGGAAATGTTGACCTAATGCACAGCAGGAAAGCACTTTCATTTGCTAAGAAGTTTCCATATGAAGGGCCACGCAGACCTGAGCATGTAGAAAGGCAAGGGGCCAGGGAAGTTACTAGAACACTGACTCTGGGGTTATATTGCCTGGGTTTGAATCTAATCTTGGTCGCTTACTGGTGATGCTACCCAAGGTGTCTGTGCCTTCATTTCCCCACCTGTAGAAATAGGGATAGGATAGTGGAAGGTATTGAGGATGAGCTGAGACCATCTGCATAGAGGGCTTAACATAGTGACTGGTACTTAGCAAATGCTCCATGAGTTATGATTGCTGGCACTGGCATGCTCTCCAGAGTGGCCCTCAGAACAGGGGCCCTCAGCCACCAAATCCTAGACAGGGCTTCCTCTGACAGAGGTGCAGGCTATGACTACATGGCTCCAGGGCATGCCACTCACCCTGCAGTCCCCATGGCCTTGGGTGGTGGTTATCACGCTTCTCCATCAGGGGGCGGTAAAGCTCTTTCCGAAAGTGCTGGGATTCCAGGCATGAGCTATGGTGAAGCTCTTAAAGAAGGGGTGGCTTGGCCGGGCGTGCTGACTCATGCCTGTAATCCCAGCACTTTGGGAGGCTGAGGTGGGCGGATCACGAGGTCAGGAGATCGAGACCATCCTAGCTAACACAGTGAAACCCTATCTCTCCTAAAATCACAAAAAATTAGCTGGGCATGGTGGCACGCGCCTGTAGTCCCAGATACTTGGGAGGGTAAGGCAGAAGAATCGCTTCAACCTGGGAGGCAGAGGTTGCAGTGAGCCAAAATCACGCCACTGCACTCCAGCCTGGGTGACAGAGCGAGACTCTGTCTAAAAAAAAAAAAAAAAAAGAAGTGGCAGCTCTGTCTGCTTCTCACAGAGTTGCTAGGGACAACTGCTGAGGCAGGCACCTGCCCTCGGGCTCCCCGGGTGGGCTGCTATTTGCCTGTGGGCTCTGCCTGCCCGCCTGTCCAGTCCCCAGGGATCTGAACTGTGACCTCCCCCTTGCTCTTCTTGCCCTTTGCATTGCCTGGCTTGGCCTCATTAATGTCCCCAAATCTGTGTTCTTCTCTCCAGCTCCTCTGGCAACCCCTGACCCCCTTCATTCCTCACAGCCAGTCCTAACTCTCCTCCATCCCAACCCCAATCCCTCTTCCACAGCTGTCGGAACATCCCCTAAGCTAAAAATCAGATTGCTCCTTGTCACCTTGGCTCGAGTCCTCTCTCCCACTCCCCTCACTGTCCTTAGAATCCCCATGGCCCACACGGCCTGTCCTGGCCCAGCCACTGCCTGGGGCTCTGGCCCTGTGACTCACCGTGCCCTGTTTCCCTCTGCACCCTGCATCCTGTAGTCCTTTCCAGGGGCTGTGCTCTTGGCCTGGGGTGGTCTTTTCTCTCCTTACCTGGCTGACAGTTACTTGTCTCTCCGCAGGGGATCATGTTCGGACCCCCAGGCCAGCCCACTGCTGCTCCTTGGCACTTTCACGGCCCTGGCGTGTCCCCGTCATAGCCCTTATCAGTCCCTTGTATTTACCTGGTCACCCTCCATCTCTGAGGGTATGGGGGCCAGATGGCTCTTGCTGCCCTGATGTTTTGGGGGGTCTGCCTGGGCCCCTCCTGGTGTGTCACACGCGTCCAGTCCTGGCCCCCTAGGAGGCAGCATGGCGGGAGCTGGAGGCCGAGCGGGCCCAGCTGCAGAGTCAGCTGCAGCGTGAGCAGGAGGAGCTGCTGGCCCGGCGGAAGGCTGAGAAGGAACAGCTGAGTGAGGAGATTGCTGCCCTGCAGCAGGAGCATGACGAGGGCCTCCTCCTGGCCGAGAGCGAGAAGCAGCAGGTTCGTGAGCCCTGGCGTGGCCTCTGCTGCTCTCTGAGCTGCTCCAGTTCTGGGGCCGGGCCCTGCTCTGCCACTTGGCAGCTAGGAGCCCTGGGGCAGGCCACTGCCCTCTTGGGGGCCTCAGTTTCCTTACCTGCAGGAGGGGAGGATTAGAAGGGGGTTCGTGAGGCTTTGCTGTGCTCCATGCCTGGCACACAGTGAGCACTTACTGAGTGACAGTGACAGTCGTGACACCAGGAAAGCTGTTCCATATTCTCCCATGCCTCGTCCCACCCCACGCTGGGCATGGATCCTCATGGCTGCCTTCTGAGCAGTCCCCACGATGCCCACAGGCATCAGCTGACGTGTCCCCCCAAATAACAAATCCCTAACTTTCCTATAATGTAACGGAGACAGGGCAGACTGTGCCCATCTCCTCTCCTCACCAGCTGTGTACCTGGGCGAGTCACTTTACCTCCTTGAGCCTCAGTTTCCTCATCTGTAAGATGGGTAGAAAGAAAGACTCTGCAGTCAGGGTGCTGTGGCGGGTTAGTGAGCTCTATGAGTGGTATCCACGTCCGGGATTCTTGTGACTGCCGTTGTGCCCTTTTCCAGGGCTGCATGTCTGCCCTGGGTCCACCTGCAGTGGCACACTCAGGCCTCTAAGCCCCCAGTGGGCACATTTCCTAGGCAGCAAGAAGCCTGAGCATGCCCCCAGGACCAGCCCATCCCCCAAGCCCTTTGTCCCCTGCCTCTGCCCAGGCCTTGTCTCTGAAGGAGTCTGAGAAGATGGCGCTGTCAGAGAAGTTGATGGGTACACGGCACAGCCTGGCCACCATCTCCCTGGAGATGGAGCGGCAGAAACCAGATGCCCAGAGCCGGCAGGAGCAGGACCGGGTAGGCCTGCCGTCGTAGGGAGGCTTGCGGAGCAGGAGCGCCCTCTCTCCACCGAGCTATCCCGCGGTTTCCAGCATCCCATCTGGCGGACTCCTCTTCCTCTCTCTTCTCCTACTCTGGGTCTTCTATCCTGGTGTTCCTTGAATGCCTATCTTCCTTTTGTGCCTCGGAACCTCTCACGCCTGCCACAAGTTACTCTTTTCCTTGGTAGTTCTGAACTTTAAATAAGGTAATGCCTGTAAGAATGCCATAAATGCTCAATAATTGTCATCTGTTATTATTTTCATCAGTAACATCATCTGAATCATCAGTATTGTCTGCTTTTAACAGCTGCATTTTTCATTGTCCAAATATAGTCACATACATTTGACCATTTTATAATTATTGAATAATAAATTTGTTCTGCTATTTTACAATGAAAAATAATGCTGCAGAGAGCATTTTTGCACATGTATCGTGGCAGATGTAGGCCAGAGGCTCTTCTTTTATCCATCCTATGGCCAACCTATGAATGTATACACGTTTAATGAGATTTTGCCAGCAATCAAAGCCTTCAGGGAAAATGTCCCTAGCTCTTTACTACATCAGATCAAGGACTCTGGATAATTGGCATAACATCCTGGAATAGCTGAAACAGAGATATTATTCTCTGCTCTCCTCTGTTGTCTTTGTCTTTTCACGTCTTAATAAAAGTGCTGGTGACAAGAGTGTAACTATGTCAGTGTTCTCCTGCTGTCCTTGCCTGTGTGGGTCTTCTCCCAAACCCGACTTTCCTCCAGCGGCTTCACTGAAAAAGAGGAGGGGGCTGTGGGGGGTGGGTCGGGGAGCAGAGGAGGAAATAAACTGGATAGGGAGGAAGCTTCTCACAGGCCCGGAGAGGGTAAGGAAGGGAGTCAAAGACAGAATTTTCTTCAGCAAACAGTAAAAGGGGAAATCTGGGGATGCTAAGAGTTTTTAAACCCTTTGCTCCATCACATAAGTAATCCATGATTTTCTGTTCCACAAATCAGGACTCCTACTCCTCCCTCCCTCCCCATCCCCAATCCTGATTCCTGTTTACAAAGAATGTTGAAAAACAAGGAATTATGTATAACAGTTCCCAGTTTGCTCAGGAAATTCTCAGATTATAAAGAGACATTACAAATGAACAAGTGAAGAGAAGAACCTTGGTGGTTCCAACATAGTATGGCCATTGTTTTATACTCAAAATATAGAAAGACAACCTCAGAATAAGAAAACTTTTGGAATGGAATAAATCAAGTTTATCATTAAAATGCAAAGAAAAAAACTCTCCAAATGTTGCTGATCTTCTATTTTAAACTACTGTTAGACCGGAGAAGCGGAGAGCAGGGGAATCCGCCAAAGAGTTTTGGATGAAAATTAATCAGCCCTGTCTACCGTAGTCACACCCCACTGCCCTTGAGACCCAATCCTTCGGAAGGAGTGTCCAAGAGGTATAAAGCAAAACGAAAAAACAGTTCGCAAATTCCAGAGTTCGTTTTCTCTCATTAAAAATATAAATATCAGGCTAACACATGTTGACACACAATAACAGGGACACAGAATCCCTCCTGGAAGACCGACGGGCCCACGGACCCCACGGGTGCCACGGTGGTGGACGAGGTTAAGTAACTTGGTTCAGGGTGTCTGGGCACACCTCTGCGTGAGACTCTGTCTCTGCTGCTCCTCTCATCTCTACGCCGATTCCTCCCCACAATCCTCCCTTTTCCTTGGGCCCCCGACGCCTCTCCGACCAACAGTCTCCCCAGCCCCGCAGCTTCTCTCTTTCAGACCTTTACTTCTTGATCCTCACTCCATAGTGAGATGTGGCCTTTCAGCAAATAAATTGTGCTCAGGGAGACTGAAAGAAAGGGGTAAACCAGGATTAGTGCTGCAGGGTCAGAGCTAATGACACAAGCTTCTCTCCTCAGGCCTATTCATTTGAGATGCATCTCAGGCACTTAGGCACAGCAGTGCTAAGTTAGTACCAATTATATACATGCACACATAAATATATAAAAGCATATAAATATTACATATGTAAATATAAATTGTACCAATAAAATCGACATCAAGCTTGTTTTTAATCATTCACTCAAAATACATTGAACAGCTACTGTGCAAAGTCTTGGGACTGCTTAGAAACTTAAGACAAAAATATTGGGCCTGTAGTCCCAGGTGAAGCCTAGGCAGGAGGATGGCTTGAATGAAGGAGTCCAAGTCCAGCCTGGGCAGCATAGTGAGACTCAGTCTTTTTTTTTTTTTTCTCTGAGATGGAGTCTCACTCTGTCGGCCAGGCTGGAGTGCAGTGGCACAATTTTGGCTCACTGCAACCTCCACCTCCCAGGTTCAAGCGATTCTCCTGCCTTAGCCTCCTGAGTAACTGGGATTACAGGCACGTGCCACCACACCTGGCTAATTTTGTATTTTTAGTAGAGATGGGGTTTCACCATGTTGGCCAGGCTGGTCTCGAACTCCTGACCTCAAGTGATCCACCCACCTTGGCCTCCCAAAGTGTTGGGATTACAGGCATGAGCCACCGTGCCCGGCCGAGACTCAGTCTTTAAAATAATGAAGTAAAATAAAAACATAAACCTCAAACAAAAAGACAAACTATGATTTCAATCATTGTGAAGCTCTTGATCTAGTAGATGATATATATATATATATATATACATATACCAAAAATACTATAATTTCAGAGAAGTGCTATAGAGTCTAATGTTTAACAACTTCTGGCATTTGACTGATGGTGTTTAAAGCTCTTCCCGCATTTTCCAGGGGTATAAATCGAGGCAAGTTATTTGGTATTTACTGCATTTTGGCTTCTTCATATGCAAGGGGGTTATGATAATAATACCTACCCCATGAGGACGGTATGAGGACTAAAGAAAATCGTGTATGTATAGCCTCGGCCAATGCCCATAGACACTGAGTACTCAACTAGGTGTTAGCTAGCAGATTTTAAATTTGCATTTATTCGTATAGTTTTTAAGGTAAAATTTACATTCATTGAAATGTTAACTGTATGTTTTTTGACAAATGAATACACTTATATAACTCATATCCCTATCAAGACAGAGACCATTTTTACCACCCAGAAATTTCTCTCATGTAACTTCCCAGTCAATCCCCTGCCAGAGGGAACCACTGCTATGATTTTTTCACCACAGATTAATTTTCCCCTTTCTAGAATTTCAAATAAATGGGAAGGTATGTGCTCTTTTGTGTCATTTATCTTCACAGACTTTGAAATAAAAAAGTTACAATTTTAAACCTTTTGGGCATTTAGTAAAAATCTCCTTCCCACCAGTAGCCACCAGTCACCAGTCTTCATTTCTCTCTCTCTCTCTCTCTCTCTTTGAGACAAGATCTTGCTCTGTCATCCAGGCTGGAATGCAGTGGCATGATCATGGCTCACTGCAGCCTCAACCTCCTGAGCTCAAGCAATCCTCCCACCTCAGCCTCCCAAATAGCTGGGAGTACAGGTGCCCGCCACCACGCCTGGCTAATTTTGCTTGTATTTTATGTAGAGACAGGGTCTCACCAAGTTGCCCAGGTTAGTCTCAAACTCCTGAGCTCAAATGATCTGCGGGCCTTGGCCTCCCAAAGTGCTTGGATTACAGGTATGAGCCACTGTGCCTGGCTCAGTCTTCCTCTCTTAAAGCAACCAATGTTATTAGTTTTATGTGGGCCACCCCATGGCTTATCATTATTAATTCAGGTGTTTATACAAGGCTCTTTGAGAACTCAGTTTTAAAGGTTACCCAAAGCATCCTAAGACAACTCAGCCTAAAACGATATAAAATCAGTTTTAATATAACTGAAGTTTCTACATTCTGACTCCAACTGTCAGATTGTGACATTTTCTCTTTCTCTGACTTTATGCCAAATTTACTTCAACTTCTAGCATCCATCATTCTCATTTATGAACAAATATGTATTTAACAAATGTGGAAATACAAATCATGAAGCAAACAAAACCAAACCCTGGGCTTACGTAGCCGATAGTAAAAAATTCACCAAAATAACCACCCGATTACAGTTTCATGCAATGTGATAGGAGTAAGGGACCACCATAGGGAGGTCAGAAGGTGCTTTTCAGAGGTGGAGACTACAGCTGTTCTCAGAAGAATAGGGGTTAGAAGAACTTTCCAGGCACAGAGCAAAGCATGAGCAAAAGCTCTGTGGAGGCCAGGAAGCTGGTAAATAGGGAATAAAAGAGGCCAGTTTGGCTGGAGCAGAGAGAGCAGAACAGAATTGGTCTGAGTAGTGAGAAGAGATGAAGAAGTGGGCAAGGCGCCTGGCCATTCGGGGCTTGGTTAGTTAGGAGGTTTTGTCTAAGAGAATGGGAAGGTGTTTAAGTGCTTTAGGCTGGGAAGTGACACGGTCACATTATATTTTGGAAAAGCCACTCTGCCTGTTGTGTTGAGATTAGAGAGGCGATAAAGGGGATATGGGTAAACCACAAGAAGACTAGGTCAGTAGTCCCTCGACCCTCACTCCCCAGGTGAAGGCAGCCTAGACTAGGGTGGTGACGGAGGAGATAGAAGAGGACAGATTCAAGGAAAATTTGGAAGGTAAAAACCAGTAGGATTTGCTGACGGATGGAGTATAGGAGGGGAGAGGTAGATTATCAGGGATGTATCTTAGTTTTCTTATACAAGATAGATTCAGTTGCAATGAAATTGTTAACTGAAATTGACTTTAAATAATGGCATGACCTAAAGTTATGCAAACATTTGCCTTAGATAAAATATCAAGTTTTCAAAGTTTTTAGCTGGGTGGACGGCATGGCTTTACTTCCTATTTCTTGGTATTCTAATCCTGTTGAAAAAAAAAGTTTTTCTTTTTCTCAAAGGCTTATTTCAGTGGAAGCCCATCTGCAAAATCTGTTAATAAATTTAAATTAGAAAATAACTACAAGTGCCATTGACACATTGGTTATTCTTTTTGAGAGTGACCTAAGGCCACCTCTGGGAGAGCTGGGGGCTCTTCTGAAGCCTGCCCGACTGCACCGCGTGCCCGTGCCTGGAAGTCAGATTCGGGGCGGTGCGGCAGCGCGAGGCCTGCAGTCCTAAGCGCGGGGTCGCTCCAGCCCCAGAGGGGGTGTGTCTCCTGCCTCTTCAACCTGGCAGGGGCTGTTCAAGTGGCCGGGGAAACCAGCGATTTGGAGGGTCGAGGGCTGGTGCTTTGAAAGACAGGCGGAGGGGAGAGAGGGATTTCCCCGTCCCCGCTGCACTCGGTCCTTCCCCTGGGTTACTCCTTTCCTCCGCCTGCGCGGCCCCTAACCTGCTCGAACCCGTTGTGCAGAAGAGGCCGCCGGGTCCCTTTAAGGCCCCGCCGCGCCTGCGCCTTGGGTTATCCTGACACGCCCATCGGGATCCTGAGGAGCCAGTGGGCTGCAGGCGCAGGCGCAGGCGAGGGGCTGGGTGGCGGTTGAGACAGCGGCGGTACTGGGAGGCGTAGGTGAGGGTCGCGAGGCTGCCCGAGCTTCTGAGCGAGCGCGGTGCTTTTGGGAACGCGGGACGGGCGATCTGCGGCGCCAGGAGCTGGGCCGAGGCGCGGCGGCGCGGCTGCCGGCTGCCCTGTGAATGGGAAGTTACGCGAAGTCCACCCAGCGTTTCTGAGGTGAGGGCGCCGCGCCAGGCTGGGCGGGCGGTGAATCCGGGACCCGCGGGCGCACAGCTGGGTCGAGGCGCGGCCGTGGCAAGTTTTGTTGCGCGAGCGCGGGGGCGGGTGGGGGCTGTGGGGGGTCGTGCACCGCCGGGGCCTGAGTTCCCCGCGCTGGATTCTTCGCCTGCCGCTGCCGCCCGCAGCCCAACTCTCGTGGGCGCTGGGGAAGAAACTCGCTGGCGGGTGTTCTGTGGCATCCCAGGGGGTGGAGGGACGGAGCAGCTTCGGGGGCACGTCCTCCTATATCCTGTAGAGGACACTGACCCCGCACCCCACCCTCCAGGCCAGAAATCCGTTCCCTCTGCGGACCTGAGAGGCGAGCGCGCTCGCGCCCCTGACTTGCAAAGTTGGGGTCTTTACTGGCCTCCGGGCTTCTGCTCCTGGCGGTGTCTCCAGGCTGGTGATGGGCAAGCCAGGTGTGCCAGCTCCAGGATGCACATGAGCAGCATTTGTAGCCATCACTGAATCACCTCCTGACTAGCGGGGCAAGCCTCAAATGAACCGCAGGATTTCGGGTAGATTGGATTGTGGGGTTGCTGTTTGCACTCCAAAGAGTTGCTGTGATTTCCCTGCGTCTGGCTGGCTGGCTGGCTTCTTAGATCATCTCATGTGGCGTCCTTTCAGCGGAGAGTTAACCAAGACGTTTGGCCTGGCTTCCTTGTTTTCCTCCTATCTTTTGCTTAGAGCTGCTTTCGAAAAGAAGTCTTTTCTGGCAGTGGTATCTTTTCTTTGGGTTACAGTGTTGTTCATCCTTTCTTTGCCAAAAGAATGAATCCCAGTGCTTCAGGAAGTTAAAGAAAAGATCTGCTGGTAGTGTTCTGAGCTGATATGCGTTAGTAGCTTTTTGTTTTTAAATTCTATTGGTAAAATTTCACTAGTGAACCAGAAGCTACTTTTTCTATTCTGAAATGCTAGCTTTAAGATTTCTGAGAACTTTGCGTCAAAGAAATCTTGGAAAAGTTACTGAAGTATACAGAAGTTCACAATTTTACATGTGCAGGTGGCCCGGGCGCAGTGATCACACCTGTAATCCCAGCACTTTGGGACGCCAAGGTGGGTAGATCACTTGAGCCCAGGATTTCCAGACCAGCCTGGGCAATGTGGCAAAACCCTTTCTCTACTAAAAATACAGAAGTTAGCTGTGTGTGGTGGCGTGTGCCTGTAGTCCCAGCTACCCGGTAGGCTGAGTTGGGAGGATCACCAGAGCCCGGGAGGTTGAGATTGCAGTGAGCCGTGATCATGGCAGTGCACTCCGACCTGGATGGCAGAGTGAGACCCTGTCTCAAAAAAAAAAAAAAAAAAGTAATGAATTTTTACCAAGTGAACCACCACAGATCAAGAAATTGAACATTACTAGTCTGGGGTATATTTGTAGGGGTGGCATTGTTGGTTTTAGAGGTATATGAATGATAAAACTTTAGTATTACATATTGTTGAACATTTTCCCAAAGTAGTTGTACCATTTAGCAGGGATATGCTGGTTACCCCACATCTTCGCTGATACCTGTCAGTTAAAAATTATTTTGCCATTCTAGTAGGGGTGCAGTAATATATCAGTGTGGTTTCATTGAGATTGAGTATCTTTTATTGCCATTTATATGTCCTCTTTTGTGACGTGCCTGTTAAATCTTTTTATCCAGTTTTCATTGATATGCTTGTTTTCCTGTTGATTTGTAATACTTTATTCTGGATATGCCTCCTTTCTAGGATTTATATGTATTGCATTTCCCTTTTTTCAATCTGTAGCTTGCGTTTTCACTCTTTTATGGTGTTTTTTCATGAAGGGAGATTCTCTTTTTTTTTTTTTCTTTTTGAGACAGGATCTCACTCCATCGCCCAGGCTGGAGTGCAGTGGCACAATCACAGCTCACTGCAACCTTGACCTCACAAGGCTCAGGTGATCCCCCTGCCTCAGCCCCCAAGTAGCTGGGACCTACAGGGGAGTACCACCACACTCAGCTGTTTTCTGTATTTTTAGTAGAGATGGGTTTTGCCACGTTGCATAGGCTGGTCTGGAATTCCTAGGCTCAAGTGATACACCTGCCTCGGCCTCCCAAAGGGTTGGGATTACAGGCATGAGCCACTGCACCCAGCCTGAGATTCTTCATTTTAATGAAATTATACTTTATTAATCTTTTCCTTTATGGTTACTGTTTTTTGTGTCCTGTTTAAGAAATCAATGCCTAACCTAAGAGTATGAACACATTTTTCTGTGTTAACCTTATAACGATTTTATTTTAGTTTTTGCTTTTTTTTTTTTTCAGACAGGGCCTCAGTCTATTATTGCCCAGGCTAGAGTGTGGTGGCAGGATCTCAGCTCACTCAACCTCCATCTCCTGGCTCAAGTGATCCTCCCACCTCAGCCTCCTGAGTAGCTGCGACTATAGGCATGTGCCACCATGCCTGGCTAATTTTCATATTTTTTGTAGAGATGGGGATTCAACATGTTTCCCAGGTTGGTCTCGAACTCCTGGGCTCAAGTAATCTGCCCGCTTCAGCCTCCCAGAGTGCTGGAATTACAGGTGTGAGCCACCCCACCTGGCTATGATTCACTTTTTACTACATGGATGTGTCTGCTTGATCCAGCACCATTTATTGAAAAGACCATCCTTTTCCTTCCGCACCATGTGGCACTTTTTTTCATAAATCGAATGACTGTATGGTCATCTG
This sequence comes from Homo sapiens, assembly GCF_000001405.40. Classification (NCBI taxonomy): domain Eukaryota; kingdom Metazoa; phylum Chordata; class Mammalia; order Primates; family Hominidae; genus Homo; species Homo sapiens. The sequence continues at coordinate 16,610,622 of NC_000001.11, read as the reverse complement.
ATTTATGAAATTAGTGTGGGTCTGTTTCTGTTTCTGGACCAACTTGGGTAACATAGTGAGATCCCATCTCTACAACAAATAAAAATAATAAATAAATGAATAAAATTTAAAAAATAAGTGCGTAGAGCAGATGGAGTCATAGGTGATAATTTATAAATGATTGCCAGTTTCTTGGCTACATATGGGTGTTGGTAATTCAGATGTGTTGGGTGTTCAGGCAAAACGTATTAAGTGAATTATATGGTGTTCAGAATGATTGCTAGATGTTCATTGTGACTTGAATTAGATGTTATTTGAGCCTCACAGAGCTACAGTTTTTACTCTTTTATTTATTTGTCTTTTTAAAATTTTTACAATCTTCCTGTCAAGGCAGTAACTCTTTTATACTTAATTGTTCTTAAGTATACTTAATTACCAGAAAAGCTTTATGGATCATACCTAAATAAGTGTTAAGCCATTTAAGGGGCTCACGTGCTGTGATATAAACAATAGTATTCTACATAATAGTTTTAGGACTACATCAAATAATTTTTTTTTTTTTCTTGAGACAGTGTCTCGCTCTGTCGCCCAGGCTGGAGTGCAGTGGTATGATCATGGCTCTCTGCAGCCTTGATCTCTCAGGCTCAAGCACTCCTCCCACCTCAGCCTCCTTAGTAGCTGGGTCTACAGGCATGCACCACTGTGCCCGGCTAATTTTCTCCTTTTTGTAGACAGGGTTTTCCTGTAGTGCCCAGACTGGTTTCAAACTCCTGGGCTGAAATGATCCTCCCACCTTGGCATCCCAAAGTGTTGGGATCACAGGCATGAGCCATCACACCTGGCCATTTTAGTTTTAATAATTTTTATATTTTTCTAATTTAAAAGATGTACTAAAATCTCTTACAGCTATTATTTATGAATATAGTATTCATTGTTGTTATTATGATGATTTTGTATGTGTTTAATCTGATTTTCAATATAAGCTCCTGGCAATTAGAGATTTTGTCTCTTTGATTCACCAGTGTATTCTCAGTACTTGACCTTGCCTGGCATGAAACAGATATTGAATAAATATTTCTTAAATGAATGAATGAATGAACATACTAATACCATATTCAACAACCTCCGAGTATCACAGTTTTCACCATCTAACAAATAAAGTAGCTTGTATAGAGTAGAGTCACAGTCAACCTGCCATAAAAGGACATGTCAATGAAAAATAAACCTTCGTATGTGTAGCTGCTAAGATTTTGGGGCTTTTGTTACCGTAGCATAACCTAGCGAAAGCTCAGAGAGACAGCATATACAATATACGTGTACAGATAGACCAGCTAGACCAGTAGATGAGATTCCAAAGCTACTTTAATAAGCATTAACTAACGACACCCACACTCTCTTAATTCCCTAACAGAAATAATGGAATTCTTGTTCACTAAGATCTGCCTCAAATATTACTTACTTTGTGAAAACTTCCCTGGCTACTCTAGTATTTAGTCAGGACTCTTTATTTTTTTCCCCCCAGGCTGGAGTACAGTGGTGCCATCATAGCTCACTAACCGCTAACTGAAGGCTCAAGGAATCCTCCTGCCTCAGCCTCCCAAGTAGCTGAGACTACAAGTGTGCACCACCATGCTCAGCTTATTTTTCCTTTTTTCTTTTCCCAGACGGGGTCTTACTATGTTGCCCAGGCTGGTCAGGACTGTTGATTACATATGACAGAAACCCAACCACCTCTAGTTCCCACCACCTTTCAATCTGCTCTTCCCTGGGTCTTCCCAGTCTCCGTAAATGGCAGCTCCATCCTTCAAGTTACCGAAGCCCTAAATCTCAACGTTAACCTTGATTTCTCTCTTTTATCTCACAGGCAATCTGAAGGCAAATCCTGTTTAGACCCAGGCGAAGGTTCCCGGTGACCCGGGCTCTCACCAGCCAATTGTCCCTTGCCGTCCTCCTGAGGGTGCCTGGAGCTTAAGCACTGTGTGCTCTTGGCCTCCACACTGGGGATGCCGCTGACTCCCACTGTCCAGGGCTTCCAGTGGATTCTCCGAGGCCCTGATGTAGAAACTTCCCCATTGGGTGCACCAAGAGCAGCCTCACATGGTGTGGGCTGACATCAAGAGCTGCCAGATCCAACAGGTAAAAATCCCGAGGCATTGCCAGCTCAGTGGGGTCAGAGAGTCCTCTTTGTATTATGACTCAGATGTGAAGGGAAGATGTCAAGGTCCCTAAACATTGCAGGGCCTTGCTTGGCATGCAACAGATATTAAATAAATATTTGTTAAATGAATGAACAAATATCCACAGCATGTGCTGCCCATGAGCTGCAGTGCCGTGGTCAGGTAGAAGTGATTTTACTTCAGGAGAGGACAGTGTTCTCTCCAGGACTTTTCCTTACTAGCTAGATCTGCATCCCTCTCCTCACTCTTCCCCTCTCACCCCCCATTCTCTGCCCCCATTTCTCTCTGTTTCCACCCTGCTGTCCCCTTTCACCTGCTTTCTGCTCTTCAGCTTTGGTGGCTCACCCCCTCCCTGTCCACCTGCATCCCCCAGGCTAAGGCTCCTACACTGTCCTGGGTGGGGAGATGTGTCTGGTTTTAGGCAGTGCCCTCTGGATGTGTCCAGGATGGGGAAACATGGCTCAGTTGCCAGTATAATGGGTTAAAAGTGGCCACTTTTGAAGGCCTTTCCCATCTCCCATTCCAGAATCCTGTAGACTTAGAATTTATGGGCCACAGTGGAATTCTTGGTTCCCCAGGACCTTGTGGTGGACGTCTTCTTTCACTGAGCATTCATGGGGTGACTGTGAGGTAGTAGGCCCTGCTCTGGGCTAGAGGCCCCACAATGAGTAAATCTCAGGTCACTACCCCATGGAACCCACTACTGCAGGCATTGAGAGGGGGAGAAAGAAAGGGGCATGGCCTGTTTGTGTTCTTCTCATGTGGTCACCCACAGGTCCTGGGGGAGTAGGAGCCAGTGCAAGGAGAGAAGTCCATTGAGAAAGGCAAATGGATGACATCAGACCCAGGGGCTGAGGTCCCCAACTGCAGCTGGGTAGCTTCTGGAGTGGACAAGGAGCAACAGGGAAGTTCGTGGCCTGGTGTTCTGGGATCCACTGTCTCATCTCATTCTTGTGGGCACCAGAACGTATCCAAAGACAAGACTCAGTGTCTCTGGCAACAGTGAGCCAGAGATAGAATGTGTTTCAGAGGAGGAGGAAGGGGTTGTTGTACCCCATGGAAACAGTATATTGTTTTACAGTAGCGTGTCTTTCTCTAATAACTACTTAGCGTGTTCCTGTTAATGGAAAATATTGGTGGTGTAAGTTTCCCCACTGTTCTCATCTTCATGTAAATTTGTTCATTTCCTTCCTTCCTTCCTTCCTTCCCTACTTCCCTCCAACTCTCTTTCTCTCTCTTTTTATTCTTTCCCTCCTTCCCACCCGCCCTCCATCCCTCCCTTCCTTCCTCCTTCCCTCCTTCCCTCCCTTCTTTCCTTTCTTCCTTTCTTCTTTTCTTCTTCTTTCTCTCTCATGCTCTCTCTTTTTCTTTCCTTTTCATTCTCTCTACTTTTTTGAAGAGATCACACTGTACTGAAACCTACATTATTTTCCAAAATCTCTGGATCTGCTTCTGTCTTGCAGGCAGAGAGCTCATCCAGTAGCCCTTAGCTCTTCCCAGCCCCCTCCTTTGATTTGTGGGTGCCACTGCGGCAGCTGCTGAGTCTCAGTGGTTTCTGGTCTTCACCAAGTTCTGCCCACCCAGATGGTTTTTACCTGTCCTCACCAGAAACCTGCACTGTCTAGATTGCTGAGGCTGCTTCTCCTTAACCGATCTGCTATCTGTATTCCAGGGGCACCCCAGGGTTAGAGGTAAATGGCACAGGCCTTGAAATCTCCAACTGCTCTGACTCCAGGTTGGTGCACTTCAATGCCAAGTACTAACCACACAATTACAGGATGCCACCAAAACCTTGATATGGGGCTGCTGCATCCTAATTAAAAAAACAGTTAATAGACATTATTTTTTAGAACAGTTCTAGGTTTACAGAAAACTTGAGTGGATAATACAGAGAGTTCTCCTAGGCTCCCCTGTCCTCCAGCACACAATTTTCCCTACTAGTATGTTGTATTAGTGTGGTCCATTCATTACAATTGATGAACCACTGTTGATACGTCATTATCAACTAAAGTCCATAGTTTACATTAGAGGTCATTCTTTGAGTTTCACAGATTATGGGTTTTGGCAATTACATAATGTCCTAAATCCCCAATACAGCATCATGCGAAAGAGTTTCACTGCTGAAAATTCCCTGTGCTTCACCATTTCACGCGTCCTCCTCTCCTCCACCCCTGACAACCACTCACCATTTTACTACTTCTATCTTTTTGACTTTCCAAGAATGTCCTAGAGTTGGAGTGGTACAGTATGTGGGTTTCCAGACTGGCTTCTTTCTAGCATTATGTACTTTAAGTTCCTTCATGTCTTTTCATGGCTTGATAACTTGTTTTTTAAAATCAGTGAATCAGATTTCCTTGTATGGCTACAACAGTTTGTTTATTCTTTCGCTTGGTGAAAGACATCTTGGGCACTTCCAAGTTTTGGCGATGATGAATAAAATTGCTGTAAGTACTTCTGTGCAGGATTTTGAGTGAACTTAAGTTTTCCAAAGTGACTGTACCCTTTTGATTTCCACTAGCGATGGAAAGTTCTGGTTGCTCCTCATCTTTGACAGCATTTGGTGTGTTCACCTTTTTGAATTTTAGCCATTCTAAACAGCTTATCTGCCCCTACTGTGGAATGATGTGACAGACATAGAATAACACTTACAGTGATTCTAGTTCAAAATGAGGCAACATGGAAGGGATAAAGAAGTCACTGACCCAAAATAGTTTGGAAATGGAGCTGGGCAAAATCCAGCAGAAGTTTCTTAATTAGGATCGACAGCCTGGGACCGGCCCGCCGTCCTGTGGGTCTTTGCCTCTGGGCTGTCTGCTGTGCATTTCTTGGAACCATTATTATTTATCTTTTTTTCTCACACTTTTTTGGGTATGGCTTCTATCGCACTCCAAATGTTTTTGAGATTCATCCATGTTGTTCTGTGTGTCACCAGTTTGTTCCTTTAGCCATTCCATGGAATGAGTGTATCACAGTTTATTGATCCATTCTTGTATTGACAGATACTTGAATGTTTCCAGTTTTTTGTATTATGAATAAAACTGCTATGAACATTCTTGTATAAGTCATTTTCTGGACATAGGTTTTAGTTTCTCTTGGATAAATGCTTAGGAATTACTGAGTCATAGAATAGGTAGTTGTTTGTTTCTGTAAGAATATGCCAGATATTTTTTCCCAAAGTGCATATGCTGTTGTACCTTCCAACCATTAGTGTACGAAGGTGAGAAAGCTTTTGCTCCTTCCAAAGAGGCCTCTCTATATACATGTAATTTTTTCTAACTGGAGATAGGCTGGTGACTTCAGGGACATGAGCATGGGATACAGGACACCTGTCATGACCACCACCATGAAATTGGGATTCAGGAAGGAGGCTAGTCATATAAGGAATCCTGTGACCAGCATGAGCTTCTATCAGGCCACACAGGGCACTCAAGTGAACAGGGCATATGGGGTCCTGGGGTCATGGTGAGAAAGGGTCTCATTGGTAAAACCTTTTCCCTTGGGGAGGTAAATAAATTCTTGGTTCCTTCTTGGTAGCCCTTGAAGATAAGGATGGTCAAACAAAATAATATTATATCTGCAGAAAGTCAGATCTTGGTAAGATTTACTAGTTGGGAATCCAATGTTAATGCCAAGAAGCAGCTGCCAGTTGGGATCAAATGTGAGCCTATGGATCAAGGTGCGTACTCAAACACAGAGAGCTTTTTGAAAGATGCTACCAGCAGTTTTTCCAGGGCAGAGATGGGTCCTTTATTTTTCTCTCTAATCTAGCCCATATGCTTAGCTGAGAAGGTTTCTTCATATCACTTTAAATGATGATGTCCTTGTACAACAATTTTCGAAACATTCTTTAGATAAGAATTTTATGGGCATCCTTTATTGCATTAGGCTCAAATTTCATGCATCTTAAGGTTTTATTGCAAAGTGTTGCCTTGTTTCCTTTTTAAGATGATACAATTTGTAACACGCAAGTTTGCTGTCTGTCCCCTCCCTTTATGTACATATAAAATGAGCAAACATGTGGCCATGAAACAGATGGTCATAGAATTGGTTCAGTGGTTGTGAGTTCAGCAACCCAAGAGAGTCTTATCTGAAATACCACCAGGAATGCCTGGACACAGTAGACAAAAGTTGTTCAACTGGACGCCTTAGGATACACGCTACCAAAAACAAAGTAGCCAAAAAGGAACCAGAATAACAGAATATCAGAGCCAGAGGAACATTTGGAGGTAATTCAGTACCTCCTCCTTTTCAACCTACAGGAGAGATAGTGGAACAGAAGCAGAAATGGGCCTGCCTGCTGTGCCCAAAATTCATTGGAGATTGTTGTGGTGAAGAATTTCATTTATGATGAAGGAGAAATAAACCCTGTCAGCTTAAATTCAGGCAGGTTTATTGAAAAGGTGAAGAAGCGTCTTGCAGAAGCAAAGCATGGCTGAGGCTTGTGGGCTCTGTCTGGGAAAATGAGCAGCTGACAGTGGCTGATGCTGCCCCTGACTCTGGGGCCATGTGGTCTCTTGTTCCCTGAGAGCATCTCTTCTATTCTCTTGCATCTTCCCTCAGCCTGGCAGTCTCTGTGTACTCTGCAACACATAATTGAGCAAGGCTGTGCCAGCCCCAGTGCCACCTGGCACTTTAGGTCAAATTAGAAAGGCATGAAATAAAGTGGCCCTTCATAATACAGCTGTTGGAACAACAGTTGGAAGTACAATATCTTGACTCCTTATTTAGTGCTTTATGCTGAACTTTCTTTGCTGAATATGAGCACAGACTTCGGAATATTAATGTCACCTAGCGTTCTTAGCTAGTATTCTCCTTTTGTTTTCCCATAACATCCCCTCCTTCTTCCCACAGATCCACTGTCCACTCATTTCCATCCTGTCTCATGCCACTCGGGGCTCGTCCCTCCTAGAATGCATCCCTGGCTCCCGTGCGTGCACACTTCTAGTTAGGTTTAGCAATGGAGGGCCCCCGATGGATCCTGGAAGTGAGAGGAAGGTGAGGTCCGTATTTCTTCCCTGTCCCTCCCTGCTCTGGCACTGAGTATCTGGCAATAGCTGCATCTGTCTATTACTTCAGTGGCCACTCTTCCACAGCCCCAGTTCTCAGTGGGTCCCATAGCATTATTTACCTTTGTTCCTTTAGCTCCCATCAAGGAAGATCCAGAGACATTCTCCTCACCAAGGCGTTAAGAAATGCACAGGTGAGGGGAACAGCGGCATGCGTTTAAAAGTCCTGTGGCGCCCATCCTCTGCAGGCTGGAGGTCATGGCGGGAGCTGCTGCATGGATTTGCCCTCCCTGCTGTCAGTGAGAACAACAGGGTTCTGGAAGAGTAGAGGACAGGCCGTGGGACTTGGCCATCTAGAGACAAGGCGGGAGGGATTTCCCTGAGAGGCAGGGATATGTGGTGGTTACTAATCATTCGAATCATTGTGAGGTGTCTGGGAATGTAATGGATGGGACATCTACTAAGAAATCAACTTACGTTACACTTAGAAAAGCTCTAGTTCTGAGGACAGAGACCTGATGGAGTCACCATAGTGGGAATTTATGACCTGGCATCCAGTTCAGATACCTGGAGCTTCTTGACTGAGGGGAGATTGGATCCCTTGAGGAAGAGTGAAGCCTTCAATGCTGCCACAAGTGTATGCTGTAAATCTTCCTTCAGGCCTTCCCCAGAAGGCCCTGAAGCCATTTATGTGGGTGACTGAAGAAAGGGAAATACTCAGAGCTTCTGTGGCTTGTTGGATGCTGGCTCTGAAGAATGCTAAACTGAGGGCCCTGCGGTGGCCATGAAAATGCACTACTTGCATCTCCAGCTGCAGGAGGCCTAACGAATCAGCAGCCTCAGCTGCTACCCTCCGAATGGAGGACTTGATGACATTTCCCCTGGATCTGCACTAGCCCGTGAGGAGGAAAGCCTCCTATCAAGTCCTCCCAACAGAACACCCATGATGACTCATGAGGATGTTGAAGGTGTTTTCCTGTGGCAACTGTGAGTGTCTTTCTTCAAAGTCTGTTTTGTTCCTGCACATTAACTGATTTATATAAAATAAGAGAATAAATGCCTAGACTCCCATGAGTCTATCTTTTACTGATAAACTCTAGTTCTGAGGACAGAAGCCTGATGGAGTCAGTATAGGGGGAATTTATAACCTGGCATCCAGTTCAGAGACTTGGAGCTTCTCGACTGAGGGGAGATCGGGTCCCTTTGGGGAAAAAAGAAGCCTTCAATGTTGTCACAAGTGTATCCTGGAAATCTTCCTCTAAGCCTTCCTAGAGGGACCTGATAACATGACTTATGATACAGTGACCCCAAATTCAGGGTGTTCTTGTCTACTGTCAAGAATGCAATATCTTATTCCTCTGAATTGAACGTAGTACCAATATTTGTGTGTAGCTATGCACCTTAATAGACCATAGCTAATTAGATGAGGAACGGTAGACCCAATTCAACCATACAGGCATCAACCATATCAGCATACAGGCATCCCTCTCCCACCGTTTCCTTCTTGTCCCCACTCCAAAGCCTTCTCCATTTTATTTGTATTAATTTTCTATTGCTGCATACTAAATTACTGCAAGCATTAGCGGCGTAAAATAAGAATGATTTATTTTCTTGCAGTGTCCACAGATCAGAAGTTCAGGCCTGGATTCTCTGGGTCTTCTTCTCAGGGCCTCACAGGCTGAAATTAGGCTGGGTTTCTTTCTGGAGGTTCTGGGGAAGAACTTCCTCTCAAGTTTCCTCAGGTTGTCAGCTGAGTTCAGTTCCTTGTGACTGTAGGACTGAGATCTCTGTTTTCTTGCTGGCTGTCAGCCAGGGGCCTCTCGCTGCTCCTAGAGGCCTCCCATGTTCCCACTGCATGCTTCCTCCAGCCAGCAGAGGAGGATCGCCCTGCATGGAAACCCTCCTGCACTTCACATCTCTCCAGGAAGTCCTCAGTCCCTCCAAGGAACTCACGTTCACTAGGTCAAGCTCATCAGATAATCTGTCTATCTTAAATTGGACCGATTTGGGATCTCGATTACATCTGTTAACTTGTTTTTGCCATAAATTGTAACACAATCACAGGAGTGACATCTCCTCAGTAGCTTTGTCTACACTCAGGAGGAAGTGATTATATAAGAGCAAAGATCACTGGGGGTCATCTTAGGATTCTGTCTACCATAATATTATAAAGACACAGTAATTAAAAGAGTATAACAGATTTCTGCTTCTGTCTGTTAGAATAAATCATATCAGACTAACCCTGCCTCCATAAACAAACGTAAAATTGTTTTCAGCAGTGTACAACAGGCAGTCCAAGAGAAAACTTAAGGGGGAAGCCCCATGATTTCCTAGTTGTTTGGGGAGAATTTCTCAGCAGCTGCATAGTGAGCTAGAGTCCACTCAGGGCAGGGCAGCTCACTGAGCTGAGAAGGCAGAGATCAGAGTTCAAGACGGCTGAAGCAACTGCAATCTGCAGGGCAGGGCACCAGTGAGGAGACAGCTGATCAAAGGTGCAGCTCTCAAAGTCTATGTGGGGTTCCATGTGCATACTTATCAAGGAGTGGACTCTACCTGCACAAGGAAAAGACTAACAGATTTAACAGAGGGGTGGCTGCTATGAAATTGAGTTTGGACCAGAGGTACTTGAGGTGGAGGAGGGTTGGGGAATGTATGATGGAGTTTCTGCCATCCATGGTGGGAAGAACTCATGCACACCTCATTAGCACCCAGGTATCCAACTGAGACACTAGAATGGATGTGCTTTAGGAATAAGTGTCACACTTTTCAATAAGGCCTATTGTAGACCAACCTGCTAAAGCCTAAAAGCAAACCCTGACAAATTCACAAAGGGGTGGATTGGTGATTGAGTCCTGCCAAATTAGAGGGTCTTGGGAAATGCTGTGGGCTTTCCATGAATCCGTTGTAATAAAACATGAACCAGTCCACATAAGTCCAAAGTGATCAGACAGTAATTTTACTGCCCACTAGAACAAAATTAATTCACACAATCAATGACACATGTTAGCCAGGTCGATATTTAAGCAAAATACATCTAAGAACAGCTAACAAATAACTCTTCTCAAACTCACATAGAGCATTCAGCAAGATAGACCACATGTGCTGAGCCATCGTTAGTATTTTCTGTCCTTTCTCTTTGACTCGTGTATAGTGTGCTCAAACTCTTAAAATTATACACTTTAATGATTATACACTTTCATGCATCTCAATTGCATGTAAGTTATATTTCAATATATTTGTTAAAAGTTTATAATTAAAAAAACTGTCCTAGCTTGATTCAAGAAATCTTTTTTATATTTAAGAAAATGTAATGTTATGTATTATCAGGGCAAAAGAGAAAAACCATATGATTACCTTGTCATACACAGTAAAAGCATTTGGCACAATTGAAAACTTTTTTCATGATTTATAAAAACAAACCCCAGAAAACTCTCAGCATGATAAGAAGAGAAGGCAACACTTTCAACCCTATTAAGGGTAGATTTGAAAAAAACTCAGAGGTAACATTATATTAAATGGCATAGGATTGAATGCTTTTCTATTAAATCAGAGAAAAAAGTAGAATATCTGTTGTTATTCTTTCAATTCAGCATTATACTAGAGATCTAAATCAATGCAATAAAGTAAGAAAAATAAAAGTATTGAAAAGATTGAAAAGAAAGAATTGAAGCTGTCTTTATTCACAGATAATGACTGTGTATGTTAATAATCCTAGAAATCTATAAAAATCTGCCAAAAGTAATTAGTGAGTTTGGTAATGTTGCAGAATATAAGCTCAATAGAAGTAGTCTTTTGTATTTCTGTGTATTAGCAATGAGCATTTGGAAAATGAAATAAAAATACAATTTCATTTCAAGTAACATCTAAATACATGTTGTGCTTAGAAATAAATTCAACAGGCTGGATCCGGTGGCTCACGTGTGTGTGTGTGTGTGTGTGTGTGTGTGTGTGTATGTGTGTGGGTGGGTGTGGGTGTGTATATTCACCTTTTTGAAGATTATCTATCGTTATCTCCAAACAGGGAACATTAAGAGAACATTAAAAGAAACCACAATATAGGAGATATATTTATTTCCAACAAAGGGGTTTTTTAGAGTGTATTTGTATATATATGTATGTATATATATATAAGTTTAATAAGATAAACAGCACAATGAAACAATTTCTCAAAAGACTTGAATAGGTACTTAAGAAAAGAAGATACATGAATGGTCAATTAGCATAGGAAAAGATGCTCTACAGTTTAGCCATCAGGAACATCAATCAATACAACAATGAGATACCAGTACATGTCCTGTACATATGAGATACCAGTACATATCTGGTGCCTGGGATTACAGGCACCGGCCACCATGCCTGGCTAATTTTTTGTATTTTCAGTAGAGGCAGGGTTTTACCATGTTGGCCAGGCTGGTCTTGAACGCCTGACCTCAGGTGATCTGCCCGCCTCAGCCTTGCAAAGTCTTGGGATTACAGGCATGAGCCACCAGGCCCAGCCAAAATGATTCCATTTTTATGAAGCACATGATCAAGCAAAATGAATCTATGGTGGCTGCTAAGTTTAAATATTGGTCCCCTCCAAATCACATGTTCAAATGTGGTCCCCAGTGTTGGAGGTGGGGGTAAATGGGAGGTGTTTGGGTCATGGGAGTGGATCCCTCATGAATAGATGAATCCCCACCCTGGGAGAAGGTAGTGAGTGAATTCTCACTCTCTTAGTTCCTGTAGGAGCTGGTTATTAAAAAGTGCCTCTCACCTTTCCTTGCTCTCTTTTGCTTCCTCTCTCGCCATATGATCTCTGCACACCCTGGTTCCTTTTCACCTTCTGCTGCAAGTGGAAGCAGCCTCAGGCCCTCATTAGGAGCAGATGCGGGGGCCATGCTTCTTGTACAGCCTGCAGAACTATGAGCAAAAGGCACCTCTTGTCTTGATAACTTACCCAGCCTCTGGTATTCCTTTCCAGCAACACAAAGGGGCTAAGGCAGTGACAACATTCAGAATATATTCTTCATTTGGGGGATGAGTATTGACTGGCAAGGACCACATCAGAACTTTGTGGCATGGGGGAAAATGTTCTCTGTCTTTAACTGGGTGTTACTTTACAATTATAATTATATTAAAATTTATTAAGCTGTGCCTTTAGGTTTTTTTGCAGTATACTCTACGCAAATTTTACCTCAGTGAAAAACTGTTAGCATACAACAGACAGATAACAAACACTCAAAAAGGTGAAAATTGACAGAAAATAGGTAACAAATATTTAGCATATAAATAAGAGGGATCCGTTGAGAAGAAACCAAAAGCAACGGAATAGAACAAAGACAAAAAAGTATAATAAAAAGAGTTTTAAATTTCAAAGTTTGAAATGATATTAAAGTGGCACACTGTTTCCTTGGGAAAATCAAGTGAGAACCACAAGTCTGAGACTAATTCCAGCAAAAGTATGTAAATCAGTTTGATCTAATGGTACAAGGTTAGCTTTGAAGGCCAAAAGGAACGGATATCTAATTCTTACTCCTCTCCTCACTAGTTTTGTGACCTAGGGAAATTTTGCAATCTTTCTGAGTTTGTTTTCTCATCAGGAACAGGATAATACCTAAGTAACAGGATAGTTGACAGATTTAAATATGATCGCATGGCGGTGGACATGAGCCGTAATTAGTTGTTAAGAATATATTGACACTGAACTCTCCTTTATCCATGTTAAAATTGTAGATAAACAACAATTGACAAAGAATAGACAAAATGTTCTAACATAAATATTCTTCCCTTGTTTCTAGAAAGAAGTCACACATACGGTAAAAATAATTAGAGAGGACCTAGTTCATATTGAACAATCTTCCCCAAAGCCTGAAACAGGTCTTCTTTCTAACACCAGAGATATCTTGAGTGAGTCCAACCCCTGCAGTCCCCTCTGTCTGGAATAGATGGAGGAAGTTTGCTCCAGCCTTAGAAGAGCATGGGCTGGCAAGCGTTCTCAGAGAGGTCTCGACTTCAACTCTAAAGGGCCTGAGGAATATGTGCAACTGGGTCGGGTTAAGGCCAAGCTGAATCACATGACCAGGGCTCTCACCAGCGCCAAAGTCAGTGGAAGGATATCAGTCCCCAGAGCTCTGTCACAGGCCATGGATGCTCCATGGAGGGGTGGTGAGCATATGAATAACAATCAAGAGAAACATCGGTAATGGACAGGAGGCATCAATAAACAATGTCCACCCTCCTCTAAAACCCAGGAAAGTTCTCATTCAAAAGACGATGTCTTGAAGGAAACCTAGGTACAAATCTTTGTGATTTTGGATTAGACATTTTTTAAGTAGGCACAAACAACCGAAAAATAGATAAATGGACTTCATTAAAATAAAAAACTTGTATGCTTCAAAGGACACTGTCAAGGAAGTGAAAAGATAATCCACATAATGGGAGAACTATTTCCAAATTGTATGTTTGACACAGGTCTAGTACCTAGAGTGTATAAGGAATTCATATAACTGAGCAATAAACGACAACCACATTTAACAATGGGGAAAAAAAGCTGTGAGTAGAGGTTTCTCTAAAGGAAACACACAAATGGCCAAGAAGCACATGCAAAGATGTTCAATGTTTTTCGTCATTAGGAAAATGTAAATTTAAACCAAAATGAGATACCACTTCACACCCAGCAGTATGACTTAAGAAAAAAATAAAGACAACACATGTTTCAAAAGTGATGGAGAATATGGAATTCTCATATATTACTATTGGGAATCTAAAATGATATAGCTACTGAAGTTAGTAAACAGTGTGTGAGTTCCTCAAAAAGTGAAACATAAAGTGACATATGATGCAGCAATTGCACTCCTAGGTTTATAACCAAGAAAATGAAAAACAGATGTTCACTCAAAAACCTGTACAAAGCTGTTCACAGCAGCATTATTCCTAATAGTTAAAAAGTGGAAACATCTTAAACCACCATGAGTTGATGAATAAACAAAATGTGGTATAACCATATAGTGGAATATTATCTGGCCATAAAAAGTTGAAGTACTGACGCAGGCTAGAAAGGATGAAACTTGAGAACAATATTCTAAGAAGCAGATAGAAAATACCACACTTTGTTATTCCATATAGAGGAAGTGCCCAGAACAAGTACATCAATATATAGAGAAGGTAGATTAGTGGTTGTCAGAGAGCGCAAGAAGGGGGGAATTGGAGAGTGTCTGCCCATAGGTACAGGCATGCTTTTTGGCATTATGAAAATATTCTGGAATTAGGTAGTGGCGATGGTTGCGAAAGTTTTGGAATATGGTAAAAGACACTGAAATGTATGCTTAAAAATGGTGAATTTTGTGATGTATAAATTCTACTGTAGAAATAATAATAACAACAAAAGTAATAAAGCAAGGTGTCTTTCCACATCTCCATGTCCAGTATTTTCATTAAAAAAAAGAAAGAAATAAAAGCATTTCAGGGCCAGGTTCAGTGGCTAACTTCTGTAATCCCAGCACTTTTGGAGGCCTAGGTGGGAGGATCGCTTGAGGCCAGAAGTTCAAAACCAGCCTGAGCAACATAGCAAGACCTTGTCTCTATGAAAAATATAAAATTAGCCAGAAATGGTGATGTGTGCCTATAGTTCCAACTACTTGGAAAGCTGAGGCAGGAGGATCGCTTGAGCCCAGAAGTTCAAGATTGCCGTGATCTATAATCACCAGTGCACTCCACCCTGGGTGACAGAATAAGACCCTGTCTCAAAAAAAAAAAAAAAAAAGCATCTCACTTTAATAGTAAGTGGCCAAAATATGATGCTGGCTGCATGTTGTGAGGAAATGTGTTAGATGAAAGAAGTCAAATTGCAGAAGATTTCCTTTTCTCAGAAATGAGGTATAGGGGAGAGAAGCACTGGTCCACCTGAGATCTGGCTCCAGGACTTACAACAAGGGGAACTTGGGCAAGTTACAGACTCTGTGTGCCTCAGTTTCTTCATCACCAAACAGAAAGAATCATCCCATAAACTGTAAGGTCAATGCTGTCAGTGAGTCCCCAAATTGACTGCACATCTGAGTCATGTTAACAAACATTCCAGGCCCCACCTGAGCCCTCTGAATCAGAATCCCTGCAAGGAGGACAATGAACTTGTATTTGCACTGACTTTCCCAGCTGTTTCTTACTTTGATCAAGTTGGGGGTGGGACCCATTGAGCTGCATCACATCATTCCAAAGCCAAAACACAACAGCAGAACAAGAATATTTTCAATGCGGTCTCTAAAGCGGAGGAGAAACTGTTGAGGGAACCTAGAAGTAAAGGACATCTGGCTTGCTGGGCTCCATTTAAACTTTGAGTATAGCAGAGACACGAGCCCTTCGGGACACATGCCTGTCGCAGTGACACTCCAACTTCGGAAGAGTGGAAGCCCTGATTCCAAATTCAAGCATGCTTTGAGTAGAAATTAAGTTTGCCTCTTTTTGCACAGGAAGATGGCCAATCTTTCCTAAGCTGCTCACCTTACAAGAAAACGAATCGTACTGCTAAGAATTCAAACTTCAGCAGTCATGGGTAAGTAAGGAAGTCTTATAAATCTATTTTAGCCACCTAACAAGAAACTAGAAATTTAGCAAGTTCTTTCACATTCAGGACAGTTGTGTTGACTAGATCAGAGGCACTGAGACATGAAGAACAGACCCCTAAAAAGGGAAAGTGTTCCTTTCAGTTTGAGGACATCACTGGAATATTAGGGAAGTGGAAACACAGCTGCCCACTCTACAGTATGGGTTGCCTTTGTGTCCGGAATGTGCCTAATGTCCTGATCTCTGTGCCCTTTTCAGGGAGCCTTGGAAGGAGCCCGAATCACTGATGGAATTGGACAGTGCATGGAGATGGTTCAGCAGGACAAGGGTAAGTGCAGGGGCAAGTCCAGGTCATACTGAGAGACAACGAGTGGCGCTGACAGAGACAGACAAAGATAAAATCAAAAGTTTGTGCTTCATCTTCAAAAACTCAAACTAATAACAAACTTGGCCTTATGAGAAATAATAAGTATTTTTCTATTTACATGAGAATTTAATCTCAAAACAGGAATCAGAAACATATTAAGTCCAGGGCATAAAACCTAAACCACTGCTCATATTTATTCTTTCTAAATAGAGCAAAGTGTAAAATCTTCTCCATAAAATGCACATTGTGCTTATGAAAAGGCCAGTCTTAGTGAGAATCATTGGTATTCCATAGAAGAGTGAATTAAACACAGCCAAGGGAAGACCCAAGTCTCATACTTCTCTTGTATATTCCAGAGTTCCAGGGGAATTCCAGGTGATAGAGGTGATCTCCCATACTGTTAAAGCAAGGTTGCAGACACTTGGGAATTTTGGTCCCAGTACTCTAGGAGGTCACACCTCTGTCCTGGAAAATACTACAGGAATGTATACTCTTCCTATGACTCATTCTGGTCATTCTTCCAGCATCACAAAAACCAAAAAAAAAAAAAGGAAATATGTCCAAATACATGATTTGCTATCCCTCCTCTTCAGGTTTCTTACCTGTTACTTACGGATAACAGCATTACCACAGGATTATGATGAAGATACAATGTCCAAATATAAACACAGTTTTGAGCAAAATGCCTTGTACGAATTGGTCAATGAACAACTAGTAAATAATTATGTGAATATTTACTGAATTATATGGATCCTATGAATAATTACTGAATAATTCATGTGATTGCTTTTATTGGCAGTGCTGAAAACTCATCCCCGTGTGACCTCAAGTAAGCCATGTAACTCTGTGAACCTGCAGTTTTATCATTTTTAAAATAAAGAAACATGACAGATTTTCATTATGACACAGAATGTCAGGTCTCCCAGATGCCAGAAAATACATTTACTTAAAGCCGTTGATACGTCTTAAAGCGGTTTCCTTACAGTGTCATTGGAGGACAGTGTGGAGTGCAGAGAGACATGCTTTGAAATGGGATTGATCCAGTCCTCCTTCCTTCACTACCACATGAATGCTGGGCAGCCCAGGGTCAACCCACCGCACCCTCAACTCAGGCAAGTCCAGCAGCCAATCTTAGGAGACCTGGGCTACAGAACAGTCTCCCAAGTTCCAGGCTCACAAAACCTAGGTGGGGTGAAAGCTGAGAAAGCGAGGAGGTGGTTCAGGGGATCACTCTTTCCTACTCATTCCTCTCATCTCAAACTCACCTTCTACTGCAACACTGAGGATCACCAACCAACCGTGACCATAACCTTGATCTTGCCATGTTCTGTTAGTGGAATGCAACCCAAAATCAATGGTGTTAGGTCATCTCAACAAAATATATATCAAACCATATTGCATAAGAACCGCTCATGGCCCTGTTCTTTTCAGTATATGGGAAAACAAAATGGAAACAACAAAATAGCATCAGGTTTATGAAACTTCCCAAGATAGATGGTCACACATGTTTTCAGGAGATCTCTATATAAATGATTTTGATCACTTGATACCTTGAAAAGAGCTCTTGTGACACTAGAATGACATCCATAAGTGACAAGTATAAAATGTAGCGCTCAGTGACATCAAAAACCAAATCAACCCACATAGAGGAAGAGCTCTGGACATAGGGATGTCAAACTGGTCTAGAGTGTAATGAAAAGCAAAGATGGTGCCCCAGTGAGAAAAAAGAAATCAACATAACAATGGGAAACAGCAAGAAGAATACTGAGACAGGAAAGACAACATTTTTTACAAATGAATTATTCATTCACTTTCTAGTGGATACAGACAAAACTGCAGAAGACCCAGAGGAAATCAGGGCAGGCTAAAAGTTTGATATCTTACACCTGTGGAAAGGCCTTAAGCTCTGTTTTAACTGAGAGCAGGTGGGGTGACTTCATGACTACCATTAAGAAAATACAACCTGTTGGGAAACTGTTTCTGCCTTGATGATGTTGTACAGACAAGAGATAAACAGTGAGGAATATGCTTAGATGTATTGGGAAAGACACGGGTCTGTGGCATCATCACAAGGGTACACGAATACTGAGAGTGAATGCTGAAGGAATGATCCCCATTGGTGGTGACCCTCAGGTGAGACTAGGGTGCCTGTGTTTCAGGAAAGCCTGGGCAATTGGAATGCAGGGCTCCTAAGATTCCATGACACCCCCACCTTCTAATTCTGTTATTGCAACTGCAGACGGTTACCTGGCACGCTGGCCACAGTCTACCTCACTCTTATCAGAGTCTGAGCTACTGGCAGTGCTTTCAGCTCTGAGTTCAGGCACCTCGAACCTTGTTTTTGTGGTGAAGGATCCTAAAGTGCTGTGGGGAGTGATCACATTTTTCACAACAGTAAGTTAAGAATTTCAGTTACTGACATCCCTCAGTCCTGATTAAACCTATTTGATTTCACCAGTTTTTAACCCATCATATGTTTGGGTTTCTTCTCCCCAGTCCCTGGCTCCACCTCTTCTGCCACAAACGTCAGCATGGTGGTATCAGCTGGCCCTTGGTCCAGCGAGAAGGCAGAGACGAACATTTTAGAAATCAACGAGAAATTGCGCCCCCAGCTGGCAGAGAACAAACAGCAGTTCAGAAACCTCAAAGAGAAATGTTTTGTAACTCAACTGGCCGGCTTCCTGGCCAACCGACAGAAGAAATACAGTAAGATCTATAGGCTCACCATCATGAAAGTGATGAATGATGTCCTGTCTTCTCTCTGAGACACTAAATGCTCTCTCCATCAAAAATAATTTCATCCTTCCTGTACTTCTAGGAAAACAGAAATGGGTATTTTAACATTTTGTTAAAGTTGGAAGACAGAGGTACCAAAGTATTTAGCAACTTTCCATGTTTGCAATCAGGTGGGGGTGGGACTAGAGTTAAACTCACAGTTATTGATTTCTAACACAGACACAGAACGACCTGTTTTCTCCAAGAGGCTCAATCATGTTTTCAAGAATCCTCTCTGTACCATATAAGATCCTGCAGACAAATAACATCTAGTCTGTTGTTCTAAATGTCTGAGACTAGTGAACTTTTATTCAGTTCAAGTTTCTGTTGAGGCCCAACAGGCAAGGCTCTGTTCTAGTGACTCTGAGGGAAACTTGGTGATAGTAGCCAGTACCTGCTCTGAGGGGCTTCAAGAGGAGTCTGCTCCTAATAGAACCTGTGCTATCTATAAGTGACAGCATCAAGAGCAGGGAGTAGGGGCCGTGCAACGTGGCTCACTCCTGTAATCTCAGCACTTTGGGAGGCTGAGGCGGGCAGAGCACGAGGTGAGGAGTTTGAGACTAGCCTGGGCAACATGGAGAAACCCCATCTCCACTAAAAATACAAAAAGTAGATGGGCGTCGTGGCGGGCAACTGTAATCACCACTAATCGGGAGGCTGAGGCAGAAGAATCCTTTGAACCCAGCAGGCAGATGTTGCAGTGAGCCAAGATTGCACTATTGCACTCCAGCATGGGTGACAGGGCAAGACTCATCAAAAAACAAACAAACAAAAAGATAAATAAAACAAAAATAAAAATAAAAAGCAGAGAGTACCTTGGTGAGAGTGAAGTCCTGCTTCCTGGTGCACAGGCTCTTGTTCCTAAAGAGGAAGAAAGATCACACCCGAGAATGTGTGGAAGCAGCAGTGCAGTGTGCAAAGCAGGGACCCTCAGCCTGTCTCCTGGGCTCCATCCAAGTTGCTTGTCTTGTCTGTCCCTCAGTTTCCTCATCTGTTCAGAGGGTACTACAATAATACCTACCTCTGTAAATTGCTGCAATGAATTACATGAGGTATTTCCTGTCAATCTCCTTGAACATTAATTGGCACAGTGTAAACACTATCTATTAGTTCTTCATTCTGATGTTTCTAAATTAACACAAACTAATCTTATGCTGTTTCTAAATTAACACAACTAATCTAAATCTTGATGCTGCCTGTCATACTAATAAAATATTTGGGCATATTTCCTTCATGGCCTTATGGTGTTATGTGTCACACTTTATGCTTCAGATATGATTCTTAAAATCATAACTGAAGATATGATTTAAAAATCAAAGATTTTTAAAATCTTTCGCATACTTGTCTTTGAAATTCCCAGTAAAAGGGAAACCGTCAGTCCCATAGTCCTAGGGGCCTTCCCAACTGTACAAGAAATCACTACTTCATGCCCCAGTGCAGTGTTTCAGAGGAGAGGCTGCAAGTCTTGGGAAAGTGGCCCCGCATTCAGAGTCAGACCTCAGGGGCTGTGAGTTCTGACTCCACTTCGTTGTGGTTGAATCATCTTGTCAACTTCCTTGATGTGCCTTGAATTTCTCTTTCTTCGTCTTTAAATTTTGGAGGATAAGATGCCAGAAAGTCAGGAGACTGAAGAGTAAAGATGTGGAAATCCCTGCCTAGAGCCTGGTACGGGGGACAGTTTTGTCCTTGGGATGGACCTGGCTTCTGCCCTGTAGGCAGTGACCACAGCAGCATGTCCAGCCTTCCACTGAGGCAGGCGTGTCTGTCTTTTCTCAGAGTATGAAGAGTGTAAAGACCTCATAAAATTTATGCTGAGGAATGAGCGACAGTTCAAGGAGGAGAAGCTTGCAGAGCAGCTCAAGCAAGCTGAGGAGCTCAGGTGAGGGGACCCCATGGGGGCAGGCAGGGGAGCAGCTGTGTAAATCTCTGAAGTACAGCAGCTCGGTGGGGAGACGTAAGAGCTAAGCTGGGCCAGGGGAAGGGCAGGAATTGCCATGGCAGGCTCGCAACACACAAGTATTTATCAAGCAGAGAAGAAGGATAATAAAAATTTATGGGTTGCAGTTGTTTCTTAGAGCCTTGTTTTCTCTTTTTCAAACAAGTAATTGTTGATGTGAAATTTACATAACACAAAATTAACCAAAGGAGTGTGAACCACACAGCAGCATTCAGTATACTCAAAATGGTGTGCCATCGCCACCCCACTTACCCTTAGTGAGAATCACCTTCTGACTGACTGCGTCTTCTCATTCTTTCACTCAATCAATGTTGCCTTCTCGACCCTGTCATTCTTTTCTTCTTTCGTCTTTTCAATTCGCCCCATCTGCACCTGGCCTCATTTCTGTACATGGCTTTGTATCTAGTGGCCGCAAGATGCACTATGTGTATTTTCACATGGAAATGTCCATGGCCAGAGTGAGGAACTGAAAGGATGTCTTTTTGAAACGGAATTAGGAAGACACCTACTTTTGTTTACAGAAGGGAAAGATGAATGGAACATCATCGAGGATCTTGCAGGAGCCCTCTCTGATACAGAGGAAGCCTGTAAACCATTTTCTATTCTTTCTCTTGGCCACAGTCATTCCTTTCAACATGTGCTGACCTTCTGCTTGGAGGTCTCCTTGAGGACATTGTCTCAGAAATCTCTGTTGCAATATTTGAACGGATCACTCAACCCTTTCCACTCTTAAATTTTCTCTACCGTCTCACCTTAGGCAATATAAAGTCCTGGTTCACTCTCAGGAACGAGAGCTGACCCAGTTAAGGGAGAAGTTACGGGAAGGGAGAGATGCCTCCCGCTCATTGAATCAGCATCTCCAGGCCCTCCTCACTCCGGATAAGCCAGACAAGTCCCAGGGGCAGGACCTCCAAGAACAGCTGGCTGAGGGGTGTAGACTGGCACAGCAACTTTTCCAGAAGCTCAGCCCAGGTAAGGTGGCCATAGGCCCTGATGACCCAAAACCCCAGGCTTATGAGAGGCTCCAGACCTCCATACTTTCACAATGACAGTTGTATCAGTGGGGTTTTTTTCTGCTATACATATGTGGCCATGACATGACCAGGACTTCCTGGGTAAGAACAGAGATGGGAAACCCATGGGGTTGGAGGTCACAGTATTGCAAGTGTCCCTCCTTCCTTGATGGAAGGTGGTCTTTGGAGCAAGAGGCAGCATCTGTCTAGTTTTAAAGGACAGGAAGGAGGCTGTGATGGGAGGGCGCTTGTTGGAGTGAAAAGAGCTCTGGGCTAAGAATGAAGGTTCCCAGGCTGTCTTTTTGACAATGTTCTTAGTAACTGTCGGTGAGTGAGTGATTTATCTTTCCAGAGTTTCTCTCTCTCCATCTGCAAAGGCAAACAAATTGTCTCTTGCAAGGGTCTGAAGCATCCAAATATGGGAACACTTACGAATGCTTTTTAAAATGAGATGAAGCCCCTCTCCGTTTGGTGTTGGAGAAGGCACTTGGTGTAGGGGCATTTGGTGGTAGGAAGTGCTTCAGACTGGAGCACTCCCCGTGGATAGAATGTCCCTGAATAACACAGCAGAAGCCACATGGAGGGCCTGTGCAGTCTCATGATGCATAGAGGACTGTGGGACAAGTTTGTCCTCTCCTAAGAGAAAGAATGAGGTTTGAAATGCGAACTGTGACAGGACACCAAGCCTGTTCCTGGGAATCAGATATGTGGCAGGATGGGGGCGACAGCTGCCAAAGTCCAGAGAGAGGCTGCACAAGCCTCCAGTGATATGGGAAGCAAAAGGTCTTTTCAATATTTGACCACATCTTGATGGTGGCCCTCCAGATCAGAAATGCATTGCCCGATGGACCAGGAAACCATGCCAGGGCATTTTGTGAAAGATAAAATATGACAGTTTTCAGTACAGTGCTGAACCATACATAGATGTTCATGTCTCTGTGCACATTGGGCTGACTGTGCTTGCAGAATGTGAAGTGGGAAATATCTGAACGAACATTTTGTATTTACAGAAAATGACGAAGATGAGGATGAAGATGTTCAAGTTGAGGAGGCTGAGAAAGTACTGGAATCATCTGCCCCCAGGTAACACTGAATACTCGGGAGCAAGTAATGGGTGGTAACATATGAAAATGTGTAGGAGGCACACCCTCTCTGGCATCTATGATGGGCCAAAAGCCCGCATTCGCTTGGCCACAGTATGTGAAATTCAACCCAGCTTAGACACAGGGTGCGGCAGCTGTCGTGTTTCTCTATGTGTGCCAAGTGTCATGTCTGTACCATACAGGGATAGCTGAGTCTTCATCCTCCTCAGCTCCTATCTGTCCAGTGCACTGAACACCAGCTGCTCTCTTCCTCTCTGGCTCCCATGGCAGCCATGCTCTGTTGCAGAGAGAAGAGGATTGCCTGTTCCCCCTTAAAGGGAACCTCCATTTTGCTTTCTGGGACCACTGTCTTAATGCCGCCTGTCAAAACCAGCTAGGACTCCCTGGGGTCCAATCCCTCTGTGTTTAATCTTCTGTCATCTCTGTCCCACCTGGCTCATCAGGGAGGTGCAGAAGGCTGAAGAAAGCAAAGTCCCTGAGGACTCACTGGAGGAATGTGCCATCACTTGTTCAAATAGCCACAGCCCTTGTGACTCCAACCAGCCTCACAAGAACATCAACATCACCTTTGAGGAAGACAAAGTCAACTCAACTCTGGTTGTAGACAGAGAATCCTCTCATGATGAATGTCAGGATGCTGTAAACATTCTCCCAGGTAGCCTCTATTTTCCTTGTGTCTCATACCTCTGTCTAGGCTATGGAAGATCAATTCTGAGGACAGGCTGTATATACACATATTGTTATTCTTTTAGTCAGAAACTAGGATGGAGCTAGGTTCTGTGACTCACACATATAATCACAGCACTTTGGAAGGCCCAAGTGGGAGGATGACTTGAGTTCAGGAGTTGAAGACCAGCCTGGACAATATGGTGAAACCCATCTTTACAAAGAATACAAAAAATTAGGCAGGCATGGTGCTGCGTGCCTCTAGTCCCAACTGCTCAGGAGACTTAGGTGGGAGGATCGGCTGAGACGATCCTCCCACCCTGGTTCACTCCTCTCAGGCTAGACTCTCTCTCCTTTTCATTGGCTTGTCTTAGCTATTAATAAGAAGTCTCGGCCGGGCGCGGTGGCTCACACATGTAATCCCAGCACTTTGGGAGGCCGGGGCGGGTGGATCACGAGGTCAGGAGATCGAGACCATCCTGGCTAACACGGTGAAACCCCGTCGTTACTAAAAATACAAAAAAAAAAAATTAGCTGGGCACGGTGTTGGGCGCCTGTAGTCCCAGCTACTCGGGAGGCTGTGGCAGGAGAATGGCATGAACCCAGGAACCGGAGCTTGCAGTGAGCCTAGATTGTGCCACTGCACTCCAGCCTGGGAGACAGAGCGAGACTCCATCTCAAAAAAAAAAAAAAAAAAAGTCTCTGACCGGGGGTGCTGGCTCACATCTTAATCCCAGCACTTTGGGAGGCCAAGGTGGGCGGAACACCTGAGGTCAGGAGTTCGAAACCAGCCTGTCCAAGATGGCGAAACCCAATCTCTACTAAAAATGCAAAAATTAGCTGGCATGTTACTTGGCGCTTGTAATCCCAGATGTTTGGCAGGCTGAGGGATGAGAATCACTTGAACCCGGGAGGCAGAGGTGGCAGTGAGCTGAGATTGCGCCACTGCACTGCAGCCTGCGTGACAGAGTGAGACTCCGTCTCAAACAAAAAACAAAAAACCAAAAGAGAAAAATATCGAAAAAGGAAAATGCAATCTTTTGTGCTACACAGAAACATTGGCCACTCATGGGGTAAAAATCTCAGGGCCCAGCCTTGCTTTATAGAAACTTATAAGCAAGAAAAGTGTAGAAGTGTTTATGTCCTGGTTTCAAGGTGACTGCATAGCTAAGACAAGTTGACTTAAAGGAGATCAAGACTGGAGATGACAAGAGTGAAACCAGGGAAACAACATTTTCAAATAAGTAGACAAGGCTGCCACTGACATCCCTCAGTGTGATTAAACCTATTTGATTTCACCAGTTTTTAACCCATCATGTGTTTGCCTTTCTTCTCCCCAGTCCCTGGCCCCACCTCTTCTGCCACAAACGTCAGCATGGTGGTATCAGCCGGCCCTTTGTCCAGCGAGAAGGCAGAGATGAACATTCTAGAAATCAACGAGAAATTGCATCCCCAGCTGGCAGAGAAGAAACAGCAGTTCAGAAACCTCAAAGAGAAATGTTTTGTAACTCAACTGGCCTGCTTCCTGGCCAACCAGCAGAACAAATACAGTAAGATCTATAGGCTCACCATCACGAAAGTGATGAACGAAGTCCTGTCTTCTCTCTGAGAAACTAAGTGCTCTCTCCATCTAAAATAATGTCATCCTCCCCATACTTCTAGGAAAACAGAAATGGGTATTTTAACATTTTGTTAAAGTTGGAAGAGAGAGGTACCAAAGTATTTAGCAACTTTCCATGTTTGCAATCAGGTGGGGGTGGGACTAGAGTTAAACTGCCATTTATTGATTTCTGACACAGGCACAGAATGACCTGTTTTCTCCAAGAGGCTCAATCATGTTTCCAAGAATCCTCTCTGTACCATGTAAGATCCTGCAGACAAATAACATCTAGTCTGTTGTTCTAAATGTCTGAGACTAGTGAACTTTTATTCAGTTCAAGTTTCTGTTGAGGCCCAACAGGCACAGCTCTGTTCTAGTGACTCTGAGGGAAACTTGGTGATAGTAGCCAGTACCCGCTCTGAGGGGCTTCAAGAGGAGTCTGCTCCTAATAGAACCTGTGCTATCTATAAGTGACAGCATCAAGAGCAGGGAGTAGGGGCTGTGCATGGTGGCTCACTCCTGTAATCCCAGCCCTTTGGGAGGCTGAGGCGGGCAGATCACAAGGTCAGGAGTTTGAGACCAGCCTGGGCAACATGGAGAAACCCCATCTCCACTAAAAATACAAAAAGTAGATGGGCATGGTGGCAGGTGACTGTAATCACCCCTGCTCAGGAGGCTGAGGCAGGAGAATCCTTTGAACCCAGGAGGCTGAGGTTGCAGTGAGCCAAGATTTTGCCATTGCACTCCACTCTGGGTGACAGGGCAAGACTGGTAAAAATAATAATAATAATAATAATAATAATAATGATAAATAAAAATAAGAATAAGAAGCAGAGTGTAGCTTGGTGAGAGTGAAGTCCTGCTTCCTGGGGCACAGAGTCTTGTTCCTAAAGAGGAAGAAAGATCGCACCTGAGAATGTGTGGAGGTAGCAGTGCAGTGTACAGAGCAGAGACCGTGGGCCTGTCTCCTGGGCTCCATCCAAGTTGCTTGTCTTGTCTGTCCCTCAGTTTCCTCACCTGTTCAGAGGGTACTACAATAATACCTACCTCTGTAAATTGCTGCAGTGAATTACATGAGCTATTTCTTGTCAATCTCCTAGAACATTTATTGGCACACAGTAAACACTATCTATTAGTTCTTCATTCTGCTGTTTCTAAATTAACACAAACTTTATTAGCATTTGGGCATATTTCCTTCATGACCTTATGGTGTTATGTGTCACACTTTATGCTTCAGATATGATTCTTAAAATCATAACTGAAGATATGATTTAAAAATCAAAGATTTTTAAAATCTTTCGCATACTTGTCTTTGAAATTCCCAGTAAAAGGGAAACCGTCAGTCCCATAGTCCTAGGGGCCTTCCCGACTGTACAAGAAATCACTACTTCATGCCCCAGTGCAGTGTTTTAGAGGAGAGGCTGCAAGTCTTGGGAAAGTGGCCCTGCATTCAGAGTCAGACCTCAGGGGCTGTGAATTCTGACTCCACTTCGTTGTGGTTGAATCATCTTGTCAACTTCCTTGATGTGCCCTTGAGGTTCCCTTTCTTCATCTCTAAATTTTGGAGGATCAGATGCCAGAAAGTCAGGAGACTGAAGAGTAAAGATGTGGAAATCCCTGTCTAGACCCTGGTACTGGGGAGAGTTTTGTCCTTGGGATGGACCTGGCTCCTGCCCTGTAGGCAATGACCACAGCAGCATGTCCAGCCTTCCACTGAGGCAGGCGTGTCTGTCTTTTCTCAGAATATGAAGAGTGCAAAGACCTCATAAAATCTATGCTGAGGAATGAGCGACAGTTCAAGGAGGAGAAGCTTGCAGAGCAGCTCAAGCAAGCTGAGGAGCTCAGGTGAGGGGACCCCATGGGGGCAGGTGGGGGAGCAGCTGTGTAAATCTCTGAAGTACAGCAGCTCGGTGGGGAGACGTAAGAGCTAAGCTGGGCCAGGGGAAGGGCAGGAATTGCCATGGCAGGCTCGCAACACACAAGTATTTATCAAGCAGAGAAGAAGGATAATAAAAATTTATGGGTTGCAGTTGTTTCTTAGAGCCTTGTTTTCTCTTTTTCAAACAAGTAATTGTTGATGTGAAATTTACATAACACAAAATTAACCAAAGGAGTGTGAACCACACAGCAGCACTCAGTATACTCAAAATGGTGTGCCATCACCACCCCACTTACCCTTAGTGAGAACCACCTTCTGACTGACTGCGTCTTCTCATTCTTTCACTCAATCAATGTTGCCTTCTTGACCCTGTCATTCTTTTCTTCTTTCGTCTTTTCAATTCGCCCCATCTGCACCTGGCCTCATTTCTGTACATGGCTTTGTATCTAGTGGCTGCAAGTTGCACTATGTGTATTTTCACATGGAAATGTCCATGGCCAGAGTGAGGAACTGAAAGGATGTCTTTTTGAAACGGAATTAGGAAGACACCTACTTTTGTTTACAGAAGGGAAAGATGAATGGAACATCATCGAGGATCTTGCAGGAGCCCTCTCTGATACAGAGGAAGCCTGTAAACCATTTTCTATTATTTCTCTTGGCCACAGTCATTCCTTTCAACATGTGCTGACCTTCTGCTTGGAGGTCTCCTTGAGGACATTGTCTCAGAAATCTCTGTTGCAATATTTGAACGGATCACTCAACCCTTTCCACTCTTAAATTTTCTCTACCGTCTCACCTTAGGCAATATAAAGTCCTGGTTCACTCTCAGGAACGAGAGCTGACCCAGTTAAGGGAGAAGTTACGGGAAGGGAGAGATGCCTCCCGCTCATTGAATCAGCATCTCCAGGCCCTCCTCACTCCGGATAAGCCAGACAAGTCCCAGGGGCAGGACCTCCAAGAACAGCTGGCTGAGGGGTGTAGACTGGCACAGCAACTTTTCCAGAAGCTCAGCCCAGGTAAGGTGGCCATAGGCCCTGATGACCCAAAACCCCAGGCTTATGAGAGGCTCCAGACCTCCATACTTTCACAATGACAGTTGTATCAGTGGGGTTATTTTCTGCTACACATATGTGGCCATGACATGACCAGGACTTCCTGGGTAAGAACAGAGATGGGAAACCCATGGGGTTGGAGGTCACAGTATTGCAAGTGTCCCTCCTTCCTTGATGGAAGGTGGTCTTTGGAGCAAGAGGCAGCATCTGTCTAGTTTTAAAGGACAGGAAGGAGGCTGTGATGGGAGGGCGCTTGTTGGAGTGAAAAGAGCTCTGGGCTAAGAATGAAGGTTCCCAGGCTGTCTTTTTGGCAATGTTCTTAGTAACTGTCGGTGAGTGAGTGATTTATCTTTCCAGAGTTTCTCTCTCTCCATCTGCAAAGGCAAACAAATTGTCTCTTGCAAGGGTCTGAAGCATCCAAATATGGGAACACTTACGAATGCTTTTTAAAATGAGATGCAGCCCCTCTCCGTTTGGTGTTGGAGAAGGCACTTGATGTGGGGGCATTTGGTGGTAGGAAGTGCTTCAGACTGGAGCACTCCCCATGGATAGAATGTCCCTGAATAACACAGCAGAAGCCACATGGAGGGCCTGTGCAGTCTCATGACACATAGAGGACTGTGGGACAAGTTTGTCCTCTCCTAAGAGAAAGAATGAGGTTTGAAATGCGAACTGTGACAGGACACCAAACCTGTTCCTGGGAATCAGATCTGTGGCAGGATGGGGGAGACAGCTGCCAAAGTCCAGAGAGAGGCTGCACAAGCCTCCAGTGATATGGGAAGCAAAAGGTCTTTTCAATATTTGGCCACATCTTGATGGTGGCCCTCCAGATCAGAAATGCATTGCCCGATGGACCAGGAAACCATGCCAGGGCATTTTGTGAAAGATAAAACATGACAGTTTTCAGTACAATGCTGAACCACACATAGATGTTCATGTCTCTGTGCACATTGGGCTGACTGTGCTTGGAGAATGGGAAGTGGGAAATATCTGAACGAACATTTTGTATTTACAGAAAATGACGAAGATGAGGATGAAGATGTTCAAGTTGAGGAGGCTGAGAAAGTACTGGAATCATCTGCCCCCAGGTAACACTGAATACTCAGGAGCAAGTAATGGGTGGTAACATATGAAAATGTCTAGGAGGCACACCCTCTCTGGCATCTATGATGGGCCAAAAGCCCGCATTCGCTTGGCCACAGTATGTGAAATTCAACCCAGCTTAGACACAGGGTGTGGCAGCTGTCGTGTTTCTCTATGTGTGCCAAGTGTCATGTCTGTACCATACAGGGATAGCTGAGTCTTCATCCTCCTCAGCTCCTATCTGTCCAGTGCACTGAACACCAGCTGCTCTCTTCCTCTCTGGCTCCCATGGCAGCCATGCTCTGTTGCAGAGAGAAGAGGATTGCCTGTTCCCCCTTAAAGGGAACCTCCATTTTGCTTTCTGGGACCACTGTCTTAATGCCGCCTGTCAAAACCAGCTAGGACTCCCTGGGGTCCAATCCCTCTGTGTTTAATCTTCTGTCATCTCTGTCCCACCTGGCTCATCAGGGAGGTGCAGAAGGCTGAAGAAAGCAAAGTCCCTGAGGACTCACTGGAGGAATGTGCCATCACTTGTTCAAATAGCCACGGCCCTTGTGACTCCAACCAGCCTCACAAGAACATCAACATCACCTTTGAGGAAGACAAAGTCAACTCAGCTCTGGTTGTAGACAGAGAATCCTCTCATGATGAATGTCAGGATGCTGTAAACATTCTCCCAGGTAGCCTCTATTTTCCTTGTGTCTCATACCTCTGTCTAGGCTATGGAAGATCAATTCTGAGGACAGGCTGTATACGCACATATTGTTTTAGTCAGAAACTAGGATGGAGCTAGGTTCTGTGACTCACACATATAATCACAGCACTTTGGAAGGCCCAAGTGGGAGGATGACTTGAGTTCAGGAGTTGAAGACCAGCCTGGACAATATGGTGAAACCCATCTTTACAAAGAATACAAAAAATTAGGCAGGCATGGTGCTGCGTGCCTCTAGTCCCAACTGCTCAGGAGACTTAGGTGGGAGGATCGGCTGAGACGATCCTCCCACCCTGGTTCACTCCTCTCAGGCTAGACTCTCTCTCCTTTTCATTGGCTTGTCTTAGCTATTAATAAGAAGTCTCGGCCGGGCGCGGTGGCTCACACATGTAATCCCAGAACTTTCGGAGGCTGGGGCGGGTGGATCACGAGGTCAGGAGATCGAGACCATCCTGGCTAACACGGTGAAACCCCGTCGTTACTAAAAATACAAAAAAAAAAAATTAGCTGGGCACGGTGTTGGGCACCTGTAGTCCCAGCTACTCGGGAGGCTGTGGCAGGAGAATGGCATGAACCCAGGAACCGGAGTTTGCAGTGAGCCTAGATTGTGCCACTGCACTCCAGCCTGGGAGACAGAGCGAGACTCCATCTCAAAAAAAAAAAAAAAAGTCTCTGACCGGGGGTGCTGGCTCACATCTTAATCCCAGCACTTTGGGAGGCCAAGGTGGGCGGAACACCTGAGGTCAGGAGTTCGAAACCAGCCTGTCCAAGATGGCGAAACCCCATCTCTACTAAAAATACAAAAATTAGCTGGCATGTTACTTGGCGCTTGTAATCCCAGATGTTTGGCAGGCTGAGGGATGAGAATCGCTTGAACCCGGGAGGCAGAGGTGGCAGTGAGCTGAGATTGTGCCTCTGCACTGCAGCCTGCGTGACAGAGTGAGACTCCGTCTCAAACAAAAAACAAAAAACCAAAAAAGAAAAAAATTAAAAAGGCAAAATGAAACCTTTTGTGCTACACAGAAACATTGGCCACTCATGGGGTAAAAATCTCAGGGCCAAGCCTTGCTTTATAGAAACTTATAAGCAAGAAAAGTGTAGAAGTGTTTATGTCCTGGTTTCAAGGTGACTGCATAGCTAAGATAAGTTGACTTAAAGGAGATCAAGACTGGAGATGACAAGAGTGAAACCAGGGAAACATCATCTTCAAATAAGTAGACAAGGCTGCCGCTGACATCCCTCAGTGTGATTAAACCTATTTGATTTCACCAGTTTTTAACCCATCATGTGTTTGCCTTTCTTCTCCCCAGTCCCTGGCCCCACCTCTTCTGCCACAAACGTCAGCATGGTGGTATCAGCCGGCCCTTTGTCCAGCGAGAAGGCAGAGATGAACATTCTAGAAATCAACGAGAAATTGCATCCCCAGCTGGCAGAGAAGAAACAGCAGTTCAGAAACCTCAAAGAGAAATGTTTTGTAACTCAACTGGCCTGCTTCCTGGCCAACCAGCAGAACAAATACAGTAAGATCTATAGGCTCACCATCACGAAAGTGATGAACGAAGTCCTGTCTTCTCTCTGAGAAACTAAGTGCTCTCTCCATCTAAAATAATGTCATCCTCCCCATACTTCTAGGAAAACAGAAATGGGTATTTTAACATTTTGTTAAAGTTGGAAGACAGAGGTCCCAAAATATTTAGCAACTTTCCATGTTTGCAATCAGGTGGGGGTGGGACTAGAGTTAAACTGCCATTTATTGATTTCTGACACAGGCACAGAATGACCTGTTTTCTCCAAGAGGCTCAATCATGTTTTCAAGAATCCTCTCTGTACCATGTAAGATCCTGCAGACAAATAACATCTAGTCTGTTGTTCTAAATGTCTGAGACTAGTGAACTTTTATTCAGTTCAAGTTTCTGTTGAGGCCCAATATGCAAAGCTCTGTTCTAGTGACTCTGAGGGAAACTTGGTGATAGTAGCCAGTACCTGCTCTGAGGGGCTTCAAGAGGAGTCTGCTCCTAATAGAACCTGTGCTATCTATAAGTGACAGCATCAAGAGCAGGGAGTAGGGGCTGTGCATGGTGGCTCACTCCTGTAATCCCAGCCCTTTGGGAGGCTGAGGCGGGTAGAGCACGAGGTCAGGAGTTTGAGACCAGCCTGGGAAACATGGAGAAACCCCATCTCCACTAAAAATACAAAAAGTAGATGGGCATGGTGGCAGGTGACTGTAATCACCCCTGCTCAGGAGGCTGAGGCAGGAGAATCCTTTGAACCCAGGAGGCTGAGGTTGCAGTGAGCCAAGATTTTGCCATTGCACTCCAGCCTGGGCGACAGGGCAAGACTGTTAAAAAAATAATACTAATAATGATAAATAAAAATAAGAATAAGAAGCAGAATGTAGCTTGGTGAGAGTGAAGTCCTGCTTCCTGGGGCACAGAGTCTTGTTCCTAAAGAGGAAGAAAGATCGCACCCGAGAATGTGTGGAGATAGCAGTGCAGTGTACAGAGCAGAGACCGTGGGCCTGTCTCCTGGGCTCCATCCAAGTTGCTTGTCTTTTCTGTCCCTGTTTCCTCACCTGTTCAGAGGGTACTACAATAATACCTACCTCTGTAAATTGCTGCAGTGAATTACATGAGCTATTTCTTGTCAATCTCCTAGAACATTTATTAGCACACAGTAAACACTATCTATTAGTTCTTCATTCTGCTGTTTCTAAATTAACACAAACTTTATTAACATTTGGGCATATTTCCTTCATGGCCTTATGGTGTTATGTGTCACACTTTATGCTTCAGATATGATTCTTAAAATCATAACTGAAGATATGATTTAAAAATCAAAGATTTTTAAAATCTTTTGCATACTTGTCCTTGAAATTCCCAGTAAAAGGGAAACCATCAGTCCCATAGTCCTAGGGGCCTTCCCGACTGTACAAGAAATCACTACTTCATGCCCCAGTGCAGTGTTTTAGAGGAGAGGCTGCAAGTCTTGGGAAAGTGGCCCTGCATTCAGAGTCAGACCTCAGGGGCTGTGAATTCTGACTCCACTTCGTTGTGGTTGAATCATCTTGTCAACTTCCTTGATGTGCCATTGAGGTTCTCTTCATCTCTAAATTTTGGAGGATCAGATGCCAGAAAGTCAGGAGACTGAAGAGTAAAGATGTGGAAATCCCTGTCTAGACCCTGGTACTGGGGAGAGTTTTGTCCTTGGGATGGACCTGGCTCCTGCCCTGTAGGCAATGACCACAGCAGCATGTCCAGCCTTCCACTGAGGCAGGCGTGTCTGTCTTTTCTCAGAAAATGAAGAGTGCAAAGACCTCATAAAATCTATGCTGAGGAATGAGCGACAGTTCAAGGAGGAGAAGCTTGCAGAGCAGCTCAAGCAAGCTGAGGAGCTCAGGTGAGGGGACCCCATGGGGGCAGGCAGGGGGGCAGGTGTGTAAATCTCTGAAGTACAGCAGCTCAGTGGGGAGACTTAAGAACTAAGCTGGGCCAGGGGAAGGGCAGGAATTGCCATGGCAGGCTCGCAACACACAAGTATTTATCAAGCAGAGAAGAAGGATAATAAAAATTTATGGGTTGCAGTTGTTTCTCAGAGCCTTGTTTTCTCTTTTTCAAACAAGTAATTGTTGATGTGAAATTTACATAACACAAAATTAACCAAAGGAGTGTGAACCACACAGCAGCATTCAGTATACTCAAAATGGTGTGCCATCACCACCCCACTTACCCTTAGTGAGAATCACCTTCTGACTGACTGCGTCTTCTCATTCTTTCACTCAATCAATGTTGCCTTCTCGACCCTGTCATTCTTTTCTTCTTTCATCTTTTCAATTCGCCCCATCTGCACCTGGCCTCATTTCTGTACATGGCTTTGTATCTAGTGGCCGCAAGATGCACTATGTGTATTTTCACATGGAAATGTCCATGGCCAGAGTGAGGGACTGAAAGGATGTCTTTTTGAAATGGAATTAGGAAGACACCTACTTTTGTTTACAGAAGGGAAAGATGAATGGAACATCATCGAGGATCTTGCAGGAGCCCTCTCTGATACAGAGGAAACCTGTAAACCATTTTCTATTCTTTCTCTTAGCCACAGACATTCCTTCCAACATGTGCTGACCTTCTGCTTGGAGGTCTCCTTGAGGACATTGTCTCAGAAATCTCTGTTGCAATATTTGAGCGGATCACTCAACCCTTTCCACTCTTAAATTTTCTCTACCGTCTCACCTTAGGCAATATAAAGTCCTGGTTCACTCTCAGGAACGAGAGCTGACCCAGTTAAGGGAGAAGTTACGGGAAGGGAGAGATGCCTCCTGCTCATTGAATCAGCATCTCCAGGCCCTCCTCACTCCGGATGAGCCAGACAAGTCCCAGGGGCAGGACCTCCAAGAACAGCTGGCTGAGGGGTGTAGACTGGCACAGCACCTTGTCCAAAAGCTCAGCCCAGGTAAGGTGGCCATAGGCCCTGATGACCCAAAACCCCAGGCTTATGAGAGACTCCAGACCTCCATACTTTCACAATGACAGTTGTATCAATGGTGTTTTTTGCCACTAAGCTTATGTGGCCATGACATGACCAGGACTTCCTGGGTAAGAACGGAGTTGGGAAACCCATGGGGTTGGAGGTCACAGTATTGCAATTGTCCCTCCTCCCTTGATGGAAGGTTGTCTTTGGAGTAAGAGGCAGCATCTATCTAGTTTTAAAGGACAGGAAGGAGGCTGCGATAGGAGCAGGCTTGTTAGAGTGAAAAGAGCTCTGGACTAAGAATGAAGGTTCCCAGGGTGTCTTTTCGGCAATGTTCTTAGTAACTGTCAGTGACTGAATGACTTGTCTTTCCTGAGTTTCTCTCTCTCCATGGCAAATTGTCTCTTGCAAGGGTCTGAAGCATTCAAATGTGGGAACACTTAAAACTGCTTTCCAAAATGAGATGAAGCCCCTCGCCGTGTGATGTTGGAGAAGGCACTTTATGTGGTGGCGTTTCGTGGTAGGAAGTGCTTCAGACTGGAGCACTCCCCATGGATAGAATGTCCCTGAATAACACAGCAGAAGCCACTTGGAGGCTTGAAATCTTCTGATGCATAGAGGACTGTGGGATAAGTTTGTCTGCTTCTAAGAGAAAGAATTAGGTTTGAAATGCAAACTGTGACAGGACACCAAGCCTGTGCCTGGGAATCAGATCTGGCAGGATGGGGGCGACAGCTGCCAAAGTCCAGAGAGAGGCTGCACAAGCCTCCAGTGATATGGGAAGCAAAAGGTCTTTTCAATATTTGGCCACATCTTGATGGTGGCCCTCCAGATCAGAAATGCATTGCCTGATGGATCAGGAAACCATGCCAGGGCATTCTGTTAAAGATAAAACATGAGAGTTTTCAGTTGAACGGTGACCCATGCCTAGATGTTCATGTCTCTGTTGCACATTGGGCTGACTGTGCTTGCAGACTGTGAAGTGGGAAATATCTGAACGAACACTTCTGTATTTACAGAAAATGACAACGATGACGATGAAGATGTTCAAGTTGAGGTGGCTGAGAAAGTGCAGAAATCGTCTGCCCCCAGGTAACACTGAATACTCAGGAACAAGTAATGGATGGTAACATATGAAGAATATCTAGGAGGTACACCCTCTCTGGCATCTATGATGGGCCAAAAACCCGCATTTGCTTGGCCACAGTATGTGAAATATAACCCAGCTTAGACACAGGGTGCGGCAGCTGTCATGTTTCTCTATGTGTGCCGAGTGTCATGTCTGCACCATACAGGGATAGCTGAGTCTTCATCCTCCTCAGCTCCTATCTGTCCACTGCAATGAACACCAGCTGCTCTCTTCCTCTCTGGTTCCCATGGCAGCCATGCTCTGTTGCAGAGAGAACAGGATTGCATGTTCCCCCTTAAAGGGAACCTCCATTTTGCTTTCTGGGACCACTCTCTTAATGCCGCCTGTCAAAACCAGCTAGGACTCCCTGGGGTCCAATCCCTCTGTGTTTAATCTTCTGTCATCTCTGTCCCACCTGGCTCATCAGGGAGATGCCGAAGGCTGAAGAAAAGGAAGTCCCTGAGGACTCACTGGAGGAATGTGCCATCACTTGTTCAAATAGCCATGGCCCTTATGACTCCAACCAGCCACATAGGAAAACCAAAATCACATTTGAGGAAGACAAAGTCGACTCAACTCTCATTGGCTCATCCTCTCATGTTGAATGGGAGGATGCTGTACACATTATCCCAGGTAGCCTCTGTTTTCCTTGTGTCTCATACCTCTCTCTAGGCTGAGGAAGATAAACTCTGAAGACAGGCTCTATAAACACAAATTCATTTGAATAAAAAACTATGATGGGTTTCTAAACAGATATCAGGGAGTTTTTTTGTCCTTCTCAGCTAATGTCATGCCTTTGTCTGCCAGTCCCCAGTATCAAGTTACTCGACCCCAGGCAAGTGTGACAATCTCATAGTCACCTGAGTGCAGGAGGTGCACAGGCAGTATCTGTCAGGCCTCCTAGCTTCGATTCAGTATCTCTTGTCATCTGTGATTAAGTCATCTGTCCCTGAACAATGTCCATGGAGTTTCTATGCCTGTTTCAGGAAGCTGGCAGCCTTGCCTTTGTATTTGGAAATATTGTTCCCCAGGCTTCACTGCTCTCAGCTTTCATCCGGATCTCCTTTAAGTCAGCTTGCTTAGCTGCACAGTCACCCTGAAATCAGGACGGAAACTTTTCTTCTTTACTTTGCTGATATATTTCCATAAAGCAAGGCTGGACCCTGGTTCTCCACCCTGTCAATGCAATGGCTGATCCAATGTTTCTTTGTAGCATCGTGGATTTTTTTTTTTTTTTTTTTTTTTTTTTTTTTTGCGATGGAGTCTTGCTCTGTCACCCAGGCTAGAGTGCAGTTGCACCATCTTGGCTTGGTGCAACCTCTGCCTCCCAGATTCAAGTGATTCTCCTGCCTCAGCCTCCTGAGTTGCTGGGACCACAGGTGCACAACATCACATCTGGCTAATTTTTGTATTTTTAGTAGAGACAGGGTTTCCCCATATTGGCCAGGGTAGTCCTGAACTCATGACCTCAAATGATTCACCTGTCTTGGCCTCCCAAATCACAGATTCTTTTTAAAGCAAGAGTTGTTCAAATTTATCTATCATGTGTGTTTCATGTATAGATGCCTCTAAACATTTAATGTCCATGTTATCTGGTGATATAAGTCCGTATTGCAGCAACACTCTTAGAAAATGGACCAATTTTTGGAGATTTTTTTGGGGAAAAAATTTTGTTTAACTTTGACTCAGGCAGGGAATATGGCATTATGGTCTACACGTAGAGGGAGATTTTGGCCTGTGGGTCTGGAAAGCAGGGTCATCTAATTCTCACCAAAGTTAATCTAGGGCACCCTAGAATATTCCTGTCAGAATCCTTATTCTTGCACTGAGAATAGTTATGTCCTTGTGCTATGACTGGACAGTGATTTGGTCATATGTGAAGTATGAATTGCTTAATGTGACCTGCTTCTCTGAATTTATTTACAGAAAATGAAAGTGATGATGAGGAAGAGGAAGAAAAAGGGCCAGTGTCTCCCAGGTAATGTTGTGGAATTGTTGGCTGTTAATTCAGTAGTGACATCTGGAGATTGTAGATTTAGGGAAAATGAGGAAGTGATGAATAGAACTATTTCTTCCATTCACCCAGCTACAAATTGTGCTGATTTACAATGTTGTATGTTATTTGTGGCACTTGTATTGGTTTTAATTTCATAGTCCTCTCAAGATAGGAACTTGCCATCAGATGAGCCAGGTGAACTAGCCAAACAGGGTTTTCTTGTTGATCTTTTCAAAAAACCAGCCCTGGATTCATTGATTTTTTGAAGGGTTTTTTGTGTGTCTATCTCCTTTAGTTCTGCTCTGATCTTAGTTACTTCTTGTCTTCTGCTAGCTTTTGAATTTGTTTGCTTTGCTTCTCTAGTTATTTTAATTGTGATGTTAGGGTGTCAATTTTAGATCTTTTCTGCTTTCTCTTGTGGGCATTTAGTGCTATAATTTTCCCTCTACACATTGCTTTAAATGTGTCCCAGAGATTCTGGTATGTTGTGTCTTTGTTCTCATTGGTTTCAAAGAACATCTTTATTTCTGCCTTCATTTTGTTATTTTCCCAGTAGTCATTCAGGAGCAGGTTGTTCAGTTTCCATGTAGTTGTGCGGTTTTGAGTGAGTTTCTTAATCCTGAGTTCTAATTTGATTGCACTGTGGTCTGACAGTTTGTTGTGGTTTCCATTCTTTTACATTTGCTGACGAGTGCTTTACCTCCAACTATGTGGTCAATTTTGGAATAAGTGTGATGTGGTGCTGAGAAGAATGTATATTCTGTTGATTTGGGGTGGAGAGTTCTGTAGATGTCTTTTAGGTCTGCTTGGTGGAGAGCTGAGTTCAAGTCCTGGATATCCTTGTAAAGCTTCTGTCTCATTGATCTGTCTAATATTGACAGTGGGGTGTTAAAGTCTCCCATTATGATTGTGTGGAGTCTAAATCTCTTTGTAGGTCTCTCAGGACTTGCTTTATGAATCTGGGTGCTCCCGTATAGGGTGCATATATATTTAGGATAGTTAACTCTTCTTGTTGAATTGATCCCTTTACCATTATGTAGTGGCCTTCTTTGTCTCTTTTGATCTTTGTTGGTTTAAAGTCTGTTTTATCAGAGACTAGGATTGCAACCCCTGCATTTTTTTGCTTTCCATTTGCTTGGTAGATCTTCCTCCATCCCTTTATTTTGAGCCTATGTGTGTCTCTGCATGTGAGATGGGTTTCCTGAGTACAGCACACTGATGGGTCTTGACTCTTTGTCCAATTTGCCATTCTGTGTTTTTTAACTGGGGCATTTAGCCCATTTACATTTAAGGTTAATATTGTTATGTGTGAATTTGAGCCTGTCGTTATGATGTTAGCTGGTTATTTCGCCCGTTAGTTGATGCAGTTTCTTCCTAGCGTCAATGGTCTTTACAGTTTGGCATGTTTTTGCAGTGGCTGGTACCGGTTGTTCCTTTCCATGTTTAGTGCTTCCTTTAGGAGCTCTTGTAAGGCAGGCCTGGTGGTGACAAAATCTCTCAGCATTTGCTTCTCTGTAAAGGATTTATTTCTCCTTCACTTATGAAGCTTTGTTTGGCTGGATATGAAATTCTGGGTTGAAAATTCTTTTCTTTAAGAATGTTGAAGATGCTGGAGAGGATGTGGAGAAATAGGAACACTTTTACACTGTTGGTGGGAGTGTAAACTAGTTCAACGATTGTGGAAGACAGTGTGGCAATTCCTCAGGGATCTAGAACTAGAAATACCATTTGACCCAGCCATCCCATTACTGGGTGTATACCCAAAGGATTATAAATCATGCTGTTGTAAAGACACATGCACACATATGTTTATTGTGGCACTATTCACAATAGCAAAGACTTGGAACCAAGCCAAATATCCAGCAATGATAGACTGGATTAAGAAAATGTGGCACATATACAACATGGAATACTATGCAGCTATAAAAAATGATGAGTTCATGTCCTTTGTAGGGGCATGGATGAAGCTGGAAACCATCATTCTCAGCAAACTATCGCAAGGACAAAAAACGAAATACCGCATGTTCTTACTCACAGGTGGGAATTGAACAATGAGAACACATGGACACAGGAAGGGGAACATCACACACTGGGGCCTGTTGTAGGGTGGGGGGAGGGAGGAGGGGTAGCATTAGGAGATATACCTAATGTTAAATGATGAGTTAATGGGTGAAGCACACCAATGTGGACATGTATACATATGTAACTAACCTGCACGTTGTGCACATGTACCCTAAGACTTAAAGTATTGAAAAATATATATACATATATATACATACACACAAAAAATAATAAAGGAAAACTATACATATGGAAAAAAAAAAGAATGTTGAATATTGCTCCCACTCTCTTCTGGCTTGTAGGGTTTGTGCCAAGAGATCTGCTGCTAGTCTGATGGGCTTCCCTTTGTGGGTAATCCGACCTTTCTCTCTGGCTGCACTTAGCATTTTTTCCTTCATTTCAACCTTGGTGAATCTGACAATTATGTGTTTTGGGGTTGCTCTTCTCGAGGAGTATCTTTATGGTGTTCTCTGTGTTTCCTGAATTTGAATGTTGGCCTTCCTTGCTAGGTTGGGGAAGTCCTCCTGGATAATATCCTGAAGAATGTTTCCCAGCTTGGTTCCATTCTCCCCGTCACTTTCAGTGCACCAATCAAACGTAGATTTGGTCTTTCCACATAGTCCCATATTTATTGGAGGCTTGTTCATTTCTTTTTACTCTTTTTTCTCTAAACTTCTCTTCTCGCTTCATTTCACTAATTTGATCTTGAATCACTGATACCGTTTCTTGCACTTGATCGAATTGACTACTGAAGCTTGTGCATGCATCACGTAGTTCTCGTGCCATGGTTTTCAGCTCCATCAGGTCATTTAAGGTCTTCTCTACACTGTTCATTCTGGTTGGCCATTCGTCTAATCTTTTTTCAAGGTTTTTAGCTTCCTTGCGATGAGTTCGCACATCCTCCTTTAGCTCAGAGAAGTTTGTTATTACCGACTTTCTGAAGCCTACTTCT
The DNA here is from genome assembly GCF_000001405.40 of Homo sapiens. Taxonomy (NCBI): domain Eukaryota; kingdom Metazoa; phylum Chordata; class Mammalia; order Primates; family Hominidae; genus Homo; species Homo sapiens. The sequence continues at coordinate 16,570,110 of NC_000001.11, read as the reverse complement.
GTCAGCTCATCAAAGTCATTCTCCATCCTGCTTTGTTCCATTGCTGGCGAGGAGCTGTGATCCTTTGGAGGAGAAGGGATGTCAGGTTTTTGGAATTTTCAGCTTTTGTGCTCTGGTTTCTCCCCACCTTTGTGGTTTTATCTACCCTTGGTCTTTGATGATGGCGACCTACAGATGGGGTTTTGGGATGGATGTCTTTTTTGTTGATGTTGATGCTATTCCTTTCTGTGTGTTAGTTTTCCTTCTAACAATCAGGTCCCTCAGCTTCAGGTCTGTTGGAGTTTGCTGGAAGTCCACTCCAGACCCTCAAACAGGGATTTCTTGGTGTTGCCTATTCTCTCCCATGTGTTTAAATCCAGGGAGAGATGTATATATGCTTTCTTCCTATCTGTTGGTAGTATGTTGGCTAGTATTTTTGCAAGAAAAGAAATTGAAAAGGTAAATATATTATATCAAAATATTGGGAAAATGGGGCCCTTAATACACAAGATCTGTGTCTGCACTGTGTCAAGAACTCTCTTCACTTGAATGCTGCATGTAAAATTCAACCCAATTTATGCAAAGTAGTTGAAGCCCTGTGTCAGTTCTCTGTGCTGCAAGTCATGATGGTAGTTTACAGGGAGAGTCTGGGTGCCCTGAGTTGGCTCATCTGTGGCAAATGTACTGAGCACATGCTGCCCATTTTTGCTCTGTCCCCAGAGCAGTCACCCTCCACCCTGTATTTAGAAGGCTAGTTTTATTTCTCTTGAAGGAAAAATGCCTTTGGTTTCTGTGACCACTCCATTCTGTCTCCCATCAGATCATCTGGGAGGTTTTGTTGTCTAATGTCTGTTGGTTAAATCTTCTATCATCCCTGTCCTGCCTGGCTCATCAGGAATCTGCAGGAGTCTGAAGAGGAGGAAGTCCCCCAGGAGTCCTGGGATGAAGGTTATTCGACTCTCTCAATTCCTCCTGAAATGTTGGCCTCGTACAAGTCTTACAGCGGCACATTTCACTCATTAGAGGAACAGCAAGTCTGCATGGCTGTTGACATAGGCGGTGAGTACTCCATTGTGAAGGTGATAAAGCTCCAGTTCATGGCCCAGGTAGACCCCATAATCTTTGGGCCTTGTGCCCCTTGTTGGGCTGAGATTTGCCATCACTGTGGGCTGAACCTATATATCAATGTAGATTTCAATCACTCTGGAGTCGAGTCTGAAGCACAGGCATGGGGTGGGTGAGTGAGCTTTGCTCTCTTCCTAGTCTCAGGCCATGCCCGTGCCAACCTGGACTGACTGTCACGACATTGAACTCAAGGCAGGTGTGGCAAGCTCACACCAAACTATGCAGCACATGACCAGGAGTTGTCTGTCAGATCAGCTCATCTGAATTAAATGTCTCTTGCCAGCTACAAAATTCCTTATGAGTTTTGTTCCCAAAGCATGTCTGTGTGGTTCTTTACCTGCCCAAGGCAAGTGTCACCCTTGTCTACCTCTCAGTGAAAGATGTGGCCCAGGTTTCACTGAATTTATTCCCATTTTCTGTGTCTTCTAAGTTCGCTTGCTTTAGCTCATCTGTCCGTCATGTTCCTGGTATGTTTTCTAGATAAATGGCTGACTTTTCACCCACAAAAGCCATAATAGCTGATGCTTCTGTGTAGAACCAAGTTTCATTTTGACTCAAGAGCTGGTACATTGCACCCCTTCATCAAATCTCTGTGTCCACAATCTCATAAACTATCAAATTCTGGGTATTTGATGAGAGAAAGCTTAATATTGAAGTATCTCTCCTATGAGGTGTTAGAACTATTTGCCTACAATTTATTGGGGAAAAAGTTGCTCATTTGTGTACACAAACCTAGGACAGAGCACATAGGGAAGATAACATTCCAAAACAGGGTAATTTTGCCCAAGGCTCATGAAAGAACCCAAGCCAGTTTTCTCAAGACTTGACCTCAGGCCTGCTGGAATATTTCTCTCAAAGTCTCCTGTTCTCACACTGACCAGACTGATGTACCTGTGTTAGGATTGGACAGAGGAATGTTTCTGTGTGCAAGGAAGAACTGCTTAATGTAAGAGGCCCCATCTGAATTTATTTGCAGGACATCGGTGGGATCAAGTGAAAAAGGAGGACCAAGAGGCAACAGGTCCCAGGTGAGTCTGAGAAATTGTGGACAGTTAATTTGATGTTGACACCTGGAGATGCCAAGTCCAGGGAAAACAGTACATGCTGAAAATAATGATTTTGTCTTGTCAGACAAGTCTAAATTATGCCTACTACATTGCTTTTTGGTTCTCATTAGAGTAAATGTTTAGGTTTCCATTTCTTCCTACCCTTATCATTTACTAACCTAGTGAAGGTTGACCATACCTCAAAAGCTGTATTCTCATGGTGGCTGCAGGGAAACTTGAGCACATTTTATGCAAAATTATTGAGGCCATGCTTTTCATGATCACTGTTCACTGTGTGTCCTGAGAGCACAAATAGAGAATGACCGTTGACTCCCTCATCAGTGTGTCACCTGGCCAATTCACTGAGCTCACTCTGTGTGTGTGTGTGTGTGTGTGTGTGTGTGTGTGTGTGTGTGTGTGTCTTTCTCTTTCATCCTTTTCTACCTGGCCCTAGTCTATCCCAATATAAAGGCAATAATTTGTTACCTCATTAATGGATCTGTCCTTTTTCTTTTCAAACTCTTCCTTATGTTAGCCATGAAATCTAGCTGGGGCTGTGTGGTTTCTGATTCCCCCTGGCTTATTCTTTACTTTTTCCCACTGTTCCAGGCTCAGCAGGGAGCTGCTGGATGAGAAAGGGCCTGAAGTCTTGCAGGACTCACTGGATAGATGTTATTCAACTCCTTCAGGTTATCTTGAACTGACTGACTCATGCCAGCCCTACAGAAGTGCCTTTTACATATTGGAGCAACAGCGTGTTGGCTGGGCTCTTGACATGGATGGTGAGTACCTTTCTATGAAGGTGATAAGGATCCACTGAGTCTTCTGGTTAGGGTCATATTCCTACTGCAAATGGCCCTTACTGAGCTGAGAGATGTCATTGCCACAGGGAGGACCTATAGGCACATGTAGGTTGAATGAAACTCTAGTTCCACTTGGAAGCCCAGGCAAGGGATGGGTCAGTGAGCAGGGCTCTCTTCCTAGTCTCAGGCCATGCCTGTGGCACCCTAATCCCACTCTCAAGATGTTGGATCTGGGCAGATGTGACAAATTCACACAACTCTGATTTTGTCTCAATTTTGTAGATCTTGTAGATTTCATCCTTCACTCTAATTTCAGCATCTAAAATCCTCGCTACCATGAAGAATCTGAGTATTTGATGAGACAGGGCTGAATATTGCAGTTTTTCTCCCAGCAACCATTTGGGGGCATTTGCTTTAAATCGATTGGAAAAATATGGCATAACCATTTGCACAAACTTGGGACAAATGATCTTGGGATAACGATCTACCAGAATAGGGAATTTTACCCACAGTTTCTGGGACAAAAACCCAGGAATCTCTATCATGATCAGCCTTCAGGCCTCCTGAAGAAGATCTCTCACAGTGTCCTATTCTCATGCTGAGGAGCCTGAAGTCCCTGCGTGAGGATTAGACAGTGGATTGTTATGTGTGTAGGAGAACCAGCTTAATATGTCTGTCCATGTCTGAACTTATTGCAGAAATTGAAAAGTACCAAGAAGTGGAAGAAGACCAAGACCCATCATGCCCCAGGTAACTTTGAGCAATTATGGATGCTTAATTCTGTGTTGACACCTGGAGATGCCAGGTCCAGGGAAAACAAGAGTATGTTCAATTTCATGTTTTCAACGAAGGTTGAATTACTCCTACTGACATTGCTGTTGGTTTTCCTTGCAGTAGATGTTTAGGTTTCCATTTCTTCCTCCCCTTATCATTTACTAACTTACTGTAGGTTGACCATACCTCAAAGGCTGTATGGCAACTGCATGGAATCTTAAGCAAGTTTATGGAAAATTATTGAGCCCACTCTTTTCATGATCACTGTTCTCTGTGTGTCCCGAGGGCACTAACTCAGAGTGTCCTTTGACCCCTTCGTCAGTGTGTCACCCGGCCAATTCGCTGAGCTCACTTTCTCCTCTGTCTCTCTCTCCCTCTCCCTCTCCCTGTCTTTCTCTTTCATTCTTTTCTACCTGGCCCTGGTCTATCCCAACATAAAGGCAATAATTCATTACCTCATTAATGGATCTGTCCTTTTTCTGTTTAAACAGTTCCTTATGTTAGCCATGAAATGTAGCTGGGGCTGTGTGGTTTCTGATTCCCCCTGGCTTATTCTTTACTTTTTCCTACTTTTCCAGGCTCAGCAGGGAGCTGCTGGAGGCAGTAGAGCCTGAAGTCTTGCAGGACTCACTGGATAGATGTTATTCAACTCCTTCCAGTTGTCTTGAACAGCCTGACTCCTGCCTGCCCTATGGAAGTTCCTTTTATGCATTGGAGGAAAAACATGTTGGCTTTTCTCTTGACGTGGGAGGTGAGTACCTTTCTATGAAGGTGATAAGGATCCACTGAGTCTTCCATATAAAGATCATATTCCTGCTCCAAGTGGCCATTACTGAGCTGAGAGATGTCATTGCTGCAGTGAGGACCTATAGGCACATGTAGGTTGAATGAAACTCTAGTTCTAACTGGAAGCCCAGACATGGGATGGGTCAGTGAGCATGGCTCTCTTCCTAGTCTCAGGCCATGCCTGTGGCACTCTGATTCTACTCTCATGACATTGGACCTGGGCAGATGTGACAAATTCAGAGAACTATGATTTTGACTCAAGGGTTTGTAGATTTCCTTTTTCACTCTAATTTCAGTGTCTAAAGTCCTCACAACCATGAACAATCTGAGTATTTGATGAGACAGGGCTAAATATTGCAGTTTTTCTCCTAGAAATCATTTGAGGGTATTTGCTTTAAATTGATTGGAAAAATATGGCATAACTGTTTGCACAAACTCGGGACAAATGATATTGGGATAACGATCTACTAGAATAGGGACATTTTACCCACAGTTTCTGGGAGAAAAACCGAGGAATTTCTATCATGACCAGCCTTCAGGCCTCCTGAAATATATCTCTCACAGTCTCCTATTCTTATGCTGAGGAGCCTGAGGTCCCTGTGTGAGGGTTAGACAGTGGATTGTTATGTGTGTAGGGGAATCAGCTTAATGTGTCTGTCCATGTCTGAATTTATTGCAGAAATTGAAAAGAAGGGGAAGGGGAAGAAAAGAAGGGGAAGAAGATCAACGAAGAAAAGAAGGAGAAGGGGAAGAAAAGAAGGGGAAGAAGATCAAAACCCACCATGCCCCAGGTAACTTTCAGCAATTGTGGATGCTTAATTCTGTGTTAACACCTGGAGGCAACAGATTGAGGGAAACCAGAGTGTGTTTGATTTCATGTTTTCAACGAAGGCTGAATTACTCCTACTGTCATTGCTGTTGGTTTTCATTGCAGTAGATGTTTAGGTTTCCATTTCTTCCTCCCCTTATCATTTACTAACGTACCATAGGATGACCATACTTCAAAAGCTGTACTCTCATGGCCACTGCATCGAATTTTGAGCATATTTTATGGAAAACTATTGAGCTCACTCTTTTCATGATCGCAGTGTGCTGTGTGTCATGAGGGCACTAACTCAGAGTGTCCTTTTACTCCCTTACCAGTATGTCACCTGGCCAATTCACTAGCTCACTTTCTCTCTGTCTCTGTCTCTGTCTCTGTCTCTCTGTCTTTCTCTTTCATTGTTTTCTACCTGGCCCTTTTCTATCCCAACATAAAGGCAATAATTTTTTTTTTTTACCTCATTAATGGATCTAATGGATCTATCCTTTTCTTTTCTTACCACTTCCTTACGTTACTTCTGAAATCTAGTGGGGCTCTGTGGTGTCTGATTTTCCCTGGCTGCTTCTTTAGTTTTGTCTGCTTTTCCAGGCTCAGCGGCATGCTGATGGAAGTGGAAGAGCCTGAAGTCTTGCAGGACTCACTGGATAGATGTTATTCGACTCCGTCAATGTACTTTGAACTACCTGACTCATTCCAGCACTACAGAAGTGTGTTTTACTCATTTGAGGAACAGCACATCAGCTTCGCCCTTGACGTGGACAATAGGTTTCTTACTTTGATGGGAACAAGTCTCCACCTGGTCTTCCAGATGGGAGTCATATTCCCACAGTAAGCAGCCCTTACTAAGCCGAGAGATGTCATTCCTGCAGGCAGGACCTATAGGCACGTGAAGATTTGAATGAAACTATAGTTCCATTTGGAAGCCCAGACATAGGATGGGTCAGTGGGCATGGCTCTATTCCTATTCTCAGACCATGCCAGTGGCACCCTGTGCTCAGTCTGAAGACAATGGACCCAAGTTAGGTGTGACACGTTCACATAACTGTGCAGCACATGCCGGGAGTGATCAGTCAGACATTTTAATTTGAACCACTTATCTCTGGGTAGCTACAAAGTTCCTCAGGGATTTCATTTTGCAGTCATGTCTCTGAGCTTCTATACCTGCTCAAGGTCAGTGTCATCTTTGTGTTTAGCTCATCCAAAGGTGTTACCCTGGTTTCAATGAACCTAACCTCATTCTTTGTATCTTCAGTGTTGAATTGTTTTAGCTGATCCATCTTTAACACAGGAGGGATCCTTGGCTGAGGATTGTATTTCAGAACCACCAACTGCTCTTGACAATTGTTAACCCGCTAGGCTCCTTTGGTTAGAGAAGCCACAGTCCTTCAGCCTCCAATTGGTGTCAGTACTTAGGAAGACCACAGCTAGATGGACAAACAGCATTGGGAGGCCTTAGCCCTGCTCCTCTCGATTCCATCCTGTAGAGAACAGGAGTCAGGAGCCGCTGGCAGGAGACAGCATGTCACCCAGGACTCTGCCGGTGCAGAATATGAACAACGCCATGTTCTTGCAGAAAACGCTTAGCCTGAGTTTCATAGGAGGTAATTACCAGACAACTGCAGAATGTAGAACACTGAGCAGGACAACTGACCTGTCTCCTTCACATAGTCCATATCACCACAAATCACACAACAAAAAGGAGAAGAGATATTTTGGGTTCAAAAAAAGTAAAAAGATAATATAGCTGCATTTCTTTAGTTATTTTGAACCCCAAATATTTCCTCATCTTTTTGTTGTTGTCATTGATGGTGGTGACATGGACTTGTTTATAGAGGACAGGTCAGCTCTCTGGCTCAATGATCTACATTCTGAAGTTGTCTGAAAATGTCTTCATGATTAAATTCAGCCTAAACGTTTTGCCGGGAACACTGCAGAGACAATGCTGTGAGTTTCCAACCTTAGCCCATCTGCGGGCAGAGAAGGTCTAGTTTGTCCATCAGCATTATCATGATATCAGGACTGGTTACTTGGTTAAGGAGGGGTCTAGGAGATCTGTCCCTTTTAGAGACACCTTACTTATAATGAAGTATTTGGGAGGGTGGTTTTCAAAATTAGAAATGTCCTGTATTCCAATGATCATCCTGTAAACATTTTATCATTTATTAATCATCCCTGCCTGTGTCTATTATTATATTCATATCTCTACGCTGGAAACTTTCTGCCTCAATGTTTACTGTGCCTTTGTTTTTGCTAGTGTGTGTTGTTGAAAAAAAAAACATTCTCTGCCTGAGTTTTAATTTTTGTCCAAAGTTATTTTAATCTATACAATTAAAAGCTTTTGCCTATCACTCTGGACTGTTGGATTGTTTTTTACATTCAGTGTTATAATCTTTTGTTATGCTGATTGGTTTTGGTGGGTACTGATGTGAATTAATAAAAACATTTCCATTTCCCTGTTTATTTTCTAATCTCTTCCACCTTGTAGGCTATGTTTACCATATGTAGCAGAATGCATTTACTCCATTTCTTGGTTCTAGATATTTATATTCTTTGTGAGAGTGTGTGTGTGTGTGTCTGTGTGTGCCTCTGGCATTTAGGAAGGGTTGTGTAGCTCATGTTTGATATTGATTAAAAATGTTTCATAGTTTTCCCCCCTTTGAACTAGACACACTTCTAATATTTGGTTTATACATTTTAAATTATGACTTTCAACGTCAAATATTTCCATATGACAGTCAGTTACATGATGTGTTTTCTTTTTCCTACCTCCTTTACCTGCCACTTCTCATAATGGTATTTGAACCTAAACATATGCCAGTGACATTCTGTGGTTGTCATCTTGCCCACACCTTGGTTTTTGGTTTAGATCCACAATTAAATATATTAATGCTCATGAGCTGTTCAAAAGTGAATGTCACAGTCATCACTTGCTGAGTGGTACTCATCCTTAACAGAGTCCTCATGAGGGAATCAGGTCTCGCTGAGTTTAGCATGTTTAATAATCTTCCTCGTGGTCTTGATACATGGATCGCATTACTGGATATAAGGTGTTTGCCCAAAATGATTTTTCTTGCATTTTTAGGAGCTATTGTCTTCCTTGCGGGACATACATGCTGTATGTTCTCATTGTGGGATTCTATTTTGTTCTACCAGGACCTATAATTTCTGCCAGTTACTTCATTTGTTCTCTTCACCATGAGTCTCCAGAGGATGCTTCCTTTGTCCATGCCTCCCCATCTCCCAGCAATTCTGCGTTTCCAAGACTGGCACCTCTGGTCCTCTGCATGGTGAAGCCCCTTCCTTTCAATTCCCCAGTAGCCAGTGCTCTAATCCACCAGGTCTCAGGCATGATCTGTGTTTCTCCACATGCTCTTTCTGAGGATAGTTTTACCTGTGTTCTGTCATGAACAGGCCCTCCCTGCTGTCCTGGCCTCGATTTGCTTAGTGTTTCCTGCTCCCTCTGCCCTTGTGTGGCTCCCAGACCAAGTGAAACAAAATCACCTGAGGGCCACAGTGTTCCCTAGCCCTGGCGTTTAGGGGCAGGGTTATGGGTGGGATTTTTGACTCTCTAAGTTAACGCCTAGGGCTTTGAAGTGTCTGTTGAGAAATTCAGCTGTTATCATCCTAGGTGGACTTGCTCTCTCCTGTCCTCCTACTTCAAATGCAGAACTTCAATCGTGTACAAAAGAAGACTGAGTCATATAATAGAACACACCCTTATTCATTGGCTGGCTTCACCAATCATCTCATGGCTGAACTTTTAAAAATACAATCTTAGCCACATACCTATGAAATGTATATGTGTGTGTATACATATGTGAATTTGTTTCTGAGATTATGGAGGCTGAAATTCCCAAGATGGAAGGAAAGCTGGATACCCAGGAAAGCATTTGTTTCCCATTAGGCCTCTTAATTCTCTCCTGACCTTTGATTGATTGCATGAGTCCCACCCCCGTTAAGGGGGGCAATCTGCTTCACTTAGTCTGCCCATCCCGATGTTAATCATATGTGAAACACTCTCTGGAACACAACCAGAATCACATTTGGCCGAATGTCCCGGCACCCTGGTGCTCAGTCACAGTGACACGTGCAAGTAACTATCACACTTGTCCTTTGTCACATTTGTCATTTCCCCTGTTTTTCTCCCAATCTGCAGCTTATATTTGTTCTCTTAATACTGTCTCGTGTTGAGCAAAAACTTTTACTTTTTATAAAGTTGAATTTATCAATGTTTTCTTTAATGGTTTGTGTTTCTTGATAACAAAGAACACTTTGCCTAACTGCGTCGTGAAGATTTTGTCTTATATTTCCTGCTATACTTTTTCTACTTTTATAGTTTATATTTAGTTGCATAATCCATTTTGAGTTAGTTTTTGAGTCAGTATTGAGGTTCAGGTGAATCTTTTTCCTTTGGGGATATGCATGTCCAGTTGTTTCTACACAATTTGTTGACAAGAGAATGCCTTCTCCACTGAATCATATTTGGACCTTTGTCAATCCATTGGGTGGTTGAGACTGGTCTGAGGGCTGTCCTGGTGTTTGGACAGAGAGACAGGGCATGAAGTAGGGTGGTTCTTATGGGAAAAATTAAGGAAGGCACATTATTCTATGAGGCATAGGAAGCCCCAAGCACAATTGGGGTACCTTCTACCAGCATGTTGTAGCACATTCATCTCTGCTGTCTCTACCTCTCCTGTTGCAAAAGCTTGGGTGTGCATAGACACTGAGGTTGAGTGGTGTCTTTGGGCACTTTTGAGCATTGACACCAAAGCTCCAGCATCAAATCTTAGAATATCAAGCAGCCGGGTGGATCACCTGAGGTCAGGAGTTCACGACCAGCCTGACTAGCATGGTGAAGCCCTGTCTCTACTAAACACAAAAAGTTTAGCTGGGCATGATGGTGCATGCCTGTAATCTGAGCTACTTGGGAGGCGGAGACAGGAGAATCGCTTGAGTACCTGGGAGGCAGAGGTTGCAGTGAGCTGAGATCACACAATTGCACTCCAGACTGGGCAACGAGAGTGAAACTCCATCCCCCCAAAAACAAATAAATAAAAATAAAAGAATATCAAGCAGTCAAAGAAGCAGGAAAACATGACACATACTGAAGAATCTAATAATCTGGTTGAAATTGACACACACGTTGGAAATAGAAGAAAAGGACGTTACCGCAATTAGTATAATTGTATTTTAATTAAATGGAGAGGTTGAAGATTTTTTAAATATCAAATTCTGTAGATAAAAACTATGATTTACAGTGTGAAATGGAAGAAGGCACTGGATTAAATATTGCAGAAGAGAAGATTATTAAACTAGAAGGAATAGAAGTTGAAACTAACATAAATGAAACACACATTAACAAATGACTTGAAAACATATAAAGACCATCAGCATCAAAACTTTAAACCCCCCAGTATAGGGCTAAATGGAATCCCTGAAGGGCAGGTAGTGGAGAAGAGAGAAAAAGATATTTAAAACATACTGGATGAAAGATTTAGAAGCTCCATAGAAATCATAAACTTCAAATATTACAGAAATATGATTATCCCAAGAACAAGAAACATGCAGAAAACTTCACCAAGGAACACCTTAATCAAATCCATCAAAACCAGTGATAAAAAGGAAATCCTAAAAGTAATAAAAGGGAAAAGAACATGTTACATACAGAGCACTAAATATAAGGATGGCATAAGATTTCTCATAGGAAATTTTACAAACAAGAAGTTTGCAATAAAGTACTTAAAAAAAGAAAAACTGTCACCTACAAGTCTACACCTGGCCAAATTATCTTTCAAAAATAAACATGAGAAAAAATATTTTTGAACAGAAAACAAAATGATCTCAATTTGCAGATGGTGTGATCCTATGCATAGAAAATCCCAAACAATACATACAAAGGCAAACACACATACATGCACACAGACACCAGACACACACACACACACACACACACACACACACACACTATCAGAGTTAATAAGTGAATTCAGCAAACTTTCAGCAAACAATCCATTGTGATGGCAATGAGCTATCTGAGAAGTAAACTGACACAATGATTTCATTTATAATAGCACCTGTAAGGATAATATGCCTGGGAATAAATTTGTTCAAGAAGGTGCAGTACTTGTACACAGACAACTACAGAACATTGCTCGAGGAGACTAAGGAAGACCTAAATCAATGGAAAGACATCTTGTGTCCATGGGTTGGAAGTTGTAACATGGTTAAGATAAAAATACAACTCAAAGCAATCCACAGACTCAATACAATCCTATCAAAAAGTGGCTTTTTTTACAGGAATGCCTGAGAAGAACTTCATGTTCCTAAAAAACAGCAAGTGTCCCCCCAAAACAAAAGCAATCTTGAAATGCAAGAAGGAACGTTCTCTATTCCAAAGGTCTTTAACTGCTCTCAGTAATACATGGTAATCTTCAATATATAGGCTTTCACACCTTTTTTTTTTTCTTCTTTTGTTTCTAGACACGATCTCACTCTTTCACTCAGGCTGGAGTACAGTGGCAAGATCACACAGCTCACTGCAGCATGGAATTCTCAGGCCGATGACATCCTAGGGCCTCATCCACTGAGTACCTGGGACTACAGGCTCACACCACCACAGCCGGATAATTTTTCTGATTTTCAGTAGAGATGAGGTCTCACTATGTTGCCTAAGCTAGTTTCAAGCTTCTGAGCTCAAGCGACCCTCCTGCCACGGCCTTCCTAAGCGCTAGGATTTGAAGCTGCGCCTGGCTGGCTTTCACATCTTTGCTATGTAGTTTATATTTCTTGGTGTTATTGTAAATGTTTATGAAAGGAATCTTTTAAAAATTTTGTATTAAAATTATATATTTAAGGAATTACATATATTATATATATTTAAGGAATACAACCTGAGGACTACATATACATATACATATACACATACACATACACATACATACACATACACATACACATACACATACACATACACATACACATATACATATACATATACATATACATATACATATACATATACATACACATATACGTATACTATACATAATGAACTAATGCCTACTAGGTGAGGGGCTGCCTTGTGAGCAAACCCAAAGTCCTTGGCTCACAAAGCCTTGTCTAGAAAGATGGAGGGATCAGCAAAGTGGGCACACAGCAGGTTCTGTCTTTAGTGCGGGCACCTGCCCACTCGGGTCTCTGGCAATACTAACCAGGCTTCATGATGGGTGAGGTGAGCTAGGAATGGGAAAGTGGATGACCTCAGATCCAGAGACTGCAGTTGTCACCTGGGGACCTGGCATGTGCGTGGAGGAGTCTCCCACTGATTTGGCCCTGGATCAATGCCCAAACATGCACAAGGACAGGTCTGTTGGCCTCAATGTTTTAGGAGCCACCAGTCTTCTAAAGAGGGTTTGTGGTGGGGAAGAATGTTCAACAAAACAGAAGAGTTATGGGTACTCTAGCTTGGCAACAGAGAATACTTCCTTGTGCTACTAAATGACAATATTTGACAATTATGGATGACACAATTGAGCAACAGCTTTCACTGTTTAACAAGCAGGGTCTCTGGAACACTAGGTTAGTGCTGTCGGAAGTTGACTGAAAAGTCGGTGGTTTGAGCCCATCCAGTCGCATTAATGTTTCTAGCTGATGTGATCTTCCCTCTGAAGAGTCTCTTCCTTGGACCAAATATATCTTCAAGCTTCTCCTCTTCTTGTCTCTTGTCTATTTTCCAAGGTGCCTCTTTGTTGCTTGAGGCAAAAAAAGTTCATTATTAATCCACACCCAGCAAACATCTACCCTTACTTATCCCGGTTTTTAGAGTTTTGAGTTTGTTTGTTTTCTCAGCTTCTCATATTTGGAATACTGGGAATTCCTAAAGTGGAGAACAACAGAACCTGAATCACACCTATGGTGAAGCCACAGGCCCTGGGTGAAAAACCTAATCTGCTCGCGTTTAAAGATAAACCCATTAATTTTCTGTGCTTCCATTTCTATCTGTCTAATGGGCTAAATCAGAACACTTAATTTGTCCAATGTTTAAACGAGCAGTGCAGGAAAAGCGTGGAGCCAATGCCTGTCACGTAGCAATTGGTCAACACGCATGAGCTCCTATCAGCGTCACGGCCTCCAGCATTTCCATCAGGCTTTGATCTTTGAAACGTCCTTCCTGATATGAATGGGTCATTCTTCAAACATTCTCTAACCGATGGCCATGACATTGTTCCAATGTGTATTATTACAAATACAACTGCAGAGACCAGACTGACACATGTATCTGTCGTGCATCACTTGTCTATTTCTCCGTAGATACCTGGAGATGGAATTGTCAGACCAAAGTATTTATACATTTCTGATTTTGCTAATTTCTATCCAAATTACTATGAAAAGAAGCTGTAACAAGTCATACTTTTAATATTTTATGAGAATTCTTTTTTTCTCCATCTTCTGGCCAAAACTGGGAAGTACTTGCCTACCATTTCCTCTGAACTTACTTTTGCCAACATTTCTGTAGTCACACAGTGGGATCACATTGCATGCATGACATCAAACTCAAATCCTAATTGAAAAGAGGGGTTCACAGGACTCTATAAAAATTTATATTCAAAATACAAAAATGCAAACATATATGTGTATACAAATACATATATATACACATACATATATGGGAAAGGAATTTTTTTATTTGGATACCTTATCAAAGTTATATAGACTGGAAAATTTGTTTAGTAAAACAGCAGTCCCCTTGTGTACTCCCAGAGTTTCATCACATAGAAGCAAGTATTTAGTTATTTATCTCCTTATGTCTAAATAGATATTATTCCTTTTTGATTTTCAAGCGTAGGCACTATCTCTCCTTCACATACTTGCTCATCACCACCACCCCCAAACATGCCTCTCACTACCTTACCCTCTAACATGTTTGTGTCCTAGTTTGAGGGCCAACTACTACATTATTATAACTTGTATATGTTATTCAGAGTTCAGTCACACTGGATATACATAGCAGGAAATGAAAGGCCAGTATCTTCAGGGACTCTCTCTCAAGTGGATAAGCTTCAGAGATTTTTGTAATCTTTGGTCACCCTCTCCATCTTTTTCCTATTCCGGGTAAGTACTGGATCTGATGGGCCCAGCTCAGGTCAGGCACTCTCTCCTTGAGCAGGGGAGAGCAGGACATCTTCATGTGTAGTACCAAGAAGACACTGTCCAAAGAGGGACAGGTAGTTCTGAGACAGAAAAGTCAATCTGGGGTATGGGTAGGCAAAACGAGGACACAAAAAAAAACCCATGTCTGTTCTGTGAGGGGAGCATGCAGTAGAGGGTGGATTCAGAGTGGGAGGGGAGAGTTTTGAGAGATATGGGCCATGGATAGCCCTCTGTGGGCTGGAGCCACGCAAGGCTGTTGGGGTCTCTCAGGGGCAGGGAGCTGAGGAGAATCTGCCCTCCCCAACCTGGGAGACTGGTGAGGGGACTGTCCTGGTCACCAGACAGAAATGGGGTCTGGGCCAGGGCAGTTCTGGTGGGAAAGAAAGAACAGGACATCTTCTCCTTAGGTAAGGCTCTGAGTTCAGGTCTTGGTAGGGAGGGAGGTTACCTTGGGCATTGGCCACTGAAGATGGTTGGCCAGATGAGCACACTGAAATCTATGTTCTATAAACTTGCAGTTCTAGTAAAAGAATGACTGCAGTAAAGGGTCTTTAGGAAGAGGAGGTGGAAGACCTGATTTGGGTTGGGGGCTCCAAGAAGAATGTCTGCCTTGCTGTGCAGAAGTCTTCTGCATAACCTCCCTGGTCCCCTTGCTCAGTCTCCCGGCCAGACCCCCAGAGTACCTGCCCTGTGCACCCTGGAAGTACACAGTGAGTTCAGCCAAGGCATCTCCAGCCGGGACTCATCCCTGGGCATTTCTGTGGCCTTGGGTGCCCTGGCCTTCTCCAGGCCCTGTCTTGCAGGCAATCGTCCTGCAGGGGAATGGGAGAAGGAGGCTACTTGACAGTTGACTCTGAGTGGCTCCACAAGTTCCTGACTTAGCTCCTAGTCACTTGCAAACCTATATACCCCCATCTCATCCCCCAAATGGTGAAAAAGAAACTTTGCCAGGACTCATGCCAGACAAATAGAACAGAACCGTTCCATAGAGCCAAGGTCTTAGGACATCAATAAGAGATGGAAACCACCTGCTAGAAGGTGCCACAGTGGGAAGCTTGTTGGAAGGGAGCAGTCACTGAACTGTCAGGGTGAATCCTGGCTCCTGGCCCTCACACGCCCTTTCTCCCCTTCCTTCCTTCTCTCCTCCCTCCTGTCTGCTCTTTCCCCTCTCTCCCCTGCATCCCTCAGGTACCTTCCATGGGCCCTCACCCCTCCTTTTCAGAGGCTCCAAAGTGAGCCCTCAAAATACTTGGTAACCTTGGGCATTTCCAAAACTGGAGAGATTTGGCCACACCATTTTTAGGAGCTAGGAACGTCCTCCAGAGCTCTTGCCTAAATTTTTCTGCTGATGAGAAGAGAACAAAAGAGTTTCCATCTGATCTGGTCCTAAGGCAACTGCTCCTTGGAGCAGAGTCTGGGCAGGAAGAAGGGGGTTGCCCAGGGCCCCAGACTTGCCCCTCCCAGCTGCTGTGCTCCTCTCCCCTTCACTGCGGGAGGCTGGCCAGGGATCGGGAACCTCTGTTCTCCACAGTTGCTGCGATCCCAGGCCCAAATCTAAATATTGGCTGATTTAGGAGGCTAAGGGAGGCAATTCCCTGGAGAGAGGTGTCAGGATCTGGGACAAGAGCAGCATCTGGTTGCCATCCACAGAGACCCCAAGGACAGGAATCCAGTGGTAGCCTGTTGGAGGGGATCCCATGACAATAAAATGAAACGTGTGCATTAGAACTGGAGCCAAGACCAGGAGCTGAAAAACTGCGCCGTCCTAAGGGATGAAGGAATTAGGGAATCCCGGAAGTAAAGTTTTTCATATAGGTCATTTCTTCCAAAGAGACACAGGGCAATGGCCCAATGACATGTATAAAAGAAAACTCAGGGTCTAGGATTGAGGGGACGCAGCCTTTTCAGTGGAGGAGACCTGTCACCTGGAGGCCCAGGGTCACCCTGAGAGGGGAGGGGTCTTGCTGGGTCGCTGGGTCTAGGACTCCAATTGCACACAGCCAGTGGCCTGGACGGTGGGTGACCATGACTGGGGCAATTTCCCCCATTCCGCTTAGGGAGCAATAGGAATATCATTGGCATTATACAGAAAGGTCCCACTGAGACTTGAACGCTGATCACCGTACTCAGAGTCCAAAGCGCTCGCCATTACATCATGGAACCTCACAATAGCTCGTAACTGGAGGGCACTGAGTTCACAGAGCAGCCGTAGTTCCCACGCACCTCTGTTCATGCATTTCCTCTGATCCCTCAAGCAACACCGAGGAAGGTGGACCTGAGATGGAGGAGTCGTCCTCTTTCTTTCTCTGCCCTCTCCTTTGATCAACTTTTACCATTTCCTTTGCATCTTAGAAAATGAGGCAAAATCCAGTTTGGGCTTAGGGCCAGAGAAGAGCCCTTGAGGCCTCCCTCATGGAAAACATACTCTCTCAGTTTACCAGAGTTTCCTGTACCAAGGGGAAATTTCTGCAAACAGTAATGTTATATTCTTTTTGCCTTCCCTCTTTTCCCTTTGCCCAGGGAGGCCAGATGATTGTCAGAACAGGACTTGGGACTTCCTGGGTGCCTAGCCCCCTTCCTCCATGTAATAAATAATAGCTGAAACCAAGCAAGTGGGATTGGGAGGCAGGGAAGCTTTCATTTTCTTTTTGATATACTTTTATGCATTTGCTTGGTTGGTTTTGGCAAGATTTTCTCACCAGAAATGGAGATTTGTTGGATTGAAAATAAAAAGTAATCAGCCATGTTTTACATTCAACATTTATTGAACCCCTGCTGATAAAGCACTTGCCAGCTTCAGTGGGGCTGCTAGAGATGAGAGTACACAATCCCTGACTTACAGATACCTTGTCCCAACTAAGGCCTAGGTTATCTGAAGGGGAGATTATCAATGGCAAATGCAGGCTCCTCCTGTGGAAAGAAATTCTGCTTCCTGGAGCTGGTGGTCTCTTCTCCCACCAGTTCAAAGAAGCTTCTCTTGCACTGTGGATCTGCCCTCCCTGCCCCACAAGGTTAGGGTATGTGCCATTGAGGCTCAGGGCATATGTGGGAAATTCAGACATTCTGTAACACCTGCTGTCTCTTCCCACGCAGGTGAACCCTTGCTGAAGCAGGACAGCAAGCAGGTCCAGGTGGACCTCCAGGACCTGGGCTATGAGACTTGTGGTCAAAGCAAGAATGAGGCTGAACAGGAGGAATCCACCAGTCCCGGTAAGAGCACAGGGTGTGGGGCTCACCTTCCCTCCCTGGAGTCAGCTGTCACATTTGGGTGCTGTTGGCCAATTCCACACCTGACAAGTAGTGGGGAAGAGGAGGACAGGAGGTTAATAGGAGAACTCTTACCCAAAATGAGGCTGAGTATAAGTTTGAATTTCTACAATGAGTTTGTGGCATACTGCTAATAATAATAATAATCATATGAAGTTCTATCCAACTGATTATTATAGAAATACTAAGGCCTACTTAGAGACCACATGAGGTTTTGGAAACATGCAAACCATAAGTTAAAAATAATTTTGGTTTGCATTATAAAAGGACTACAACTATAGGGCCACCCACCACATTCAAAACGAGAAGAGAAGAAAAACACAGTCTCTCTCATTCTTGAGGAAGTGTAGTGTGGCAGTTAAGAGAAAAGATCCTGGGGCCAGACTTGTTGCTTCAAATCCCAATTTGTAAACTTTCCTATGCCTCAGTTTCTTCAAATGTTAAAATAGTAATAAAGGAACTACCTACCCCATCAGGTACTAATGTCAATTAAATGAGTAAATTCTTATAAAATGCTTTAGAACAGTGTCTGGCATCGGGTAAAATGCTGTGGATTAGTTCTCATTCTGACTACCACTGCCCCAATACACTGATGTTAACATGCTGATATATTTATTCAAAGTCTTATTTTCCTTTGCCTATTTTTCACACAGTTGTAACCCAATAAACTTTTAAATTATAGTAAACTTTAGAGAGCATTAAACTTGCAGCATGCAGAAATAGCTTGTCCTGCGTTCTTGTGGCTATCCTAACTAGATAAGGCCATGTTAATGGCTTGAGAAACATCAGTGTGTGTGGAATGAACACAGGACGTTGGAGGATTTGAATTCAGGCTCTGCCATGTGCTAGTTTGAGTGATCTAGAACAAGCTGGTTTACCACCTCTCTTTAAGTTTTGGTTTCCCCAGTCAGTAAAATAGAAAGTGGTGAAACCTAACTTGTGGGTATAAGGAGGATAAGAAATACTGTATTTGAATGCCTAGTACAGTGTCAGGGTTGAATAAAGTACGACTTCACCTTATTCCCTAGTAATTATTGTCCTCATGACCAAACCTGCCTCCTCTCAAAGGCAGTGGCCACAACAGCACATCCAACTTTTATTTAGGAAGACATCTTTGTCTTTTTTCAGAGCATGAGGAGCACAGCAGCCGCAAGGAAATGGTCCTGGTGGAGGGGCTGTGCTCTGAGCAGGGGCGCCGGGGCTGAACGCTGGCTAGTTCCTCTGAGAGGAAGCCCTTGGAGAATGAACTAGGGAGGCAGGAAGAGTTCTGGGTATATGGAAAGTCAGAAAACATCTGGGTCCTATGAAAGGACATCAAAGATCTGAAGGCCCAGCTGCAGAATGCCAACAAGGTCATTCAAAACTTCAAGAGCCGGGTCCAGTCCCTCTCAGTTACAAGTGATTATTCATCTAGTCTGGAAAGACCCTGGAAGCTGAGAGCTCTTGACACCCTGGAGGGGTCTTCACCTCATAGTGTCACTGATGAGGATGAGGTGTGGCTGTCTGATGGCACTGGGGCTTTCTACTCTCCAGGACTTCAGGCCAAAAAGGACCTGAAGAGTCTCATCCAGAGAGTATCCCAGCTGGAGGCCCAGCTCCCAAAAAATTGACTAGAAGGGAAGCTGGCTGAGGAGCTGAGATCAGCCTCGTGGCCTGGGTAAGGATGGCACTGTCTGGGCACTTTCTGGATTGAAAATGTGTAAGTTTGTGCTTGGTGTAGGGTAGCTCAGGCAGTTGGAAGAAACAACATGTCTGGGTATTCACAAGGACACTGATTTAAATGGTAGATATAGGTCTGTGGAAAAGACAGGTAGGCAAGCAGGAGGGCATAGGATGATGTCCCAGTATCTGGGAGATACCAGATCTCAGGGATTTCCTCTTAGGGATATATCAGTAAAGTAATAGTACATATGGTATGGTATAGTATAGTATAGTATAGTATAGTATAGTATAGTATAGTATAGTATAGTGGTAATACTGGAATCAGACTGCCTAGCTCTGATGCTTACTACCCATGCAACCTTCTTAACCTTTCTGAGCCTTTGTCATTACCTATTAAGTGAGGATGATAACAGAACCCATCTCAAAGGGTGGATATTAGGTTTACATGAATTAATACAAGTGCTGGCCAGGTGTGGTGGCTCATGCCTGTAATCCCAACACTTTGGGAGGCTGAGGTGGGCAGAACACCTGAGGTCAGGAGTTCAAGACCAGGCTACCCAACATGGTGAAACCCTGTCTCTACTAAAAATATAAAAATTAGGTGGGCATGGTGGTGCACCCCTGTAATCCCAGCTACTCAGGAGGCTGAGGCAGGAGAATCGCTTGAACCTGGGAAGTGGAGGATGCAGTGAGCCGAGATGGTACCACTGCACCCCAGCCTGGGTGACAGAGCAAGACTCTGTCTCAAAAAAAAAAAAAAAAAAAATTAGTACAAGTGCTTAGAATGGTGCCCAGCATACATTAAGCTCTCAATGCTATTTGCCATAGTTATCAGTGTTATTGACACTTTGTGTTGAAAACACAGACATTCATCTTGGTATGTGTCCTGGTTATCTACTGCTAAGTAAGAACCACTCTAAAACTTAGTGACTTCAAACAGTACTTTATTATGCTTCACGGTTCTGTGGTTTGACTGGGCTCAGCTGGGTGGCTCTCACTTAGGGTCTCTTGTTTTGGGTCTCATCAGTTGATGGCATGAGAGTTTATGTGATGGCCATGATTGCAAAATACAGTCAGCCACAGTATCACAACACAGAAGAAATTCAGACATCAGGTGGTGGTTAAAACAGAAGACATGAAAGGTCCTATCTAGACTTAGGATGAGATGAGTCTAATTATTCATTGAGTATCTGCTGTGAATCTCTGTGATGCTGGTGCTGTAAGGGATGTGAAACGCAGAACTATCTTCATTCTCACAGACCTTACGATTTATCTAGGGACATATAATTAACATATATAGAACAGTTGAAGAACAGTGGCATGGTAAATTTTTTGTTTTGTTTTGTTTTGATACAGAGTCTCACTCTGTCACCCAGGCTGGAGTGCAGTGGTGCCATCTCGGCTCACTGCAACCTCTCCCTCCCAGGTTCAAGCAATTCTCCTGCCTCAGCCTCCCAAGTAGCTGGGATTACAGGCATGTGCCACCATGCCCAGCTAGTTTTTTTGTGTGTTTTTAGTAGAGGAGGGGTTTCACCATATTGGCCAGGCTGGTCTCAAACTCCTGACCTTGTGATCTGCCTGCCTCAGCCTCCCAAAGTGCTGGGATTACAGGCGTGAGTCACCATGCTCGGCCCATACTAAATTTTTCAGTGCAATACTTTATCAGGGTAGAATTTACTCTTAAATACCTCCTATGGCTTACGTGCCAGAATTCAGTTTGGGGGAGTTCCTTAGAGATGTTCTCATAGAAATCTCTACAGAAGCCCCCATAACTTATCATCCACCCTTTCCTCTTCTGTCCTGCATTAGGAAATATGATTCCCTGATTCAGGATCAGGCCCGGGAACTGTCTTACCTACGGCAAAAAATACGAGAAGGGAGAGGTGTTTGTTATCTTCTCACCCAGCATGCAAAAGATACAGTAAAATCTTTTGAGGATCTCCTAAGGAGCAATGACATTGACTACTACCTGGGACAGAGCTTCCGGGAGCAACTGGCCCGGGGAAGCCAGCTGACAGAGAGGCTCACCAGCACACTCAGCACCAGTAGGTTGGCCACAGGGCTTTGGATACTCTCAGTCACCCCACAGTTCCAGCCCCTGGTGGCCACCACATCTCCACTGCAACTTTTTAACGTAGGGTCCTGTTTCTATTTCATTTCCTGGGGCTAATATAGGATCAAGACTGCTCAATGGGGAGCATGGAGAGGAACACACAGGGCTGGAGATGCCATGGTTACAACTCTAGAAACTTCACCACTCATGGAATGTGACCTGTGGGGCAGGGGAGACATCTCTCTGGTGCTAAGAGGGAGTAGGGGACATGACATGGAAGGGCCTTGTTATAGGAGGAAGAGCCGTGAGCTAAGAATTGCAAGACGTCGAGGCGCTGAGGCCAAAGGGTCCGTGAGGAAACAGGCGCAGCTCGCGCCCCTCGGCCTACGGGAGGGAGGGCAAGGAGAGTCCTACGGTTCCTGGGAGGACGAGAAGAGCCAAGAGCCCCGACGGCCGGCGCCGGGGAAAAGGCCCCGAGGCGGGGTCCGCATCCCTGGAAGGGCGGCGTCCACACTCCTGAGAGGCACGGGGCGCCCAGGGCTCGGACGCTCAAAGCCCGCCGGCTCCTGCAGCTTCTGGGAGCCGAAGAGTGTCAGCCGGGAGGATCCCGCACACGGCGCTTAGTTCTGGAACTGCATACCCAGGGGAGGATGCGGGAGCCCGAAGCCCGGGTATGTGTCCCCGAAGCCCGGGTGTGGGTCCCCATGGTTTTCGTGTTGGGGGTGGGCGCGGAACGCTAAGCCTGGGCCTATTGGGAGCCATAGTCTTCTTGATGGCTGGTGCTTATTGGGCTTTTTTCAGTCGAATTTCGAAATGCAGTTGAATTTCTTACTTTGGAAACGATAATAGAAATGGCTGACCTAAGATTTTCATGATGATATTTTGCCTTTTTTGGTGCATATGCAGTTTCTGTGGTGTAGTGGTTATTATGTTCGCTTCACATATGAAAGGTCTCTGGTTCGAGACTGCGTGGGAACATCGTGTTTTGTTTTGTTTTGTTTTTTTGTCCCTAAATTTAGTGAGTTTAATCGAGGTTGGGAAACAAACAGAAAAGTAGTTGAACCTGTGGCTACACTTTAGACCTCCTCAATCTAGAGAGATCGTTGACCAGGCTACAGTTTCCACTGGTCTGCCAGCAAGAGGCCTGCTTAATATTAGCTTTGGTTCCAGAAATTCCTTCAGGTTCTCTTCATTCTCTTCTATCGCCTGTATTTTCACAGGCTGACACTGAAAGTGGATGACATCTTAGTGCATTTCCTAAGGGTCCCGCTTGGCTTCGCTTTACTCTGGTAAGTTGCAGATCTGGCTGATTTGCAAGACAACAAAAACAAAATATTTTTTAAAAAGGTTCTAAATCTGCATCTGGAAGTCATAGAGTCAATATTCCTAAATCACATGAATTATGTATATACATTTGCATGCATACCCCTTCCCCAAATAATCCTCAGAAAACCGGTTAAGTTTTAGCATCTGTGACTCTGAGATGCATATGAGGCCTTTGTAAATTTAGAAGTTGAGAGTAGAAAGTACAGGTTTGTATTTTAGAAGGAGATTTGGGAATAAATATAGCTCTGGTGGATATAGATCATATGTTAAGGTTTGTTGGCCAGAGCTGGTGTGTGTCTTGGGTGTTGGGCAAAGAACAGAGAACAGCCAAAACTCTGCGAGGTCAATGTGAAGGGTGATTTCCTTGGTGGGCTCAAGTTTATGACGCAGCCTGGACCTAGCTTGGCTTCTCAGCTAGAGAAGAAGCATGATTCCATGTCACAGCTCCTGTCTTTGAAAAAGTCATAATGACTCCCAGACCCAACATATGGAGAAAACTCTGGATTTGTCTCTTCAGTTGAATGTTTCCAGAGAAAATTGAGGAAAGAAATCTCTCTACTATTTGAACTTCATCAAAAGACTAATATGCTAATATTTGACCGTCAATATTTCCTTAAACTAGTCTACTGCTTACATAGCTAATACATCAAAGCATATTAACTTAGGAAATGGGATTCTCCCAAACAAGGAAACATTGACAGCGAGCGTTCTTCATCTTTTCATATCACATTTCCTTCAAATGCTTTATACATCTTCAAGCAGACAAATAATAGTATTATAATGATTACGAGACTGATCATTACTCTTTTGCCAAAAAAACCAGCGACAAAAGACTAACTTAGTGGACCAACCTTTGTTTCTTCATTATCTCTACCTTGGTTCTGTCCTTTTATTTCCTCTTTCTTCTAATTCTGCTTCTGCTACTGATTTCCTCCCTGGATTTGAACTTTACTTACCTAAACTACCAGTTAGGTTACCTTCTTAGAACCTCTAAGGCAGCAGTTTGAGGTTGACGATGGAAGATTTAGGATTAGAAAAAAGAAACGTGAATGAATTTCTGATGTTTTATTATAGGGGTTTGTAATGCAGGTAGAAAGAAAGACCTTTTTCAGAGTTAAGAGTTTGATCCGACAAATGAGCTATTTTGATATTTATAACGTTGTCTAGTAAAAGTTTCCTGTAAAAACACATTTGGTTTGGATGTCTTTGTTAGCTTTTAGTCGACACTTGAAAAAACCGCTTGGAACGGTTTCTAAGTCTTTGTGGATACTGTTTTCTGTTATCCTGCAGGCGGTTGTTACGCAGAGGCATTGGTGGTTCAGTGGTAGAATTCTCGCCTCCCACGCGGGAGACCCGGGTTCAATTCCCGGCCAATGCAAGAGGGTCTTTTTCACCCCGCTGTTGCTCTTTATCTGTCTTTTACGCTGAAAATCATACTGCATAACCTAATAGTGCATTTAGGGGCTTGGCCACCACAAGGTAAAGTGACGACAACACTCACGAAAGTAGCGGCAGGAGACATTCAGGAGACTAACTCAGGACCCCATGCAGTTGTTGGACTCAAACAGCTTAGCAAGCTGACAAGCATGAAGTGTTTCCGGTGAGTCACTGCAGTTTTCATACTGGTACCTGTGACTTTCATCTATTCACTGGAAGGATCCCTGCAAACCCGAAGAACCATCAGGTTCCTGATTCGCGTGCTGGACCTTGGGCTTACCGTTGAGCCACTATGGAGAGGATCAAGAAATGACGCTCTTGGAAGGAGAGAAGCTGCGGGCAGGACAGTCACCTCAGAGGTCCAAGAGGCGTCAGCGGCCCAAAGAAAGGGGTGGTGTGTGGGCAAGAATCTGCGTGGAGATGAGGGGAGCGGCGGAGACTGGTCCTTGCGCAGAGGCGGCCAGTAGACCCTCAGGGCTGTACCCCAGACACCGTGAACCGAATTTGCTCACATCGTCAGCGACCGCGGCCTCCGCGTGTTTTGTGGGCCCATCGGTGTTCCCCGAGAGATTCCGTGTGTCTGGCAATGTGTGTCAACAGGTGTTGGCCTGAAATTTGGCCGGGCACGGTGGCTCACGCCTGTAATCCCAGCACTTTGTGAGGCCGAGGCGGATGGATCGCTTGAGGTCAAGAGTTCAAGACCAGCCTGGCTAACATGGGAAAATCCCGTCTCTACTAAAAATACAAAAATTAGCCAAATGTGGTGGCATGCACCTGCTATTCCGGCTACTTGGGAGGCTGAGGCAGGAGAATCGCTTGAACTCAGGAGGCGGAGGTTGCAGTGAGCCAAGATCGCGCTACTGCAGTCCAGCCTGGGCGACAGAGCGAGACTCCGTCAAAAAAGAAAGAAAAAAAAAAAGCAGCGAAAGAAGGCAGAGATGTCAATGGGACAAAGAGACCTCCCAGGAGGCTTGTTGTAGAGGCAGTGGTCGGATCCTGAGAGATGAGATTTTTTTTTTAATTATGTAGCAGAATGGGGAGAGAAAGGGAGAAGCGCACGAAAGACAGAAAAGCACGAAAATCTGCGGACGTCCAACAATAAAGCAGATAAAATAGTGTGAGTGTTTTTACATTCAAAACATAGAAGTGCAATGCTTGTCAGCAGGCTTTGTGGTCGTGTAGTAGTTAATACTTGTAGTTGTGGTTGCCACAACCTGGGTTCTAATCTGAGTCACAGTAGTGTTTTCTAACCTGCAACTGTGGCTAATAGACCTGTCGTTTGCTTTGCCTTTAATCCTAGCAGCCTCCAGAGAGCAGAGTAAACCTCTGGCCCTGAAGGGCGCCAGCTTCTGGAGTTTAGCCCACAGCGCAGAAACTAGGGGGCGGCCTGGCCGATAGGAAAACTTGGACATGCTCTTTGTCTCACAATTGAGCAGGAAAAATTCCCGTAGGTGAAGATGCCGCCTCTCAAGGGCCCTTTGTCTGTAGCTTCCACTGATGAAATAATGCGGTTATAGTCTTTTCTGGTAGAGAAAACGGCTGTATCAGTGGAATTTTTTAAAAACACAAAACGAGGACGAGTTTTTAATGAGCTGACAATAAAATCTAAACTAGTTGTCATGGTCTGCACAGGCTTGCCTCCATTCCCCATCTGCTAATTTTTATGAGAACAGTAAATTATTACTATTATTATTGTTTTTGAGACGTAGTCTTGTTCTGTCACCCAGGCTGGAGTGCCGTGGCTCAATCTCGGCTCACTGCAACCTGTGTCTCCCAGGTTCAAGCAATGAGAACAGTAAAGAAGCTACAGTTCACATAAAGTGCACAAATCTTTAGTGCAATTTGTTTAGTTTTGATCAATGTTATCACCACCCAGCTCAAGTTATAGAAAATTGCCATCATCTGAGAAAGGCCTGTTAGAGCCCCTGTCCAGGTGATTCCCACCCTGTGTCCTCTTAGTTATCACTATTCTGATGTCTATTCCCACAGGTTACAATTGCCTGTTCTTAAAGTTCACATGAATGAATGTACATATGTTTTGTGTCTGGCCTTTTTTCTGCAGTTACATTCATTATACTCATGAGATATATCCATGTAGTTTCATAGATCACTTCTCAATTTTGGGGTTATTGAATTCTTGTGCTGAATATTCTTATAACAGTCTTTGTGTGCACTTGAGATTCATGGAAGTCCTTCAATTGCTGGGTCATGACCTGAGTATAAGTTTAACATCAGTATAAATTGCCAGTCTTCTAGAATGTTTTTCACCAGCGATGACAGTTGAAGTGGCACCAAATTCTTGTCAGCATTTGGTGTACTAACTTTGTTAAATGTAGCTATGCTCTCAGACCAATCTGGCCAACATGGCGAAACCCTGTCTCTACTCAAAATACAAAAATTAGCCGGGCATGGTGGCATGCACCTGTAGTCCCAGCTACTCCAGAGGGGGATGTTGCGGTGAGTCAAGATCGCACCATTGCACTCCAGCTTGGGTGACAGAATGAGACCCTGTCTCAGAAAAAAAAAAAAAAAAGTAGCCATACACTGGTGAGTAGTTAGTGCTATCTCAGTGTGGAATTAATTTGTATTTGCCTAATGAGCAATCCTATGAAGCATACTTTCTTGTGGCTTCCAGCATATAAGAAACTCTCCTTTGCAAAGGACTATTCAAATATTTTGCCCTATTTTATTTGGCTTAGCTCTATATTACTGATTTACAAAAGTTCTCTTGTATATTCAAGAATTGAGTCTTTTTTTTGACTTTTTTTATTATACTTTAAGTTTTAGGGTACATGTGCACAACATGCAGGTTTGTTACATATGTATACATGTGCCATGTTGGTGTGCTGCACCCATTAACTCGTCATTTACATTAGGTATATCTCCTAATGCTATCCCTCCCCCTCCCCCCACCCCACAACAGGCCCTGGTGTGTGATGTTCCCCTTCCTGTGTCCAAGTGTTCTCATTGTTCAATTCCCACCTATGAGTGAGAACATGCAGTTCTTGGTTTTTCGTCCTTGCGATAGTTTGCTGAGAACGATGGTTTCCAGCTTCATCCGTGTCCCTACAAAGGACATGAACTCATCAATTTTTATGGCTGCATAGTATTCCATGGTGTATATGTGCCACATTTTCTTCATCTAGTCTATCATTGTTGGACATTTGGGTTGGTTCCAAGTCTATGCTATTGTGAATAGTGCCGCAATAAACATACGTGTGCATGTGTCTTTATAGCAGCATGATTTATAATCCTTTGGCATTTATAATCATTTATAATAATCATTTATTTATAATCATATAAATCAAATAAATATATAATTTATTTATAATCATTTGGCTTTTAGCAGCATGATTTATATACCCAGTAATGGGATGGCTGCGTCAAATGGTATTTCTAGTTCTAGATCCCTGAGGAATCACCATACTGACTTCCACAACGGTTGAACTAGTTTACAGTCCCACCAACAGTGTAAAAGTGTTCCTATTTCTCCACATCCTCTCCAGCACCTGTTGCTTCCTGACTTTTTGATGATCGCCATTCTAACTGGTGTGAGATGGTATCTCATTGTGGTTTTGATTTGCATTTCCCTGATGGCCGCTGATGATGAGGATTTTTTCATGTGTCTTTTGGCTGCATAAATGTCTTCTGAGAAGTGTCTGTTCATATCCTTCGCCCACTTGTTGATGGGGTTCTTTGTTGTTTTCTTGCAAATTTGTTTGTGTTCTTTGTAGATTCTGATGAATCTACAGATGAGTAGATTGCAAAAATTTTCTCCCATTCTGTAGGTTGCCTGTTCACTGTGATGATAGTTTCTTTTGCTGCACAGAAGCTCTTAAGTTTAATTAGATCCCATTTGTCAATTTTGGCTTTTGTTGCCATTGCTTTTGCTGTTTTAGACATGAAGTCCTTGCCCATGCCTATGTCCTGAATGGTATTGCCTAGGTTTTCTTCTAGGCTTTTTATGGTTTTAGGTCTGACATTTAAGTCTTTAATCCATCTTGAATTAATTTTTGTATAAGGTGTAATGAAGGGATCCAGTTTCAGCTTTCAACATATGGCTAGCTAGTTTTCCCAGCACCATTTATTAAATAGGGAATCCTTTCCCCATTTCTTGTTTTTGTCAGGTTTGTCAAAGATCAGATAGTTGTAGATGTGTGGCATTATTTCTGAGGGCTCTGTTCTCCTCCATTGGTCTATATCTCTGTTTTGGTACCAGTACCATGCTGTTTTGGTTACTGTAGACTTGTAGTATCATTTGAAGTCAGGTAGCGTGATGCCTCCAGCTTTGTTCTTTTGGCTTAGGATTGACTTGGTGATGCGGGCTCTCTTTTGGTTCCATATGAACTTTAAAGTAGTTTTTTCCAATTCTGTGAAGAAAGTCATTGGTAGCTTGATGGGGATGGCATGGAATCTACAAATTACCTTGGGCAGTATGACCATTTTCACGATATTGATTCTTCCTACCCATGAGCATGGAATGTTCTTCCATTTGTTTGTATCCTCTTTTATTTTGTTGAGCAGTGTTTTGTAGTTCTCCTTGAAGAGGTCCTTCACATCCCTTGTAAGTTGGATTCCTAGGTATTTTATTCTCTTTGAAGCAATTGTGAATGGGAGTTCCCTCATGATTTGGCTCTCTGTTTGTCTGTTATTGGTGTATAAGAATGCTTGTGATCTTTGCACAAGAATTTTGTATCCTGAGGAGTCATTTTTAAAATAAATATATTGCAAATGACTTTTCCCAGTCAGTGAAAAGTCTGACTGAAAGCTGTCAACTGAAAAATCACACAATTTATAAATTTAGAAGGGAGATTTTATTTTTTATAAATGGTTACAGCCTGCAAGGTGGCCATTCCCACAGACTGGGAGGCATACCCTCCTGCTGAAACCGAAAAGTAGGTTT
This sequence comes from Homo sapiens, assembly GCF_000001405.40. Lineage (NCBI taxonomy): Eukaryota > Metazoa > Chordata > Mammalia > Primates > Hominidae > Homo > Homo sapiens. The sequence continues at coordinate 16,540,976 of NC_000001.11, read as the reverse complement.
CCAGGGAGGGGAGGGGGGAACAGGGATTTATGTTGATGTGGTGGGCCACATATGCATATTCAACAGGGAATAGGAGGAGCTCTGAATATTCATGAAGGGATCCTGCTGCATGCATGCTGAGTAAACAAGCCTGTTACATGCAACCCATGTTCACTTTGGGGTGGAGATGACATTTAAATACATTATAATTAGGCCCTATGCTTCAAAAGGGGAAGTAGGGACACAAAGGCAGTCAAGTGCACAGCCTCTGTAAACCGTCCAGAACCCGTCCACAGCCAGTGCTCTCTTATCAAGGGGAAGTTACTGAAATCAGTCTCTTGTCCAATCAAAGCTGTAGTTATGGCTTGTGTAGGGAGGGCTCAGTCAGTTTATGCTAATGGGTGAGCTGCAAGTGCTTCAGCATTGCTTATCTCAAGGCCAGTGCTTGTTTAGCTAGAGGAAAAAAAGGAAGAAGAAAAAAACCTGTGGCAATTAGAACATAGTTTATTCTTTAAGTTGAGGGGTGCATGACTTAACCTTGCCTGGCATGGCCTTAGGTCTTGTTTATAATATGGTATCTTACTACTGTAAGGACTCTGTTCTGTCAGTCTTAGGATCTCTATTTTAACAATAATGCTGGTCAGTTGTGTCTAAACCACAAAGGGAGAGAGTATAAGGAGAGGTGTCTGAGCTTCCAAGTACTGGCCAGGAACTCAGTATTTAAGACTTCTCTGGGGTCTCCTTGGCAAAGAAGCCATCTGTCCAGCTAGTTGGGTGGCTTCAGATTTTAATCTTAGTTCTGAAAGCATTTAATTTGATGAAATTTTGCCATATTTTTTCTTTATTTTTAAAGCCCGTCATGTTCTATAAAAATCTTTCTACTCAGGATGTGAATGGATTCTCTTAATTTTATCTCTCTATGAGTTCCAGCGTTTCAGTTTTAATTTTTAAATTGATGACATCTAAAATTCTACTCCTAACCAAAACATTTTTGGGGGTGACTAAGGACAACTCCAAAAATCTTCCATAAATGGAAGTAAGACTTACTCCTTAAAGAACTTTCTGGGATCCTGAGCTGCGGGGCACAGTGGCTTTAGTGCACCTCTGCTCTTAAGACTATTCAGAAATTGTCTTTGTGAACCCATCAGGCTGTTTCAAAATCAGCAATTTAGGGCTTGCTTGCAACACGCAGTTAAGCAGCAGCTGTTTTTTGGATCTCATGAGTGCCTGCATGCATACTTCCCTGGGAATTTTCTAAATTTGAATTCTCATGGTATTTCAAGTGGCTTAGTTGTCTCTTTCTTTTGCCTACAGCCACATACATACCACCAAATCCTGCACTCCAAGCTTCTCCTTCCTCACCCTGAACTCCCAACCTCCAGTTAGACAATCCACATCTTCCCACACCTGCCTCAGGCTCCATCAGGCCACTGTGCCTCCCGCAGCAACCAGGCCAGGGGGAATCTGGATTCCTATTACACTTCTGAGGAAGGTGATCAGGGGGCGTGGAGGATGTGGGTGGGAAGGGGTGAGATTGAGGGCAGGAGTAGACTGTGGTCTTCTGTCTTCTACCTCGTTGGCCCAGGTGCTGCTCTTCCTCCGGTTGTCTGCTTTCAGCCCTGTGTAGGGAATCAGGTCTGCGCCCTCATCTTCCTGACTCTCATTTTCTGAGGAACCTGAATGGATGAGCCGTCGCTCTTGTCCCACACATTCTGTCCAAAAGGTGCCCTCCTCTCTACTTGCTCCGGTGCCTGCTCTCTGAGCTCTGACACTCAGGCTGGGATGCCGCCCAGTACAGAAGCTCTGCAGCCCTGCAGGGCTCTGACTGTTCCACACCAGCAGGATAAAGGCCACAGGGCATGCTGTGGTCGAAAAGCATTCAGAGGTGTGGGCTGAAGGCCTCTCTTTCCACAGTCCCTTTGAACACCCCATGGAAGTCAGCACCCCTTTGAGGAACGAGGTGGCCCAAGGCCTGGCTTCACATGCAGGCCATTGGGTCCCAGTGGGTCCTCTCTGTGCCTGGTATAGCCAACGGCTTCATGCATCTTACCCGGTTTCCTCTCCTCCACCACCCAAGCTCCTCCTCGACCCCCTTGCTCAGCTGTTCTCAGGACAGCAAGATCCCCAGCCCTTGGAAAAGCCCCATCTCCAGTGCTTGGGGAGGGAGTTGGGTTCAGGTCGTCTAACCACAGAAGGACAGAGAACCTGAGGCAGGAGGAAATCCTTTCCCTTGCTGGGTCTCTTGGCACAACCCATCCAGGGGTCTGGGTCAGGGTCCAGGTATACTCTACCCTCCTATAGGACCTGGATTTTTAGGCCCCCGAGGTTGGTCAATGTGGAGTCTTTCCCACTGTTCACCTGGGAACTGAAGGAATATCCCATGGGGCCCTCTCTTACTCATTAGAGACACCCAGAAAATACTCCATCCAGCAGAAACTGGGCGCAGTGTACCAGACCACTATAATTATAACTGCAGGGTGTGGAGGTCAGACACGTTTTGTGGCTATTTTCTCTCTGTCTGTGACTTGCTTGCCTTTTCACTTTCTTAGTGGTATCTTTTGATGAGAAGGTGTGGCTAATGTTGATGAAGTCTCATTTATCATGTCTTTCTTATATATGTATTTTTTGTGTCCTGCTTGTTGGTAGGGTGATCTTTGCCTACCAACAAGTCACAAACTATCCTTGAAATGCTTTATATCTTTAACTTTTAAGTTTTGGTGTGTAATGCGGCTGAAATTACTTTTGTGTGTAGTGTGAGGGAGAATAACATTGTTGGTCTCCCCACATCCATATAAAAGTCCATTAATTGAAATGATTTATTTTCTTTTATTGAACTGCTTTTATTGAAAACCCATTTATTGACCGTATAGCTGTGGATCAGTTTCAAGTCTCTTAACTCAGTCTGTTTATCTATTTGTCACTCCTGATGCCTTGTCTGTAATAGCTTATAGTAAGCCTTAAAGTCAGATAGTACAAGTCCTTGTTCTTTTTTACACATTGCAATAATTTTTGAAATAGGTAATAACTCATAAAACCATCACACACATCAGGATATGCTGTCACTTCATCCCTTTCTGACATGGTTTGGCCGTGCCCTCACCCAAATCTCAACTTGAATTGTATCTCCCAGAATTCCCATGTGTTGTGGGAGGGACCTAGGAGGAGGTAATTGAATCATGGGGGTGGGTCTTTCCTGTGCTATTCTCCTGACAGTGAATAAGTCTCACTATCTGCTGGGTTTATCAGGGGTTTCTGCTTTGGCTTCTTCCTCATTTTCTCTTGCTGCTGCCTTGTAAGAAGTGCCTTTTGCCTCCCGCCATGATTCTGAGGCCTCCCCAGTCATATGGAAATGTAAGTCCAATTAAACCTCTTTTTCGTCCTGGACTATGTTATGTATTTGTCAGCGGCGTGAAAACGGACTAATACACTCTCATTTCTGAGTGGAACACATGCTGTCACTCACATATGCTGGTTGCTGACTTGTGACGGAAGATTCTCTATTGTACCCTCTGGGGACAATACATCTCCAGTTGCCTGCGGGGAGGATGAACATGCAAAAAATCCACAACACTCAGCACAGAGTCTGGATTTAGTCCCATTAGTCTGAATGGGACTAATGCCCTTATAAAAGGGACCTCGGGGAGCTCTCTCGCCCTCTTTCTGCCCCCTGAGGATACAATGAGGAGGTGGCAGTCTACAACCAGAACAAAAGGCCCTCACCATAAACCTACCATGTCGGCACCTTGATCTCGGACTTCCAACCTCCGGAACTGTGAGAAATCAATTTCTGTTGTGAATCAGCCACCCAGTTTATGTATGGTACGGTGTTAGAGAAGCCCGAACTAAGACACAGATGGAATCCCATGGAGAGTCTCTAATTTGCTAAGCTGGTCATCAGGCGGGATGTTGCCAGTTAGAAACAGGAAAAGCTGACATTTTGTGTATATGAAAGAAGATAGTGGACAGGCCCATTGTGTCGGCTTTGTCCGCCTTGGCAAACTGGAGACGGAAACTCGATTCACCATCGCCAGCCACGGGAGGACTGGGAGGACCTCCAGAGGAGGTTAGGTCGACTTCATGGTAACTTTAGATCCTGAAACCTCCCAGGATTTTTCTTGTCTTCCCTTTGATCTCTCTTCCGCCTACCCAACAGGACAGGACTCGACGCCTTTCTTTCCTGGCAGCAAGAGGTCCGTTGCGGACAAGACCAAAGTGAGCAGCTGGTTTCCCCTAAGTGTCCTTCCGGGCCTGGGCATCTCTGGAGCTCAGGCTGACCCGAGACCTAACTCCCGGCCAGTGGGACCAGCAGGAGCCTGGAAAAGCGCGCCCACCGGGGTGGAGGTTGGTCGCCGGGGGTCGAGAACCGCAGTCAAACCCTCTTCTTCCCCGGGCACCGCGCACCTGCCCCCGGGGATGCCGAAGGAAGTGGCCCATAAAGTTTCTCTGCAACCGAAAGAGGCCTGAAGCTCCAGGAGGGCCGAGAGGAGCCTCGTTGAGCGAACCCAGCCGTCTGCCTGGCTGGCCCTGGTCAACAGGCTCGGAAGAGGCCGATTTGGAGGACAGAACGGAAGAAAAGACCTAAAGGTTTCGAATCTCATGATGTAGAGATGTTAAAAGCCTCCAATCCTAAGGTCTGACTGTGCGGGGGAGCGAGGGGGTCTCAAGCTGGATCGACCCCTGAGCCTTCATCTGGAGAGTCCTCTGCACAAGCTCAGACAGCAGGACAACGCGCATCAGTGGTTCTCAAGAGGGGGCAACTTTGCCCTTACACGCCTCTCACCTCCACGCTGGGACACTAGGTCACGAATGGGGGAAGCGGGGAGGGAGAATGCTAACCCCCTGGCATGTATCTAGTCAGCGGAGGCGACGGCTGCTGCTAAACACCTTACAATCCACGGGAGGGCCCCTCCCCTACCCCGAAGTAGCCATTCCGCAGAGGTGGAGAGACTCGCGTGTAGCTCAATGCCCACGCACTTAGCCGATGGGAAATTACGAATTGATGACCAGTTGGCTCTTGGATCTGAGGAAAAAACTCCAGAGTCAGAGGGAACTCTCGAAGTTTTGCCCGGAGCAAACGGAAGGGTGGCGTTGCCATCGCCTAAGATGGGAAAATGGCAGGTGTCACAGGTTGCAGGGGAAGGTCGGAGACCAGCTGAGGGCCCCGGAGCCTTCCTGGAAAGAGTTTCCCATCCAGCCCGTCTCGGTTTCCGCATCCGTCTGATTCCTTATGACGTTGAGGGTGCTGGCGTCTGGGTCCTTTATGATGCAGAGGGTGCCCCCGTCTCACCCCGGGCGCCTCCGCGCTCCCGCCTCCTCCTGGCAACCTGGTGCGCGGCTCCGGACCTGGCGACGCACGACCGACTGGTCACTTGCTGCCACCTCGCAAAGGCGCATCTCTAGTCCAGTGGTGAGCTGCGGCCGGGTCGCTGCAACTCGCTCCAGGCCTTCGGACTCGTGGCCTCGGTGTCCCTCGCGGAGCCCTCGGTGTGTCGCTTGCAGGCTCTTTTTTTGAAGAAAGCAGGGAGGGAATGGCCTTGTGAGAGACTCCAGGAGCAAAGAGCGACCCTCACAAGGCCCAAGTCCTCCCAGAGCTCAGGGAAGCTGTCGCTTCTGACAGAAGAAGGGAGAGAAAGCTCCCTCCTGTGTGTCCCTGGTGGTCTAGTGGCTAGGATTCGGCGCTTTCACCGCCGCGGCCCGGGTTCGATTCCCGGTCAGGGAATTGTTTTACACTGGCCGCCCTCCCGCAGGAATCTTCCTTCACTACGCTGTCAGCCGGCCTGCTCCAAGGGCCAGAAGCAGAACAGTCTCCGCAGCGGGGTTAAAGCCGGGCGAAGGAGGGCAAGTGCTTGTGGACCACCTCTCACGACACACCGTTCCTATTTGTCTCCGTGTCCGTCATCCGCGGGAGCAGCTTTAGAGAGCGACTGAGCTTCTCGCTCAGGTGTACACAGCCCGGCAGAGATGCCAGCCCCCGTGGAGCTGCACCCAATAAGCCCACCTTCTTTCCCGTCGCCACCCCGGAGACGCCCATCGGGCTGAGCTGCGAATAACTAAGAGAGAGGCCAAGCCAAGTCGTGGCGTTTGTGGCAGCCCCGGACACGGGCACCAGCCAGTCAGCGGAGCCTCCTCACCTCCGTTGCCAGCGAAGGCGCTCGTTAGGCCTTGGGAAGAGGCGACCGGAGGCGATGCCCGCGAATTTGTTAGGGGGGTAAGCGGCGGGTGAGGTCCTCGAGGGCGGTCCCGTTTGCTGATTGAGCGGTAGAGGGAGGCGATGTTCGCTGACCCAACAAGGACAGCAGGTGGAGTAGGCACAGACGGAAAACTGCTGCCGGTGCCCTAAGCAGAAGGCAGGTGGAAAAATCAGCACTAGGACGTCGAAGCGATTGTACCACAGTCAAATCCCACGACGTCTACACTCTACCAAGCACTTGCGCACGCTCCCCCTTTTCCATTCAGTACTCCCAAGAGGGGTTCGGAAGAACCCCGAGTCCACTGTAAGCTCAGGGGAGAGCGGGAGCCAGGGAGGTGAAGTGCGCAGACTCGGCAGAGGCGGCGGGCAGAACCGCGCGGGGGTGAGAGGGCGCGGTGGCTGCGGGGCGGGAGCCGCTGCTGAGAGGCGGCCTGGGTTGTCTTGTGGGGTGACTGTCGGTGGAATCTTTGGTGGAGAGTGGTTTGGAAGAATGGCGAGGGGCGGCAGTGGGGAGGGTGGTGACCCTGAGCGACCGGCCAGGGCGAGGAGGCTGTGCTGTCCCTGCAAGCCATGTGCTCATTTCCACTTTACCTGGCAGGGGAGAGACCGTGGTCACGAAGGGGGTTCTCCCAGAGTGAAGCTTCTTCATCTCACTCTAGAGTTGCTGATCCCTGTGATTTCCTCCATGTGGGAAATGGTGTTTGTGGTAGAAGAGGCTGCGCTCTTTACCTGACATAACGGGGTTCAAGACTGACAACGCCTCACGCCCATCCAAAAACGTTTACATGGCTTCCTTGTCTCTTTTTTTTTTTCTGTCCTAAAGTCGCCTTATCTTCACATCCCCTCTTTTTTTTCTTCCACACTCGAGAGTGTCTCTCTCATTAAAAGCTCCACCAAATATTTGAAATATCTCAACCAGAAAGACTGCAATAAATACATTATTTCATTCGTGGAAGGTACAGACCAGCTAGATTGAGAGTTGCTTGATATTTTCTGCTAAACGGTGAGGCATAGAGCACTTGGAAGGTTTCTCTTTGGGCCACTGTTTGTGTACTCTTGGGTTTCCTTCTTTTCCCCAGACAGTATGGCGCTGTGGGGCCAGGGGTAAACCCTGCTTTCCGGCTTTCTGGCTGCAGATAAAGGCCTCAGCTGGTGCAGGAATCAAAAGCAAACCAAAAGACACGTGGGTTCGCCCCAGTGGGTCCAAGATAGAGTCTGACTGTACCAGGATTCGGATTAGAACAGAGGTTGCTGCAGGCACAACGCAGACTACTAACCACTAGAGAATCCCAAGGCGCCCCACACCTACTGCCCGTCGTTTTGCTTCCCCACCCCTCTATTATTTATTTATATATTTTTTTGAGAGACAGAATTTCGCTTTGTCGCCCAGGCTGGAGGGCAGCGGCACGATCTCGGCTCACTGCTACCTCCGCCTCTTAGGTTCAAGCGATTCTCCTGCCTCAGCCTCCTAAGTAGCTGAGACTACAAACGTGCACCACCACGCCCAGCTAATTTTTGTATTTGTGGTAGAGACGAGCTTACACCATGTTGGCCCGGCTGGTCTCGAACTCCTGACTTCAAGTGAGTGATCCACCCACCTCGGCCTCCCAAAGTGCTGGGATTACAGGCGTGAGCCACCGCCCCTGGTCCCCCGATTTTTTTTATTAATGTAAAAACATTATGCGATTTTTACTTCTTTATTCTTGGGCAGCTACAGGTTCTTGTGATTTTCTCTCACATCTTCTCCCCATTTCCTCCTCTCCGATCTGATACATGTCCCATCTTCTCTGCATCCAGCCGGTGCCCTCTGCACGGGCATCCTGGGCTGTCCCATTGTCTAGTCCTGGTCTCCCCTGCTTCTCCCTCCTCCTTTTCACGTTTTCCCTTTTGACTCCCCTGCCTCTTTCCCGCTCCCGCCCCACCGACCCCATCTACTGAAGCCGAGTTGAGTGAAGGGAGAGCAAGCGGAACAGATGATTGCCTGAAGGCGGCGCAAAAGAACAGAAAGAGCTACCATGAGAGACGTCGGGGAGTTCAGCTTCCCTTGGGCCCTACTTGGCTCAGGCTGGGGTCGCAGATCCAGGCATTTCCAGAGGCACTGGCTTCTGAAGCAGGCGAGGGTGAACGCAGGGTGAAGGCCATTCGGCCGCCCTTCTGGCTTCAGAGTCACGCAATGCACGCGTTTCTAACGTGCAACAACACGATTAGTCGACTCAGCCTCTCCGGTTTTCTGAAGCTTTGTAGTCTGCACAGTTGTCCCGCAGAAAGCAAATGGCAACTCCTAGGGTTTAGTGATTGCTTAATCTATATAGAGATGAAAGCAAGCGATTGAGGTTGTCTCTGTGGTGCAATCGGTTAGCGCGTTCGGCTGTTAACCATAAGGTTGGTGGTTACAGACCACCCAGGGACGTGATTTTAAACGTTGGTTGTGACCAGGCGCAGTGCCTCATGCCTATTAATCCCAACGCTTTGAAAGGCTGAAGTAGGGGAAGCCTCCACTGAGCTCAGAAGTTCAAGACCAATGAGAATCCCACCTCATTTAAAAAAAAAATGCAGTTGTATCTATCTCCTCAGACCCATCAATGTATTTAAAAGTGAAAGACTGTTCCCTTGTGTCTTGTGCATCCCATGAGGACAGACAGCAGAAGGTCCCCCTCCGAGCCTCCTAGAAAATGAGATCTCTGCAGAACAAACTAGCTTGTATGTACGGGAAACAGAAAGTATTTGAAGAAACAAACTTCAAAAATTCTGCCTTGCTTTCCACAAAAATTAACCCATCACAGTCTGCCTTCAAGTGGCATCATACCTCTTCACATGACTCCTCCCCCTGCCTTTATGCTATTGTCATGCATTTTACTTTACACCTGTTATAAACCTTACAATCCATCTCTATTACTTTTGTTTCAAGAGTCAGATGTGTTTTTGTTTGTTTGTTTGTTTGTTTGTTTGTTTGTTTTTGCTTTTTTGTTGCTGGTGGTGGTGTTTTTAAGACGAGTCTTACTCTATCGGACAGGCTGGAGTGCAGTGGCACAGTCTTGGCTCACTGCAACCTCTGCTTTCCGGGTTCGAGCGATTCTCCTGACTCAGACTCCTGAGTAGCAGAGATTACAGGCTTGCGCCACCATATATGACTAATTTTTGAATTTTTCGTAGAGAGGAAGGTTCACCATATTGGCCAGGCTGGTCTCGAACTCCTGACCTCAAGTGATCCGCCTTCCTTGGCCTCCCAAAGTGCCGGGATTCCAGGCGTGAGCCATCGTGCCCAGCTAAACAGTCAGATGTTAAAATTATATATTTGCCTATGTAGATGTCATTTCTAGTGTCTTTTTTTTTTTCATCCACATTTTCATCTGGTGTCAGTTTCCTTCTGCCTGGAGGACTCCTTTAACTTGTCTATTAGGTGTCTTAAACTTGCACTATCATTCACTGATGCTCTGTTCATTTAAAAAAAAAAACTTGTTGGCCGGGTGCGGTGGCTCACGCCTGTAATCCCAGCACTTTGGGAGGCCGAGGTGGGTAGATCAGGAGGTCAGGAGATAGAGACCATCCTGGCTAACACGGTGAAACCCCGTCTCTACTAAAAATACAAAAAAATTAGCTGGCTGTGGTGGCGGGCGCCTGTAGTCCCAGCTACTCAGGAGGCTGAGGCGGAAGAATGGTGTGAACCCAGGAGGCGGAGCTTGGAACCTGTCAAAAGGCATTCTTAGCCTTAAAAGAAAAGCCAGGGACATCCCTTGCCTCAGGACTCTCGAACTTAGAAAAACCTTTCACCCTCTATGTGGATGAATAACAAGGGACAGCTTCGAATGTTCTAACTCAAAGGCTGAGGAATTGCTTTGGACCAGTGGCTTATTTCTCTAAACAGCTAGACCAGGTGGCAGCTAGGTGACCAAGAAGCTTGAGATCTGTGACTACCATCACTCTATCGTTAGACGAAACCAGTAAGTTTACCTTGGGACAACAATTACATGCCATACCACCCCACCCCCACCCCCACCCCCTGCCACCCCATGAAGTACAGTACAGAGGGTCCTAGAGGCAAAAGTACACCAATGGCTAACAGGGGGCCAGTTACTTAAATATCAGACCCTTCTGCTTGACACCCCAGATGTTACCCTGAAAGTGTCCTGATTTTTAAACCCTGCTACTCTGTTGCTGCACCTCACGTCTCAAGAAACAGATCCCAAACTCATTGACTCCTGTGTGGAAACCACGGAAGAGCTCTACTCTAGAAGGCCCAACCTTGAAGACAAGCTCTTGTCTAACCCAAATGTTGAGTGGTTTAGAGATGGAAATAGCTATATTCATGAGGGAGTAAGAAAGGAAGCTTAGCCAACAAGAAGTTTTTGAGGCCAAGGGTTTACCTTCTCAGACTTCTGTTCAAAAAGCAGAATTAGCTGCTCTAATTAGGGCCTTCCAACCATGAAAAGACTTAAGCTGGACACGGTGGCTCACGCCTGTAATCCCAGCACTTTGGGAGGCCAAGGTGGGTGGATCACCTGAGGTTGGGAGTTCTATACCGGCCTAGCCAACATGGCGAAACCCCGTCTCTACTAAAAATACAAAAATTAGCTGGGTGTGGTGGGGGTCGCCTGTAATCCCAGCTACTTGGGAGGCTGGGGCATGAGAATCCCTGAGTTTGCAGTGAGCTGAGATTGCAGTGAGCTGAGATCATGCCACTGCACTCCAGCCTGGGCGACACAGCAAGACTCCGTTTCAAAAAAAGAAAAAAAAAGAACAAAACCTCAAGAGTCAATGTGTTGACTGACTCTAAATATGGGTTCCTGGTGCTCCATGCTCATGCAGCCATAGGGAAGGAAAGGGGACTATCAAGAGCCAAGGGATCCCCCACACAACTTTACTCAGATCTTGGAACTTTTAGATGCTGTCCAACTCCCAAAGAAATAACAATTACTCACCGCAGGGGACACCAGAAGGGAGACACTTTTATTATTAGAGGAAATTCCCTGGTGGAAAGAGCAGCTAAGGCCACAGCTAAGGAAACCCTGGTATTTCAGGCTGCTGCGCTACTACCAGGTACTCCATCCGTGTCAGTGACACCATAATATACCCCTAAGGAAATTAAAGGGACTGAGTAAAAGGCTTCCAGGGAGACCCATCTGGATGGTTGCTAGAAAAGAACAAACTCTATTCCTGAGGCTGACAGATGGGAAATAATTAAACATTTTCATGATTCCTCACATTTGGGACAGGATTTTCCATTTAAATTAGTTTCCTAAATATTCTTGCGGAAGGGACTGTTCCAAACTATAAAAAGGGTTACCACTCAGGAAGCCACCCCATACCCCGATCCCTGCTTAAACCTGTACAACACCAAGGAACATACCATGGTGAAGACTGGCAGACAGACTTAAACCAGATGCCACCTTACAGGGGACTACAAGATTTGCTAGTATTTATAGACACTTTCACCAGGTGGATAGAAGCTTTCCCCACAAGGACAGGAAAAGTATTGGAAGTGTCTAAATTCTTAAAGAAATCATTCCAAGATTTGGATTACCAAAAGGTTTGCAAGGTGACAACTGACCTCACTTTACAGCTAAGGTGACCCAGTGAGGTCATGCCTCAGCCTTAGGCATTACCTATCTTCACTCCTCATGGAGATCTCAGTCTTCAAATAACATAGAAAGCCAATCGCGACATTAGCAAAACTCTTTCAGTTTGGGGGCTTGCCTGCCCTGCGTCACTATCATTGTTTCCTTGGGTTTCCCAGGAATGTACATGTGTCAGACTGCCGCCCTGCTTATAGATCTGTTTCCCTGCAAGGAAACAGGAATATGTTGCCTGTGGCTTCCAGAGTTGGAGATACATGTAGTTGCACCCCTGAGGGCTAACATTTAATTTTGGAATCAAGTGATGCAATCAGACTGGTTGTTATCATTCTGTGGTATATATTTAGTGAACACATTCATGATTGAGTTTCCTGCTTTTAGCTGGAGCAAGAAAGTTTTATAATTGTGATTTGTATGAAAAAATCATAGGCAAGGGAATGGGTGTAAAATAAACTTTATTGTCAGAGGTTTCTACAGGCTCATCCTTCAAGGAAAACGGACGTATGCTGAAGAGCTGATAAACTGTCTACAGCAGTGTTATTCTAACCTAATCTTGATTCCAAGTTCTTGCCATTTTCCTCCAGCTGCTGTTGACTCCAGTTATATATAGGATGGGGGAAAGGGGATTATCTATGAATCTAGGCATCACTGTCTCTTGGGCCCTTATCACATTGGCAGACTGAAGGGATGTGATTTCTACAATCAAACTATCCATTTGGAGTACAAATCTGGAGTGGCTGTAGAATTCGGTTCTCAGAGATGAGCTTGCAGATTTGGACTTTCAATTGTTCTGTTGTTTTAGTTTTTCTCATCAACTGGGGAACTGTTTGTGACTAAGCTTTGTTAAAAGTAGAGAAGAGCTTTTCATAGTTCCAACATTAGTTGTTACCCGAAACAAACAAAAACACACACACACAAAATTAAACAATAATCTTTGGTGAGGTCTTGCTGATACCTGAGGCTGGAGTGAGAGCTGACTGGTGATACAGGCCAGGTGCAAACTGAGTGTAACTAAGTGGATAATCTCCAGTAGTGAACTACAGTCTAGAAGAAGATAGTAATAATAGATTGAAAAAAAAGTCTCCTGAAATGAACTAGCTGGCCTGTGGTGTAGGACACAGGACCCCACCCACCTTATGATTCTAAAAGCCTTGCTCAAAGCCACTGCAGATGAGTTCACTAGGTCTCTACCACCTCCTCAGCATCAATTGACTCTCCATAATACTCCTCTGGAGAGAAATAAGGGTCTTTCAACCTCCCAGGAAGGAATTTGCTTAGCCTCAAATGTGCACATTCAGAAATAGCTTGTCATAAGAAAGAGAGGATAGTTTGCAGAGAAATAACCCTCCTAAGTCCACATCCTGTTCCTTTTAAATAAGAGAGTGGTGCCAAGGGAAGAGCCCTAGAATGTCAAAGCCAACAGGGTGCTCAGATACCACCCAAGTACAGTTCCATCTTTGGCCATAAGGAGACAATGGTGTCAAGAGGCTAAGGCCGTATGATCTGTAGGTGAAAAACCTGGGATGAGAATCGAGGCCTCAAAACTTTTCCACTACATCACAGAGTTTAGGAGCAGTTAGAGGGAAGGCTTCAATCTGGAGAACACTAACAGGCTCTAGAGATTATTGGGTCATGGTGGCTGGGACAGAAATAAGGATTCACAGAAAGATGTTTATAGTAAATGTTCTTTTGGGATTTTGCTTGATAAAAAGGCAGAGCAAAAGTAAAAATTTATTTATTTTCTTTTTTTTTTTTAGACAGTTTCACTCTTGTTTCCCAGGCTGGAGTGCAATGGTGCAATCTCAGCTCACCACAACCTCCAGCCCCTGGGGTTCAAGCAATTCTCCTGCCTCAGCCTCCCAAGTAGGTGTGATTACAGGCATGCACCACCACGCCCAGCTAATTTTTTTTTTTTTTTTTTTTTAGTAGAGACGGGGTTCCTCCATCTTGGTCAGGCTGGTCTCAAACTCCCGACCTCAAGTGATCCTCCCAAAGTGCTGGGATTACAGGCTCCAGCCACCACACCTGGCCAAAAGGAAAAATTTTCTAATTGCAATTCTGAACCACTTAGGGGTTGTGAAATCAATATAGTCGACTGCTTACTACTGCAGGCTTTATTTAAATTCTAGGTAGGGTGGATTACACATAGTAAAAGATTTTTTAAAAACTGATCACAGGCCAGGCGCAGTGGCTCACGCCTGTAATCCCAGCACTTTGGGAGGCCGAGGCGGGTGGATCACGAGGTCAGGAGATTGAGACCATCCTGGCTAACACGGTGAAACCCCGTCTCTAATAAAAATACAAAAAAAAAAAAAAATTAGCTGGGCATGGTGGTGGGTGCCTGTAGTCCCACCTACTCAGGACGCTAAGGCAGGAGAATGGTGTGAACCCAGGAGGGTGGGGCTTGTAGTGAGCCGAGATCATTCCAATGCACTCCAGCCTGGGCAACGGAGCAAGACTCCATCTCAAAAAAAAAAAAAAAAAAAAAAAAAACTGATCACAAAGAATTGTATATTTCTCACTGCATCTTGTGGTCAGAAAAGTTTGAGAAACTGCTCTACATAGGCAAATTACAGGTTCAACCTCTCCATCTACCTCTTTATCTCTTCTCTATTTTCCATGCTATGCAGACAAGACCATGGAGAGAGGAAGGGAAATTCCATCAAAGGGTGGTGTTAAGCCTTTTCTATGAGGTAGCTGCACATTTGGGGCACTTCAATAATGGTTACTTGAGATTCTAGTAGATAGATTGTCCTTTTCATCTCTAGCCACATGGTAAAATTACTTGGGAGTGTTTTAAGACTACTAGTGGCTTCCACCCACCTGGAAGCGTTTAAATCAGAATCTCTATGTGTAGAGTCCAGACACTTGTGTTAGTTAAAACCTCACCGGGCTTTATAATATGACAGAGTGGTTTAAAGCTACGGAGTAGACCCACCCTATTTCCTACCTTTCTCTTTGTTTCTCTTTCACCATAGGCTTCTTTCCCATGAAAAAGTACAGATTTTAGTCTCTGTTTTCAGAGTCTCAAGTAAATCACTCTCTTTCTCAACTGGACTTCCAAGGCAAAGATTTCTTTCTATTTATCTATCTGCATTTTTACAAAGTTGGCCTCTGGATTCCCTTTTGCCAAACCTAATTCACCACAAAGGTGCCCCTCAAGTCAAGGAGCTGGGCTTTCATACACCTGCACCTGTCAATCATGGGTAAATATTTTGCAGGCAGGGTTGCTGGGTGCTGTGGGATTGACATAAACTCCCAGGTATTGCCAGCTCTGAGCCTCAGGCAAGCTTGTGACTAAGTGCCTCCAGTAGTCTGAGGATAGTCCTTACTCAGAAGGGTCTGTGGAAGCAAAAGCAAACATAGGCATGAGAGGGTAAAAAAAAAAAAAAAAAAAAAAAAATCTCATGTCATCTTGGCTTATACCTAACAGAACTTGTGCAAGAATGGATATTAAGGTGGGTATTGTACACCACAGAGCTTAGTAAATACCAAGTCTGGAGTTTAAGGGATAGGCTGAAGAGATTTTGCAGGTTTGTAAACATTGTTGCCAACTTGAACACACTTTTGTTTGGGTTTGGTTTTTCTCCTCAGTGGTAAGAGCTACGCACAATAGGGTAGCTAAGATATTATAATTTGAATCAATACATTTGTATTTTGCCAAGGACCAAGATGAACTATGATGATTTCAATTTTTTAGTACTTTATTTTCATCAGTTTGAAAATTAGGACTTTTGCTCTTTTTGACTTATGGCACCTTTTTGGTTTTCACACTTTCTCAAAGACCAGTAACTTAGAATCTAAATTACGATTGCTTATTCTTTCACTACTCTAGGGGAAAGTTGAGTTAATCTTGACAAAATGTATTCAATTAAAATAATTGTTCTCTTAAATCTTTTCTTTCTTTCTTTTTTTTTTTTTTTTGAGATAGAGTCTTGCTCTGTCACCCAGGCTAGTGTGCAGTGGCACAATCTTGGCTCACTGCAACCTCCGCCTCCTGGGTTCAAATGACTCTCCTGCCTCAGCCTCCCGAGTAGCTGGGCCTATAGGCGCATGCCATCACACCTGGCTAATTTTTGTATTTTTAGTAGAGTAGACCACAGATGGGTAAGGATGATGTTTGCCTCCAGCAACCCACAAATTTATGGGGACTTCCAGTCACAGACCTGTGAATCCATGATACCAGGTAGGCCATCTTGGGATTGAGCTTTCCTAGAACTAACCAGGCAACAAGAATTGAGATGACAAAAGCCTCAAAGGGATGGGACTTCTTAAGACAAACCCCAAGAGCTTGTCATGGTCAGAACAAAAAGTGTGCTGGGGTTCCCAGCCATTTTCAGACAGGCCACCTAGTATGACCTGAAAGTTACCGCCTCTTTCCAGATAGTGGAAACCAAGAGAAAGCGCTTCCACTTGGTCACAAGTCAAGCTCTCAAGGACATAAAATAAGATGAGAAGGAACCTCAACCAGTACCCCCTTTTATGACAGAATAACACATAGAGACAAAGACAAAGGAACAGACAATTTCTGGGAAGAAAGGGATTAAACAATAGGAATTGGTACCACAAAGTACCAAAAAGCACACCAGAGTCACTACACCCAAGACTAGTCACACAAATCCTTTTCTCCAATTAATCAAGATTTTGGAGAGGGAAAAGAAAGAAACAGTGATTTTTACCATCCACTTGATGAGATTCCACACAGAGAAGGAGGCCAGGAGCCTGGCTGGTAAAAAAATTCTTACCCTTATGATAGCTGATCATATCCTGGGTTCTTCACTGCAGCTTCCAGAAGAGCAGAGCTTTCCTATCCTGTTTACAGCTCCAAAACTGTAGGGGCCAATGGAAACCCTCCCTCTTAACTCTCTGAAGTTTCACTCAAAAATCAAGTCACAAAAGGCAGATTAATTGGAGAAAAGGCATAAAATGTACTAACATGTGCATGGGGAGAGTCACAGAGTGATTACCCTCCCCTACCCACAATGGGATGCAGAAGCTTATATACCATCTCGAGATAACAGAATGAATGAGGGCTCAAAGCATGGCCAAAACCAGGTGCAATCAGAGTCAGAGGTATATCCATTTATTGTGGACAAGATAAGTGATGGCAGGGAGAGAAAATGAGGCTCGGCTAGCAAAGGTGGTCTTAATATGTAAATGAAACCTTACAGGTAGCAGCTCTCAGAGAGAATAAACCCTAAAAGTTTCTTTCAGACCTTTACAGGTGTCAGACTCTCAGTTCATCTTTCCTAGATCTGGACAAGGAAAGACTTGGCTGTATCAATGCAGATTCCCTACAGATGCAAATCTCCCCAACAAAAGACAACTTTGCAGGGCTACTTCTGCAGCTGGCTTTCTGAACAGACATCTCAAAATATGTCAAAGAAATGTAGTTTGGGGTAAAATATTTTTAATTCCTTCACATCTACAGCCTGATGCACCTGCCGTTTCAACGCACCATTGTTGGTGGCAACTCCATTCTTCCCTACACTCAAGCCAAAAAACCAGGTTCTCCTTGAGGCTAGTCTTTTTCTCACAGCACACATTCAATTTGTCAGAAAACTTATGTTTCCTGTTTGGTTAATGACAGATTTTGATCTGCCCAATCTTTCTCTTTCTTGGTCTCTGAATTTTGGCAAAGAAGTCTCCTGATACAGGCAGGATCGATTCTACTGACGATTCTCAAAACTGTCAGACACTTAAGAGCCTTAATCTCAGGGTCGGGGTTTGGGCTGCCCTCGAACCTTTTCTTTGGGCCTACCCATCAAAATCAGCCTGGCCAGGCCTGTCTTCAAGGCCCAGGGGCAGGGCCAAGTCCTCCCGATGTTTCTTGAAGCTTCTCCCGCCAGGTCGGCAGCCACCCTCCCCTTCCCTCTGACCTGCAGAGAAGCTTCAGGGGGCATTTATTCAATTTGCTAGGAGCCCACGGGCGCAGGTGCACGGTGACTCTGTGGTTCCCACTGCACCCACCGCCCTCCTTTGTCCTCTCACTGTCTGCAGCGGGCAG
This sequence comes from Homo sapiens, assembly GCF_000001405.40. NCBI lineage: Eukaryota > Metazoa > Chordata > Mammalia > Primates > Hominidae > Homo > Homo sapiens. Next base: position 16,523,227 of record NC_000001.11, on the reverse strand, counting down.
TAATGTTCCGGGTGAGCTTGGGCTCCAAAGACACCCAGTCAAGGAGGGACCAGTAGGGAAGGCCACTGGCCCCTTATGTCCTTCGCACCCAGGGATCCGAAAAAGATCTTGAAGAAACAGAAAGGGAGAGTTGGAAGTAGATCAAAGGGAAAGAAAGAAAATCCTAGATTTCCTATCTGAAGGCACCATGAAGGGAAACTCCGTCTCCTCTGGGCCACGTCCTCACGTTGCTGGTGAACCGAGTTCCGTTCTCCATTGGAGACCAAATCAGTTGACTTTGGCTTGACTCCTAGTGAAGAAGCCCTGCTTTGTCCTCTCCTGTTTCACTCTTGGTCCTGAAGCACTTGATTGTCTCTCCCGGGCTTTCGATGGATTTCAGGGATGCAACTGAGAAATTTGTTTTTAGTACACCTACTTGAAGTAAGAATATTTTAAAGTATTTTTGCAAAGAAAAACGTTTCCTTTTGCAATGAAGACATTCAGATGTGAGGAAAATCACTAGGCTGGGGAAAGCAAATGCTGTTGAGAATGTCTCACAAACACAAATTCCACATCAGCAGGTAGGTTTGACCCTCAGGTTGGGCACATTTTAAGTGCACTGTTGGAACTTAAGATGAATCTAGGACATTCATGATTAATATTTTTAGTTTTTTAGTACAATTTAATATTTTAAATTTAAATACACATTCTGAAAATTGTATAACCAGCACAAGAAACCGGCTTTACGCCATATTTACAAACATAGGAAAGAAAGATGATATTTTAAATGACAATGCTTCATAAATGGCAACATTTTTAAAGTACCTAGAGAAAAAAAGTTAACCTAGAATTCTATGCAAAAATAAAATTTCAAAACTGTGAGTGAAATAAGAACATTGAAAAACATACGGAAGCTAAAAGAATTCACCAACCCACGCTACAAGAAATCTTGCGTCCTCCAGGCAGAAGCAAAAGGATACCAGATAAAAATGTGGTCCTACACAAAGAAACGAATATTGGAAATGGCATTTAGAAAGCATGTACTACACGTTTTCTTATAATTTAAATCTTTCAAAAAATATTTGACGTAACAAATAAAAGTAATAATAATGAATCACAAAGGTTATAGTGCATAAAGTAAAGATACATAACACTAGGATAAAGGCCAGAAAGGGAGGCATAATGACACTAGAAAGCAGACTATGATAAATTAAAGATGTATTCCGGAAACCCTAAAGCAGCCTCTGAAATAAGAAAACGGTTATAGCTAATAAAGCAACAAAGGAAAGAAAACGGAATGAAATAAAAGCTATGTAAACACTATGCTGGAACAACTACTCTCCAGGCCTCCACCCTATAGAAATACACCAGTGGCCAATGAGAGTGTACAAGAATGATGACTGCAGCATTACTTGTAATCATAAAATGATAAAACCAACGTAATTTTAAAGATATAGGAAAAGGGTTTTATTTATTTAACGGACAGACAATTGAACAAGCAAACAATGGGAGCAAGTCCTTTGCCAAAAGGAACACAGAGGGTCATGATGATGCTACTCCTCCAAGGATTTCAGAGTTCCCAGACGCCTAGTTTTCTGTCTAGTTCTTCTGGAAGATGTTATTCTTGGGGAGCAATAGGTCCTCGAGTTTGGGGCTCTTTCAGGTTCTCTCTCCATTTCCCCATTCTACTACAATAAACAAACAAACAAACAAAACAATTCTCACTTCCAGAAGATCCTGCCTGTGCCCCTTCATGAGCCTTTCAGGAGGTCTGGATGTCTGGTCCACCGCTCCCCGGCTTCTTTCCCAGCTTTTGCTTTTTCCTTTCCCAGCTCTTGACCTACCACCCCACGGCCGCACCACCGCCCAGCTGAGCCCCCGTGGCTCCACCGCGCAGAAGGTGCGCCAGAGACCCTGCCAGTTGCCCTCCCTGCCGGGTGCCGAGAAATCAACGCTTTGTAAAAAGAACTTCCCCGTGGAAAAAATCTCTTGATTTCCACTCTCAGGGCTCTTCAAAGGACTAAAAGCTAAAGGCGACGATGAATTCATTCCACAAGTCCTAGTCGTGCGCCCTGGTGAGTACCAGACCCTGCTCCCCGCGAGGGGACCCACGAGCGACCCTCACCACCATCCCTGCCCTGGTGGAGCCCCCGTGCGGAACACAGGATCCGAAGATGGCAGCGGAAGCTCCTCAGCGGCCCGGAAAGCGACTGGGCAGGGTGGGCACAGGCTCCTTCAATGGGTGAAGGCGGCGCAAAGAACGGGAAGAACCATCCCAGGAGCCCACAGGGCGTTCAGCTTCCCTTGGGGCCCCAGGCAGCTCGGGCTGGGTCGCCCACCAGGGAGTTTCTGGAAGCTTCTGCAGCAGGCGAGGGGCAGGGCGGGCGAAGGCAATTCTGCTGTTCTTCTGGCTCCAGAATCTCCTAACACGCAGGCGTCCAACGTGACCGGCGCGACTCACCGCTCTAATCTCTCTGGTTTTCCAAGGCCTTGCTCAGTGGTCCTGCCCGGTGGGCCCTGAGAATAGACGGAACGGAGGAAGTTCAGTGAGTGCGCCCTTCCTAGATGCCCAGTAGAGTTGGAAGCGCTTGTCTCTGTGGCGCAATCGGTTAGCGCGTTCGGCTGTTAACTGAAAGGTTGGTGGTTCGAGCCCACCCAGGGACGCTTATTGGAACTTTTGAAGCATTCACGCAATGTCAATCACTAGATAAATGGGGAAGATTTTATCTTCCCAAAGTCTCAAGCCACTAATTTATGACAGATCCATGTCAAGGGCCGCCCACCTCCCCGACCAGATTCTTAGCCGGCTATCTCCTGAAATGCCGGGTTTACACCTGTGTCACTAAGGAATCCTGAAACAGAGACCTAGGAACCCACTTCTGATGTGATAAAATTCTAATTCAGTCCGTTATACGCTTAAACGAGTATTTACGTGTCTCCATTTTTTCATATTTTAGTAATAGGAGTCCAGTATTACCTCCAGGATGTGCCTGGGTTTCCTGATTGCTCTATCAATAATGTGACCAGTGGAATCATTCATCATGAAAGTGATTCTCTCCATCATTTTTGAAAATAGTATTTTTCCTCAGTTTATGCATGATTTATTTAACCCTTTTCAAAATGTTTTTGTTAGCCAGGTATGGTGGCATGCACCTGTAATCCCAGCTACTCGGGAGGCTGAGGCAGGAAAATCGTTTGAACTTGGGAGGTGGAGGCTGCAGTGAGCTGAGATCACACCGCTGCACTGCCTGGGTATCAGAGCGAGACTCCATCTCAAAAAAACAAAATGTTTTTGAGATGACTTTAGTTTCATAGTTTTAGGATTACAAAGAATGCTGCAGTCACCAGTCCTGTACAGATATCTTTGGTCATTGTGGAAATGTTTACCCTGCAGACATTTCTATAGTGTAGAGAGCTGGATGTGCCATTGCTACATTATAGTGCTTGTATAATGCTTCTAATCTGAGTCCATTCTGCAAATGTATCTTTCACGGGAGCAGTACCAAATAATATTCCAATATGAATGTTTATAAGAGGAAAAATGTGCAGATGTGCAGTTGAGCTGCGTGCCTCTCCATGGGGCTCATGTTCATAAAATGGTGGCGTTAGCAATCATCTGAGAGTGGAGTTTGTGGCCCTCTGACGTCAAAATCTGAGGCAATGGACATGAAAACCCTCACTGTACATCCTCTGTAGTCTGGCCAGAATGATTCCTAGGTCGGTGGTCTCTTATCAGGAGGGAATGCTGCTTGCTTGTTTTGTCAAAACCACAAAAGGGAGGGAAAGCATCAGGCTGTTGGTTGATAACAGCAGTGAAGCAAGTCTCTCCAAAGGCTTGGATTGTTAACCCTTAGGAAAAAAAATCCTAATTCTTGCCAGATGGTGCCGTGCATTTCCAGGCTCTTGGTGTCCCAAACAAAGAACTGTACATGACACACACAAAGCAGCAAAGCAAAGCAAAATTTATTAAGCACAGTAACAGTCTCAGAGTGGGGAGAGTGGGCTGATCTCTGGGATGTGAGATCAGTATTAGTTTGGTGTACGTTGGGTCTTTTTATGTGTGTTTCTTTCTCTTCTCTTCCCAAGGATGCCTAATCGTTAGCCAGTGTTTGCCTTTTGATTGATAGGTGGGTTGCTTAGTTACTTTGGCCCTTGTGTGCTTGCACATTGCCTCCATCCCATAATTTTAAGTACATGCATGATGTGCAGTCCATATGCATGAGTTTTAATGAGCTGATTATCATATGGAGTCATGTTAAGGATACTTTTTTTCTCTAATGCACATGCCTATCTCTGAGGAGCTGCCCCTTTACTGGTTTGGATCTCACCGGCCATGGGGTCCTGGCTTGCTTTTCTTTTTTTTTTTTTTTTTTGAGACAGAGTCTCGCTCTGTTGCACAGTCTGGAGTGTAGTGGTGCAATCTCGGCTCACTGCAACCTCTGCCTCCCGGGTTCAAGCGATGCTCCTGTCTCAGCCTCCCAAGTAGCTGGGAGTACAGGAGTGCACCACCACGCCCAGCTAATTTTTTGTATTTTTAGTAGAGATGGGGTTTCGCCATGTTGGCCAGGCTGGTCTCAAACTCCTGACCTCAGGTGATCTGCCTGCCTTGGCCTCCCAAAGTGCTGGGATTACAGGCATGAGCCACCGTGCCCAGCCTTGCTTGCTTTTTTAAATCTTACTTTTTGTTTTGGCTGCTCAACTTCTGCCTTATATCTTGCTTCTTGCTCTCCCACCCCATCACCTTGCTTCTTTCTCTGCTTTCACTCACTCTGCCTTTTATCCAACTTCCAATTCCCTCTGCTGTTCTCCTGCATCATAATGGCAGTTAGTGAGGGGAGGGTTTTGAGGTGGCATGTCCAACCTCCTAGCCTGCCACATCCAGAAACTGCTTTCGAAGTTTCTCTGTGGTCCTGTCAGCCAAGAGGGAGTCCATTCAGTTGGTTGTAGGGCCTAGGGCTTATTTTTATTTCTCAAACCTGACAAGATAAAGCTGGATTAATGCAGATTCTCTGCAGGTGTAAATTTCCCCTACAAAAGACAGTTTTGCAGAGTTCCTTCTGTTTGCTGGCTCTCTGACAGCCATCTTAAAATATGCCAAAGAAATATATTCTGGGGTAAAATACTTTGATTTTCTTCATCTATCAACAGCTTCACCATGCTGACAGCCTCCAATCCAAGCATACCTGAAGCTTTTCTTTGTTTTTTTGTTTGTTTGTTTGTTTGTGTGTTTGTTTGAGACACAGTCTCGCTCTGTCACCCAGGCTAGAGTGCAGTGGTGTAATCTTGGCTCACTGCAAGATTCGCCTCCCAGGTTCATGCCATTCTCCTGCCTCAGCCTCCAGAGTAGCTGGGACTACTGGTGCCTGCCACCACACCTGGCTAATTGTTTGTAAATTTTTTAGTAGAGATGGGGTTTCACCATGTTAGTCAGGATGGTTTGATCTCCTGACCTCGTGACCACCCACCTGGGCCTCCCGAAGTGCTGAGATTATGTGTGTGAGCCACCGTGCCCGGCCCCTGAAGCCTTTCTTTTTAAAAAGCTTTCCCACCTTTATGACTGCCTTCAAGTCTCTGCCAAAACACAAATAACAGTGACTGACTCCCTGCTATAGCAAGCTCAGAATAAATAGCTTTTGCTTTTTTTCATTTGGTTGGTCTTTGTTTATTTGCAGAAGCTTCAATGTAGAGTTGACAAGGACTCTAGTCTTTGACCAAACCTTAGTAGTTTCCTCTGAGCCCTTTTCTCTGTTATTTCTTTGCCTGCCAAGTCCAGTTTTAGGAAAGAATACTGTTGAGTCTAGTTTAGCAAGAGTCCTCGCAACCACCTTTGATAGCTAATCAAGTTCCTCTTAGTAATTTTCCATCCACTGACTTTCTTATCTTGCCAATTGGCTATAATCTTCAACTCCTCCTGCTGTATTCGAGGTTGAGCCCAGTTCTCTGCTGGTCTCTCTTGCCTACTGTAGTAAATACAATAACATCTGTCTCATGTTTTTAAGAAGTGTCCAGTGCAGCCCCTCAGAAACTACCTTTGCAAAATTATGACAACAAGAGAAAGCTGACATGGCTGACTCCATCTTGGTTCTAGCCTCACAGGCTTGCTGTCTTTGCTCATTCCTGTGCAATTTCTCCCAAGCTATCTTTGGGAAAAATAGAGTTTATAGTTTAAATCAGGACTCCCCAATCCCCAGGGCCATAAGACAGGTACTGGTCCATGGCCTGTTAGGAACCCAGCTGAACAGCAGGAGGTGAGCTGCAGGCTTTCGAGCATTACCACCTGAGCTCTGCCTCTTGTCAGATCAGCATGAGCATTAGCTGCTCGTCAGAGCTCGGACCCTATTGGGAACTGCTCATGTGAGTGATCCAGATTGCGCACTCCTTATGAGACTGTAACTGATGCCTGATGACCTGAGGTGGAACAGTTTCATCTGGAAACCATCCACCACCCCCTTCCATGGAAAAATTGTCTTCCATGAAACCAGTCCCTGGTGACAAAAAGGTTGAGGACAGCCAAAAAGGCTGCTTTAAATGATAACCTTCCCCAAAACTAAATTACCCCTGTAAAATGAATGAAAGGCCACCAAGTTAGAAGGATGAAAGGGGCCTGATTTCTACTAAGATGTATGCCTCGTTAAATAATTACCAGCCATTATTCCAGAAGTCACAAGATTGGCAGCTTCCCCAATTACTGCTGTGAAGAACATCACTATTGTAGAACCTAAGATTGGCCTCTTGAGATGTCTTTTCAGGCTTTTGCATTTCTGACTGCTGGAAGGCACCATCTGGCCCGAAAATCAACCAGTCCCTTAGCCCCCACCCAGAAGCTGACTCCATGCAGGAGGGCCATTTTCCACACCCCTGTGATTTCATCCCCAACAATCAGCACCACGCAAGCCCTAGCCCCCTCCCCACCAAACTATCTTTGAAAAACCCCTTACCTCCAAGCCTTCAGTGAGATTGCTTTGAGTAATAACTCTGTCTCCCACATGTCGTGGCTGGCCTGTGTCAATGAAACTCTTTCCTGCAGTGCCATGGTCTCCATGAATTGAATTTTTGTGTACATTGGTCAGGAAGAACCCATCAGGTGGTTACATCTGCAGGATGGTGCCAGTTCTTTCCACAAAGGCTGGTCAGATACCCAGAAAGCATTTCTCCACTACTACCTGGACAATGTGTCTCCCTGTCAATCTCCAGGGAATGGGGCCTGGATCAAGTATTTAGTATTCAGCAGTTACTACACTGTCACCCAATCCCTCATTTTCAATATTTTGCCATGCTTCCAGTGGCCTAACTGGCCACCATGCCACAGAATCTTTACTTTACGGTCTCCAAAGAGAACTCTCCACTCGATGTTTTGTGATTTGAGCAATGGAATAGAATCTGATACTGGTGGGCTGGGGGAGGTCCCTGGACACTGGTGGGATCTCGACCCCAGCCGTGGTGTCCAGGCTCTTGACACCATCGCGAGAACAAAGTCAAAGATGAGTCAGCAGATAGTGAAAGAAGAGATTTATTGCAAAGCAAAAAGTACACTCTCAAGAAAGGGGAGCTTGGGCATACCCAAGAGAGAATAATGGGTTCTGGGGTTTCATCTTGATGGGTTTCTTTAACCAAGGAGTGGAATGTTCACGAAAATTCCTGGGTAAAGGTGGAGATTTCTTGGAACTGTGGTGCCATTTTTACATCAAACACTGGTCTCAGAACTGTCATGGCACTGGCGGGTGTGTGATTTAGTATGTTAATGAGCATATAATGAGGGCCTAGGTAAAACCTCCATCCAATCCAGCACCACGTTGGGTCCACTCAGCCTTAGCCAGCTTGGTCCACACCCTGGTTTTTCAGCGTCTTAACAGCCCACAGCCTCAAGTCATGTAAATCTGCTGCCTAGAATTTGTTATCCTGTGACCACCCTGTAGTATTCCTGTCTGAAATCTACTTGTAAATATTCAAATGGTCTTTCACTTGGGCATTCCAACTTTGCTTACTTCACAGTGTTTCCTGCGTAATATATAAGAAAAGATGATCCAGACATTTGTTAAACATCTCAAATAAGATGTAGCCCAGGTATTTGTGTCAAATTTGGATTATTTTGGTTTCGTCTTTGCAGAATATAAAAAACTAACATGAGGTAAGCACTAAGGTGTGGAGATGGCTGTGCAAGAGATGACAAAGTCCAGCACCACGCTTGAGAGTGTCCAATCATCTCTTCTGGGACAGCATATTTTTCTACAATACGGATTTTTGAAAAAAAAACAACATCAAAAAAAAAAAACCTACAAGATTCATGAAACTGGACAACTGTCTTTATAACATTACCAGTGATAAAACCAGTAAGGAAGGCTGGTTTGCAGTCATCTGAGCAGCCTCTTTACTTTCATAAATATGGCTTCTCTCTGATATTAAACGGCTTCCAAATGCAAGCGGAATGCTGCATCACAAGGATAAGGATGTGAAGAGAACCGGTTTCTTTTGTAATCCGAAACATTCTAGTCTGCGAATTAAAAGCCATTATTTGAAGAAGGATGCCCCGGCTCCATCTGGCCACCGAAAGATTGCTCCTTAACACAGGCTAAGGACCAGCTTCTTTGGGAGAGAACAGACGCAGGGGCGGGAGGGAAAAAGGGAGAGGCAGACGTCACTTCCTCTTGGCGACTCTGGCAGCAGATTGGTCGGTTGAGTGGCAGAAAGGCAGACGGGGACTGGGCAAGGCACTGTCGGTGACATCACGGACAGGGCGACTTCTATGTAGATGAGGCAGCGCAGAGGCTGCTGCTTCGCCACTTGCTGCTTCGCCACGAAGGGAGTTCCCGTGCCCTGGGAGCGGGTTCAGGACCGCTGATCGGAAGTGAGAATCCCAGCTGTGTGTCAGGGCTGGAAAGGGCTCGGGAGTGCGCGGGGCAAGTGACCGTGTGTGTAAAGAGTGAGGCGTATGAGGCTGTGTCGGGGCAGAGGCACAACGTTTCATACTTACCTGGCAGGGGAGATACCATGATCACGAAGGTGGTTTTCCCAGGGCGAGGCTTATCCATTGCACTCCGGATGTGCTGACCCCTGCGATTTCCCCAAATGTGGGAAACTCGACTGCATAATTTGTGGTAGTGGGGGACTGCGTTCGCGCTTTCCCCTGACTTTCTGGAGTTTCAAAAACAGACTGTACGCCAAGGGTCATATCTTTTTTTGTATTGGTTTGTGTCTTGGTTGGTGTCTTAGGTGTTAATCCTACAGTGGAGGGTTTATGGGAATAGGAAGTAACATGTCGCCTGCATGTCATAGGAGAAAAAGCGAGCATCAGCCGTATCGGCTTTGTAACACAAATTAGCTATCGTGAAGTCCGCTCAGCTCTTCCCTTTCTACCCTGGCTGCTTTTTGCAGGGATTGGTCCGTGGTCTCCAGTCTCTTGGGTTCTCACCCTGTGTGAAAATCTTCGTGTTTTTCCCTACCCCCCAGTCACCTCTTACACAGCCTCTGCTTCCAAGCGCAGCCCCCACAGGAGTTTGTAGGATTTCTGTGCTAGCGGGGAATGTGTTCTCACCTCATAGAGCCAGGTAGAAATTATGCAGATGGGCAGTTCTCTGGGAAGAAAGCAGGGCCTTTGGGGCTCTCAGTGTCCCCGTTGGGTTGTAGACATAACACGCTTACTTTGCGTAGGGGAACGGCTCTGCCGGCCCCCAGGTGCCCTAGCGCATATGCACGGAGGCCCGCAGGTCAGAACCGCAGTCTCACCTGTCTTGGCGGAAATGCCCTGCGATCCTCCCGGAGATAGAAGGCGGGAAGTTTTATGAGGAGCCGGTCCAGTTTCCCTACTATCTCCTGCCGTTTATATATCTAGTCTTTCTTCAGACTTTAAGCGACTGCTTCATGTTTGATGTCTCACTCCCACATCCTACATCCACTGCCAGCCAACTTTATAGATAGCACCGTGACCCATCCTTCCCACCCCCAAGAAGCCCTTTCCTATTTCTGGTGCCAGTGTCCTCCCCAGTCCCTCTTTCTTCAGGCCCTCGCTTATCACCTTCATGGACAGAAAATACTTAGCTCTCTCTCAACCTGAGGTTTACACCTGACACGCGTCAGTGCCCTGGCAAATTCCTTAATACCCCTTCTCAAATAGCACTGTAAATCACCTCTTTTTAACTCCCAGAACTATCTAATTGGTTTTGTCCCTGCACTACATGAATACTAGTATTCCACTACAGAGGAAAACCCCAGGCCTAGCGATGGCGGTTCTGGGCATTGTGCCAGCCTCTCCCAGGGTATGTTTTCTGACCTCACCTACTTTTGATCAGCTGAGGTCAGGAGTTCAAGACCAGCCTGTCCAACATGGCAAAACTCCATCTCTACTAAAAACACATACACACGCACAATAATAATAATAATGATAATAATAATAATTGCCTGGTGCAGTGGTGTCTGTCTGTAATCCCAACTACTCGGGAGGCTGAGGCAGGAGAATCACTTGAACCCGGGAGGTGGAGGTTACTGTGAGCCGAGATCGCGCCATTGCACCGCAGCCTGGGCAACAGAGTAAGACTCTGTCTCAAAAAAAGAAAAAAAAATAGTGCATCTGAGACATATTATTGGAGACAGTAGAATCCTGCGTCCAACAGGCACTTGGTGCAGATCTGAACCCATTGAGCTATTGGCTCATGTTCCCTATGTTCTATTAAGTATCATGAGCAGAAATTGAGCTCTTTGGCTTTTACCCACTGAGTATGGCTATAGGACAGGTCTCTCACTCTCCCTCTCTCTCTCTCTCTCTCTCTCTCTCTCATTCTTTGCATCATTGTTTTTTGCCATCAGTGTGGGTTTTTGGTTTTGAGGTTATGAAGTGAATTTCTGGGGACAATCTCTGTTGGGTCGTGTTGACAAGGATCCAGTCCCTGTTTGGTGATACATGGCAGCTAATCTGGTCTGTGAGTCTTCTTTATTGTCTATTTATTGTCCTGAGAATAATGATATTTCCTGATATTTGAGACTGCAGCAATGATAAGTTGTTCAGATCTTGTCTTTCCAATGTTTGGTAAAAATTTTATAGGCCCAATTGTTGTCAATATCTGCAAGAGTGGCATCTCTGTTACAAGAGTGATCTTACTACTCAATGTCCCCCCTCCCACCCAACTTCGTTTCATAGGGGCTCTTGGCTTTAACAAATTTACTGTATCTAAAAGACATCTTAGTACAGGAAGAAAACTAAATCTGTAGCATGTAAGGAGCAGTTTTATTTGATTGGTATATTCAGGTTTCTAACCAGCTGAAAAATTCAAATACATGCCCTTTAAGGATTAAGTTTAAACCACACTACCAAAAGAGAAAAGATTTATATGATCACATATAAGCAATGGAATCAGCAATATGAGTACTTTTCACAACTATACAAATCAAATTTAATAATCTCCAGAACATTAAGGAAGTTCAGCCCTTAATGGAAATGAATGAAAAGAAATTATTCACCCACTGTTGCATGCCCTGGAAAGAGAATGTCCTGCCAGACTCAAAAGAGTATCACACTGTTACTCAGATTTTCAGCAATGAAGGCCCTCCAAGGATCTAATGATGTTCATCTTTTCAGTTTATTTCCTTCACTGATAAACATTGTTAATAGATACCATTGCCTCTGTTTTCACTTTAAGTGATGTTACTTAGCACAATTCATTTCTTTAGAATGCACCCTAGTTTGGTGGAAGGAATTTTCCTGCTTTATAAATATAGGATATTTTCTCATGAAACAAATTGGCATACTCTTTCAGTGAAGTGAATAGACAAATTAGATCTCTACAATTGTAAAGGAGTCACTGCCCCAATTATCTTAGGAACAATAATAATCATTTATATAAAATTAAAATAAGAAAATTAAGCCAGGTATGGTGGCTCATAGCTACAGTCCCAGCACTTTAAGAGTTGGAGACCAGCCTGGGCAACACAGTGAAACCCCTGTCTCTACAAATTTTTAAGTATTAGCTAATTTTTTTAAAGCTGGCCGGGCATGATAATGCATGACTGTAATCTCAGGCTGCAGTGAACTATGATTGTGCCACTGCCCTCCAGCCTGAGTGACAGAATGAGACTCCCAACTCAAAAAAAAAAAAAAAAGGAAAGAAAATTAAGAATTTGTTGAAAATTGTTTTACTACAATGCTAGGCTGCATGTCTTGCACCTGTACTCCCAGCAACTCAACAGGCTGAGGGGGAAGGATTGCTTTAGGCCAGCGGTTGGAGACCAGCCTGGGGAACAGGGCAAGACCTCGTCTCTAAAAAAATACAAGGCAAGCTGAGCCAGGAGGATTGCCTGAGCCCAGAAGTTCCAAGTTGGTCAGCTATGATTGCCCCGCTGCACTCTAGCCTGGATAACAGAGCAAGACCCTGTGCCTTATTTTTAAATTTATGTTATTTTTTTACTACTTATGCTTATTTATCTATTTATTTATTTTTGAGACAGAGTCTTGCTCTGTAGCCCAGGCTAGAGTGCAGTGGTGCCATCTCAGCTCACTGCAAGCTCTGCTTCCCAGGTTGAAGCTATTTCCCTGCCTCAGCCTCCAGAGTAGCTGGGATTACAGGCACATGCCACCACGCCCAGCTAATTTTTATATTTTTAGTAGAGACAGGGTTTCATCATGTTTGCCAGGCTAGTCTCTAACTCCTGACCTCAAGTGATGCACCTGTCTCGGCCTCCCAAAGTGCTGGGATTACAGGTGTGAGCCAACTCGCCCAGGCTCCTTATGCTTGAAATGTGAGGTTTCATTAGGGAAAAATTTTCTTGTTGAATTTCTAACATGAAAGAATAATAGATTTAGCTGTAGATTAAATTAATGGTCCTGGTAGTTTGGTACAATAAAATAAATGAAATGAAATTGATAGCAGAGAGGAATCTTTGATGCTTTTGAACAATTTAAATAATGTAATATTTATTATATAAAGACATGAAAAAGTTCATTACATTATTATTTTATTTATTTATTTATTTATTTATTTATTTTGAGATGTAGTCTCACTCTGTCGCCTAAGCTAGAGTGCAGTGGTGCAATCTCGGCTCACTGCAACCTCTGCTTCCCGGGTTCAAGCAATTCTCCTGTCTCAGCCTCCTGAGTAGCTGGGATTACAGGCACACACCACCACACCTGGCTAATTTTTGTATTTTTAGTAGACACGGGGTTTCACCACGTTGGTCAGGCTGTCTTGAACTCCTGACCTCATGATCCTCCTGCTATGGCTTCCCAAAGTGCTGGGGTTACAGGCATGAGCCACTGCACCTGGCCCATTACATTATTTTTTAAAAATCAGTGTGACTCTTTTGACAAATTAGAATGGTTTAATAATCTTGGTTAGGCTGGGCATGGTGGCTCATGCCTGTAGTCCAAGCACTTTGGGAGCCCGAGGTCAGGAGTTTGAGACCAGCCTGGCCAACATGGTGAAACCCTGTCTCTACTAAAAATACAAACATTAGCCGGGCATGGTGGGGGGCTCCTGTAATCCCAGCTACTCAGAAGGCTGAGGCAGGAGAATTGCTTGAACTCAGGAGGCAGAGGTCGCAGTGAGCCAAGATCACGCCATTGCACTCCAGCCTGGGGGGGCAACAGAGTGAGACTCTGTCTCAAAAAACTAATAAATTAATAAAAATAAATATAAAAAATTAAAATTATGTGTTCAAATACATTAAATATATGGCAATGAAAATGAGGCCTAGCATGACTGACTGCATTTTGCTCCTAACCCTTCCTACCCTGTGGTGACATCTTCCAGGCTAACTGCTTTTTCTTATTTCTGCACATAGGCCAAGCTATCTATGGGAGGGATTTAGCTTACAGTTTAACTTTAAAGCACAGATGATAATAATCCCTTCCCCAAACTAACTCCTGAGAAGATAGAGAGGTTGTATACACAAGTAACAGTGTTATGCTGAAGATTTATAAGAGCAGTGTGACCTGACAAAGGACGAACAATTTTCACCATCCCCTTGGGCTCCCACTGCAGCCCATGTCTGTCATTGTCAGACCTCTTCACCTCAAGCGCCTCCTTCTTCCTCCCTTCCCTAACGTACAAGGAGCCGGAAAATCGTATTAATTTAAGATGGTTCTTCAGGATGTTACTTCACCATCTGTTCAGTTTGGTGGCTCTCTGGAATAAAGTCACCTTCCCTGCCCCTACACCTCAACCCTCGACATCTTGGCTGTCATGCAGCAAGCGGTGAGTGCAGTAAGCGGAGATCACACCACTGCACTCCAGTCTAGGTGACCCTGTCTCAAAAAAAAAAAAAAAGAGAGAGAGAGAAATTTGGTTTTAGAATCAGACAAATTAAATGGGAGACTTACTTCTAATGAGACCTAGAAATGTCTAAATTTCTAAAATTTCTAAAAGAACTGAGAAAATTGCCTCCATCCAGGAAGTAAGCTGAAGGAGGTAAACTGTCATGTTTTCTGAATTGAGAAATATTGAGGAGGCTTTGTCTCTTTCACTTCCAGCTGCTCCTTCTCCTCCTGCCCCTGCACCTGCATAGTCTTTCTTACCTGAGCCTTCCTGTCCTGCCTTGCCTCTTCTTCCATCACCATCACCTAAGGAAAGTCCCCAGGGGTCTGGACCCCTCCCTGAAACTTCTGTTCTGACAGCCCCTTTCAAGGTAAAACCCAAACCCACAGGAAGAGGGGAGCCTACCGTTGTGTATACCACTTCACCAAAACGTGAATTAAGAATATTATAAAGGACTTCCCTGATCTAAACTTAAATACATTTCACTCTTCTGTTTCTAAAGCAGGCTCCAAGATCCTGTAGGCTTTGGCAGAAAATTTGACTTAACTGTTGAAACCTTTGAGCCCAAATATTCTGATCTTTATCAATTAATTCACATGCTGGTGAAGAAGGGAAGGCCACTAACTGGTTGCAAAAGGTAAATTGGAAGGATTTTCAAAAAGAGACTGAAGCAGAACATGAAAGGTTCACATTTTCACCAAATATCTCCAAGTTGCCATTCCCCAGGTCCTTCCTAAAAATATAGATTGGAGGATAATTCAGCATTGTACTAAAAAGCCAGACAAATCTGTCTTTGCTTAACTAAAATGGTTTGAGAGCCAGGTGTGGTAGTTCATGCCTGTAATCCCAGCACTTTGGGAGGCTGAGGCGGGTGAATCACTTGAGGTCAGGAGTTCGAGACCAGCCTGCCAACATGGTGAAACCCTGTCTCCACTAAAAATACAAAAATTAGCCAGGTGGCTACTCAGGAGGCTGAAGCAAAAGAATTGCTTGAACCCAGGAGGTGGAGGTTGCAGTGAGCTGAGATCCTGCCACTGCAATACAGCCTGGGAGACAGAGCGAGACTCTGTCTCACAAAGAAAAAAATAAAAAGAAAAATAGAAAAAAAAACAGCAGGGTAGTAGAAATATAATGCACACAAGAATGATAATCATGAAGACAATCTGATTCTACAAGAGTAAGGGAACCTATTCCATTAGAGAGCCAACTGAAAACATCAAATCCCAGTTCACACCCCAGGGTGTGGGGCCACGTGCCTGTAGTCCCAGCTACTTGGGAGGATTAGTAAGGAGGTTTGCTTGAATTCATGAGGTCAAGGCAGAAGTAAACCCTGATCATGCCACTGCACTCCAGCCTGGGTGACAGTGAGACCTTGTCTCAAAAACAAACAAACAAACAAACAAACAAAAACCCACAAAACCAAACAACAACAAATTGTCCCCTCACTCTGAAATGACAGTGGCAAACATCACTTTGCTATTGGAAAATTAATAGAAAAACACTCCCTTTTACTATCAACCTGGCTCTTTCTTTAACATGTCTGACCCATGGTTTAAAATGCCCAAAAGCTGATGTACTCAAATTATAATACACTTACCTGTTCTGCACCAGCATTTATTTTTGTCTGGAGGAGATCACCATCCATGGTCCTATAAATGTCTAACAGCATGGAATGATGAAGGGCAGTGTCTTTTAGGATATTTGGTTATATCTATATATATGGCTCTGAAGAAACCCAACGTTGGGTGAGTTCCCTCAAACTTTTCACTAGGCATGACCACTGCTCTATTTTAGATCGAGATTCTGTGGGGCAAAACCTGAGAATTATCTGCCTGGCTATCAAGAAGATAGCTCCTTGCATTTTTTGGGGGAGAACACTTTTGCTTCAAGGGAGTGTTTCCTCCCAGGATTAGAAATCTTTCTGTAACCTCAGGAAACATTGCTGATGAAAACCAGGCATGGTGTGCTGTACAACTTGTAGTAATCAGGCAGAAGTTAAAAGGAAAAGACAGGTTTCCCTGTACTTGGCTGACTCCAAGACCTGCCATAGATAGAGCCCTAGCAGATCCTCGGTAACACGATCTGAAAAGTCAGAGCCCCGAGGAATGCGTTCCGGAGACTCTCTCAACACAGCCCCTAGCAAAGATAAGAGGAAAAAACAACAAATGCCTTTACTACCTTCTCTTTCCCCCTTTCCATTTCTAATTATTCAAGTTTTGTTAAGTTCCCGATTTCCCTTCAGTGCAGCTGCAAGGTCACCAGCCATACTTGCATTGCAAGACCTGTGACAGTTTGATTAGCTGCCTTTCTTCTGCTTCTGTAAGCCCTCTTGCCTGCCCCACGAGTTTCGTGCCATCAAATTCCCGCCGCGCCATTCAAACTAGCCAACCCCCTTTCAGAAGTGTCTATAAAGTCAAGCCCTGTCTTTGTTCATGGCTCAGCTTTTGGATTTTAATCCACTGTGCCTGAGTGCAGTCAATAAATCCTCCTGTTCCACCTATCGGTCTCTCTGTTCTCCTGATTCCCACAACAGTAGTAGGGGACTGCGTTCACACTTTCCCCTGGTCTTTCATGGTATGAATAATAGACGGCATTTTTTTTTTTTTTTTTTTTTTTTGCCTATAGTCGCAGGCTCAGTCTCAGTGATTGTATGCTGTGGTCAGCTGTTTTTGTTTTTGTGACACCTTGTTTTCTTGTTTACTGTCCTGGGACAGATGTCTGTAGTCACTTGTTTCCTTGGGAGGCAAATTTCAGTCTCTGTGGGGGAGGTCTCCCATGTTAGCTGTGGTGGTACTTGGCAGGCAGAGCTCAGGGATCTAGGCTTCCCTGCTTTGTAGATTGCTCAATGGTCCCCAAGGCCTACTGGCTTTTAACACCACTTGAAAACCTTAGTGTTTTTCCGCTGTCCCCAGAATCACCTCTTACACAGCCTCTTTTTTTGTTTGTTTGACTTTTTCCCTGAGACAGAGTCTCACTGTATCTGGTGGCATCTTGGTTCAAGTGATCCTCCTACCACAGCCTCTGGAGTAGCAGAGGCACGAGTCACCACAGCCAGCTAATTTCTGTTGTTTTTGTTGTTGTGGTGGTTGTTTTGTTTTTTAAGAGTTGAAGTTTCTCCATGTTGCCCAGGTTGGTCTCCAACTCCTGGACTCAAATGATCCGCCCTACCTCAGCCTTCTAAAGCACTGGGATTACAGGTGTGATCCATCATACCTGGCCAGCCCCTGCTTTTCACTATAGCATCCATGGGAGTTTCTAGGATTTCCGTGCTGGGGGGAACGTGCACTCAGCTCATAGAGCCAAGTAGTAATTGTACTTGGAACTGGTGCCATGCTTCAGGGAGTGTTTATTCAATTTGCTAGGAGCCCATGAGGCACAGGTACATGGTGACTCAGTAGTTCCCACTGCACCCATCGCCCTCCTTGGTCCTCTCACTGTCTCTGGCAGGCAGTAACATTCTGTGTGAGCTCCGGTGCTGAAGACACCCAGGCAGGAAGGGTAGGGAAGGGCACCAGCCCCTTAGGTCCTGCACATTAGGGATCCAAGAAAGGTCTTGAAGAAACAGAAAGGGAGCATTGGGAGTAGATCAAAGTGAAAGAAAGAAATCCTAGGAGATTTCCTATCTGAAGGCACCATGAAGAGAAAGTCTGCCTCCTCTGGGCTGCATCCTCCCTTTGCAGGTGAACCGAGTTCTGGTCTCCATAGGAAACCAAAGCAGATAACTTTGTCCTGACTCCTAGTTAGGAAGCCAGGCTTTGTCTTCCCCTGTTTAATGCTTGATCCTGTAGTACTTGATTGTCTCTCCTGGGCTTTCTATGGATTCCAGGGATGCAACTGAGAAGTTTATTTTTAAAGCACTTTTCCTTGAAGTAAGAGTATTTTTGGCCAGGCGCAGTGGCTCACGCCTGTAATCCCAACACCTTGGGAGGCAGAGGTGGGCAGATTACTTGAGGTCAGGAGTTTGAGACCAGCCTGGCCAACATGGTGAAACTCTGTCTCTACTAAAAATACAAAAATTAGCTGGGTGTGTTGGTGCAGGCCTGTAGTCTCAGCTACTCATGAGGCTGAGGCGGGAGAATCCTGTGAACATGGGAAGTGGAAGTTGCAGTGAGCTGATGTCAAAAAAAATTTATTTCACTTTATTTTATTTATTTATTTATTTATTTATTTATTTAGAGACGGGGTCTCGCTCTGTTGCCCAGGCTGCAGTGCAGTGGCACCATCTCAGCTCACTGCAGGCTCCGCCTCCTGGGTTCACGCCATTCTCCCACCTCAGCCTCCGGAGTAGCTGGGACTACAGGCGCCCACCACCACACCCAGCTAATTTTGTTTTTGTATTTTTAGTAGAGTCAGGGTTTCACCATGTTAGCCAGGATGGTCTCGATCTCCTGACCTCATGATCCGTCCACCTTGGCCTCCCAAAGTGCTGGAATTACAGGCGTGAGCCACCACACCTGGCCTAAAAAAAAAAAAAAAAAGTATTTTAGAATCTTTTGGCAAAGGAAATGATTTCTGACTGACAGGTTTTGCACTTAAGACATTCAGGTGTGAGGAAAACACGAAAACCACTATGCTAGGGAAAGGAAATGCTGTTGAGAATGTCTCACAAGCACAAACTACATGTCAGCAGGTAGGTTTGACCCTCAGGTTGGGCACATTTTACTTTAAGCGCACTGTCGGTGGAACTTACAATGAATCTAAGACATTCATGATGTGTGTGTGTGTGTGTGTGTATGAGAGACAGAGAGACAGGGTCTTGCAATCTTGCCCATACTGGTCTCCAACTCTGGTCCTCAAGCGATCCTCCTGTCTCCTCCTCCCAAAGTGCTGGGACTACAGGCATGCACCACCTGGTCCAGCCCATTTTAATGTTTTTAACTTAAATACACATTCCAAAAATTATATAAGTACAGGAAGCCAACTTTATGCCAGTTTTACAAAAACAAAGTGGCAACATCCTAAAGTACTGAAAGAAATAAAGTTTTCCTAGAATTCCATGTCAAAGTGAAAAATCTTTCAAGAATGTGACTGAAATAAGGACATTTAAAGACATACAAAAAAATGAAAGAATTCAGCAACCCACACTACAAGGATACCAGACAGAAATCTGCATCTACACAAAGAAATGGAGACTACTGGAAATCGGTATGTACACAGTTAAATATACATGTTCTTATTATTTAAATCTTTTAAAATAATTTGACCGATTAAACAAAGGCAATAATAATGGATTCTGGGTTTTATAACATGTCTAAAATCAAATTACATGACAACACTAGCATAATGGCCAGAAGGGGAGGTATAATGTCACTAGATGGCACTGATAAAGATGTATTCTGGAAACCCTGAAGCCTTCACTGAAAAAGCAAAAGGAGGGAAAGAAGTCAGGGAGTGGTGGACCAGAAGAAAGAAAGAGTTATACCTAATAAGCCAACAAAGGAAAGAAAATGGAATGATATAAAAACCATGTAATCACTATGCTGGAACAACTGCTCTCCATGCACTCCAGCCTGGGAGACAGTGAAACCCTGCCTCAAAAAAAAAAAGCCCACCGTTAGGGCTGGGCAGGGTGGCTCATGCCTGTAATCCTAGCACTTGGGGAGGCCAACCTCGGGTTGATCACCTGAGGTCAGAAGTTCAAGACCAGCCTGGCCAATATGGCGAAACCCCATCTCTATTAAAATACAAAAAAATGAGCCAGGCATGGTGGCGGGTGCCTGTAATCCCAGGTACTTGGGAGGCTGAGGTAGGAGAATCGCTAGAACCCTAGTAGGGGAGATTGCAGTGAGCCGAGGTTGCGCCACTGCACTCCAGCCTGGGCAACAGAGCGAGACTCCGTATCCAAAAAAAAAAAAATCCTACACGTAAAAGGTCACCAAGGCTAGCAAAAATCACCTGGTGGCCATAAAGCAGACCATCCAGAGGCAAAACTCCTTATCTGAGGAATTTAGAGGCAATTAGAGTTCCTTACTATCTAAAGCAAGAATCTAGTTCCAGGCTTCTTTCCCAAAAATTTATAAGTAACTAGAATGTCTGCTTTTTTTTTTTTTTTTTTTGAGACAGAGTCTTGCTCTGTTTCCCAGGCTGGCGTGCAGTGGCACAATCTCGGCTCACTGCTACCTCCATCTCCTGGGTTCAAGCAATTCTCTGCCTCAGCCTCCCAAGTAGCTGGAATTACAGGTGCCCGCCACCATACCCAGCTAATTTTCGTATTTTTAGTAGAGACAAGGTTTCACCATCTTGGCCCGGCTGGTCCTGAACTCCTGACCTCGTGATCCACCGCCTTGGCCTCCCAAAGTGCTGGGATTACAGGCATGAGCCACCGTGCCCAGCCAGTAACTAGAATTTCTATACATCTCTGGAATACATGCCTATCAAAACTTGTGCAACCCTTGCTCACATTAAGGCACCAAAATGTCTACAAATGTAGTACATTGTGAGCCACCACAACCGGCCTACAAGTTTTTTTTTTTTAATCATTGGGTCAGGAGTGAATTGTTGGGCTGGTGGATGATGTCTGTAATCCCAGCACTTCGGGAGGCCGAGGTGGGTGGATCACTTGAAGTTAGGAATTCAAGACTAGTCTGGCCAACACACTGAAACCCCACCTCTACTAAAAATACAAAAATTAGCTGGGTGTGGTGGCAGGCGCCTGTAATCCCAGTTACTTGGGAGGCTGAGGCAGGAGAATTGCTTGAACCCAGGAGGCAGAGGTTGCAGTGAGCCGAGATTGCGCCAGTGTACTTCAGCCTGGGTGACAAGAGCGAAACTCCGTCTCAAAAAAAAAAAGGAAATCTTTTTTTTTTTTTTTTACAATATGGGCTTATTCTGTATTACTTTTCTGAAACTTTCACTTAATATATCGTAACCATCTGTCCAGTCATTGAACATTCTTCTATAACATTTGGAATGACATCATAGTGTGCCATTATATGAATAACCCATGGTTTATTATACAAGTCCCCTACTGCTGAATGTTTAGGTCTTTCTAACTTTTTGCTATTAAAGTCTGGCATGATAGAAAGACTCTGCAAGTTAGCCTTCAGATGCCCAGCAAATCCAGTTAACCAGAGCAATTACCTCTAAGCCTCCTGGTGAATGTCGTTTTGCTGATGGTGGGCAGAGTCCACCCCAGCCGAGCCGCTGGATTTGGCAGGCACTTGGCCTTAGCAACCTGAGGGTGGTAACTCCAATCAGTTGTTTCCCTGTTACCTGAGTTGCAGATTTAGAGCCCTCTGCAGTGAGCAGGTGAGCACCTGGCATGATTCTTTTCTGGCGGGTTGTCTTGGGGGTCACTGGGCCAGTCACCACCTGGTGACAGGACAGGGTGACCGGTGGGCGGCAGCACTGGGGATTCAAATGACCGCAGCCCGGTCAGGCTGAGCTGAGCAGAGCCAAGGACTCAGCACAGCAGGGAACGTAGGCTCTACACAGAGAGGGGAGCTGGAGGCCCCCCCAAGGAGGTTAAGTATGTGCCACCCTGCGGCAGGGTCCTATGGGCTTTGGGAGTGAGAGGGTCAAGGGGAGAGGAGCTGTGTTTGCCGCCCCCTGTTAAAACCTCAAGTGAGTCAGCACGGTGTAGAGGAAAGAGCATGGGATTGGAAGCCATTGAACTTCCTGCGTGTGTCCTTGGGCAAATGACTGCATGTCTCTGATCCTCAATCTCCCCTTCTATAAAATGGAGATGATCCTAGAACCTGCTTCACGGGAGTGTTCAGAGGGGACTGTGGACAGAGCGGGAACATAGAAGAGGAAGTAGGCGGCAGTGTGGTTCACAGCCAGCGCAGGCTGCCCGCAGGGTGCAGGTACTGTCACCAAGGGAGACCCAAGATGCCCTGGAGAGAGGGGCAAGGACACAGGCCTGAGCCCAGCCCTGGTGATATGAACACTGGAGTGGGCTTCACAGGGACAGGCAGCATCAGAACTGGACTGGGGAGGTCATGAGCCCACCAGGGCCTGGGTAGGGACATAGCAAGTCTGGGGACTCCAGACAGGGTCACACAGACCTGGGCCATGCTGGGCATCCAGGGACTGGCTGTGCATACTGGCAGATGTCAGTCAGCCCTCCTGCAGTTGGGCCAGGGACACCTCAGGGAAACTGTGACCTTCCTTCCAATCTTGGTAACATCACCCTTCCAACCCAAACCCCAGGGAATGGCCCGAATCTCTCCTGACAAACAGCTCTCAGCCCTGGTCCAGGCCACAGTCTTGCTTGCACTGGGCCGGGTTTCAGAGCCCGAAGGGCACACTGGCAGCCTTTAGTGCAGTGTTTCAGATGTCACAGACAGGTTCCTCTTTGACAAAGATGGAACTTCCACTGCTTCCCTCCTACCACGCAGGAAACACAGAAGCAACCATCAGCCGCGGGCCTGCTGGCCGTTCTCTCTGGGTACTGTGTTTGGAAAAAACACAAAATCATTAAATTAAACATGCTTTTTCAAACCAAACACATCCCTCTCTTAGCCCTAGAGATTCAGAGCTGCCTCTCCCTTTGAAAATGAATGATCTCGGCCGGGTGCGGTGGCTCACGCCTGTAATCCCAGTACTTTGGGAAGCCAAGACGAGTGGATCGCGAGGTCAGGAGTTCGAGACAAGCTTGGCCAATATGGTGAAACCCCGTCTCTACTAAAAATACAAAAATTTGGCCGGGCACAGTGGCTCACGCTTGTAATCCCAGCACTTTGGGAGGCCGAGGCGGGCAGATCATGAGGTCAGGAGATCGAGACCACGGTGAAACCCTGTCTCTACTAAAAATACAAAAAATTAGCCCGGCGTGGTGGCGGGCACCTGTAGTCCCAGCTACTCAGAGAGGCTGAGGCAGGAGAATGGCGGGAAACGGGAAGTCGGAGCTTGCAGTGAGCCGAGATCGCGCCACTGCAGTCCAGCCTGGGTGACTCCGTCTCAAAAAAAAAAAAAAAAAAAAAAAAATCAGCCGGGCGTGGCAGCGGGCGCCTGTAGTCCCAGCTACTCAGGAGGCTGAGGCAGGAGAATCTCTTGAATCCGGGAGGCGGAGGTTGCATTTAGCCGAGATTACACCACTGCCTGGGCAATAGAGTGAGACTCCCTCAAAAAAAAAAAAAAAAAGAAGAATGATTTCATCCCATGCCTTCAATAACAGAAGGAGGTCGAAGCCCAGTCGGGGGTTGAAACGAACATATTGTTACAGTAGAAAGGACACGAGACAGGCGCGCCGCCGGGTTGAGTCTCGCGAACAAAATGAGGCCAGAGTGCCTTCCCCAGGATTGCACGTCAGTCAGGAAAACAAAGGCATTCTCTCTGACCGGTCAAATCACCGAAGCTTCGGGATCGTCGTTGGGGGCTGTGACAGGGCTGGCATGAAACGTCCCCTCGTTCTGGCTGGGCGATGGGTCAGGAGTTTCAGGCCTTTGAGGCCCGGCCAAACCGCAGGGGGACTCTGCAGCCGGGTCGGGGTTTCGATCCTGCGCTGCGGTCTTACAACTGCGAAACCTTGGGGGTCGTGGTTCGTTCCTGTGGAATCCTCCTTCGTGCGTGCAGGAGGAGCCTAGCTTGCCCGGCGGTGCGAGGCTGCAAGCGGGAGGGCTCACCAGGCGTTTCCGCCCAGGGTGGTCCCTGTAAGCGCCGCAGACCCGCGGCCCCTGGCGCCCGGCCCCGCCCCCGCCCCCGCCTCGGCCCCGGCCTCGCCTCCGCCCCGGCCTGAGCCTCTCTCGCGCGGCGCAGGCTCCGCCCCCGGTTCTCCCCGCCTAGTGGAAGGGACGCCCCGCCCCGCCGCACCCGGTGCGGCCCCTCGGCCTCGGCGGCAGCGGCTGCGGAGAAGGCGAGCGAAGGTAGGAGGCTGGGGGTGCGCGCGTGCGCGGGGGCTGGACCGACGCGCTCCGGGCGAAGGAGGCCGCTCGCCTGGGGGCGGGCTGGAGCCATGTCCCGGGGCTAGGGGCGCTGTGGGCGCCGCGCCCGCCGCTGCCCGGCACCGGAAGCCAAGAGGGCGTTCCCGACGGGCTCCGCAGATGCCCCTCCGCGTCCTGCCGCCCATCCTGCCCGGATTGTCGCGGGCCGGGGGCGCGACAGGAGGCCGAGGCCTGCCCGGGCGCAGAGGCCTGCCTGGGCGCAGCGGCCTGCAGGGCGCAGCCGTCCCTCCGCCGGTCGGGGTCCCCTCGCTCCGCGGGCGGCCGTGGGAGGCCCTCGCGACGGCCGCTACCCCTCGCAGATGCCCTCTGCAGCTCCTGCGTGCGGGCCCCGCCCTGCACTGCCCTCCTAGTGTGGGACGCGGTTTCGTCTTCATTGCAACCCTGCCGAGTCGGAAGCATCTCCATTGTGCGGATGGGTAAACTGAGGCCCAGAGCGCGCGGTTGGGCTGGCCACGGAGGCAGGGCCGCCGGATGCTGTGCGGGGATGGGGCCCTGCACCCCTTGCGCCTCTCACCATGGGGCCTCAGGCCCCTGTGCCCGGCAGCGTCTCTGGAGTGGGCATTTTGAACGAGCTCCCTCCTGATTTTCACACAGACTTAAGCCTGACGACCGTGCTGGGGCGGATGTCTGCCCCTCTGGTGACCAGGTCACAGCTCCCTTGGGAAGACGATTGACTGGGGAATGGGGACCCTGGGGAGGGGGCCTTCAGGGTGCCATCTGTCTGTTTACGCCAGAAAACAGAGATTTCTGTTTTCTTTCGCTGGGCTCACAGCAGGTGCTTAATAAACAGATCTTGTGGCGGGAGCAGAGGACAGCGAGGTTCAGGCACGACTCCAGGAGTCAACCCCTGGATCTCGGAGGCTCCCCACCCGCGCACATTTCCCTGACTTAACCCTCCCCTCCCCAGTCTTTCAGCCCTAGGAGGGGAGGCCCCCTTTCCACCCAGGTGGCCCCTGTGGGGGTCACTCCCTGGTTTTCACCCTGAACTTCTGGGATGCGGCAGATGCTGGATATGTGTTCGCTGGTGTCCTTGGCTCTTAGCATTCATTAATTCATTCAGCAGCTCTTCATGGAGCTTTGGCCTTAGCCCATGCACTGTGGAAGTGGCAGTGAACTAAGCCAACCTGGCACTTTGGGAGGCTGAGGTGGGAGAACGGCTTGAGCCCAGGAGTTGGAGACTAGCCTGGGCAACATCTCATCTCTACAACAAGTAAAAAATTAGCCAGGCATGGTGGCATGCACCTGTGGTCCCAGCTACTCAGGAGGCTGAGGTGGCCTCCCAAAGGCCCCCCCTCCTGGGCCTCCCTTAAGCCCAGGAGGTCAAGGCTGCAGTGAGCCATGATTTTGCCACTGCACTCCAGCCTGGACAACAGAGCAAGACCCTGTCTCAAAGAAAAAAAAAAGGAGGAGACAGACAACATACATGTTGGAGAAAACGGAACAGCCACTGGAGGGACCTCTTTAGCTGAGAGTCAGGGGTAGGTCCCTCAGAAGGTGATACTTTTGAGCAAAAATCTGGCCGACAAGCGGGGGAGTCAGCTGTGCAAAGGAAGAGGGAAGAGCGTCCCAGGCAGAGAAAGTGGCAGTGCAAAGGCCCAGAGGTGGGTGCATGCCTGGTGTTTGAGGAATCAAGAAGGCCATGAGCAGCCGGGTGTGGTGGCTCACACCTGTAATCCCAGCACTTTGGGAGGCCAAGGTGGGTGGATCACTTGAGGTCAGGAGTTTAAGACCAGCCTGGCCAATACAGTGAAACCTCATCTCTACTAAAAATGCAAAAATTAGCTGGGCATGGTGGTTCATGCCTATAATCCCAGCTACTCGGGAGGCTGAGGTAGGAGAATTGCTTGAACCCAGGAGGCAGAGGTTGCAGTGAGCAGAGATCGTGCATTACTGCACTCTAGCTCCAGCGTGGGCAACAGAGCAAGACTCTGCCTCAAAAAAAAAAAAAAAAGAAAAAAAAAAAGGAGATGAGGTGGGAGAAGTGGAGTGGGACCAGATCTGGTGGGCCCTGTGGGCCATGGAAGGACTTTGAACTTCATTTTAGGTGCGGTAAGGGCTAGTAGAGGGCCTTGGGTAGGGGAGGGATATGACCTTTACTGTGTGAAACTTGAGTGGGTGAGGGGATGAGCAGGAAGCATAGAGACCCTCGGGGAGCCATCTCAGCAGTCCAGGCAGTGGCTTATATAATACACATCGGCGTCCTGGGGTGGTGCCAGGTACACAGCAGGCGCTGCAGGATGGAAGTCATTGCCGTTACTGGTTTTGTTTATTTGAGACAGGGTCTTGCTCTATCACCCAGGCTAGAGTGCAGTGACACAACCATGGCTCATTGCAGCCTCAACCTTCCAGGCTCAAGCAATCCTCCTGCCTCAGCCTCTCAAGGAACTGGGACTACAGGAGGTGCATGCCACCATGCCAGGCCAATTTTTTGTATTTTTTTTTTGGTAGAGATGGATTCTCACTATGTTGCCAGGGCTGGTCTCAAACTCCTGGGCTCAAGCAATCCTCCTACCTCAGCCTCCCAAAGTGTTGGGACCACAGGTGTGAGTCACTGCACCCGGCTTGCTGTTATTATTTAAAACTCTGGGCTGGGCGCAGTGGCTCATGCCTATAATCCCAGCACTTTGAGAGGCCGAGGCGGGTAGATCACTTGAGGTCAGGAGTTTGAGACCAGCCTGGCCAACATGGTGAAACCCTGTCTCTACTAAAAATACAAAAATTAGCTGGGCGCGGTGGCGCATACCTGTAATCCCAGCTACTCAGGAGGCTGAGGTAGGAGAATTGCTTGAGCCCAGGAGGCGGAGGTTGCAGTGAGCCGAGATTGTGCCATTGCACTCCAGACTGGGTGACAGAGTGAGACTCCATCTCAAAAACAAAACAAAACAAAACAAACAAACAAAAAACAAAAACCCTTTGGAATCAGGCACACCTAGGTCGCGGCTGTGACTTGAGCTCTTTGTGGCTGGGTGCATTGGAGCCAATTATTTAACTTCACTGAGACTTCACGCTGTCATCTGTAAAGTGAGTAGGGTGGTGCCAGGAGTGTTAAAGCAGGTAAGGGACAGATGTAACGTTTTGGGCACAGGGCCTGGCTCGTGGTTGGTTCAATATTTTTGTCATAATTTCTAGTCAGCAGCAGGAGGATAATGAAGGGGTAAGCGGATAAGAGCAGCTGCTATGTTTGAAACGAGTAATCTTTGAGGGGCTTTTTGGCTAGTTCCTGCCGCTAGCCCTGGCAAAAGGCAAGTTTGGAGGGTGGTAGTGGGGAGGGAAGGGTACAAAGGGTGTCTCCTCTGTATTTGGTCACCAAATAATGTCTCAGCATCTAGAACAAGGCACAGGGTTCTAGCTTGGGGACTAGAAAGAGCCAATAATACTCATGATAGTAATGATAACAGTAGTAATAGCCAACACTTACCCGCTGTTGAACTGCAGGTAGTAATTAAGGTAACACTAGCTAATGTGATAGTGAAACCCTGAATTCTCAGAGGCTTAGCGCAATAGAAGTTTATTTCTCATTCATGAAAAGCCCTGTTGGGTGTTTGGCAGGTGGCTTTCTATGTGGCGACCCAGGGACCGAGATCCCTTCTGTCTTGTGGTTGCGGCATCCCCTAGGACCTTGGAGTTATTTCCTTCTAGCTGATGGACCAGGAAGGAGAGAAATAATTTTATGGACCAAGCCTAAAGTGGCACGCTGTCTTTCTGTCTTAATTCTATGGACCAGAACTTGACCACATGGCCGTATCTGACTGCAAGGGAGTCTGGGAAATGGCTTTTAGCCATATTCCTAAGAGGAATCGGAAATGCTTTGTGGTGAGCACATTGCAGTTTCTGCCACACCATATCCAGGCATATAGCTTAGCACGGAGTATTTTATTTAATGCTCATGCTAGAAACAGGCACCATTATTATCCCATTTTGCAGATGAGGAAACTGAAGCTCAGAGAAGTGAAGACACTGGTGCAGGGTCACACAGCTGGTGAGGGGCTGGTGAGCCAAGATTGGAGTCCAGGTGGCCAGATGCTGAAGCTGTTAGCATCCAGATTTCTAAGAGGAATTCAGTCATTTTTTTTTTTTTTTTTTTGGAGAATTGGGTGGAAGCAGTGGACATATACACGGGGTTCAGATATGACTTCCTGGGACCCACAGAACCCAGCAGGACTCTGGGGGAGAACTTTGGGGATGGAGCCAAGGGTGGGTGTCACCTGGTGCCAGGGGCTGACATCCTGTCTCCTTCCCCCAACCCTTAGGACTGTGGTCAGGAGAAGGCACAGAATAATTGAGTTCAGTCCCTCAAGGACATCTGGGGCCCCCTCTGCTGAGCTAGGCATGCAGGGCTGGACATGCTGGTCCAGGGGTATTTGTGGCTTCCCCCCTGCTCTGGTGGGCAGGTGTGCAACCTGTAGAGGGGATTTTTGGAGGCTGCCTAGAGGTAGAAGAGTGGGCGTCCCTGGGGTTTGTAGTGGCAGCTCTATGCTGCTGGCTGGATTAGTTTTCTTTTTTTTTTTTTTTTTTGAGACAGAGTCTCTCTCTGTCACCCAGGCTGGAGTGCAGTGGTGCGATCTCAGCTCACCAAAACCTCTACCTCCCAGTTTCAAGTGGTTCTTGTGCCTCAGCTTCCCGAGTAGTTGGGACTACAGGCACCCACCACCATGCCCAGCTAATTTCTGTATTTTTAGTAGAGACGGGGTTTCACCACATTGGCCAGGCTGGTCTAGAATTCCTGACCTCAAGCGATCCACCTGCCTTGGCCTCCCAGTGTTGGGATTACAGGCATGAGCCACCGCACCTGGCCAGTGGCTGGTTTGGTTTTGCCCAAATCTGGCTTGCTTGCCATTGCAACTTGGCAACATTTATCTTTTTGGCCCTGTTTCTTGGTTTTCCATTTGCAGGGCAGGTTCCTTAGTTGGGCATGAGCGGTCCAGCCTGGACTGATGAGCATTTATACAGCACCGTGGCATTCTGGGTCTGACCTGGATACAGAAGTAGAGCCTCAAAGCACAAATGCCTCGGCCTTGCCCTTCAGTCACTCATTGGGAGGCTGCTGGTCTAAGTGGAATGAGCTTTGGGCTCACCACTTCCCTGAAGCATGTCGCCTTGAATAGGTGAGAGCCCAATCTCTCTGAGCCTCAGTTTTCTCATCTGGAAATGGGTTGAAGTAAGGATTTAATGAGATAATGTGAATATGCCCCCTTTGGGGCACAGCATGGAGCAGCGGGCACCCAGAGGTCAAGGGCTGAGGCATAGCAGTGTAGCAGGACGAGCCGCAGGCAAAACTCCTCAGTCACCAGGTTAAAGAAGGAAGGAGCTTTATTCGGCCGGGAACTTCAGGAGACTTGTGTCTTAAAAGCCGAGCTCCTCGAGTGAGCAATTCCTGTCCTTTTTCAGGGCTTACAACTCTAAGGGCAGGAGGCCAGACACGTGATGCTAATGACAATAGGAACAGCAGCCACCATTGGCTAATAGCTCACCACCTGCCAGGTGTGGTAGGTACTATCAGTCGCATTTTTTTGTTGTTTTTGGTAGGACAGAGTCTCGCTATGTTGCCCAGGCTGGTCTCAAACTCCTGGGCTCAAGCGATTCTCCCATTTTGGCCTCCCAAAGTGCTGGGGTTACAGACCTGAACCACCACACCCAGTCTAGTATCATTTTATTTTATTTTATTTTATTTTTTTGAGACAGAGTCTTGCTCTGTAACCCAGGCTGGAGTACTGTGGCACAATCTTGGCTCACTGCAACCTCCTCCTCCTGGGTTCAAGTGATTCCCCTGCCTCAGCCTCCTGAGTAGCTGGGATTATATGCACATGCCACCACGCCCCAGCTAATTTATTTATTTATTTATTTATTTATTTATTTATTTATTTATTTATTTTTTGAGACAGAGTCTTACTCTGTTGCCAGGCTGGAGTGCAGTGGTGTGATCTCCGCTCATTGCAGTGTGGCCTCTTGGGGCTTCCTCCGTGCCTCTGCTCGGTAACCATAGCGATCTTCCAGGGAACTGTGGGCATGGGTTGGTGACACTCAAAATGCGAGTGATAGGGAGGTGAACAAGGTAGGCCCTCCCACTACTGGGCTGGTATTCTGGGAACAACAGACAAGCTAACTGATGTCTTTAATGCCACAGTCAGCTTCAAGGTTCAAGCGATTCTCCTGACTCAGCCTCACAAGTAGCTGGGACTACAGGCATGCACCAACATGCCCAGCTAATTTTTGTATTTTTAGTAGAGACGGGGTTTCACCATGTTGGCCAGGATGGTCTCAATCTCTTGACCTCGTGATCTGCCCACTTTGGCCTCCCAAAGTGCTGGGATTACAGACTAATTTTTGTATTTTTAGTAGAGATGGAGTTTCACTATGTTGGCCAGGCTGGTCTCGAACTCCTGACCTCAAGTGATCTGCCCGCCTCAGCCTCCCAAAGTGCTGGAATTACAGGCTTGAGCCACTGCGCCTGGCCTGGTCTAGTCTCCTTTTAGAGATGAGAAAACTGAGGCTCAGGGAGGTAACCTGTTCAAGGTCATGAACTGTCTTGAAGACCATAGTTGCAAGTGACAGAGCTGGGTCTCAGATGCAACCTCAGACCTGATACTGACTCCAGAGCTGTGCGCCTAAGCACTAGAGCACATAGCCTCCTTGCCCCAGGGAAAGAACAATGGGAGGTTGTGGGTGACCTCTGGGTCTCAGGGCCCTGGGATATAGGGACTGTGCCTTTTTTTTTTTTTTTTTTTTGAGACAAAGTTTCGCTCTTGTTGCCCAGGCTGGAGTGCAATGGCATGATCTCAGCTCACTGCAACCTCCGCCTCCCAGGTTCAATTGATTCTCCTGCCTCAGCCTCCCAAGTAGCTGGGATTACAGGCATGTGCCACCACACCCGGCTAATTTTTGTATTTTTGGTGGAGATGGGGTTTCGCCATATTGATCAGGCTGGTCTCGAACTCCTGACCTCAGGTGATCCGCCTGCCTTGGCCTCCCAAAATGCTGAGATTACAGGTGTGAGTGCCCATGCCTGGCAGGACTGTGCCTTTTGCATTTTCAAATGAAGGAAATGAGTATTTCTTGAGTGTTGACCGTGTGTCCCCCCGGCACCGTGTCATGTGCTGGTTATGCACACACGATATTCTGTTTCATCCCCGGACAGCTCTGTGAGGTGAGTACCAATATTATTCACATCTTACGTAAGAGGACACTGAGTCTCAGAGAGAGGCAGAGTCACTGTCCCTGGTGCACCCAGCTAGTAGGGGCTGGGGTGGGTGTGAAGGGGCCAGAAGCTTCCCAATAAGTGCCTGAAGGGCAAGGCTAGGGCATTTGTAGTTCGAGGCTCTACCACTCTGTCTAGGTCAGACCTAGGAATGCTGCAGGTGTTGCATAAATGCTCATCAGTCCAGGCTGGACCGCTCATGCCCAACTAAGTGCCAAGCCTGGCCTGGCTGATCTCACAGCCTGCATTCTTTGCCCTACACCTGTTGTGGGAAAACGTAAATCCTCTCATTCTTAGCTAACCTTGTGACCCCCGTTCTGGGCCAGCAAAGATGATCCCAAATACTTAGGACTCTGGCCTTTCGCACTACGTGGCTACTGACCCCACCCCCTGGGCTTGGAGGGCTCTAGGACCCAACAACCTGCGGAGGGTGAAGAGTGTGTGAGGTCCTGACCTCCAGCTGCCTCCCCTCCTTTCCTCCCCCCATTCCCTCTTCTCTCTCCTCCCTCCCTTTCTCTCCCTTCTCCTCCCCTCTCTTCATCCTTCCTCTTCCTTTGGCTCCCCACCTCTGCTTCCCTCCTCTCCTGTCCTTTTCCATCCCCTCCCTCCTCAGCCCCCACCCCAGAGCCTGGAGTTGCAGAGGCAGCTACAGGAGGAGCAGGCCTCCTACCAGCGCAAGCTGCAGGCCTACCTGGAGGGCCAGCAGCGGCAGGCCCAGCTTGTGTGCAGCGGCTGCAGGGCAAGGTCAGGGCCACCCACTCCTGCTCCTGCCCTCCCACATGTTCATTTTGCCCTGCCCCCACCCATGGGGGTCACCATCAGCTCCCCATCCCCACATTCTCCAGTACAAGAAGAGGTACTCGGAGCTGGAGCAGCAGCTGCTGGAGAGATCCGGAGAGCTGGAGCAGCAGCGGCTAAGGGTGGGTGCCAGGGTGGGGCAGGGGCAGGCCTGCCCCTGCCCTCCACCTGCCCTGCCTGATGCTTTAACCTCTCTCCCACCCAGGACACAGAGCACAGCCAAGACCTGCAGAGTGCCCTCATCCGGCTGGAGGAGGAGCCGCAGAGGTGGGGGCACAACAGGGAGGGCCAGGGCTGGCAGCATGGCCCCCTGGGCAAGCGCCTACTGATCCCCTTTGCCCTATTCAGGAGTGCCAGCCTGGCCCAGGTGAAAGCCATGCTCCGAGAACATCTGGACCAGGCAGGCTCGGCCAACCAGGCTCTGAGTGAGGACATACAAAAGGTGACCAATGACTGGACACGCAGCCGCAAGGAGCTGGAGCAGCGGGAGGCGGCATGGAGGCGCGAGGAGGAGGTGGGCATGGGGGTGCAGGGAGGCCAGCCTGACCCAAGGGGAGGGGCACTGCAGAGGAGGGAGGACTCAGAAGCCTGGAGAGGGAGAGGGAGCACTGTCCAAGGGAGCCTGTTAGCAGAAGTAAATAGCCATCATCACAATAGCTGGTCTTTATCAATGCGTAGCATGTACCACGTGCACGGTGTGCGTTGACCTTTATTCCTGGTGATAACTGCATGTGGTAGGTGCTATCATCCTCCTGATTTTAAAGACAGGTTAAGGCCGGTCGCAGTGGCTCACGCCTGTAATCCCAGCACTTTGGGAGGCTGAGGCAGGCGGATCACTTGAGGTCAGGAGTTCGAGACCAGTCTGGCCAACATGGTGAAACCCCGTCTCTACTAAAAATACAAAAATTAGCTGGGCGTGATGGTGCACGCCTGTCATCCTAGCTATTTGGGAGGCTGAGAGATCATGCCACTGCACTCCATCCTGGGCAACAGAGCAAGACTCTGTCTCAAAATAAATAAATAAAGAGAGATTAAGTAACCTGCCCACAGTCATGCAACTGGCAGCTGGGATGCAAAGCTAGGTCACTTGCATTTTTGCCCTTCCTTGCTGCCTCTTGCAGCCAAAAGGGGACTTGAAACCCAGGTCCCTGTGCAGGAGGGAGCCATGAGGCTTGGGAGGCTGAGCGTGGCTGCTGCGACACAGCTCTGTGCACAGACCCACAGGAAGACCCAATCCCTGAACGACGGTGCCTCCCAGGATGGTCGGAGATGAGGGAAGCAGTGGGAGGGAGTAAACCCGCTCTCACCCCAACCCTTCCCTCGGCATGTCTTCCCTCCAGTCTTTCAATGCCTACTTCAGCAAGAAGCACAATCACCTGCTCCTGCTATGGAGGCAGGTGGTGGGGTTCCGGCGGCTGGTCAGCGAGGTGAAGATGTTCACCGAGAGGTGAGGCCTGGCCAGGGATGGGCAGCAGCTGAGAGCCAGCCCTGCTCTTTACATCCAACTCAACTCAGTTGAATTTCAGTTCAACTCAATGCACCTGCTGTGCACAAGGGCCTGTGAGGACACAGAGGCAACTTGTAATAACCATTACCACAGTCGTGGCAGTCAGCATTTATTAGATGTTTACTCTGGGCTAGGCTCTTTGTATATTTCATTTCAACTAATATTCATAGCTTCCCTGTGAGGTAGGAACTGTGTTCATTCCCATTTTATAGATGAGGACATTGAGGTACAGAGAGGTTGAGTGATCTTCCTGAGGTGGCACAGTAGTACATAAGTGGCTGAGTCAGAGTTTGAAGTTCCTGATTTATTTATTTATTTATTTATTTATTTATTTTGAGATGGAGTCTCACTCTGTCACCAGACTGGAGTGCAGTGGCACGATCTTGGATCACTGCAACCTCCACCTCCTTGGTTCAATCAATTCTCCTGCCTCAGCCTCCCAAGTTGCTGGGATAACAGGCACATGCCGCCACGACTGGCTAACTTTTTTTGTAGTTTAGTAGAGACGGGGTTTCACCATGTTGCCCAGGCTGGTCTCGAACTCCTGAGCTCAGGCGGAGCCTTAGCCTCCCAAAGTGCTGGGATTATAGGCCACCATGGGATTATAGCTGAGCCACCATGCCAGGCTGAAGTTCCTGATTTTAATCCGCTAGAATATTCAGCTTTGCTACCAAGGACCTCACAGCCTCTTGTGATGAAAAGATGTAGATCCCCAAAATTCTAGACTGAGGAAGCGAGTGGTCAGTGATATGTACGTGGGACAGAAGGAATGTCCTGGAGGCTCAGAAGGATGGGAGGGGTGGGGAGGTCAGAAAAACCAATTTGTGGAGATGGAATTTGCTCAGAGCATCAAGGGATGGGTAGGGTTGAAGCAGAGCAGCAGGCGCTCCAAGCAGGAGCAAGGCATGAGCAAAGGCATGGAGGTGGGAGCCCATGACAGCCAGGGGGTTGCAAGGAAGAGCTGGTACAGGGAAAGGAGAGCCTGCCTCAGCGGGGGAGCTTGGGCCTGCCTGATCTTTGAGCAGGGGTGTCTGATTGGTGTGAGCAGTCAGCTCAACAGTAGTGTCGGGGAGGCTGCGGAGAGAGCCCCAAGGCAGGAGGCCAAGGTATTTCATTTAGTGCGTTGAGAACATTTTAGTTAGTAATCTTTTCTTTTCTTTATGGCTCACTACAGCCTCGGCCTCCTGGTCTGAAGCAATCCTCCTACCTCACATCCTGTGCAATTGGGACCACAGGTGCATGCCACCAGGCTTGCTGATTTTTTTATTTCTTGTAGAGTCGAGGTCTCACTTTGTTGCCCAGGCTGGTCTTGAACTCCTGAGCCCAAGTGATCCCCCTGCCTTGACCTCCCAAAGTGCTGGGATTACAGGCAAAGTGTGGGATTACAGCAACCACAACTGGTTTAATAATCTTTTCTTAATATCATCGAATAGCCAGTGTCTAAATTTTCCATATGTCTCATAAATGTCACAGATAGGCCAGGTGCTCACACCTATAATCCCAGTACTTCGGGAGGCCGAGGCAGGTGGATCATCTGAGGTCAGGAGTTCGAGACCAGCCTGGCCAACATGGTGAAACCCCCATCTCTACTAAAAATACAAAAATTATCCAGGTGTGGTGACACATGCCTGTAATCCCAGCTACTGGGGAGGCTGAGGCACCAGACTCGCTTGAACCCAGGAGGTGGAGGTTTCAGTGAGTCGACATCACACCACTGCACTCCAGCCTGGGTGACGGAGTGAAACTCTGTCTCAAAAACAAAAGTCACAGATAGTCTTGCTTTAGTTTTTTCTTTACAATTTGTTTGAATCTGGATCCATAGACATTCACAAAATATAAATGGTTGCTTTGTCTCTTTTTTTTTTTTTTCCAAGATGGAGTCTCGCTTTGTTGCCCAGGCTGCAGTGCAGTGGCAGGATCTTGGCTCACTACAACCTCTCCCTCCTGGGTTCAGCAATTCTATGGCTTCAGCCTTCTGAGTAGCTGGGATTACAGGAGTGCGACACCACGCCCAGCTAACTTTTGTGTTTTTAGTAGAGATGGGGGCTTCACCATGTTGGCCAGGCTGGTCTTGACCTCAGGTGATCCACCTACCTTGGTCTCCCAAAGTGCTGGGATTACAAGAGTGAGCCACTGTGGCCGGCCCATGCTTTGTCTTTGAAGTCCCTTTTAACTTATTTGTTCAGGAAACTGGGCCAATTGTCCTTGGAGATTCTCATGGTCTGGATTTTGCTGGTTGCATCCTTATGGTGTCAATTAACATGTTTCTTTATCCCATGTATTTCCTGTAAATTGGATGTTGGATCTAAAGCTAGGTCAGATTCAGGTTCTTCTGCTTGCTTTTTTGTTTGATCAAGACTCCATAAGTAGAATGTGTTCTTCCAGCAGGATGCCCCTATGCCAGCTGTCTTTCTTTTCAAGATCCAACCCACTCATCAGAGGCTGCAAAACTGTGAGCTTCTCATTTAGTCACTCCTGTGTATATTAATTAGAATTCTGGAATGAGGCACTTTCCCTCCTTACTATTGGATAACCAGTGGTACAGTTCATTCAGGAAAGGAAAGGATTTAACCTGTATTATGGACTTAAAATACTTTTTCTTTCTTTTTTTTTTGAGACAGTCTCTCTCTGTTGCCCAGGCTGGAGTGCAGTGGCACAATCACAACTCACTTAGGCTTGAACTCCCAGGCTCAAGTGATCCTCCCACCTCAGCCACCCAAGTAGCTGGGACTACAGGAGTGCGCCACCACGCCTGGCTAATTTTTTGTATTTTTAGTAGAGACGGGGTTTCACCATGTTGCCCAGGCTGGTCTCAAATGCCTGACCTCAGGTGATCTGCCCGCCTCGGCCTCCCAAAATGCTGGGATTATAGGTGTGAGCCACCACGCCTGGCCTCAGCGTAGTTTTAATTTGTAGTTGGGAGCGAGCCCCATCCCATCCCCATCCTGTGCTCTCTCCCAAAGGACCTGCTGCAGCTGGGAGGGGAGCTGGCCCGGACATCACGAGCTGTCCAGGAGGCGGGCCTGGGACTGAGCACGGGCCTGTGGCTGGCAGAGAGCCGGGCCAAGGCAGCCCTGGAGAAGCAGGCCCTGCTGCAGGCCCAGCTGGAGGAGCAGCTGCGGGACAAGGTGCTCCACTAGAAGGACCTGGCCCAGCAGCAGATGCAAAGTGACCTGGACAAGGCTGACCTCAGTGCCAGGTGGGTCCCTGGTGGGTGCCACATGGGGCAGGCGTCCTTGCAGAAGGTAAAACTGGAGAGTTGGGGAGAAGGGAGCATCTGTTCACTAGGAGCAGGGCCTTCCTCTGTGAGCTCAGCCAGTCTTCCCAGGCACCCAACTGAGTTTCTGAGGCACTTGCCCAGTGTATATCATAAACAGCTTAGCCTCTTATGACAGAACTTGTGGCCGGGATCACACCTGTAATCCCAGCACTTTGGGAGGCCAAGGTGGGGCATTACCTGAGGTCAGGAGCTCAAGACCAGCCTGCCTAACAGGCGAAACCCTGTCTCTACTAAAAATACAAAACTTAGCCGGGTGTGGTGGTGTGTGCCTCTAATCCCAGCTACGAGGGAGGCTGAGACAGGAGAATCGCTTGAACCCAGGATGTGGAGGTTGCAGTGAGCCAAGATCACATCGCTGTATTCCGGCCTGGATGACACAGCGAAACTCTGTCTCAAAAGAAAACCACAAAAAAACAACTTGTGCCCCTTACTCCTGCTACCTGGACAAGTCCTCCAGTGTTTTCCCATGAGATAAAGCTGGTGGGAACCTCATTCCCATTTCACAGATGAGAAGTGTGAGGTCTGGAGAGGAGCCACAACTTGTTTAAGGTCACACAGCCAGGGAGGTGGATGTTAGGGTCCCTCCCTCGGGTTTGGAGAAGCATGGTGGACACAGAGCTAGTGGATTTGAGAGGCTGGGGTGGTCCCGTATTCACCTCTGTTGCTCCCCCAACTCCAGAGTGACAGAGCTGGGCCTGGCAGTGAAGCGTCTTCAGAAGCAGAATCCGGAGAAGGATCAGGTCAACACGGACCTCACTGAGAAGCTTGAGGCCCTGGTGAGCTGCAGCTGCCCCTGAGATGGGGCAGGGTGGGATGGGGTACCGGCCAGATCCATGGACGCAGGCTTAGGGCTGGGCTGCCTGGACCACCCCCAGCATCCCACTCACACTCAGGTTCAGCCCTCACAGGTGTGCAGGCTTTGTGGTAAGAACATTCACCTCCTCCATCCCATTTCTTCCTCCCAGCAGCCCTGTAGCATAATCCTCATGACACAGATGGGGAAACTGAGGCCCAAGAGGGGAAATGCTTGTCCAGTCTCAGAGCCAGTAAGCTGGAGAGTCGGGACTTGAACTCCCATCCGTGCTCTCCAGGTCCAGATGCTGCCTCTGGAATCCCAGCTGCCCATCCCCACTAGTGGGACACTCACTCCCCCAGGGTACAGCCTGGTTTGGTCACCCCTCTGTGTGGGGCCTGGCCTGGGTTCTAGGTCCGGCTCTCCTCCAATCGACTGTGTGACCTGGGGCAGGACACAGCTGTTCTCTGCGCCTGGTCTGTTCATTGAGGGCCTCGGGCCTGCTGTGGGGTCTACCAGATGTCTGGCCTATGGACATAGCTTCAGAGGCCACCTGGTCAGTGGTGGACCAGGAAGGGAGGGGAATGGGAGGTTTCAGATAAGACAGAACCAGGACCACCCTTTGTCTCCCTAACTACACTCCAGGAATCCCTGCGGCTACAGGAGCAGGTGGCCCTGGAGACAGAGGACGGAGAGGGGCTACAGCAGAGCCTAAGGGACCTGGCACAGGTGTGAGCCCAAAGAGGTGGGAAGACAGGGCACTGCCAGGCAGTCCTGGGCTCCCCCGCCACGACTTTTGGTGGCCTGGGACTGAACTGCAAATGGGTGGGGGCCTGGGACCCAGGCTGTAGCTGCTCAGCACCCCCGGCCCTGGGGAGCCCCCAGTCTCAGAGGGGAGGCACGGCCCTTTTGGAGGCCACCTGTGAGCTGAGGACTGAGCTAGCGGAGGAGGTGAAATCAGGAAGGATTCTTGTAAGAGGGAGCATTTGGGATGAGGCGGCCCCCAGCCTCACCTGGGCGTCTTTGCCAGCTAACACTGCGGTTCCTAACTCTGAGGCCTTCTTCTGCCTGCCTCCCCTACCCTCAGTCCGTCCTGTCGGACACAGAGCGGCGTCCAGCTGAGCGGCTCCGAGCGCACCGCGGATGACTCCTTCGGCAGCCTGCGGGGGCTCTCGGCCCAGCAGACCCCGTCCCCACCGCGGCGCTCCTCGCCCGGCCGAGGCCGTTCACCCCGCCGAGGCCCCTCCCCGGCCTGCTCAGACTCCTCCACGCTCGCCCTGATCCACTCCACCTTACACAAGCACGAGCTGCAGGTCCAGGTAGGAAGGGGCTTGAGCGTTCTGGGCTCAGCCAGAGGCCTGGAGGGAGCGTCTGGCGCCCTCCGGGTAGGGGCGGGGCGGGGGCAGGTCCGGGGCCAGGGTCCGGGGGAGGAGTCCGAGCGCCTTGGGGTGCAGCCAGAGCTCTGAGAAAGTGTCTGAGGGTGTCAGGATCCCGAAGGAGGTGGCCGAGAGCTCTGCGGTGAAGCCAGCCCAGAAGTAGGGGTGCTTGGGCAGCTGGGGGTGGGCGCTTGGGCAGGTGGAGGGAGGAGGCTGCGGCAGTGTTAGGGTCCTGGTAGAGAGGGAGACAGGTCCCTGGTCTACAGAGCCAGGACCCTGGGAAAAGGTCTAGCAAGGGGAATCAGAGCTTGGGAACTAGGGGCAGAGCCAGGGTAGGGAGGAGTCTGAGAGTGGAACCAGGATGCAAGGAGGAGGAGCCTGGGAGCCCTGGGGGTGGGGTCAGAACCCAGGAGACGAGTGTGCCTGGGGGTTTGTCTGGCATCCGGGGGGCTTTGATAGGAGTTGTCCGGGACCCCAGGGAGGTGAGGGCTCAGAGGGTGGTGAGGGCACATAGGAGGGGAGCGGGAGCCTGGCTCTCAGGCCTAGGCCCCTATCCTGCCCCAGGCCAGGTCCAGGCCCTGGACCCCGCCTAGCGTAGGCTAGTGTGTATCCCTGGAACCAGAAGAGAGTAGGTGGGCTCTGGAGGCCTCAAAGGACCCCCGCTAGACTCTGTGATCCCCGCGCCCCAGGACATGCGTGGGCGCTATGAGGCAAGCCAGGACCTGCTGGGCACCCTGCGGAAGCAGCTTAGCGACAGCGAGAGTGAGCGGCGGGCCCTAGAGGAACAGCTGCAGCGCCTGCGGGACAAGACCGACAGCACCATGCAGGCCCACGAGGACGCCCAGCGCGAGGTGCAGCGGCTGCGGAGCGCCAAAGAGCTCCTGAGAAGGTGCCGGGGAGGTCTGAGCTGGGGGTGCTGAAGAATAAGTCGGCGGCTGGGCATAACATCAGTGGAGCCTTATGCGTGTGGCTCTGCACTAATATGGTCGCCACTAGCTGCATGTGCCTATTAACGTTTAGGTATTTATTTATTTATTTATTTATTTTTAAGATGGAGTCTCGCTGTGTCACCCAGGGTGGAGTGCAGTGGCGCGATCTGGGCTCACTGCAAGCTCCGCCTCCCAGGTTCACGCCATTCTCCCGCCTCAGCCTCCGTAGTAGCTGGGACTATAGGCGCCCGCCACCACGGCCGGCTAATTTTTTTTTTTTTTTTTTTTTTGAGACGGAGTTTCACTCTGTCACCCAGGCTGGAGTACAGTGACGCGATTTCAGCTCACTGCATCCTCCGCCTCCGAGTTTTAAGCATTTCTCACCTCAACCTCCCAAGTAGCTGGGATTACAGGTGCCCACCACCACTCCCAGCTAATTTTTTGTATTTTTAGTAGAGGCGGGGTTTCACCATCTTGGCCAGGCTGATCTTGAACTCCTGACCTCCTGATCCACCCGCTTCCGTCTCTCAAAGTGCTGGGATTACAGGCATGAGCCACCGCACCCGCCCAACATTTATTTTTTAGTATTCAGTTTTGTTTTGTTTTGTTTTGTTTTGCTTCGTTTTGAGTCACGCTCTTGCTCTGTTTCCCAGGCCGGGGCACAATTGGTCCCTCACAGCTCACTGTAGCGTGGAACTCCCAGACTCAAGCGGTCCTCCCACCTCTACTTCCCAACTGCCCCTAGTTGGGGGCCAGGGCCTGGGCCTGGCCTGGGGAAGGATATGGGACCGAAGCCTGAGAGTTAGGTTTCCACTCCCTTCCTCTGTGCCCTCATCACCCTCTGAGCCCTCACCTCCCTGGGTTCCTGGGCAACTCTGATCTCAGCCCCAAGGATACTAGACAAGCCCCCAACATTTCTAAATTTTTTGTAGAGATGGGGGTCTCACTATGTTGCCCATGCTGGTCTTGAACTCCTAGCTTCAAACACTCTTCCCACCTCAGCCTCCCAAATTGCTGGGATTACAGGCACAAGCCACTGTACCTGGCGCTATTAAAATTTAATTAAAAATTTGAAAAAGTGAAAATTCAGGCTGGGTGTGGTGGCTCACAACCCAGCTGGCTGGCCAACATGGTGAAACCCGGTTTCTACTAAAAATACAAAAATTAACCAGGCATGGTGGCATGCTCCTGTAATGCCAGCTACTCGGGAGGCTGAGGTGGGAGAATCACTTGAACCCCGGAGGCAGAGATTGCAATGAGCAAGGATAACACCACTGCACTCCAGGCTGGGAGACGTAGTGAGACTCCATCTCAAAAACAAACAAACAAAAAAGATGCGGTGGCTCACACCTGTAATCCCAGCACTTGGGGAGGCCGAGGTGGGCGGATCACGAGGTCAGGAGATCGAGACCATCCTGGCTAACACGGTGAAACCCCATCTCTACTAAAAATACAAAAACAAAATTAGCTGGGTGTGGTGGCGGGTGCCTGTAGTTCCAGCTACTCGGGAGGCTGAGGCGGGACAATGGTGTGAACCTGGGAGGCGAAGCTTGCAGTGAGCCAAGATTGCGCCATTGTACTCCTGCCTGGGTGACAGATCGAGACTCCATCTCAAAAAAAAAAAAAAGAAAAAGAAAAAAGAAAAAGAAAATTCAGTTCTTTAGTTGCCCTAGGCACATTTCAAGCACTCATCAACCACACATGGCCATAGAATGTTTCTGTCATCTCAGAGAGTTCTATTGACAGCGCTATTCTGGACCGTATTTCTTGGAGTTTTTTGTTTGTTTGTTTGTTTTCAGAGATGGGGTCTTGCTGTGTTGCTCAGGATGGTCTCAAACTCCTGGCCTCAAGCGATTCCCCTGCCTCGGCCTCCCAAAATGCTGAGATTACAGGCATAAGCCACCATGCCTAGCCTTGAAGATTGTTTTTTTCTTTTAATTTGAGACAGGGTCTCGTTCTGTCACCCAGGCTGGAGTACAGTGGTGCGATCTCAGTTCACTGCAACCTCCACCTCCTAGGCTTAAGTGATCCTCCCACCTCAGCCTCCTGAGTAGCTGGGACTACAGGCACACACCACCACGCCTGCCTAATTTTTCTGTTTTTTGTAGAGATGGGGTTTTGCCATGTTACCCAGGCTGATCTCTAACTCCTGAGCTCAAATGATCACCCATCTTGGCTTCCCAAAGTACTGGGATTATAGGTGTGAGCCATCACACCCGGCACCTTGAAGATTTTTAAGACAAGAAATTATCCACTTTTTTTTTTTTTCCGCAGTCTTGTTGCCCATGACACGATCTTGGCTTACTGCAACCTCCGCCTCCCAGGTTCAAGCAATTGCCTCAGCCTCCCTGGTAGCTGGGATTACAGATGCCTGCCAGCATGCCTGGCTAATTTTTATATTTTTAGTAGAGATGGGGTTCCACCATGTTGGCTAGGCTGGTGTCGAACTCCTGACCTCAGGTGATTCGCCCACCTCGGCCTCCCAAAGTGCTACATTACAGGCATGAGCCACCGTTCTTTGCACCTTGAAGATTTTTAAGACAAGAAATTATCCACTTAGCTGCCAGGTTGTTTTTGATATTTTGTTGTTTGGTTTTTCTCTTCATAAATGTAACCATCTAATGAAAAGTTTGAAAAATAATAGAAATAAAAAGACCTCGCCTTCTCACAGCCTCATCTGCCCATCCTAACTCATGTAGGGCACTGGTTTTCCTTCCCACTGTGTTGCCTGGCAGTGAGATAGCAAACGTTTCCTTCACACCTACTGTGTGCCAGGCTCTTGGCTGAGTGTTTTATACATACTCTGTGATTTAGTCTTCCTGTCAAACTTATGCAATTCAGAACTCTTTTGTTGTAAGCTTGAGAGGCTCGCTCAGACTCATACAGCATGTGTGGCTGGGGTGGCAGGGTGGGAATTGGAATTCAGGTCCATGGGAGAGTAAACCCAGGCTTTCCATGCCTGGAAAGGAGAAGGTCTTTTTAAGTAGTTGTGTTCACAGCAAACATCCCATTTTGCATTCTGTGAAATGTGGAGATGGGGGTCTCACTATGTTGCCCACGCTGGTCTTGAACTCCTAGCTTCAAACACTCCTCCCACCTCAGCCTCCCAAATTGCTGGGATTACAGGCATAAGCCACTGTGTCTGGCTCTATTAAAATTTAATTAAAAATTTTAAAAAGTGAAAATTCAGGCTGAGTGTGTTTTACTGAACAGCACGTTGTCAACTGGGCACAGTGGCTCACGCCTGTAATCCCAGCACTTTGGGAGACTAAGGCGGGTGGATCACTTGAGGTCAAGAGTTTGAGCCCAGCCTGGCCAACATGGCAAAACCCCATCTGTACTAAAAATTTTAAAAATTGGCCCGGCATAGTGGCTCACGCCTGTAATCCCAGCACTTTGGGAGGCCGAGGCGGGAGGACCACCTGAGTTCAGGAGTTTGAGACCAGCCTGACCAACATGGAGAAACCCTGTCTCTACTAAAAATACAAAATTGGCTGTCCGTGGTGGTGCATGCTTGTAATCCCAGCTACTTGGGAGGCTGAGGCAGGAGAATCGCTTGAACATGGGAGGCAGAGTTTGCGGTGAACCGAGATCACACTATTGCACTCCAGCCTGGGCAACAAGAGTGTCAAAAAAATAAATAAATAAAAGTACAAAATAAAAAAATAAAAATAAAAAAATTAGGGCTGGGTGTGCCCTTTTAGCCCAATTTTAGCCCAAAATTAGTATTTTGGGATACCGAGGCGGGCAGATCACTTGAGGTCAGGAGTTTGAGACCAGCCTGGCCAATATGGTGAAACCCCACTTCTAACTAAAAATGCAAAAATTAGCTGGGCGTGGTGATAGGTGCCTGTAATCCCAGCTACTCAGGAGGCTGAGGCAGGAGAATTGCTTGAACTCTGGAAGTGGAGGTTGCAGCAAGCTGAGATTGTGTCACTGCACTCCAGCCTGGGTGACAAAGTGAGACTCTGTCTAAAAAAAAAAAAAAAAAAAAAAATTGCTGGACGTGGTGGCTCACACCTGTAATCCCAGCACTTTGGGAGGCCGAGGCGGGCAGATCACGAGGTCAGGAGATCAAGACCATCCGGCTAACATGGTGAAAACCCGTCTCTACTAATAATACAAAAAATTAGCCGGGTGTGGTGGCAGGCGCCTATAGTCCCAGCTACTCAGGAGGCTGAGGCAGGAGAATGGCATGAACCTGGGAGGCAGAGCATGCAGTAAGCCGA
The DNA here is from genome assembly GCF_000001405.40 of Homo sapiens. NCBI lineage: Eukaryota > Metazoa > Chordata > Mammalia > Primates > Hominidae > Homo > Homo sapiens. Next base: position 16,479,017 of record NC_000001.11, on the reverse strand, counting down.
GATCACGCCTGGGTGACAGAGCAAGACTCCGTCTCAAAAAAAAAAAAAGAAAATCACATCGGGAAAGTTTTTCGCACCTACCGCCAGTGGGGAACGTGGCAGCTCACGGCAAGTCTTTGGGGTCCCAGTTGTTCCCTTCTCCTCCCTCCCCTGCCGTGGCCACCATGTGACTGTGTAGCAGGAAGCCATGGGATCTGCAGACTCAGCTCTATCAGGCTTCCCAGAATTGAGGGGCATGGGTTGTTATAGGGGACATTTCCTGGTCACGTGGCCTAGCAGGGTTGGTGGCACAATTGCCCATGTATCCCAGGAGCCTAACCTGGCCTCTTCTACCTGGTAGGGTGCTTGGAGATAAAGCCAGCACCTCCATCCACTCCAAGTGGATGGGTTGGGGAGAAGGAAAGCCAGGTTCTTCTGCTGGAGGATGTGAGTGAAATGAGTCAGCTACGGGCAGGGTCAGGGAAGGCTTCCTGGAGGCAGGTTCCTTGGAAAACGGGAGATTATAGCTCATGGCTAGAGGAGCAGCCAGCCACCTTCCCTGCAGAGAGCAGCCCCAGCATCCCCTCTGCTTGTCCTGAAGGGAGAAGAGCAACCTGGCCCACAGCCTGCAGGTGGCCCAGCAGCAGGCCAAGGAGCTGCGGCAGGAGCGGAAGAAGCTGCAGGCTGCCCAGGAGGAGCTGCGGCGCCAGCGGTACTGGCTGGGGGAAGAGCAGGAGGACGCAGTGCAGGATGGTGTGCGGGTGCGCCGGGAGCTTGAGCACAGGTGAACAGCATCTCGCCACCCTGCCAGGGCCCTTCAAATGTGCCTCAGGTCCCCTGACAGTGCCCCGGGGGTTAGGGAGCACCCACTGGGTCCTGGGCCTCCTACCATCTGGACCCCTCTGATGTCGGGTTTTCTAACCAGACCCATTGCAGGAAATTGGGGCTCAGGGAGGTGTACTCACTTACCTGGGGTCAGAGAACTAGTTAAAAGGTAGAACTTGGATGATAATAACAAGAATAATTAAAATAACAGTAGTAATATTAACGATAGTATTTTTTAAATTAAGTTATGATCATAATAATATCCTTACTGATTTCACTAAGTGCCAGATACCATTTTAAGCAATTCAGTTCTCTCATTTAACCTATGATAACTGTGACATAGAAGCTGTTATCTTCATTTTATGGACGGTAAACTGAGGCACAGAGAAGCCATGTCACTTGCCCCAGGTCACACAGCTAGTTAGAAGAGCCAGGATTTGAACCCAGACATTCTGCCTTTAGAGTTAACCTCTTCACCACTGCGCTGCTTACCTCTCAGGGACGTGATCGCTGATGATGTTTAGTAGACTGTGGTGGAGCATGTTATTCTTGTTTCTGAAGGTCCTTGGGGAGATGTGTCAGGCACTATTTTAAGCACATGTGAAGTTTGTAGCCTTAAAACAGGCTGGGCACGGTGGCTCACGCCTGTAATCCCAGCACTTTGGGAGGCCGAGGCAGGCGAATCGCCTGAGGTCAGGAGTTCGAGACCAGCCTGGTCAACATGGGGAAACCCTGTCTGTACTAAAACTACAAAAATTAGCCAGGCGTGGTGGTGCATGCCTGTAATCCCAGCTACTCGGGAGACTGAGGCAGGAGAATGGCTTGAACCCAGGAGGCGGAGGTTGCAGTGAGCTGAGATCTCACCACTGTACTCCAGCCTGAGCGACAGAGCGAGACTCTGTCTCAAAGAAAACAAAGAAACTATGTGACAAGGTAGGTGTTACCTCATTTTGCAGATGTGGAAACGGAGGCCCAGGGTCATGGAGCTAAGCAGTAGTGGGCTTGGTTGCCCTGTGGCTCAGGCTGTTTCTCTCCAAACTCCTGCCTCAGGCCTGGTCCACAGCCAAGCATCTCGCTGGCTGTGGGAGATTCGGGGCAGGAAAGTGACATGGGCCACCCACCTGCCCTCTGTCCTGCAGCCATAGACAACTGGAGCAGCTGGAAGGGAAGCGCTCAGTCCTGGCCAAGGAGCTGGTGGAGGTGAGGGAGGCGCTGAGCCGCGCCACACTGCAACGGGACATGCTGCAGGCCGAGAAGGCCGAGGTGGCCGAGGCGCTGACCAAGGTGGGTCCCTGTTGGCTGCACAACCACAAACCTACATCTGACCCCCAGCCCCAAGCCTTCTCACTCTGGCACAAACTGGTCCCAGTGTCAGGCAGACCTCTGAGCCTGGTCACAGACTGACCCCTTCCTTCTGGATACAGGCTGATCTTTGTCACAGACCACAGACCTCTGGACCTCTGGTCCCAGCCATAAGTGGACTGACCTCTCTTTATGGCCGTATCCCTGCTGTTCTGGATGCTCCTGGGGGCAGTGCCTATAGCTCAGGGTCATCCTGAGATTCAGCTCCTGGGGTCTGAGAGTTGTGGCCACAGCGCAGAGGGTCCTTGGCGGGGGGGCCTGCGCTGTCCGCTGCAGCCTGGGCTCTGAGCAGTGCTATCCCTAGACCTTACTCAGGGGATCCTCTGAACTCTGGCCCTGCCCTCCAGGCTGAGGGCAGAGGAGGCCTCCCTGCAGGACTCCCTGTCCAAGCTGAGCGCCCTCAACGAGAGCCTTGCTCAGGACAAGTTGGATCTGAACCGCCTTGTCACCCAGGTACGCTGTGCACCTGCGGGCCCACCTGCCTTGCCCACCCGTCCTCCCCACTCAGTAAGGCACCCCGGGCCCAGCCCTGTACCTGTCTTGGCCCCTGCCTCCCTTTCTGTCTCTGGTTCTCTGTCTGTCTCTGTCTGTCTATCCTCTCTAGGCATCAAAGCACAGAAGCTCCATGGGCCCTCCTCATCTCTCCCTCCCCAGTGTCCCACACACCCAAGGGCCCTGTCCCTCATTGCCTGGGAGCCTCCCCTGGGCTATTGTGGCTGGTGGGTGGGTGGAGGAGGCGTCCTGGTCCTGGGAGGGATGCCCTGCTCACGAGGCCCCACTCCTACCCAGGCCACAGCTGGAGGAAGAAAAGTGCGCCCTGCAGGGCCGGCAGCGGCAGGCGAAGCAGGAGGCCACAGTGGCACGGGAAGAGCAGGAGCGGCTGGAGGCGCTGCGGTTGGAACAGGAGGTGGCGCGGCAGGGCCTGGAGGGCTCCCTATGAGCGGCGGAGCAGGCCCAGGAGGCAGTGGAGCAGCAGCTCCCCACGCTGCATCATGAGTGCAGCCGGCTGCAGGAGCAGCTAGCGCAGGTGGGCCAAGCTGTGTGTGGGGTGGTGTGGAGAGCATGTGGGGCAGGCTGGGCTCCCAGCCCCCTGCATCCAGTCCTGGGTTAAGTCACAGGCACTGGAGCCTGCTTCTTGGTTAAATCCAGCCCCACTTCTGCTAGCTGGGGACCTTGGACAAGCTGCCCAACCTCCCCATACCTCAGTTGCCCCATCTATAGCATGGGGCTAGCTGGGTGCAGTGGCTCACGCCTATAATCCCAGCACTTTGGGAGGCCGAGGCGGGTGGATCACCTGAGGTCGGGAGATCAAGACCATCCTGGCTAACACGGTGAAACCCTATCTCTACAAAAAATTAGCTGGGTGTGGTGGCACGCGCCTGTAGTCCCAGCTACTCAGGAGGCTGAGGCAGGAGAATCGCTTGAACCCAGGAGGCAGAGGTTGCAGTGAGCCGAGATCGTGCCACTGCACTCCAGCCTGGGCAACAGAACGAGACTCTGTCTCAAATAATAATAATAATAATAATAATAATAATAATAATGATACAGATTAATAATAGGTCGAGACTTTTTAGAATTGGAATCTTAGACTTTTGGGAACATCACATCTGGAAGAGACCTTAATGTCTCATTTTCAGGGATCCAGGGACCTTCATGCAAGGTCTATCCTGGAGTGCCTGGGTTTCTGGGAGGGGCCTCTAGAGGATGGGGTAGGGGGTGCAAGAAGCAGGGTGCAGGTCTCCACCTTGAGGCCTGCTGAGCAGCTGCACTTGGGTCTGTTTTATATATTCAGCTTCTCTTCTTAGAGTAATACAAGGGTTCTGTTACTCCCAAAGCTGAGTGAGGGCCCTCTTTTTTGTTGTTGGTTTTTGTTTTGTTTTGTTTTGTTTGAGACAGAGTCTTGCTCTGTTGCCCAGGCTGGAGTGCAGTGGCATGATCTGGGCTCACTGCAACCTCCGCCTCCGGGGTTTAAGCTGTTCGCCTGCCTCAGCGTCCCAAGTAGCAGGGACTACAGGCGTGCACCACCATGCCCGGCTAATTTTTGTATTTTTAGTAGAGACAGGGTTTCACCACCTTGGCCAGGCTGGTCTTGAACTCTTGACCTCAAGTGATCCACCTGCCAAAGTGCTGGGATTATAGGCGTGCACCACCGTGTCCGGCCGGGCCCTGGTTTTTGTACACACGTGCATTGCAGAGCTAGAGAAGGTCATGACTTGCCCAAGCACATATAGCACATCAGGGCAGACCCTGGGCTCGAACCCAGGCTTTCTGCCAGGACTGGGTTAGGCCCAGAGTTGGGGTGCTGCACGATCAACAAGCTGGGGGATGCTGGGAGTTCTGCTGAGTCTCTGGGTGGGGGCCAGCTCTCCCAGCAGCTGAGCTGGCGGGAGCAGAAGCTGGAGGAGGCCCAGGGGGTTGGCCCAGTGGCAGGTGGAGGCGCTGGAGCCAGCAGCCCGCGGGGTATCCGGTTCCACAACTACGCGCCGCGCCCCCGCGCCCGTGTGCGGGATTCACCCAGCTGACACTCTCCCGGTCCCAGAAGGTGCAGCAGCCGGCGGGTTTTGAGAGTCCCAGGTGCCCTGCACTGTGCAGGAGTGTGGACGCTGCCCCTCCAGGGCTGTGACCCCGCCTCAGGGCCTTTTCCCTGGCGCCCGCCATCAGGGCTCTTGGCTTTGACAGGCGATCCACCCTTCGGCTCCTCCCAGGAGCCATAGGACCCTCCCTGCCTGCCCTTCACTCAAGTCGAGGGGCCTGATCAGCAGGCTCTTTCCTCTCAGGCCCTCCACTCAGGGTGTCAACAGAGGTGGATCAGATGAGAAACCTGGATTTCTACACACACCTGGCTACAATGAGATGGCACCACTCCCCTCCCCTGCAGAAGCAGACTCAGAAAAAGGTAGTTAAAACAGAAGGTTTCAATAAAATCGACAGTCTGATAACATAATACCCAAAAGTCCAAGTTTCCATTGAAAATCATTCATCATACCAAGAACCAGGAAAATCTCATACTGAATGAAAATAGGCAGCAAGCACACACTGGCAATAAAATGAGAGAAGCGCTGGGATTGTCTGACAAACATTTTAAAGCAAGCAAGCCTGATGAAAATGATTTAGCGAGTAATTATGAGCACACTTGAAATAAATGGACAAGTAGAAAGTCTTAGCAAATAAATACAAGACTTAAGGGAGAACCAAATGAAGTATTAGAAGTGGAAAAATACAACCACCAAAATAAAAAGTCTGGCACATAGGCTCAACAGCAGAATGGATGGTGCAGAGCAAGGAAATCCATCCACTGCCAATGAAAAAGTAGAAATTACACAATCTTAGCAGGGAAAAAATAGACTCGGGGAGAAAGTGAATAGAACCTCAGGCACCTGTGAAACTACCTCAAAAGGTCTCACTTTCATGTTGTCATCTATGTCTGGAAGGGGAAGAGGAAGAGGACAAGCCTGAAAACATAAAGAAGTAAATGGCTAAAAGCTTCCCAGAGTTGGCAAGAGACATAAACCTATATGCTTAAGAAGCTGTGAGGACCCCAAATAGGATAAAACCCAAAGAGGTCTATGGCAAGACACGTGAAAAAATAAAATGTTGGAAACTAAAGACAAAGAAAATATATTGAAAGCAACAGAGAAAGGTGACACCTTACCTAGAAAGGAAAAACAATTCCGACGATGATGGCTTTCTCATCAGAAACCACGGAGGCAGAAAGAAGTTGTGCAGTGCTTTTCAAGCCGCAGAAGAAAATTGTCAGCCCAGACTCCTCTCTCCAGCAGAAACATCTTTCAGGGATTAAGGAGAAGATCAAAACAGTTTCAGATTAAGAAAAGCTAAGGACATCTCTGACCAGCAGTTCTACCCTAAAAGAAGGGCTAAGGGGAGTTCTCTAGACGGAAAGGAAATGATTAAAGAAGGAACCTTGGGACATCGGAAAGAAAGAAAACAGCAAAATAGGCCTTCCTTCTCCTCTTGAGTTTTCTAAACTATGCTTGACGGTTTCAGAAAAAAATCATAGCACCATTCAATGTGGTTCTAACTCTCCATAAAGAAAATGTTTGAAATGGTTATAAACTGGGAGGGTAAAGAGACCTACAAGGGAGGTAACTCGTCTATCATTCACTCAAATTGGTAAAACAATGACACCAGTATACCGTGTGGTTAAGATATAGATGCACAGATATACGAATGTCTGGAAAAACCAAGAGGGCTATACAAACAGACATACTCAAAAGCACTATGGATAAGGCAAAACACCATTCTCAAAGATGTTCAAGTCATGACAGGAAGGTAAGAAAAAGAAAGCATATCCAGAAAACGAAACCAGGGAGAACAAACAGAAAAGGAAAAATAAAATGGCAGATTTAAGCCCTACCATGTCAATATCATTAAATATCAATGGCCTAAGTATACCAGTTGCAAGACACAGGCTGGCAGAGTAGGTCAATGGACACGAACCAACTACATACTGGCTACAAAGAGACTAACTTCAAATATGATGATACAGGCAAGTTGAAATGAAAAGGGTGGGAAAAGATATATCATGCAAACCTTAGCCAAAGGAAAGCAAGACTGGCTATATTAATGCCAGATATAGTATATTTCAGAACAAATAAACTAATCAGAGACAGAGAGGGAGACTATATAATGTGCAAAGGACCAATCCACCAACTCCTCGCCTGACAAATTCATAAATGTCTACGCAAGAACAACTGAAAGTACTTAACAGAGAACTAGACAAATCCACAAATACAGCTGTATGCTTCAATGTCCCCCTTTCTCAACAATTTATACAACAACCAGATAGAAAATCAGCAAGAATACAGAAGAACCCAACAACACGATCAACCAGCGGGACTTAAATTGGCAATTTTAGAACACCCAACCACACCAGAATACACATTGTTATGGGATGCATTGTGCCCAGCCCCCCCAAATTCATATGTTGAAATCAGAACATTATTAGCCACTAGTGATTTACTAATTAAAACAATGAGAAATTGCTACGTACCTATCAGAATGGCCAACATAAAAGTGTGACCACATCAAGTGCTGTCAAGGATTCAGAGAAAGCTGGATCACTCATACATTGCTGGTGGGGATGTAAAAGATTACAGCCCACTCTGGAGAATATCTGTATAATTTTTACTTTTAAAACTCTATGTGCAACTACCATACCACCTCGGAATTACATTCCCTGCATTTATCACAGAGAAATAGAATCTTATGTTCACACAAAACCCATGTACTTCAAGTTTATAGCAGCCTTGTTTTTAATAGCCAAAACTGGGGAAACAATGTATACACGACTTTTGTGAGATGAATGGTTAAACTGTGGTATATATCCACAGCATCAAATAGTCCTCAGTAATTTTTTTTAAAAAAACAACAAATGATTGATACCCACAATAACCTGGACGAATCTCCACAGAATTATGGTGAGTGGACGAAGGGTAATCCCAAAGGTTACATGTAGAATTCCATTTAAGTAACATTCTTGAAATGAATAAATTATAAGAGTGGGGAATAGATTAGTAGTTGCCAGGGGTTAAGGAGGGAAGGAGGAGCAGCACTGAATAGAAGGGGTCATAACTATAAAAAGGCAACATGATGAATCCCGGTGTTGACGGAAATGTTCTGTACCTTGCTTGTATAAATGTCAATCTCCTGGTACTGTGGCATTTGCAATATTTGCAAATTTTATTTATTTATTCATTCATTCATTTTTCTGAGACGGAGTCTTCCTCTGTCGCCCAGACTGGAGTGCAGTGGCGCGATCTTGGCTCACTGCAACCTCCGTCTCCTGGGTTCGCACCATTCTCCTGCCTCAGCCTCCTGAGTAGCTGGGACTAGAGGTGCCCACCACCATACCCAGCTAATTTTTTATATTTTTAGTAGAGACGGGGTTTCACTGTGTTAGCCAGGATGGTCTCGATCTCCTGACCTCATGATCCACCCACTTCAGCTTCCCAAAGTGCTGGGATTACAGGTGTGAGCCACCACGCCCGGCCACTATTTGCAAATATTACCATTTTGGAAATATTACCAAGATGTTACCATTGGAGGAAACGGAGTAAGGCGTACAAGGGACCTCTCTTTTTCTGAGTTAAGATTGTATGTGAATTATTAAAACGTAAAAATTAACTTTAAGAAAGCTAAGTGTATTTCTCCTTGAGTGATCATGCCTTTGCTTAGAAAACATTAAGGCAACAATAATTTTCCAAAACCCTTTATTTTCTTGAAGATAGTTTTAACAAAAGCTGTGCTTAGGGGTTTTCCTAGAAGTTTAAAACTTCTACTAATCCTTACTGTTCTTCTTTGAGAACCCTCCAGGATTTTATTTATTTATTTTACACCTTTCAAAAGCATAGAGACAAAACCCGGCAACTGGCATATAATACTGTATTAGTCTGAGTTATCCAGAGGACAAGATACACACACACACACACACACACACACACACACACACACGCATGCACGCACGCAGAGAAGCCCAAGTTCTACTCTGAGTAAGCTCTATACCTAGGAGAGTCGAATATAGTTCAAGACCAAGTCCAAGGCTTAAGGCAGAAGACTGATGTCCCAGCTCAAAGACAGTGGAGCAGAAACCTTTCTTAACCCATCATCTTATTCAAGCCGTCCATGGGTTGGATGAGGCCCACCCACACTCGGGAGGGCAATCTGCTTCACTCAGTTTACTGATTCAAATGTCAATCTCTTCCAGAAACACCCTCAAAGACACAGTGAGAAATAATGTCTAACCAAATGTCTGGGCACCCCCGACCCAGGCAAATTGACACAAAAATTAATTTTCACAAATACTATCAATAGAAGTGACTAATAAATGTGGCATCATGTCCTGCCTGTTTATCCCATGACAATTAGTATAGTCGAGCGTAACATTGGCTTCCGTTCCCTTATAGTAGCAACATGTAGGAGTTTCATTTAAAGTGAGGATAATTTTGACCTTACAGAGTTTCTCCCTACCCCTATCTACCATTGCCACTTGTGGATTGTCATTTTGCCATGACTTTCTTTTAAAAAATATCAATAAGCTCTATACTTCAGTAATGTAAGTTTGAATTTCATCCTGGCTGCATAAGTCACTTTCCATTTTGACAAAGTCTAGAAATATTTTTCTCCATCTCCTTGAATATGGGTAATGGATACCTATTGTGGGGCCCACTCTCAATCTCATGGTTTTATTTTAATTTAGTTCTCAATAGATATGCCTCAGCTGCTTAAAAACCATTGAAAATGGCCCATGGCCTTGTCCATCTAACAGAGTCCAGTAAAATCCTGACAATGGAATGGGGAGAGAGAAAGTGAGAACCACCAAACTCAGCACAAAACGACTGAGTTTAAACCTCTGTGCTAAGAGATGATCAGAGTCTATCATGGCTTCTAGTAGCATGAGACCATGTCTCACGAATGACCCTAGGCTCCCATGACAATGCCTACCTAAGAAAGCTCAAGGCTGCCAGGGGAACTTACTTTAGTCTAGCCAATACTTGATGATGGCAGTTTCAGGATCTTTCTTTCTTATAGCACTTACTAAGAAGGGAATCCTTCCTCCATCCCTTTGATATATGTGTGTATCTCCTAGGGACTTCAATGTATCTTTGCCCAGGATCTGAAAGGCAATACTTTTGAGGTGTAGTTCTCAGGAAGGACTGAGCCTCTGTCTTCCAGTCTCTGTGGGAGGTTAGAATCCTAACTTCTAATATTGCCAGCTGGCAGACACAGCTGTCCTGATGAGGCAGACATTTAAAATGACCAATCTTTTGTAATGTTTCACTTGTGCCCTGCCCCCTGCCCTCTCCCCTGCCTCTCTCTCCCATTAGAATGCCATCACCTCTGCACAAATGCGAACAGAACCAGCCCCTTCCTCTACGGTCAGTAGTTACTGAATAAAATTGGTTTTCATCGATTTGACTAATGTCTGATATATCTTTGACAAAATAAGTGTGAATGATTGTTTTTAGAGACACGGCAGCTGCAAAGAGAGGCACAGACATGGCAGGAGAGGGAGGGGTCACCTGACCCTTCTCATTTCATAGGCATCTATTCCTGCCTGGTGTTTATGAGCCTGAGACTTGGCAGGGCTGTCCTGGTATATAACTCCATGGCTCTGCAGCAAGACTCGAATAGGCTGGTGGTGACACTTGGTGTGACCAGTCACCTTCAAAGATGCCATTAAGGGTTCACAAGAAAATGAAGGGAAACAGAAAAACTGATTATGAAAGTTGTTGCCTCTCCTGCTTCTTCATACAGAGTGTGTATGATATTGCTGTGTGATGTTAGACTGCAACTTAGCCCAACAGCTGTTCTAGTAATTGGCAGTTTCTCATCGAGTTAAGCCTACCTGATAAAGAAGCACGCTTACATTTATTGATTACCCCCGTAAAATGAACAATACATCCAACAAGGCTTCTAGCAAAAATGTTCTTATTAACCTCCTTTTTATACTAAGGAAAAACTGGGTACAACACAAATCTTCATCAACAGAAGAATACCAACTGTTATACAGTCATAAAACGATCCCAGAAGTTCACTCCATACCATCAAAACCAGGAACCCACACTGATGCCCCTGATGGCAGAAAATCATGATACAAAAATGAGAGAAACGAGAGAGAGAAAATGTACTAGAGTCATGGTAGTGGGTAAAAGCCAAAGAGCTCAGTTTCTACTCATGATATTCATTAGAAGAACCAAAGGAACATGAGCCAACAGCTGTAAGGGTCCAGGTCTGCACAAGGTGCCTGTTGGGTGCAGGGTTCTGTTGGCTCCAGTGATATATCTCAGGTGGGCTAATTTTTACGGACATAGCCGCTGCAAAAATCTATCAAACAATAATAAAGGGATAGCTACTTGCATGCTAATTTACCATTGTATAGAAGGGAGAACAGGCATCAGATTGTTTTCGTCAAATAAAAGCAAAACCAAGATTTATGAAGAAAAGAGGAAAGAGGAAAAAAAATCGCCTGGGACCTTTGTGATTTTGCTCCCCTTGGATAAGAGACTTGACAGAAAGCTTTCAAAGAGGTCACTGTGGCCTGTCTTCTTGAGACACACGACACTTGTTCACCACGGAAAACAATTACAGATGTTGGAGGACTTTAAAATATCCTAGTTTAGCAGTTCATCCTATGCCACAGAATCTGTGTGTGATGTCCACCATGTCCTTCTGTGGTACACCCCTTCAGTTAAGCCAGGAGGGTGCCTCTCCCCTCAGTGGAATATCATACATCAATGTGTAGAAAGTTTGTTGTGCTGGCAAGTAAATGACAAAAGGGACATTGATAGAATTAGGAAACAAATTGGAATATGATCTGTTACCGTTCCCATGGAAGATAAATTTGCAGAATATACTCAAATTAGAAGCATTAAATAAATGCTGTAATTTAAAATGGCACATCCCATTCTCTACACTACAGAAATATCTGCAGGAGTGACCAAAGATATGTGTACAACTATGGTAGAGATTGCAGCATCAGTTATAATCCTAAAACCATGAAACCCACCTTATTTCAAAAACATCTTGAAAAGGGTTAAATAAATCACGCACAAACTGAGGAAGAAATGCTGTTTTCACAAACAATGGTGAGGCTCACCATGAGGATGACTGATTCCACACTGTTCACATTTGATAGAGCAATCAGTTCACCTCCTGAGTTCAAGCGCTCCTCCTACCTCAGCCTTTCAAAGAGCTGGAACTACAGGCGGGTGTCAACACGTTCGGATAACTTTTGCATTTTTTTGGTAGAGATGGGGTTTCGCCATGTTGGCCAGGCTGGTCTTGAACCCCTGGGCTCAAGCAATCCGCCCACCCCAGCCTCCCAAAGTGCTGGAATCACAGGTGTGAGCCACTATGCCCAGCCAGATTTTATTTTTCTCTGAAAAGATGGTACATTTACATGGTTCAAAATTCAGATAGGGCCAGGCGTGAGCCCTGGAGTTCGAGACCAGCCTGGGCAAAAGAGAGCCCTGTCTCTACTTTAAAAAAAAAAAAAAAAAAAAAAATTCAAATAGTACAGAAAATTATAAAGTTAAAATAGGCATCTCTTATATTCCTGTCTCCCAATCTCACCCTGTAGGCAATCTGTGGGATGCTGTTCCCGTGACTCCTTCCAGGGATATTTTAGATCAAGTCTTCCTCTTGTCGCCCAGGCTGGAGTGCAATGGCATGATCTTGGCTTACTGCAACCTCCACCTCTCAAGTTCAAGTAATTCTCCTGCCTCAGCCTCCCAGATAGCTATGATTACAGGTGCCCACCATCATGCCTGGCTAATTTTTGTATTTTTAGTAGAGATGGGGTTTCACCATGTTGGCCAGACTGGTCTAGAACTCCTGACCTCAGGTCATCTGCCTGCCTCAGCCTCCCAAAGTGCTGGGATTACAGGTGTGACCTCCATACTCGGCCTTTTTATTTATTTATTTTTTGAGATGGAATCTTGCTCTGTCACCCTTGCGGGAGTGCAGTGGCACAATCTCAGCTCACTGCAACCTCAGCCTCCCAAGTTCAAGCGATTCTCCTGCCTCAGCCTCTCTAGTAGCTAGGACTACAGGCGTGTGCCACCACACCCGGCCTCCCTTCCCATTTTTTTAATGCCAAAGAGAACATATTATATATACACTTTGTTCTGTACCTTGCTACCTGTCCTTGATAGTTTGGGGACCATCCCTTATCCCTTATCAATATATAAAGAGCTTCTTTTTCATTGTTTTCCCCAGAGATCTAGTATTCCACCAGATATGCCTAAATTTATATAATCCATCCCTTACTGATGGGCCTTGTAGCAGGTAGACATAGTGGGTGAACTGTGTCTCCCAAAAAAGTATGTTCAAGTCCTAACCCCCGACACCTGTGAATGTGATCTTATTTGGAAATAGGGCATTTGCAGATAATATCCTCCTGGATTTAGGGTGGGGCCTAAATCCAATGATGGGCATCCTAATAAGGAAAGGAGAGGACACACATGGAAACACAGGGAGGAGGCAGAGATTGGCGTGATGCTGCCACACACCAAGGAATGCTCGGGGCCACCAGAAGCCTGAAGTGGCAAGGATTCTGGCCTAGACCCTCTGGAAGGAGCATGGCCCTACTGGCATCTTGATTTCAGATGTCCAGCCTCTAGAACTGGGAGAGAATAAATACATTCAGGTGGTTTAAAGCACCCAGTGTGTGGTCACTTGTTACAGCAGCCCTAGCAAGCTAATACACAGGTAGACTTGTTTTGAGACGAAGTCTTGCTTTGTTGCCAGGCTGGAGTGCAGTGGCACAATCTCGGCTCACTGCAACCTCTGCCTCCTGGGTTCAAGTGATTCTCCTGCCTCAGCCCCCCGAGTAGCTGGGACTACAGGCGCATTCCACCACGCCCAGCTAATTTTTAGAAGAGGCGGGGTTTCACCTTGTTGGCCCGGATGGTCTTCATCTGTTGGCCTCGTGATCGGCCCACCTCAGCCTCTCAGAGTGCTGGGATTACAGGCGTGAGCCACTGCACCCCGGCCAGGTAGACTTCTAAGATGGCTCTCAATGATCCTTGCCTCCTGGTATCCACACCCTCCACTTAGTGCGGACAGGACTTGTGACTTCTACTCTGAAGACCCAGCCAAGGGATGGGATCATTTCTGGAATTAAAACTATGACTGCTATCTTGCCACAATCACGTTTGCTGGCTTCAATGAAGCAACTGCAAAGATGTGAACTATGCAGAGGCCTACGTGGAAAGAAAATGAGAGTGACCTCTGTCCAACAGCCACGAGGAACAGAATCATGCCCAAAACCACGTGAGCGAGCTTGGAAGCAAACGCTTTCCCTGCTGGGCCTTAAGATGACAGTGCGGCCTCGACTGACACCTTGACTGCAGCCTGTGAGAGGCCTGTGACCCAGCTGAGCTGCACCAGATTCCTGACCACAGAAGCGGAGATGACAAATGCAGGTCATTTTGGGCGGGTGTGGTGGCTCATGCCTGTAATCCCAGCACTTTGGGAGGCTGAGGTAGGCGGATCACCTGAGGTCAGGAGTTTGAGACCAGCCTGGCCAACAGGATGAAACCTTGTCTCTACTAAAAATACAAAAATTAGCCAGGCATGGTGGCGGAAGCCTGTAATCCCAGCTACTTGGGAGGCTGAGGCAGGAGAATCGCTTAAACCTGGGAGGTGGAGGTTGCAGTGAGCTAAGATTGCACCATTGCACTCTAGCCTGGGCAACAAGAGTGAAAATCTGTCTCAAAAAAAAATAAAAATACAAATAAATAAAGTACCTACTTACAGGCTTTGTATGGTTGGCTAAAAAAAAAAAAAAAAAAAAAAGAAAAAAAAAAAAAAACAGTATCTGTCTACATTCAAGCTGCGGTGAGGAAAAATTGGTCTTTTCCCTACTCCAGTCCACTCAGTCCACAGAGCATGGTATCTTTCTCACTCCCAGCTCATAGAAATCGACAACTATTAAGCACCTACTGTGTGCCCATGATGCATTTCAGTAGCTTTCAATCACCAATGGAATAAAGCCCCACCCTTCGCCTGTCATTCCTACTTGCCACGGCTTTCGTAAGCCATGTGGAGGGAATGGGACTTTTCATATATTAAGGGGGTCTTATGTGCCAGGCTTTGCAGGGAGCACTGCTCCAAAGAAGTAGCCACCCTGACTAAAAGCATGGATGCTGGAGCCAGACTGCCTGGGTTCAAATCCCAGCTCTGCCACTTACCAACCATGTGACTTTGAACAAATTATATAATTTCTCTGCATTTCTCATTTTCGAAACAGGGATGAGTACTGCTATAAACATTTGTGTCCACCCCCACCTCCAAATTCATACTGAAACCTAACCCCTAGTATGATGGTATTTGGAGGTGAGTTCTTTGGAAGGTAATTATGTCATAAGCGTAGAGCCCTCACAAACAGTATTGCCCTTATAAGGAAGCCCCAGCCAGGTGTGGTGGCTCACGCCTATAATCCCAGCACTTTGGGAGGCTGAGGCAGGTGGATCATGAGGTCAGGAGTTTGAGACCAGCCTGGCCAATAAGGCAAAACACCATCTTGACTAAAAATACAAAAATTAGCTGGGCGTGGTGGCATGTGCCTGTAGTCCCAGCTACTTGGGAGGCTAAGGCAGGAGAATTGCTTGAACCCAACAGGCAGAGGTTATAGTGAGCCAAGATCACACTCCAGCCTGGGCAATAAGAGCAAAACTATCTTTAAAAAAAAAAAAGGCAGTGCCATTCCCATGTGGTGGCTCATGCCTTTAAGCCCAGCACTTTGGGCGGCCAAAGCAGGAGGATCACTTGAGGCCAGGAGTTTGAGATCAGCCTGGTCAATATAGCAAGACTCCATCTCTTAAAAAAAAAAAAAAAAAAAAAAAAAAGTCCCCAGAGTACTCTATTGCCCCTTCTACCATGTGAGGTTACAGCAAAAAGACGGCCTCACCAGACACCGAATCTGCTGGTGCCTTGGACTTCCCAGCCTCCAGAACTGTGAGCAAAAAATTTCTTTTGTTTATAAACTACCCAGGCTATGTTATTCTGTCATAGTCCCAAATAGACTAAAACAAGTACTTACTGGCCAGGTGCGGTGGCTCACACTTGTAATCCCAGCATTTTAGGAGGCCAAGGCAGGCTGATCACTTGAGGTCAGGAATTTGAGACCAGCCTGGCCAACATGATGAAACCCCGTCTCTACTAAAAATCAAAAAAATTAGCCGGAAGTACTGGCACACGTCTGTAATCACAACTACTCGGAGGCTGAGGCAGAAGAACTGCTTGAACGCAGGAGGCAGAGGTTGCAGTGAGCTGAGATCATGCCACTGCATTCCAGCCTGGGCCACAGAGCGAGACTGTCTCAAAACACAAAAAAAACAAGTCCTTACCTCATGGGGTTGTAGAGATGATGCAATGAGTTTTATAAGTGCATAGAATAGTGCCTAGCAGAGAGTTAAGCATTACTTTAGCAATAAACAATAAGCATTACTTAAAGGCAACAGGAAGGCCCAAAGGAGCATCATAAGGGACCTCCCAAGGCCCTACAGCTATTAAGTCTATCCAGATTCTCTCTTTTCCACACTGATTCCCACCTCAAACACACTTTGCTAACCTTTGTGTTGGTTATCTATTGCTGCATAACCTTACCAGAAACTTAGCGACTTAACACAATACATTTACCATCTGTTCCTATGGGACAGTCTGGGCACAGCTTAGCTGGTCCTCTGCAAGGCTGCAGTCAGTGTTGGTCAGGCCTGGGGTCTCACCTGAAGGCTTACCTGGGAGTGATCAGCCTCCAAGCTTGTGTGGTTGCTGGCAGCATTTGCTTTCTTGCAGACTGCTGGACTGAGCTTCAGTTTCTTGTTGGCTGTCAGAGGCTACCTCAGTTCCTAGCCACCTGACCCTCTCCCAAGGGCAGCTCACACAACATGACAGCTTCCTTCTTCAAAGCCAGCAAGAGAATTTCTCAGCAAGGCAGATGTTGCAGTCTTACATAAGGCAACCATGAAAATAACATCTTGTCACCTTTGTGGCACTCTACTGGTTAGCAGTCACAGGTCTAGGCCATCTCAAGGGGCAGGGAGTACATAAGGCTGTGAACAGCAGGTGGGGATCACAGTGACCACCTGGGAGTCTATCTGCCACACCTCCCAGTGCATCCAAATTCTGTTGTGCAGAGGGCAAGTGAGGTCTAGCATACCCCCCAAGAAAGCAGCCATCTTCTACCATCCACCCACCAGTTTGTAAACTCCAGTCAGGGGTGTAATTGAAGTGATGCCTGGTTTGGGATTGAGTTTTCCTGGAGATTCTGGTCCTGTAATGAGTTTTTTCCAGCTGGGATTCCAGTTAGTGATGGACAGCATCAAGCTGTCCCTTGCTCCTGGCCCCAGACCCCACAAGGTGCTTTTCAGGCTAGATTCCTGAGGGCTGTGTCATCAGCTGTGCCACCTCCTCCTCCCTACCATGATGAACTGTTCTGGGTACTTACCTGACTCCAGAGAAAGGTCATTAAGGTCAAACAATGCAATGTGCATCTGCTAGTGCCTCATCCGAGTGACGCTCAGGTGAAGGAACAGCCTGTGGCCACACGTCTAACCAGGGGATAGCCTAGATCCTAAGGCCAGGTCTGTCTCCACAATCCAAGTGCTGATCTTCAATGGTACATACTTTTTTTTTTTTTCCTTTTGAGACAGTCTTGCTCTGTTGCCCAGGCTAGAGTACAGTGGCATGATCTCAGCTCACTGCAACCTCCACTTCCTGGAGGCAATTCTCATGCCTCAGCTTCTCAAGTAGCTGGGATTACAGGCGTGCGCCACCATGCCTGGCTAATTGTTGTATTTTTAGTAGACGGGGTTTCACCATGTTCGCCAGGCTGGTCTCGAACTCCTAACCTCAAGTAAGCCACCCACTTCGGCCTCCCAAAGTGCTGGGATTGTGGGCATGAGCCACCACACCCAGCCATGGTACACACTTCTAATAAAGCTTCCTCTACATCTAAGCTTTCTGATTTCCACCCTCCAAGTACTTAAAACTGACTCGATGTGAAGTAATGCTATGTGAAATCGACATAAAAAAGTTACTGCTCCCGAAGATCCTTTAATGCAATCTCCTTACCCTTAATTCAATGGGCAAGAGAATCTTCAATTTTCATTTTCTTTCTCCTCTCTACAGTTTCTTAATCAGAGTGGCTATTTCCATAACAATAAAAACTGCTTCTTACAGAATCCTCAGGCAAAAGAAGTGTTGTGGCTTTTTTTCATTTTTAATTCTTTTAGAGAATTCTCTAGGGTCTCACTGCTGCCTAGACTGGAGTGCGAGGCCGTGATCATAGCTCACTGCAGCCTCAAACTCCTGGGCTCAAGCAATTCTCCCACCTCAGCCTCGCAAGTAGTTAGGATTCCAAGCATGCACCACCACCACACTAATTTTTTTTTTTTTTTTTTTTTTTAAGAAATGGGGTCTAACAGCCGGGTGCCGTGGCTCACGCCTATAATCCCAGCACTTTGGGAGGCCAAGGCGGGCAGATAACTTGAGGTCAGGAGTTTGAGACCAGCCTGGCCAGCATGGTGAAACCCCATCTCTACTGAAAAAATACAAAAATTAGCTCGGTGTGGTAGGTGCCTGTAATCTCAGCTACTGGAAAGGTTGAGGTAGGAGAATCACTTTAACCTGGGAGGCGGAGGTTGTAGTGACCAAGATTGCTCCACTGCACTCCAGCCAGGGCAACAGACTGAGACTGTGTCTCAAAAAAAAGGAAAGAAATGCATCTTACTATGTTGCCCAGGCTGGTCCCAAACTCCCAGCCTCAAATGATCCTCCCGTCTTGGCCTCTCAAAGTGCTGGGATTACAGGCGTGAGCCACTGCACCCGGCCTCTTAATTTTACTTTTGACCTCTGGGTATCTGCACCCCTTTACTACTTAGGGAGATGCTCTGCCGGTAGGTTTGGTGGAAGACGGAAAGCAAGGGGCCAGGCTCTCTAGAACGGCCTGTATCATGAGACGCCACAAGAGAATTAAGCCCCACACAAAGTGATTCAAGCAACTACTTTCACATCAACCAAAGGATGATGAAAAGACTGTACTATCCTAGAGAACACAGGAGAGAAGGTACCGATTGCCTTAGACAACAAGGTTGCATTTCCTCACTTTGGCCAGCCTCACACCCCAGCCCTGAACTTTCAATCTGGACACTTGGTCAGTGGTGAGAGAAGTGGCCGTGAGTCTAGCTGTGGCACCCTGAAGAGTTTAACAGCCACGCGGCCAGAAACACATTCATCTTTCACATACAATGACAGAAGTAAAAATATTTATTTTATCTTAAAAATCTGGTCCCGCAAAAAGGCCAACACTTTTTTCAGTTCACGGTCTTGACCTTTCAAAGAAGAAATCTTTCAACTGAGAGGTGAGTTAATAAAAGGAATGTCAGAGGTGCTTTCAGATTTCTTATAAACCAGTAAACCAAGCAACCCTGGACTTCTAGTTTACTGAGCTCCTTCTTCTAGCCATTCACAGTTCCTGAAGGAGAAAAGAAGTTGTTTGCAGATAAGGCACTTTAGAAACCACCAAAGAGAAAACCCAAGTCTGCCAGGAGCTGCACTGTGAACATGTGAGCCGAGAGGGCCACCAGCAGACAGAGTGCCAACTCCCACAGCTCCATGACAACAGCATCCACCTTCCTGCCCCAACACTGTTCCGTCTGGCTTCCAGCACCCGCCTTGGCTCTGTGTTGCCTACCTGGCCTAGAATACATGGAAACCAGACAACTGGCCAGAGATAAACACTGCTGCCTGAAGCTCAGGGCAGCTGCCCACAGTGAGGAATCCCTTCAGAGGCCCCAGCTGGGGCACGCCGAGGGAGCAGTTCCTTTTGCAAAGATGAGTTAGTGCGGATCAGCACATTAGCAAAGCAAAATATTTAAACATTTTTAAAAGCTGCTAATCCTTCCAATTTCCCTCCTGATTGTAGCTCAAGCTGCAGCCTCTAAACCTGCTAAAAATCAGGAAGAAACCCCTCCTCTGGAGGGCAGATGGACTGAAGTGGCTACAGCCAGTGTGGGTACGGAAAGCCTCCCGCTGAACTGTGATCATGTGACACCTGCAGACCCTGGGAAGGGCTGATCTGAATCCTGGCAGCAAACTCAACCTCTTCTTTTGCTTGGGGGGCTTGTGTTTAATACAGGTCATTGCGATGGAAGAAGTCTCAGAGTCTCTCTCACATCAAGAGGACAGATGGGGACAGGGATCCTGGAGCTTTTCTTCTCCTGTGTTCTGGTTGCATACTTGAATCCCAGGAAACAGTGTGACACGGTGCCAATTTACTGCCAAACATGCCCGGTTTGTCAACAGAGCCAGACAAGGAGGAGAGGAGAGATTCATGCCCCAAACACAGGCCAGCTGAGGAGGGCTTCGTCCTCCTTCCTTTGGCCCAGATGAGGGAGCGCCTTCCCAGAAGTCACATGAGGAAAAACCGTGCTCAGGTCAGAACTGGACCCAGCCTGTGCCTGGCTGGGTCTGGCTGGAAGTTGATCTGTAAAGAGAAGACAGGGAAGGGTGGGGGAGTTCAGATCTTTGAAAATACAAAGCAGATAAAAGTTGGTTTCTCTCTGGACAGAAAAAGCTCTAAGAAGCCAGTTCCTAAATGTTCTAGAGCAGCAGTCAGCAAACTCTGGCACAGAGACCAAATCTGGCCCTCGATGGTTTTTTTTTTTTAAATAGTTAATGTAACTGTATTTACCAAAGTTTTTTGTTTGTGGTTTTGTTTTTTGTTTTGTTTTTTTTTTGAGACAGGGTCTCACTGTCGCCCAGGCTGGAATGCAGTGGCACACTCAAGGCCAACTATAGCCTCAACCTCTTGAGCTCAAGCGATCCTCCTACCTCAGCCTCCCTAGTAGCTGGAACTACATGACCGGTTAATTTTTGTATTTCTTTTAGTAGACACAGGGTTTTGCCATGTTGCCCAGGCTGGTCTCGAACTCCTGGCCTCAAGTGATCTGCCTGCTTTGGCCTCCCAAAGTGCTGGGATTACAGGCGTGAGCCAACATGCCTGGCCGAAGAGTCTTAACCCCTTTCCCATGTAGAAAAAATATAGCTCACTGCCAGCCCTCATTTAATTTTACATAAACATGCTCTTTGAGGCTGAAGCAAATCTGACTGATTTTCAACGTGAAAATAAAATATAAAAACTGTTCTTGGAGTTATTTCAGAATCATCTGAATAATCAGAACTATTTTGGAAAAATCAGACTCCTCAAATGAATCTTAGGCTAAAAACTGTTCAAGAACGATGTTAACATCACATGTAAGAATGCTGCGTTTTCTAGGATTTGACTTTTTCAGTAATCAATAATTACTATATTTTGGGCCAGGCATGGTAGTTCACGCCTGTAATCCCAGCACTCTGGGAGGCTGAGGTAGGCGGACTGCTGGATTCCAGGAGTTCCAGACCAGCCTGGGCAACATAGCAAAACCCCGCCTCTACTAAAAATACAAAAAATTAGCCGGGTGTGGTGGCAATTGCCTGTAGTCCCAGCTACTCAGGAGGCTAAGGGATAATCACCTGAGCCTGGAAGGTCAAGGATGCAGTGAGCCGACATCACGCCACTGCACTCCAGCCTAGGCAACCAGAGTGAAACCTTGTCTCAAAAAAAAAAAAAAAAAAAAAACAGAATTACTATATTTTGTAAATGGAAATACCACTATTAAAAACAGAATGCTATAAATAGAATGTCTTTTGTTCCAAAGCTGATATACTAGAGCGATGCAAAAATAATATAAAAGCAATACATTTTGTGGCAAAGTTATCTCAGGGTCAACGCTGCAGTCTGAAGTGCCACTGGCAAGTTTTCTCAGGGCAAACAGGAAAAGGGTTACAGTCCTCATTTCACGCCTCTGTTTTTTTTGTTTGTTTATTTGTTTTTTGAGATGGAGTCTTGCTCTTGTGACCCAGGCTGGACTAGAGTGGCATGATGTCAGCTGACTGCAATCTCCCGGGTTCAAGCAATTCTCGTGCCTCAGCCTCCCAAGTAGCTGGGATTACAGGCACCACCCCACCACGCCCAACTAATTTTTGTGTATTTAGTAGAGATGGGGTTTGACCATGTTGGCCAGGCTGGTCTTGAACTCCTGACCTCAGGTGATCCGCCTGCCTGGGAATCCCAAAGTGCTGGGATTACAGGCATGAGCCACCGCGCCCAGCCCATGCCTCTATTTTTGTAAATAAAATTTTACTGGCACACAGCCATGCTGATTTATTTACATATTGTCTGTGGCTGCTTTTGTGCAACAAGAGCAGAACTGAGTAGCTAGAACGAAGACCACACGGCCTGAATAGTCTAAACTATTTGCTATCTAGTCCTTTACAGAAAATGTGGCTGGGCACACTGGCTCGTGCCTATAATCCCAGCACTCTGGGAGGCCGAGGCAGGCAGATCGCTTGAGCCCAGGAGTTCAAGGCCAGCCTGCGCAACATGGCAAAACCCCGTATCTATGAAAAAATACAAAAAATAGCTGGCATGGTGATGTGCACCTGTAGAGCCAGCAACATGGGAGAATGTGGTTGCAGTAAGCCGTGATAGTGCCACTGCACTCCAGCCTGGGTGACAGAGAGAGACCCTGTCTCAAAACATGAAAAGAAAAAGAAAATGTGTGCTGACCCCTGTCCTAGAATCTGTCCATGTAAATAATAGTGCAGTAGGAATTTAGTATCTTTTCACCCTGGCCCCAAGTAAAGTCTTGAGATCTTATGGAATCAGAGAAGACAAGCCACCTAGCCTCAGGCGTTCTATGAGGATGGGCTGAGGCTGGAGCCTGGGTCTGAACTCTCAGTCCACTATTTTGGGGAAGGTGGGGGATGGGGTATAGAAGAAGGAGGTACTGGGGACAAGCCAAAGCACTTGGGAAGGCGGTTTAAAGGCCCAGATTTGCAAAGGGTTGCCCCAGGCTATATAGCACTGGAAAGCAGCAAAACCTCCACGGAAAGACGTGTGCCACCCAAAGCAGGCACGCTGGGGCTCTGTCCTCTGGCTAGCTTGAAAACATCCAAATCAGGCCAGGCGCGGTGGCTCATGCCTGTAATCCCAGTACTTTGGGAGGACGAGGCAGGTGGATCGCCTGAGGTCAGGAGTTCAAGACAACCCTGACGAACATGGTAAAACCCCATCTCTACTAAAAATATAAAAAATTAGCCAGGCGTGGTGGCAGGTGCCTGTAATCCCAGCTACTCAGGAGGCTGAGGCAGGAGAATAGCTTGAACCTGGGAGGCAGAGGTTGCAGCGAGCCAAGATCATGCCATTGCACTCCAGCCTGGGCAACAAGAGCAAAACTCCCTCTCAAAAAAAAAAAAAAAAGAAAAGAAAACATCCAAATTAAAACTGTTACTCCTAATCCTAACACCAGAAGGCAGGCATGTGGAACAATACCAGGTTTGTAGAGCAACGGCCCTGGCCCCAGCCCCTCCGCAGAACATGGCCCTCCTTACCCTGTAGATTTGGTAAAGTCTCCCCAGATGTCAGCAGTGGCAGGATTGGGCTGTGGCCAGGGTACAGGAGCACCTCCTATTGATGTTCCCGAGTCCGACCCGTAGGAAGAGAAGAGGGGACAGAGAAGTCAGAGACCTTTCTGGTTGTTTCAATGACCAAATCATGAGACTCAGTGATCAGTCTCATGACACCAGGTAGCTGGGAAAGCCACACCAGACATGCTTTTGGGCAACCAAACACCCTGAGTTGCCACACTTCCAGCATCTTCTCACCAGCCCTTGTGCGCTCTGGAGAAAACGCAGAAAGCCACATACAAGGTGGAACGAGGGGTGCCCGCGGGATGGGTGGTTAGTCTCACGTCATCTAACATGCATACCTGAAGCTGACTTTGTTATCAACCATTTATGTTGAAATCTATTTAAAATTTACTATAACCCGTCTTAGCTTCTTGAACGGAGAATGTCCACCAAAACCGCAAGATCATCTTCATATCAAGCCTGCACTACCATGTCTGGATGAACTGGCTGAGAACACTACGTGCCAGCCACGTGCCAAGTCCCAGGCCCCAAACTGGTTAGGGGTCAGGAAGAGCATTCCAAAGAGCTCACACAGAAGCTCAATCCTATCTCTCCACCAAGGTAGGCGACGCCATGGGGCTGCAATGCCTGCTTTTGTGCTTTTCAGGCACCTCCCCCAGTGCTGCCAACTGCCCTTCTGAAGGGCCTGTGTTTGCCACCCTCCACCTTGGCACTAAGTTGCTATTTCTAATCTGCTCTGGGCCAGGAGAACAGATAAAACTAGGGCCCTCAATGGTTTAGAGTTTTACAGTTCACCAAGTGCTCAAGGCACATTATCTTCTGTGAACCTCACCCCAGCCCCTAGGGAAAGACAGATTGGGATGAGCCACGTGACTGTGCAGGTCATTTCAGTTTCCATTCTCTTACCTCTAAAATGCTGAAAATAACAGGAACTACTCCATAGGACTGGTGTGAAGATTAAATATCCACAGAATGCTTAGAACAGGTCCAGCATATAGTGGCAATAACGATATTAATAAAATGAGATCTAACATTCAGTGAGCACTTAGAATGTTCCAAAAATTGTTCTAAGTGCTATACATAAATCAGCTTATTTGATCCTCACAAGAAACTTATATTTTAAGTATCATTACTTCCCCTATCCTACAGATGAGAAAAATGAGGCATGGAGAAGTGATTTTCTAAAGATCACAAAACTGGGCTGGGCACAGTGGCTCAGCCTGTAATCCCAGCACTTTGGGTGGCTGAAGCAGGTGGATCACCTGAGGTCAGGAGTTCGAGACCAGCCTGGCCAACGTGGTGAAACCTCTGTCTCTACTAAAATTACAAAAATTAGCCAGGTATGGTGGTGCATGCCTGTAATGCCAGCTACTTGGGAGGCTGAGGCAGGAGAATTGCTTGAACCCAGGAAGCGGAGGTTGCAGTAAGCTGAGATCATGCCACTGCACTCCAGCCTGGGCAACAGAGTGAGACTCCTTCTTAAAAATAAATAAGTAGGCGAGGTGCGGTGGCTCATGCCTGTAATCCCAGCACTTTGGGAGGTCAAGGCGGGAGGATCACCTGAGGTCAGGAGTTCAAGACCAGCCTGACCAACATGGAGAAACCCCGTCTCCACTAAAAATACAAAATTAGCCACGTGAGGTGGCGCATGCCTGTAATCCCAGCTACTTGGGAGGCTGAGGCAGGAGAGTCGCTTGAACCCAGGAAGCAGAGGTTGTGGTAAGCCGAGATTGCGCCATCACACTCCAGCCTGGGCAACAAGAGCAAAAAACTCCATCTCAAAAATAAAAAATAAAAATAAATAAATAAATATCACAAAGCTAGTAAGCTGAAATTTGAACCCAACCATATTGTTCATATAGTAAGTGCTTCATAAATGTTGATATTCATGACTTATTATCTGACACCATTTTGTTTGTTGACATGCTAACTGCCTGTCTCAGACACCAGAAAACAAGCCCTTGAGAGCTGAAACTGGATGCTATACGTACCAGTGCCTAGAACTCTACCTGGCACACAGCAAGTGCACCATATTAAAATTAAAATGCTGTTAAAAATGCATCAGCAAGGCCAGGCACGGTGGCTCATGCCTGTAATCCCAGCACTTTGGGAGGCTGAGGCGGGCAGATCACGAGGTCAGGAGATCGAGACCATCCTGGCCAACACAGTGAAACCCTGTCTCTACTAAAAATACAAAACTTAGCTGGGCGTGGTGGTGCGTGCCTGTAATCTCAGCTACTCAGGAGGCTGAAGCAGAAGAATCACTTGAACCCAGGAGGTGGAGGTTGCGGTGAGCCGAGAACATGCCACTGCTCTCCAGCCTGGGTGACAGAGCAAGACTCCATCTTAAATAAATAAATATCCATCAGCAACCTTGGTTGCTTAGGAAGGCCTAAGGTAGTAGCTCTCAGACTTTAGTCAACACACAAACAAGAACAAACATAAGGGCCGGGTGCAGTAGCTCACGCCTGTAGTCCTAGCACTTTGGGAGGCTGAGGCGGGCGGATCACCTGAGGTTGGGAGTTCAAGACCAGCCTGACCAACATGGAGAAACCCTGTCTCTACTAAAATTACAAAATTAGCTGGGTGTGGAGGCACATGCCTGTAATCCCAGCTACTCAGGAGGCTGAGGCAGGAGAATCACTTGAACCCAGGAGGCAGAGGTTGCAGTGAGCCGAGATCACACCATTACACTGCAGCCTAGGCAACAAGAGCAAAAAAACTCCATTTCAAAAAAAAAAAAAAGACACAAGAATGCAGATTCTTGCCCCCATCCCCCAGCGATGCCAAAGCAAGTGGTCCTATGACCCCACTCTGAGAAATAGCACTTAAAGAACAGTTCCTGGTACCGGGCCGGGGCTCTCTGACTGCCCCTCCTGCCACTCTCCCCACAGGACTGAAGTCTGAAGCTTGACCTCCAGATAGGGCAGCCAATGTTGGGGAGGCTTAGGAATCAGTAAAGCAGGAAGGCTTCCTGCCTGCAAGCTGGGGAGAGCTGTGTGCAGAAGGCACGCTGGTGACAATCGCCCAGCCTGGGGAAGGCCAGGAGCATCAAGCTGGGCTGGGCGGGGCGGCGGGCGGGGGGGGCGCGCGGGGAGGTAGAGGAAAAGGGCTGGCACCCCAGCGTGGTCAGAAGCTGACACTAGACACTCGCTTCCGGAATCCCAGGGTCTCCTAAGGGCTCCTCAGCACAAACTGCCAGGGCAAATGCTCTCAGATTCCCACACCCGAGGTGCTCACTCCAAACGAAATCTCATTTCCCACCACTCACCTTGGCACACCTTATGCTGTACCCATCTCCCTAAATACACCAGGTGTCTAAAAGTCTGGGCCTCATTCGTGTTCTTCTCTCTGCCTGGAATGCCAACCACTCCCACTCTATCTCCTTCCTTCAAGGTCCAGATCAATGTCACCTCTTTCATGAAACCTCTCCAGATCACAGCAGCTGATGGTGGGTCTAGGCCCTACACATTTGGTCTCTGTGCTGTGACTCATCTCTCTCACTACACGTGAGCAGAGACTGTGTCTCCATTACCCACTCACTCAATACCCACTGAGCAGACACTGGGAACCAGGAACCGACATGTTGATGATTTCACAGTAACTAACAAGTCGCAGCCCTGGCCTCTCAGGGGAGGGCAGACGCCCTAAAGGCCAAGTAGGAGGAGCCCCTTACCCAGCGTGTGCAGAATGAGCTTTGGGTGCCCGCCTTCTTTGACACGGACAGGTACTACATGACCAATCCATGTGTGTAACGGGGGGGAAACCATGGGGCCTGGCTGCCAGGGAGAAGAGGAGCCGGCAGGTACTGATGCAGCAGTCACCCACTGAGCACTAACCTGAACTGGGAGCAACTGCTGGCTGGACGAGGGATCCCCCCACAGCCAACTGCTCCCCAGGGGGAGGGATCAGGGTGGAGGTTTTCCCCCCTGGGGGAGGGGGAAGCAGGCTCAGCCCTCCTGTGCTGGCAGGCCGGACTCGGGGATTCCCAGCTGCTCCTTCCTTCTTCTTCATGTTCTAAAGAGGGAAGAGGAATGCAAATCAGCCCGTTCTGCTGGAGTCCCAATGCTACCAGAAAACCCCACAAGGAGGGCCAAGGTGACCCCAGACCCCCAACATCTGTGTAACCAAAAGATGGTCCTACCTAGCACCTCCATTGCTATGAGCTATACTTAGTGCATCATCATTCTGAATCTCTCACAAATAAGGTCCATTTTAAAACCCAGCACCCCCACTTCATTCATCAGGGAAATGCAGATCAAAGCTATAATGATATACCATTACACGCTCACCAGAATGGCTAAAATGTAGATTATCAAGTATTGACTACGATATGAAGTAACCATTCACGCGCTGCTGGCTTAAGTGTAAACTGGTAAAACTACTTTGAAAAATTATTTGAAAGGATTATAAAGCTCAACATAGGAACTTAAACTTATGACTCCGCAGTTCCACTCCTAGATATAAACCAACAGAAATCATACATATATGCACCAAAAACATGAACTCAAACATCTACAGCAGCATTATTTGTAATCGCCCCAAACTGGAAACTACCCAAATGTCCATCATCAGTAAAACATAAATAAATCGGGTGAATTCTCACAATGGTACATGCCACAACAATGAGAATGAACAAACTACACGCAACACCATGGATGACTCTCACAAAAATTACATTGAGTAAAAGAAAGAAATCATTCCAAATCAAGATTAGGTGTATGATTCAATTCATGAAAGTTAAGAACAAACAAAATCTAGGGTATGTGAAGTCAGGATGGGGTTACTCAGGGCAGTTACTGGGAGGGGCCAGGAGAGGTGTTTCCAGAGTGCTGACAATCTTTTGCATCTTGAGCAAGGTGCAAGTTTATAAATTGGGTGTTTTGTTTTGTTTTGTTTTTTGAGCCAGAGTTTCGCTCTTGTTGTCCAGGCTGGAGTGCAATGAATGGCTCGATCTCAGCTCACTGCAACCTCCACCTCCCAGGTTCAAGCCAATTCTCCTGCCTCAGCCCCCGGAGTAGCTGGGATTACAGCCATGGACCACCATGCCCGGCTAATTTTGTATTTTTAGTAGAGACAGGGTTTGTCCATGTTGGTCAGGCTGGTCTCGGACTCCCGACCTCAGGTGATCCGCCCACCTCAGCCTCCCAAAGTGCTGGGATTACAGGCGTGAGCCACCACTCCCAGCCTATAGATTAGATTTTTTAAATTTCACAGAGTTCTGCATTTATGATTTGTACACTTTTTTACATGCACATTATACTTCAAGAAAATGCTTTAAAAAAAAAACTGAGCACCAAGCATGAGCCAGAAAGCAGCACAAGTTACACAGATGAAGATAATGTGTTCCCTACTTGTAAGGAAAGCAGCAGCTTAATAAAATCGTAAGTCCAGCCCTGAAGTCAAAAGACCTCAAAGACCTCAGTGTGAGCACAGCTGTGCCAGTTATTTCTAGCTCTGTGACCCTGGGCAAGTCCCCAACCCTCCCTAAGCCTCCATTTCCTCATCTCATGGAGGAAAGGGAGAGGATGTTTAATTCACATGAGAAATGCCTAAAAAAAAAAAACAACAAAACAAAACAAAAAACAAAACAAAACAAAAAAAAACCACTACCTGGCCCTCAGCTGATGCTCATTAAATGTTAGTTTCCTCCAAGCGAGAGAAAGAATCACATCCCAACCAGTCCACTGGATTGGACTTGCATTTCTCTCTTAAGGGCCAGCTGGCCAACTTCAAGGATCCCAAATCATCACCAGCACGAAGCAGAAAAGAGGAGAAAGAGTAAGTAAAGAGGAAAAGCATTATTTTAGAGTTACAAAGCTTCTTGAAAAAACAAATCCATCTCAACACAGTATTCCTAGCAAAAACAAAAACCAATCCACTTGGTCCTTGGGTCCCCGCAATCATGACTCTGACCTCATCTCCCCTCTCCACCCTTGCAGCCAGGTAAAGGCCAACTTTAGGCAACCCAGCCCAGCCCAGCCCAGCCCAACCTGTTCCTATGAACAGGAGCTGACGGGAGGGAAGCCAGAGGCAGAGCAGCTCAGAACGAAGACACAGGAGCCAGGACAACACCATCAGCACAAGCTGCCCAGGACTCCCAGCGCCCACCTCAACGCCCTCCTGCCAGAACTCTCCCAAATCTTCCTTATTCAAGACACAGCCTGGGATGAGCACACAGGTCCCTCCTGATGCACTCTAATAGCTAGGACAGAAACACCACCTCTGGCAGCAAATGACTGATGCTCCTTCTCAGTTCAGAGGCTTTGCACCTGCTGTTCCTCTGTGTGAACCACTCTTTGATCACTCTTCCCTTGCCTACAGGTCCCTTCTTCCAGGAAGCCTTCCTTGGTTCCCACAACTATGGGCTGCACACCCTTCCTCTAGGAGCCCACGGCACCCAGGGCATCCCTTAGTCATGGAACCTTTCCTGCCATGTTGTTATCACATTTTTACCTGCCTGTCTCAGCTCAACTCTGAGCTCCATGAGAACAGAGGTCTCTTGTTCACCCCGATGCAGGACCTGGCACAAGGCAGATGCTCACTAAACATCTGCTGAACTGAAGGAGCTGAACTGTAAGAAGAGCAATGGGCTCTGGGGCTGGGTGGCCACAAGTATCACGTCACCACAGCCAAGCAAGGGTAGAACTCACTGCGATGTTGAGCTTGATGGTCTGGCCCTCCTTGAAGCCCAGGTCCAGTTTAGGGCCTTGGTCTGGGTTCTGGGCTTGTTTTGCAAATTCACACTGCTGTTTCACCCACCTGGGGAGAGAACATGAGGAAAAAGGTGAGGAAGGAAGAGACCAGCTGCCCTGCAATCACTGGCTCACTTCACTACTGCCTGCTATCAGTCCAGGCTGAGCCTCGTAGTGAGACGGGGTGCTGGAAAGAGTGCAGGCTTGGGAGTGAGGCCTGAATTCAAATCCCAATCTGACACTTAAGTAGCGGCATGCACATTGGTTTCCTCATCAGCAAAATATGCCCACAATTCTATAGGTTTTCAAGATGGCTACGAATGCAGCGAGATCACTTACGTAGAGGGTCCTAACACTATCTCTAGGACACGTGAGAGCCTGCCCTTCCCTCTACAGTATATGACATGAGAACTAAGATGCGGTCTCTACACACCCTCAAACACTCAGAAGGCAGACGGGGGGACAAGACAGATACCCAAAAGTAGAGGGCAACACAAAAGTCCCCCACCCTCCATACCACACCACCCAGCAGCACCGGTAAGGGAAGAGCCAGAGGCGCCCATGTGAGTGGCCGGGCACAGCCCACTCACTGGCAGCCTGAGTTCGAGCCCTGCAGATGGTGGAGGAGGACTTCCTGCCCTGTCTCTTAGCTTCAGAAAAGGACATCAGGGCATCTGCTGGGTGCCCTGGGAATCCAAGCGCCATTGATTACATGGAGGAGCAGGCCCAGAAAGGCCACAGGAGCCTGATGAGGACTCTGGCTGCTCAGGGGACTGGTAAGGGGAGACAGGTGGCAGGCCCGAAGGCTGGGATGGTAGAGATGAGCCTCAGGTAAAAGAGAAGGCTTTACAGCAGAGATGAACATTGGCAGAGAAGAGAGGTGGCTTGTCCTGGGTTCTCCTGAGTCTCTGCTGCCAGACAAATCACACACAAACACTTGGGTATCCTAACCTGGGAGATCATTCTGTCCAGGGAAAGAAGGGAGGGGCATGAGCGTGTGTCTCCCAGACCCACTCACTTGAAATGGTCCTGCAATGCAACATTGAAGTCAAAGGCATCACCTCGGTCCCCGAAGCCAATTCCAATAAACGCCCGTCGCCCTGGGGAACAACACATGATCAACCCACCTTCCAAAGGCAGAGAAAACCTTTCCCAAGAGGAGGAAGCACCAGGACCCATGCCTACCATTTCCATCTTCGATGCGGATCACGAAGTACCTGCTGGAATCCGTCACACTCTCCACAGCTGTGCCAGGAAACTGATCCACCGGGGCCTGAGCAAAGAGCTCCCCTGAAAGCACAGGTTAGGCTGAGCGCTGAGCCCTGAGCCCCCTTCCAGCCAAGGTTTTCTACCACACTACTGGGCCTTTTGCCCGCAAGGCATCTCTAACCAGCTGAGACAGATCGGCAAACCTTACTGTGGGATTCAAATCGAATCCATTCTTGCTAAAGGGAAGACACAGAAAATATAATCAAGGAAAGGCTTAAGTCAGAGAGCTTACAGGTCAAATTTAGCTCACAGTTTGGTATTCTGCCTGGCCTCTCTTAAAATTAAGCTTTATTAATGCTGAGCCTCCAAGCCCACCTGAGAATAAGTTGGAGCTGCTAGCCCATCCATTCCATCTGCTTTACCCACTTATATTACCTGAACCCTGAGTGTCCTAGAACAGGTGAACCCTGGCCTAGGTAATCACACCTGCTGAAGAGGCTAGTACCTGAGGCAGGACTATAAGAGGGGCCAGTGAGCCCCGAGGAAAGAAGGGAGGAAGTTTTCATACCCATAGGGAATCTGAAGCAGGCTGATTTAATTCAATCTGAGACAGGGCAAGCGTGACTAGCTTTAAAAGCCCTTGTGAAACACATCACCTTGTCAACTACAGCACTCGACAGTGCGGCACAACATAAAATTTCCACAAGCATTTATGACTGGCATCAGTTTTTCCCATGTGCTGACGTCTGTTGTTGCTTTTAGTATTTTTTGTTTTGTTTTTTAGAAACAGGGTCATGGAGTGGGTATGGTCCCAGCACTTTGGGAGGCTGAAGTGGGGTGCGTTGCTTGAGCCCAGGAATTTGATTTATACCTTTTTTTTTTTTTTTTCCTGAGATGGAGTCTCCCTCTGTCACCCAGGCTGGAGTGCAGCGGCGCAATCTCGGCTCACTGCAACCTCCGCCTCCCAGGTTCAAGTGATTCTCCTGCCTCAGCCTCCCAAGTAGCTGGGATTACAGGCATGCACCACCACGCCCCACTAATTTTTGTATTTTTAGTAGAGACAGTGTTTCACCATGTTGGCCAGGCTGGTCTTGAATGCCTGACCTCAGGTGATCTGCCTGCCTCAGCCTCCCAAAGTGCTGGGATTACAGGCGTGAGCCACTGCACCCAGCCCAGCCCAGGAATTTGAGACTAGCATGAGCAAGATGGTGAAACCTGGTCTCTACAAAAAATCCAAAAATAAGCCAGGCATGGTGGCATGCACATTTAGTTCCAGCTCCCTGGGAGGCTGAGGCAGGAGGATCCCTGACCCCAGGAGTTGGAGGCTGCAGTGAGCTGAGATTGTGCCACTCCACTCCAGCCAACATGACAAGAAAAAAAAAAAAGAAAGAAACAGGGTCATGCTCTGTTGCCCAGATTGAAGTGCAGTGTGCAGTGCACCATAGCTCACTGCAGCCTCGAACTCCTGGGCTCAAGTAATCTTCCCGCTTCAGCCTCTCACGTAGCTGGGAATACAGGCACATGCCACCATGCCCACTCAATTTTTGTTAGAGATAGGGTCTTGATATGTTGCCCAGGCTGGTCTCTAACTCCTGGTCTTAAGTGATCCTCCCACCTTGGCCTCCCAAAGCCCTGGGATTATAAGCGTGAGTCACCACACCTGGCTGGTGCTTTAAGTATTTAACCATATATCTTCTACTGAATCCTGTGGTTTAGAGATAACTTTGTTTTTTGTTTTTTCCAAGACGGAGTTTCACTCTTGTTGCCCAGGCTGAAGTGCAACGGCACGATCTCGGCTCACTGCGACCTCCACCTCCCAGGTTCAAGCGATTCTCCTGCCTCAACCTCCCGAATAGCCGGGTTTACAGGCATGCACCACCACGCCCGGCTAATTTTGTATTTTTAGTAGAGGCAAGGTTTCTCCGTGTTGGTCAGGCTGGTCTCAAACTCCCGACCTCAGGTGATCTGCCTGCACTGGCCTCCCAAAGTGCTGGGATTACAGGCGGTGAGCCACCGTGCCCGGCCTTTTTTTTGTTTTCTTTTCTTTTTGAGACAGTCTTGCTCTGTCACCCAGGCTGGAGTGCAGTGGCGCAATCTCGGCTCACTGCAATCTCTACCTCCTCGGTTCAAGTGATTCTTGTGCCTCAGCCTCCCAAGTAGCTGGGATCACAGGTGTGCACCACCACGCCTGGCTAATTTTTGTATTTTTATTAGAGACAGGGTTTTGCCATATTGCCCAGGCTGCTCTGGAATTCCTGGGCTCAAGCGATCCACCTGTCTTGGCCTCCTAAAGTGCTAGGATTACAGGCATGAGCTACCATGCCCAGGCAAGAGGTAATTTTGTAATCAAGGCTGAACTGATTCAAAACCAACAGCCCTAGAGTCTGTGGTTTCTTGTCAATTTATCTGCCTTGTGTTCCAACCTCACCAAGATTCCTTCAGCCTACAGCAGTAGTTCTCAATCAGGGGTGATTTTGCTCCCCTGTCCCCAAGAGGACATCTGGCAATGTCTAGAGATAATTTTGATTGTCACAACTTGGGGGGTGCTACTGGCATCTGCTAGACATAGGCCAAGAATGCTGTGAAATGTCCTCACTGGGCTCCACAGCTCTCCAAAACAAAGACTCATCTGGCCCCAGGTGTCAACAGTGCTGAAGCTGAGAAAGCCTGGCCTAGAGTGATATGCTCATTACCTCATGGGAAAGTAAGAGTCTAACATGACCCAGGCATGACCTTGAGCTAAGAGCACCTTGGGGTGGGTCCCACAGGGGAGGCTCAGCCCTAGGCAGTGCCTGTTACGTTAGGGAGTCATGTTAAAGTCACAGCTGGCTGGGCACAGTGGCTCACACCTGTAATCCCAACACTTTGGGAGGCCGAGGTGGGCGGATCACGAGGTCAGGAGTTCAAGAACAGCCTGGCCAATATGGTGAAACCCCGTCTCTACTAAAAGTACAAAAAAAATTAGCTGGGCGTGGTGGGGGGGCGCCTGTAATCCCAGCTACCCGAGAGGCTGAGGCAGAGAATTGCTTGAACCTGTGAGGCAGAGGTTGTGGTGAGCTGAGATCGTGCCACTGCACTCCAGCCTGGGTGACAGAGCAAGACTCCATCTAAAAACAAATGATTTTTTAAAATAAAGTCGCAGTTACCAAATTCCTCAGAGAACGAGGTGTTACCATTCTCTTATGACACTACCTGGGGTGTCCCAGCAATTCTCCAGCTTAAAGTCTCTGGTCTGGCCATGGCAGCTGCCTCTCCAAACTCCTCTGCCGCCAGTACCCAAGTTCCCGAAGAACACATCAATGCTTTGGGTTGCCTCGCAGTCCGTAAAGCATTACAGAAATATCTGCTCACTTCCTATTCTCCAACAATCTTATGAAGGAGGAACTAATATGATCCCCATTTCAACAAGGAGGAGGCCAAGGCCCCAGAGGTCATGTGGCTCACCCCACATCCAGCAGCTCAGGCAGAACATAGTTCTGAGAAGAGGCAGCCAGTTCTCTCTCTAAACTTTTGCACTTTCTCTTCTGCTCTACAAAGGAAAATCTCTACATATTAGAAAAAATAAATGACCGAATGTTGTGGCACCTGACTGAGCAGACACTGTGTCCGACCCCACTAGGGGTCTCGGCTGGGGGATTCCAGGTGCACTGCCCTCCACAGCTCACCCAGAGGCACAGGTGGCCCAGGACTTGTGAAGTTTCCCCCAAGACGATCTCTGCCAGCTGACCCCAACACAACCCAGCTCAGCTCGTCCTCTCACTACAGAAAGAGCTGAGTAGGACAGTTTCCAGCTTCTTCGGTTAATGGGTGTGGTCAGCTCTGGGAGTTACCGCTGCATTGATAAACAATTCCTCAGTAGGAAGCAGAGCCCAGCGGCAGAGGGCTGTGCATCCTCACCCGCCTGTCTTCAAGGCCACTTCCAGGGCTTCCTACTTCCTACCAGGACCAAGCTGCGGTCTCCTCTCCTTGGCCCCCACATTTTCCTGAGGACTCCTAAAAGGAACTAGTGTTTGACATGAAATACTCATTTTTACACCTGGAGACGGTACTTTCTACAACTAAGGTGGGGGAATGGTACAGCTTAAAGGTACACACACGTCTCTGATTTTTCAGGACAGGTTCCCATGACCCCTGAGCAGCCTGGCCAGACCAGGCCACCTCTCCCTTCATAAAGTGGGGTGCGGCCCCTCAGCTTGATGCAGCCTCCCTTCCGGTTACCTGACGTCCTGTCCTCCAGCTTGATGTAGGCCATCTGTCCCTTTGCAGTGATCCTCAGCCGGCCACTCCATGATGGCTGGTCCAGCTGCCACTCCGCAGCCCTAAGGGGACAAACACCACTGAATCTCTGCCAGAGGCTCCTGCTGTGTGACCCCAATGCTGGGAATGGAAAGGGCTGCTTATTCTAGCCCAAGAGTTGGCAAACATTTTCTGTAAAGAGTCAGACAGTAAATATCTTTGGCTCTACAGGCCACACAGCCTGTCACAACAAGGCAGCTCGGCTGCTGTAGGGTAAAATCAGTATAGAACATGCACGTGGTGATGCTTTAGGTATCTTAACTATTTTCTACTGAGCACAGCTGTATTTCAATCAAAGTGTAGACACTGAAATCTGAAATTCATGTAATGTTCCCAGTATGAAATACTCTCCTTTAAAAATTTTCCAAACCATTTAAAAAATGTAAAAACTATTCTTAGGTGTGAACCATACAAAAACACACTGGGTTGTCACTTGGTGACCCCCTCTCTAGACCACAGTGTCCTCCTCCACGTAGGACTTCCTTCCAGTTTCCTTTCTATAGAAGCAGCAGCTGCAGGGGCCTGATTCTGTTTCTGACACTGCTTGACTGCAGCAGTCAGAGCGACCATTTGAGACCAGTGAGACTATCTTGAAAGAAAAAGACAGCATGGAACAATCACCAGAAGAGAAAAGGAGAACAACAGTACATGTGAGAAAAGTGAATGGGTCCTTAGGAAGAAACCCAGGAAACCATGAACCTACAGCAATGCCTCTTTTGGCTCTAATTTGTTTGAGACGGGGTCTCACTCTGTCACCCGGGCTGAAGTGCAGTGGCGCAACTACGGCTCACTGAAGCCTCAACCTCCTGAGCTCAAGAGATCCTCCCACCTCAGCCTCCTGAGTAGCTGGGACTACAGGTGTGTACCAACACACCAGGCCAATTAAAAAAAATTATAGAGATAGGGTCTATGTTGCCCAGGCTGGTCCTGAAGTCTTGGGCTCAAGGGATCCTTCCACCGAGGCTTCCCAAAGTGTTGGGATTACAGGCGTGAGCCACCACAGCCAGCTGTTTTGACTCTTTTAAAGCATTAACTTCACATTTTAGTTCTAAGAAAAGGTCAGTTAAATCCCCAAATAGCAAGAACCGCAGGTGTTTCCAGGAGGCTTTTCTTAGAAGTCCCTATGCCAGTTCTCAAGAACCCTGGACGCGGCTGTCTTGAGGGCTGCACAAATGCAGATTCTCAATTCACAAATCAGCAGACTCAGTTCCTGTTCCTCTTACCAGGCCTGAGATTCAGGCTAAGGAGAGCTCCAAGACTTAAGTGCAGGCACTGGTAGTTTCCTCTAAGCTAAACCAGCCAGCCCTGACAATTCATAACCTCGCTCTCTGGGGCACCAAGAGGAACCAAATCCATCCTACTAAAGACCCAATAGGGGGCCGGGCGCGGTGGATCCTGCCTGTAATCCCAGCACTTTGGGAGGCCGAGGCGAGTGGACCACCTGAGGTAGGGAGTTCGAGACCAGCCTGACCAACATGGAGAAATCTCATCTCTACTAAAAACACAAAATTAGTCGGGTGTGGTGGTGTATGGCTGTAATCCCAGCTACTCGGGAGGCTGAGGCAGGAGAATCGCTTGAATCCGGGAGGCGGAGGTTGCAGTGAGCCGAGATCGCACCATTGCACTCTAGCCTGGACAACAAGAGGGAAACTCTGTCTCAAAAAAAAAAAAAAAAGACCCAACAGGAGATGGGGCTAGACGACCATCAATGGTTTGATGGTCCAACCACAGTTTGATGACAGAAAACAAATGTATTTTGGTTATTGTTGTTTTTGTTTTTATACTATTTTAAAATATGTCATGAATGTAATGTTCACTAACGCATCTTTTCACCATAAGATCAGCTATGAGCCCACGGTAACACAACTGGAAAGTAACAAGAGGAAATGTGGACGTTCCATCATTCTTGGGGTGCAGACCAATCCTGTATTTCCGAAAAACTTGGACAACCATCGCCTTCAAGAGCCACCCAGGCCCCCGCAAATACGAGCACTCCCCACCACCACTCAGTGGCACAAAATAGCCATAGGCCAGGTTGTCTGTATGAAGTGTATCTTTTTTCTTTTAATATTTTTCGTCGTTTTGATAGATAACGCATACAAAGAGTAGTAAAACGCAAACAGCACAAAAGGGAAAGGAAGTTTCCTTCCAAGGGCGGTTCCCCTCCCCTAGGGCAGTTTCCTGTGTTCCTTTGCAGAGATACTCAGTATGTTTACAAGCGTGTGTGTTTATTCGTCTCAGGTAGAGACCAGAGAAATATAGAAGGGGTCCTCCCAACTGCTCCAGGCTGTGATCAAGGGTGAAATTCGTGCGAAGGGATCTGGGTAGGAAGGGGTCCCTGGGCTTCGACCGTCACCTTAAAGCTCCCCGGGACCGGTCCTTTCAGCCGGCTCTGGGCTCCCTCCCCTCCTCTCGGGGATTTCCGTCTGTGATAGGGCACCTCCCCGCTTAAGGCTTTTCGAGGATCCCTTCAAGGCCACCGGTTAGCGCTGAAAGAGAAGCGTCTGTGACATCACCACCCCCGACCAAGTTTAGGGTACCCGGCAGCCCACCGGGGTCCCTAAGCGCTAGATACGGCTTTAACGCCCTCCCCGCCGCCAGGAGTCCCGTGCGTCGAACTGAGACGGGCGAAACTCTGGATCCACCTCCCTGCTCGGGCCTGGAACTGGAAGAAGCAGCAGCATTAGCTCCCCCTCGCCCCAAAACTGGCCAGGGCTGTCCTCGGTTCCCGCAGTGGGTGTGTCCGGGTGGCGGAGAAAGGGTTAAATTGGAGCTAGCCTGGTCTGGCGGTGGGTAGTCACCTGTAGCCACGGTTGGTAGCCCGCGGAGGGATGCGGTAGACGTGGACGTCAGGCTTGACACAGAGCACCGACTCGTACCCGCTCTCCTCCATCGCGACGCCTGGAGCCCACCGAACTTCCGGCGACTTCCACCGTTCCTCTGTCCGACGGACGGAAGCGGTGCGACTCTCTGACCAGGTTTCGGCTAGAGCGGCAGCTCGCGGGCCTCAGCACCGCCTCGTTTGTGCGCCCTCTGCTGGAAACCCGGCTCAAGACACGTGGCGGGCGACCTCCGGAGGCTTCTCCCTCCCTCCAGAGGCTTCTCCTTCCCTCCAGACACCCTCCGACGCAAAGAAAGCGCCCTGCGCCCGCCATGGACAGACCCCTCTGTAACCCGTGGTCTGGGTGTGGATCATCCCCATCGCTTCAGTTTCTTAGGCCTGGGGCCCAGTTGACCGAGAGGCAAAGCTGTAGCCCACCCTGCAGTATCTCTGTCCTCCAGCCTTTGCCTCGGCGCCTCCTCTGCCTGAATATCCTTCCCTCTCCTGACTGTAAGGCTCAGCTGGCACCTGACCCACCAGACTAAATAGATGCCATTACCCTACCACCCTCCATGCTTCCCCTAGGGGAACCCACTTATATGCTCAGGGCCCCGTGTGGCCAAACCTCAACAACGAGTTGTATTCAAAGAAGTAAAGTTTAGTAACACAAGTAATTTAAGAAGAATTCCAGGCCGGGCTTGGTAGCTCACGCCTGTAATCCCAGCACTTTGGGAGGCTGAGGCGGGCGGATCACCTGAGGTCAGGAGTTCGAGACCAGCCTGGCCAACATGGTGAAACCCCGTCTCTACTAAAAATACAAAAATTAGCCGGGCTTGGTGGCGTGTGTCTGTAGTCCTAGCTAGTTGGGAGACTGAGGCACTAGAATCGCTTGAACCCGGAATGCGGAAGTTGCAGTGAGCTGAAATTGTGCCACTGCACCTCAGCCTGGGTGACAGAGCGGGACTCTGTCTCAAAAAAAAAAAAAAAGAAGAAGAAGAATTCCAGTCTTAACTTCGATTTCTCCCAGAATATTCTGGGAGATACAATGTCTACCCTAGCCAAATTCTCAAAATCCCTCCTTCCCTACCATTCTCTCATTGAGTTGAGTGCCTGCAATGTGCCAGCCCCTATGTGGGGGTGAAGCTGATCCCAAACTTCTGATTCACTGAATACCCCAAACTTTCCCCACCCCTTCTTTCCTTTTCTCTCTCACTCTCCTTCTCCTTTTTACTTTTTTTTTTTTTTTTCTTCAGACAAAGTCTCACTCTGCCGCCCAGGCTGGAGTGCAGTGGTGCAATCTCGGCTCACTGCAACCTCCACCTCCCGGGTTCAAGCGATTCTCCTGCCTCAGCCTCCCGAGTAGCTGGGATTACAGGCACCCACCACCAAGCCTGGCTAGTTTTTGTATTTTTTTGGTAGAGACGGGGGTTTCATCTGGTTGGCCAAGCTGATCTTGAACTCCTGACCTCAAGTGATCCGCCCACTTCGGCCTCCCAAGTGCTGGGATTACAGGCGTGAGCCACCACGACTGGCCATTTCTACTCATTTTTTATAAGCTTTTTATTATAGGATTGATCTAACCACTTACATTTTTATTGTAAAATATACATAACATAAAATTTACCATTTTAAGTGTACAATGCTGTGAAATTAAGTACATTCACAATATTGTGCAACTATATCATGCTTTCCAGAACTTTTCATCATCCCAAACAGAAACTCCACACCCATTAGCAATAACTTCCCATTTCCTTCTGCTCCATCCCTTAGTAACCTCTGTTTTACTTTCTGTCTCTATGAATTTGCCTTTTCTAGATACCTCTTATAAGTGGAATCATACAATATTGGGCTTTTGTGTTTCTTATTTCACTTAGCATCAAGTTTTCAAGGTTCTTTCATGTAGCATGGATCAGAATTTCATTCCTTTTAATGGAGGGATAATATTCCATTGCATGTATATACCATATTTTGTTTATCCATTCATCTGTCAACAATTGGGATGTTATCACCTTTTGGTATTGGGAATCGGGCTACTATGAGCATTGGTGTTCAAACACTTGTTCTAGTCCTGTTTTCCATTTTCTTGAGTGTATACATAGGAGTGAAACTGCTGAGTTATACAATAATGCTATGTTTAGTGGTTTTGTTTTGTTTTGTTTTGTTTGAAACAGCATCTCACTCTGTTGCCCAGGCTGGAAAGCACTGGCATGATCATGGCTCACTGCAGCCTCAACCTCCCAGGCTCAAGTGATCCTCCCAACTCAGCCTCCCAAGTAGCTGGGACTACAGGTGTGAACCACCATGTCCGGCCTTGCTCACCTTTTTGAGGAGCCTCCAAACTGTCTTCCACAGCAGCAGCACCATTTACGTTCACAAGGGTTTCAATTTCTTCACATTTTTGCAAATATTGGTTATTTTTCTTTTCTTTTCTTTTCTTTTTCTTTTCTTTTTTTTTTTTTTTTTAGACAGGGTCTCTCTCTTTCTTTCTCTCTCTGTCACCCCACACTGGAGTGCAATGGTGCGATCATCACTCACTGCAGCCTCAAATTCCCGGGCTCAAGGGATCCTCCTGCCTCAACCTTTTGAGTAGCTGGGCCTACAGGCACACACCACCCTACCCTGCTATTTTTCTTACTTTTTGTAGAGACGGGGGTCTTGCTATGTTGCCCAGGCTGGTCTTGAATTCCTGTCTTCAAGAGATCCTCCTGCCTCAGCCTTCCAAAGTGCTAGGATTATAGGCATGAGCCACCATACCTGGCCTTATTTTCCAATTTTTTTTTTTTTGAGACTAAGTCTCACTCTACCACCCAGGCTGGAAGACAGTGGCATGATCTCAGCTCACTGCAACTTCTGCCTCCCAGGTTCAAGTGATTCTCGTGCCTCAGCCTCCTAAGTAGCTGGGATTACAGGCATGCGCCACCATGCCTGGCTAATTTTTGTATTTTTAGTAGAGACGGGGTTTCACCATGTTGGCCAGGCTGGTCTATAACTCGACCTCAAGTGATCCACCCACCTCGGCCTCCCAAAGTGCTGGGATTACAGGTGTGAGCCACCGCACCCAGCCATTCAGAGCACTTTCAGTTCTGTTCAGTCTAACAAAGACAGGCATCGAGCACATACCCTATGCCAGGTGCTGAGTACTGGGGTCACTGGGATGTGGCCAATCCAGCTCCTACCATCCTGGAGCTCGCAGACTGGAGGAGACAGAGAGAAAAGCAGTCATTGGCAAAGCAGAATGAAAGGTACTGTAATGAAGCAAATTCACAGGGGCCTGTGGGAGCAAAGAGAAGAAACCCCACACAGTCTGGGGAGAGTCAGGGAAGGCTTTCTGGGAGAGAGTACCCTGGCCCAATAATCACTGTGAGGTTGGCAAGGCAACGATTGTTATCTTCATTGTGTAATGGGGGCCACTGAACCAGTGACAAGCTGGGGGAAATGACACTGTCCAGTAGTTGGAGGTCACACAGCCCCTTGCCTTATTCTCAAACCCTAACCACATGGCTGGATATTCCTGAAATGCATTCCTAAACCTCTGCTGCTGAGAATAATTGGACCTGCCATCTATTCCCAGTTTAACTGCCCTGTATACCAAACAAATCCAATTCAAGCCAACAGGCAAAGTATAGGCTCAGACAGAGCCCATCCTATGTGCAAGGCGGTGAGCAGGGGTGGAAAATCTCACTGTGACTCATCCAGCTGATTTCTGGTAGGTGCAGGGCCAAGGTGGGGTGTAAGGTGAACAAGCTTTCCCTGACGGCCTCCAGACATATATATGATATGCCACTTATCTTTATCTGCTGTATTTTCCTGCCATCATAGATATTTCCAAGAGAAATTCTCCCATTTTTCAGATGAGGAAACCACTTATAAAAGGGGCACTCAATACCCAAAGAATTTTGAAAAAGAACAAAGTTGGAGGACTCACACTTCCTGATTTCAAAACTTTTTATTTATTTATTTATTTATTTGTTTTTCCATAGGTTATTGGGGTACAGGTGGTATTTGGCTACATGACTAAGGTTTTTGTTTTTTGGTGTTTTTTTTTTGTTTACATTAGTAATTTTTTTTGAGACGGAGTCTTGCTCTGTTGCCCAGGCTGGCGTGTAGTGGTGCAGTCTCTGCTCACTGCAACCTCCATCTCCCAGGTTCAAGCGATTCTCCTGCCTCAGCCTCCCAAGTACCTAGGATTACAGGCAGGCACCACCATGCCCAGCTAATTTTTGTATTTTTAGTAGAAACAGGATTTCACCATGTTAGCCAGGGTGATCTCAAACTCCTGACCTCGAGTGATCTGCCCCCCTTGGCATCCCAAAGTTCTGGGATTACAGGCGTGAGCCACCTTGCCCTGCATGAGTAGGTTCTTTAGTGGTGATTTGTAAGATTTTGGTCCACCCATCACCTGAGCAGTATACACTGCACCCTATCTGTATTTTTTTTTTTTTTTTTTGAGACAGAGTCTCACCCTGTCATCTAGGCTGGAGTGCAATGGTGCGATCTCGGCTCACTGCAACCCTCCACCTGCCAGGTTCAAGCAATTCTCCTGCCTCAGCCTCCTGACTAGCTGGGATTACAGGCATGTGCCACCATGCCCGGCTAATTCTGTACTTTTAGTAGAGACGGGGTTTCTCCATGTTGGTCAGGCTGGTCTCAAACTCCCAACCTCAGGTGATCTGCCCGCCTCGGCCTCCCAAAGTGCTGGGATTACAGGCACGCACCACCACACTCAGCTAATTTTTTGTATCTTTAGTAGAGATGGGGTTTCACCTTGCTGGCCAGGCTGGTCTCAAACTCCTGACCTCATGATCCGCCCGCCTCAGCCTCCCAGAGTGCTGGGATTACAGGTGTGAGCCACCGCACCAGGCCGATAAATGGGACTTTTACAAAAATTTAAAACTTCTGTGCTTCAAAAGACAAAAAGGTGAAAATGTAATCCACATAATGGGAGAAAATTTTTGCAGATCATATATATGATTCAGGACATGTATCTAGAATTTATAAAGAACATTTACCGTGCAATAATAAAAAGACAACCCAGTATAAATGGACAGAGGCAGGCTGGGTGCTGTGACTCATGCATGTAATCCCAGCATTTTGGGAGGCTGAAATGGGAGGATCACCTGAGCCCAAGAGGTCAAGGCTATAGTGAGCCACGTTCATGCCACTGCAGTCCAGCCTGTGGACAGAGTAAGACCCTGTCTGAAAAAAAAAAAAGGGGGGGGCCGGGCATGGTGGCTCACACCTGTAATCCCAGTACTTTGGAAGGCTGAGGTGGGCAGATCACCTGAGGTCAGGGGTTTGAGACCAGCCTGGTCAAGATGGCAAAACCGCGTCTCTACTAAAAATACAAAAATTAGTCTGGTGTGGTGGCACACACCTGTAATCCCAGCTACTAGGGAGGCTGAAGCAGGAGAATTGCATGGACACGGGAGACGGAGGTTGCAGTGAGCTGGAACTAGGCCACTGCACTCCACCCTGGGTGACAGAGCGAGACTCCATCTCAAAAAAAAAAGGACGAAGGCTCTGAATAAACATTTTTCCAAAGAAGATAGACAAATGGCCAATAAGCACATGAAGATGTCCAACATTATCGGCCATTG
Source organism: Homo sapiens (assembly GCF_000001405.40). NCBI lineage: Eukaryota > Metazoa > Chordata > Mammalia > Primates > Hominidae > Homo > Homo sapiens. The sequence continues at coordinate 16,435,236 of NC_000001.11, read as the reverse complement.
GGGAAATGCAAATCAAAATCAGAATGAGATAACACTTTACACTCACATCCACTAGGATAGCTATGATAAAAAAGACAAGTAAGGCGGTACAGTGGCTCACACCTGTAATCCCAAAACACTGGGAGGCTGAGGCGGGAGGATCCCTTGAGCTGAGGAGTTCAAGACCAGCCTGGACAACATAGTGAGATTCCCATCTACAAAATATTTGAAAATTAGCCAGGTGTGGTGGTGTGCACTTGTAGTCTCAGCTACTCAGGAGGCTAAGGTGGGAGGATCCCTTGAACCCCAGAGTTGGAGGTTGCAGTGAGCTATGGTCATACCACTGCACTCCATCCTGGGTGATAAAGGAAGACCCTGTCTCAAAAAATAAATAAATAAATAAATAAGACAGATAATAACAAGTGTTGGAGAGGATGCAGAAAAATTGGAGCAGTCATATGCTGCTGGTAAGAAGGTAAAATGATACAGCCACTTTGAGAAAGTCTGGCAATTACTCAAAAGCTAAAAATAGAGTTGACATGTGATTCAGCAATTCCGTTCCTATATACATAACCAAGAGAAATGCAAATGTATGTTCATATAAAAACTTGTACATGAATGTTCATAGCAGTGTTATTCATAATAGGTAAAATGTGGAAACGGGCCAGGCATGGTGGCTCACACCTGTAATCTCAGCACTTTGGGAGGCCAAGGTGGGAGGATCACTTAAGCTCAGGACTTTGAGCAGCCTGGGCAACCTAATGAGACCTCGCCTCTATTTAAAATTAAAAAATTTTTAAGACGAACCAGGCATGGTGGCATGCGTCTGTAGTCCCAGCCAGCCACTCAGAGGCTGAGGGGAGAGGATCCCTTGAGCCCAGGAGTTTGAGGCTATAGTAAGCTACGATCGCACTGCTGCACTCCAGCCTGAGTGACAGAGCAAAACTCTGTCTCAAAAAAAAAAAAAAGAAAGAAAAAAGAAACAACCTCAATTTCTATCTACTGATGAATGGATAAACAAAATGGGGTCTAGCCATACAGTGAAATATTACTCAGCCATAAAAAGGAATGAAATTCTGATGTGTGCTACAACATGGATGAACCTTGAAAACATGACGTTAAGTGAAAGAAGCTACTCACCAAGGACCATATATTGTATGATTCCATTTATATGGAATGTTCGGAATAGACAAATCCACTAAGACAGAAAGTAGATTAGTGGTTACCTAGGGCTGGGTTTGGGGTGGGAAGATTGGGGATGATGCCCAAGGGGTGTGGGGTTTCTTTTTGGGGTGATAAAAATATTCTAGAATTAGGGCGAGGGTGGTACAACTCTGTGAATATCCTAAAAGCCGTTGAATTGTACACTTTAAATGGGTGAACTGTATGGTATGTGAGTTAAATTTCAATAAAGCTGTAAACAAAAAAGGGTCCCAAGTGATCTGAAAGGGTGACATAGTCGATATTTGTCAACTTCTCTCCCAGTTCTACCCTTGGATTCCAAGCCCCTCTGCTAGGGCTGGGGCTTCCCCTCCTTGTCTAGATTCTCAGAGTTAGCAAGCTCCAGATGTGGACAGATAGGGGCTGGAGCCCCTCTGGGGCTTCTGCCTCCGTAAAACTTCAGTTTGTGGAATACTGGGGCCTGACAATTCCAAGGCTGAGCCTGCACATTCTCAGGCAGAGACAGTGGACAATAGGGGGTGTGTTTGAGGGGCGTAGGGGGAGATTTTCCCTAGGTGGTTCATCCACCCCTGAGACAGGAAGACTCAGAGGAAGCGGGAATGGCTAGGGGAACCCTAATGAGAAAGAGGCTGGGGAGGGGCAAGGAACTCCAAGGCAAGAGAGAAGGACTTGGCCACAGCCCTGACTTTTCCGCTCCAGGTGACAGCCTGGTCCTTCGTGAGGCCAGAGCTGCACCAGGGGTGGGAGGTCACCCCACCAAACCAGCTGAGGTCTGCTTTGCATGGCAGGGGTGCAGCTGTAACTGCAGGAAGGGCCTGGAGGGCAGGAAAAGGAAGTGCGAACTTGGGTCAGCAGCTATTAAGTGCGCCTCCTCTGTGTCCCTGGTAAACTGTGGGAACCGTCAGGACACCCAGTGTATCCCCTAAGGCCTGACGTTGTCCCTAGCACGGGCACGTGTCATTAAACAGTTATCGATTGCACAAGGAAATGAATGAATGACTTAAGCTTCTTTGTAGGCAAAATGATATGATGAGATGAGTGGCCATGGGAGTCAGACAGGCCTGGGTTTGAATCCAGTTCCTCTGCAGACTGGCCATGTGGTATCGGACAAAACATTGCTCAGAGCCTTAATTTCCCTATCTTTAAAACAGGGCTGAACCCAGACTTCACAGGGCTGTTAGGAGAATACTGTTTACAAAGGTTTCCAGCACATGGAAGGTTCCTCCGTGGATGCTGGCGGGCCTGCCATGATTTAAAGTGGAAGAAGCACCATCAAGATCTTCAAGGTCATATGGTCTCACTACAGGAGGAAGGGGCATGGGGGTTAGGATTTACTCCTGGAAACTAGTTAACAGTGAAAGGGGGTCCATGTACCCATAGAAATGGTGCTGATGTTGCCTCAAAGGAATTCAGTGGCTGGAGAGAGAGCTGAGATGGTTGGAAACTTGGAGAAGAGGGAGGAGCTTGAAGGATGGGTTGGGGGCTATCGGAAAGATAGAAAAAATGGGAGGTGGGCACAGAGGCTGGGGTCTGTGGGACTAGGATTGCAGGAGCCTGCCTGGATTAAAACAGAAAGTTTGTGTAGGGGGTGGTGGCACAGCTGAACATGAGGTTGGATGAAAGAGGTGGAGGAGAGATGAAAGGCTTCAGAAATGGCCAGGTGCAGTGGCTCACACCTGTAATCCCAACACTTTGGGAGGCCGAGGCGGGCGGATCACTTGAGGTCAGGAGTTCAAGACCAGCGTGGCCAACCTGGTGAAACCCCATCTCTACTAAAAATACAAAAATTAGCCGGGCATGGTGGCGGCCGCCTAAAATCCCAGCTAGTAGGGAGGCTGAGGCAGGAGAATTGCTTGAGCCCAGGAGGCAGAGGTTGCAGTGAGCCAAGATTGCAGCACTGCACTCCAGCCTGGGCAACAGAGCGAGACTCTGTCTCAAAACAAACAAAAAAAAAAAAAAAAGAAGAAGAAGAAGAAGAAAAGAAAAAGAAAAAGAAAGGATGTGTCCAGGGCAGGGTGTGGGTGCTTTGGTGAACTGCAGATTGCCGCTGGAGACTTTGGGGCCCTGAGACAGATGGACAGATGTCCCTAGTTCTTGTTCCTTAGCCCCATCTAAGAACATGGAGTTTTCATCTATAGCAGGAGCAGCTGTGACATTCTTGGACTCTCTTTAAAAGGCACATTAGTATTTTAAAGGCTCTGAGAAGTTGTACAGGAAAGAGCCTGTATCATTTCGCTCATCACAGCACTTTCCAAAGGCATTTAGCCTTGGAACCCCTTGGAGCATCTGAAGGGACCAGTATGCCAAAGAATACCCTGTAGGAAATGTCGCCGTCGGGGAAAGCGCCTGGGTTTTGGGATTCAACAGGCCATGGTTCAAATCCTCGTCTGCGACCTAGCAGGTGTTAGATCTTGGGCAAGTCTTGTGCCTTCCAGAGCCCCTTTTCCTCAGGGTCATAGTGAGAACTAGGAAAAGCGTATGGGTAAATGGCATGTGGCTAGCTCTCTGGTTTTGCTGCGTGCCTCTCCTTGCAAGGCCTGGCCCCGCCTCTTCCCTCGAGCCAGGCTGTCTACATTATAGGCTCCAAGTGGGCTCCTGAAGCAGCAGTTAGGTGATGGGCTTGGTGGGACGCTTGATTGGATTTCTCCTGTAGGAGCACACTAGGTGATGCCCCTCACTTGGCACCCGTGTTGGCGCTGGCATCATGGACAATAGAAACACCCAGATGTACACGGAGGGTAGAACCAAGGCTCCAGGGACGCAGCCAAGTCCTGGCCTGAGGATCACCATAAAGAGGGCTGGTGTTGAGCCCATCATACCAGGAGTCAGCAAGGTAGGGACCTGCACCCCATGTTCTGATCCATTCACTCCTAGCTGGCACCTTTCCCTTCCCCTGCCCAGGCTTCCTCCCCAGCTGCTTTAATTAAGACTCTGTTAAAAATGGACACAAAACCCAATTCAAACTGGATTAAGCAGAAAAGAGAATATATCAGTTTGGGTAACTGACACATGCCTTCATAGACTTCAGGTATGGCTAGATCAATGTGCTAAATGAGTATCTCTTGGCTCTATGTTCCTCCGTGTTGGATTCATTCTCAGGCAAGCTCTCCCTGCAAGATGGCAGGGATTGCCCTGGCCACTCCAGGATTACATCTTCCCATCTTACACCCTCTGGTTTAGCATTCCAACAGGAAGTGAGCCTCTTTGCAATAGTTGAAACAAGTCTCTAGCATCACTGTCATTGGCCCAGATTGTGGTCAGATGCTCATCCTTGAACCAATCACCATGGCAGTGGGGAGTGGTCTGGATCTCTTGATACAATGGAGACAGAGGTGATAGGTGGCTCCACTGAGCCCCATGGGCTGAATGGAGAAGAGAAGCTTCCCAAAAACAATGCTGGCTTCTGTAACGGAAAGAGCTGCAGGGTGAGCAAACCCAGAATTGCCTACTCGCTCTTCTAGGTGCCTTGCATGGCCTCCAAACTCCCCTCACAGCCTCCAGCCCAGCTTTATTCTCCTGAGAGCTACTCAGGGCTTCCCTCCATGCCCCTCCCCAGAGCCCAGCCTGCATCCTAAGCTTCCATCACACCTCTCAGCCTCTTTCCATCAAATATGTTTATTAGTTTGTTTGTTTGTTTATTTTTGAGACAGGCTCTCACTCTCTCACCCAGACTGGAGTGCAGTGGTGCGATCACGACTCACTGCAGCCTCGAACTCCCAGGCTTAAGCGATCCTCCTGCCTCAGCCTCCTGAGTAGCTGGAACTATAGGCGTGGCTTGTGCCACCATACCCAACTATTTTTTTAATTTTTTGTAGAGACAAGGCTTTATCATGTTGCCCAGGCTGGTCTTGAACTCATGGGCTCAAGTGATCTGTCTGCCTCAGCCTCCCAAAGTGTTGGGATTACAGGCATAAGCCTCCGTGTCCGGCATCTTCTTTTTTTTTTTTTTTTTTTTTTTTTTGAGATAGAGTCTTGCTGTCACCCAGGCTGGAGTGCAATGGTGTGATCATGGCTCACTGCAACCTCTGCCTCCTGGGTTCAAATGATTTCCGTCTAATTTTTTTTGTATTTTTAGAAGAGATGGGATTTCACCATGTTGGACAGGCTGGTCTTGAACTCCTGACCCCAAGTGATCCGCCCACCTCGGCCTCCCAAAATGTTAGGATTACAGGCGTGAGCCACTGCGCCCCACTGGCCTCTTTTTGAATGTGCCAAGTAGCATGAACTGAAGAGCATAAAGAAGACCCTCCTCACCATCCAGTTTCCTCAGGGCCAAAGATATCACCATTTAAAAAGTCAGCCAGCCGGGCGCGGTGGCTCACGCCTGTAATCCCAGCACTTTGGGAGGCCGAGGCGGGTGGATCACCTGAGGTCGGGAGTTCAAGACCAGCCTGACCAACATGGAGAAACCCAGTCTCTACTAAAAATACAAAATTAGCCTGGCATGGTGGTGCATGCCTGTAATCCCAGCAACTTGGGAGGCTGAGGCAGGAGAATCGCTTGAACCTGGGAGGTGGAGGTTGCGGTGAGCGGAGATTGCACCATTGCACTCCAGCCTGGGCAACAAGAGTGAAACTCCATCTCAAAAATAAATAAACAAACAAACAAACAAATAAATAAAATACAATACAATAAAATAAAAAGTCAGCCAGGTGCCATGGCTCACGCCTGCTCCCAATACTTTGGGAGGCAGAGATAGGTGGATTGCTTGATCCCAGGAGTTAAAGACCAGCCTGGGCAACATCGTGAGACCCCGTCTCAAAAAAAAAACAAAGCCAGGCGCGGTGGCTCACGCCTGTGATCCCAGCTCTTAGGGAGGCAGAGGCGGGAGGAGAGCTTGAGTCCAGGAGTTCGAGGCCTGCCTGGGCAATATAGCGAGACCCCGTTCTCCACAAAAAGGAAAAGAAAAAAAAAGCCAAAAAAAAAAATAAAAAGTCAACATGCCCTTGGGTATGTTCCCTGTAGCCTCTGTTATAAATCCTCACTTCCCCTGGGGCAGGGAGAGGGCCTGGAGGGGAGGAGGCTAGGAGAGAGGCTAGAGGTGAACATTCAGGGCTTCCTTCATCCACCCATTTATTTTTTCAACAAGCACCGTCATGGGGTCCCAGTCCCACCACTTACCCAGCTGTGTGATGTTGGGCCTGTCACTGCACCCCTTGCAGCCTCATTTGTTTTACGGTGTTGACTAAGGCACCTAGCACAGGCCCTGTCTCATAGTAGGTGCCTGTTAGTATTAGCTCACATCAGAATCTTGTATTATATCAATGTCAATGAGTTAATTAAGTCCATTTGTTTGGAGTTTGCTGACTCCGGTGATGCTTGGAGCGGGGTCTCAGTCACTGGCTCCAGGTCACCCAGTTGGAGAGTGACAGACCATGATAGTGATCAAAACCCAGTTCAGGCCAGGTGCGGTGCCTCATGCCTGTAATCCCAGCACTTTGGGAGGCTGAGGCAGACGGATCACTTGAGGTCAGAAGTTCGAGACCAGCCTGGCCTACAAAAAAAATAAAAAAAAAAAATTAGTTGGGCATGGTGGCGCACACCTGTAATCCCACCTACTCGGGAAGCTGAGGCACAAGAATCGCTTGAACCCAGCAGGTGGAAGTTGCAGTGAGCCGAGACTGTGCCACTGCACTCCAGCCTGGGCAAAGGAGGGAAACTCTCTCTCAAAAAATGAAATAAAAACTCAGTTCAAACTAGAGCCTGCGTTTTGAAGGCATGGGAATTGTTGAAGGCGTCTCTTGGACCTTGTGAGAGTCTTGGGGTCCCCCAGGGTGCTCTTTCAAGCTGTCCTTAAGGCAATCCCCTTGTCTCGGGTACTAATCTGGACTCCAGTTCATACCAGAGCCTTACGTGCTAAGCAACAGCAACAGCAGGGCCGGGCCCTGCATCCCTGCCTCTCAGCTCCTGCTCACCCCTCTCCAACAGCTTCCCCAATCAGGCACAGGATCTCCCTGTCCTTGAGGCCAGAAGAGTACCCAGGGAGGAGTGGGAGGGATCACTCCAGAACGGGTACTCAATGCCAGCCCTCAAGCCACTGCCATGGATATCTCTGTCCAGGTCATGTTTCCGGATGCTTCGGAAGTGGGCAGCAAGAAGCACCTCTCATCAGCTTCACGAGGGCCAGAGAAGGGGCCCAGACTCAGAGATGCATTTGAGAAGGGGCCTTCAGAGCTCAGAATCCAGGAGCAGGGGCCTCCAGCAAGACCAGGGTGAGCTGAGGGGCTCTCGAGAGAACAGGTCCAAGAGAGAACCCCCTGTAGCCCACCCGCGGGGGAGAGAGAGAGAATGGAGAACTCCCAGGCCAAGGCAGCTCCACCCACGACAGCACCTTGTCCTTCTCTTTCATTGCACCAGTTGCACTAAAGAGTTCATGTTAACCTTTTGTCTGAACTCCCCCAACGAGACCACAAACATCTTTTATGTGTCTTGTTTGAGGAGCATCATATACCTGGTTCAACCTCAAAGCCCTCATGCCTAGTACTATGCCTGACACATAGTAAATGTTCGATAAATATTGATTCACTGAATTAATAGAATAATGAACAAAAAAAGGTTAGGAGACACAGGAACATGTAAAGATGTACACGTAATTGTTTTCTAAATTTTGTGTTTTTTTAAAACTTTTCTACAGCAAGAATGTATTCAAAAAGAGAAAATCAAGAGCGAGCCAGATAGAGGCAAAGTGAAAGGCTGGGATAATAGAAATAGTAAAGACTAGCTGGCTTAGTTGGATTTGACTATAACCAGAAGCTCCTAAATAGCCTCCTCTACAAGAAAAGTTAGGAGAGACAACTCAAGCCAGGTCCGAGGCCCACTGAGACAACTACTGCATACCATGCCGGTGGAAATAGAAACCATTTAAGCATACCTGTTTCATCAACGTGGCAATTTGTTTAAACTGCCTTGAAACTCCCTTTATCCTCACCCATTTCTGGAAATAGGCCATGAGGAAATAATTGGTGATTCAAGCAGTTTTATGCACAAAGACTTTCACTGTCACATTATCTTAAATACTAAAAAATTAGAAACCCCTTAAGCGCCCACACAATAGGGAAATGGTTAATGATGGTTATCTTTAAAATATGGAATTTTATACATTTAATGAACATAAGAAAACATATAAAGCATGTTTCTGAAGGATTTTTAGCATGCGAAAAACACAGGCTATGATGTTAATTGAAAAAAGTACATTAGGCCGGGCACAGTGGCTCACACCTGTAATCCCAGCACTTTGGGAGGCCAAGGCAGGTGGATTACCTGAGGTCAGGGGTTTAAAACCAGTCTGGCCAACATGGCAAAACCCCATCTCTACTAAAAATATAAAACTAGCTGGGCATGGTGGCACATGCCTGTAATCCCAGCTACTTGGGAGGCTGAGGCAGGAGAATCACTTGAACCCAGGAGGCAGAGGTTGCAGTGAGCCAAGATCACTCCACTGCACTCCAGCCTGGGCAACAAGAGCAAAATTCTGTCTCAAAAAAAAAAAAAAAAAATATATATATATATATATATATAGCCGGGCACCATGGTTCACGCCTGTAATCTCAACACTTTGGGAAGTTGAGGTTGGCGGATCACTTAAGCCCAGGAGTTCAAGACCAACCTGGACAACATGGTGAAACCCCATCTCTACAAAAAATATGAAGATTGGCCAGGCATGGTGGCATATGCCTGTAGTCCCAGCTACTTGGGAGGCTAAGGCGGGAGGATTGCTTGAGCCCAGGAAGTGGAGGTTGCAGTGAGCTGAGATCATGCCACTACACTCGAACCTGGGTGACAGAGCAAGACTCTGTCTCAAATAAATAAATAAATAAATAAGTATGCATACGCATAGGAAGAAGCTTGGAGGAAATACTCCAGAATACTAAAGTGAGATCGGATAGACACAGCTTCAAATTTTGAACAGTTATCTTTAGCTTTATGACCTTAGGCTCAAATCTCTTGTCCTCTCTGCATCCCAGTTCTGATTTTTGTTTCATTTTTTTCTGAAAAACAGTTTAAAAATACTATAAAACTTAAATTCTAGGCTGGATGCAATGGCACGTACCTCTAATCCCAGCACTTTGGGAGGCCGAGGTCGAAGATTGCTTGAGCCCAGGAGTTCAAGACCAGCCTGGGCAACACAGAGAGACCTTGTCTCTACAAATAATTGTGAAAGTTTAAATTTTAACTCCCCCAAACATTGACATCAAAGTGTCTATGATTTGGGGAATTCCTGTGAGTCCTTCATTGGTCCTTCCAGGCGTTAGCTATGCACCTATGGTATGCCTAGCCCTGTAAAAATATATAAAACAGTGCCCCAGTCTGGGAGCTAAAGTGTCACTTTGTCTATTTTCCCCAGGAAGAAACAGCCCTCTTGGGTCCCCCAGGAAGGGTCCCAGGAGCTGCAAGCAGGCCAGGATCAGAGTGAGCTGGGGTTGCTGCCTTCCTGGGTTCCTGAAGTACCTGAAGGGCTGCAGCAGCTGGGCTCCGGAAAGGAGATCAAGGGCCAGCAGGGGAGGCAACGGAACCGGGGAATCGGGGAGGATCAGCCTCCTGAGAGCTGCCAGGTAACCTAGGAGATCTGGGGAGAAGGGTATGGAATGACCTACCACAGAGGAGGTGAAAGAGCCCCCCTCCTATCATGCCCCCCATTCTGGTGCATGTATCTGTAGTCCCAGCTACTTGGGAGGCTGAGGCAGGGGTGATCCCTTGAGCCCAGGAGGTCAAGGCTACAATGAGCTATGTTCAGGCCACTGCACTCCAGCCTGGGTGACAGAATGTTTGCTCACCTCTGTGCCCTGAAGATGTCAAGCACTCAGTCTGTGGGTCACTGGGCTATTCCCCCAGCCTACATCACAAGCATTTAAGTCTTGTTTCCAGGCCGGGCATGGTGGCTCACGCCTGTTAATCCCAGCACTTCTGGAGGCCGAAGGAGGCAGATCACCTGAGGTCAAGACCAGCCTGGCCAACATGGTAAAACCCTGTCTCTACTAAAAAATATAAAATTAGCCGGGTGTGGTGGCACATGCCTGTAATCCCAGCTACTCAAGAGGCCGAGGCAGGAGAATTGCTTGAACACGGGAGGTGGAGGTTGCAGTGAGCTGAGATCGCGCCATTGCACTCCAACCAGGGCAATGAGAGCAAAACTCCGTCTCAAAAAAATAAAAATAAAATAAAAATAAGTCTTGTTTCCAGAGTGGCCCCACGGTATGTCAATGGGTGCAGGGGGGAGGGAGGAGGTGCCAGGTTCTGTATACAGATAATATTGGGACATGCTGAGTTTAACAAAGCTGAAACAGGTTTCTGTATGCTAGGATATCCTGGAAGCAGTTTACTAGCTGCTGAGCCTTTGTAAGATTTTGCAAGATATGATTAGAGGCCAGGCGCCGTGGCTCGTGCTTGTAATCCCAGCACTTTGGGAGGCTGAGGTGGGAGGATTGCTTGAGCCCAGGAGTTTGAGATCAGGGCAACATGGTGAAACCCCGTTCCTACAAAAAATACCAAAGTTAGCTGGATGTGGTGGCACATGTCTGTGGCCCCAGCTACTCCAGATACTGAGATGGGAGGATCCCCTGAGCCTGGGGTCCAGGCTGCAGTGAGCCAAGATCACACCACTGTGCTCCAGCCTGGGTGACAGAGTGAAACCCTGTCTCAAAAAAAATAAAAATAAAAAAATAAATAAAAAATTTTAAAAAGATATGGTTAGAGTATATTGCCTTTCCCAAACTTATTTGACCACAAGATCTTTTTTTATTTATCTGTAAGATTTTTTTTTTTTTTGAGACAGTCTTGCTCTGTCGCCCAGGCTGGAGTGCAGTGGCGCAATCTCGGCTCACTGCAAGCTCTGCCTCCCAGGTTCATGCCATTCTCCTGCCTCAGCCTCCCAAAGTGCTGGGATTACAGGTGTGAGCCACCGCACCCAGCCTGGTAAGATTTATTTTTAACAGCTTCAGTAAGGTATAATTGGCATTCACTTGCACATACTTTAAGTGTACAATTTAATATTTTGACATATGTACACACCCACAAAACCATCCCCACAATCAAGAAAGCAAACATAGCCATCACCCCAACCATTTCCTCATGCCCTTTCTCATCCCCCCTCCCACTAGTCTATCCCCAGGCGACTACCAACTATCACTATAGATTTGTTTGTATTTCGTGGAATTTTACACAAATGAAATTGTACAGTGTACATTCTTTCTGTCTGGCTTCGTTCACTCCACATGACTATTTGAGATTCATCTAGGTCGGGTGCGGTGGCTCAGCCTGTAATCCCAGCACTCTGGGAGGCTGAGGCGGGTGAATCACCTGAGGTCAGGAGTTCAAGACCAGCTTGGCCAACCTGGTGAAACCCCGTCTCTACTAAAAATATAAACATTAGCTGGGCATGGTGGCAGGTGCCTGTAGTCCCAGCTACTCGGGAGGCTGAGGCAGGAGAATCACTTGAACCTGGGAGGCGGAGGTTGCAGTGAGCTGAGATCATGCCAGTGCACTCCAGCCTGGAGAACAGAGTGAGACTCTGTCTCCAAAAAAAAAAAAAAAAAAAAAGGAGAGAGAGAAAGAGAAAGAAATTCATGTATTGTGTGTATCAACATGTTGTTCTTTTGGTTGCTCAGTAATATTTCCATTCTATGGATATACCATAATATACCACTTTTTTTTTTTTTTTTTTTTTGACATGGAGTCTCACCCTGTTGCCCAGGCTGGAGTGCAGGGGTGTGATCTTGGGTCACTGCAACCTCCACCTCCTGGGTTCAAGTGATCCTCCCACCTCAGCCTCCTGAGTGGCTGGGATTACAGGCACGTACCACCACGCCCAGCTAATTTTTGTGTTTTTAGTAGAGACAGGGTTTCACCATGTTGGCCAGGCTGGTCCTGAACTCCTAATCTCGTGTGATCCACCCACTTAGGCCTTTATTATTTTTTTTCAAGAGACAGAGTCTCACTCTGTCGCCCAGGCTGGAGTGCAGTGGTGTGATCATGGCTTACTGCAACCTCCACCTCCTGGGTTCAAGTGATTCTCGTCCCTCAACCTCCCAAATAGCTGGGATTACAGACATGAGCCACCATGCGTAGCTAATTTTGTGTAGAGACAGAATTTCTCCATGTTGGCCAGGCTGGTCATGAATTCCTGACTTCAAGTGATCCACCTGCCCCTCAGCCTCCCAAAATTCTGGGATTGCAGGTGTGAACCACCACACCTGGCCAAAACCTCCTCTTTTTAAGGAGGCTCATGAAGGATTCTTGTTCTTTGAAGTATCCCTTGGAAAATCCCATTAAGGCTGAGCATGGTGACTGATGCCTGTAATCCCAGCACTTTGGGAGGCTGAGGCAGGAGGAATGCTTGAGCCCAGGAGTTCAAGACCAGCCTGAGCAACATAGTGAGACCTCATCTCTACCAAAAATTAAAAAATATCAGCCAGGCGTGGTGACAGGTATTTGTAGTCCCAGCTACTTGGGAGGCTGAAGCAGGGGGATCCCTTGAGCTCAGGAGGTCAAGGCTACAATGAGCTGTGTTCTTGCCACTGCACTCCAGCCTGGGTGACAGAGTGAGACTTGTCTCAAAAAAAAAAAAAAATACACACACACACAAAGGAAAACCCTATTTAAAGGGGATCTTCTCAATTTTCCAGGCTCTCATTCCACTCCCATAGGGAAGTGTGGTTCTTTGGGTAGGCCACGCCTTCTCTGGGCTTCAATTTCCTCACCCTTCAAAATGTGGGAGTACCTGTGCTACCTTCTAGGGGCACTAGGAGAATTAAGTAAGATGATGCCTGAAGTGCTGGGACCCTAGTAAGTGTGTAATAACTGGTCTCCAGTTCGCCTGGAGCATTGAGGTTCACCTGGGAACGAGGATGGAGCTCCCCAGCCGTGGTGTCCTTGTCCTTGACAGGGCTCCGGATATCAATCCACCCCCAGTCACCAGGCAGACATGGTGCAGCCAGCAGAGCCTTGCTGCCGCTTGGCCAGCCATGGCCAGCCACTGGGAGGCAAGCACCCCAAGGAGGCAGGTGTCCCACACATCAGGCCACAGGAGGCTCCGCCAGAGCCCAGCCCAGGGGGACATGGGGACAGCTCTCAGGAAGCAATGCCCCCAATGTCCGTCGTGGCTCCAGAGGAAAAGACAGTCAACCCCTTCCTGCCATCCACGCCTGGACCTAAAAAAGCAAAAGGAGGGTAAGTCATCATCCAGTGCCATCCCCTGCCCCCAACAAGGATGCTCTTCTGCTGAGTTTCAGGTGGGGTGAATTCTAGTCCAGACTGCTCCTGACCTGGTAGAGGACCTTGGGCAAGTCATGCTCCGCTGGGTCTCAATTTCCCCATCTGTGTAATGGCTGGAATACCAGAATTCTTGGTTCCGTGAGCCTGTATATATGAGGATGTGGGGACATAAGGAGCCCCCTGAGATGAGAAGGCCAAGGGGATGAGGCTGGGGTGGAACTGAGTGTCCTGGGGGCTGAGAGGGGAGGGCAGGGGGGCAAACCTTCAGCTGAGCGCTTCCCCCACCTGGGGGTTTCTCTTCTATTCAGGGGTGAGGCTGTGGAGACCCACCCAGCACCGGGGCCTCTTCCTCCACCAGTAAGTAGGGCCATAGGGGGAACGGGGACGAGCTGTGTAGGAGAAAGGCAGGGGGGATCAGGAGGAGGAAGAGGGCAGAAGCGGATGTGGCACGTCAAACCCCTATTTGGAGTCAAACCAAGGAAGGTGTGTGTGGCTGTGTGTTAAAGTGCACATGGATGTGCACACGTGTGTGTGTGTGCCTGTGCCTGTGTGTATGCATGTGTGTGTATTCTGGGTGGGCATCAAGAATGCTCTTACACTCTGGAGCCCTTGGGTTCATCCCAGGTGGTGGCTTGTTCCACATCAGCATGGATTTCTTCCACCCATTTGCCCTCGGCCACAGCCACACAATCCAAAGCATCCCTGAACACCTGGGAGGCTTCCCCGACCCCTCCCAGCCATCCTTCCCTCCCCAAGCTCTGCCACTTCCTAGTTCTTTGACCTGACCAGGCAACCTGCAAATACACAGTCACTAGCATGCATGCCCTGCCAGCATCTGCCCTGTCTCATCCTGTTCTGTTCATTGGCAAAACCCCACCCTGGCTAAACTCACTCAGCCTTGTACCCATGTTGAGCAGCTTAATGCGGTTGGAGAACATCCTGTCTTATTGATGGGTTTCACTTTCAAGCATTAACCACTCATGTCAGATGCTGCCTGCAAGTCTCACTTTTCCTTGGCCACACCGCCCTCCCTCCGCTCCAGGTCATCATTTCACAACAGCATCCCCCACGCCCCTCATCTCACTCATGTGTCACTGACAAACAGAAGCATCAGATGAGAAGAAGCATCCCCAAACCCACCACCCTCCCTGCCTTGATTTGGCTGCAATGGGAGCTGTGAAGATGGGCCCCTGCTCCCATGGCTGTCTCCCCATTTATTCATTAGCTCTCGTCCCCTCCCCCCACCACATGATCCCTCTCTGCGTTACTACAGGACGATTCCATCAGCATACAAACATGGCTCAGCCTCCACAATATCAAAAGCTGCCTTTCTTTCTTTCTTTCCTTTTTTTTGAGACAGAGTCTCTGTTGCCCAGGCTGGAGTGCAGTGGTGTGATCACGGCTCACTGCAACCTCCACCTCCCGGGTTCAAGCTAGTCTCAGCCTCCTGAGTAGCTGGGACTACAGGCGTGTACAAACATACCTGGCGTCAAAAGCCGTCTTTCCTTGCTCCCCTTTGCAGCCCCATCCCTCAATAATTGTCCCCCTCACCTCCTCCGCTTGTCTTTTCTCAACACATCCCCATATGAGAGCTTTTATCGGGGTCTCCATAATCTCCATCTGGCTTATCAAATGGAAGAGCTCTGTCCTTACAGAGCCCACCTCGCAACAGCAGAAGACACAGTGGCTCCCTCTCTCCTCAATGCTGCCTTCTCCAGGCTCCATGACAGCCCTACCTTGGTTCTCCTCCCATGTCACTAGCAACTCCTTCCCAGTCTCCCTCCCTAGTTCCTCCTCATCTTCTCCACCCTCGGGGCTCCACCCTCTGGTCTCCCATCTCCATTCTCTCCCTGGATGATCTCATTCAGTCCCTCTGATGATTCCCAAATCCATATCTTCAGGCGAGACTTTGCCTTTTTCTTTTTTTGAATTGACAGAGTCTCTGTTGCCCAGGCTGAAGTGCAGTGGCGCAATCTCAGCTCACTGCAACCTCTGTCTCTGAGGTTCAAGCAATTCTCTTGCCTCAGCCTCCCGAGTAGGTGGGATTACAGGCAAGCACCACCTCACCCGGTTAATTTTTGTATTTTTAGTAAAGATGGGGTTTCACCATATTGGTCAGGCTGCTCTCGAACTCCTTACCTCCGGTGATCCGCCCGCCTCAGCCTCCCAAACTGCTGGGATCACAGGCGTGAGCCACCATGCCCAGCCATAGACCTTGCCTTTAAATTCCATGTTCATATATCCAATGGCCTACTTGAATTCCCTCTGGCTGGCTAATTCACTTCTCAAACATGACCACAGCAGTCTTCTTCAGCCCAGCAAATGACACTGCCTTTCTCACCCAAGGGGCTCATGCAACCCAGCTCAAAATCACCTCTGATTCCTCCTTTTCCCTCTATAATCCTTTCACGTGTCAACAAGCCCTGTTTAGTGCTACCTACAAAATAAATCCTGAATCCGTCCCTTCCTTCCACTCCCTCTTTCATTACCCTAGTCCAAGCCTCATCTTCTTAGAATAAGATCCAAAATCTTCACCAAGAGCCATAAAGCCCTATGTCTAGCCACTCTGGTCTAACCTCCAGCCCTTGGATATGCTAAGCCTAGTCTCACCCCAGGGCCTTTGAATGTTCCTGTGCCTGAACTCCTCTTCATAGACAGTCTTACGGCTCTCTTGAGTCATTCACTTTCAATTTCGACATCAGTTTTTCCACAAGGCCTTCCCTGGCCAGCCATCTCAAGGAGCCTGTCAGCCACACTCAGCCTATCACATTGTCCTGTTTTATTGTCTTTGTAGTACTTTCTCCCTCCGACATTATCTTTAAGTTGTCAACCTATTCATTATCTAGAACGCAAGCTCCCTGAGGGCAGCCTTGCTAGTTGACTTACTCCTCTATGCTTTGTGCCTCAAACAATGCCCAGCACGTGGTAGGTACTCAACAGGAATGTGTTGAATAAATGAATGGATGGGAATAAGATGAGGTACCTCTCCAGACTAGTGAGAAGTCAGATGAGAAATAAGAACTAGGCCGGATGCAGTGGCTTATCCCTGTAATCCAAGCACTTTGGGAGGCCGAGGCAAGTGGATCACCTGAGGTCAGGGGTTCAAGACCAGCCTGGCCAAAATACAAAAATTAGTGGGGCATGGTGGCGTGCACCTGTTGTCCCAGCTACTTTGGAGGCTGAGGCAGGAGAGTCACTTGAACCCGTGAGGCAGAGGATGCAGTGAGCCAAGATAGCGGCACTGCACTTCAGCCTGAGAAACAGAGCAAGCCTCTGTCTTGGAAAAAAAAAAAAGAGAGGGTATGGTGGCTCATGCTTGTAATCCCAGCACTTTGGGAGGCTGAGGCGGGAGGATCATGAGGTCAGGAGATCGAGACCATCCTGGCTAACAAGGTGAAACCGCTTCTCTACTAAAAATACAAAAAAATTAGCTGGGCATGGTGGCGGGCACCTGTAGTCCCAGCTACTTGGGAGGCTGAGGCAGGAGAATGGCATGAACCCAGGAGGCAGAGCTTCCAGTGAGCCGAGATCACGCCACTGCACTCCGGCCTGGGCGACAGAGCGAGACTCCATCTCAAAAAAAATAAAAATAAAAAAAAGAGAGAGAGAAATAAGAACTATTCCTTGCCTGTGTGTTTCTGCCTTTTACCCCATCCCTACCCCATGCAAAGCGTGGGCTGGATACTGTGGGGGAGAAGAGGAGAGGGCACAATTTAGCTCTGCAAGTACATACTGAGTGTCTGTGGCATACCAGGCCCAGTGCTTGGAGAGAAAGGACAAGGAAAGCCGGGGAGGGCCCCTGCTCCCTGCTCTGGAGGATGCAGCTGAGCTGGTGGCACCACAAGAGATGAGAGGTCCTGGACAGGAAGTCCTGCAGGCACTCAGAGGAGCCCTGGGGCCAGCAGGTAGCTTTCTGGAGAGGGAGGACTGATATTAGGCCATACAGAGGGAATGGAATACAGACAGAGCCAGGGAGTAGAAAGGGCGCCCAGGGCCAGGTGCAGTGAGTGGCTCACGCCTGTAATCCCAACACTTTAGGAGGCTGAGGTGGGCGGATCACCTGAGGTCAGTAGTTCAAGACCAACCAGGTCAACATGGTGAAACCCCATCTCTATTAAAAACACAAAAAATGGCCGGGCACGGTGACTCATGCCTGTAATCCCAGCACTTTGGGAGGCCGAGGTGGGCGGATCACCTGAGGTCAGGAGTTCGAGACCAGCTTGGCCAACATGGGGAAAAAAAACCCCGTCTCTACTAAAAATACAAAAAAATTAGCCAGGCGTGGTGGCAGGTGCCTGTAATCCCAGCTATTCAAGAGAGAATCGCTTGAACCTGGGAGGCAGAGGTTGCAGTGAGCCAAGATCGTGCCATCGCACTCCAGCCTGGGGAACAAGAGCGAGACTTTGTCTCAAAAAAAAAAAAAAAAAGCCCACAAAAAAATTAGCTGGGCATGGTGGCAGGCACCTGTAGTCCCGGCTACTTGGGAGGCTGAGGCAGGAGAATCATTTGAACCCAGGAGGCAGAGGCTGCAGTGAGCCAAGATCTTGCCATTGCACTCTAGCCTAGGCAGTGAGTGAAACTCCGTCTCAAAAGAAAAAAGGCAAAGAAAAGAAAGGGCAGCCAGGCAGCAGACCCATCACAAGGAAAGTTACAGAGATGGGAAGGAAGGTGAATGAAAAGTGACGATGGAGAGGGCCATCATCTGGGCCTCGTGGGACAAGCATATTGGATACAATGGACAGAGCGGCTGAAAAGCTAGACTGGCTGTGATATGAAGCCTCCAGGATGTGAGGCAGGCTCACCGTGTACTGGTTACCAACTTGTCTTGAGTCCAGTGAGGCAGAATACCCATGCATACATGTTATAAAAGTGAGTTTATTACTAAAGATGGGCAACAAAGGACAATAGAAGCCTAGGATCCACTGTGAGCCTGGGCCCCAAGGCTCAGGAAAGCTGTCTGGGACAGAGGGAGTCCTGTCTGCGTGTGCCGCACTTGCTGAGGGACCGCAGAAAGCAGCACACCCTGGGTTTTATACATCAAGGTGACATGATTTGCTGGGCTAAAGCCTTGAAGGCCATCCTATTTCTGGGGCTCAGGGGAGTGGAACAGATCCTGGGGTGTTCCAGCCAGTCCCTCCCTATCTTAGGATATTGCATTCCCACCACATTCTTTTTTTTTTTTTTTGAGATGGAGTCTCTCTCTGTCGCCCAGGCTGGAGTGCTGTAGTGGTGTGATCTCAGCTCACTGCAACCTCCACCTCCCGGGTTCAAGCAATTCTCCCGCCTCAGCCTCCCAAGTAGCTGAGATTACAGGCATATACCACCACGTGTGGCTAATTTTTGTATTTTTAATAGAGACAGAGTTTCGCCATGTTGGCCAGGCTGGTCTTGAACTCCTGACCTCAAATGATCCACCCGCCTCAGCTTCCCAAAGTGCTGGGATTACAGGCATGAGCCACCGTGCCCGGCCCCCACCACATTCTTTAACTGTGTAATCTTCAGAACTACAAGTGAGAAATGAGAGAGAACTGGGTGGGTCCAAGGCCCACCTGCACCAGAGACCCATCCTGCACAGTCGTGGAGTGAAGCATTTGGCCTTAGCACTTCAATGACACTCTTAACACCTTGCAAAAAGCTGGGCCTAGGAAGAAATACTAGACTAGAGCACCCCGAGGCTGGGCACTAGGCACCCCTGTACCCACGTGACTGCACTTGTGGCACAGATGGATGAAGGGATGGGTGTGACAGTCACAGGGAGCCCCTGCAGGCTCGGGGGTAGCAGAGCAGTGACAGAAGAGCTGCACAGAGGTCAATGCAGTGGCCTGTTCAGGACACCTGGTGCCAGGTGGAAGGGGCTCAGAGAAGGCAGAAGGAGGAATCCAGGTGTGTGAGGGTTGGAGAAGCTGGAGGGAAAGATGTCAGGGCCTTGGCACCATCGTTCACCCACAGGCTGAGCGCCTGCTGGGAGCAAAACTTGGTGCTGGATCCTGAAATAATAGGAGACATTTGGCCGGGTGTGGTGGCTCACGCCTGTAATCCCAGCACTTTGGGAGGCCGAGGTGGGCGGATCACAAGGTCAGGAGATCGAGACCATCCTGGCTAACATGGTGAAACCCCGTCTCTACTAAAAATACAAAAATTAGCCAGGCATGGTGGCGGGCGCCTGTAGTCCCAGCTACTCGGGAGGCTGAGGCAGGAGAATGGCGTGAACCCGGGAGGTGGAGCTTGCAGTGAGCCGAGATCACACCAACACACTCCAGCCTGGGTGACAGAGCGAGACTCCGTCTCTAAAAAAGAATAATAATAATAATAATAGGAGACATTCTGAGACAGACTTCTACCCACCTTGGGGCTCAGAGTCTGTATCTGCAACAGGGGCAGAGGCCCCGGACTTTGGAAGCCCTGTAGTCCCCAGAGGGCCATGGGGAGTCCCCGGAGGGCCATGATGACAGTGAGGCTGGATTCATGGCCACCATCTTGGGCCCCAATATCACAATGGAGCAGGAGCCCCAGAACTGATTTTTTTTTTGAGGGTCACATTCTGCCACCCAGAGTGCTAGAGTGCAGTGGCACAATCTTGGCTCACTGCAACCTCCGCCTCCTGGGCTCAAGTGATCCTCCCACCTTAGCCCCTTCAAGTAGCTGATAGTACAGGCGCGAGCCATCATGCCTGGCTAATTTTTGTATTTTCTGTAGAGACAGGGTCCCACCATGTTGCCCAGGCTCTTCTCGAACTCCTGAGCTCAAGCGATCCACCTGCCTCAGCATCCGAAAGTGTTAGGATTACAGGCATGAGCCACTGCGCCTGGCCCAGAACTGCTTTTAATTGCTAGTTTGTTTTAGGCTTGACAGAAATTGAGCATTTGCCCTTAATTCAGGAAAACAATTAAAGGAGTCTTCGACATGGGAAAATGGGTCTCTTTTCTAGGCTGTCAGAATACTCAACTAGAATCTTTTTTTTTTTTTTTTTTTGAGATGAGGTTTCGCTCTTGTTGCCCAGGCTAAAGTGCAATGGTGTGATCTCGGCTCACCTCAACCTCCACCTCCCAGGTTTAAGCGATTCTCCTGCCTCAGCCTTCCCGAGTAGCTGGGATTACAGGCATGCGAACAACCCCAGCTAATTTTGTATTTTTAGCAGAGACGGGGCTTCTCCATGTTGGTCAGGCTGGTCTCGAACTCCCAACCTCAGGTGATCTGCCTGCCTCAGCCTCCCAGAGTGCTGGGATTACAGGCGTGAGCCACCGCGCCCGTCCAGCTATGATTATTTCAACCGTACTGTTTGTTGAGCGTTTACTCTGTCCAAGTGCATTATTTACATTATCTTGCTTCTCAGACATCACTGAGAAAACTGAAATAATCAGTGTTTAGTTAACATACATATTGAGGACAACATACCAAAAACAGTTGTGAAACTGGGGATTTCATGGTGAATGGAGCTTGTGACCTAGTTGGCAGAAAGTCTAGACCATTAACATGTAAATAAATAAATACAGTTTAGGCTGGGTGCGGTGGCTCACGCCTGTAATCCCAACACTTTGAGTGGCTGAGGTGGGCAGATCCCTTGAGGCCAGGAATTCAAGACCAGCCTAGGCAACATGGTAAAACCCTGTCTCTACTAAAAATACAAAAAAATTAGCCAGGCTGTGGTGGCGCACATCTGTGATCCCACCTACTCGGGAGGCTGAGGCACGAGAATCACTTGAACCCGGGAGGCGGAGGTTGCAGTGAGCCAAGATTGCACCACTGCACTCCAGCCTGGGCAACAGAGCGAGACTCTGTCCCAAAAAAATAAAAAAAAAGAACTCTAGGCTCACACTCATCAGGACGACTGCTATAAACAAGAAAAAAAACAGAAAATAACAAGTGTTGACAAGGATGTGGAGAAACTGGAACATCTGTGTACTGCTGGTGGGAATGTAAAATGGTACAGCTACTGTGGTAAACAGTATGATAGGCTGGGCATGGTGGCTCACACCTGTAATCCCAGCACTTTGGGAGGCCGAGGCAGGCAGATCGCTTGAGGTCAGGAGTTCAAGACCAGCCCGGCCAATATAGCGAAACCCTCTCTCTACTAAAAATACAAAAATTAGCCAGGCATGGTGGCACGCACCTGTAGTCCCAGCTACTCCAGAGGCTGAGGCAGGAGAATCGCTTGAACCTGGGAGGTGGAGGTTCGGTGAGCCAAGATCACGCCATTGTACTCCAGCCTGGGCAACAAGAGTGAAACTCTGTCTCAAAAAAGAAAAGAAAAGAAAAAGAAGAGAAGAGAAAGATGGTAGTTCCTCAGAAAATTAAAGATAGAATTACTATATGATGCTGAAACTCCATTTCTGGGTATATACCCCAGAGAACTGAAAGCAGGATCTCAAGGAGATCTTTGTACACCCATGTTCATAGCAGTATTATTCACAACGGATAACAGATGAAAGCAACTCAAGTGTCCATTGACAGATTAATGGATATGCCAAATGTGGTCTGTACGTACAATAGACTATTATTCAGCCTTAAAAAGGGAGGAAATTCTGACACATGCTGCCACATGGATGAGCTTTGAGGATGTTATGCTAAGTGAAATAAGCCAGTCACAAAAAGACAAAGCAATTCTGCTTATATGAGATTCTTAGTCAAATCTGTAGAGACAGGAGGTGGAAATGGTAGTTGCCAGGGCCCGGGGGAGTGGTGATGGGAGGTTATTATTTAATGGATATGGAGTTTCTGTTCTACAAGATGAAAAGACCAGCCTGGGCAACATAGCAGGACACTGTCTCTAAAAAAAAAATCGTTGGCCGGGCGTGGTGGCTCACGCCTATAATCCCAGCACTTTGGGAGGCCAAGGCGGGCGGATCAAGAGGTCAGGAGATCCAGGCCATCCTGGCCAACATGGTGAAACCTTGTCTCTACTAAAATACAAAAAACTAGCCGGGTATGGTAGTGCACACCTGTAGTCCCAGCTACTCAGGAGGCTGAAGCAGGGGAATTGCTCAAACCCTGGAGGTTGCAGTGAGCCAAGATCACGCCACCACACTCCAGCCTGGCGACAGAGCAAGACTTTATCTAAAAAAAGAAAGAAAGAAAGAAAGAAAATCGTTAAGTTGGTAAATGTGGCTGGATATGATGGCTCATGCCTGTAATCCCAGCACTTTGGGAGGCCGAGGCAGGCAGATCACCTGAGGTCAGGAGTTCGAGACCAGTTTGGCCAACATGGTAAAATGCTGTCTCTACTAAAAATACAAAAATTAGCCGGGCATGGTGGTACACACCTGTGATCCCAGCTACTTGGGAGGCTGAGGCAGGAGAATTGCTTGAACACGGGAGGCAGCGGTTGCAGTGAGCCAAGATCGTGCCACTACCCTCCAGCCTGGGCAACAGAGTGAGACTCTGTCTCAAAACAAACAAACAAAGATGGTAAATGTTACGTGTATGTTATCACAGAAAAAAAAAGTTGGAAAAGAATAAAAGGACTCTAGGTCTGGGGCCTGAGCCACCAGTGGTGTCATGAAGTGAGACACGAGCCTGGGTAGCAGCAGATGAGAGGAACCTGGGGTCTCTGCTTTGGTCCTGTTCTAGACACCCAAGAAGAGATGTCAAGGAGGACATCTGGTATTCGGAAGGACAAAGAAATGTGAGGAAAATGGAGTCATGGGCAGCAGGATGACTTTTAGGGAGGGAGGGAGTCCAGAGCAGGGGAAGGACTGAGGACAAATCCCTGGGTCTCTGCAACACTGAGAAATGGAGCACAAGTGAGGGGGAGCCAGCACCGGAGGCAGGGGCAGAGCAGCCAGTGAGGGGCGGGTGTCTAGAGAAGGGAGCATTTCCAGAAGGACAGAGTGAATGGGCATCTGTGTCTAATGCTGCCAAGGGGTCAACTCAGATGAGGGCAGAGATCTGACTGTGGCATGGCGAGAGCAGCTTTGGGGAGTGCTGGGCAGAGCCTGATTGGAGATGGAAGTGGGGAGTCAGGACAGCCAACGCTTTCAAGGAATTTTGCAATAGAAGGGGAGCAGAGAACTGGGATGATCAGGGGTGGGGTGGTATCAGGAGACTTTGTTTTGTTTTGTTTTTTTTTTTTTTTTTTTGAGACAGAGTCTTGCTCTGTCACCCAGGCTGGAGTGCAATGGCGCGGTCTCGGCTCACTGCAACCTCTGCCTCCTGGGTTCATGCCATTCTCCTGCCTCAGCCTCCTTAGTAGCTGGAACTACAGGCACCTGCCACCACACCCGGCGAATTTTTTGTATTTTTAGTAGAGACGGGGTTTCACTATGTTAGTCAAGATGGTCTCGATCTCCTGACCTTGTGATCCGCCTGCCTCGCCCTCCCAAAGTGCTGGGATTACAGGCGTGAGCCACCTTGCCTGGCCTGTTTTGTTCTTAAAGAAGGAAGATTAGCGGTTTTGGTGGCACACATCTGCAATCCCAGCACTTTGGGAGGCTGAGGTAGGAGGATCATTTGGGCCAAGGGTTTTGAGACCAGCCTGGGCAAGACAAGACCCTGTCTCTACAAAAAATTAAAATATTAGCCAGGCCTGGTGGTGAGCACCTGTAGTCCCAGCTACTTGGGAGGCTGAGGTGGGATTATCTCTTGAGCCCAGGAATTCAAGGTGGCAGTGAGCTGAGATCGTGTCACTGCCTTCCAGCCTGGGCAACAAAACGAGACCCTATTTCTTTCAAAATAAAAGAGGGAAGATGATAATATATTTACATGCTGATAGGAGTAATCTGGTGGGGAAAGCGAAGTTGATAACTTAGGAAGAGAGAGTGTGTGGTAAGCACAGTGTCTTTGATTGGGAGAAAAGCCTGGCCTGGCAAGAGGCAGAATGGGGATAGCCAGTCCCTCTGAGGGGAGGGAACAGGTGCAAGAGAGACTGGGGTTGCTGAGTGAATGAGAAGTGGGTGTACAGGAATAAAAGAGGCAGCCAAGATCCTGCCCTCATAATGCTTACCTTCTGGTCAGGAGGGCAGACAACAGGCATGAACAAAGCCAAGTGGTGGGACCAGGAGTAACTCACTCAAGACCATGGCTCAGCCGGGCGCGGTGGAACACGCTTGTCATCCCAGCACTTTGGGAGGCCAAGGCGGAGGATCACTTGAGGTCAGGAGTTCCAGACCAGCCTGGGCAACATGGTGAAACCCTGTCTCTACAAAAAATACAAAGATTAGGCCGGGCGCAGTGGCTCATGCCTGTAATCCCAGCACTTTGGGAGGCTGAGGCAGGCAAATCATGTGAGGTCAGGAGTTGGAGACCAGCCTGGCCAACGTGGCAAAACCCCATCTCTGCTAAAAATATAAAAATTAGCTGGGCATGGTGGTGCACACCTGCAGTCCCAGCCACTTAGGAGGCTGAGACAGGAGAATCGCTTGAACCTGGGAGGTGGAGGTTGCTGTGAGCCAAGATCACACCACTGCACTCCAGCCTGGGCAACAGAGCAAGGCTTCGTCTCAAAAAAAAAAAAAAGATTAGCTGGGCGTTGTAGTGCGCGGCTGTAGTCCCAGCTTCTCTGGAGGCTGAGGTGGGAGGATCACTCGAGCCTGGAAGGTCAAGGCTGCAATGAGCTGAGATCACACCACTGCACTCCAGCCTGAGTGACAGAGTAAAACCCTGTCTCAAAAAAGAAAATACAGCTCACTTGGATGTGGCAAGTCAAGTGTTGGGGAGGACGTGGGGCAGGAGCACAGTGGGGTGCATGTGAGATTTGGGGTACATCCTCCAAAGGCTCAGAGAGTAAGGGGCAGTCTGAGGATCTCTGGAGAGGGGATGGCAGGGAGGAGATTTGTGGGACACTCTGGCCCACTAGAGGCCTCCTGGATCCCCTCCCCTGTCCCCAGGAGGTGAGGGACATTGGAGAGAGGCGGGAGCCAGACCGTGCGCAGCAGCAGCCTCAGAAGCCCGCGGTGGCTGCAGGGACACAGAGCCTCGGGAACTTCCGGCAGGGCTTCATGAAGTGCTTGCTGGAGGTGGAGAAAATGGAGGCCTCCCATCGGAGAGCCTCGAAGGCCCGGTCCCAGACAGCCCAGAAGTCGCCCAGGACCCTGACCCCGGTGCCCACCTCAGCTCCAAGCCTGCCTCAGACCCCTGCCTCGGTCCCTGCCAGCGGCCCATCGTGGGCCCGGCTGCCAGCTCCTGGGCCAGAACCTGCCCCCATGGGAGCCCCGGTCCCCACCTCCATGCCTTGCCCTGTCCTGCTGGGCCCTGCCCTGGACCTGGGCTGGAGAAGGATGGAACTCTTGCACCAGAGCAGCGAGAGAACCCTGAGCTACGCCAAGGCGCGGTAGGAGCCCCCGCTGCTCACCCGCCCGCTCCTGAAAGGCCCCAAGATCAGAGCCTTGTCCCGGATGCAGGTCCCTGTCCCTGCACCTGCCTGTTCCCTCGTGTGTCCCCCTCTCTCCATTTCTCCTCATGTGTCTCCTCTCCGCATCTCCCATGTCTCTGCCTCCTCTCCCACTTCTGACCCCTTTTCTAACTCCCCCGAAGGGGTCTCCCTCTAGTCCCCTCTCCTCTGTCCCACTTCTCCTCTGGATCTCCTTTTTCCTGCCATTCTTGATCTCTCCGGGCTCCCCAAAGCCTCCCCCACGACCTCCTCCTGCAGGCTCCCCCAACCCCTCCCCTAGCTATCAGCAGGGTGGGCGGCCGGATGTTGCCCTGGGTCGGGGTTCTGTCCTCTGCAGGCAGGAGCCGGAAGAGCAGAGCCTCCAAAAGCTTTATCAAAACCGGGAGAAGTCCGAGGAGCAACTGACCCTGAAGCAAGAGGAAGGTGAGGGCAGGGAGGTCAGGGAGGTCCCAGCACAGGCAGGACCCTTGGTCCTTGGGGGTTTATAGGCGCAGGGCGGACTGGGGTGCTTTCCAGATCACATGGCTGCCGCCATGTGTAGCAGACCCAGCAGGGGTTTTCTGCACTTGGCCTATGGGGCAGGGCAGGGTAGGGGATTGGCTCCAGCTCACAAAGCTGCTGGGTTGGGGGGGCCAGAACTCATGCTGGGTCTTTTTTTTTTTTTTTTTTTTGAGACAGAGTCTCGCTCTGTCACCCAGGCTGGAGTGCAGTGGTGCGATCTCAGCTCACTGCAACATCTGCCTCCAGGGTTCAAGCGATTCTCCTACCTCAACCTCCTGAATAGCTAAGATTACAGATGTGTGACACCACGCCCGGCTAATTTTTGTATTTTTAGTAGAGACAGTTTCACCATGTTGGCCAGGCTGGTCTCGAACTCCTGAACTCAAGTGATCCACCCACCTCAGCCTCCCAAAGTCTGGAATTACAGGCGTGAGCCACCGCGCCCAGCCTCGTGCTAGGTCTTCTGACTCGAAGTCCAGCGCTCTCCCTGTGCCAGAGCTGCCTCTCTGAGAGAATGACAGATGCCCTGCACAGTGCTTTAGGTTTTGGAATAGTTTCTTCTTCCCTTAACCCAAGCCTGCTCTATTGGTCCTCTTCAGAGCACCCTGGATGGGAGACAGGGCCCCAGGAACCCTGCCCATCCTAGATGGTCCCTCACCATTAAACAAGGCCACCAGCCTAAACATGTACCCCATTCCCACTGCATCTCACCTGCACCAAAAAGTTAAAAAGTTCTGAACACCTACCCTGCTCTCTATTGTCCTCAGGAAGGGGCCCTGTGACCCCACTCCCCCATCACCCTGGCCCTAGAAGAATGGATGTACATCCTCCTTCCATCCCCTACTCCTCTCCAAAGCCTGCAACCCTCTTGGCCACAGCGGCCCCTTCCTCTGTCTTCGCTGGATGCTCTCACTAGCTCCCTGTGACCCCATCCTTGAAGTTCACCCCTTCTAGTATTAAAACCCTCTACCAGGGCTGGGCACAGTGGCTCATGCCTATAATCCCAGCACTTTGGGAGCCTGAGGCAGGAGGATCGCTTGAGGCCAGGAGTTCAAGACTAGCCTAAGCAACATAGTAAGACCCCCACATCTACAAAAACTTTAAAAATTAGCCGGACATGGTAGCATAAGCCTGTAGTCCCAGCTACCCAGGAGGCTGAGGTGGGAGGATCACTTGAGCTCAGGAGTTCGAGGTTATGGTGGGCTACAATTATGCCACTACACTCCAGCCTGGGCGACAGAGCAAGACCCTGTCTCTTAAAAATAAAATAATATACAACTCCAACCGGGAGCAGTGGTTCACACCTGTAATCCCAGCACTTTGGGAGGCTTAGGCGGGTGGATCACGAGGTCAGGAGTTCGAGACCAGCCTGACCAACATGGTGAAACCCTGTCTCTACTAAAAATACAAAAATTAGCCCGGTGTGGTGGTGGGCACCTGAAATCCCAGCTACTCAGGGGGCTGAGGCACAAGAATCGCTTGAACCTGGGAAGTGGAGGTTGCAGTGAGCCAAGATCGCGCTACTGCACTCCAGCCTGGGTGACAGAGAGAGACTCCGTCTCAAAAATAATAATAGTAATAGTAATAATAATAATGATATACAACTCCCTAGCCACCTTCCTAAGTGCAGCTCTCCCTGCCCCACCTCCTTGAGCAGTTCATGAACAACATGCCACTTTGACTCAGAGACTCAAGGTCCCACAGCTCCCAATCCCTGTCTGGTAATTGAAGGGCCGACTGCCCTGCTCCAGTGGCTCAAACCACCAGGCATTCTGAGCGATCACACCTGCTTCTGAGAGTTGCTCTGGTTTTTCCTTCTGTGGTGTGCCTGCGCACGACAGGTCACCACGTGCCCCAACACCAATCCTAGCCCCACCTCTTCCCTACCATTCAGCGCTGTTTGTCAGAGACTTCCAGGCTAACAGAGGCTATTGTGTGCCAGCACTGAGTTCATAGAATACTTCCAAGAGGGTGCCCTGTTGTCATGGCCATCGTACAGATATGGATATAGAGGCTCACATGAATGCAGCAGCCTGCCCATGCCCACCGTCCCAGTCAGCACGGGCTGCCTTAACAAAGGACCACAGACTGGATGGTTGAAACAGCAGACATTTCTTTTGTCACAGGCTGGAAGTCCAAGATCAGGGGGTCGGCAGGTTGCTTTCTTCTGTGGCCTCCCTGCTTGGCCTGCAGACAGCTGTCTTCTCACTGTCCTCATATGGTCTTTCATCTGTGAATGGGCAACCCTGGTATCTCTGTGTGTGTCCAAATTTGCGTTTATTATTTATTTATTTATTTGAGACAGGGCCTTGTTCTGTCACCCAGGCTGGAATGCAGTCATATGATCCTACCTCACTGCAGCCTCCACCTTCGGGGATCAAGTAATCCTTCCACCTCAGCCTCCTGAGTAGCTGGGACTACAGGCATGTGCCACTGTGGCTGGCTAATTTCTAAAATTTTTTGTAGAGATGGAGTCTCTTATGTTGCCCAGGCTGTTCTCGGACTCCCAGACTCAAGTGATTCTACTGCCTCAGCTTCCCAAAGTGCTGGGTAGATGGTGTAAGCCATCGCACCTAGCCCAAATTTTCTTTTTGTATGAGGACTCCAGTTGGATTGGATTAGGGCCCACCCTAAAGGCCTCTTTTTAACTTTCTCACCTCTTTAAAGGCCCTATCTTCAAACACAGGCACATTTGGAAGTACTGGAGTTAGGGCTTCAACATAAGAGCAATCCGGCTCATTAAATGGCAGAGCCAGGCCGGGCGCAGCGGCTCATGCCTGTAACTCCAGCACTTTGGGAGGCTGAGGCAGGAGAATCACATGAACCCGGGAGGCGGAGGTTGCAGTGTGCCAAGATTGCACCACTGTACTCCAGCCTGGGTGACAGAGTGAAACTCCATCTCACCAAAAAAAAAAAGAAAAGAAAAAAGGGCTGTGGTCCCCTTGACTCACTCTGCTGTCTATTCCATATCCAGGCCAAGGGTTTGGTTTGAGTGCCAACAGCTCAGCTAATTAGTAGCCTCCACTCAGTGCCAGTAGCCCACCCACTTTAGGGCACCCTACTATGTGCCAGACACTGGACTAGGCTCTTTACAGCCATGTTCTCAAAAGAGTAGAATGCTTATTCCTGTTGTAACAATGGGGAAACTGAGGCTCAGAGGTTAGATGACTGGACAGTTTTTCTGACTAAGTCTGTCCCTAGATCTTGGTCACCTATCTGGATGGACAAGGTTGCAAGGATCGCTGCATTGTGTGGACCAGAGCAGAGGATGGGAAGGGTCTGAGAACGTCCCAGAGCAGCACCGATACAAAGGCCGTGTACTAGTCAGACTGTGTGGTGTCAGGTTTCTCAGCCCCATTGCAAAATCTGGGTTGGAGTCAATAGAGGGTCTTACTCTGTTGATCCAGCTGGAGTGCAGTGGTGTGATCATGGCTCACTGCTTCCTGGATCTCCTGGGCTCAAGGGATCCTACTGTCTGAGCCTCCCCAGTAGCTGGGACTACAGGTGCACACCACCATGCCCAGTTTTTTTTTTTTTTTTTTTTTTCATTTTTATTTTTATTAGAGATGGGGTCTCCCTGTGTTGCCGTGGCTGGTCTTGAAATCCCAGGCTCAAGCAATCCTCCTATCTCAGCCTAGCTGAGTGTTGTAGCTGGGACAACAGTCATGCACCGCCACGCCCAGCTAAGTTTTGTATCTTTAGTAGAGATAGGGTTTCACCATGTTGGCCAGGCTGGTCTTGAACTCCTGGCCTCAGGTGATCTGCCTGCCTCAGCCTCCCAAAATGTTGGGATTACAGGTGTGAGCCAACGCACCCAGCAATTTTATTTTCACTTTTGATGGTGGAGGAGGCTGGCAGGAGGGTGGTTGGGGTAATGGGATGAATGACAGAAACAAGAAATGCCCCCACTCCACATAACCCTGCCCTCCCCACAGCCTTCCGCAGCTACTTTGAGATCTTCAATGGTCCTGGTGAGGTGGATGCACAGAGCCTGAAGAATATCCTGCTCCTAATGGGCTTCTCTGTGACGCTGGCCCAGGTGGAGGACGCCCTGATGAGTGCTGATGTCAATGGTGAGTGGCAGAGGGCTCCACTCTGCATCCCAGGCAGGGCCTGCTTCACTGGCTTGAAACCTGTGCAGTTGCATGAGGCTCTGCACCTAAAGGATCCTGTGCTTGGTTTAATGCTCTACTGTCACAGTCTAGAAATGCCTTTGTTGTTCTTGTTGTTTGAGACGAGGTCTGGTTCTGTTGCTCAGACTGAGTATAATGCTGTGATCCCTGCTCACCACAGCCTCGACCTCCTAGGCTCAAGCAATCCTGCCACCTCAGCCTCCTGAGTAATTGGGGCTATAGGCGCACTACCATGCCCAGCTAACTTTTTATTTTTTGTAGAGATGGAGTCTTTGTTGCCCGGGCTGGTCTCAAACTCCTGGACTCAAGGAATCTGCCTGCCTCAGCCTCTCAAAGTGCTGGGATCACAGGCGTGAGCCACCGCACCCAACATCATAGAAATTCTTAACAATTTTTCTTTTTTTCCTTTTTTTGGTTTTGTTTTTTTGTTTGTTTTTGCAACAGAGTCTTGCTCTGTCGCCCAGGCTGGAGGGCAGTGGCACGATCTTGGCTCACTGCAACCTCCACGTCCCAGGTTCAAGCGATTCTCCTGCCTCAGCCTCCCAAGTAGCTGGGATTACAGGTGTGTGCCAACACTCCTAGCTAATTTTTGTATTTTTAGTAGAGACGGGATTTCACCATGTTGGCCATGTAGGTCTCGAACTCCTGACCTCAGGTGATCCACGCACCTCGGCCTCCCAAAGTGCTGGGATTACAGGTCTGAGCACTTTCAGCTTGTACTTTCCTGTGTGCCCCATGTTTTCTGCATTGAGTATGCACTGCTTGATAATCAGACCCAGACAGTGACTTCTAATAACCACGCCTGGGCTGCAAGGCATGGACCTGCTCCGAAGGTCCCTGCCCACCCTACTCCTCTGGCCTCCACAGGAGATGGTCGTGTGGACTTCAAAGACTTCTTGGCTGTGATGACAGACACCAGGCGCTTCTTCTGCTCTGTGGGTGAGCAGGGATGAGCCCAGCGTAGTCAGAACTGGAGGAGGGGCTGGGAGGTTGGTTGCGGGGAGAGAAGAGGGCATTCAGGACTGCCCAGTGGTAACGGCAGCCACTATCCCATGTCTCCAGAACAGAACGCCCTGTCGGACATGGCTCCCCACAACCCCCACACTCTACTCTTTGAGATCCTGTCCCTGCTGGTAGAGATGCTGGCCTTACCAGAGGCAGTCTTAGAGGAAATCACAAAGTGAGTGGGGCCGGTTGTTGGGGGTGAAGGGTTGTGGACACAGAGGTGGCATCTAGCATTTTGGCACTGAGAACTTTTGGTAGTTACGACTTTTAGTCACAAGTGAAAGAAACTGGAGGCTGAGGCACGAGAATCGCTTGAACCCAGGAGGTGGAGGTTGCAGTGAGCTGAGATTGAGCCACTGCACTCCAGCCTGGGTGACAGAGTGAGACTCTGTCTCAAAAAAAAAAAAAAGAAAAAAAAGAAAAAAACTAGAATAAAACTAGCTTAAGCAAAAGGGGAATGTATGGCTCAAATCACTGGTTGGGTCCTCAGGTCTAGTGGGATCCCAGAGACCAAATGATACCAGTAAGGCTTTCTCTCTCCACCTATCCATGTCTGTGCGCACTGGCTTTGAGCTCAGCTAGGCTCTCCCTACAGAGGGAGGGATGGTAGCTGGCGGCCCCATGCTTACACCCTCCTAGTGCAGCAAGAGGAATTCTTTCCTGCAGCATGCACTGAGCAGTCCCAGGAAAGGAATTCGATGGACCCTATCTGGGTCAGAAGACACAAAAGCCTCCACGTGTCTCCAGGGCAGGTGGGTGGGTAGGTAGTGGTTCATCTAAGGAAGAGATAGCCATAGGTGAAACAACATGAACATTCCAGGGCTAGAAGCAAAGGCGAAGGCAGAACAGTCCAGCTGACCTTCAAATAGCAATTTCAGGCCCTCATGCCTCAGAGGAGCCCGAGCCTCCATTTCCTGTCTTTGAAATGAACATATTTTAATGCTTGTTGCTCAATAAATGCTAGCTTTCAGGAGAGGTGGCCGGGTCTCGCTCTGTCGCCCAGGCTGAAGTGTAGTGATACAATTACGACTCACTGCAGCCTTGACCTCCTGGGCTCAATCAATCCTCCCACCTCAGTTTCCCGAGTAGCTGGGATTACAGGCGCGTGCCACCATGCCCGGCTTCCCAAAGTGCTGGGATTACAGGCATGAGCCACCACATCCAGCCAAAAGGCACTTTGTTGCTGGGCAAGATGGTGTGTGCCTGTAGTCTAGCTACTCAGGAGGCTCAAGGGGAAGGGCTGCTTGAGCCCGGGAGTTCGAGGCTGCAGTGAGCCATGATGGCACCACTGCACTCCAGCCTTGGTGACAGAACGAAAGTCCATCTCTTAAAAAAAAGAAAAGCCAGGCATGGTGGCTCATGCCTGTAATCCCAGCACTTTGGGAGGCCGCGGTGGGCGGATCACAAGGTCAGGAGATCGAGAGCATCCTGGCTAACATGGTGAAACCTCGTCTCTACTGAAAATACAAAAAATTAGCTGGGCGTGGTGGCGGGTGCCTGTAATCCCAGCTACTCGGGAGGCTGAGGCAGGAGAATGACGTGAACCCAGGAGGCGGAGGTTGCAGTGAGCTGAGATGCCACCACTGCACTCCAGCCTGGGCAACAAGAGCGAAACTCCATCTCAAAAAAAAAAAAAAAAAAAAAAAAAAAAAGAATGGCAGCTCAGAACTGCCAGAAGAAAGGGAAAAGCCTGTATAGCTCATCTACTAACACCTTTGGCAAGGGTGCCCCACAGGTGCTTAACTCCCCGACACTTCTGGGTTGCACGTGTGTCAGAGAATCCCTGGGGCAGGAAGCAAGAGGCTCAGGCCTGAGGTGAGACCCGTAGGGTTGTCCCTGTGCAAAGCTAGTTGAAGCCTGTGTGAAAGTGGCCACTGCGGCACCCTTGGCCCACGGTGTTAGTAGACGGCTGGAGTAAGAGGTGCGGCTGAGGCTATGATACAGGGACCCTGTGTGGATGTCTCTTTCACTACTCTTTTCCAATCACTTAGAAGAGTGGCCAGGACACAGTGAACATTCAGTGAATACTTACTAAATGAATGATGTTGTAGTCTAGCGGGGGAAAAGGCAAGCAGTGAGTTAAGAAAATCAAGTGGGTTGCGGGCTATAATTGGGTAACTACAGGTTGCAGGGGGCCTCCAGCGGGAGCCTAGCTACTCTGTAGGGTAGGGGTGGGGATAGGACAGAGAAGATTTTCTGGAGCAGAGTCCTTAACTTGAAATCTGGAAGATGAGCAGGAGTTAATTGCACAGATAAGTACTTGCACATCTAAGTAAATGTATCAGTGATAAAATCATAGGTAATCATAGGTAATGCAGTGGCTCACGCCTGTAATCCCAACACTTTGGGAGGCCAAGGTGTAAGGATTGCTTGAGGCAAGGAGTTTGTGACCAGCCTGGGCAACACAGCGAGACCACGTCTCTACACAAAATAAAAAAATCAGCTGGGTGTGGTGGTTGGTGCCTATGGTCCCAACTACTCAAGAGGCTAGGGCAGGACGATCAGTTGAGCCCAGGAGTTTAAGGCTGTAGTGAGGCCATGTTCACGCCACTGCACTCCTGCCTGGGTAACAGAGTGAGACTCTGTCTCCCCGCCACGCCCCTCCCCAAAATAATAGGTAACATGTACAAAGCATTTTCCGTGTGCCAGACACCATGCTGCGTGCTTGATGGGCCTTGTTAATTCATCCTTGTTATTTAATCCTACGGCATGTGAACTGTCTGATCTGTTTTACCCAACGGAAACTTGAAGCTCAGAGAAGTCAAGTCACTTGCATTGACAGGGTAGAGAGAACCCCTTCCCTCCATTTTACACAGGGTGACTGAGGCCCAGAGCAGGGCAGTGACTTGCTCATGGTCACAGAAAGGGCTGAGCTGAGACTAGAAGCCAGGTTTCCTGACTCCTAGGCTTGTGTTCCTGCTCCAGAGCTGGCCAGAGAGATAGGGGCTGAGGAGGAGAAGGGTGAATTAAACACAGCCAGGCTGAGATGGGTGGGCACTGCCTCCCCAGCTACTACCAGAAAAAGCTGAAGGAAGGCACCTGCAAGGCCCAGGAGATGGAAGCGGCCGTAGGCCGGCTGCGGTTGCAGAAGCTTCCCTACAACCCCCAGCAAGAAGAGAGCTCAGAAGTTCCAGAACGAAAGGTCCTCAGTATCCTGAGCCGGCTGAAGCAGCAGAACTATGGTGAGGGCCCTGGGCAGGGTGGGATGGGCTAGGGTTGGGGCTTTGCTCTCTTGCCCATCTGGTCTCCTTTCCTTGGACCCTCAGGCAGCCAGGCCAAGGGAGCTGAGAGGCCAGTTTCCCACTTCGGGCTTAACTGTGTACATCAGAAAACAGGCTGATAATCACTATTTTCCATCCAGGCCTATGACAATGGCCTCCTGCGTTGGACTCCTCCCCTCCTGCCTTAGCCTGAGCACAGGTTGGTCCCATGAGCCAGGACTGAGAAAGAACAGCTGTAGAGATTAGCAATCCCAGCTCACTGTTTATTGAGTGCCCACTGTGCTAGGCCCTTTGCAGATGCTCTAGAATTTAATACTCATAATCATGTATTTACCCCATTTTACAGATTAGAAAAATGAAACTGACCCAGGCACAGTGGCTCACATCTGTAATCCCAGCACTTTGGGAGGCCGAGGTGGGCGGATCACCTGAGGTCAGAAGTTCGAGACCATCCTGGCCAACATGGTGAAACCCCATCTCTAAAAAATTAGCCAGGTGTGGTGGCGAGCACCGGTAATCCCAGCTACTCTGGAGGCTGAGGCTGGAGAATCGCTTGAACCCGGGAGATGGAGGTTGCAGTGAGCCGAGATCACGCCATTGCACTCCAGCCTGGGGGACAAGAGCAAAACTCTGTCTCAAAAAAAAAAACAAAAA
The DNA here is from genome assembly GCF_000001405.40 of Homo sapiens. NCBI lineage: Eukaryota > Metazoa > Chordata > Mammalia > Primates > Hominidae > Homo > Homo sapiens. The sequence goes on along the minus strand of NC_000001.11, from coordinate 16,400,026 downwards.
TGAAACTGATAAAGTTCAGCAATTTGCCCAATGCCCCTAACTAGTGTTTTGGAAAGGGGAGTTTATATCCAGGTCTGACCCCAAAATCTATGCTCTTTCCACTGGGCAAGCCTGCCTCCCTTCCCCCAGGTACCATTTATTAGACTCCTACTATGTGCCAAGTAACAGGATAGGAGCTTTGCAGTCTTTCTAGAGCATGCCTACTAGACTTTGCCAACACCCATCACAAAGTCCTCTGCTCCTTGTTAAGCTGTTACCAGCTCTTATTCTGTGTGCAGCACTGAGCTGAGTGCTTTGCATATATTTCTCCTTTAATCCTCATCATCAACTTTTGTGAGGTGGGTACCACTATCACCTCCAGCTCAGAAGCTTAGAGAGGTTAAGTGACTTGCCCCAAACCACTCAGGTCATTATGTAGCAACGCCAGGATTTCACTTGAATCTGCCTGCTTCCCAAGGCTGGGCATGCTGTGAAGCATTCCTCCTTCTGCCTCCTTCTTCACCAGCTCCCAACCTGCAGAGCCCCTATGCCCAGGTGCCCTGCATCCTGCTCTGCCCACAGCTGGACAAGAAGATGGTCCGTAGGCAGCCGAGCAACCACTATGCACTAGACCAGTGCACACCCCCTGGCCTGGATCCTGACATCCGCAGCCCCTTCTTCCAGTCAGGATCTCAAGGAAACAGGTGGGTGCCCAGAGAAAGGGTCCCAGCCCAGGCCCTTCCAGATTCTTCCTTAAGAGGCCCCTGGCCTAATGCCTGGGAATCCATCTTTCTAAGAGATCATACCTGAGAGGCTGCTTGCTCCAGGGAGGAGAAAGGGTAAAAGGCGAAGAAGACAAACCTTTGTTGAGGGCCTGTGTACCCAGCAGATTGTTCCACTGAAGCCAGAGTGCTTCTGCTTTCCTGTGTCCAGGACTCAGTGGCACCTAACTGAGTACTCTGAGTTCCCTATGGTTCCATATTAGGACTAGCAGACTGTGCACCTGGGCAGAGGGGAACGTCTCCTGCAGCAGTCCCCCTCCAGGCCGCTGGGGAAGGGAGCTCTGGACTTGGAATCAGGCCCCTAAGCACAACTGCTGGTTCCACCATTTCTGAGGGGAGGCCTCCTCTCTCTCCTCACTTGGGCACGCACAGATGGCTCATATACTGGCAGATAGGGAAAGGGCCACATGTCTCCCACCCTTCTGCCCTACTCCTCTCCCCAGGGAACACAACTCTGACAGCAGAAAGTGGCTCAGCTCTGTGCCAGCTCGAACCCACTGACCCTCTGGAGGCCTGACTCTAGGCAGCTGCTCAAGGCCTGTAGACAGATGGGCCACCAGGCAGGAGCTGCTGCTGGGATTTGCTTTTGTGGCCTGGTGAGCTAATAAACACCAATAACTTCAGCCTCTGTGCCTCTTGCCAAGAAAGGCCCTCAAGTTGTCACCCAGCCACCACTGGGCTCTCAGAGTGCAGGGTTCCACCTCAAAGCCCTGCGCGGGGTTGGGATTTCTGCTACAGGTGCCCCTGCGTGCAGTCTTGACCTTCTGTGCCTTCTCAAAGCACAGGGCTAGGCCTCTCCTCAGGTGAGCACATCCCCCTCTGGACTGGGAGCCCCACAAAAGCAGCCATTCTCTCTCTCCACTGGCTCTAAGACAGGCCCTGTGGAAGAGCAGGAGGTGGCCTCTGCATGCTCCCCCGACAGAGCCCCAGGACCCAGGGCTCTCATTCTCTGGGAGCCCCAAGAGGGGTGGGTCCTTTCCCCTCAACCCACATACCACCCGGCCTCGTGTTTTACCAAAGACAGTCTTTCCCTGGGACTGGGCAGAGGGAAATCCCCCAGGGTTAAATAAGCGGCCACAGCAAGAGGTAGAGGGCAGGGACTGAAATGAGGACAAAGATCTGACAAGTTTAAAACATGTATTTAAAATACAATTTATAAAATGCTTAATCTGCCGACTCAGGAGCCCGCGGTGCAGGGTGGGGTGGGAGTGGGCAGCTGCCCGCTACACCAGCAGAGTAAGACTGCAGGGGTGCAGCCCTCCCTCCCATGCCCTTCTGTTCAGACACCCAAGGGGCCCATGTGCACCCCTGGGATCACACGACCAGAAAACAGGACCCCAGAGGTTTCTTGAGTCTCTGCTTACCAGGGAGGCTGGGTACAGCCCTGCCAGCCCATCCCTGAGCAGGGCACCCCCAGATGGGGCAGAGCAGGGTATGGCTGGGCAGGGCAGGGCTGGGCGGGGCAGATGGGCTCTGGAAGGGGCTGATGGTAGCAGATAGGGTGTTGCCTCCTGCCTGCAGGTGGGGAGCACCCTGATTGAGTGGGCTGAGAAAGGTTGGTCACCAGGCCTGGACCCCCCAGCTCCTTTGGTTATAGGCTGACATCAGAGTAGTGGCTCATGGGAAGCGGTTAGCTGGAAGGTCTGAGGCCTGGCCCATGGGGTCAGGGAGGAGCTGGGGGAAGGGGACAGTACCGTGAAGGCAGATAAAGGGGCAGCAGCCTCAGGTTTCTGCCCCCCATCCCCCTGGGGTTTTCCAAGCCAAAGCCTGCAACTTACTTTAAAAAAGAAAAGGAAAAAAAGCACTTAGGAAAGTTACAGACAACTACCCCCAAAAAATACCCTCCCACACACAAAATCCAAACCGTTTCCTCATCTCCCTCCCGCCTCCCCCGACACAATACAGTTTCCTGTTTTCTTTCTTTTTAAAAACGTTGCCTGCTACCTCTCCATTTGGGAAGCCCAGGGCATGACTGCTGGTGGGTGGTGACAGGCACACAGCGGGCAAAGCCCATCTTTGGCCAGAGGGAGGTGGGAGGACCAGTCCCTGCCACATCCTCAATCCACAGACACCCACCAGCCAGCCTTTACTTTGGCCTCCCACTAGAGGGTAGTGGGGCAAGAACAGGTGGTCCCAATGGCTGGGCAATCAGCACTTCTGGCGTTCCCACCTGGACTACCTCTATACCCTTCTCCAATTAAAAGGAAAGTCTCACTTTGGGCGGGAAACCACTATTACATAAGGGATGGACACTACACATTTAGAATGTGGACACTTGGTTAGGGCAGTGGAACTATAAAGATAGCAGCCAGTTTTCTTCCTTGCCTTCTCCTGAAGGTAATCCTCCCTCTTACTGACTGAAGCTCTGGTTCCAGCTCTGCTCATGGGCAATGCCTGGCTTTACAGTTATAAGGCTGTGCTATGGACTAGCTGCTGACTCAGCTGGCAGCTGGCCCTTCCTCCGGAGGAGAGGACGTGTTGGGGCATGGCTTACTGGGCCTGGCCTACCATTCCCACAGGGAACCAACGAGGGAGTGAGCCTGTGAGACTCAGCTTGCCACCTTGGCCACCACGTGCTGCCCTCATCACAAAAACCACACCAACCACTCCGAAACGTATCTGCTGGTCAGGAGCAGGGAGGCTGTCTGGCTGGCTGAGGGATAAGGCGCAGTGCAACGGAAGGGATCAGGAAGCCTGAGAGGAGCCAGGTACACACAGCTGCTCTGGGCAGCTGCCCTCTTAGTCTCTTCCACCTCAAGGAGCCAAAGCAAACCCCAGGCTCCAGGGACAGAGGATAAACTGCCTTCATTCCAGGCCCTCGCTCTGGAAAAAGGGGTGACGGGTAGCCTAGGCCTCTGAGGAACCAGTCTGTCATCAATCTTTGCAAAGCAAAGCTGTTCTTTTTCCAACTTTATTCAGAATGTTCTGCCTTCAAGGTACTGATTGCACACAGGAAATGTACCAGGTATAGTTACTGAGCTGGGGCCACCAATGGAGATGGAGCACTGCAGACCCCTAAGAGTTCAAGCCATGCTGGAGTGGGAAGACCTATCCACCTTCTGAACATACGAGGCAGAAGGCTCAGAGTCCTGGAGGCAGACTCTCTCCTGGTTTTCCTTGTGCTGATGGCAAAATACTAAACAAGTCTTCTCTCCGTCACTTCTAAGCCCAGGGATGCAATCTCACTCCCTGGCACTCTGCTTTCTTCTAGAAGTAGTAAGCCTGGCTGGTAGGGAACCACCCTGAGGGGTATGGGAAGGGGAAGTCGGTTCACTTTCCCTATCTCCCAAAATACTAGAGGTGGGGTTGGCACCCTCCCCAGGCTCTCCGAGCCTACAGAGCTAGCCCAGTCTCCAGGCAAGGCCCAGATGCCCTGGGACTTAGCTCGGGGAGGGAGGTATAGGCATGGGGTGCTCGTCTGTCCTGGCGGCTGCAGAGCCCTGCCCCTTTTCTGGGCGGCAGTAGGAATACAGAAGCTAAGCTCACCAAAATCCTATTGGTTAATGTTTCTAGTGAATTTCCCAGAAACATTTTTAAGTAGACTACCAAACTACCCTTTCTTAATTAAAAATTCATTAAACCACTAAAACCCCTCCCATGCACTTTTTCTTGCAAATCAGATATTTGTATAAACAAACAAAAATAGGAAGAAAAAAAAAAGAAAGGATATTTTCAAATGGAACTTACTTTTTAAGTGATGGAGACATGCACTTGGGGGTGGGTGGGTGTGAGTTTTCATTTGTGTTTTGAAATCCCAAATTAATGAGCATGATAAACTGTTATTGCTGGCACTGGCTTTACCCCAAGTGGCCAAGTGGCACTGTCTGACTCTCTGAGTCCTTGCTGGGTCCCCCCAACCTTCCCCTAACCCCCACCCTTTCCCTTTCCATTGACTTGGGACAGCCCTTGTCGATGTGCCAATCACAGTGGGAAGGGGGAGAAGGGGGGAGGTCACAGTGCATGGGGTTCAAGGTCACAGTGGGCGGAGCAAGGGGGATCACAGTGCAAGTAAGTCAGGTCGTTCCCTCTGCTCAAGTCCAGCTGTCTGCCACGGCAGTGCAACCCGTGGCGGACGACCCAGGAGGCGGTGACGGCAGCAACGGCGGCATCTTTTCTTGCCTGCATTTATCTGCGCTGTTTGAAGCCTTGAGACCCATCAGGACCCAAAGGCTGTCTGATCACATTATTGGGCTGCCTGCTGTCTTCGGGTTGGGAGATCCTGGTTGGCCTGAAAGGAAGAAAAGCAGAGGAAGGCCTGAAGAAGGATATAATAGATGTCCCCCATCATTTCTTTATTTTTTATTTATTTTTGAGACGGAGTCTCATTCTGTCACCTAGATTGGAGTGCAGTGGCACGATCTCCGCTCACTGCAACCCCCACCTCCTGAGTTCAAGTGATCCTCCTACCTCAGCCTACCGAGTAGCTGGGACTACAGGCATATGCTACCACACCCAGCTAATTTTTGTAATTTTAGTAGAGATGGGGTTTCACCATGTCGGCCAGGCTGGTCTTGAACTCCTGACCTCAAGTGATCCGTCCACCTCGGCCTCTCAAAGTACTGGGATTACTGCACCTGGCCTAGATGTCCCCCATCTTAAAATCAACTGTCCATATAGCTGGGCCCACGTCACTCTGGCTCCGCAAGCCTGCTTCTTTGGGAAGCTGACTCAGGGCACCTCCAAGTTGAGAGGCCCCTGTGAGCAGGCAGGGTCGGTGGTGCACATTCACCTCTAGCAGCTACAGCATCCTTTCCCCCTGCTCAGCTGCCATCATGCACTTGTAGGCAGGGGGAGTGCTTGAGGGCCCACTCTGCCCAGAGGCAGTGACCATGGATAGCACATGCTCCGCAGAACCATTTGGAATCTCCAGAGTGTTAGGCCAAAGTAAAGAACTGGAATCAAGAGCTCAGCAGAGGGACACATCCCCCGCCCCCCAATTCTTCCCTCCCACTCCTCTCCAAACTCTGCGGTTAACGGTTGACTCATATGACTATTTTTCCACCCTGGAAAGGTGAAGACTTAGAGGAGAAACAACAAAAAGAACAGGTATCTCTTCAAAATTATGAAGAGCTAGAAAGAAGGTACGCAGATTTTTTCTTCAAGTCCCAGAATACCAAACCATAGCAGCCCCTCAAAGTTAGAAGGAGGCCATCTTAATGAATACTGTTTGATTCGAAAGTGATAAACTTATATGATGCAACCTTTAATACTGCAGAGAAAAAAATGTTAAGAGTAAAAAGGAATTTAGAAAATTCACAAAAACATCACAGTGGGCATACTGGAGACCCAGAAAATATCATCAAAGCACTTATCTGGGGTACTTTCCACTCTGCCAGCCCAGGCTCTCCACATCCTATGCTCATTTACTCACTGAATTGCACAACACCTTGATAAGGTTGGTACTATTATTATCCCATTTTTTCAGATGAGAAAACTAAGGCCCAGAGAGGTCAAGTCGTTCTAAAGAAGAGGTAAGAGGCAGATTTTGACACAAGCTCATCTGTGCCTTCACTCTCTACACAACAGTGCCCCCGGTGACTACCAACCGCAGAGGGAGCATGCCAGCAAACTGCCACCTCCTCCCTGGCAAGGCTTTCAGAGCCCTCTCCAGCCAATGCGGCACAGTGAACTAGTGCCAGCAGGCTGGGATCAGCAAGTGGAGCTGCATGGTTCCTACCCTGACTCTGCTTGCTTCTCACTACTCTACACGCAGCCAGGATGCTCTCCTCTTCCCGGGTGGACTGGGACAGCCATCACTGGCCGGCCCTGCCAGCCACACTCACCTGTCGAGGATGGGTTTCTCCTGCTCCTCCTCGGGGCTGGCGCTGCCCAGGATCCGCTTCCGGGCCTCGGCGTACTCGGCCTCTCGCTGTGCTAGGGACTTGACTGGAAGGGTGGGCCTGCTGGTGGAGTTGGGGCTGCTGACCACACCGTTGCTGGTGGGCCTCTTGAGGATGCGGATCTGTGGAGGGGGCCCCGCGGGAAGGCTATCGTCCTGAATCACAATGGGCACTTTGGGAGGAGATTTGGATTTCCTGCTGACAAAGAGCAAACACAGCTTCACAAATCATGCTCCTGACTAAGGAGGCCCTGTCCATGTCCCACACCCACCTCTCATCACTTTCCTCTCCCTCCCTAATTCTACCCATGCATGATTCTCTGGCCTCTGACCAGACAGCAAAATTTCCACTCCTCAAGAAGGGTGTCCCAAAAAAGTAAGCTTGCGACCAGCTCTGACAGGCCACAGGAACTGCTCCTCAGCCCTAACCCCTGGCCACAGGGGCTGGAACGCCACCTCATTCTGGCACTTCTATCCCCATGTTCACCACAGCCACATCAACCACTATTTGGCCCTGCAGCAAAACAGTTTATGTCCAGAATTGAATGACGTCAGTTAAGATCCCAGCTTCTCTACGCAGATCAGAGTAGGACTGGCTGGTGGGGTGGGAGCCTTTGAACTTGGGGGTCAGCAGTGTTCACTCAGCCAAATCTTCCATCACATGCTCAAACCAGACAAACACTACAAAGGAGCCCACTACGCCATCCCTGCCTGGCATCAAGATTTACCAAGCCACCTTCTAGTGAGAGTGACCTGTGCCTCCCAGAGACAAGCTACACCAGACAACTGAATCCTCTTCAAAAAGCTTCTGAACAGAGAAACCTCCCTTGCCAGGGCTCCCTGGTCTTTTGGACAGCGGCGGGGCTGGAGTGAAGGATGCTCCTAGAAACAGTGCTTGGCAATGCTCAAAAGAAAAGCATTGTCCAAGGCTGGTGGACGCGTACATCAAGGCGATGTGTCCACAGGGAGAGGTGGAATGACAAAAAACAAAGAGGGACAACAACACAGGAAGGGAAAGAAACAAAAGCCACAGGAGGAGACAGGAACCCAGGCAGGAATGACCACCCGACAACAGCCACCAGGACCCTACCCAGAGCAGTCAACCAGCTTCTCTTCAGAACCAAACAAGCCTGCTTCCAGAGCCTTGGCTGTCAGGAGGAGTCGGGATTGGAGGAACTGAGCCAGGGTGGATGGAAACAAGTCTCGGGTAGGACACAAATGGTATGGAACGAGGACTGTAACCCAGGGTTAGCGTGGTTGCTGAGATGAGCAGACAGACAAGGAGCCAGCAATCTGATCAAAGAGGCAGGGAGCCAGGAAAACTAGCGGGCGGGCAGAGCACCCAGAGTTTCCTGGGGAATGACTGTGCAGCCCCGTGAGCAAATCCAGAGGGGCCCTATCCTCCTTCCTGTCCCTTGTACCTATGGAAAACCAACAGGTTCCCTAAGCCCAAAAGCAGAAAGCCGAAGTCAACTTTCACCTACTCTGGAAACACCCTCCTCTGTCGTCTAGGTGGAAAACAAAGCTATTTTTAAAGGTTTTTTCAAGAATTTCCTAGAATGTTTTCTTCCAGGATACCCTCATAATACCCTAGACCACCAAGTCACTGGGGACCCAGAGAAATCATCTGCCCACACTCCTCATGCCACAGAGAAAGAAACTGATGTCCAGATCTGGGAAATGACTTGCCCCAGACCTCAGAGCAACTGGGGCACTGCCAGGCCTAAAACTCAAGTCTTCCAACTTGTCACTTCCTCACATTGCATCAGATGACCTCACACAGGGAGCCCACGAAGGTCAGAGGCAGGTGCAACACCCCAGCCTCAACCCTAAAGCCTCAAGCCACCACGTCCTGGTCTCCAATTTGGAGGGAAGGGTTTGCTGCCCCAGAGCCTGACCTGCTAGGACCTGCTAATCCTAATGGCCAGCTGGAGAACACCACTGACTGCCCGGCTCTCAAACCACAGAGAGCATGAGCCCTCAGACCAGACAGCAGCCTTACCTCTCTTTTTGTGTGATCTTCAGTTTTTTTTCCAACCGTCTGTCTATTTCCTAGAGGAAAAAAATGTATATAAAAAGAGGAAAAAATCTCTCTCAAATAAAAACTTAGTCTTTATTTTTGGAGCTAAGGGCAGTGTCCTTTCTCTAGCCAGGGACATGACTGTGTCCTTCAACATAACAAATGTGGACTAGATTTTGGGGTTTGGGGACCTGATACCCTCTGCAGGTCCATCTCCCTTCTAGCCCCATGGCCGCCATGACAGTTCTAAACCTCATTGTTCAGCTGGGTTCTTTGCATAGCCTCCAACCAGTTTTCTGACCTGTAATCTGTCTTTCACAGAGCCACTCATATCAACTTCTAAACCTAAACTTAGGAACACTTACTCTATTTTATGAAATAAAGAGTTGGAAAAAAAATTAAACATAAATCTGATCATGTCACTTCCCTACTTTAAACCCTTCAACTGCTTGCAGACCTAGTCAAAGCTTCTGAGCATGCCTCACCCATACCTTCTTTTACCTTCTGTCTCTGTTTTGCTATCACTAGCCCCCAGAACTCAGCATGCTGTTCCACCTGCCTGCAATGTCCCCTCCCCTTGCAAACTCCCATTGATCCTGCACAACCCAGCCTGGATGTCTACCTCTCCTTTATAAAGTCTCCTCTGATCCCACCAGCATGGTGCATCACCTGGTCCTCAGAATAAACTCTCCCTTTTACATTCCTTTATGGTCATATCTAATATTTTAATAATGTATTTTTTACTGTTACGGACTTGAACTCTCTGTGACTGGCACCTACCGAAAGGCTTAGAGTAAAACCTATGCCTTATGTTTGTGGCTTTGGAGGTCCATGGTCTACAAGTGAACATGGGGAACCTGAGGAAGAGACAAGACACCTGAGAGTGCAGCAAGTATTTCTCTCAGAACCAGAGCCTGACAGGTCTTGATTAAAACAACACCACCATTTTAGAGAAAAGCAGAGAGAAGAAAGAGGCTGAGAAGGAGGAGCAGGCAGGACTGCCTTCCAACACGCCCTGGCCTCATCTCTTCAAGCCCTGAGCAGGACATTGGGCTCATGGCAGTCTGAGCCCTCAGCCCATCAGCACCAGCATGCCTATGACACCTCCACACACGCGTGTGAGCATCTATATCCAGGACAGGGGTGTGGGGAGAGGCCGTGCACAGAACAAAGACCAAACCCCCAGGCTGCTTGGCTGCCCTACGGCCTTTCTTAGAAAAAGTCCCACTCCCTCAGCCATCCTCAGTGAGGACAAGATCAACTAGCTCTAATGGAGATGGAAGAAACTGTATGCAAAATTCTGTGTTTTTCTAGAGACAAGATCTCTAATGGTGGTTCTCAACCAGATAAGATTCTGTCCCTCAGGGGACACTGGACAATGTCAAGCCATTTTTGGTTGCCACTATTGGGGAAATGCTAAATGTCCTACAGTGTACAGGACAGCCCCACACAAAGAACTATTTAACCCCAAAAGTCAACAGTGCTAAGTCTGGGCAACCTTAATTTATTAGACTGGGATTTTCAAAGAAGTCCATCACTTGCAAAATGTGAAGAACCACAGCCGTAGTGTGGAGACTTTGAAATTTGGTGAGATCTGCCCCATGGCTCAGCATGTAGGCCATTTTCGTAAGTGCTCTGTATGTTCTGAAAATAACTATTCTCAGCCCAGCGCGGTGGCTCACGCCTATAATCCCAGCACTTTGGGAGGCCGAGGCGGGCGGATCACGAGGGCAGGAGATTGAGACCATCCTGGCTAACGCGGTGAAACCCCGTCTCTAATAAAAATACAAAAAATTGGCCAGGCACGGTGGCTCACGCCTGCAATGCCAGCACTTTGGGAGGCCGAGGTGGGCGGATCACGAGGTCAGGAGATCGAGACCATCCTGGCTAACACAGTGGAAACCCCATCTCTACTAAACATACAAAAAAAAAAAAAATTAGCCAGGCGTTGTGGCGGGCGCCTGTAGTCCCAGCTACTCAGAAGGCTGAGGCAGGACGCCTGTAGTCCCAGCTACTCAGAAGGCTGAGGCAGGAGAATGGCGTGAACCCGGGAGGCGAAGCTTGCAGTGAGCCGAGATGGCGCCACTGCACTCCAGCCTGGGCGACAGAGCAAGACTCTGCCCCCCCCCCACCCCCCCTCAAAAAAATACAAAAAATTAGCCGGGCGTGGTGGTGGGTGCCTGTAGTCCCAGCTACTCGGGAGGCTGAGGCAGGAGGATGGCGTGAACCTGGGAGGTGGAGCTTGCAGTGAGCTGAGATCGTGCCACTGCACTCCAGCCTGGGCGACAGAGCGAGACTCTGTCTCAAAAAAAAAAAAAAAAAAAAAGGAAATAACTATTCTCCAGTTGATGGGTGCAGTTCAAAGTTCAAGCTGGTTAGCTATATTGTTCTAATCTTGTAAATTCTTACTGACTCATTTGATCTACTGACCAGGTAAAGAATTAAGAATTATTGGCCAGGCACAGTGACAGTGGCTTATGCCTGTAATCCCAACATTTTGGGAGGCTGAGGCAGGCGGATCACTTGGGGTCAGGAGTTTGTGACCAGTTTGGCAACAGGGTGAAAACCTGTTTCTATTTAAAAATTCAACAATTATCCAGGCGTGGTGGTGCGCACATGTAATCCCAGCTACTAGGGAGGCTGCAGTGAGTGGAGATCACACCACTGCACTCCAGCCTGGGCGACAGGGCAAGACTCTGTCTCAAAAAAAAAAAAAAAAAAAAAAAAAGACTTATTCTTTCTAGTAAGTTAAACAGTGTATCATTATGATGTGATCTTTTTTGCCTTATAATGTATTGTTTCATATTAATAAAGTTGGCCAGCTTTCTTTTGGTCAGTATTTCCTAGAACATAGTTTTTCTCACCTTTCCATGTCCTTATTTGCATCTCTTGTAAACAGTATGAACTAGATTAACCATATGAAACTAGATTTAAATCTAGTCTAACACTGACACCTATCCTGATTGGTACTAACTTGTGTTTAAAATATATTTATATATTTGGCTGGGCATGGTAGCTCACGCCTACAATCCTAGCACTTTGACTTTGGGAGGCCGAGGTGGGTGAATCACTTGAGGTCAGGAGTTCAAGACCAGCCTGGTCAACAAGGTGAAACCCCGTCTCTACTAAAAATACAAAAATTAGCTGGGCGTGGTATCCCAGCTACTCAGGAGGCTGAGGCAGGAGAATCTCTTGAACCTGGGAGACGGAGGTTGCAGTGAGCCGAGATTATGCCACTGCACTCCTGCCTGGGCAATAGAGCATGACTCTGTCTCAAAATATATATATATATGTAATTTATTGTATTCTGAGGCACCATCAAATCTCTGGAGGGGCCAGAAAGGCACTAAAATGGAAACCTCTCGCTCCAGCTTGGAACACAGTTGGTGCCAAAGAATGCTGAATGACTGAATGGAAAAGGTACACCAATAATAAGAGAACGACCTGGATGTTTTCTGTGAACTGACAAACACAGACACTCACACAGAATCTATGTCCACTACGTACTCTGTCCTGAAAATGACTGTATTGATGGAATTGTATTAATTCTATTAATACCAGTGTTATTACCTGAGTAAGTACTACAGCTCATATTAGTCTATTGCCTATTACCTTTTAAGGGCTTCTCACAAGTAACTTCTTGTTTTAAAGTTTCATACTGTATCATTTCGCTCCACTCTAAATACAAGACTGCCTATTCGAGTTTCTCCATCATAAACAGAGCCTTGACAGCTGTAGAATTTAGAAGCCTTTGAGGGTTGAGACCAAATGCCTTCATAGACCAGGCAAGCAGCCAAACTCCACTCGCACGGAGCATACCTGGGGAAGTGAAGGGGCTGCAGGGCACCAAAGAGCACTTGCCCTGCCTAATGACGGCCAACAAGCTTTGGCAGACAGGGCCAGATCTAGCGCAGAAGAAACCAAATCAGTATTTTTATGGCAATGCACTGAATTTTCCAACTTCACTATGTGAACTTTCACTTTCATATCGCTGCGAGAGCCAAATAAGACAGAGAGAGAAATGGGCCTCACACATTAGAGTGAATTTGAGAAGTCCCATCCAGGTCTCCTCTGAGGAAAGCAAACTGCTTCCTTCTTCCTCTAGGGTTTAAGGAAGATGGACCATCTGCCCAGTTCCAGCACAAGGAGCCTGGGTGGAAGAAAAGCGCTTCAAGAGGACATCGTAGGCCATGTCTGAGTAAATGCGCCTCTGTCCCCAAACTAGAACATGATTAACATACTTGGCATGTAATATAATACTAATAGCTTTTAAAATAATACCTTATATCGATATAATGTATTATGGCTGTCAACATTCTTCCCCAGACATTCATTTTCTGCTCACACCAGCCCTGTTTGGCAGACAAAGTAGCTTTTATCCTTCTGTCAGATGAGGGTTAGGGAACTTACCCAAGGTCACAAGGTAGTAAACCACAGAGACAGCCCTAGAATTCGCCTTTTGAGGCCCCTATGCTGACATACCACCCTCCCCCGACAATTGCTCAAATCCCCTGGAAATGCCAGTATAAACCATTAGATATTGGTCATCTCCCCCAATTCCACACTGCTCCCTGGCATGCCAAGAACTACAACTCTCATCCAACTCCACTGTGAAAGGCAGAAGAGCTTTATCAGAGCTGGAGAGGGATTCTTCCATAAGATTACAGAATGGGATGGAAACCCAAGCAGCTTTGGTGGAAAGTGGATCCTGGTCATCTTTAGATGGCCAGCTGGACGCCAGCATGCTCAGAGGCGCCCAAGCAGGAGAAGGAATGCTCTGCCAGCAGCTGGAGAGGGCATCGCATCTCCCTCTGGAGTCTGTCCAGGTATCATGAGTCAGTCTATTCTCTTCTCAGACAAGGCCTTGCAATCAATCTGCTCTCAGACTCATGCTCTGAAAAGCTGGACCAAGTCAAAACTTTCCTACAGGGTGTATTACAAGGAAAATGTGCATCTCCCCCAGAGATGCAATAGCCCAATGGAATTAAACAGGCCTCAGAACTTGTGTGGGGAAGCATCTAGATGCAGGCCTGAAATAAGGAATCGTACTACCTAAGGGAACCCTCTCTTTAGACAAGGATGCAGAGTCCTGCCCAAGGTCTAGGCTCCTGTGTTAGAGGCCTGACCTCCATCGCTAGTCAAAGAAAACCATCGCTGTGACTGCTGTGAGTGGGCACAAGGCAAGTGCTAGGGCACAAGCATACCACACAGGGCGGTGGCCAGGAAAGTGATCTCCTATGGCTCCTGCTCCTGGAAAGGCTCTTCAGCCAAGTAGCACCAAGCAGCCCACAGAAGGTGACATTCTGTGTTCCGGGTCCAAATCCTAAGCAAAAGATCTACTGTTGCCAAACCTTGACATCACTTGTCCTATGAGGCTACACATCTACAGAAATGGGACACAAGCTTCTCGGTCTCAGAGAACAAGCAAAGCCAGAAGGAAAGAGCGGAGGCAGGAAATCATGAAGAAGCACAGTGGGGAGGAAGGTGGTTCTCGACAGGGCTGGTCCTTTATGGGAGGTAAAGGAGAGCCACAACCACAAGGTGAATGGGATCAGATGTCAACATTTGCAATTTTAACTCACCAGAGGAGGAAGCTCAGCTTCACTGGCTGCTGATGCCCTTAACCTTGCTATAAATGTGCCTCTGGCTGAAAAGTTAGGGTATGGGACCTAGGAGTACAATGCGGATAAGATCATTCCCAAGGAGGAGAGCAGGGAAGGGGTCACCTCAAACAACCCAGTTTGTTACTGTCACAAGCTACAAAAGGAACAAAGGTGACAAAAGATAGGGATGTGTCTGTAAGGTGAAGCAGATTACAGTGGTAGGTTTACTCCTGTAACGTTAAGAGGTCGATGACAAGGAAAAAAGAAAGGTGAGAAAGGCAGAGGAGAGGAAGAAATAGGCTATTCTGGGTCTTAGTGTAAAGCACAGCAAGTATAAGCACCATTACAGTTGTACCTTCTCAGGTACGAATGTTTACACAACAGCCTGGGGTGATGATGCCCTGGGGGACTGATTCGAACTAGCCAAGCTCACAAGAGACAAAGTGAACAAACTCACACCTGTTACACTACAAGGGTCAGAGGGGGTGTCTCACCCTTTCTGGTGCCTGATCTGCTGCTACCCACTCCCCAAGGACAGCAGGCCTCCCCACTCTGTGCCTCAGTATACAAGCCAAAAGACTGTACTGTCCTACTCCATCACAGCATCCCTCTCTCTGAGAACCGGAATCCTCTGGTCTCCAGTGTCACCAACACGACTCCCAAGAAATAGAGCAATCTTATATTGAACAGAGATCTAAGAGGGACCCTTGCTTTGGACTTTGAATTAGAAAATACTCTTTTATTGGCAACAAGGTTACCATTTAAGTAACTTTTCCCAAATGATTTGCCTTTCTCTGTTAGTTTTCATTTCAGAAGATGACATTTCCAATGTTTCTCTCAAATTCAAAGAATAACAACTGGCCTTGAGCTCCCTATGAATCGCTGCCCCACAGGGTCCTCTGGTCTCATCCTGAATCAGGGTGCACAAGTCTACAAGTGGACCCGGGGAGATCTGAAGAAGAGACAGGAACCTGGAGAGCACAACAGATTTCTCCCAGAATCAGGGTCCCACAGGCCCTGAGTAACACAAAAAGCAAAGGGCAAAGAAAAAAGCAAAGAGAAGAAATAAGGGATAGCAGGCGAGACTACCTTCCAACCTGTTCCGGCCCTGAACTCCCACACAGCCAGCCACGGCCCATGCTAGCCTTATGTCTTCAGGCCTTGGGAGGGACACTGGCGCCCAGGTCCCTGGGCTACAGGGTCTCCTGGTGGACCAGTCTCCCCTGCAAGGGGTCTTGTTTCCCATACCACAAATATGGATGGGATTCTGATTCCTTGGGAATCAGAATTCCCAATTTCACTTGGGAATACAGTCAAAGAATTCACAGGTAGAAGCAATCTACAACAGCAAAATCTGGTCTAAAACTATCAGATAAAAATGTCTCCCGCATCATTAGCCATTTCTTTTTCCCTTTTTTTTTTTTTTTTGGTGGAGACGGGGTCTTGCTATGTTCTCCAGGCTGCTCTTGAACTGTGGGCTCAAGTGATCCTCCCACCTCACTCTCCCAAAGTACTGGGATTATGTGTGAGCCACTGTGCCTGGCCACTGGCCATTTCAAGTTCAGATGTACAATCCATGGACTTCTCCAAACAACCTCCATGTTGATTTAATTCTGTTTCGTCTCTGCCTTGTTTCCATCAGTAGCATAGCAGTGACAGTGTCCTGGCCTGGTATGACTAGGACTGGCCACCTCCAATGCTCCTGTAATTATTCTACTTCCCCTGACTAATCCCAGAGAGGGACACACCCCAAGTCCTATCACCCCAGGTTTGATTTTACAGGGATGCTTCACATATTTTTAAACAATTCACGTATTTTAAAATAATAATCATGTTACAATTATACTATTTTGGACATACTGAGTTAAATTAAAAATATTAAAACTGGCCAGCCGCGGTGGCTCACGCCTGTAATCCCAGCACTTTGAGAGGCCCAGGCGGGCGGATCACGAGGTCAGGAGTTCCAGACCAGCCTGGCCAACATGGTGAAACCCTATCTCTACTAAAAATACAAAAATTAGCCAGGCGTGGTGGCGCATGCCTGTAATCCCAGCTACTCAGGAGGCTGAGGCAGGAGAATCGCTTGAACCCAGGAGGCAGAGGTTGCAGTGAGCTGAGATTGCACCACTGCACTCCAGCCTGGGCAACAGAGCAAGACTCTGTCTAAAAAAAAAAAAAAAGGAAAAAAAGAAAGAAAGAAAAGAAAAAAAAAGAAAAAAATTAAAATTAATTTCATCTGTTTCTTTGTACTTTTAAAATGTTGCTTCTAGAAAATATAAAATTAAGGCTGAGGCAGTGGCTCATGCCTGTAATCCCAACACTTTGGGAGGCTGAAAGAGGAGAATTGCTTGAAACCAGGAGTTCAAGACCAGCCTGGACAAGAAAGTAAGACCTCAACTCTACAAAAAATAAAAAATTAGCTGGGCATGGTGGCACACACCTGTAGTCCCAGCTACTTGGGAGGCTGCTGAAGTGGGAGGATTGCTTAAGTCCAAGAGTTTGAGGCAGCAGTGAGCTATGATTGTGCCATTGCACTCCAGGTGCATGACAGAGTGGGGCCCCACCTCGAAAGAAAAGAAAAAAAAAAGGAAAGAAGCAAGCAAGAAGGAAGGAAGGAAGGAAGGAGAGAAAGAAAGAAAGAAAAGAAAAAGAAAATATAAAATTACCCATGTGTCTTTGGGAGGCCGAGGTGGGTGCATCACCTGAGGTCAGGAGTTCCAGACCAGCCTGAGCAATATGGTGAAACCCTGTCCCTTCTAAAAATACAAAAATTAGCCGGACGTGGTGGCGGGCACCTGTAATTCCAGCTACTCAGGAGGCTGAGGCAGGAGAATCGCTAGAACCCGGGAGGCGGAGGTTGCAGTAAGCTGAGATTGCACCATTGTACTCTAGCAGGGGGGAGAGAGTGAGACTCCGTCTCAAAAAAAAAAAAAATTATCCATGTGGCTCACATTGTACCTTCTGTTGGACAACACTGCTTTAGAGTCTAACCTTAGAAGATGGGTCCCGACTCGGCACAGTGGCTCACGCCTGTAATCCCAGAACTCTGGGAGTGCCGAGGCTGGCGGATCACCTGAGGTCAGGAGTTTAAGACCAGCATAGCCAACATGGTGAAACCCTGTCTCCACCAAAAGTGCAAAAATTAGCCAGGTGTGATGGCGCATGCCTGTAATCCCAGCTGCTCGGGAGACTGAGGCAGGAGAATCGCTTGAACTCGGGAGGGGGAGGTTGCGGTGAGCTGAGATTGTGTCACTGCACTCCAGCCTGGGTGACAGAGTGAGACTCCATTAAAAAAAAACAAAAAAAAAAACCATGTGGCCAGGCGCAGTGGTTCATGCCTGTAATCCCAGCATTTTGGGAGGCCGAAGTGGGCGGATCACCTGAGATCAGGAGTTCCAGACCAGCCTGGCCAACATGGTGAAACCCTATTTCTACTAAAAACATAAAAATCAGCTGGGCACAGTGGCGTGCACCTGTAGTCCCAGCTACTCAGGAGGCTGAGGCAGGAGAATCGCTTGAACCCGGGAGGCGGAGGCTGCAGTGAGCTGAGATCGGGCCACTGCACTCCAGCCTGGGCGACAGACAAGACTCCATCTCAAAAAAGAAAAAAAAAACCCACCCATGCTAGCCCCTGCTCAGCACCCTCTCCTGGTGCTATTTTGAGGTGATATCCATCTTGGCCTACGGGTCTCTACTAAATCTGGCTGTCCACTACCTCTGACCTCATCTCCTACCACTCTCCCCTATCAAGCATGGCCACCACATTGGCCCCACTGTTCAAGACAAAACAATCATGCTCCAGCCTCTGGGCCTTAGCATTTGCTGTTCCCTCTGCCTAGAACGCACTTCAACCAGCTTCTTTCTTTTTGGTTTTGTTTTGCAATGGAGTCTTGCTCTGTCGCCCAGGCTGGAGTGCAGTGGCACGATCTCAGCTCACTGCAACCTCCACCTCCTGGGTTCAAACCTGCCTCAACCTTCTGAGTAGCTGGGATTACAGGCGCCTGCCACCACACCCGGCTAATTTTTGTATTTTTAGTAGAGACAGAGCTTCACCATGTTGCCCAGGCTGGTCTTGAACTCCTGACCTTAGGTGATCCGCCTGCTTCAGCCTCCCAAAGTGCTGAGATTACATGGGTGAGCCACCGCACTCGGCCTTCAACGAGCTTCTAAGCAGCTTGTTGCTGCACTTCTTTTAAATCTCTCTACCTATCTTTAAGAGACCTTCTCTGATCTTTTTTTTTTTTTTTTTGAGATGAAGTCTCGCTGTCGCCCAGGCTGGAGTGCAATGGCACGATCTCAGCTCACTGCAACCTCCACCTCAGGGGTTCAAGCGATTCTCCTGTCTCAGCCTCCCAAGTAGCTGGGATTACAGGCGTGTGCCACCACACCTGGCTAATTTTTTTGTATTTCTACAGAGATGGGGTTTCACCATGCTGGCCAGGCTGTCAAACTCCTGACTTCAAGTGATCCACCCACCTCGGCCTTCCAAAGTGCTGGGATTACAGGTGTGAGCCACCATGCCCAACATTATTTTTTATTTATTTTTTTAAGAAACAAGTTCTTGCTCTGTTGTTCAAACTACAGTGCAATGGTACAATCACAGCTCACTGCAGCCTCACACTCCTGGACTCAAGTGATCCTTCGGCCTCGGCCTCCTGAGCAGCTGGGATTATAGGCATGTGCCACCACACCTGGCTAGTTTTTTTTTTTTTTTTTTTAACGAGCCAGGGTCTTGCTCTGTTGCCCAGGCTGGAGTGCAGTGATGCAATCATAGCTCACTGTAGCCTTGATTTCCTGGACTCAAGCGATCTGCCTCAGCCTCCTGAGCAGCTGGGATTACAAGCACATGCCACTATGCCCAGCTATTTTTTTCTTTAAAAAAAAAAAAAAGATGAGGGGCTGGGTGCAGTGGCTCACATCTGTAATCTCAGCACTTTGGAAGGCCAAGGCAAGTGGATTGCTTGAGCTCAGGAGTTCGAGACCAGCCTGGCCAAAATGGCAAAATCCCATCTCTACAAATACAAAAATTATCAGGTGGCCACGCACGGTGGCTCACGTCTGTAATCCCAGCACTTTGGGAGCCCGAGGCAGGCAGATCACCTGAGGTCAGGAGTTTGAGACCAGCCTGACCA
Organism: Homo sapiens; assembly: GCF_000001405.40. Taxonomy (NCBI): domain Eukaryota; kingdom Metazoa; phylum Chordata; class Mammalia; order Primates; family Hominidae; genus Homo; species Homo sapiens. Next base: position 16,380,671 of record NC_000001.11, on the reverse strand, counting down.
ACATGGAGAAACCCCGTCTCTACGGAAAATACAAAATTAGCCAGGCGTGATGGCACATGCCTGTAATTCCAGCTACTCGGGAGGCTGAGGTGGGAGAATCGCTTGAACCCGGGAGGTGGAGGCTGTGGTGAACCGCGATCACGCCACTGCACTCCAGTAGCCTGGGCAGCAAGAGAGAAACTCCATCTCAAAAAAAAAAATAAAAGCCAGGCATGGTGGCACATGCTTGTAATTCCAGCTGCTTGGGAGGCTGAGGCAGGAGGATTGCTTGAACCTGGGAGGATCTCAGCAGTGAGCTGAGATCATGCCACTGCACTCCAGCCTGGGAGACAGGGTGAGACTCCAGCTCAAAAATAAATAAAGAGACGAGCGTCTCTCTATGTTGCTCAGGCTGGTCTCAAACTCCTGCCCTCAAGCGATCCTCCTGCCTCAGCCTCCCAAGTAGATGGGAATACAGCCGCGCACCACCTTGCCTGCCTCTGACCATTTTTTGTAAGATGGCAATTCCACCACAGTCACTTTCTAAAACCCTTAATCTGTTTTACTTTTCTTTACTGAGTGGTATATAAAACACTTACTGTTTATTGTCCATCTTTCCCCAGTAGAAAGTAAGCCTTATGAGAGCAGAAACTTCATTCACTGCATTTGTCCAATGTCTAAAATAGTACCCAACACACGAATTAAAGAACAATCACCAGCCTGGCCAACATGGTGAAGCCCTGTCTCTACTAAAAATACAAAAAATTAGCGGGGTGTGGTGGCTGGCGCCTGTAATCCCACCTACTTGGGAGGCTGAGGCAGGAGAATTGCTTGAACCCGAGAGGCAAAGGTTGCAGTGAGCCAAGACTGCGCCACTGCACTCCAGCCTGGGCAACAGAGCGAGACTTCGTCTCAAAAAAAAAAAAAAAAAACCCCAAATCAACAGGATTTTATAGATATATCTTGATTTTACAAATGAAGAGGAATCAATTCAGATAGGTTATATAATTTGACCATGGTTCCACAGCTAGTATGAAGTGGAGCCAGAATTTGAACTGGATCTATCTGGATCCAGTTGACAAATGACACTATCCATATTCAAAATAAGAGCTCAGGCTGCCTTAGGCATTTCTTGGCAAAAAACAGGTATTACGTCCTCCCTTTACCACCTCTTATCTTCGCTACAACCTGTGGAGCGTCCAGCAGCCTTGCTGCATACCCGGAAGTTAAGTGATTTGCCTCTGACTGCACAACTATGCACAACTAGTAAGTGACAGAACTGAACCCTAAGGCAGGGCGTAGTGGCTCACGCCTGTAATCCCAGCACTTTGGGAGGACGAGGCGGGCGGATCACGAGGCCATTCTGGCTAACATGGTAAAACCCCGTCTCTACTAAAAACAAAAAATTAGCCGGGCGTGGTGGCAGGCACATGTAGTCCCAGCTACTTGGGAGGCTGAGGCAGGAGAATGGCGTGAATCCCAGAGGCGGAGCTTGCAGTGAGCCAAGATCGTGCCACTGCACTCCAGCCTGGGCGACAGAGCGAGACTCCATCTCAAAAACAAAACAAAACACAACTGAACCCTAAATCTCAAGAAGGGGAAGCAAAAATGTTCAGGACACTGGCAGGCAGGTGGCATCAGGAGCTAATAAAGTAGGATATAAGGAGGTCGGGCACAGTGGCTCACACCTGTAACCCCAGCACTTTGGGAGGCCGAGGCGGGTGGATCCCCTGAGGTCAGGAGCTCGAGACCAGCCTGGTCAAAATGGCAAAACCTCCTCTCCACCAAAAATACAAAAATTAGCCGGGCGTGGTGGCACGTGCCTGTAATCCCAGCTACTCGGGAGGCTCAGGCAGGAGAATCACTTGAACCCAGAGGGTGGAGGTTGTAATGAGCCGAGACTGCACCACTGCACTCCAGCCTGCAAGACTCCGTCTCAAAATAAATAAATAAAGTAGGATAAGGGCTGACAGATAACAACATCCCAGCCTGCTGCTACACCTCAGGCCAGGTCAGTGCAAGCCCAGGTTTCCTAAGGCCTATAGCAGTAACAGACAAAAACAGCTGACTCCCAAGGCCCCGATCTTAAAGCTATAAATAAGTTGCCAAAAGCACGGTGGCTCAAACCTGTAATCCCAACACTTTGCGAGGCCGATGTGGGTGGATCACCTGAGGTCAAGAGTTCAAGACCAGACCGGCCAACATGGTGAAACCCTGTCTCTAATAAAAATACAAAAATTAGCCAGGTGTCACGGTGGCAGGTGCCTGTAATTCCAGCTACTCGGGAGGCTGAGGCAGGAGAATTTGCTCAAACCTGGGAGGCGGAGGTTGCAGTGAGCTGATCACACCACTGCACTCCAGCCTGGGCGACAGAGCAAGACTCCATCTCAAAAAAAAAAAAAAAAAAGAAGTTGCCAAACAGAAATAATTCTTCAGCAGCAACCAGGCCTAGCAGTTTAGATGTATCCCAGGCTAGAAAGCCTCAAAAACTTTGTAGATGCCATCTTGAGACAATGTATTGTTTTGAGTGCCTCCTCAAAGGGTCTCCATGCCGGAGGGATACACTCAGCCCTATACCTGAAAGTAACGGGATAGGCAGATGTAATGGTGAAGAGTCTTGCCCTGGAAATAAAATGGGGTCGAATCTAATGGGGCTCCTGCTTTCTCTGTGTTTCTGTAACTGCTTCTCCCTGTTGATTTTCGTACAACACTAAGCAATACAATTCTCGGAGGAGAGTATATTAGTCCTCAGGGGCAGCAAGAAAGTGACCCTTCAGCCAGTCTTAGGAATCCTGAACCCAAACCAGATAGAGGCTACACTGTGAGTGGCTGGAGAGCCGGGAACAATGCCTTCACACTCAGAGCAATGGCACTCTCGGCTCCCACATCCACCTGTGAATGACGCTTTACTAAGTGTTTTAACTCTCACTACCAGGCAAGGCAAATTCTATTAATTCAGTTTTACAAATTAAGAGATTGATGTGGACAGAAGGGTAGGTAGTGATTTGTCCAAAAATCAGACCAGGCATTTAAATCCCAGTCTTCTGACCTATTGCCATTAATGGAGAAAAGTAGGCCGTTAACTGGCAGAGAGAACCTATCCTTTCTTGCTTTTTTTTTTTTTTTTTTTGAGACAGAGTCTGTCTCTGTCATGATCTTGGCTAACTGCAACCTCCACCTCCCTAGTTCAAGCAATTCCCCTGCCTCAGCCTCCTGAGTAGCTGGGATTACAGGTGCACACGACCACGTCCCGCTCATTTTTTTGTATTTTTAGTAGTGACAGGGTTTCACCATGTTGGCCAGACTGGTCTTGAACTCTTGACCTCAGGCAATCCACCCGCCTTGACTTCCCAAAGTGCTGGGATTACAGGTGTAAGCCACTCTTGCTACCTTTTATAATGACTGCAAGGCTCCTCTCCCAAAGGAAATACCAGGCATTACTGACTTTGGAGGATGAAACAAAGACACTATTAACCCTCATCCACCAGATTTCACTTTAACACCCAAGGGTGCCCTCATCAAATCCCAGTTAGAATCGCCAGCACTCAGCAGGGGTGGCAAACACAATGCCTCCAAGCCCAAATGGCTAAAGCAGGCAGAATGGAACACAAGAGGTAACAACAGGTAAAGGAGGATTGCAGGGGAGAGCAGAGGAGAGGACAGCAGAGAGCAGCCAACAGCCGGTAAAGGCATTCAAGTTCAATATTTAAAAATCCTGCCGGCTAGGTGCAGTGGCTCACGCACCTGTACTCTGAGCTACTCAGGAGGAGGCTGAGGTGGGAGTATCACTTGAAGCGATCTGAGTTCAGATCAGTCTGGGTAACAAGGCAAGACCACCGCCCCCTCCATTTAAAAATCCTGAGCAACGTTTTTTTTTTTTTTTTTTTGAGACAGAGTCTCGCTGTGTCGCCCAGGCTGGAGTGCAGTGACACAATCTCAGCTCATTGCAACCTCTGCCTCCCAAGTTCAAGCGATTCTCCTGCCTCAGCCTCCCAGGTAGCTTGGGTTACAGGCACCTGCCACCACACCTGGCTAATTTTTGTATTTTCAGTAGAGACAAGGTTTCACCATGTTGGCCAGGCTGATCTGGAACTCCTGACCTCAAGTGATCCGCCTGCCTCGGCCCCCCAAAGTGCTGGGATTACAGGCGTGACCCAATGCGCCCTGCCCAATAATTATTTATGTTATCTTTTTCCACTTGGCCAAATGTTAAAAAGTTATTTCTCATTTATGATCAAGATTTCGACCAGCATCTCACTTGTAGTCACTGTTCTTAGCATTATAACTGAGAGCAGGATTATCGCTTGGCTCTTCAGCACTGAGTTCAAATTTCTCAGATGCAGTTTATGAGCTCATGCAGGCTACAGAGGCAGGAGGTCAATCCCAGGTGAAAACAAATGAAATGCTTCAAAGGAGCTAGTAACTAAGCATCCTAAAGCACTTAACTAGTTAATTATCTGGTGAGAAGCAAATGTAAACAAATTGCTCCAAAAAAGGTCCCTCAGAGTGTGGGCTCAGGCCTAACAGCCAGGGCTGGACCGACCACATGATTTCCTCCCCGGACCAGGAATAATAGCACCTACACCTCACAAGGTCACTGCTAATGATTGTAAAAATGCACTCCCCCTGGGCTGTAGGCAGCCATACAACATATATCTTAGAAGCTCTTCCAAAAAGGGCCCGAGGAACTTGGGAGCTTCCCACAGGCTGCGCGCTTGTTCGCCAGTGAGATGAACAACTAGATAGCAGAAACACTACTGACATATGGAAGGTCACAAATGTTTTTATAAGCTAGGAAGGGCTGGGCTGGGAATTGTTCTCAAGGTCAGTGAAGAGTGGTGACAGTCCTGACCTTTCCAGACTCAAGTCATACTTTCCTTCTATACAATCTCATCTAATCGCCATGGCCCCTGAAGAATGCAATTTTAGCTGTACATATTTATTATTCCTTTTAGAAAGGAATGACTGTTATTTCCTGTGTTCCTTTTATAAGGGAACGAGTTTGTTGGGGGGAGGGGCTGGCTTACTGTGATGGGCATTTTGAAATGTCTCACCGTCAAGGACAAGATTCTCTGTCTCGGACCGGGCGCGGTGGCTCACGCCTGTAATCCTAACACTTTGGGAGGCCGATGTGGGCAGACTGCCTGAGCTCAGGAGTTCCAGACCAGCTTGGGCAACATGGTGAACCCGTCTCTACTAAAATACAAAACATGAGTCGGGCATGGTGACATGAGCCTGTAGTCCCAGCTACTTGGGAGGGTGAGGCATGAGAATTGCTTGAACCCGGAAGGCAGAGGTTCAGTGAGCAGAAATTGCGCCACTGCACTCTAGCCTGGGTGACAGAGAGAAACTCCTTCTCAAAAAAAAGAAAAAAAAATTATCTGTCTCCATACAGACTATTGGGGTTTGTTGCTAATTTCTGTGGGGCATGGTTTTACCTTAATATCCTGCACAGAGCTAGATGTTAAAGAGAAGGATGCTTGGTAGGAGCAAACGGTTTTAAGAAAAACACTCAAAGGCCAGGCGTGGTGGCTCACGCTTGTAATCCCAGCATTTTGGGAGGCCGAGGCGGGCGGATCACGAGGTCACGAGTTTGAGACCGGCCTAGCCAACACAGTGAAACCCCATCTCTACTAAAAATACAAAAATTGGCTGGGTGTAGTGGCGAGCACCTGTAATCCCAGCTACTTGGGAGGCTGAGGCAGGAGAATCGCTCGAACCCGGGAGGCAGAGGTTGCAGCGAGCTGAGATTGCGCCACTGCACTCCAGCCTCGGCGACAGAGCTAGACTCCGTCTCAAAAAAACAAAACAAAACAAAAACACTCAAGAAGAGAAATCTCTATGGATACTACATTAAAATTTTTTTATTTTATTTTATACTTTGGCCACAGATTTAAGTAGCTAAACTCAACCTTCTCCTAGGAAACCAACAGGTCAGTAGTTTTCCTGACAGAACACACCTTGTAGAGGCTAGCTACCTGATACAGCCAGAAACTGATGCTAGCTGTCGGGGCCAACAGCAGTGGAGAGGTGGAAACTGGAAAGGGCTGGCCCCTGGAATGTTTTCAGTCATCAGACCTAGACAACTGTGACTTTTCTCTGCAGGACTGCACCAACAGTTTTAGAAAGACGCACTAAATCCTCTCCTGTCATAGAAGTAAAAACAAGAAGGCCTGTGATTGCTGGAATTTCTAGCCCACGGCAACCATGGCAGCTCTCTTGATACCCAGAGCACGCTGGGAACAGGCCCTCCCATGCAGCCAATGAAAAAAGGGCTGAGAAGTTACTAGTGAAAAGCTCATTATCCTCCTTTCTTTGAAGCCACAGTGAAACCAACCTTTTTCCAGAGTCCCAGGGACAGACTGCTCAGCAGAATCATGCCTAAACTGCCCAACTGCTTCACAGAAAGCCCCTTCTGAGGACATCACAGTCCATAAGGCTCAACCTTTCCAGAAAGACTAGCACCAACTGAGAGGTGGCCCCTTTAGGCATGGTGTATCTGGAACTGTGCTTTCTGTGATACCACAAATCTTAAATGCCTTCTTTTTACTGCAGGGACAGACATAAAGAAATCAGCACCAGATAGCCCCAAACTAATTGATCTCTTTTTTCCCACTACCCATAGCCTTTTTTTGTTGTTTTGTTGTACATGTTCCAAAATGACAGCAGCTACACAAAGCATTGGGGACCCCAGAGTGAAGCGGCAGTCACACTTTGGGGAGAATGGCCTCTTCTCCAAAGAAAGAGAAGAAAATCAAAGTTCTGATCTCCTGAATTTAATCTAACTATGGGCCGGGTGTGGTGGCTCACGCCTGCAATCCCAGCACTCCGGGAGGCTGAAACGGGAGGATCACTTATGTTCAGGCATTCGAGACCAACATGGGCAACATGGTGAGACCCTGTCTCTACAAAAAAATCAAAAATAGTCAGGTGTGGTGGCGCATGCCTGTAGTCCCAGCTACTCGGGAGGTTGAGGCTGAAGTGGGAGGATCACTTGAGCCTGGGAGGTCGAGACAGCAGTAAGTCATCATTGCACCACTGCGCTCAGCCTGGGTGACAGAGTGAGACCCTGTCTCAAAAAAAAAAAACGTGTTTTGTTTTTTTTTTTTTTTTGAGACGGAGTTCCACTCTTGTTGCCCAGGCTGGAGTGCAATGGTGCAATCTCGGCTCACCGCAACCTCCACCTCCCAGGTTCAAGCGATTCTCCTGCCTTGGCCTCCCGAGTAGCTGGGATTACAAGCAGGCACCACCACACCTGGCTAATTTTGTATTTTTAGTAGAGACAGGGTTTCTCCATGTTGGTCAAGCTGGTCTCGAACTCCTGACCTCAGGTGATCCACCTGCCTCAGCCTCCCAAAGTGCTGGCATTACAGGCATGAGCCATCGTGTCCGGCAAAAAATTTAAAACATAAATAAATAAATCTAGCTATATCACTCTTCTGCTTAAAAAAAAAAAAAAAACTTCAAAGCTCCTTGCACTTTCAGGACAAAGTTCAAGCTTCCAGAACCAAGTACAAGGAAGCCTTTCCCAATCTGGCCCCTACATACCTCTGTGGTCTCATCTCTTTCCACTCAACCCTGCCAACCCTCTCCCCTTCAGCCAGAAGGAAATACTTGTAGCCCTCCCAATGCTGTGTATTTGTCTCTCGGCCTCCTCATCCATGCCTGCTTTGGCCCTACACTCTACCTGCCTCTCCCAGACTTACCACTGCTTAATTCAACTGATCTTTCAAATCTTAACTTAGGCATCGTCTTCTTTACAAGACTTTCTCTGATCCAGCCATGGTACCCCACTTATGCCTCTTCCTGAAGGTGCTGCCGGACCTGTCTGACTCCCCCACTAAACAGGGCCTCCATGCCTGGTATGCAATAGTTATTTAATGTTTAATGACACCTTCCTATGGACTCATACACCATCCAGCATCACTGATGGGGCAATGTTTGGATAACTGGCTCATGGGGGTAGAAAGTAAACATAAATTTCAATTCTTAATCCAGAACACCAGTCATCCTTTAACTTATTCAAGATGCATTTTCTTCCCACTAGCTGCATGCCTTGACCTGGAGAAAAAGAATAAAAGGAAACTTGCAAGATACAGGGAAATCAGAGAGGTTGTCAGTGCTTTATAATAACCACTGGTCCAATTACATTTTTATATCATCTGCTGCCTTCCCCTAGCTGGGTTAGCTCATTACCAACACTATGAACTCTTTTTTTTTGAGACAGAGTCTCACTCTGTCACCCAGGCTGGAATGCAGTGGTGCGATCTCTGCTCACTGCAACCTCTGCCTCCCAGGTTCAAGAGATTCTCCTGCCTCAGCCTCCGGAGTAGCTGGGATTACAGGCACCTGCCACCATGCCAAGCTCATTTTTGTATTTTTAATAGAGACGGGGTTTCACCATGTTGGCCACGCTGGTCTTGAACTCGTGACCTCAGGTGATCTGCCCGCCTCAGCCTCCCAAAGTGTTGGGATTACAGGCGTGAGCCACCACGCCTGGCATATTTTATTGATTGTCTTAAACAATTGGGGATATAGGACGAAACCCTGTCTCAAAAAAAAAAGAAAAAGAAAAAGAAAAAAGTGTTTGCCATACTAACTAAAAGCAAAAAGTCTATTCACAGAATATGTGAGGGACTTCTCAAAGTCAGTCTTTCTCCAAATGACACAATAGGACTTGATACTAAGAATTCGGAAGCTATACAGGAAACAATGACCTCAGATGACTCACACACACAAAAATTCTTCCAGTCTGGGCAATATGGCAAGACCCTGTCTCTACAAAAAAATTTTCTTTTTAAATTAGCCAGGCACATAGTGGTACACGCCTGTGGGCCCAGCTACTCAGGAGGCTGAGGCTGCAGTGAGCTGTATTCCGACCACTGCACTCCAACCTTGGCAACAGAGCAAGACCCTTCTGTCTTAAGAAAGGGGCCAGGCGCAGCAGCTCACGCCTGTAATCCCAGCACTTTGGGAGGCCGAGGCGGGCGGATCACGAGGTCAGGAGATCGAGACCATCCTGGCTAACACAGTGAAACCCCATCTCTACTAAAAATACAAAAAATTAGCCAGGCGTGGTGGTGGGTGCCTGTAGTCCCAGCTACTCGGGAGGCTGAGGCAGGAGAATGGTGTGAACCCGGGAGGCGGAGCTTGCAATGAGCCGAGATTGCGCCACTGCACTCCAGCCTGGGCGACAGAGCAAGACTCCATCTCGGGAAAAAAAAAAAAGGGGAAAAAAAAAAAGGAAAAAAAAGGAAGGGAGAGGGGGGAGCAGAGGGATGGGAGCAGAGGGAGGGGAGGGGAGGGGAGAAATTCTACATGATGTCAAAAAATTTTTGGCTGGGCATGATGGCTCATGCCTGTAATCCCAGCACCTTGGGAGGCTGAGGCGGGTGGAGATTGCCTGAGACAGAAATTGCCTGAGACTGCAGTGAGTGTTCCCCACTGCACCCCAGCCTGGGCAACAGAGCAAGACCCTGTCTCAAAGAAAAAAGACAAAAATTTTCTTGTGGTGTTGGAGGGCAGGGATCTCCAAAATCCTTTACTTCCAAGGATTAGAACTGCCGCTGGATTTTTGTGTAGTTTCAATTTTCCCATTTAGGTTATTAGTCTTCACCCAGTTTTTGCTGTTTTGGAGTAGGGTATTCAAAGCTCATTACCAGTAGGAAGAGGGGATAACCTGAAGCCAAGACTTTTACGCAATTGCCTATATATGAAAGACATGTATAGCCTGCAGTCCATTGGTTTCCCAGTGATGTGGACATAACATCTCCCTGGCTCCCCTCTTTCAAAAGTGCATATTTACAAGAACCTTTGTGAAATTTGAAAAGGGAATCAAATTCAAGACAGCGTTCAAATATAAGCCCAGACAAACTATTAAAAATGAAAGCTGGCTGAGGGCAGTGGCTCATGCCTATAATCCCAGAACTCTGGGAGGCTGAGGCAGGAGGACTGCTAGAGCCCAAGAATTCAAGGTTGCAGTAAGCTATGATTATGCCACTGCACTTCAGCCTGGGAAACCAAATGAGACCCTGTATCTAAAATAAATAAATATTTTTTTTTTTAATGAAAGCTGCCAGGCATAGTGGCACATGCCTATAATCTACTGGGAGGCCCAGCCTGGGCAATCTCATCTCAAAAAATAAAAAAAAAATTAAAAAAAAAAAGGCCAGGTGCAGCGGCTCATGCCTGTAATCCCAGCACTTTGGGAGCCTAAGGCAGGAGGATCACTTGAGGCCAGGAGTTCGAGATCAGCGTGGCCAACATGGTGAAACCCCGTCTCTACTAAAAATACAAAAATTAGCTGGGCGTGGTAGCATGCGCCTTGTAATCCCAGCTACTCGGGAGGCTGAGGCACGAGAATCGCTTGAACCTGGGAGGTAGAGGTTGCAGTGAGATGAGATTGAGCCACTGCACTCCAGCCTGGGCAATGGAGTAAGACCTTCTCTCAAACAAAAAAAAAAAAAAGGAAAAGAAAGAACACCCAATTCCCAAATTTTCCACATGTCCCCAGGTAGAGAGGTAGCAGCAAAATGCTAGAGAAAAAAAGCCCAGCCTTGAAGTCAGACATGCTTGGGATCAAATCCCAGCTTCCCCCAGCTGTGTGATCTTGCGCAAAACAGGTTACTCTCGAAACCTCCGTTTCCTTGTCTATAAAAGGGGGACAATGCCTCAACAGGTTGTTTCAAGGATTCAATTAAATAAAATATATTAGAGAACCTGCATTTTGGCAGAAGTGTTCATGATGTCAATAAGGCAAGGTTTGTGTTCCACCTCTGTAGTTTTTTTTTTTTGTTTTTTTTTTTGATGGAGTTTCACTCTTGTTGCCCAGGCTGGAGTGCAATGGCATGATCTCGGCTCACTGCAACCTCCGCCTCCTAGGTTCAAGCAATTCTCCTGGCTCAGCCTCCCAAGTAGCTAGGATTACAGGTATGTACCATAGGGTCCAGCTAATTTTTGTATTTTTAGTAGAGATGGGGTTTCACCATGTTGGCCAGGCTGGTCTGGAACTCCTAACCTCAGGTTATCCACCCACCTCAGCCTCCCACAGTGCTGGGATTACAGGCGTGAGCCACAGCACCTGGCCGCGGTACATTTTTAAAGGATATTACTAAAGTAAGGGATAGCAGAAAGAACTCTGGCTTTCTGCCTCCGCTGCTGCCATGGCTTCTGTGAAAAAGCCTGTGGTGAAGGGGGGCAAAAAAAAGAAGCAGGTTCTGAAGTTCACTCTTGAATGCACTCACCCCGTAGAAGATGGAATCATGGATGCTGCCAATTTTGAGCAGTTTTTGCAAGAAAGGATCAAAGTGAACGGAAAAGCTGAGAACCTTGGTGGAGGGATGGCGACCATTGAAAGGAGTAAGAGCAAGATCAACGTGACATCCGAGGTGCCTTTCTCCAAAAGGTATTTCAAATATCTCACCAAAACATATATGAAGAATAATTTACGTGATTGGTTGCTCCTAGTTACTAACAGCAAAGATAGCTACAAATTATGTTACTTCCAGATTAACCAGGACAAAGAGGAGGAAGATGAGGATTAAATTTCATTTATCTGGAATATTTTGTATAAGTTTTTCAATAAAACTTGGGAACCAAAAGAAAAAAGAAAGAACACGCGACAAGCGTCAGAAAGACCTAAGTCTCTAAATCTCACATCTCTAGGCTTATTCAGCTGTTAAATGGGGGACTGTACTAGCTATTTCTAATTGACTTACCCATTCTGAAAAACTAAAGTAAGCCCCAATTTCTGCTGAATCCTATTCATTTTTGTTCATTTGCCTCCAACTTCTCTAACATGAGGGATTTATGACCCTTTGAAACAGGTGAGGAAAACCAAAGAAAGGCCAAGATGCCCAAGAAACGTATCATTTGCATGATATTAAAGTTGTAAGCCAAGCTTTTTTATAGGGATGTCTGGATGATTCACTCAGATTAGTGGTAGGCAATAAACGCCTGTACCGAAAATGTTGCATTTTCTGGCACAAAGTCACTGATAAGCACACTGCCTAGCATATAGCAGACACTCAAAAATGCTGGTTGAATGAACAAGGAGCCAACTGACACCTGTTACTCCCTATAAAATCTTTAACTTTCTTAAGCCAAAACTCAAGAAAGATGGTTGTCACATTAAGAACTCTACTAAATATCCTCTGAACGAACGAATCCTTCAAATTCTCAATTATGCTAAATGGAAAAACATAAACAACCGTTGAGAGAAATGCTGAACCAGCGGAAAAAACTTCAAAGCCAAGTTTCAACATTCCCGTAGAGCTAGATACACCCACTGACTGCTGCCAGGGTCAATTTCCCGGCCTCTTCCAGAGCTCATAAGCACCCCCAAAAAGCGCTTAGGAAAAAAAACCCAGCGCCTACTCTACCCTGGTACGCTCGACTCCTCGCACACGTAAACCTTTAAGGTGGATGTCAGTGCAGCCAGCATTGAACAGACGCGAACACGGGGAGACAAAAAAAGCATCTCCCCATATTCACAAGGGTCACCACAGACAAACTCTGAAAAGACCAAATTATTCACAAATCTAAGAGAATTGACAGATCCTCTTTGAGATAAACTATTTTCCTACAGTTTCTGGAGGCAAACAAAAACTCCAAAAACAAGTCGAACGGTCCATCTCCCCACTCCTCTCCCAAGAATGTGGCTGTTTTACATATCACACCCTGGACTCCGACAAGCGAACTCCTAGACCTTCCCGGGGCCTCGGATCGCTGAGTGGCAGAGGAGCTGCCCCGCAGAGCTTTCGGTTGCTTTGGCAGAGTCCCCGTGAGACCTGCCTGCCTGCCCACAAACTCTTCTTGGAGTAAAAGTGAAAGAGAAAAAAAACCCGACTCGTCCACCGTGACGGATGGTGGGGGATTTTAGCAGAGTTGAGTAGCCCAAAGAGGATTCAATTTCCCCCCGCCCTCGGCTGCCTCCTCCCGCTTTCCTGCGAAGCCGGACATGCCTCCTTGGTCCGCGCAAGCCCCACCACCACCCACATGGTGTGTCCGTCCCGGTCAGAGCACAAGAACTTTAAAATGGTGCCTCGGGCCACAAGGCTCATCGGAAAGAGTCACAGAGGCCCACGGCCAGCAAGTGGGCGCGGGGGGTCAGGAAAGGAGGCCCCGGGTGGCGGGTGGGGCGCCCCGGGTGACGCGCGCGTTAGTGGGCGGAGGGAGGCGCACCAGGCAAAGGAAAGGAGAGAAATGGATCGCGGCCCCTTTAAGAGGCCTTCACGGCGCTCAGGAACTGGGGGCCTCTCCACCACCCCCAGCCCGGCGTATGGGGCCCTTCCTTGGGGAGAACTATCTCCAGACCCGCTCCCCGGAGGCTCCCCTCACGCCAGGTCTCGCCCGGCCCTGCCATGGGACGGCGGCTCCTCCTTACCCCGCTGTCTGCCGCCTCTTCCCAGCTCTCAGCGACCTCCTCATCTTCCATCTTACTCGCCGCTTTCCCTCCTCCCCCACCCCCTCCCCGCGCCTGCGCTTTGAAGCGCGCCTCCGTCGCGGGCGCAGGCACGCAAGGCTTTACTCAATGGACCCCGCCCGCTGCCAAGCCCGGAAGAGGCGCCAGGCAAGGTCCCAAGTGTACATTAGGGCAGCCATCTTGGAAGGGGGCAGAGAAGGCGGAAAGATGCCATCTTTCTTAAGGGCCAACGCGTTATCTGTCTTACAGAATGGGCGTTCAAGGGAAGTCCTCATCTCGAGTACCGGAAGTGTGTTCTGTGGAACCATCTTTTCTAAGGGCAGGCAATTAAAGAAAACTTTTTTTCTTTTAAAGTGAGTCGTAGTTTTCCTAAACTACAGATAATGGTATCTTCAGAATTCTGAAAACATTTTTAAACACCAACAAATGATGAAAAATATCTGCTGATGCAGAAAACATTTTATTATTTCTGATAGGGTGAAAATCATTACAGTATTTCCTGCTCATAAAGCAGTATTCTAATCATTTATTAACACTATATCCGCTACCGTAAGGTAAAGACGGTAAAGATAATATTGCACCTCAGTTGGGAGAACCAGTGGGATTCCCAGCTACTAAGTTCTCCTGGGTCTTTAATGGTAGATAAATACGTTAGTATTACCTCTAAAAATTACTGGCCAGGCGCGGTGGCTCACGCCTGTAATCCCAGCACTTTGGGAGGCCGAGACAGGCGGATTACCTGAGGTCAGGAGTTCAAGACCAGCCTGGCCAACATGGTGAAACCCCGTCTCTACTACAAATACAAAAATTAGCTGGGCATGGTGGCACACGCCTATAATCCCAGCTACTCCGGAGGCTGAGGCAGGAGAACTGCTTGAGCCAGGGAGGTGGAGGTTGCAGTGAGCCGAGATCATGCCACTGCACTCCAGCCTGGCCGACAGAGTGAGGCTCTGTCTCAAAAAAAAAAAAAATTATTTATGTCAGGGCAGGCGTAGTGGCTCACACCTGTAATCCCACTTTGGGAGGCCAAGGTGGGCAGATCACCTGAGGTCAAGAGTTCGAGACCAGCCTGACCAACACGGAGAAACCCCGTCTCTACTTAAAATGCAAAATTAGCTGGGCATGGTGGCACATGCCTGTAATCCCACCTACTCGGGAGGCTGAGGCGGGAAGATCGCTTGAGCCTGGGAGGCGGAGGTTGCAGTGAGCCAAGATTGCGCCATTGCACTCCAGCCTGGACAACAAGAGCAAAACTCTATCTCAAAAAAAAGTTATTTATGTGGCCGGGCATGGTGGCTCACGCCTATAATCCCAGCACTTTGGAAGGGTGAGGCGGGGGGATCGCTTGAGCCCTGCAGTTTGAGACCAGCCTGGGCAACGAGGCAAAAGCCCATCTCTACTAAAAAAAAAAAAAAAAGCTGTGTGATCTTAACGCAAGTTACATAAGGATTCTATGTCTCAGTTCCCCAAGTGTATACATTAGAGATAGCTACTTCAAAAGTAGATTGTAAGAATTTAACCAGTTACTATGCTGAAATGCCTAGAACAGTGCCTGACCCATAGTAAGAGTCCTAAGGGTTAGCTATTATCATTATGGGAGTGTCTTGTCTGCCCGAGGAAGATTTATAATTGTCACTTCTGTAATCATCCTTTCTTAAAATATAAGGACAGGGAGATGCCAGGCGCGGTGGCTCACGCCTATAATCCCAACACTGTGGGAGGCTGAGGTGGGCGAATCAGTTGAGGTCAGGAGTTCAAGACTAGCCTGGTCAACATGGTGAAACCCCATCTCTACTAAAGATACAAAAATTAGCCGGATGTGGTGGCAAGCACCTGTAATCCCAGCTACTTGGGAAGCTGAGGCAGGAGAGTTGCTTGAACCCAGGAGGCAGAGGTTGCAGTGAGCCAAGATTGCGCCATTGCACTCCAGCCTGGGCAACAAAGCGAGACTCTGTCTCAAAAAAAAAAAAAAAGGCAGGGAGATAAGCAAACACCATGTGTTTATATTCTTACTGACATGTTCCTGTTTTTCTCTCAGTTTTAAATACATGTCATTCAGTAGTGTTGCATTTGGCTGCTATAACCAAGTTATCTGACTTGGAATGTGTTTTTTCTTGTATTTTTAGTATGCCATTAATCTTTCTGAAGTAAAACCTTCCTGCTGTGAAATTTCATAATTTGTATTCTTTTTTTTTTTTTTTTAGACATAGTCTCACTGTCGCCCAGGCTGGAGTGCAGTGGCGCAATCTTGGCTCATTGCAGCCTCTGCCTCCTGGGTTCATGTGATTCTCCTGCCTCAGCCTCCCGAGTAGCTGAGACTATAGGTGCTTGCCACTATGCCCAGCTAATTTTTGTATTTTTAGTAGAGGCCAGGTTTCACCATGTTGGCCAGACTGGTCTGGAACCCCTAACCTCAGATGATCTGCCTGCCTCAATCTCCCAAAGTGTTGGGATTACAGGTGTGAACCACTCTGCCCGTCCTGTTATTTGTATTCTTAATGATTATCATCATAAACTGCAACCATGTGTTAAATGTTACTGGTCTTTATTTAGAAGCTTAAGTGATATGCTTACTAATTCTCTGGTTTCACAACTTCCTGACTCTGAAATATTGTTCATTTCCAGGGTCTGTCCTCAGTCCACTGTTCTTACCTAGATGTTCATGGTATAAGCCACCCACTGTATGCTGAAGACTGCCAAAGTTGACTTCTAGCTGTGAACTGACCTGGTGTTTCTGATTCTGATTTTTACAGCTAGGCTTCTTATTGCCATCTCCACATGGATATTCCACTAGCAGCTTTTAAGTCTCTAAAACTCAAGTAATTCTCGGCCGAGCGCAGTGGCTCACGCCTGTAATCCCAGCACTTTGGGAGGCCAAGGCAGGCGGATCACGAGGTCAGGAGTTCGTAGACCAGCCCGACCAACATGGTGAAACCCCGTCTCTACTAAAAATACAAAAATTAGCCAGGCGTGGTGGCGCATGCCTGTAATCCCAGCTACTCAGGAGGCAGAGGCAGGAGAATCGCTTGAACCCGGGAGGTGGAGGTTCCAGTGAGCCGAGATCATGCCACTGCACTCCAGCCTGGGTGACAGTGAGATTCCATCTCAAAAAACAAACAAACAAACAAAAACCAAAAAAAAAAACCACACAAAAACTCAGTAATTCTGTTGAGTTCACCAATTTCATGGATTTTTGGCTTATTCACTCTGTGAGATTATATTTACTTGGAATACATTCTACTGTGAACCCATTCGTTGAAGTAAATTATCCTGACTGAGTCTTGGCAACAGCAAAGTGGTTGAAACTGTCAGACGGGGCTGGGCGCGGTGGCTCACGCCTGTAAATCCCAGCACTTTGGGAGGCCAAGGCGGGCAGATCACGAGGTCAGGAGATTGAGACCATCCTGGCTAACACGGTGAAACCCCGTCTCTACTAAAAATACAAAAAAAAAAAAAAATTAGCCGTGTGTGGTGGTGGGCGCCTGTAGTCCCAGCTACTCGGGAGGCTGAGGCAGGAGAATGGTGTGAACCTGGGAGGCAGAGCTTGCAGTGAGCCGAGATCGCACCACTGCACTCCAGCCTGGGCGACAGAGCAAGAGTCCGTCTAAAAAAAAAAAAAGTATACAGAAACTGTCAGACATAACCTCGTTCTGGAGCAATAGTTTTTCCTAAATGCAAGTGACTCCTATATTTAAGCTTTGTCGTTATGCCATATTACCAGCAGAGGGAGATGGTTTCTTACAATTTAGCATATTGGGCAACGACCCTTAACAAAAGCATTAGTTGTGCATTTCTGGGACTGCATTTTCAAGGAGACAAGAAAGATGGAGACCTTGGAAATCATCTGAAAATGCTGCAAATGAAATAGTTTTTGTTCCACAAAATGGGTAACCAGGAGGTCAGTCTTAGTTAATCACATAGACCCCTTGTGACCTTGGGCAAGTCTCTTCTCTCTCAGTCTGATTCCTCATCTGTAAAATCAGGGATGGAACCAAATTAGCTCTAAAATTGAAAAAGTAGTGGCAGTTTCTTCTTCCAGGGATAAGCCCAAAAAGTTGAGGCAGTGGCGGCCTGGCACCGTGACTCACGCCTGTAATCCCAGCACTTTGAGAGGCCGAGGCAGGTGGAAGATGAGGTCAAAAGATCAAGACCATCCTGAACGTGGTGAAACCCCTTCTCTACTAAAAATTCAAAAATTAGCTGGGCGTGATGGCACGCGCCTGTAGTCTCAGCTACTAGGGAGGCTGAGGCAGGAGAATCGCTTGAACCTGGGAGGCGGAGGTTGCAGTGAGCTGAGATCATGCCATTGCACTCCACCCTGGCCGATAGGGTGAGACTTTGTCTCAAAAAAAAAAAAAAAGTTGAGGCACACAATACACAGGTATTGTCAGAGGCCCTAAAGCATGAGTCTTTCTCTCTCTCTCTCACTCTTTCTGCTCTCACTCGGTCACCAGGCTGGAGTACAGTGGCACAATCATGGCTCACTGCAACCTCCACCTTCCAAGCACAAGTGACCCTCCTGCTTCAGCCTCCTGAGTACTGAGTAGCTGGGACTATAGGTGTGTGCCACCACACCCAGCTAAGTTTTTGCATTTTTTTTTTTTTTTTGGAGATGGAGATTCTCTCTTGTCACCCAGGTTGGAGTGCAATGGCGTGATCTTGGCTCACTGTATCCTCCGGATTCAAGCGATTCTCCTGCCTCAGCCTTCTGAGTAGCTGAGATTAGAGGCCTGGGCCACCATACCCAGCTAATTTTTTTTTTTTGACAGAATCTTGCTTTGTTGCCCAGGCTGGAGTGCAATGGTGTGATCTCGGCTCACCACAAGCTCTGCCTCCCGGGTTCAAGCGATTCTCCTGCCTCAGCTTCCCAAGTAGCTAGGATTACAGGCGCCTGCCACCAAGCCTGGCTAATTTTTGTATTTTTAGTAGAGACCGGGTATCACCATGCTGGCCAGGCTGGTCTCAAATTCCTAACCTCAGGTGATCCACCCGCCTCGGCCTCCCGAAGTGCTGGGATTACAGGTTTGAGCCACCGTGCCCAGCCCGGTGTATTGTATTATTAGTGGAGACAGTTTCTCCATCTTGGCCAGGCTGGTCTCAAACTCCTGACCTCAGGTGACTTTTTTTTTTCCTGAGACAGAGAGTCCACTTTTTTTTTTTTTTTTTTTTTGAGACGGTGTCTTGTCTTGCTCTGTTGCCCACGCTGGAGTGCAATGGCGTGATCTCAGCTCACTGCAACCTCTGCCTCCCAGGTTCAAGCAATTCTTCTGCCTCAGCCTCCTGAGTAGCTGGGACTACAGGCACGTGCCACCACGCCTGGCTAATTTTTGTATTTTTAGTAAAGACGGGATTTCACCATATTGGCCAGGCTGGTCTCAAAGTCCTGACCTTGTGATCTGCCCGCGTCAGCCTCCCAAAGTGCTAGGATTACAGCCATGAGCCACTGCGCCCAGCTTTTTTTTTTTTTTTTTTTTTTTTGACAAATTTTCGCTCTTGTTGCCCAGGTTGGAGTGCAATGGCATGATCTCAGCTCACCACAACCTCCGCCTCGCGGGTTCAAGCGATTCTCCTGCCTCAGCCTCCCGAGTAGCTGGGATTACAGGCATGCGCCACCATACCCGGCTAATTTTGTATTTTTAGTAGAAATGGAGTTTCTCCATGTTGGTCAGGCTGGTCTCGAACTCCCGACCTCAGGTGATCTGCCCGCCTCGGCCTCCCAAAGTGCTGGGATTACAGGCGTGAGCCACCTCGCCCGGCCGAGATAACTTTCTATCTGACGCACAAGCTGAAGCTAGGTAGATAGTTGTGATGAGTAAATGGCAACTTACCAATATTGAAAATGTGCAGGCTGGGCATGGTGGCTCACACCTGTAATCCCGGCACTTTGGGAGGCCAAGGCAGGTGGATCACCTGAGGTCAAGAGTTCGAGACCAGCCTGGCCAACATGGTGAAATCCCACCCCTACTAAAAATACAAAAATTAGGTCTGGTGCAGTGGCTCATGTCTGTAATCCCAGCACTTTGGAAGGCTGAGGCAGGCAGATCATGAGGTCAGGAGTTCAAGATCAGCCTGGCCAGCATGGTGAAACCTCATCTCTACTAAAAATACAAAAAGTTAGCCGGGCATGGTGATGCGCACCTGTAATCCCAGCTACTCAGGAGGCTGAGGCAGGAGAACTGCTTGAACCTGGCAGGTGGAGGTTGCAGTGAGCCAAGATAAAGCCACTGCGCTAGCCTGGGTAACAGACTCCATCTCAAAAAATAAAAATAAAAAAAATAAAAAATAAAAAAATAAAAATAAGGCCGGGCACGGTGGCTCATGCCTGTAATCCCAGCACTTTGGGAGGCCAAGGCGGGTGGATTGCCTGAGGCCAGGAGTTGGTGACCAGCCTGGCCAACATAGTGAAACCCTATCTCTACTAAAAATACATAAAATTAGCTGGGCGTGGCAGCAGGCGCCTGTAACCCCAGCTACTCGGGAGGCTGGGGCAGGAGAATTGCTTGAACCCTGGAGATGGAGGTTGCAGTGAGCCAAGATCGCTCCATTGCACTCCAGCCTGGGCAACAAGAGCGAAACACCATCTCAAAAATAAATAAATAAATAAAAATAAAAATACAAAAATTAGCTGGGCGTGGTGGCACGCACCTGTAATCCCAGGTACACAGGAGGCCGAGGCAGGAGAATCGCATAAAGCCTGGAGACAGAGGTTGCAGTGAGCCGAGATCATGCCACTGAACTCCAGCCCGGGTGATAGAGCCAGACTCAGTCTCAAAACAAACAAACAAACAAACAAAAAGAAAATGTGCATACCTAAGGATATCCATTGCTATTTTGTCTATAATCAAAAAAGACTGGAAACAAATTAAATGTTCATCGCTAGAGAATTTGTTTTAAAAGACTATGGTACATTCCTATAAAAGAATAGAATGCAACTGTTAATAACATTTATATTGTCCTAAATGCACTGATACTGAGTGATCTCACATGAGAACTAAAAATAAAATCCTAAACCTTCCAACGGACTAAATGGACACCCTTTTGGTACAGGGGACCCCAGAGAAGCCATGATGGAACAGGAAGTCAGACACACTTGGTTATACCCTATCCCTTTCACAGTTTAGACACAACAATTGACCAGCATTAATGCTAAAATAGAGATCATAAGACTGACACAACAAATGCTTTGTGGTAATAAGATGCTTTTTTTTTTTTTTTTTTGAGACACAGTCTCTCTCTGTTGCCCAGGCTGGAGTGCAGTGGCTCGATCTCGGCTCACTGCAACCTCCACTTCCCAGGTTCAAGAGATGCTCCTGCCTCAGCCTCCTGAGTAGTTGGGATTACAGGCTGGCAACACCACGCCCGGCTAATTTTTGTATTTTGAGTAGAGATGGGGTTTCACCATGTTGGCCATGCTGGTCTCAAACTCCTGAGCTAGTGATCCTCCTGCCTCAACCTCCCAAAATGCTGGGATTACAGACGTGAGCCACCGCGTGCGACCAAGATGCCAATTATAAACAGGACATAAGGTCATACCAAGCAAGGGTTAAGTCATGCACCCCAACCCTTTAAGAATAAACTATGTTCTGGCCAGGTGTGGTGGCTCATGCCTTTAATCCCACCACTCTGGGAGGCCGAGGCAGGCAGATCACCTGATGTCAAGAGTTCGAGACCAGCCTGGCCAACGCCGTGAAACCCTGTCTCTACTAAAAATACAAAAATTAGCCAGGCGTGGTGGCGCATACCTGTAAATCCCAGCTACTTGGAGGCTGAGGTAGGAGAATGGCCGGAACCTGGGAGGCTGAGGTTGCAGTGAGCCGAGATCATGCCACTGCACTCCAGCCTGAAAGACAGAGCGAGACTCTGTCTCAAAAAAACAATAAATTGGGCCGGGCGTGGTGGCTCATGTCTGTAATCCTAGCACTTTGGGAGGCTGAGGCGGGCGGATCACGAGGTCAGGAGATCGAGACCATCCTGGCTAACATGGTGAAACCCCATCTCTACTCAAAATACAAAAACAGCCAGTCGTGGTGGCACGCACCTGTAGTCCCTCAGGAGGCTGAGGCAGGAGAATGGCATGAACCCAGGAGGTGGAGCTTGCAGTGAGCCGAGATTGTGCCACTGCACTCCAGCCTGGGCGACAGAGGGAGACTCCATCTCAAAAAAAAAAAGAAAACAAAAGAATAAATTATGTTCTGGGCTGTACACAGTGGCTCACACCTGTAATCCCAGCACAATTTCAGCACCTTGGGAGGCCAAGGCAAGGTGGGCGGATCACCTGAGGTCAGGAGTTCAAGACCAGCCTGGCCAACATGGAGAAATCCTGTCTCTACTAAAAATACAGTAATTGGCTGGGCGCAGTGGCTCACGCCTGTAATCCCAGCACTTTGGGAGGCTGAGGCGGGTGGATCACCTGAGGTCAGAAGTTGGAGATCAGCCTGACCAACGTGGTGAAACCCTGTCTCTACTAAAGACACAAAACATTAGCTGGGCATGGTGATGCGTGCCTGTAACCCCAGCTACTTGGGAGGCTAAGGCAGTAGAATCGCTTGAACCCAGGAGGCAGAGGTTGCAGTGAGCCGAGATTGTGCCATTGCACTCCAGCCTGGCTGATAGGGCAAGACTCTGTCTCAGATAAATAAATAAATAAATAAATAAATAAATAAATAAATAAATAAAATAAAAAACCAAAAAATACAAAAAATTAGCTGGGCGTGGTGGCACACACCTGTAATCCCAGCTACTTGGGAGGCTGAGGCAGGAGAATCGCTTGAACCCGGGAGGGGGAGGTTGCAGTGAGCCGAGATCACGCCATAGCACTCCAGCATGGCGACAGAGCAAGACTCTGTCTTGAGAAAAACAAAACAAAACATATAGATAGAAAAGGTACGGTAAAAATATGGTATTATAATCTTATGTGACCACCATTGTACATGTGGTTTGCCATTGACCACTGTTATGTGGTGCGTGACTGTGATTGATTATTGGGACAGACTCTGGAGGAAAGTACCTTATTTAAACGTATTAGAGAGACTCCAACCACCCCTTTCATTCTAGCCTTATCCCCTGTCTTTAATCATGTCCCAATCAGCCTTCACACTGCAGAGAGACTATTCTGAAAAACCATTTTAATTATAGAGTATAACCTCCCCGTTCCCAGTTCTTCATGACCTATAATGTAATCTCCAGTCTTCCCCCGATATTCCAGCCACTATGTAGCTCAGTTTCGTCATCTTTAAAATAGGCACAATAATGACGCCTACTTAGCAGAGTTCGGTACATAATAAATGTAAACAATAAATAGCAATTGTGATTATTATTAGAGTTTAATACTTTTGTCCTTATCACAATTTATACTTCTATCTTGTCTACAGTCTTTGTGTATTGGTTATCTCTCTCAGTAGATAGTAGGGCCCTCCACAAGGGCAGAGACCTTATGTTTCATTAAAAAATATATATGACCATGGCCGGGCACAGTGGCTCATGCCTGTAATCCCAGCACTTTGAGAGGCCGAAGTGGGTGGATCACCTGAGGTCAGGAGTTCAAGACCAGCCAGGGCAACATGGCAAAACCCCATCTCTACTAAAAATACAAAAATTAGCTGGGTATGGTGGCACGCACCAGTAATTCCAGCTACGCAAGAGGCTGAGGCACGAGAATCACTTGAACCCAGGAAGCGGAGGTTGCAGTGAGCAGAGATTGTGCCACTGCACTCTAGCCTAGGCAACAGAAGCAAGACTCTGCCTCAAAAAAAAAAAAAAAAAAATTATGGCCAGGTGCAGTGGCTCATGCCTGTAATCCCAGCACTTTGGGAGGCCAAGGTGGGTGGATCATGAGGTCAGGAGATCGAGACCATCCTGGCTAACACGGTTAAACCATGTCTCTACTAAAAATACAAAAAATTAGCTGGGCGTGGTGGCAGGCACCTGTAGTCCCAGCTACTCGGGAGGCTGAGGCAGGAGAATGGCGTGAACCCCAGAGGCGGAGCTTGCAGTGAGCCGAGATCATGCCACTGCACTCCAGCCTGGGAGACACAGTGAGACTCCGTCTCAAAAAAAAAAAATTTGTATATATTTATAAATATATATATTAATATTGTATATATATATGACCATACGTATCACATGGTCTGGCACATAGTAGGTGCTCACTAAATATTTGTTTCCCAAATGCCCTCTTAGTTGCCAAATTCCAAGTTCATTCATTCAACAAATATTTAGTGAGTCCCTACTATGTGCATCTCTATGTCAGGTGCTGGTGGAAAACAGACAAAAATCCCTGCTGTCCTTGAGTAAGAAGATTCAGGGTGAAGTGATTCTGTATTTGAACGTATTCTAACATGGTCCAGCAGTTCCAACCCTGACTGCTCAACAGAATCCCTGAGGAGCTTTCAGAAAAGTCTGAGGCCATTGTTTGAGGTGGGCCCTGGAACCTGCATTTTAATTTATTTTTGTAGAGATGGGGTCTTGCTATCTCGCTCAGGTTGATCTCAACTCCTGGCCTCAAGTCAGCCTCCCATGTCAGCCACTGAAAGGGTTGGGATTACCAGCGTGCAACACTGCAACTGGCCATGGAACCTGCATTTTTACTTTTACTTATTTTTTTTTTTTTGGAGACAGAGTCTCACTCTGTCACCCACGCTGGAGTGCAGTGGCATGATCTCAGCTCACTGCAACCTCCACCTTCCAGTTTCAAGTGATTCTTGTGCCTCAGCCTCCCGAGTAGCTGGGATTACAGGCACATGCCACCATTCCTGGCTAATTTTTGTATTTTTAGTAGAGACGGGGTCTTACCATGTTGGCCAGGCTGGTCTTGAACGCCTGACCTCAAGTGATCCACCTGTCTTGGCCTACGAAAGTGCTAGGATTTTTTTTTTACTTTTTTTTGTTACTTTTACTTTTTTTTTGAGACAGAGTCTCGCTCTGTCACACCAGGCTGGAGTGGAGTGATTATAGCTCACTGCAACCTCAAACACCCTGGCTCAATCAATCCTCCTACCTCAGCCTCCCAAGTATCTGGGACTATGCAAGCTACTCTGGAGGCTGAGGTGGAAGAATTGATTGAGCCCGGTTGGAAACTTCCTTCCTCAAAAAAAAAAAAAAAGTAGCATTTAATAGCTGGTCCAGTGTTTCCAATATTGAGCTCTACAGGATATTTGGAGGGGGAAGAGTGGAGTTGGTCACAAGTTCTAGTAATTTTTTTTTTTTTTTTTTGAGACAGTCTCGCTCCGTGGCCCAGGCTGGAGTGCAGTGGCACAATCTCAGCTCACTGCAACCTTCACCTCCTGGGTTCAAGCAATTCTCCTGCCTCCACCTCCCGAGTAGCTGGGATTACAGGTGTGTACCACCAAGCCTGGCTAATTTTTTGTACTTTAGTAGAGACAGGGTTTCAGCATGTTGTTCCCATGGTGGTCTCGAACTCCTGAGCTCAGACAATCTGCCTGCCTCGGCCTCCCAAAGTGCTAAGATTACAGGTGTGAGCCACCGTACCCGGCTCAGTTCTAGTAATTTTTAAGCTTGAGGTTTTTAATGACATGATTTAAAAACTAGATTTAAAAACCAGATTTAAAAATATTTCCTTTACCAGTTATAATTGCCCAATTTCTCTTTTGCAGTAAAATTTCCTAGTTGAAAGACTTGATTTTCTTTATCTTTTCTTTTCTTTCTTTTTTTTTTTTTGAGAGGGAGTATCGCTCTTGTTGCCCAGGCTGGAGTGCAATGATGCGATCTCGGCTCACCACAACCTCCACCTCCCGGGTTCAAGCAATTCTCCTGCCTTAGCCTCCCGAGTAGCTGGGATTACAGGCATGTGCCACCACGCCTGGTTAATTTTGTATTTTTTTTTTTAGTAGTGATAGGGTTTCTCAATGTTGGTCAGGCTGGTCTCGAACTCCCGACCTCAGGTGATCCGCCTGCCTCGTCCTCCCAAAGTGCTGGGATTATAGGCGTGAGCCGCCGCGCCTGGCCAAAACATGATTTTCTTAAATCAATGTTTCTCCCACTGGGATTCCCTGAGTGTATCCCTAGGGGACTTTGCATTATTCAGGTTTGAAGAACGTAAGAATATACTGCTTTCTATTTATTTATTTGAGATGGGTTCCCTCTATCACCCAGGCTGGCGTGCAGTGAGGTGATGATAGCTCACTGCAACCTCCAACTCCTGAGCTCAAGCAACCCTCTGCCTCTGTCTCCCAAGTAGCTAGAACTACAGGTACACATGCCACCATGTCCAGCTAATTTTTCAACTTTTTGTAGGGATGGGGTCTTGCTATGGTGCCCAGGATGGTTTTGCATTCCTGAGCTCAAGCGATCCTCCCCTCTTGGCTTCCCAAAGTGCTGGGCTGACAAGTATGCACCACCGCCTCTGGCTCATACAGCTCTCTATGGGTAAGGGTGACCCAAGTCTGCTCAAAGAGGCCTTGCCCTCCAACTTGAGGGGAACTTGGCTTCTGGCCCAGCCCTATGCCCCATGAGATTTCCTAGGAGGAAACTTTGTAAAATATTTGAAGAGATTTATTCTAAGCCAAATATGAGTGACCATGGCCCATGACACAGCCCTTGGGAGATCCTGAGAACATGTGCCCAAGGTGGTTGGGAAGCAGCTTGGTTTTATACATTTTAGAGAGACATGAGACATCAATCAAATACATTTAAGATATATTAATACAGGGCCAGGTGCAGGGGCGTATGCCTGTAATCCCAGCACTTTGGGAGGCCGAGGCGGGTGGATCAACTGAGGCAAGAGTTCGAGACCAGCCTGGCCAACATGGTGAAACCCCGTCTTTACTAAAAATACAAAAATTAGCTGGGTGTGGTGGCACATGTCTGTAATCCCAGCTACTCAGGAGGTTGAGGCACGAGAATCGTTTGGACCTGGGAGGCAGAGGTTGCAGTGAGTGGAGATCACACCACTGCACTCCAGCCTGGGCGAAGAGTGAGACCCTGTCTCAATAAATACATAAAAAGGCCAGGCGCCGTGGCTCACACCTGTAATCCCAGAACTTTGGAAGGCCGAGGTGAGTGGATCACGAGTTCAGGAGTTTGAGACCAGCCTGTCCAAGATGGTGAAACCCCGTATTTTCTACTGAATTTTGTATTTTCTACTGAAAATACAAAAATTAGCTGGGCACGGTGGCGGGCGCCTGTAATCCCAGCTACTCGGGAGGCTGAGGCAGGAGAATCGGTTGAACCCAGGAGGCGGAAGTTGCAGTGAGCGGAGATGGTGCCACTGCACTCTAGTCTGGGCGACAGAGCAAGACTCAGTCTCAAAAAAATAAACAAATAAATAAAAATAAGTAAATAAATAAATAAAAACTACATTGGTTCGGTGCAGAAAGACCGGAAACTTGAAGTGGGGGCTTCCACATTATAGGCAGATTTAAACATTTTCTGATTGGCAATGAGTTGAAATAGTTATTATCAATAGGCCTGGTGCGGTGGCACACGCCTGTAATCCAAGCATTTTGGGAGGCCGAGGCAAGTGGATTACTTGAGCTCAGGAGTTTGAGATGAGAGTGGACAACATGGCGAAACCCTGTGTCTACAAAAAAAATGGAAAAATTAGCCAGGCATGGTGGTGCCCGCCTGTAGTCCCAGTTACTCAGGAGGCTAAGGTAGGAGGATAGCTTGAGCCTGAAAGACAGAGGTTGCAGCGAACCAAGAACTCATCACTGGACTCCAGCCTGGGCAACAGAGTTAGACCCTGTCTCAAAAAAAAAAAAGTTATTATCAATAGAAATGAATGTCTGGGTTATGATAAGGGATTGTGGACACCAAAGTTTTATCACGCACGTGAAGCCTCCAAGTGGCAGGTGGGCTCCAGAGAGAACAGATTGTAAATGTTTCTTACCAGTCTTAAGGTCTGTTGTGTTGATGTCAATGCTGAAGGATGTAATGAGGCATGTCTCATGTCCTGCTTCCCGTCATGGCCTGAACCAGTCTCTCAGGTTGGTTACATTTTAGACTGCCCTGGCCTAGGAGGAAGTCCGTTCAGATGGTTTGGTGTTGGGGGGGGGGTGGGGGCTTAGTTTTTTGTTTTGTTTTGTTTTGTTTTTTTGGCTTACAGAGTTTAGACTGAAGCCTTTGACTCTGTATCTGGCATTTCCTTAGACCACATGCTGTAGGGCTGGGCTCATGAAGGTTCTCACCTACACACCAGGTTGCTCCCTTGAGAAGGGGGACTTTGCTGGATCCTATAACCTAGCTAGTAGGAAGTAAAGGAGCTTGGGAACCAGACAAGCCTGAGTTTAAATCCTCTTTCCCGCGCCGCCCCACCTCCACTGATAGGTGTGTGACTCCGGGCAAATAAGTGATCGTTTTCTGTGCCTCAGTTTCCTCATCTGAAAAGTGGAGCTAGTAAGAACTCACAGTGGTTGCTACGAGGCTACGGTTAAGGGAAGACTTCTCCTGCACACCTCAAGCACAGTTTCCCTCCCCTTGGCGATATCCAAGAGCACTCACATCCGCCACAGCCCTCTCTGCTCATCGGGCCCTCGGGGTAGAAGTGAGTTAATTCCTGGCTAAATGTTAGTCTCAAACCACCGGGAAAACCACCCAGTTGCCCCAGACAGTGCAGCGGAGGGTGGGTGCGGCTATCAGGTCGACGCTAGAGACGCGGCGAAGGCGGGTGCGGAGGCCTAGCTCCCCCGAGCGCATTCCACCCTCCACAGAACCTCGGCCTGTGACCACGGCCTTTCTCAACACTGCGCCGCCCCCTGGCCGCCCCTCGCCATCCCGCCGCGCTGACGTGAGTGCGCGCGCGTCCGCCGCGCCCGCCCCGGCGCATGCGCGCTCTGCGCTGTCTTCTCCCGGCCTGAGCAGCAGCAGCTGCGGCGGCGGCGGCGTTTGAGTGGAGGAAGATGGCGGCTCCGGGCGGCTCGGGGTCCCGCCAGCTGTGAGGAGCCCCGAGCACGGCTGTCGCGGCCTGAGGCAGAGCGCCTCTGCTCTGGCCCTGTCCCTGGCTCCCTCATTACCGTCGCCAGCGGAGCGAACCCGAGAGCGTGGAGCGGGCTGGGCCAGGTGAGGCCTCTCCTCCTCCCCGGGCCGCAGAGGGGAGCCGGCGCCTTCTGCCCTTTATGCCCGGGACTGGCAAGGGGCAGCGGGCGCCCGGGGTCTGACGCAGGCCCCGTATCCCACGCGGGGGTCGGTCCTGGTTGGGCAGGGTGACTTGCTATCGCCGTCCTCGAGTGAGGCGAGGAGGAGGACAGCTCCTTTCCAGCCAGCCCTTGGGTTGGGAGCGAACCCACCCCCTCTCCTCAGCAGGGTGGTTCTCGTCCCCTCACCCGGGCAGTGAAGGGGTGTGTGGCCCGGGCAAGGATGGCTTTAGGGTGTCAGGTAATCTTTCATCGCTCCTCCGAACATTTCACTCCTTTGCGAGAGAGGAGTCGGGGGTCGGGTGCCCATCAAAATTGGGGCTGCGGCTGGGGGCTAGCATCTCTGAACCTGCAGCTGCAAAGGGATAATTTTGGAATTGGTTTACGTTAAATAAAACACAAAAGGCCTTTCCTATCCCCTAGCTTGTTGAGTGTTCCCTTAGAGAAATGGGAACTGCGGATCTCCTTGCTTGAGACAGCAATCCATGCTGTGACTGTGGAAGGCTTCTCTTGGCGAGAATTGTGTGTGCAAAGGGAACGGTGGAGGGTGGGAACGAATTTGTAAGCGAAGAGAAAACGATTGTGAGATCTTGATGGTCGCTGCAGAGTAACTTCAGCGCTGAGTTCGTTTGAAACCTTCGGTTTGTTAAGATTCAGAATAACCAATTGCTTTGTCTGTTAAATCTCCCGATTTCTGTTAGGAAAATAAAAGCCTCATTTCTTAATTGCCAGAGTCTGGATTTTTCTGTGGTGGGATTCTGATCGATCTAGATGAAGATTCTGACACATTACCAGTTTTACTTGCTGGCAGTTGCTGGCCCCGACGTTGAAACTATGTTGTTCCTTTTTGAGAACAACTTTTATTGCTGTTTAAATGCTAATTGGGAGACTTCGATTGTGTTTCTGTCATGTAGGGAAGTCGGTTTGAAGCCTTGTGGTCTCTTTCTTGAGGAATGATGGCTTCACTGAACTTGTGCTATGCAGAATTGTTGAGGCGATTGCTTTTGCTTGGACACACCAAAATATCTTTTGTAACAAATTGGCTTTACTTCTGCTTAAGAATGATGACATCATGGATTTAAAGAGGCAAGGAAAATTTGGGGGAAGTACCATCATTTAGAATTGAATATTTAGAATTAAGTCTGTATATCTTATGGCCATTAGTGATGCTGTGTTAAATTGCTAACTTTGAGTGTATTCACGTGTGTAATCTGATTGGGTGTCTTTTCTATTGTATGTTGTCATTTTATACCCAGTAACTGTTTGCTTTTGACAAGCCAGTATAAATAGATGATTCAATCTACATTGATCCATAGGCATGTTGCGTATCTTAAAAAGCTTTTCATTGTTAAAATGACAACTGTTTAGGTTATTATTTGACCATTTTCTTTCTTTCTTTCTTTCTTTCTTTCTTTCTTTCTTTTTTTTTTTTTTTTTGCAGTTTCTCACTCTGTCATCCAGGCTGGAGTGCAGTAGCACAGTCTCGGCTCTCTGCAATCTCCATCCCCTGGGTTTAAGCGATTCTCCTGCCTCAGCTTCCTGAGTAGCTGGGATTACAGGTGTGCGCCACCACGCCCGCTAATTTTTTTTTTTTTTTTTTTTTTTTTGTAATTTTAGTAGAGACGGGGTTTCACCGATGTTGCCCAGGCTGATCTCAAACTCCTGGTCTCAAGCGATACCCTGCCCCACCCCAGGCTTGAGCCACCGTGCCCAGCCTCCTTTTCTATTTTTAAATCAAAGACTTTTCCATAGAAATTTGTCGATTTTCTTAGTGTCTTTGCTAAAGATGTAAATCTGAACCAGCAGCTTCTCTGTGGTAGAAAATTGGAGAGCTACTTTGCATATCAATTTGCTAATAAAGAGTCATGAAATTAATGCAGTAAAACATCCTGGTGGCTCATCATTATGCTTCTTGGCATAATATGTTGCACTGTTATGCTAAATCATCATCAGGTATTGATGCAACTTCATGACATCCATGACATCATTTGCTCTCCAGATTTTGACCTTTGCAATTCCTTACCTTAGTTACAAAAAGAACAGGATCAGAAAAAAAATAGCTTAGGATGCTTCTTCTTGTCTGATTTCTAGAGGGGTCTTTAATAACAGCTTTATGTGGTTTAAACCCTGAGTAAGATTCAGAGCAGGGTGAGTCCTACCTATTATGGAGAGCAAGCAAAGAAAATGCTAACAAAACGTCTGAGTTTTATGAGAACACTGAGGTCCCAGGGAGAAGCTATCTCAAAGATGAACAAATACGTAATTATCTTTGTGATTTCAGAATTGTTTTAGTCAATGAATTAACTCTTTTTGTTTGTTTTTTGAGACATAGTTTTGCTCTTGTTTCCCAGGCTGGAGTGCAATGATCTCGGCTCACTGCAACCTCCACCTCTCCGGTTCAGGCGATTCTCCTGCCTCAGCTTCCTGAGTAACTGGGATTGCAGGTGCCTGCCATCATGCCCAGCTAATTTTTTGTATTTTTAGTAGAGACAAGGTTTCACTATGTTGGCCAGGCTGGTCTTGAACTCCTGACCGCAGGCGATCCACCTGCCTTGGCCTCCCAAAGTGCTGGGATTACAGGCTTGAGCCACTGCGCCCGGCCCTGAATTAACTCTTTATAAAACCAGAAGCCATTTGATTAAATAAAGCCCTTCCCACGATTGTTAATGTGGATCAGAAAAGATAGTGTTCGTGAAAGTGCTTTGTAAAATGTAAAATAAAAGGTAAATGTAAAATTGATTATTCCTATTTATGAACCACCTACTGAGGGCCCTCCATATGGCGGGTGTTTTGGGAAGTAGGTACTAATTTAAGACAGCTTTTGGTCTGAAGTTGCATATAGTATGGCTGGGGAGCCAGACAAGGAAACCCGTTAAGTGCTATGTAGTGTTAAGAAGTGCACTGAATCCAACCAAGAGAGTCAAGGAAGGCTTCTTGGAGCAGGGATGGCTTTTCCCCAACCTTTCCTATTATTCTGCAGAGTCTGCCTTTAGTGAGTGACTTGCTTTTTATAAAAACTTGAAAAAAAATTCTGTCATGGGTTCTTTTCCCCTTTTATTCATTCACTGTCATGACAGTTCCCACACAGTATGCCCCAGTTATGGCTTCTGCATTCTCAAAAATCCAGCAGTCTTGGGAAAACCTTTCTATATGAGTCATATACACAGGCAACAAACACAAACATTGCAGCTGCAATTAAAATATCTCAGATTACTAAGTGGTGACAACTTTAGAGTGATGATGCTTTTTTGTTTTTGTTTTGTAAACTAGTACAAGAGGCACTGTGTTTTTAATTTGATGACAATTAATACAGTAAATATTTAATTGTTATTCCTTACAATGTTGATTATAGGTGGTTATTAGTACTGTCTCCTTTTTCCCAACAATAAATAAAATGAGAAGATCTTAATTCCTTTTTGATTGAAGCTGACCGCTTAAGTGAGAATTACACTAAACTTTCTTTTTCTTTTTTATTTTTTTGAGACCAAGTCTTGCTCTATCGCCTAGGCTGGAGTGCAGTGGCGCAATCTCTGCTCACTGTAACCTCTACCTCCCGGGTTCCAGCGATTCTCCTGCCTCAGCCTCCCGAGTAGCTGGGAGTACAGGCACCCGCCCCACGCCCGGCTAATTTTTGTAGTTTTTTTTTAGTAGAGGTGGGATTTCACCATATTGGCCAGGCTGGTCTCGAACTCCTGACCATGTGATCCGCCCACCTTTGCCTCCCAAAGTGCTGGGATTACAGGCTTCAGCCACCGCTCCCGACGAATTACACTAAACTTTTATAGAATCTATGTGGATTGGTGTTGCTAGTAGCTTTGATATTGAACTTCTGTATCCCAGTACAAGTTATTTACCTTAGTGCTGTAGTTGTTGTACAATTAATTTAGCGTGTTGTTGCCTATATTGCAAAAACTTCGAATTTTTGGATTGAGTGAAATTTTTATGTGGCACTGTATTATTGAACATATACCATCTGTATCTTAACTGAAAATGAGTGATCTAAAGTTGCGGCTGATGGAAAAGTGAAGGTGATGTGTTCAGTTTTCTATAATGTGACAGCTTGCTACATGTACAAGGATATGACTTACAGACAAGTCATTTAAAAATTGTCCAGCATTAAGCTTATAATATAGCTTATGACTTATAGGCAAGTCTTTCTTTTCTTTTTTTCTTTTTTTTTTTTTTTTTGAGACGGAGTCTCGGGTCTGTCGCCAGGCTAGATAGAGTGCAGTGGCGCGATCTCGGCTCACTGCAAGCTCCACCTCCCAGGTTCACGCCATTCTCCTGCCTCAGCCTCCCGAGTAGCTGAGACTACAGGCGCCCACTACCACAGCTGGCTAATTTTTTGTATTTTTAGTAAAGACAGGGTTTCACTGTGTTAGCCAGGATTGTCTCGATTTCCAGACCTCGTGATCTGCCCGCCTCGGCCTCCCAAAGTGTGGGGATTACAGGCGTGAGCCACTGTGCCTGCCTAATTTTTGTATTTTTAGTAAAGATGGGGTTTCAACATGTTGGCCAAGCTGGTCTGGAGCTCCTGATCTCAGGTGATCCGCTGGCCTTGGCCTCCCAAAGTGCTGGGATTACAGGCGTGAGCCACAGTGCCCTGCCTGAAATTTCTACTTTTTAATTTGTAAAGTTGTTTGTTTGTTTGTTTGTTTGTTTGTTTTGAGAGGAAGTCTCTCTCTGTTGCCTAGGCTGGAGGGCAGTGGCGCCATCTTGGCTCACTGCAACCTTTGCTTCTGGGTTCAAGTGATTCTCCTGCCTCAGCCTCCTGAGTAACTGGTATTACAGGTGCACACCACCATGCCTGGCTAATTTTGTATTTTTAGTAGACACGGGGTTTCACCATGTTGGCCAGGCTACTCTCGAACTCCTGTCTTCAAGTGATCCACCTGCCTCAGCCTCCCAAAGTGCTAGGATTACAGGCATGAGCTACTGTGCTGGCCTGTAAAGTTTTTTTCTGAGTTTTTAATTTTTTCCAGTGTTTTGCTTCAAAGGTGGATGTATCTTGTGATGCTTTGATGCGCACACACACACACAGATAAGTGTATTTATATATGTACACTATATAAATCTGATAAATGTATAGTTATTATATATGGCAATAGTCACTTTTAAAATTGTACTATTCTGACAGGCCGGGTGCGGTGGCTCATGCCTATAATCCCAGCACTGTGGGAGGCTGAGGTGGGTGGATCACTTGAGGTCAGGAGTTCAAGACCAGCTTGGCCAACATGGTGAAACCCCATCTCTACTACTAAAAATACAAAAATTAGTGTGTGCCTGTAATCCCAGTTACCTAGGAGGCTGAGCCAGGAGAATCACTTGAACCCAGGAGGCAGAGGTTGCAGTGAGTTGATGTCCCTCCACTGCCCTCCAGCCTGGGCGACAGAGTGAGACTCTGTCTCAGAAAAAAAAAAAAAAAAATGTACTGTTCAGTACAGTAATTTAGCTTAGTAACTTATTTTCTCTTGTTTTTTTTTTTTTTTCCCCGAGACGGAGTCTAGCTCTGTCGCCCAGGCTGGAGTGCAGTGGCGCAATCTCGGCTCACTGCAAGCTCTGCTTCCCGGGTTCACACCATTCTCCTGCCTCAGCCTCCTCAGTAGCTGGGACTACATGCGCCCACCACCACGCCCAGCTAATTTTTTGTATTTTTGGTGGAGACGGGGTTTCACTGTGTTAGCCAGGATGGTCTCGATCTCCTGACCTCATGATCCGCCCGCCTCGGACTCCCAAAGTGCTGTGATTACAGGTGTGAGCCACTACGCCTCGCTCTCTTATTTTCTAGTAATAAATAGATTTGAAGTAGTTCATTTAATTTCTATAAAGGCAAGCGTGTTTTGGTTTTAGCTGGTAATGTTCCCTTAGAATATTTTCTATTTAGGATACTTTCAGTTGTTTTAAGGAATTCACTAGTATGGGGGTAAACGCACTTTCAAATGTTTCCTTTATTGATCTCTAATAAGGTAGGGTGTTTACTTTTTTGCTTTTCATTATAAATTTCTTCGTAAAGAATTGGTGAAGTGGTCACCTCAGTGGTAGCAAATAAGTTTCCTTGCTACTTTCTGTATCACTATATTGTACATGGATTTTAATTTATTCATTATTTTACACTTCGTTCTCACCATTAGTCGTTCTGACCCTGAAATTTGGCCAGCATAAGCCTCCTTAAGTTGGTAGTGTGTCCTTCTGATATGTCACCTTTGGTCTTGGAGTGCTTCCTTATTTTTTGTCACAACAAGCTATCCCGGATTCACCTTGTATCTACCTGTCATTGAAGTGAAATTAGTCGTTTTTCTAAGAAGACCTGGTGTCTTTTTTTTTTTTTTTTTTGAGACGGAGTCTCGCTCTGTCGCCCAGGCGGGAGTGCAGTGGCTTGATCTCGGCTCACTGCAAGCTCTGCCTCCCCGGTTCATGCCATTCTCCTGCCTCAGCCTCCCGAGTAGCTGGGACTACAGGCGCCCGCCACCATGCCCAGCTAATTTTTATATTTTTAGTAGAGACAGGGTTTCACCTTGTTAGCCAGGATGGTCTCGATCTCCTGACCTTGTGATCCGCCTGCCTCGGCCTCCCAAAGTGCTGGGATTACAGGCGTGAGCCACCGCGCCTGGCGACTCAGTGTCTTTTACAGGGAATGCCAGTAGAAACCAGGATCTGTGTGCTAGGGATGCTCATTGCTACAGGGTCTTCATTGTTTCTAGGTCCTTTCAGTAGTCACAACTAGAAAATTTTATTTTATTTTATTCTATTTTATTTTTAAGACAGAGTCTCGCTCCATCACCCAGGCTGGAGTTCAGTGGCAGGATCTCAGCTCACTGCAACCTCCGCCTCCTGGGTTCAAGCAATTCTCCTGCCTCAGCCTCCCAAATAGCTGGGATTACAGGTGTCCTCCACCACGCCCAGCTAATTTTTTGTATTTTTAGTAGAGATGGGGTATCACCATGTTGGCCAGGCTGGTCTCGAACTCCTGGCCTCGTGATCCGCCTGCCTTGGTCTCCCAAAGTGCTGGGATTACAGGCGTGAGCTGCCGCGCCTGGCTCAGAAAATATATATATATGTTTTTTTGTTGTTGTCGTTTTTTTGAGACGGAGTCTCACTCTGTCTCTCAGGCTGGAGTACAATGGCATAATCTTGGGTCACTATAACCTCCGCCTCCCAGGTTCAAGTGATTCTCCTGCCTCAGCCTCCGGAGTAGCTAGGATTACAGGTGCCCACCACCACACCCAGCTAATATTTGTATTTTTAGTAGAGATGGGGTTTCACCAGGTTGGCCAGGCTGGTCTCAAACTCCTGACCTCAGATGATCCACTCACCTTGGCCTCCCAAAGTGTTGGGATAACAGGTGTGAGCCACCACGCCCGGCCCAGAAAATATTATTAGAAATCAGAACTTTATATTGATATTTACAACTGAATTTAACACATTTATGGGATTTTTTCTTTTGATTTTATATTTGTCTCATACTGAAATATTTGGTTTTAATAATATTAACATTTATTTGCTTTATCCTATGTATGTATAAGAAGGTTTAAAAATGTAACAACTGGATGGGTGCTGTGGCTCACGCCTGTAATCCCAGCACTTTGGGAGGCTGAGGTGGGCAGATCACCTGAGGTTGGGAGTTTGACACCAGCCTGGCCAACATGGGGAAACCCCGTCTCTACTAAAAAATACAAAAAAAAAAAAAAAAAAAAGTTAGCTGGGTGTGGTGGTATGTGCCTGTAATCTCAGCTACTTGGGAAGCTGTGGTAGGAGAATCACTTGTACCTGGGAGGCCGAGGTTGCAGTGAGCTGAGATCAAGCCACTGTACTCCAGCCTGGGCGGTAGAGTCTCTGTCTCAAAAAAAAAAAAAAAAATTATATATATTCCATATTACTACTAATAAAATACCTGAAGCTAACTTAAAGTAATCCCAGCACTTTGGGAGGCTGAGACGGGTGGATCACTTGAGGTCAGGAGTTCGAGACCAGCCTGACCAACAATGGGGAAACCCCATCTCTACTAAAAATACAAAATTAGCTGGGTGTGGTGGCACATGCCTGTAATTCCAGCTACTTGGGAGGCTGAGGCAGGAGAATCGCTTAAACCTGGGAGGTGGAGGTTGCGGTGAGCCAAGATTGCGCCATTGCACTCCAGCCTTGGCAACATGAGTGAAACTCTGTTTCAAAAAAATAAAAAAAAGATCCCTTTGCAGTTTTCTTTTTTTGTTGTTGTTTTTTTTTTTTTTGCCATGCTAAAGTGTGGTGTGATTATGGCTCAATGCAGCCCCAATCTCCTGGCTCAAGCGATCCTCCTGCCTCAGCCTCCCGAGTAGCTAGAACTACAGGTGGGCACCACTACACCTGGCCAATATTTTTTTTTGAGACGTAGTCTCTGTCACCCAGGCTGAAGTACAATGGCACGATCTGGGCTCACTGCAACCTCCACCTCCTGGGTTCAAGCGATTCTCCTGCCTCAGCCTCCCAAGTAGCTGGGATTATAGGCACCCACCACCACGCCTGGCTAATTTTTTGTATTTTTAGTAGAGATGGGGTTTCACCATCTTGGCGAGGCTGGTCTTGAACTCCTGACCTCGTGATGTACCTGCCTCGGCCTCCCAAAGTGCTGGGAATTTTTTTGATTTTTATTTTTTTAGACACAGGGTCTGGCTCTGTCACCTGGGCTGGAGTGCAGTGGTGCAATCTCTGCTTACTACAACCTCTCCCTCCCAGGCTCAAGTTACTGTCCCATCTCAGCCTCCTGAGTAGCTGGGACTACAGTCACATGCCACCATGCCAGGCTAATTTTTTTGTGTTTTTTGTAGAGATGGAGTTTTGCCATGTTGCCCACGCTGGTCTGGAATTCGTGTCTTCAAGCAATCCTCCACCTGCCTTGACCTAAAGTGTTGGCATTGCAGGCGTGAGCCACTGCGCCTAGCCTGCAGTTCTTCTAAATCCTTAGAATTTTTTATCCATCAGGATCCAGCCAAAAACTGGAAAATATACTAAATATTTCAAAGAGGAAATTTAATATAGGGAATTGGTTACATATGTGTTATAACACCAGAAGGGCAAAAGATGGTAGAGTAGGTGTCTTAGTCCATTTTGTGTTTCTGTAAAGAATACCTGAGATTAAGTAATTTATTATATAAAGAAAAGAGGTTTATTTAGCTCATGGTTCTACAGGCTAGGAAGTTCAAGTCCATGGCCCTGGCTTCTGGCAGGGCTTTCCAGCTGTATCACAGTGTGGCAGGAAAGGTCAAAGGGGAAGTTGACATGTGAATAGGGGAAACGTTGGGGATGGCCTGATTTATAACAACCTACTCTCCCAGGAACTAATCTAGTTTCGGAGAGCCAGAACTCACTCACTACCAGGAGAACAGCACCAAGTCACTCATGAGAGATCTGCCCCCATTACCTAAACACCACCCAGTAGGCCCCACCTCCTAACACCACCACATTGGGGATCAAATTTCCACATGAGTTTTGGTGGCGACAAACCTTATCTAAACCATAGCAGTAGGTAACTTAGAAATTAATTACTGTAGGGTGAAACTATTAAGGGTCAGGGGAACAAAAGGGAGGAGATGGTATTACTATAACTTTTTTTTTTTTTTTTTGAGACAGGATCTCAATCTGCCTCCCAGACTGGAGTGCAGTGGGCGATCACGGTTTACTCCAGCATTGACCTCCCCAGGCTCAGGTGACCCTCCTACCCCAGCCTCCCTAGTAGCAGAGACTACAAGCAGGTGCCACCGTGTCCATTGTTTCTGTAGAGTTAGGGTTTTTTTTTTTTTTTTTTTTTGAGACAGAGTTTCGCTCTTCTTGCCCAGGCTGGAGTGCAATGGCGTGATCTCGGCTCACCGCAACCTCCGCCTCCCAGGTTCAAGCAATTCTCCTGCCTCAGCCTCCTGAGTAGCTGGGATTACAGGCATGTGCCACCACACCCGGCTAATTTTGTATTTTTAGTAGAGACGGGGTTTCTCCATGTTGGTCAAGCTGGTCTTGAACTCCCAGCTTCAAGTGATCCGCCCGTCTTGGCCTCCCAAAGTGCTGGGATTACAGGCGTGAGCCACTGCACCTGGCCTGTAGAGTTAGGGTTTTGCCATGTTGTCCAGGGTGGTCCTGAACCCCTGGGCTCAGGTGATCCACCCACCTCAGACTCCCAAAGTGCTGGGATTACAGACATGAGCCACTGCGCCTGGCCCAGAACTTTTTTTTTTTTTTTTGGAGACGGAATTTCTCTCTTGTTGCCCAGGCTTGAGTACAATGACGCGATCTTGGCTCATCGCGACCTCCGCCTCCCAGGTTCAAGCGATTCTCCTTCCTCAGCCTCCTGAGTAGCTGGGATTACAGGCAGACGCCACTATGCCTGGCTAATTTTGTATTTTTAGTAGAGACGGGGTTTTCTCCATGTTGGTCAGGTTGGTCTCGAACTCCTGACCTCAGGTGATCCGCCCGCCTTGGCCTACCAAAGCGCTGGGATTACAGGCATGAGCCACCGCACCCGGCCCAGAACTTTTAAGAATATCAAATAGTAGGGACCACCACTCAAACTTACTGCCACTTTTTTTTTTTTTTTTTTTTTTTTTAAAAGACGCAGTCTCACTTGGTTGCCCAGGCTGGAGTGCAGGGGTGCAATCTTGGCTCACTGCAACCTCTGCCTCCCCACCTCCCAGGTTCAAGCGATTCTCCTGCCTCAGCCTCCTGAGTAGCTGGGATTACAGGCGTGCACCACCACTCCCAAATAATTTTTGCATTTTCAGTAGAGACGGTGTTTTACCATGTTGGTCAGGCTGGTCTCGAACTCCTGACCTCATGATCTGCCCGCCTCGGCCTCCCAAAGTGTTGGGATTACAGGCATGAGCCACGGCTTCCAGCCTACTACCACTTTTATAGCTGGGACTTTGAGGAGGAATTGCCAAGGGTTGTCTCATGGTTGGTGCTTGAACCATTCTAATATTTATTTGGTTTTGGTTTATCCTTTAAATGTTGGATTTTGCAATAATAAGCAAATATCTGCATATATTCTTTTTTTCTCTTATGCAAAAGGTTTTCCTACTATATACGCTGCTCAGCCTCTTGGTCTTTTCACCTAGTATATTTTGGAGATCATTCCATATTGGAACAGAGGTAGTCCTTATTCATTTCCACACCTACACAGTGAGGATGCACCAGAGTTTGTTCAACTGGTCTGTTTTTGATGGACATTAGTAAATAATGCTTTACTGCTGATTTTTTATAAATAAATTTTGGTATGGTACAATAGAAGAAGTGCTGGGCTGAAAGACAAAAGATACAGTTTCTATTTTTGCTACTCATTGGCTGTATGACCTTAAAGCCACTTAGGTTTTCTGACCTCACTTTCCTCATTTGTGAAATAAGGGTTCAGTTGTTCTATAATATCTACTCCTGCTTATACTATTTTGTATTTTTCTGCAAGTTTTATTAACCGTATTTTAAGCCTATTGCTCAGTAAAGTGTATAAAGCATTGTAAGAAAATTATAAATGAGAACATAAGGTTAAGTTTTAGAAGTAACTTAACCTTGGCATGGCAAAACCCTAACCCTCAGTAGAGGGTTGGCCGGGCGCAGTGGCTCACGCCTGTAATCCCAGCACTTTGGGAGGCCAAGGTGGGTGGATCACTTGAGGTCAGGAGTTTGAGACCAGCCTGGCCAACATGGTGAAACCCCGTCTCTACTAAAAATACAAAAAATTAGCTGGGCGGGGTGGGCGCCTTTAATTCCAGCTACTCGGGAGGCTGAGGCAGGAGAATTGCATGAACCTGGGAGAGGCGGAGGCTGCAGTGAGCCGAGATGGCACTATTTCACTCTAGCCTAGGCAACAAGAGTGAAACTCCGTCTCAAAAAAAAAAAGTACTACCAAAGGTTTTCTGGATTTGGATCTGTGGTGCTTGTTGATAGAATTAAGATTTCTGCTTTCATGCCTATTTTTCTGAAACAGTCTCCAGGAAATCTACCTGCTAGGTGATTTTTAATTTTTTTAATTTACTTTTTTTTTTTTGAGACTGGAGTCTTGCTCTGTCGCCCAGACTGGAGTGCAGTGGCACGATCACGGCTCATTGCAAGCTCCGCATCCCGGGTTCACGCCATTCTTCTGCCTCAGCCTCCCAAGAGCTGGGACTATAGGCGCCTGCCACCACGCCTGGCTAATTTTTTGTATTTTTAGTAGAGACAGGGTTTCACTGTGTTAGCCAGGATGGTAATTTACTTTTTAAATTTTTTCTTGAGACAGGGTCTTGCTTTATCACCCAGGCTGGAGCGCAGTGGTACAATCATGGCTCACTGCAGCCTGGATTTCCCAGGCTAAGTGATCCTCTACCTCAGACTCACAAGTAGCTGGGACTACAGGTGTGAGCCACCGTGCTTGGCCAGGTGATTTTTATGATCAGGTGAAGCAAAGATTTACTTCATGTGCATATACACCACTGTCCTTTAGGTTTCCTGGGGATAAGATGTAATCAAGACATTATCTACCTTTCATAAATTCATAATCTGTTCAGCTGTGCAAGTATTAACCAAAAATGTGTAATCTGGTTATTGAGAAAATTTACATAAGAACATAACTATGGCTGGGTGTGGTGGCTCATGCCTGTAATCCCAGCACTTTGGATGGCTGAGGCGGGCTGATCATGAGGTCAAGACATCAAGACCATCCTGGCCAACATGGTGAAACTCTGTCTCTACTGAAAATACAAAAATTAGCTGGGCGTGGTGGCACGCACCTGTAGTCCCAGCTACTCGGGAGGCTGAGGCAGGAGAATCACTTGAACCCAGGTGGCGGAGGTTGCAGTGAGCCAAGAACATGCCACTGCATTCCAGCCTGGCAACACAGTGAGACTTCATCTCAAAAAAACAAAAACAAAAAAACTATAACAATATGAAATAGTGTGACATTGTGTCGATAAGTAATGGTATAGATGGACTTCTGGAAATGATTAATGTGGAATGGAGTAGGAAATGACTTGTGATGGAAGGAGGTCCTCTCCTCTGCTCTAGAGAAGTGAGTAGGAGGCAGAAGCAGGAAGGCATTCCTTTGCCCTGACCACCACTAGAAAAAAGATAAATGACCGCTGGGCAGGGTGGCTTACGCCTGTAATCCCAGCACTTTGGTAGGCTGAGATGGGTGGATCGCTTGAGGTTGGGAATTTGAGACCACCTGGCCAACATGGTGAAACCCCATCTCTACTAAAAATACAGAAATTAGCCGGGGGTGATGATGTGCACCTGTAATCCCAGCTACTCAGGAGGCTGAGGCAGGAGAATTGCTTGAATTTGGGAGGCGGAGGTTGCAGTGAGCCGCGATTGTGCCACTGCACTCCAGCCTGGGGAAAAGGGCGAAACACCGTCTCAAAAAAAAAAAAAAAAAAAAAAAAGACAAATGGAAATAAAATGTTCCATTCCATCACAGCATCTTGTTAAAATGTATTATGTTCTTTGCAGAATATTTTTGTTTATCAGTGGGGAAGCTAGGTTTATATGCCACCCGAGAGATTTGATAGGAGCATTGTGGGATTGTAAAGTACTTTGAATTCCTCTTGAAACACTGTTTTTACCATGCTACTGGTCTGCTCACATTTAGTAAATTCCTGGAGACTGCAGAATAATCTCTAGATTGATGAGGCAAAAGGCTAGAGTCAGAACAGTTAGGTAGGTGTCTACTATTTTGGTTCAAGTGTGGATGACAATGCCCAGCATCAAAGCAGGGGGATAACAATAAAAGGTAGGACGTTTTGAAGAAACAGGTAATAGAGGAAAGTGAAAGTCTGTATCCAAGACAAGATGTCATGCAACATTGTTATTCTTTTTTTTTTTTTTTTTTTTTTGGAGATAGGGCCATACTCTGTTCCTCAGGCTACAGTGCAGAGGCTCACTGCAGCCTCAACTTCAGTGCTCAAGCGATCCTCCCTCTTTTTTTTTGAGATGGAGTCTCGCTCTGTTGTCCAGGCTGGAGTGCAGTGGAGCATGATCTCAGCTCACTGCAAGCTCTGCCTCCCAGGTTCACACCATTCTCCTGCCTCAGCCTCCCGAGTAGCTGGGACTACAGGCGCCTGCCACCACACCTGGCTAATTTTTTGTATTTTTAGTGGAGACGGGGTTTCACTGTGTTAGCCAGGATGGTCTTGATCTCCTGACCTCATGATCCACCTGCCTCGGCCTCCCAAAGTGCTGGGATTACAGGTGTGAGCCACCGCGCCCGGCCAATCCTCCCTCCTTGGCCTCCCAAAGTGTAGGCGTGAGCCACTGTGTTTGGCCTATTATTCTTTTTTTTTTTTTTTTTTTTTTTTTTTTTTTTTGAGACGGAGTCTCGCTCTTTCTCCCAGGCTGGAGTACAGTGGCGCGATCTCCACTCACTGCAACCTCTGCCTCCTGGGTTCAAGCAATTCTTCTGCCTCAGCCTCCCGAGTAGCTGAAATTACAGGTGCCTGTCGCCGTGCCCAGCTAATTTTTGTATTTTTTGTAGAGGCGGGGGTTTCACCATGTTGGGCAGGCTGGTCTTGAACTCCTGACCTCAGGTGATCCGCCCACCTTGGCCTCCCAAAGTGCTAGGATTACAGGCGTGAGCCACTGTGCCTGGCCTGGCCTATTATTCTTTTGAGGATGGTTTGAAGTTAATTTCAATGACAATTTATAGTATCTCTTAAAAAGAATAAATGGAGTCCTATGATTGGGTTCAAATCTGGTTCTGTGTAATCATGGGCAAGTTAATTTATCTCAGCCTCAATTTTCCTCATCTTATCCTCATCTTAGAATTGATAATATGTTCCTCACAGAGTTGACGTAAAGATTAAATGAGATAAGGCACCTGGCACATGTTCTCAATACCTGTTGATTCCATTTTCTCATCTAGTGTTGATACCAGCTACATTTTAATGGTTACTGAAGACCTTGATACTCAAGGTCCCCAAACTGGCAGTGCTGGCATCATCAAGGTGAGAATACAGTGTCAAGTTCCACCCGAGGCTTACTGAATCTGAATCTATAAACTAGATTCACATTAAAATTTGAGAAGCATTGGAACCTTAGGAGATATTGAATGAGATTTCCTCTGAGTACCTAATGATTTGGTTGTTCTTTTATCTTTGGACAGTTGTTTTTGCTGTGCACTCTTAGCTGAAACTATTTTAGATAAAATATGTGCACTTGTGTTTGGAAAGACAGTCCAATTGCAGAAATGTTTATATTATTATTTTTGAGACAGAGTTTCGCTCTTATTGCCCAGGCTAGAGTGCAATGGCATGATCTCTGCTTACCACAACCTCCACCTCCCGGGTTCAAGTGATTCTCCTGCCTCAGCCTCCCAAGTAGCTAGAATTACGGGCGTTTGCCACCACACCCAGCTATTTTTTGTATTTTTTAGTAGAGACGGGGTTTCACCATGTTTGCCAGGCTGGTCTTGAACTCCTGACCTTAGGTGATTCACCTGCCTTAGCCTCCCAAAGTGTTGGGATTATAGGCGTGAGCCACCGCACCCAGCCCAGACATCCTTCTTCTATGAATATGTCCAAATTAAACCTTGGCCCAGCTAGGGACAGTGGCTCATGCCTGTAATCCCAGCACTTTGGGAGGCCGAGGCAGGTGGATTGCTTGAGGTCAGGAGTTCAAGACCAGCCTGGCCAACATGGTGAAACCCCTCTCCCCTAAAAATACAAAACTTAGCCAGGCGTGATGGTGTCTGCCTGTAATCCCAGCTACTCAGGAGGCTGAGGCAAAGAGCTGCTTTAACCCAGGAGGTGGAGGTTGCAATGAGCCAAGATCACGCCACTGCTCCCCAGCCTGGGTGACAGAGCTAGACTACATCTCAAAAAAAAAACAAAAACAAACAAAAAAGGGCAGCAAGAATAAAGGATCATAGAGGTGGGAAGAGAGAATATTACGATCATTTGGCTGAAGGAGAGAGGAATAGACCAGAGTGAGGAGAGGCACACAAAAAGTAAGATTAGGCCAGACGCGGTGGCTCATGCCTGTAATCCCAACACTTCGGGAGGCTGAGGTAGGCAGGTCACCTGAGGTCAGGAGTTCAAGATCAGCCTGGGCAACATGGTGAAACCCCATCTCTACTAAAAACAGAAAAATTAGCCGGGCATGGTGGCAGGCGCCTGTAATCCCAGCAACTTAGGAGGCTGAGGCAGGAGAATCGCTTGAACCCAGGAGGTGTTCAGTGAGGTTGCAATGAGCCGAGATTGCGCCATTGTACTCCAGCCTGGGCAACAAGAGCGAAACTCCATCTCAAAAACAAAACAAAATTTA
This sequence comes from Homo sapiens, assembly GCF_000001405.40. Classification (NCBI taxonomy): domain Eukaryota; kingdom Metazoa; phylum Chordata; class Mammalia; order Primates; family Hominidae; genus Homo; species Homo sapiens. Next base: position 16,335,929 of record NC_000001.11, on the reverse strand, counting down.
AAAACCTTGAATTTTAAAGAATAGGCCTTAAAACAGTCAAAAGGTTTTTTTTTTTTTTTTGGCGCGATGGAGTCTCGCACTGTCACCCAGGCTGGAATGCAATGGCGTGATCTCAGCTCACTGCAACCTCTGCCTCTCAGGTTCAAGCGATTCTCCTGCCTCAGCCTCCTTAGTAGCTGGGATTACAGGTGCCCACGACCACGCCCAGCTAATGTTTTGTATTTTTAGTAGAGATGGTGTTTCACCATGCTGGCCAGGCTGGTCTCGAACTCCTGACCTCTGGTGATCCACCCGCCTCGGCCTCCCAAAGTGGTAGGATTACAGGTATGAGCCACTGTGCCTGGCCCAGTCAAAAGTTTTTGATCCAGATTTGCATCATGAAGTTTAATACTACAGCGAAATAAAGAATAGATTGAAGAAGGAAGAAGGAAGGAAGTGGGAAACCAGCTAATTCTCTCTAATTGTGGCAGATTAGTTAGGAAGTGATATGAGCCGGGGGCATGGTGTCTCACACCTGTAATTCCAGCACTTTTGGATGCCAATACAGGAGGATCACTTGAACCCAGGAGTTTGAGACCAGCCTGGGCGATGTGGCGAAATCCTGGCTCTACAAAATAAAAAAATTAGCTGGTCTTGATGGTGTGCACCTGGAGTCCCAGCTTCTTGGGAAGTTGAGGCAGGAGAATCACCATGTTGCCCCAGCTGGACTCCTGGCCTCAAACAGTCCTCCCACCTCAGACTCCTGAGTCGCTGGGATACAGACACAAGCCACCATGTTGGTAATTTTATTTATTTTCTTTTCTCTTTTTTTTGAGACAGAGCCACCAAGCCTGGCTAATTTTTTTTTTTTTTTTTTTTTTTTTTTTGTACAGACGAGGTTTTGCTGTGTTGCCAGGGCTGGTGTTGAACTCTTGGGCTCAAGCTATTCGCCCACCTTGGCTTCCCACAGTGCTGGGATTACGGGTGTGAACCACTGCGCGTGGCCATTATTAAAATAGTTTTTTCTTCCTGATACTAAGGATCACTGTTTACCCTTCTAGAACTCCATTTAATTTGTATTTGCTTTAAGGAATTTCAGTGTTTAAGAATGAGAGAACTTTGAATGTTTTTGCATACCTGTTTGCCTGTATGAGTCATCTTTATGTACTTTCTATTTAGCATTTCTCCTATTTGGGGTTCTGATTTGTAGTTTACAGCATTAAGGAAGTAACAGAGAACTAGATAACTCATAACAACCTTGGTATTATCTTTTGTATGGTAATGTTATTGTGTTGTCGGGAATTCTGTTAAGTGTGTGTCAGTTTAATTTTAGTTTGTAAACTGATACAGAATAGTAAACATGAAGCAGTGAAATTATGTTGTTAGTTGTGGGTTATTTTAAACATTATTGAAAAGTGGACTGTTTAACATAGACCATATCACTGGCCTTTTGCTCCAAGTGCCAGGGAGGTGTTCTCAGGTCATTAGTCTTATCTGTAGAATCAGTCTGTTTTTTTTTTTTTTTTTTTTTTGAGGCGGAGTCTCACTCTGTCGCCCAGGCTCGATCTCCGCTCACTGCAAGCTCCGCCTCCCGGGTTCACGCCATTCTCCTGCCTCAGCCTCCCGAGTAGCTGGGACTACAGGCACCCGCCACCACACCTGGCTAATTTTTTGTATTTTTAGTAGAGACGGGGTTTCACCGTGTTAACCAGGATGGTCTCGATCTCCTGACCTCATGATCTGCCCGCCTTGGCCTCCCAAAGTGCTGGGATTACAGGCGTGAGCCACCGGGCCCGGCCTAGAATCAGTCTTAAATGAAGTGAACACTTCTGTCCTCCCCATATTTCTGTCTGGTAGCTGAATTTCATATTATAAGCTATCTTTGAATATATTTGTATTCTGCACAGTCATCACTTATTTTCATAGAAATGGTACAGAATATAGCCTTTTGAAGTTTCTGATGGATTATTATTTTTACCGTACAGTTGATACAGTATGCAAAATCAATTTTCCTGAGATCATAGCAAATTTATAGAAGGTCAGAGATGGAAATTAGTTTTCTGGATTCCATCCCTTTAAATGCTGACTGTTAAAATTGAACTAGTATTAACAGTTTTCAGCCATAACACTACCCATCTGAAATACAGTATGATTCAACACACATAAAAAGACAATTGGTATTGGCAATTTTCACATTTCTGGACACCACATCTTAAGGCATATTTTCCTTAAAGCAAACTCGTGGCTGTGCATTTTTGCATCTTGATTGCTTTAGTGCTCTTGCCTTGTCTTGACTTTATTGGAAGCCATAGCAATGAGAAGTAAAATGTGGATTTTATTTTTTCATATTTTAATTAATTTTTTAAGAGATCGTCTTGCACTGTCACAGGCTGGAGTGCAGTGGTGCAATCATCAGGTGATCTTCCCACCTCAGCCTCCCACATAGCTGGGACTACAGGTGCACACCACCATACCTAGCATTTTTTTTTTCTTCTTGGAAATGGGGGGGGGGGGTCTCACTATTTGCCCAGGCTGGTCTCGAACTCCTGGCCTCAAGCGATCCTCTGGTGGCAGTCTCCTGAGTTGCTGTGATTATAGGCATAAGCCACCACTCCTGGCTCTTAATGTGGGTTTTAATTAGGCAAGTGGTTAATAAGCAAAATTGTAACTTATGAAGTGGTGAAAAGTAGAAACTATCTCTAGTATTTATCTAATGTTGGCTTACGTCTTGTAGGCCACCTCTCTCAACAAATATTTATATAACTTTGAGATAATGAAGATACTGTACAAAATGAATAGAAGGTCAGAGGAATACTTAATTGGCTGGAGGGGATAGAACCTCAAGAAGAGGTAACTCTTACGTGGCAGAGTAGGAATTTGTCCTACTGGCAAGTAGGAGTACGGTATTTCTGCAAGAGGGGATGGCCAGCAAGAGCAGAGACTAGAAATGAGAAAGGAGTTTAAGGTATTTCACAAACAAGTACTTCAGATGACTGAATTGAAATCTGTTGGAAAAAGCCACTACTCTTCTCATTGTTAAATTCATGACATGCTTTGGTCACTATTGCCTGATAATTTTATTCATTTTATCAAAAATATTCATTAGTCGAGGCCAGGCGCAGTGGCTCACACTTGTAATCCCAGCACTTTGGGAGGCCGAGGCAGGCATATGACTTGAGGTCGGGAGTTCAAGACCAGCCTGACCAACATGGTGAAACTGTATCTCTACTAAAAATACAAAAATTAGCTGGGCATGGTGGCACATGTCTGTAATCCCAGCTGTTCAGCAGCTTGAGGCAGGAGAATCACTTGAACTCTGGAGACGGGGGTTGCAGTGAGCTGAGGTTGTGCCACTGCACTCCAGCCCTGAGTGACAGAACAACTCCGTCTCAAAAAAAAAAAAAAGGAAAAGAAATTCATTAGTTGAAACATTGTTAATAGGAGTAGTTAAACCAAGTAAGATTTATTTTCCAACCTCCAGGAGGATAACTTTATTTGCTTACTAAATCACAATATAGCAATGTCATTTATTAAATCTTTTAATCAATTCCATAAGCATTTTTTTTGGAGAATAATAGATATATTTAATCTTCCTTCATTCAACTATAGCAATGGTAATAATAACAATGTGCCTCCCATTGTTGGAACAATTTTAAAATTTTAACCTATAAATTTACTGTCATTTTTAAGTGCAAGCAAAGCTCTCAGTGTATGTGATTAAATTTATCAAAGGTGGCAAAGAGGGGATTACATTTTTATTTCACTTGTTTTTCCCTGTCCTAAATCTGTTATCCCAGAATGAACAAAACATATGCTGTATCAGAAGTGACTAACTATTAAAGCTAATGAGATATAACCAGCAACTGATATCATATACTTTTTCTTTTTCTTTTTTTTTTTGGAGATGGAGTTTTGCTCTTGTTGCCCAGACTGGAGTGCAATGGCACGATCTCGGCTCAACACAACCTTCACCTCACAGGTTCAAGCGATTCTCCTGCCTCAGCTTCCCGAGTGCTGGGATTACAGGCGTGTATCACCATGCCTGGCTAATTTTGTATTTTTAGTAGAGACAGGGTTTCTCCATGTTGGTCAGGCTGGTCTCGAACTCCTGACCTCAGGTGATCTGCGCGCCTCAGCCTCCCAAAGTGCTGGGATTACAGGCATGAGCCACCGCGCCTGGCTGCATTTATTTATTTATTTATTTATTTTGAGACTGAGTCTTGCTCTGTTGCCCAGTAGTGCGATCTCGGCTCACTGAAACCTCCGCCTCCCTAGTTCAAGTGAAAATCCTGCCTCAGCCTCTGAATAGCTGGGATTATAGGTGCCCACCACCAGGCTGGGCTAATTTTTGTATTTTTAGCAGAGACAGGGTTTCACCATGTTGGCCAGGCTGGTCTCGAACCCCTGAGCTCAGGTGATCCACCCACCTTGGCCTCCCAAATTGCTGGGATTACAGGCATGAGCCACCGCACCAAGCCGGTTTTTACTTTTTAATTAAATTATTATTATTATTATTATTATTATTATTTTCTTTTTGAGACAGAGTCTCGCTCTGTCGCCCAGGCTGGAGTGCAGTGGCACGATCTCGGCTCACTGCAAGCTCTGCCTCCCCCGGGTTCACGCCATTCTCCTGCCTCAGCCTCCTGAGTAGCTGGGACTACAGGCGCCCGCCACCATGCCCGGCTAATTTTTTGTATTTTTAGTAGAGACGGGGTTTCACCGTGTTAGCCAGGATGGTCTTGAACTCCTGACCTCGTGATCCGCCCACCTCGGCCTCCCAAAGTGCTGGGATTACAGGCGTGAGCCACCATGCCCAGCCTATTATTATTTTTGAGATGGAGTTTCACTCCGTCACTAGGCCAGAGTACAGTGGCGCTGTCTTGGCTCACTGCAACCTCCGCCTCCTGGTTCAAGCGATTCTCCTGCCTCAGCCTCCCCAGTAGTTGGGACTACAGGCACGCGCCACCATGCCCAGCTAATTTTTGTATTTTTATTTTATTTTATTTTTGAGACAGAGTCTTGCTCTTGTTGCTCAGGCTGGAGTGCAATGGCAGGATCTCGGCTCACTGCAACCTCCGCCTCTTGAGTTAAAGTGATTCTCCTGCCTCAGCCTCCTGAGTAGCTGGGATTACAGGTGCCCACCACCATGCCCAGCTAATTTTTTGTATCTTTAATAGAGACGGGGTTTCACAGTGTTGGCCGGGCTGGTCTCAAACTCCTGACCTCAGGTGATTCACCTCCTCGGTCTCCCAAAGTGCTGAGATTACAGGCGTGAGCCACCGCACCTGGCCAATTTTTGTATTTTTAGTAGAGACAGGGTTTCACCATGTTGGCCAGGATGGTCTCAATCTGTTGACCTTGTGATCTGCCTGCCTCAACCTCCCAAAGTGCTGGGATTACAGGTATGAACCACTGTGCCTGGCCAAATAAATTAATTTTTGTGGGGGACAGGATCTCACTCTGTCACACAGGCTGGAGTGCAGTGGTAAGACCATAGCTCCCTGCAGCCTCCACCTCTTGGGCTCAAGCCATCCTTCCACCCCAGCCCCCAAGTAGCTGCCACCACACCCAGCTAATTTTTAAATTTTTTTTGTGGAAACAGGGCCTAGTCTGTGTTGCCCCAGCTGGTCTTGAACTCCTGGGCTCAAGTGATCCTCTCATCTTGGCGTCTCAAAGTGCTGGGATTACAGGCATGAGCCCCTGCACCCTGCCTACTTTAAATTTTTTAATCTTCATTTCCCCATTATGAATTTTCTGACATAGATACACAGAAAGTTTTATTTGCCCAAGGTATGCAGGAATGAAATTACTTTCTGTCCATTGTAAAACTAGCTTAGTGTCTAGCTACATTGTGTGATAATAATATAATAACTTCACCTAGGTGGAGACAAGTTAGGAAGGTAGGGGAAATTATGCTCTACTACTGTGAGAGGAAAACGTACATACACGAATTATTTGGAAATCTGCAGGGGAGATTCCCCCCTTTTTGTTTCCCCCGCCCTGAGATGGTATCTTGCTCTGTTTCCCAGGCTGGAGTGCAATGGCAAGATCTTGGCTCACTCCAACCTCTGCCTCCTTGGTTCAAGTAATTCTCCTGCCTCAGCCTCCCGAGTAGCTGGGCTTACAGGTGCGCACCACCATGCCCAGCTAATTTTTTGTATTTTTAGTAGAGATGGGGTTTCACTATGTTGGCCAGGCTGGTCTCAAACTCCTGACCTCGTGATCTGCCTGCCTCGGTCTCCCAAAATGCTGGGTTTACAGGCATAAGCCACCGCACCCAGCCTTTTTTTTTTTCTTAATCAGTTATATCAATATGAATTTGTGGATATTCATTTTGTACTTTGGGATTGATTGATTGATTGATTTATAGATGGAGTCTCTCTCTGTCTCCCAGGCTGGAGTGCAGTGGTGCGATCTTGGCTCACTGCAACCTCTGCCTCTTTGGTTCTAGCAGTTCTCTTGCCTCAGCCTCCCAAGTAGCTGGGACTACAGGCGCACACCGCCACGCCTGGCTAATTTTTTGTATTTTAGTAGAAACGGGGTTTCACCCTGTTGCCCAGGCTGATCTCGAACTCCTGAGTTCAGGCACTCCACCCGCCTCAGTCTCCCAAAGTGCTAGGATTACAGGCATGAACCACAGCACCTGGCCTGTACTTGGGGTTTTGATCCAATACCAATTTATTTTATGGCCCAGTTGTTTCAGTTTTGACCATCAGGAGCTCTTTCATCTGCCTCCTTTGCCCCTTTTACACAATCCCATCAATTTTCTTTTTTTTTTTTTTTTTTTTGAGACAGAGTCTCACTCTGTTGCCCAGGCTGGAGTGCAGTGGCACAATCTCAGCTCACTGCAACCTCCGCCTCCTGGGTTCAAGCAATTCTCGTGCCTCAGCCTCCTGAGTAGCTGGGATTACAGGCACCCGCCACCATGGCCAGCTAATTTTTGTATTTTTAGTAGAGATGGGGTTTCACCATGTTGGTCAGGCTTGTCTCGAACCCCTGACCTTGTGATTCACCCGCCTCAGCCTCCCAAAGTGCTGGGATTACAGGCGTGAGCCACCGCACCCGGCCAATCCCATCAATTTTCTTTTGTTTTGTTTTTAGGGCACTTCCTTACTTTGTGGCAGTACTGGATTCTCCAGGCTCATCTTATATATTTCCTGTCCTCCTAGATTCTGCCGTTTCACCAAGGAGCCCTGGTTTCTTTTATTGGAGAACGGTATTAGAAAGAACTTCTGGGTGCTAGGTATGCTTATTACTTGTAGGCCCTTGCAGTTAACAGAACAAGGTGGTAGATGAGTGTATACTAACACATGTATATATGTGTGTGTGTGTATATTATGCACCAATTGTAAATATTTATATGTAACCATCTGTATCTATTTAAACATGAGTTCATCCTGTCTCCCACTCTAATCCATTATCACAGGATCATTCTATCTTCCTTCCTTGACTATTTGTAAATTCCCACTCCAATAAGAAAATTTGGTCTAGCCATCTGCCAACTATTTACTTAATCGTTCAATGCCAATATACATGTATAGCTAGATTAGTATTGTTAGCCTCTGCTTTTGTGAGAAACAACTTTGTCAAGTAGAGACTAGTGCTTATATGAAGTTTCTTTTGCCTTTAGTTTTATAGATGCCCCTTATTTCCAAAGTTACTTAGGTTACACCTTTTCCTCCACCCAAGGTGGTCTCATATATTTGTAATATAGTTGGATTGTTTTATCATAATCTAGGATCCCCCAGCCTCCTGAGTAAGTGGTTTTTTTTAAAAATTTACATGTATTAAATTTCACTCTTTGATGCTGTGGGTTTTGACAAATGTGGGTTGTGAGCTTTGAGTCTTACCAGTTTTATAGAAAACCTTGGAATTTCTCACAGTGGCACTTGTCAGTATAAGCTGCGTGACTTGGATATGTCTATCATTTTGATTGTTTCAGACTGTCCTGGCTGGGCAAAGTGGGTCACACACGTAATCCCAGCACTTTGGGAGACCAAGGTGGGCGGATCACTTGAGGTCAGGAGTTTGAGACCAGCCTGGCCAACATGGTGAAACCCAGTCTCTACTAAAATACGAAAATTAGCTGGGTGTGGTGGTGTGTGCCTGTAGTCCCAGCTACTTGGGAGGCAGAGGTGAGAGAATCGCTTGAACCTGGAGGCAGAGGTTGCAGTGAGCAGAGATTGCACCATTGCACTCCAGCCTGGGCAACAGAGCGAGACTCCGTCTTAAAAAACAAAACAAAAACTTTCCCATCTTAAAATAAATGAGATTGTGTTTACTTTGCAGTAATTCATCAAGCTCTACTCTTAGGATGGTCACTTTTCTGTGTTACTTGGATTTTAAAATGCTTTAAAGAATTGAATGGTTTGGGCAAAATAGTTTAGGCTCTATCTTTAACTCTGAATCTATTTATCTTTCTAATTTTGAACTCCTTTTAATGTTTTTCTTCTGGGACTTACCACGATTAAAAGTTAGCATTTTTGTTTTGTTTTACTTTTTGGTTTTTCAGCTAGGCTTCTGACAGTATTGCACATTTACATAAAAGTGTAATTATGCCTTTGCTTAAGATTTGTTTTTATTTCAGTTAATTCGTCAGTGAAGAAAAATACATTTTATGCTCTACTCCCAACTAAGATGAACTGTCTTACAGATGGCTTTGTGCTTTTGGTCATAAGCAAGGCCATGTGAAAGTACGGTTCAGTGAAGTCTTTCAACACTGAACACCTCAAGAGTATACTTTGCAACCGTAAGTGAGTCATTAACATCCCTCGTCAGTAAGGTACTTTATGATCTTCATCAAAAAAGTACCGATATTGTTAAGGTGTCTACTAATGTGCCAGATGTACAAAGATAATATGGCTTAGTCTCTGCTCTCAAGTAGTGTACACTCTAATGGGGAAAAAAGGAAGTTAAAATGACATTTAGAAGTGGGTCATAGAGAGAGATGGTGAGAGAGAGATGGTGCTGTGTAAGTGAGCAGGCTTCCTGGTTGACACCTTTTGGGATTAGGAAGATTAAATGGTTCATAGTAAACTGAATGTTTTCAGAGCAGACCTATCTTGTTTAAGGGCCTTTAGCCATTACTTAGATGACATTTATGTAGCTCATCTCCATGTTTTATTAGTTGTTTGTTTAAATTATGTGAGTAATGAAAGGTGTAGTTGATTCTGGCTTACGTGTTTTAGATGACTTATAAATCCTAGAAAAAACATCACCTATCAGAATTAACTCAAGAATAATTTTTTTCTTTTTTTTTTTTTTTTTGAGACAGGGTTTGGTTCTGTTGCCCAGGTTGCAATACAGTGGTGTGATCTTGGCTCACTGCAACCTCTACCTCCTGGGCTCAAGTGATCCTCCCACTTCGGCCTCCTGAGTAGCTGAGACTACAAGTGTGCACCACCACACCCCACTAATTTTTGTATTTTTTGTAGAGATGGAGTTTGACCATGTTGCCCAGGCTGGTCTTGAACTCCTGAACTCAAGTGATCCACTTGCCTTGGCCTCCCAAAGTGCTGGGATTACAGGCATGAACTACTGCACCTGGCCTCAAGAAGAAATTTTAAAACTCGAGTAGTTGTATTAACAATAAAGAGGCTGGGCACGGTGGCTCATGCCTGTAATCCCAGCACTTTGGGAGGCCCAGGCAGATGGATCACCTGAGGTCGGGAGTTCGAGACCAGCCTGACCAACATGGAGAAACCCCGTCTTTGCGAAAAAATACAAAATTAGCCGGGCATGCTGGTGCATGCCTGTAATCCCAGCTACTTGGGAGGCTGAGGCAGGAGAATCGCTTGAACTCAGGAGGTGGAGGTTGCAGTGAGCCGAGATCGTGCCATTGCACTCCAGCCTGGGCAACAAGAGCGAAATTCCATCTCAAAACACACACAGACACACACAGACACACACACACACACACACACACACACACACACAAATTTGGGCACTGAAGTTCCATTTTACCTTTCTACCAAATAAAGCATTTTGCTGAATTTAAAACGTATGGTTCTCCATATGAAATTTTCGGCCAGGTGTGGTGGCTCACGCCTGTAATCCCAGCACTCTAGGAGACCGAGGTGGGCAGATCACCTGAGGTCAGGAGTTTGAGACCACCCTGGCCAGCATGGTGAAACCCTGTCTTTACTAAAAATACAAAAATTAGTTGGGCGTGGTGACGCATGCCTATAATCCCAGCTACTCTGGAGGCTGAGGTAGGAGAATCGCTCGAGTGAGTTCACTGCACTCCAGCCTAGGTGACAAAGCCAGACTCTCTCAAAAACAAAACAACAAAAAAAAGAAAGTATATTGATGGGTAGTTTGTGGAATACTTTATTTTTCCATTTTTAAATTTTTTCTGTTTTATTAAGGGAATCTTAATTGGGTAGCACACTAATGAGTTCACCATTTTTAAAAACTGCAGCTGGTATCTGTTATGAAATTTGGTATGCTTTATAAAATAGCTTCCTGAATTTGTCATAATAGCTCACAGTTTGCTAATAGCAACAATGGTTATGCCAAATTATTCTATTTCTAGGCTTTTTTTTTGGTCAAAACATAGACTGTCAATAATAAGGAGTCTCTAGATTATATGCTTCGTTAATGTAGAATTTAAAATATTAAACTGTGTACTTAAAAACAATTGGGTAAAAAATGTGTTTTTTAGTTTAGTTTTGTTTTGTCTTAAAGGTAATTCTGTTTTGTTGTTGTTGTTTTGGGACAGAGTCTTGCTCTGTTGCCCAAGCTGGAGTGCAGTGGCATGATATTGGCTCACTGCAGCCTCCACCTCTCGGGCTCAAGAGATCCTCCCACCTCAGCCTCCCAAGTAGCTGGGACAACAGGTTTGCACTACCATGCCTGGCTAACTTGTGTATTTTTTATAGAGACAGGGTCTCACTTTGTTGCTTTGGCTGGTCACGAACTCCTGGGCTCAAGCAATCTGCCTGTTTTGGCCTCTCAAAGTGTTGGGTTTACTGGTGTGAGCCACTGCACCCAGCTCTAAAGGTAATTCTGTAAGTGGCAAAGGATATCAGTTTAAGTTACAATAATTTGACAATGTTTAATCCCTTCACCTTCCCCAATTTTATTCTCTGAAATTCTACCTCTTCTTTATTTTTGTTGTTGTTTTTTGATTTTTTGAAACGGAGTCTTGCTGTGTCACCCAGGCTAGAGTGTAGTTGCGCGATCTTGGCTCACTGCAGCATCTAACTCCTGGGCTCAAGCGATGCTCGCACCTCAGACCCCCTGTAGCTGGGACTACAGGTGTGCGCCACCATGGCCAACTAATTTTTGTATTTTTTGTAGAGAAGGGTTTTGTCATGTTGCCCAGGCTGGTCTCAAATTCCTGGACTCAAGTTTTCTGCCTGCTTTGGCTTCCCAAAGTGCTTGGATTACAGGCATGAGTCACCACACTTGGCTTCTACCTAGTCTTTAGAGCTCAGCTGAAATGCTTGTCTGTGAACCTTCCTTATACTAGTTAGAAGCCATCTCTTTCTTTCTTGAACTGTTAAGGCTTCTTGTTTTGTCTCATAGGTCATTTATTATATAATGTTCTGTGTTGGTATTATTAATTTATGTGTCCTTGGCCCTTAGTGGGTCCATCTGTTTGACAGCAAATAGTGACATATCTTCTTTTTGTACCCTGTGTGGGATCTAAGCATAATATATTTTTTCTTTTTGTGTTTTTAATATTTGATAGCAGTCAAGCTTGCAATAAGCACGGTATTTTTACATATAGCAAATGTTTCATTGATATTTGTTGAATGCACGGAGTAAGGTAGAATTTTTTATTTTATCCTTTTTCTACTTTCTATAACTTTTTCATTTGAGTTGATAAAATGATAACCGTGGTATATTCATAAGAAGGCTTATTGTCTTAGATTGAATCACTTTATGATCTTCTTTAAATCTCTCATTCAACAGTATATTTTCAAGAGTAGCATTTAGTACTTAGCCTACATTAGTGCTGCTGAAGTGGTTCACTTTATGAGTTCATAATGACATCTGTTCAGGGTTGCTGCTTTGTCCCTAAAGCCTCAGAAGCCCTCATGCTGTGGGATGACTGTGGGTTCCTCCATTCAGTCCAGTCCCTTCTTCTTTTTATTTTTCTCTGCTCCTCCTTCTTGTCCCTTATTCTTTTTTTTTTTTTTTTTTTTTTTTGAGACAGAGTCTTGCTTTGTCACCTCACCCACCTTGGAGTGCAGTGGTACGATCTCGGCTCACTGCAATCTCCGCCTCCTGGGTTCAAGGGATTCTCCTGCCTCAGCCTCCTAAGTAGCTGGGATTACAGGTGCACACCACCACGCCTGGCTAATTTTTGTTTTTAGTAGGGGTCTCACCATATTGGCCAGGCTGGTCTCGAACTCCTGACCTCAAAAGATCCGCGCACCTCAGCCTCCCAAAGTGCTGGGATTACAGGCGTGAGCCACTGCGCCCGGCCCTGTCCCTTATTCTTTAGTTAGGTCTCAGTCCTTTATTTTATTATCTATCGGTAAGAAGTTCCCTTAATTACTTTTTTTGTTTGTTTGTTTGTTTTTGAGACGGAGTCTCGCACTGTCACCTGGGCTGGAGTACAGTGGCACGATCTTGGCTTACTGCAACCTCTGCCTCCCAGGTTCAAGCGATTCTCTGGCCTCAGCCTCCCGAGTAGCTGGGATTACAGGTGCCCACCACCACGCCCAGCTAATTTTTTGTATTTTTAGTAGAGATGGGGTTTCACCATGTTGGCCAGGCTGGTCTCAAACTCCTGACCTTGTGATTCCTCCGCCTTGGCCTCCCAAAGTGCTGGGATTACAGGCGTGAGCCACTGTGCCTGGCCAATTACATTTTTTAACCTTTTGAATTTGTGACAAATACGTTTGATTGCATTTTAAATGTTCAGCTTCCTTTTAGGTAAATGAAGTGTATTCCAACTTTAATAAAGATGTGTTTACCACAAGAGGATTGTCAGATGTCTAGTTGAATAGAAACCAAAGGCAAAAAACTAATCAAATATTGCCCTCAAATCTGGCAATGGCTTTTAAATGCATAGCAGTTTCATTCCCATGTTGAAATTCTTTTGAGTTGATTCTTTCTAGGTTACGGATTTTCTCCAATGAATTCAGAGTAGTTTCTTGATATCTACTATCTTTACAAAATCTTCCTGAAGTAAGTGGGGAACTTTCATTACTTAGGGAGGTTTTTGTTTCTTACTCTGTGTGACTTATGCTAGGTTTCACAGCATTAAAGCTAGAAACAGTGGCCACATCTTCCAGTCTCAAAATCTTAACCTTAATTTATACCTCAGAAGGGTAAGGCATTCAGACTTTAGAAACTGATTTGTGTTTAGTTATATGTAGCATAGTTTTTTTTTTAGTTTTTAAAATTTTTTTTGTATTTTGAGACAGAGTCTCGCTCTGTTGCCCAGGCTGGAGTACAGTGGTGCGATCTCAGCTCACTGCAACCTCCGCCTCCCAGGTTCAAGCAATTCTCCTGCCTCAGCCTCCTGAGTAGCTGGGATTACAGGCATGCGCCTGCACGCCCAGCTAATTTTTGTATTTTTAGTAGAGACGGGGTTTCCCCATGTTGGTCAGGCTGGTCTTGAACTCCTGACCTCATGATCCACCCACCTCAGCCTCCCAAAGTGCTGGGATTACAGGTGTGAGCCATCACGCCTGGCCTAGTATAGTAGTTTTTCGGAAGAAAAAGATACTACTGGGCCAAATAAATAGTTTCCTCTCTGGCAGCAGACTCTCAGGCCAGTATATATACCTTAAAAGGTACAAAATTCCATAAACCAGAGATTTGTATTAATTCTGACCAATAAAATATTTTGACAACATCTAGTAACATATAAAGGTAGGATCTACCATTTTCTGGATATACTAATGATGTAATTTTTTTTACATGTCCCAGGTAGCTGGGATTACAGGCGCCTGCCACCACGCCTGACTAATTTTTGGTGTTTTTAGTAGAGACAGGGTTTCGCCATGTTGGCTAGGCTGGTCTTGAGCTCCCGTCCTCAGGTGATCCACCCACCTCGGACTCCCAAATTGCTGGGATTACAGGCGTGAGCCACCACGCCTGGCCTAATGATGTAATTTCTATTATAAAATAACTACTGGGCACAGTGACTTATACCTGTATTCCCAGCACTTTGGAACATTGGGACAGGAGGATCACTTGAGCCTAGGAGTTCAAGGCTGCAGTGAACTATAATTGTGCCACTGCACTCTAGCCTGGGCGACAGAGCAGAACCCTATCTTTAAAAAAAAAAAAAAAACCCTTGCGAGCTCAGCACAAAGGTGTTCTGAGTAGACATGTCAATAAACCTTACACTCATTTGAATGCCTAGTACTAAGAAGACAAAGATGCCTAGGCCAATGGTCCTGCCTCCAGGGAGTTCAGATTCCAGTACATTCATTCAGTCACGTTGGGGAAGCTGAGAAGGTGTAACACAAATGTGAAGGGTGAGAAGGACTTCTTTTAAACAGTTTCATGAAAATTACATTCATTGAGTTAGTATGCTTACGTGTGAAAAGTTTGTAGGGCTTCTTTTGGCATGAAAACAAGAAAAACTCAGAGTTTCAAAATGCCTCTATATCCTTGGGGGAATATGAGTGATGATTTTATTACCTAATCATGGAAGTGAAAAAGAAGGGCTATGCAAATTGGTGTTGGGCATGTAATTACAGAGGAATTGCATCTGAGCTCACCCATGTGTGTTCTCCTTGGCATCTGTGGCTAGGGCCAAGTTAGCAAACATGCCCTCAAAGGTATGGGGTTTGATGTTTTTGTGGAGGGTGTAACAGTTGAATGGTGGAAATTGCTTGACATTGGCTATTACAGCAGTATGAGTCTCTTTATGTTGGCTTGCTATTGTATTTTAAGACAATTTGGAAAGAGAATGAGTTGTTTTATTGAATCAAATTTATTCTGATTGGGAAAAATAGTAATGTAAATAAACTTTTGCAGCCTCCATTGATTCATTTTGTTCTGCAACAGACCTTAGGCTTATAGTCTGTCAAAATGTTGTGCAAGGGAGCAACTATTTAATTTAAATGTCAACCATGCAGCCAAAGTCAAGGAATCCATTTCTTTGGGCTCTTTTCCTTGGTGAATTTAGAGCTGAGTGGAGGTTAAAAATATAAGAAAGTTAGGCTGGGCACGGTGGATTACTTGAGGTCGGGAGTTTGAGACCAGCCTGGCTAACATGGTGAAACCCTGTTTCTACCAAAAATACAAAAATTTGATCATGCCACTGCACTCCAGTCTGGGGCACAGAGCGAGACTCCCATCTCAAAAAAAAAAAAAATTAGCTGGGCATAGTGATGTGCGCCAGCTACTTGGGAGGCTGAGGTGGGAGAATCACTTGAACCTGGGAGGCAGAGGTTGCAGTGAGCTCAGATCGTGCCACTTCACTCCAGCCTGGGTGACAGAGTGAGACCCTATCTCAAAAAAATAATAAAACAAAAAATATATATGAAAGTTAATAAATCAGTGAAGTTAGCCAGTAGGAAATGATAATATATAAGGGAACAAGTAAGAGGGACTATGGGAAGTGATATTTTTTCCAGTAATAAAAGGCATGGTTTGATTTTTTTTTTTTTTTTTTTGACATGGAGTTTGCTCTTGTTGCCCAGGCTAGAGTGCGGTGGCATGATCTCGGCTTACTGCAACTTCCACCTCTCCAGTTCAAGTGATTCTCCTGCCTCAGCCTCCCGAGTAGCTGGGATTACAGGCATGTGCCACCACGCCCAGCTAGTTTTTTGTATTTTTAGTAGAGACGGGGTTTCACCATGTTAGCCAGGCTGGTCTTGAACTCCTGACCTCAGGTGATCTGCCTGCCTTGGCCTTCCAGAGTGCTGGGATTACACGCGTGAGCCACCATGCTCGGCGACTGTACGTTTTAGGATAGGAATTTGGGCTGGAAATGGAGGTCTCTGTTGTTTGAAAGGCCTCCCTCTAGCGAGTCAGTCATGTTGAAAAACACCTTACCCACGTGAGCATGGAAAGAGGCATAACTATCTAGGATCCTTTTTCTTTTTCTTTTTCTTTTTTTTTTTAAGATGGAGTCTCACTCTGTTGCCCAGGCTAGAGGGCAGTGGCGCAATCTCGGCTCACTGCAACCTCTGCCTCCCAGGTTCAAGTGATTCTCCTGCCTTAGCCTCCCGAGTAGCTGGGACTACAGGTGCACGGCACCATGCCCGGCTAATTTTTGTATTTTTAGTAGAGACGGAGTTTCACCATATTGGCCAGGCTGGTCTCGAACTCCCGAGCTCGTGATCCGCCTGCCTAAGCTTCCCAAAGTGCTGGGATTACAGGCGTGAGCCACCACACCTGGCCTAGGATCCTTTTTCTAATACAGTTTTCAGGAAACCCATTATAATACTCTTCTCTGCTTTTGGGGAATGAAGGGAATTGCTCCTTTCTCACTGTCAGTGCCTTTCCCCCATACCACCAGGTGGACTTAAGCCACTCCAGTCCTTCCAAGTAGCCACCAATTTGCTGATTATCACTAAGATTCTAATAGCCACTTTGCTAGGAAACATTTGTAGTATCATAAGCTTTCAGCCAGTTTGGTAGATAAATTATCTGGGAAGCAATTTTATGAGTTCATGTTTTCATTTTCCTTAATGTGATTCTTCCAGTTTTAAAAGATGTTACACATAATTAGTGCATGAATTACTGCAGTGGTAGAGATGAGGTAGGAGGTTTCTGTTCTCTGCTCTCCCCGGTCTGTCACTTTTTGGAACATTTCAGATCTTTCTCAAAGCCCCAAAGTATATTTCGAGATTACTCTTCGTTTCCTTCCCCACCCCCCGCCAAATCCAGCTTTTCCCAATTTTGGGAAGACCCTTCTTATTCTTCCTTTCATCAGTGCTAGAGGGAATGCTGGAAATTTGTAAAGTGGGGTGGCATAGTAAATGGTCTGGGTAGAGTGTGTGGAGCAAGAGAAATAAATGTATTAAAAAATAATAAAATTATCCCTTCAAAAGGACTTACTGTCCATCTGTAAGGAGGCTGGCTGAAGCTGTTAGCTCCTTTAGGGTCTGCCTCAGCTTTGGAGCCTTCTGCCAGTGGTTGAGCGAAGCAGTGATTTAGAGCCTTGCCCTTTCTGCCCAGTACTAGATTCCCCTGAGTGGCCGTCTTTGCTCCCGAGCTCTCTGTTGGACAGGCTTTGTCAGGTCTGCATTGTGGTCTGATGGCTCCTCTTGCCCAATCCTGCTGCTTCTGCACTTCTTCCAGAAGTTACTTCCCATTAAACTTTTTCCATTCTGAATTCTGTCTAGCATCTGCTTCCTGGAGAATCTAATCTGCAACACAGTTCTTACATAAAACACCCTATTTCCTTCATTTTACTGGTTTTACCTCAGACTTTGTGTATAATGTCATAGGAGTATAAATGAGATGCCTGCCTCTATGTGTATGCTTTCTTTGTAGAAAATTTAGGAAATACAGATAAGCAGAAGCAAGACATTTTTAAAATTATTAATAATATTCCCACTAGAAGTAACTGCTGATAATGGCTTATTTTGGCAACTTTATTTATTTATTTAAGACGGAGTCTTGCTCTGTCGCCCAGGCTGGAGTGCAGTGGAGCGACCTCAGCTCACTGCAACGTCTGCCTCCTGGGTTCAAGCGATTCTCCTGCCTCAGCCTCCCGAGTAGCTGGGATTACAGGTGTGTGCCACCACACCCAACTAATTTTTGTGTTTTTAGTAGAGACGGGTTTCACCATGCTGGCCATGCTGGTCTCGAACTCTTGACCTCAGGTGATCCACCCGCCTAGGCCTCCCAAAGTTCTGGGATTACAGCATGAGCCACTGCACCCGGCCAGTATTTTGACAAACTTTAGAGAAGTGCGTGAGTATTCAGCTCAGTAAATTTTTTACAAACAAAAAACATCTGTGTAACCAGTACCCAATCAGGAAACAGAACTTTACTAGTACCTCAGATACCTCACTTGTAACAGCATAAATTTTGCCTCGTTTTGAACTTGATATAATTGTAATCGTATAGTATATATTCTTCTTCTTCTTTTTTTTTTTTTCTTCGAGACATGGTCTAACTCGGTTGCCCAGGCTGGAGTCCAGTGGTGTGGTCATGGCTTCCTGTAGCCTCAAACTCTTGGGCTCAAGTGATCCTCCTGCTCAGCCTCCTGGGTAGCTGGGACCACAGATGTGTGCCAGCACACCCGGTTAATTATTTTTTTGTAGAGATGGTGTCTCACTTTGTTGCCCAGGCTGGTCTCAAATTCCTGACCTCAAATGATCCTCCTGTTTTGGCTTACTAAAGTGTTGGGATTATAGGCATGAGCCACTGTGCCTGCCCATTCTTCTGTCTTCTGTTTGTTTGTTTGTTTGTTTGTTTGCTTGTTTGAGATGGAGTCTTGCTGTATTGTCTAGGCTGGAGTGCAGTGGCCAGTCTTGGCTAACTGCAACCTCTGCATCCCAGGTTCAAGTGATTCTCCTGCCTCATCCTCCCAAGTAACTGGGATTACAGGCACATGCATCACCAAGCCTGGCTAAGTTTTGGATTTTTGTTTGTTTGTTTGTTTGTTGAGACGATCTCACTCTATTGCCCAGGCTGGAGTGCGGAGTGATCTCTGCTCACTGCAACCTCCACCTCCTGGGTTCAAGTGATTTTCATGCCTTAACCTCCCTAGTAGCTGGGACTGCAGGCATACGCTACCACGCCCAGCTAATTTTTGCATTTTTAGTAGAGATGGAGTTTCACTGTGTTGGCCAGGCTGGTCTTGAACTCCTGACCTCAGATGATCTGCCTACCTTAGCCTCCCAAAGTGCTGGGATTACGGGTGTGAGCCACTGCGCCCGGCCTAATTTTTGTATTTTTTAGTAGAGACGGAGTTTCACCATGTTGGTCAGGCTGGTTTTGAACTCCTGACCTCAGGTGATCCGCCCGCCTCAGCCTCCCAAAGTGTTGGGATTACAGGCGTGAGCCACTGCATCCGGCCTTCTATCTTCTTTTGCTTAACATTATGTTTGAGAGATTTATTTATATGTATATAACCTGTGGTTCTTTGCTCTATATTTCATGGCGAATGTACCACAATTTATTTGCTCTGTTGTTGATAGACATTCATGTTGTTCTAGTTTTTTACTGCCTGGATCTCTTAATGATTCATATTTTCTATTGTAAATACTGCCTTGTATTTGGTATTTTAGCAAGTGAAGTCTATTCTTGGAACATTTACTATCTTTTTTTTTTTTTTTTTTTTTTTTGAGAGTCTTTCTCTGTGTCCCAGGCTGGAGTGCAGTGGCATGATCTCGACTCACTGCAACCTCTGTCTCCCAGGTTCAAGCAGTTCTCCTGCCTCAGCCTCCTGAGTAGCTGGGATTACAGGCACGCGCCACTACACCTGGCTAATTTTTGTATTTTAGTAGAGATGGGATTTCGCCATGTTGCCCACGCTGGTCTCGAACTCCTGACCTAAGGTGATCTGCCGGCCTCAGAATCCCAAAGTGCTGGGACTACAGGTGTGAGCCACTGCACCCAACCAAGAACTACTATATTTTGTAAGTGGAAATAACCACTATTAAAAACAGAATGCTATAAATAGAATGATGTCTTTTGTTTCTAAAGTTGATGTACTAGAGCGATGTGAAAACAGTAACAAAAGAGATATTTTGTGGCAAAGTTATCTCGGGGTAAACACCACAGTTGCAGGCACCGCTGGCAAGTATTCTCCGGGCAAACAGGAAAAAGGTTAAGTGAATCGTCTTGCATAAAAGTTTAGAAAAACTGTTCTTTCTTTTCTTTCTTTCTTTTTTTTTTTTTTTTTTGAGATGGAGGTTTGCTCTTGTTGCCCAGGCTGGAGTGCAGTGGCATGATCTCGGCTCACTGCAACTCTGCCTCCCAGGTTCAAGTGATTCTCCTGCCTCAGCCTCCCGAGTAGCTGGGATTACAGGCATGTGCCACCATGCCCAGCTAATTTTCAATTTTTAGTAGAGACGGGGTTTCTCCATGTTTGTCAGGCTGGTCTCAAACTCCCAACTTCAGGTGATCTGCCCGCCTCGGTCTCCCAAAGTGCTGGGATTACAGGTTTGAGCCACCATGCCTGGTCGAAAAACGGTTATTTCTTAACCCATATTCTCAGAATGTTATTACTTTTTGCAAGACCCAGAGTTAGTTTTTCCTTCAAAATTTGAGGTCTTAGATCATTGTTACTGGCCAAGGAGGCTAGTTGCTCTTCCCTTTGCTGTCGGTCAGTCAGATCCTTGAGTTAGAAGAATTGTTGGAGAACAAGTTTTCTGGTTTACGATTATACCAGAACTTGGCTGCCACTCTGGTTTTCAGTGAAGAGAAAAAATGTAATCAAAAGCCTTTGGGGATGGGCTTGGTATTTGAGCTGTACCTGTCGAATTAAGGTGGCTCACAAGTGGTATTGGAAAGTGCTGAAGAGCAGATTTCACACTGAGAGTGGAAACGAAATTACAAAGAGCTTGGATGTACATGCCTGAATTGTTTTTGAGCTGCTTTCAGTGGAATACTGATATTTATGTTTTACCTATTACAGCTGTTGAGTGGAATGTCATGGCCAGCTCCTCGGACAGTGAAGATGACAGTTTCATGGCTGTGGACCAGGAAGAAACTGTGCTGGAAGGGACAATGGATCAAGATGAGGAGCCCCACCCAGTATTGGAGGCTGAGGAGACTAGACATAATAGGTCCATGTCGGAGCTGCCAGAAGAGGTTTTGGAGTATATCCTGTCCTTTCTCTCACCGTATCAGGAACACAAAACTGCGGCCCTTGTCTGCAAACAGTGGTATCGACTTATCAAAGGTACTGTGGATAGGAGAAAGGTTTATTTATTGATTTCAAATTTCACTGATTTATTTTTAGACTCCAAATTTAGTTTTTTTCCTCCCTTAAATGTATTATGGTTATAAAATCTAGCATTAGACGATACTACCCGGTTTTCTTTCTTACCCTGGTTAGTTTAATGAACAGCTTGAATACTGAAGTATCTAATCCCATTTGCATTTTAAAATGAGGATTGTTTTTAAAAGCTTCATATTCTTAGAGTTGATCTGGTTAATTGTATTGTTCTTTTCTTTTTTTTTTTTTCAGACGGAGTCTCACTCTGTCGCCCAGGCTGGAGTGCAGTGGCGCAATCTCGGCTCACTGCAAGCTCTGCCTCCCGGGGTCATGTTATTCACCTGCCTCAGCCTCCAGAGTAGCTGGGACTACAGGCGCCTGCCACCACGCCCGGCTGATTTTTTGTATTTTTACTAGAGACGGGGTTTCACTGTGTTAGCCAGAATAGTCTCAATCTCCTGACCTCGTGATCCGCCCGCCTCAGCGTCCCAAATGGATTAATTGTATTGTTCTTGAATGGGCAAAATAGAAATGGATATGGGATAATAGTAATAGCCAATGTGAACATAGCTTTTATCACGTGTCAAGCACTATTGTAACTGCTTTACATTCTCACAGCAAACTCTGACTAGAAGATCCTGCATTTTATAGATGACAGAACTGAGTGAAACACAGTTAACTTATTTACACGGATAGTAAATGCAGGATTAAAGATTCACGTTCAGGCGATCTGGCTTTAAAGTCCATGCTCTTATTAAGGCTACAGATTGTCTCTGAGTAGCTACTTTTAGCAACTGCTTTCTTGAAAACATTTGTCACTTGATTTTATCTCTAAACAGCAAAGACCCTATATACATCTTTTACTTTTTAAAATATGTTTCTTGGCCGGGTGTGGTGGCTCACACCAGTAATCCCAGCACTTTGCGAGGCCAAGGCAGGTGGGTCACCTGAGGTCAAGTTCGAGACCAGCCTGGCCAACATGGTGAAACCCTGTCTCTACTAAAAATACAAAAATAAGCCAGGTGTGGTGGTGGGCACCTAATCCCAGCTACTCGGGAGGCTGAGGCAAGAGAATTGCTTGAACCCAGGAGGCAGAGGTTGCAGTGAGCCAAGATCACGCCACTGGACTCCAGCCTGGGCGACAGAGCAAGACTCTGGTCCTTTTTTTCATCCTTTTCCTAATCAAGATTTCAACTTTTTGCTAAATGTTTAGGTGCTAGACATGCTGTATTTTTAATTAGCAGAAAGCAGTTAGTGGCTTCATTGCATCTTAAGTGGAAAGGGCCCATTTTTTGTTTGAAGATGATCAATCAAGTGGAGTCATTTTTTATCAAGCGAGGGTTGTCTCAATGTGTTCTTTCCTGGGGGAACAAGGCAGCCAGAGATATAACAGAGAACAATCTTTAGATCAAAATCAATCAGTTTTAAAATGTTTTCCTTGCATCAAGGTGGTTCTCATGGAGTCCTTGTCAACTCCCAAAGTCCACCTAGAGGGCTAAGAACCAGCTGTATTGAAACTGCTCTGTTGGCCCTGTGCTCATTTGATTATAACTGCCAATACTGGCACACACAGCCTGCTTCTATATTCTGAGTTGATGGGCTCTTCAGGAGAGATTGGCTCCCTGCAATGTGGAAATACATGGTTTCACTTCTCAAATAAAGGGAGGAAAACCACAGGTAAGGGACTGTGATTTAATCAAATATATGAATTTATCCTTAGGTTTTCTTTGGCAGTCTTATTTTGGTTTTCTTTCTTTTCTCTTTCTTTCTTTCTTTCTTTCTTTCTTTCTTTCTTTCTTTCTTTCTTTGTTTTCTTTTCTCTTTCTTTCTTTCTCTCTCTTTCTTCTTTTCTTTCTTTTTTTTTTATTTTTATTTAGAGAAGAACCCTACCCTAGTACTCACAATCTTAGATCGATCTTTCTGGCAGAAGTCACTGACAAGATAGTTTTGTTTGTTTGTTTTTAATTTTAGTAGACTTTTTTTTTAAAGAGCACTTTTAGGTTCACAGCAAAATTGAGTAGGAGAAACAAATTCCTCTGAGCGGACACAGTGGAACACGCCTGTAATCCCAGCACTTTGGGAGGCCAACGTGGGCGGATCGCCTGAGATCAAGAGTTCAAGACCAGCCTGGTCAACATGGTGAAACCTCATCTCTACTAAAAATACAAAAATTAGTGAGGCATGGTGGTGGGTGCCTGTAGTCCTAGCTACTCGGGAGGCTGAGGCAGGAGAAACGTTCAAACCTGGGAGGCAGAGGTTGCAGTGTGCCAAGATCGAGCCACTGCACTCGAGTCTGGATGACAGACAGAGATTCTGTCTCAAAAAAAAAAAAAAGCAAAACAAAACCGATTTCTCATATATCCCCTACCCTGACACATGTATAGCCTCTCCCATTATCAACATCCCCCACCAGAGTGGTACATGTGTTAAAATTGATGAACCTATACTGAAACATTCCATAAACCCAAATTCCATAGTTTACATTAATGTTCATGCTTGGTGTTGTGCATTCTATGGGTTTGGATGAATGTATAATGACACATATCCACTGTTATAATATCATAATAGCTTCACTGCCCTAAAAATCCTGTATACTCTCCCTGTTTATCCTTTCCTTCCACCAACCACTGGCAATCACTGATTTTTTTACTGTCTCCATAGTTTTGCCTTTTCTAGAAGGTCATATAGTTGGAATCATACAGTATACAGCCTTTTCCGATTGGTTTCTTTCACTTAGTAATATTTGCATTTAAGTTTCCTCCTTATTTTTTGAGACAGAGTCATGCTCTGTTGCCCAGGCTGGAGTGCATTGGTGCGATTTTGGCTCACTGCAACCTCCGTCTCCCGGGCTCAAGTCATCTTCCCTCCTCAGCCACCAGAATAGCTGGGACCACAGGTGTGCACCACCATGCCTGTGTAATTTTTTTAAAAAAATGTTTATAGAGACAGGATCTTGCTGTTACCTAGACTGGTGTGAAACTCCTAAGCTCAAATGATTTTCCTGCCTCAGCTTCCAAAAATGCTGGGATTACAGGTGTGAGCCACCGTGCCCGGCTTCCTCCATTTCTTTTCATGATTTCTTAGCTTTTTTTTTGTTAGTGCTGAGTAATATTTCATGTCTAGATGCACCACAGTTTGTTTACCCATTCACTTACTGAAAGGGCATCTTAGTTGCTTCCAAGATTTTACAATTATTAATAAAGCTGGTGTAAGCATCCATGTGCAGGTGTTTCTGTGGACATAAGTTTTCAGCTCCTTTGGGTAAATAAATACCAAGATGCACAATTGCTGGATCATATGGTAAGAGCATCGTTAGTTTTGTAAGGAACTGCCAAACTGTTTTAAGTGGCTGAACCATTTTGTACTCCCACTAGCAGTGAATGAGAGTTCCTTTTGCTCCACATTCTCACCAGCATTTGTAGTAGTAGTTGGAATTTTCATCATTCTCATAGATGTGTAGTGGTATCTCATTTTAATTTGCATTTCCCTGATGACAAATGATATGGAGCGTATTTTCATGCGCTTATGTGTTACCCACATACCTTCTTTGGTGAAGTGTCTGTTTCAGGTCTTTGACCCATTTTTTATTTTATATATACATATGTATATATATATATATATATATATATTTTTTTTTTTTTTTTTGAGACAAGATCTTGCTCTGTCACCCATGTTGGAGCACAGTGGCATGGTCATAGCTCATTGCGGCCTTGACTTCCTGGACTCAAGCAATCCTCTCGCCTCAGCCTCCCAAGTGGCTGGGACTACAAGTGTGTACCACCACACCCAGCTAATTTTTGTATTTATTTATTTATTTTTGTAGAGATGGGGTCTCACTGTGTTGCTCATGCTGGTCCTGAACTCTTGGGCTCAAGCAATCTTACCACCTGGGCCTGCTAAAGTCCTGGGATTATGAGCCACCATGCCAGGCCTTTGACCCCCTTTTTTTTTTTTTGAGACGGAGTCTCACTCTGTCGCCCAGGCTGGAGTGCAGGGGCGCGATCTCGGCTTATTGCAAGCTCCGCCTCCTGGGTTCATGCCATTCCCCAAAGTGTTGGGATTACAGGCGTGAGCCACCGTGCCCGGCGTTGACCCATTTTTTAATTGGGTTGTTTGTTTATTAATGTTGAGTTTTTTTGTTTGTTTGTTTGTTTGTTTTGAGATGGAGTCCGGCTCTGTTGCCCAGGCTGGAGTGCAGTGGCACAATATTGGCTCACTGCAACCTCCACCTTCTGGGTTCAAGCAATTTCCTGGCAATTTTTGTATTTTTAGCAGAGACAGGGTTTCACTGTGTTGGCCAGGCTGGTCTTGAACTCCTGATGTCAAGTGATCCACCAAATAAATAAATAAATAATATTTAATTTATTTGAGCACCTGCCCAAAGTGCTAGGATTACAGACGTGAGCCACCGCGCCTGGCCCTAATATTGTTGAGTTTTAAGAGTTCTTTGGATATTCTATATAACTGTCTTTTATCAGATATGTCTTTTGCAAATACTTTCTCTCAGTCTGTGGCTTATCTTCTCATTCCCTTGACAGTATTTTTCACAGAGCAGAAACTTTTAGTTTTAATGAATTCTGGCTTATCAGTTATTTTGGGGAGGGGATAAGGTCTTGCTTTGTCACCCACGCTGGAGTCTAGTGGCGTGATCAGGGCTCACTGCAGACTCAACCTCCCAGGCTCAAGCAATCCTCCAAATTCAGCTTCCCAAATAGCTGGCACTACAAGCACATGCCACCATACCCAGCTAATTTGTTTTTCTTTTTTTTTTTCAGATGGAACCTCACTCCATCACCCAGGCTGGAGTTCAGTGGCGCAGTCTCAGCTCATTGCAACCTCCACCTCCTGGGTTCAAGGAATTCTCCTGCTTCCACCTCCCAAGTAGCTGGGATTACAGGTGCATGCTACTACGCCCGGCTAATTTTTTTTTTTTTTTTTTGAGATGGAGTCTTGCTCTGTTGCCCAGGCTGGAGTGCAGTGGTGTGATCTCGGCTCACTGCAAGCTCCTCTCCCGGGTTCACGCCATTCTCCTGCCTCAGCCTCCCGAGTAGCTGGGACTACAGGCATCCACCACCACACCCGGCTAATTTTTTCTATTTTTAGTAGAGACGGGGTTTCACTGTGTTAGCCAGGATGGTCTCGATCTCCTGACCTTGTGATCTGCCTGCCTTGGCCTCCCAAAGTGCTGGGATTACAGGCGTGAGCCACTGCGCTCGGCCAATTTTTGTTTTTAGTAAGAACAAAACCTTTTTTAGTAGAGTAGGTTTTACCATGTTGACCAGGCTGGTCTCAAACTCCTGACTTCAAGTGATCACCCACCTCGGCCTCCCAAAATGCTCGGATTACAGGTGTGAGCCACTGCACCCGGCCACACCCGGCTAATGTTTTAAAAAATACTTTGTCGAGACAGGGTCTCCTTGTGTTGCCCAGGCTGGTCTTGAACTCCTGGGCTCAAGTTATCCTCCCACCTTGGCCTCCCAAAGTGTTGGGATTACAGGCGTGAGCTACCATGCCTGGCCATTCTTTCTTTCATGGATCATGCCTTTGGTACTGTGTATAAAAAGTCATCCCCAAAGTCAAGGTCTTCTAGATTTTCTCCTGTTATCTTCGAGGAGTTTTATGTTTTACATTTAGGATTGTGATTCATTTTTAGTTCATTTTCATGGAAGATGTCTAGATTCATTTTCTTGCATGTAGATTTTAATTTATTTCAGCATCATTTTTGGAAAAGGTTTTTTTCTTTAAGAGATGGGGTTGGCCAGGCGCGGTGGCTCATGCCTATAATCCCAGCACTTTGGGAGGCCAAGGTGGGTGGATCATGAGGTCAAGAGATTGAGACCATCCTGGCCAACGTGGTGAAACCCCATCTCTACTAAAAATACAAAAAGAAAAAAAAAATTAGCTGGGTATGGTGGCGCGTGCCTGTAATCCCAGCTACTTGGAAGTCTGAGGCAGGAGAATCGCTTGAATCTGGGAGTTGGAGGTTGCAGTAAGCCAAGATCGCGCCACAGCACTCCAGCCTAGGTGACAGAGTGACACTCTGTCTCAAAAAAAAAAAAAAAAAAAAAAAAAAAAGAGATGGGGTCTCCCGGCCTGGCATGGTGGCTCACGCCTGTAATCCCAGCATTTTGGGAGGCCGAGGTGGGCGGATCACTTGAGATCAGGAGTTTGAGACCAGCTTGGCCAACATGGTGAAACCCCGTCTCTACTAAAAATGCAAAATTAGCTAGGCATGGTGGCACATGCCTGTAATCTCAGCTACTTGGGAACCTGAGGCAGGGAAATCATTTGAACCTGGGAGGTGGAGGTTGCAGTCAGCTGACATTGCACCACGCACTCCAGCCTGGGCAGCAGAGTGAGACTCCTTCTCAAAAAAAAAAAAAAAAAAAAAACAGAGATGGGGTCTCCCAGCCTGAGAACATGGTCAACCTCCATCTCTATGAAACAAACAAACAAAAAAACAGAAATTAGCTGAGTGCAGTGGTGTGTGCCTGTAGTCCCAGCTACTTGGAGGCTGAGGTGGAAGGATCCCTTGTGCTCAGGAGGCAGAGATTGTGGTGAACGGGGATCGTGCCACTGCACTCCATCCTAGGTGACAGAGTGAGACTCAGTCTAAAGGAAAAAAAAAAAAAAAAAAAGAGAGATGGGTCTCACTGTGTTTCCCAGGCTGAAATTCAATGGCTGTTCACAAGTGGGATCATTGTGCACTACAGCCTCGAACTCCTGGGCTCAAGCGATCCTCCTGCCTTGCTTCTCATGTAGCTAGGACCACAGGCATACACCACTGAGCCTGGCAAAAGGCTGTCTTTTCTGCATTGCATTACTTTTGCTTCTTTGTCAAAGATCAGTAAAGGCTGGACACAGTGGCTCACGCCTGTAATTCCAACACTTTGAGAGGCTGAGATGGGAGGAACACTTGAGCTCAGGAGTTTGAGACCAGTCTGGACAATATAGTGAGACCCCACCTCTATTAAAAAAAAATGAATGGACTGTATTTGTATGGGTCTATTTCTTGGCTCTCTATTCTGTTCCATTGATTTATTTGTTTATTATTTGCAAATACCACACTGTCTTGATTACTGTAGCTTTTATAGTAAGTCTTGAAGTCAGGTGGTATCAATCTTCTGACTTTGTTCTCCTCCTTCCATGTTTTCTTGGCTATTCTGGGTCTTGTGCTTCTCCACATAAACTGTGGAAACAGTTTGTCGATATTCACAAAATAATTTGCTGGGGTTTTGACTAGGATTGCATTGAATCTGTTGATCAAGTTGGGAAGAACTGACATCTTGACAATATTGAGTCTTCTTATCCTATCCATGAACATGGACTATCTCTTTATTTAGTTCTTTGATTTCTTTCATCATAGTTTTATGGGTTTCCTCATATAGATTTTGTATGTATTTTGTTATATCTAAGTATTTCATTTTTTGGTGCGAATGTATATGTGTTTTAATTTCAAATTATGTGTTTTAATTTCAAATTCTACTTGTTCATTGTTGTATGCTAACCTTGTATCCTGCAATCTTGCTTATTAGCTCTAGGACCAAGACAGGTTATGATTCCATAATCAATTCCTCTCCATTGTTATATGTTCGTCTTTTTTTTTTTTGCTTGTTTTTTAAGAGACAGGGTCTCACTGTCTTGCCCAGGCTGGAGTGCAGTGGCATGGCATGATCATAGGCATGATCACTGCTGCCTTGAACTCCTGGGCACAGGTGATCCTCCCTCCTCTGCCTCCCAAGTAGCTAGGACTACAAGTGCAGACCACCATGCCTGGCTAATTTTTAATTTTTTTGCAGAGAAATGGGGTCTTGCTATGTTGCCCGGGCTGGTCTCAAACTCCTGGCTTCAAGCTATCCTTCTGCTTTGGCTTCCTAAAGCACTGGGATTACAGGTGTGAGCCACTGCGCCTGGCCTCTCATCTTTTAGAAAACTTTTCCTGGTTGGGCATGGTAGCTCATACCTGTAGTCCCAACATTTTGGGAGGCTTAGGCGGGTGGATCGCCTGAGGTGGGGAGTTCGAGACCAGCCTGGCCACTGTGGTGAAACCCTGTCTCTACTAAAAATACAAAAATTAGCTGGGCATGGTGATGCATGTCTGTAATCCCAGCTACTGAGGAGGCTGAGGCAGGAGAATCACTTGAACCTGGGAGGCAGAGGTTGCAGTGAGCCACTACACTCCAGCCTAGGCAACAGAGCGAGACTCTGTCTCAAAAAGAAAAAAAAAGAAAACAAACTTTCCTGAGTTATGTATTTCATAATCCATTTTAGCCAGGCATGGTGGTGTTTGCCTGTAGTGCCTGCTACCCAGGAGGCAGAGGTAGGAGTATTGCTTGAGCCTGGGAGGCAGAGATTGCAGTGAGCTAAAGTCATGCATGCCACTGCAGCCTGGGTAGCAGAGCGAGACCCTGTCTAAAGAAAAAAATAAATAAACAAAACATAATCAATTGTAAACTAATTATTATCTCCATATTTAAGACAGAGAATGCTTTATTATAGTTTCCAACTATAGATATTTACTGAACACCTGTTATGTTCTAGACATTGTTTTATCATACTCTTTCATAAGGCTAAATTATCCCCCAACACCTTTGCTTTGGAGTAAATAATATCAATGATCTTGATATGTTGCCTTATGAGATAAAATAAAAGGGACTAGAGTTACAGTGTGAGCTAATTTTGTAATTTTTAATGTCACCTAACCTCCATGAACTTTGATAAAATGGAAGGATTGCCTTTCAGTTTTAAAATTGTATTTCCTTTCTTTGAATGAAAATCAGATAAATTTGGAATTCCTCAAAGAAACTTGTCTTATAGGCTGGGCGCGGTGGCTCATGCCTGTAATCTCAGCACTTTGGAAGGCCGAGGCAGGTGGATCACGAGGTCAGGAGTTCAAGACCAGCCTGGCCAAGATGGTGAAACCCCATCTCTACTAAAAATAAAATTAGCTGGGCATGGTGGCAGGTACCTGTAATCCCAGCTACTCGGGAGGCTGAAGCAGGAGAATCACTTGAACCCAGGAGGCAGAGGTTGCAGTGGCCGAGATCGTGCCACTGCACTCCAACCTGGGCGACAGAGTGAGACTCCATCTCAAAAAAAGAAAAAAAAAAGAAACTTGTATAAAAATGATAAAAACAGGTAATAGACACAGTTTTAATAATTTGATGGATAAGTTAAGTGTCTGGACTGAAGGGTTTGCTCTTTCTGTCTTAGGTGTAGCCCATCAGTGTTATCATGGTTTCATGAAGGCTGTCCAGGAAGGAAACATTCAGTGGGAGAGCCGTACCTATCCTTATCCTGGAACCCCAATCACTCAGCGCTTCTCGCACAGTAAGTATTTACTGTGAAAGCAGATTCCACCCTGCCTGTGGTCATATTTCCAGAAACTTGTTTGGTGGCATGTTTTTTTGTTTGTTTTTGAGACAAGGTCTCACTCTATCACCCAAGCTGGAGTGCAGTGGCATAATCACAGCTTACTACAGCCTCCACCTCCCCAGGCTCAGGTGATCCTCCCACCTCAGCCTCCTGAGTATGAGGACTACAGGCGTGCCCCATCACACCTGGTTAACTTTTGTATTTTTTGTAGAGATGGGGTTTCACCATGTTGCCCAGTCTAGTCTTGAACTGAGCTCAAGCAATAGGCCTGCCTTGGCCTCCCAGAGTGCTGGGATTACATAACGTGAGCCACGACACCCAGCCAAGGCATGTATTTTATCCGACTTTTAATTATTTATTTATTTATTTTGAAATGGAGTCTCACTCTGTCACCCAGGCTGTGATATGGTGGTGTGATCATGGGTCACTGCAGCCTCGACCTCCTCGGCTCAGGCAGTCCTTCTGCCTCAGCCTCCCGAGTAGCTGGGCCCACAGGTGCATGCCACCACGCCTGGCTAATTTTTAAAAAATTATTTGTAGAGATGGGGTCTCACTGTATTGCCCAGGCTTGTCTTCAACTCCTGGGCTCAAGCGATCCTCCCACCTTGGCCTTCCAAAATGTTGGGATTACAAGTGTGAGCCACTGTGCCTGGCCATTATCTGACTTTTTAATGAAGAGAATGTAAAATGAGAGTTTATATTAATTTTATAACCAGAATTAGGGAAAAGTGTCAGCCTAAATATATTGTAGGCAGTTTGTTAAGAATTTTATATTCTGCTTTTTCTTTTTTTTGAGACAGAGTCTCTGTTGCCCAGGGTGGATTGCAGTGGTGCAATCTTGGCTCACCGCAACCTCCACCTCTTGGGTTCAAATGATTCTCCTGCCTCAGCCTCCTGAGTAGCTGGGACTACTGGTGTGTGCCACCACACCTGGCTAATTTTTGTATTTTTAGTAGAGATAGGGTTTCGCCATGTTGGCCAGGCTGGTCTCGAACTCCTGACCTCAGGTGATCCACCCACCTCGGCCTCCCAAAGTGCTGGGATTACAGGTGTGAGCCACCGCGCCCAGCCCTCTGCTTTTTCATTGGATTTTTCTCTACTCCAGAGTGGTCAAGGTGTTATGCTTAGCGTTTTAAACATCTGACATTATCTAAGAGGAAAACAAAGGAAAGCTGTACATGAGGGTATTTCTAAGATTTTGCTTAGGGAGTAGTCAGATTTTAGTACTAGGTCATATAATGGCTATTTAACATAATACATGTTCAGCAAACACAAAATTTAAATGGACTCCTACAAAAATTTTGAATGTGACAAGTGTCGATTATAAAATTCAAATTTGGGCTGGGTTCAGTGGCTCACGCTTGTAATCCCAGCACTTTGGGAGGCTGAAGTTGGCTGATCACCTGAGGTCAGGAGTTTGAGACCAGCCTGGCCAACATGGTGAAACCCTGTCCACTAAAAATAGAAAAAAAAATTAACCAGCCATGGTGGCACATGCCAGTAATCCCAGCTATTTGGGAGGCTGAGACAGGAGAACTGCTTGAACCTGGGAGGCGGAGGTTGCAGTGAGCCGAGATTGCACCATTGCACTCCAGCCTGGGCAACAAGAGTGAAACTCCATCTCAGAAAAAAAAAAAAAAAAAATACAAATTTGGCTGGGTGCTGTGGCTCACGCCTCTAATCCCAGCACTTTGGGAGGCCAAGGCGGGCGGATCACCTGAGGTCAGGAGTTTGAGAACAGCATAGCCAACATGGTACAACCCCGTCTCTGCTAAAAATATGAACAATTCCATCTTGGCTAACACGGTGAAACCCCGTCTCTTAAAAAAATATATATATAAAAAATTACCCGGGCATGGTGGCGGGCGCCTGTAGTCGCAGCTACTGGGGAGGCTGAAGCAGGAGAATGGCGTGAATCCAGGGGGTGGAGCTGGCAGTGAGCCGAGATCACGCCACTGCACTCTAGCCTCGGTGACAGAGTGAGACTCCGTCTCAAAAATAAATAAAATAAAAATATAAACAATTAGCCAGGTATGGTGGCAGGCACCTGTAATCCCAGCTACTCAGGAGGCTGAGGCAGGAGAATCACTTGAACCCGGGAGGCGGAGGTTGCAGTGAGTCGAGATCATGCCACTGTACTCCAGCCTAGGCAACAAGAGCGAAACTCTGTCTCAAAAAAAAAAAAAAAATTATCTTCTTGCCTTTCTTCTCTCTTCATGTGAACCTGGACTAAAGACCATTAATAACCACCTCTAAAACTGGGGACAGTATCTCCTCCTCCTCTGACATTCGGAAATCTGTAAGAAATCTGTAAAGTCATTGCTTACTGTCATCACTGAAAAGCAGTATAAACATGAAGTAGGCAAGGGGCAGGGATGTGCAGCATCCTGCAGTGCATAGGACAGTCCTACAGATAAAAAGATTATCCTGCCCCAAATGATAAGAGCTCCTGTTGGGAAATACTGCAAGTCTGAAACATGCAACTAGCCTTGCATTCTTCCGTCAGCAAGCTTCAGCGTTAGTGTGCTGCATGTAGGAGTTTTCATTCTGCCTGCCTTTCAAGGACCTGGCTTGCCTTTTCAGCCTGACTCACTGCTGCATCCTTAGGTAGCCAGACTTCAGCCACATGAACCTCCTTGTTATGTCTTAAACTTCCTTATTTGCCCTTCCCTTTTTTTCTTTTTTGAATTAGTTTTTGAAATTTTTAATTGTGTTTTGCCATGTTGTCCAGACTGGTCTCGAACCCCTGAGCTCAAGCAGTGTGCCCGCCAGATATGGTTTGGCTCTGTGTCCCCACCCAAATCTCATCTCCTCCAGTGGTAATCCCCATGTGTCAAGGGAGTGACCTGGTGGGAGGAGACTGGATCATGGGGGCGGTTTCCTCCATGCTGTTCTTGTTATAGTGAAAGAATTTTCATGAGATCTGATGGTTTAAAAGTGGCGGTTTCGGCTGGCCGCAGTGGCTTACGCCTGTAATCCCAGCACTTTGGGAGGCTGAGGAGGGCGGATCACTTGAGGTCAGGAGTTTGAAACCAGCCTGGCCAACATGGTGAAACCCCGTCTCTACTAAAAATACAAAAATTAGCCGGGCCTGGTGGCGGGTGC
This sequence comes from Homo sapiens, assembly GCF_000001405.40. Classification (NCBI taxonomy): domain Eukaryota; kingdom Metazoa; phylum Chordata; class Mammalia; order Primates; family Hominidae; genus Homo; species Homo sapiens. The sequence continues at coordinate 16,302,652 of NC_000001.11, read as the reverse complement.
CTATAGTCCCAGCTACTTGGGAGGCTGAGGCAGGAGAGTTGCTTGAACCCCTGTGGTGCAGGTTGCAGTGAGCTGAGATTGCACCACTGCACTACAGCCTGGGCAACAGAGCGAGACTCCGTTTCAAAAAAGAAAAAAAGGTGGCAGTTTCCCCTGTGCTCTTTCTCCTGCTGCTTTGTAAGAAGTTGCTTGATTCTCCTTTGCCTTCTACCATAAATGTAAGTTTCCTGAGGCCTCTCCAGCCATGTGGAACTGTGAGTCAGTTAAACCTCTTTCCTTTATAAATTACCCAGTCTTGGATAGTTCTTTATAGCAGTGTGAAAATGGACTAATACACTACCTCAGTCTTGCTAAGTGCCTAGATTACAGGCGTTGAGCTACCGCACCCGGCCTGCCCTTCTTAATGGACTGAAAGTGTCCTGTTCTCTAAAAGTCATCTCAAAGATAAAATCAAAAGCCACATTTTTTACCAACTTCTCTCAGATTCCTCGCCGTAGATATTAAGCTCTTTTCTTCCTCTCTGCTTCCCTAATATACTATTCATACCTTCCTCCATTATTTATTACCATCTGTCTTTTGCCATTATTATCTGTGTGAGAGAGGCTGCATGCTAAAAAGGAAAGGCCTTTGGATGTGGGAAGCAAGTTTCTTGGCTTGTCTGACCCACAGTTTCTTTGTCTGAAAAATGGATATGACAAATTCTGTTTGTGCCATAGATTGCTGAGAAATGCATTTAAGAAAACACTTGTAAAAATATGTTTTAAAGTCGAGGCAGGAGAATGACTTGAGCCCAGGTGTTTGAGACCAATTTGGGCAACATCTCTATTTAAAATTAAAATATATGTATATATTTTAAGCTGTAAAAAAGTAGGATGATGATGATGTCTCCCCCACAAGATTGTCGTCTACTTGAAGATAGACAGGCTCCATGTCTTAGACATTCTTGTACCGTTTCTTTTTTTTTTGTTGTTTTTTTTTTTTTGAGATGGGGTCTCACTCTGTCACCCAAGCACCCAGGCTGGAGTGCAGTGGCGCGGTCTTGGCTCACTGCAGCCTCTGCCTCCCAGATTTAAGCTATTCTCTTGCCTCAGCCTCCCAAGTAGCTGGGATTACAGGTGCCTGCCACCACGCGCAGCTAATTTTTGTAGTTTTAGTAGAGACGGGGTTTCGCCCTATTGCCCAGTCTGGTCTCAAACTCCTGGGCTCAAGAAATCTGCCCATCTCAGCCTCCCAAAGTGCTGGGATTGCAGGTGTGAGCCACCGCACCCAGCCTTCTTGTACTGTTTCACAACACCTTGTTCATAGTTGATATCTAATAAATTTGGTATCAATATATTTTGATACCTAATAATTTTTGTGGACTTAAGTGCAACAAAGGTATGCACAGTATAGTATCTTTCCTATGGAAAAGTCTGGGACAAAAAAGTCAGGTGAAGTAAAAAGGCCAATTCTAGGGCCAGGTGCAGAGGCTCACCCCTGTAATCCCAACACTTTGGGAGGCCAAGGCAGGTGGATCACTTCAGGCCAGGAGTTGGAGACCAGCCTGGCCAACATCGTGAAACCCTATCTCCACTAAACATACAAAAATTAGCTGGGCGTGGTGGGCGCACGCCTGTAATCCAGCTACTCGGGAGGCTGAGGCAGGAGAATCGCTTGAACCTGGGAGGCAGAGGTTGCAGTGAGCCAAGATTATGCCACTGCACTCTAGCCTGGGTGACAGAACAACACTCTGTCTCAAAAAAAAAAAAAAAAAAAAAAAGGCCAATTCTAGCTTTTTGGTGAATGTGTGCATAGCTAATCATGCAAGCTTTAATTAATGTAGAATGTCCTTTTCAGATTGATGTAGGGGGTCTCCTGAGTCCCCAACATCATGCATTGAAAAATGTTTCAGTGTTGTAGGTGTCACATATAGTCAGGTAGTTTCATACACAATGCTCATCATGCTCCTGCAGGAGCCAGCAGGCCCAGACTGGATAACCGCCCTTGCTTCTTCATAGTTACGTAATTAGAGACCTTATCAAATATGTTCTGGCTTGTAGGTGTGAGACACATGACAGCATAGTCTCTTTAAGCATGGGATAAATGCCTCAGGATCTTTCCCTGGAGACAGGTGAAGAAACAAAAGAGAATTTGACGTCTGAAAATGCAAAAGCATATCATTCATTTAGTGAGCATTTATTGAATGCTCCATACACCATGGAAAAGATGAAACTACTGGAAGATCTTGCACTTGAGATGATTATAGAATAGTGGAGAAGTATTCAGAACTGTGAAGAACTGTTTGCTTGCTCTGTGTGTAATTAAATTGTGACTATTTGACTTGTATTTTAATAGGGATGATTAGTATGTGTCGTAAACTAAGCCCATTTCAGAAAACTTGAAGAGATTTACCAGTTGGAATAGACACTCTCAGTATTATTTGTTAGCCCAGTATTCATACTGTACTGTGAGCTGTAACTGTATAGCACATTCTAGTGGTCTAGATGTTCTGAAAGGAAAATTTTCTATTTAGGTTGAGAACTTGTGAAAAGGGAAATTACTACTGGAGCACTGGGAGTTGCTCAAATTCTTTTTCCTAAAAGGTTCATTTGAACTTGTTGGGTCTTCCTCCCTGCCCCTGCCCCTCTCAGATCAATCTATAGGTGTCTTAAATAAAAAATAGGCAATAAGTAAAGTTCAGTAGGCTAGGGTGCTTAAAATAGTTGAGTGTGGCCGGGCATGGTGGCTCACGCCTGTAATCCCAGCACTTTGGGAGGCCAAGGCAGGTGAATCACGAGATCAAGAGATTGAGACCATCCTGGCCAACATGGTGAAACTCCATCTCTACCAAAAATACAAATATTAGCTGGGCATGGTAGCGCGTGCCTGTGGTCCAAACTACTCGGGAGGCTGAGGCAGGAAAATCGCTTGAACCCAGGAGGCGGAGGTTGCAGTGAGCCGAGATCGTGCCACTGCACTCCAGCCTGGGTGACAGAGCGAGACTCCATCTCAAAAAAATAATAATAATAATAATTAAGCGTATTATTGATAGTTATTTTCTCATTCCATTATATCTGAGTTCTAAATATAGCTGCCTAAACTGACTCCCTTCCTCTCCCAACTTTGTTGATAATTGACTGCTGGTCACTGAAAATACAGTAGTGTGTGAAACTTGCCATTTTAGTGCCATTAGCTTTGCATACTTTGGGCTGTGCCTTCCTCTTCCAGAAACCTTTGTTTGCTCAAGAGAAGCAGGAAAATGCCAATTGCCCTATTTTAGTGTGGGATTAAAATACATGTGGTAAGGACCTCAGGGCCCCGCTGTTGGCTGGGTTTTCAGTCCAAATAGAGAAGAAAAATGTGGGCTGGGTGCGGTGGCTCGTGCCTGTAATCCCAGCACTTTGGGAGGCCGAGGCGGGCGGATCACGAGGTCAGGAGATCGAGACCAGCCTGGCCAACATGGTGAAACCCCGTCTCTACTAAAAATACAAAAAATTAGCCAGGCATGGTGGCACATGCCTGTAATCCCAGCTACTCGGGAGGCTGAGGAGGAGAATTGCTTGAACCTAGGAGGCAGAGGTTGCAGTGAGCCAAGATTGTACCATTTCACTCCAGCCTGGGTGACAGAGCAAGACTCTGTCTCGAGGAAAAAAAATTAAAAAGGAAAAATGTTTGTTACCTTTTTGAAAAATACAGGCACTGTGTTCTTTTGCTACACTAAGGAAGCAGCTGCCAAGAAGTTATCTGTGAGGAACTGGGAGACGTAACAAACCCTTGACTCTTTTAGTTATGAAATCATGGATTTGTTTTATTAAGCAATGTTATAATGGACACTAGTTAAGGTTTCAGAAGTCATAGGACATTGGCCGGGCGCGGTGGCTCACGCCTATAATCTCAGCACTTTGGGAGGCCGAGGCGAGCGGATCACCTGAGGTCAGGAATTCGAGACCAGCCTGGCCAACATAGTGGAACCCCATATCTACTAAAAATACAAAAACTAGCTGGGCGTGGTGGTGGGCGCCTGTAATTCCAGCTACTTGGGAGGCTGAGGCAGGAGAATCACTTGAACCTAGGAGGCGGAGGTTGCAGTGAGCCAAGATTGTGCCACTGCACTCCAGCCTGGGTGACAGAGTGAGACTCCATCTCAGAAAATAAATAAATAACTCATAGGACATTGCTAATTTCTTTTTCTGGAGGTCTGGAATATCAAGAGGAGAAGAATGTGCTTTTACTGAGCCAACCTGGTACCAGTTGGCTCATTTCAAAATTGCCCCATTTTTTAGGATTACTAGGTCAAGATATGTCTAAGAGGACCAGGATATCTGGAGTTGAGCTCCTTTAGTGGAGATTAAAATGTGGCTCCAGTAATTGTCCTTTTGTTTGTCTAATGTCTTCTAACTTGATCCTTTGTTATTTGTAGTTCTTTGGTGTTTTTGTTTTTGTTTTTTGAGACAGAGTCTTGCTCTATCGCCCAGGCTGGGGTGCAGTGGCGCAATCTCAGCTCGCTGCAACCTCCACCTCCCGGGTTCGAGCGATTCTACTGCCTCAGCCTCCCCAGTAGCTGGGAGTTACAGGTGCATGCCACCATGCCAGACCAATTTTTGTATTTTTAGTAGAGAGGGGTTTCACCATGTTTGCCAGGCTGGACTCGAACTCCTGACCTCAAGTGATCCACCCGCCTCAGCCTCCCAAAGTGCTGGGATTACAGGCATGAGCCACTGTGCCCAGCCTGTTATTTGTAGTTCTTAACAGATCTGACATGTGAGCCATGGATTCATTGGACTTGACTTTTTTTTTTTTTTTTTTTGAGATGGAGTCTCACTCTGTCGCCCAGGCTGGAGTGCGGTGGCGGGATCTTGGCTCACTGCAAGCTCCGCCTCCCGGGTTCATGCCAGTCTCTTGCCTCAGCCTCCTGAGTAACTGGAACTACAGGCGCCTGCCACCACGCCCGGCTAATTTTTTTTTTTGTATGTTTAGTAGAGATGGGGTTTCCACTGTGTTAGCCAGGATGGTCTCGATCTGCTGACTTCATGATCTGCCTGCCTCGGCCTCCCAAAGTGCTGGGATTACTGGCGTGAGCCACCACGCCCGGCCTGGACTTGACTTCTTAGTAGAGTTCTGGGGATACCATAAATATTTTGCAGGTGTGAGCCTATTGATGGCTAGATGGTATTTTATTTCTTCAGATCTGTTTTGTCTAATTTCTTTGGTAATTTTAAAAGCCTGCAGCTCCATTATTCCACAGTGTCAGAGGTCAGATAATTTGGATTTAACCCTTCCACTGACTGAGATTATGGGGTTTAAGGCACTAAACATACTGCTTTCATTACCTCTTAACTTGCTCAGTTTTCTGACTTGGCCTTCTTACCGTAGAGAGTCCCAGGGGTCTAACAGGAGGGCTGAATTAAGGGAAAATAAAAGAAGGTGGGGGGCTGGGCGCATTGGCTCTCACCTATAATCCCAACACTTTGGGAGGCTGAGGCGGGTGGATCACCTGAGGTCAGGAGTTCGAGACCAGCTTGGCCAACACGGTGAAACCCTGTCTTCACTAAAATACAAAAATTAACTGGGTGTGGTGGTGTGTGCTTGTAATCCCAGTTACACCTACTCGGGAGACTGAGGCAGAAGAATTGCTTGAAGCTGGCAGGTGGAGGTTGCAGTGAGCCAAGATTGTGGCACTGGACTCCAGCCTCGGCCACACAGCAAGACTCTGTCTCAAAAAAAACAAAAAGCGGGGGGTGGGGGGTGCGGGGGAGGGGGGAGTTTATTCCCAGAGCTAGTATAGTGTGTATCACAGAGGTGATTATAGTAGTGGCATTGGATGAGTCAACAGTAGTAGCATTTCCCTTTTTCTGAACTCGGGTAACTAGTGCCAGAGTTCAGAAGAGACCTTAAAAATATTGGTGTGCTAAACTGAATTAGACCTACAAATATGCTAGATGATCATTAAAGCCATGCACAGGGCAATGAATCTGTGAATTTCTTGTTGGTGTTTTTTGTTTTTGTTTTTTTTTTTTTTTTTTTGAGATGGAGTCTTGCTCTGTCGTCCAGGCTGGAGTGCAGTGGCGCAATCTTGGCTCACTGCAACCTCCGCCTCCCGGGTTCAAGCGATTCTCCTGCCTCAGCCTCCTGAGTAGCTGGGATTACAGGCATGCGCCACCACGCCTGGCTAATTTTTTTATTTTTAGTAGAGACGGGGTTTTGCCATGTTGGCCAGGCTGGTCTCGAACTCCTGACCTCATGATCCGCCTGCCTCAGCCTCCCAAAGTGTTGGGATTACAGGCATGAGCCACTGCACCTGGCCTGAATCTGTGAATTTCTTTTTCCTTTCCCCTTCCTTTTATATGACACTGAACCGTTAGTTTCACATGAACATTGAGAAGTCTTTTTTGTTTACTTAATTTTATTTTATTTTATTTTTACCTCCTGCGTGCATGAAATGGATGGCAAGGAAAGCTTTGCTTGGGCCTCTTCCTGAAATCCAAGATGGCAAATGCAAGACTGTAAGGAATGTGATCGTCATTTCCAAAGGATAGAGACCGCAAGGGGCAGAACTTAGCACTCATGCATCTTTTCTAGACTCTGGCTTTGGTCTTTGTAGTTTTTGGGTAACAGCCCTTCTGATAGTCATTGCCTCTTTTTCTTAGGAATGCCTGGTGATGTGTATACAATCATCTAATCAAAGAAGGCTTTTTTTAGAGATCCTGGTGTTTTTTAAATGTTACCGTTCTGTTTTCTAGTCGGCTCCAACCAGCATGCCTTGGTAGCTCTTGGATACATATTGGGACTTAATGATTTCCATGCTTTTTCAATCTGTTGCTTTGGGACTAGTCCAAGACCATACTACTATTGAGTTTCCCCCACTGGCCTTTGGAATTAATAAAAACTGTATTTCTTCAATCACATTGGACTTTATGTGTGGTTACTTCATAGTATTGATTAAAATCATTTCATTGTGTGTCATATAAAGATTCATTTATTGGCCGGGCATGGTGGCTCATGCCTGTAATCCCAGCACTTTGAGAGGCCGAGGCGGGTGGATCACCTGAGGTCAGGAGTTCGAGATTAGCCTGGCCAACATGGTGAAACTCCATCTCTACTAAAAATACAAAAAAATTAGCTGGGTGTGGTGGTGCACACCTGTAATCCCAGCTACTTGGGAGGCTGAGGCAGGAGAATCGCTTGCACCTGGGAGGCAGATGTTGCAGTGAGCCGAGATCATGCCACTGCACTCCAGCCTGGCTGACAGAGGGAGACTCCATCTCAAAAAAAGAAAGAAAGAAAAAAAAAAGATTCATTTATTGATTTGTGCTTCAGGTTTAATTTGAAAACAAAAACAATAGGAGAATTGGAGGAAAGGAATGGGAGGACAGAGTACATGTGTTGGCATACCTTTGCTTAGCTCTAGAGGATAATGATGCAGATTTAGATCAATTATGTAGCTGTGCTGAAATTTCCCTCATTTGAGCACCTTTAATGTGAATTATTATGTGTTCTTGCTGGACTTACACTGTTACATCATTGTCAACTTGCTTAGTGTGCTCAGAAATAAAATTTTCATAGCTTTCCTCTGGACCTTGTTTTAAAGGGTAATATATTGATCCACTTGGAGACAAGAGGCTGGTAATAGAAATTTGGTACTTGGTAACAAAATTGCTGAATGTGTGAAATAAGCTTTGAAAAATATATGTTATGGTTAAAATGTTGGAAGGGCCTCAGAATTTTCACAGCAGTTATTTGTGTATTTTCTTTCTAGGTGCATGCTATTATGATGCTAATCAGTCTATGTATGTGTTTGGAGGCTGTACCCAGAGCAGCTGCAATGCTGCTTTCAATGACCTCTGGAGACTTGACCTAAACAGCAAAGAGTGGATCCGACCTTTGGCTTCAGGTAAGAGATGAAATGCTGATCTTTGCCTCCTTACCAGGTGACTCCCTTGGCATGGAAACTCTACCTGATCATTTTTGGTGTTGGTCTCAAGGATGGGTTACTGGGACTCAGGTCCTTAAGTTTAATGTGCCATGTAAATGATAATAGTAATATGCTTGTGTAAGTCTTTGTTTTTTGTTAAATTATACTTTATCATTAGTAATGGTGCCCTGCCAAAATTGCTGTACTGCTGTGTGAATTCATTTGCATGGTTTTCTCAAGTATACTCATACAGGTGTGATACATCATTTGGTAGGAGGTTGAAGTAAGAACAGAAACACAGAGTCGTGAGAACTGTAGTTGACTGACAGAAGCTATTGTCCTAGGGCTAAGGTCTCTGAATATCTGTTGTTGTTGCCAGCTCAGATATTTGGGGAGTGTATGGGACGTGCCTCTGCTAGTTACTCTTAACAACCCAGGGGTGTGGGAAGATTCTACAGTAGGTACATTCCTACCCAGTCCCACTATGCCAGAAATCTGGCAGAAAGAAACTAGATTATTTTCTTATTTTTGACCTAACCTCTCCTGGGGGAAAAAATAAAAACAATGGTTTTTGCACTCATGAGGCAGGGCAATTTGAGGAGGCATAGATTGGAGGGGTTGGTGTGATGGAGAAATAGTGTCCACTGAGTATAAAGTATTCTGCTAGATTTTTTGGCAAGCTTTTCCCAAAACATTCATTTGGCTTTTTAGTATTAGGACTCAGTCTTAGGACTAAGGACATTTGGGTTTCCATTGGGCAAGTTCCTTATTTATTTAGGCCTTGCCTTACTACTTTGATTACCAGATAGGAGGCATCATTGTATATTAGAAAGGGCACTGGACTAAGAGTGAGGGGACATGAGTTTCATTTCCTGGCATAGTCACCAATTCTCCATGTAACTATAAATAAGTTATTGCACTTCTCTGGGAGAAATGTGGAGTAGTACTAAATGACTATTTTTAAATGGGCTAAAAAGGCTAGTTTATGTTTCCCTTTCTATAACCGCTACTGTGAATGTCTAGGCCAGGGACTTAAACCTGTTTATGAGAAGAAGCTGCATTTTGCTTCCCTAAAACTTAAGTTCCTGTTCTTTCCACCTACATTAGGCAAATATAGGAGGAGCCTACTGAGTGGATACCATGGGTGGAGCTGGGCTTTGTGTAGATGAAGTTCTTTATTAAAATTATTGGCATTTGGAGGGTAGGAGGGTGGTGGTCCAGTCTGCAGATGGCCACACCAGGAGGAGGAGCTATTATATCCCCTTCTCTTCCACTTCCTGTCACAACCAATAAAGGCCGTTTGTGCCATTCATAAAAAACAAAAACAAAAACAAACCTACAAGCCAGGCCCACTGGCTCACGCCTGTAATCCCAGCACTTTGGGAGGCCAAGGCGGGCGGATCACCTGAGGTCAGGAGTTCGAGACCAGCCTGGCCAACATGATGAAACCCTGTCTCTCCTAAAAATACAAAAATTAGCTGGGCATGGTGATGGGTACCTGTAATCCCACCTACTTGGGAGGCTGAGGCAGGAGAATCTCATGAACCCAGGAGGTGGAGGTTGCACTCCATCCTGGGCAACAGAGCAAGTCTCCACAAAAACTATTGGAATAATAAAGAAATGGTAATCATATAAAAAGTTTGATAGCTAGAACTATTTCAGGGCCCTGAGAATTTTGTACTTTGGAGAATAACCTTTTCTAGCCCTTTATACCATATTGCACTTAGTGCAAATTGATTAATATTTGGAGTTACAGCTTCTGTTTTGTTTTGTATTGTTTTTTGAGACAAGATCTTGCTTTGTCACCCAGGCTGGAGTACAGTAGCACAGTCACAGCTTACTGCAGTCTCAGCTGAGTTATGGATTCTAAAATATAGAAGATCTTCTCAGCTTAAGCATCCTATTGCCACCATGCTTGGGATCTTGTACAGGTCTTATTTCAGAGGAGCTTTGATAGTTTCAGTCACAAAATACTATTACTGTCTTTATTTTGTAAACAAGCTTTATGCCTTTGATAATTTAGCATGGGTGGTGCTCTTTCTTGTTAAAATGGAGCTCTGGTTTGGGGACCTTCATAGCCTCTGCCAACTACTGTGCTTATTTCTCCCTGTAATATGGAGTAAGACTTTTTTTTTTTAAACCATCAAGTTTAAAGACTGCTTTGTGGCTAGGCGAAGTGGCTCACGCCTATAACCCCAGCACTTTAGGAGGCCAAGGCAGAAGGATCCCTTGAGGCCAGGAGTTTGAGACTCACCTGGGCAACATGGTGAGACCCCCATCTCTACAAAAAATAAAAACAAAAAATTAGCCAGGCATGGTGGCATGCCTCCATAGTCCCAGATACTTGGGAGGGTGAGACAGGAGGATTGCTTGAGCCCACAGATATAAGCCCAGACGCCTAGGCGAGAGTGAGACTGTGTCTCAAAAAAAGAAACAAAGAAAGAGAAAGAGAGGAAGGGAAGAAAAGAGGAAGGCAGGAAGGGAGGGAGGGAAGCCAAAGAAAAGGTTATGCTTTGAAATTCCCAAAGTAGAAATATTGGAGAAATAACTGCTTCAATCATTTACATTCTCTATGGAATATGAATTTTTAAAAATAGAGCATTTGGAATATTCCCTTTGACAAAACATACAAACTCCTGAATGTTTAAAGTAATTTTCTAACAAAATGTCTCAAAGAATCTAGTTACTCCCTCATCCTAATCTGCAATTAGAGGCTAGTTTTAGAAGGAGGAAAACCTGAGCTTTTTGAAATGTCTACTTATAAAAAACAATTGTTTAATAAAGAGTCCTGGCTGGGCACAGTGGCTCACTCCTCTAATCCCAGCACTTTAGGAGGCTGAGACAGGAGGATCTCTTGAGGCCAGGAATTTGAGACCAGCCTGGGTAACATAGTGAGACCCTGTCTCTACAAAACAATTAAAAATGAGCCGGGCATGATGGCATGTGCCTGTAGTCCTAGCTACTTGAGAGGTTGAGGTGGGAGGATTGCTTGAGCCCAGGAGTTCAAGGCTACAGTGAGTGATGATTGCTCCACTGCACTCTAGCCTGAGTGAAAGAGGGAGACCCTGTCTCAAAAAATAGCCTGGGCTTGGTGGCTCTCGCTTACAATCCTGGCACTTCGAGAGGCTGAGGTGAGAGGATCACTTGAGGCCAGGAGTTCCAGACGAGCCTGGCCAACATAGCGAAACCCCATCTCTACTAAAAAGACAAAAAATTAGCAGGGCATGGTGGCATGTGCCTGTAACCTCAGCTACTCAGGAGGTTGAAGCATGAGAATCACTTGAGCCCAGGAGGCAGAGGTTGCAGTGAGCCAAGATTGCGCCACAGCACCCCAGCCTGGGTGGCGGAGTGAGACTGTCTCAAAATAAAATAATAAATTAAAAAAAAAAAAGTCCCATGAGATTCTCATTTAGGCAGAAACCCCATGTAAGATGCCCTAAGACAATGTTTCTGTATGCTATCATGAGTCCTAATCAAAATCACTTCCTAACTGAAATGTCAATTAGTCCTTCTGAATAAAACATAGTTGTTTATAAGTCTTGGTGTACCTGACTCACTCATTTTAGTGCATCGAGGTAGGTAGATTGGAGGGTGACTGAGGGGAGGGCACTGTCAGTTGTGAGGTTGTCTTCTAACAGAGTATGTACAGGAAGGTAATAGTTGCTTTAACAGTGTTCAGACTTCAAAAGTGTAGCTGTTGGAGAAGTAAGAGCATCAAGCAAGGAGTGGAACACTTTTGGTTGGGAGTGGAGAGTCTTGATAGAGAATACTGCTGCATCAGATGTCTTTTTACATGTGTATTTGGTTATGTGGTTATGAGATTAGAGCATTCTCCTATTGGTTGGTGTCTTAGTCAGCTCAGGGTGCCATACAAAATACCATAGACTGGGTAGCTTAAACAGCAGAAATGTATTTCTCACAGTTCTAGAGGCTGGAAATTCAAGATGAGAATCTGGCATCGTTGGCTTCTAGTGAGGATTCTCTTCCCAGCTCCTGGTTTGCAGACTGCCACCTTCTCAGTGTGTTTTCATGTAGCAGAGAGTGAGCTCTGGCATCTCTTGTGCTTCTTTTTTTTTTTTTGTCACTCTGTCACCCAGGTTGGAGTGCAGTGGTGCGATCTTGGTTCACTGCAACCTCTGCCTCCTGGGTTGGAGCAATTCTCCTGCCTCAGCCTCCCGAGTAGCTGGAATTATAGGTGTGTGCCACCATGCCTGGCTAATTTTTGTATTTTTAGTAGAGACGGAGTTTCACCATGTTGGCCAGGCTGGTCTTGAACTCCTGACCTCAGGTGATCCACCCACCTCAGCCTCCCAGAGTGCTGAGATTACAGGCATGAGCCACTGTGCCCAGCTTCTTGTGCTTCTTATAAGGGGATTCATCTTATGAGGGCTACCCTCATGACCTCATCTAAACCTCATTGTCTTCCAAAGGCTTCATCTCCACCATAGCATCACCTTGGCGTTAGGGCTTCACCATATGGATTTGGTGGAGGACACAATTCCATCTATACCAGTTGGAATTAATGTAATTTCCCAGTGAAATCTTGTCTTTAGTTCCTTTCAAAATGATAGAAGTGCTCCATCTGGAGGAAGAGTGGTATTGGAGGTAGAGTGGTGACGAGTGTTGGGATGACAGATCTTACACTAAAAGAGACCCACAGCTAGTACTTCTCAGACATTTCCAACAAGGTAACACCTCCTCCCATTTACACCTGCTTTTGTGGCCCCTGCCCTCATGGAGCTTATATTGTAACGGGAAAGAAACAAGAAGCAAGTAAGCAAATTGTTATAAATTATGAAGGAAACAAACGGAATGAAGTATAGAATAAGGGGAGAGCTCCTTTTTTTGAGACAAGGTCTTACTCTGTCATCCAGGCTGGAGTGCAATGGCACAGTCACAGCTCCCTGTAGCCTCGACCTCCTGCCTTAGCCTCCTGAGTAGCTGCGAATACAAACGTGCACCACCATGCCTGGCTAATTTTTGTATTGTTTTGTAGAGATGGGGTCTCACTATGTTGCCCATGCTGTTAGGGGAGACCTACTTTAAACAGGAGACTTTTTGTTTGTTTGTTTTTGTTGTTGTTGTTTGTTTGTTTTTGGCTGAGACCTAAAGAATGATAGTGGAGGGAAGTGAGAATGGCATGTGCCTGGTGCAGCAAAGAAAAGGACATGTTAGAGGAGCTTAAAGCAGACCTTTGTGGATGTAGCCTAAGGAGCAGGGGAGAGAGTGGCACAGGGGGAGTTGAGATAAAGACAGGAGCAAGCTTATTCACAGACTAAGGTGGGGACTCAGAAACCTTTGAGATTTTAATGAGAGGAATGTCATCATCTGGATTACTTTTTTTTTTTTTTTTAAAGAGACAATCTTGCTCCCTTGCCAAAGCTGGAGTGCAGTGGCACAATCATAATTAATTGACTATAGCCTCAAACCCCTGGGTTCAAGTGATCCTCCCACCTCGGCCTCCTGCATAGCTGGAGCCACAGGTTTGCACCCCCACATCGGGACATTTTCTTTTCTTTCTTTTTTTTTTGTAGAACTAGGGTGTCACTATGTTGCCTGGGCTGGTCTTCAACTCCTAGCCTCAAATGATCCTCCTGCCTTGGCCTCCCAAAGTGCTGGATTACAGGCATGAGCCACTGCCCTTCCCTGCCTCAATTTACATTTTAGAGCACATTTTGCTTCTATTTAGGAAATGAAGGAAGGCAAGAAAGTAAACCAGACTAGACAGAAGGCCATCAATATTGACAAGACTCAGATGAGCATATATCAGTAAGAAACTGACAAAACTTTTTTTTTTTTTTTTTGAGACATAGTCTCACTCTATCACCCAGGCTGGAGTATGATGGTGCAATCTCAGCTCACTACAGCCTCTGCCTCCCGGGTTCAAGCAATTCTTGTGTTTCAGCCTCCCAGGCAGCTGGGATTACAGCAGTGTGCCACCACACCAGGCTAATTTTTGTATATTTAGTAGAGGTGGAGTTTCACCATACTGCCCAGGCTGGTCTGGAACCCTTGACCTCAAGTGATCCGCCCACCTTGGCCTCCCAAAGTGCTGGGATTACAGGCATGAGCCACTGCGCCCGGCCAAGACTTCTTAATGAATTAGATTTAGGAGCATGAGAAGGCCAATCAAGGGTGACTTATGTTTCAGGTTTATACAGCTACGTTGATGGTGGGGCCATTTGCTGAAGTGGAAAATAAATATTTGGGAGAGGTTAGTTTTTGGTTCCTATTAAATGTTTAAGTAGTAGTATCTAGTAATTCATTGTTATGAGAGTTTGACATTTGTTTATTATTATTATTATTATTTTTATTTTTATTTTTATTTTTTTTGAGATGGAGTCTCGCTCTGTCACCAGGCTGGAGTGCAGTGGTGCGATCTGGGCTCATTGCAACCTCCACCTCCCGGGTTCAAGTGATTCTTCTGCCTCAGCCTCCCCAGTAGCTGGGGTTACAGGCATGTGCCACCATGCCCAGCTAATTTTTGTATTTTTGGTAGAGATGGGGTTTCACCATGTTGGCCAGAATGGTCTCGATCTCTTGACCTCGTGATCCGTCTGCCTCGGCCTCCTGGGATTACACGCTTGAGCCACTGCACCCGGCCTATTATTATTGTTTGTTTGAGACAGAGTTTCACTCTTGTTTCCCAGGCTGGAGTGCAATGGCATGATCTCGGCTCACTCCATCTCCTGGGTTCAAGTGGTTCTCCTGCTTCAGCCTCCCAAGTAGCTGAGATTACAGGCGCCCACCACCACACCCAGCTAATTTTTTGTATTTTTAGTAGAGACAGGGTTTCATCACGTTGGCCAGGCTATTTTTAATAGAGACAGGGTTTCATCACGTTGTATTTTTAGTAGAGACAGGGTTTCATCACCTGAGGTTAATCCTGACCTCAGGCGATCCACCCGCCCCGGCTTCCCAAAGTGCTGGGATTACAGGCATGAGCCACTGTGCCTGGCCGAGAGTTTGACACTGAAAACAAAGGGCCTGACTTCCCTTAAATGACAGCACAGGCCAGGCACAGTGGCTCACACCTGTAATCCTAGCACTTCAGGAGGCTGAGTGGGAGGATGGCTTGAGGCCAGGCCACTCTGAGGCCAGGATGGCTTGAGTTCAAGACCAGCCTGAGCAACATAGCAAGAGCCCATCTCTACAAAAATAATAAAAAATAAATGACTCTACAGTCCTTCTGTTCAGTTAAATTCTTCTCTCATCCTTCACTTGTTCATGTAACAAATATTCATGGATTGCCCCCCTGGTATTGTTCTATATGCCAGGGACACATGAGTCAATAACTGACAAACATCTCAGCCCTAATGAGACTACATTCAAATGAAGGAAGACAGATACTAAAAATGACAAATATATAACAGTATGTTAGAGGATGGAAAGTGCTATTGAGAAACTACAGTATGGCTAGGAGGATTATAACTAGGAGAATCAGAGAGAAGGCGACATTAGAACAAGGACTTGATGGGTACAAGAAGTGAGCCATGTGGGTATCTGAGAAACGAATGTTTCAAACAGAGAATAATCAGTGCAAAGACCCAGAGTTGGGAGTGTGCTTGATATAGTCAAGGGATACTGAGGAATCCATTGTGACTGGAGCAGAGTGAACAAAGGAGAGGAGGTTGGACAGAAAATGAAAGGGATGTATCACATATGTGTGGCTTTCTGGCTGTTGTAAGGACATTGTCATATTCACTGAATAGAATGGCTAGTTGTGTAGGTTTCTGAGAAGAGGGCAAGTATGGAAGCAAGGAGACCAGTTAAAAGGTGGTAGCATAATCTAGGCTGAAAATGATAGGCACTTGGAGTAAAGTATTCACAAAAGGTAAGAACTGGGTGGATTTGATAGAGCCAAAGGGATTTGCTCATATTTTGGATGTAGAGTAGGAAAGAGAAAGAAAGCAATCAAGATGACTCTTCAGGTTTTTATCCTGGGCATTTGAAAGGGTGGAATTTTCATTAACTGAGATGGGGAAGACTGGGTGATCAAGGTTGGCAAGGGGCAGGAGAGATGAGAAATTCCACTTGAAACGTATTGAGTTTGAGACGCTTATTAGGACATCCAGGTGGAGATATATGTATATGGAGTTCAGGGGAGACACACAGGCTGGAGGTAGCCATGTAGGGCTCATTAGCCTATTAGTTAGTAATATAGTTTGGCCCTGTGTCCCCACCCAAATCTCACCTCAAATTGTAATCCTCATAATCCCCATGTGTCAAGGGCAGGACCAGGTGGAGGTAATTGGATCATGGGGGTGGTTCGCCCATGCTGTTCTCATGATAGTGAGTGAGTTATTGATGGTTATATAATTGTCTGGCATTTCCCCTGCTTGCACTCATTCCGTCCTGCTGCCCTGGGAAGAAGGTGCCTGTTTCTCCTTTGGCTTCTGCCATGATTGTAATTTTCCTGAGGCCTCCCAGCAATGCGGAACTGTGAGTCAATTAAACCTCTTTCCTTTATAAATTACTCAGTCTTGGGTATTTCTTCATAGCACTGTGAGAATAGACTAATCCAGATGGATTTAAAGCTATGAGACTGCATGAGATTACCAAGGGACTGAGTGAAGACAGAGGATGGTATAAAGGCCAGGCATGGTGGCTCACGCCTGTAAAATCAGCACTTTGGGAGGCTGAGGCAGAATTGCTTCAGCCTAAGGGTTTGAGACCAGCCTGGCCATCTCCTCAAAAAATTAAAAAAAAAATTAGCTGGGCGTGGTGTGAACCTATAGTCCCAGCTGCTCGGAAGGCTGATGCAGGCGGGCAGGGGTGAGGGGAGAGGATCACCTGAGTCCAGGAGGTTGAGGCTGCAGTGACCCATGTTTGCGCTACTGCACTGCAGTCTGGGTGACGAAGCAAGTCCTATCTCAAAAAGAACAACAAAAACAAAAAAGAGAATGGTGTAAGGATTGAGTCTGGGAGACTCCAGCATTTGGAAATCAGGGGACTCGAAAAGGAGCACCCAGTAAGGAAGGAGAACATCGGAGAATGTGGCATCTGGGAAGCCAGCATATGAGGAAAGCGTTTCCAGGAAAGGAGGAAATAATCAGCTGCATCAAATGCAGCGAAGAGGTCAAGTCATGTAAAGACTGAGAATTACCCTTAAATTTAGTAAAGAAAGCTTGTGGGGTGAGTGATAAAGATGGAAGCCAGTTTGTAATACATTTTAGAAAATGGGAAGACAGGATGGGCATGGTGTCTCATGCCTGTAATCCCAGTACTTTGGGAGGCCAAGGCAGGCAGATCAGGAGGTCAGAAGTTCGAGACCAACCTGACCAACATGGTGAAACCCCGTCTCTACTAAAAATACAAAAATTAGCTGGGCATGGTGGCGCCTGCCTATAATCCCAGCTACTCAGGAGGCTGAGGCAGGAGAATCACTTGAACCCAGGAGGCGGAGGTTGCAGTGAGCCGAGATTGCACCATTGCACTCCAGCCTGGGCAACAGAGCATGGGAAGACAGAAGTTAAAGGCATTAAGTATAAACAATACATTGATTTTTTTTTTCTTTTGAGGAATTTTGCTAAAGGAGAGCAAGGAGCTGAGGTGCTAAGTGGAGGTAGATGTAGAATTGAGATGTTCGTTGTGTTTTTTGTTTGTTTGTTTGTTTTTGAGATGAGTCTTGCAGTGTCGCGGGGCTGGAGTACAGGGGTGCGATCTCGGCTCACTGCAGCCTCCGCCAACTAGGTTCAAGCAGTTCTCCTGCCTCAGCCTCCTGAGTAGCTGGGATTACAGGCACGTGCCACCACGCCCGGCTAACTTTATTTTTGTTTTGTTTTGTTTTTTGAGACAGAGTTTTGCTCTTGTTGCCCAGGCTGGAGTTCAGTGGTGCAATCTCTGGCTCACCGCAACCTCCACCTCCCGGGTTCAAGCGATTCTCCCGCCTCAGCCTCCCAAGTAGCTGGGATTACAGGCATGTACCACCACACCCAGCTAATTTTGTATTTTTTAGTAGAGACAGGGTTTCTCCATGTTGGTCAGGCTGGTCTCAAACTCCCGACCTCAGATGATCCTCCTGCCTTGGCCTCCCAAAGTGCTGGAATTACAGGCATGAGTCCCTGCGCCTGGCCTAATTTTTTTGTATTTTTAGTAGAGATGGGGTTTCACTATCTTGGCCAGGCTGGTCTTGAACTCCTGACCTTGTGATCTGCCCATCTTGGCCTCCCAAAGTGCTGGGATTATGGGCATGAGCTGCCACGCCCAGCTCGTTTTTTTAAGATGACAGATTTTATAGCATACATGTATGCTGATGGGAATGATCTTCCTGAGGGGAGAAGTTGATGTGGATAGAGGGGGAGAATTGTTAGAGCAATATCTTCAAGTAGTGAGAAACACTGAATCAAATGGAGACATTGGCCTGAGATAAGAACATTGTGTATCTGTATGAACAAAAGGGAATATGTGATTGCAGGTGCTGGTGAGTGGGTAGATGCAGTGGATCCTGGTGGAAGTTCTCTATTGATCGCTTTATGACTCAGGTAAAATAATTGAGGGTAGAACAGAAACCATTGGAAATCCTGGCCAGTAATTGTGAATGTATAATTATGTACATTGTAGTCTTTGCCAAATGGTTCTAGAAAGTTGAATGTTTCACCTTCTAGTATTGTCTGAAGGTAACACCTTAATTCTTAATCAGATTTGTATGACTTAGCCTTTGTTCAATTCCCAAAACAAATGAGCAGTTCTTGGGACAGGTGCTTTGAAAGACTAATGTTTAAACCACTGTTTCTGAAATAAATTACCCTTTATTCAAACTCAGACTGATTTTGGCATCTGTTTAATACAGAGTCAACGTAAGTCATACTGCCTTTTTCGGTTACTTTAAATCAAGATAGAAGTTTTCAAGTAGAAATTTTACATTTAAATTAAAACTGGAGTATTCTGATTTTCAAAACTGCTTAGAGATTAACCCAAACCCATTTGCAAAAAGGGAACAAATTTCAGTTTTAAAACTTGCCACAGGCCAGGCACGGTGGCTCACACCTGTAATCCCAGCACTTTGGGAGGCCAAGGCAGGTGGATCACTAGGTCAGGAGTTCAAGACCAGCCTGGTCAAGATAGTGAAATCCCGTGTCTACTAAAAATACAAAAAGTAGCTGGGCATGGTGGTGGGTGCCTGTAATCCCAGCTACTCGGGAGGCTGAGGCAGGGAATTGCTTGAACCCGGGAGGTGGAGGTTGCAGTGAGCCAAGATTGTGCCACTGCACTCCAGCCTGGGCGACAGAGCGAGACTGTCTCAAAAAAAAAAAAAAAAAAAAAAACTTGCCACAGTTAGAAGAGTCTATAAATGCCAGGTAAAGATTTAAAGCTCAGTCTGTCATTTTCACTAACTGGTACTGGAGCACAGTTGATTTTCCCACCACATTCTCCCCACAGAATTGTCTTTCCCAAGGATTTTCTTTTTCTTTGCAGTTTCCTCCCTTTCAGTCACACATGCAATTCCAGGTGATGGTTTGTGGGTCCAAGCCCTTTGTTTTAGAAAAATGCACTCGAAGATAGAGATGTGTAACCTAGATGCCTGTTCTTGGCCTTGCTACTTCTCAGTTATTTGCCTCTGAATTTAATCATTTTTTGCATTCTCTGGGCCTCAATTTTCTTTCCTGTAAAAAGAAGAAGAGACAAAATTACTGTTCATAAAAATTGGATAACAGATCACCTTTATTCAGATCACCTGAGAAGCTTACCTAAACTGTGGGTTCCTTGGCCCCATAGCAGACTCACCTAATCTCAGGAGTTGGGGATAAGATGGTGGATCAGCATTTTTTTTTTTTTTTTGAGACGGAGTCTCACTCTGTCACCCAGGCTGGCCTGCAGTGGTGTGATCTCAGCTCACTGCATCCTCTGCCTCCTGGGTTCAAGCAGTTCTCCTGCCTCAGCTTCCTGAGTAGCTGGGATTACAGGCACCCACCACCACGCCCGGCTAATTTTTGTATTTTTAGTAGAGACGGGGTTTCACCATGTTGGCCAGGGTGGTCTCGAACTCCTGACCTCAGGTGATCTGCCCGCCTTGGCCTCCCAAAGTGCTGGGATTACAGGCATGAGCCACTGCACTCAGCCGATCAGCATTTTTAAAAATGGAAATGGGGTCTTACTGTGTTGCCCAGGTTGGTCTTGAACTCCTGGCCTCAAGCTGTCCTCCTACCTTGGCCTCCCAAACTGCTAGGATTTTAGGCATGAGCCACTGCACCTGGTCATGGATCAGCATTTTTTTTTTTTTTAAAAGAGAAAATGGCCGGGCACAGTGGCTCACACCTGTAATCACAGCACTTTGGGAGGCCGAGGCGGGTGGATCACCTGAGATCAGGAGTTCGAGACCACCCTGGCCAACGTGGCAAAACCCCGTCTCTGCTAAAAATACAAAAATTAGCTGGGCATGGTGGTGGGCGCCTGTAATCCCAGTTACTTGGGAGGCTGAGGCAGGAGAATTACTTGAACTCAGGAGGCAGAAGTTGCAGTGAGCCGAGATCGCGCCACTGCACTCCAGCCTGGGGGACAGAGTGAGACTCTGTCTCAAAAAAAAGAAAAAAAAAAAAAAGAAAATGTCTCAGTTGATTCTAAACATAGCTAAATTTTGAAATCCTGGAGCCCTATGATATCTTCTTGCAGTCTTACTGTATAATATGTGAGCTCTCTCAGTGTTATTACAGTAAATTAGGTGAGTATGTGATGTGCTAAACTGGATTCCTCAGCTATCATTAGGAAGCAACATAGCCACTCTGTGCTCTCAGTGGCTGCTTTGTAGAAATAGCTACCTTTGGCCAGGCATGGTGGCTCACACCTGTAATCCCAGCACTTTGGGAGTCGAGGATCACTTGAGGTCAAGTGACTTCACTTGGTGGATCACTTGAGGTCAGGAGGATCACTTGAGGTCAAGAGTTTGAGAACAGCCTGGCCAGCATGTGAAACCCTGTCTCTAATAAAAAATACAAAAATCAGCTGAATGTGGTGATGTGCGCCTGTAATCCCAGCTTCTCAGGAGGCTGAGGCAGGAGAATCGCTTGAACCCGGGAGGTGGAGGTTACAGTGAGCCAAGATTGCCACTGCACTCCAGCCTGGGCAGCAGAGTGAGACTCCGTCTCAAAAAAAAAAAAGAAAGAAAAAGAAAAAGAAAAAAAGAAAATTAGCCAGGCATGGTGATCCATACCTGTAGTCCAAGCTACTCAAGAGTCCGAGGCACAAGAATTGCTTGAACCTGGGAGGCAGAGGTCACAGTGAACCATGTTCTGTCACTGCACTACATCCTGGGTGACAGAGCGAGACTCCATCTCAAAAAAAAAAAAAAACAAAAAAAGAAAAAGAAAAGAAATAGCCACCTTTTACAAACCCAGTTAGTCATGAGTGGCATACTGTCCCAGGAGATGTACGTGGACCTTGAGAGGTTGTTAGGGATGAGGTGCTGGTTCGCCCAGATTCTTTATGCATATTATCTAACCTTCATATCAACTCAATAGGATGATACTATAATTATCTCCATGTTACAAATGAGGAAACCGAGGCAGGGCATTGCGGCTCACGCCTGTAATCCCAGCACTTTGGGAGGCCGAGGCGGGCGGATCACCTGAGGTCAGGAGTTCGAGACCAGCCTGACCAACATGGAGAAACCCCGTCTCTACTAAAAATACAAAATTAGCCAGGTGTGATGGTGCATGCCTGTAATCCCAGCTACTCGGGAGGCTGAGGCAGGAGAATTGCTTGAATCTGGGAGGCAGAGGTTGCGGTGAGCTGAGAATCGTGTCATTGCACTCCAGCCTGGGCAACAACAGTGAAACTCTGTCTCAAAAACAAAAACAAAAACAAACACACACACAACAAGTGAGGAAACCAAAGCTCACAATCACCTGGTAATTTACCTAAAATCACATAGCCAGTAAGTGATGGAGCAAGGATTGAAACCCAAGATTTTGTCTCTAAAGTTTGTGTTCTTTCTACTAAGCCATGCTGTGAGTAGTTTTCGTTCTTCTTTTCTTTTGTTTTTTTTTCTGGAGACTGGGTTTCACTCTCTCTCCCAAGCTGGAGTGCAGTGGCGGATGTTGGCTCACTGCAGCCTTGACCTCCGGGGTTCAGGTGATCCTCTTTCCTCAGCCCCCAAGAAGCTGGGACTTCAGGTGCTAACATAGTGTTTTATTTTAGAATAGAACAGAGAGAGTTTCCATATATCTGACACCCAGTTTCCCTAATGTTAGCATCTTGTATTAGTATAGCACACTGTGACAATTATTAGGTTGGTGCAAAAGTAATTGCGGTTTTTGCCATTGAATAATGATAAACCAATATTGGTACGTTATTATTAACTAAAATGCATACACTATTCAGATTTTCTGATTTCTTTCTTTAACATAACATCCTTTTTCTGTTCTAAGATCCCATCCTTGATACATTACATTTAGGCTTTTTGTCTCCTTAGGCTCCTTTTGGCTGTGACAGTTTCTAAGAGTTAACTTGTTTTTGATTATCTTGACAGTTTTGAGGAATACTGGTCAGGTATCTTATAGACCACTCTTCAACTTGGATGTTTATCTTATGGTTAGACTGGAGTTATGGCTTTTGGGAAGAAGACCGTGGAGATATAATGCCATTCTCATCACATCAGATCAAGAGTACATATTGTTGGCTGGTGTGGTGGCTCACGCCTATAATCCCAGCACTTTGGGAGGTCAAGGCAGGTGGATCATTCGAGGCCAGGAGTTCAAGACCAGCCTGGCCAACATAGAGAAACCCTGTCTTTACTAAAAAATACAAAAATTAGCTAGGTGTGGTGACACAGGCCTGTAATCCCAGCTACCCAGGAGGCTGAGGCACAAGAATCAGTTGAGCCAGGGAGGCAGAGGTTGCAGTGAGCCAAGATTGCACCACTGCCCTCCAGCCTGGGCAACAAAGCAAGACTCTGTCTCAAAAAAAAAAGAAAAAAAAAACCATTGTCAACATGATTTTTCACTGTTTCTATTAACCAGGATCACCTGGTTGAAATAGTATACATTTGATTTTCCACTGTAGAGTTACTCTTTTCTCTGCCTTGTAATTCTTTTTTATAGTCTATTGCTTTCTTTTCCTGTTATTCTCTTTTACCCATTTGTAATTGCCCTTGGTTCTCGATGTTCCATTGAATTTTAGGGGAATAACTAAGCTATTTGACTATTATGTTTATCATTAGAGTCAGGAAAGGATAATGAGAAGAGGGTATATCATTTGAAGAAACTTTTTCACAGCTTAGAGAATTTTTAGATATCAACATGATTTGCTTTTAAAATTTTTTTGGTGAGGAGCAGGATGCTAGACAAGATGTAGACAAGATATCTCTTCCTGTTTGTTTGCTTTTCAAGAGATGGGGTCTCACTCTGTTGCCCAGGCTGGAGTGTAGTGACTCAGTCATAGGTCCTAGTTCACTGCAGCCTCAAACTCCTAGACTCAAGCAGTCATCCTGCCTCAGCCTCCCTTCTTTCAAGCTATCCAGAGTTAGAAGCTCCGTTGGAAATAATTTTGTTTTTTTAGGGCTATTCTCTAAAAGAACAATATCTTCCAAAATCACTGAGTAATCTTGCAGAAAAGCTAATTTACTTTCGGAGGTGGGGGCAGGAAAAAGTATTGGTCATATCACATGTCAGTAGGAAGACCACAGGATATCCTTAAAAATTGGATAGGGAGCACGACCAGTGCTAGAACTGTTCAGAAATAACCGTCTAGGCTGGGCGCGGTGGCTCATGCCTGTAATCCCAGCACTTTGGGAGGCCGACCCAGGCAGATCACCTGAGGTCGGGAGTTCGAGACCAGCCTGACCAACATGGAGAAACCCCGTGTACTAAAAATACAAAATTAGCCAGGCATGGTGGCACATGCCTGTAGTCCCAGCTGCTCGGGAGGCTGAGGCAGGAGAATCGGTTGAACCCAGAAGGCGGAGGTTGTGGTGAGCCAAGATTGCGCCATTACATTCCAGCCTCCAGCCTCGGCAACAAGAGCGAAACTCCGTCTCAAAAAAAAAGAAAAAAAGAGAAATAACTGTCTAGAAATAACTGTCCAGAATATTACTGTTTCTTTTACAGTGTAAATGATACCTTAAAAAGGTTACATATGGGGCTGTCAGTCCCGTTAATGAAGCTTACTGTCATGTGTCTAGTGGAAAAGCTTAATCTTAGGTTATCTTCCCTGAGCCTGTGGTAATATCACCAGGAAATGTCTAAACAAGGGAGTCTGGGACTGATACCTGGTACCAGGTATAACTAAAGCAGCTGACAGTAGAGTCTATTCTAACAAAAAACAAAACAAAATAAAAATAAAAAAGACAGTAGTCTATTCTGGGAAAAGATTTCCCAGTCCATCCTTTGGCTCAGGTCCCAAACGTCGGTGCTAACATTGAAACAGCTGGATGTGGTTTTTTTTGTTTTGTTTTTTGTTTTTTTTTTTGAGATGGAGTTTCGCTCTTGTTGCCCAGGCTGGAGTGCAATGGCGTGATCTCCGGCTCACTGCAACCTCCGCCTCCCGGGTTCAAGCGATTCTCCTGCCTCAGCCTCCCGAGTAGCTGGGATTACAGGCATGTGCCACCATACCCAGCTAATTTTGTATTTTTAGTTGAGATGGAGTTTCTCCATGTTGGTCAGGGTGGTCTCAAACTCCCAGCCTCAGGTGATCCGCCCGCCTCGGCCTCCCAAAGTGCTGGGATTACAGGCATGAGCCACCACGCCTGGCCTGGATGTGGATTTTTAAAAATTATTTATTTTTTGATACAGGGTGTCACTCCATCACCCAGGCTGGAGTACAGTGGCACGAACATGGTTTACTGCAGCCTCGACCTCTTGGGCTCAAGTGATCCTCCTGCCTCAGCCTCCCTAGTAGCTGGGACTATAGACATATGCCACCAAGCCCAGCTAATTTTTTAAATTTTTTGTTGAGACAGGGTCTTGCCCTGTTGCCCAGGCTGGTCTCAAACTTCTAGGCTCAAGTGATCCTCCTGCCTCATCCTCCGAAAGTGCTGGGATTACAGGCCTGAGCCACCACGCCCAGCCTGGATGTGGAATTTTTTAATTTTTTTTTTTTTTTTGAGACAGAATCTCGCTCTGTCACCCGGCCTGGAGTGCAGTGGCGAATTTCGGCTCATTGCAACCTCCGCCTCCTGGATTCAAGCAATTCTTCTGCCTCAGCCTCCTGAGTAGCTGGGATTACAGGTGCATACCACCACGCCCGGCTAGTTTTTGTATTTTTAGTAGAGATAGGGTTTCACCGTGTTGGCCAGGCTGGTCTCAAACTTCTGAGCTCAAGTGATCCGCTTGCCTCGGCCCCCCAAAATGCTGGGATTACAAGCATTAGCCACCATGCCCAGCCTGGATATGGAATTTTTAAAAATAATATATTAGTAGTGGGGGCAGGGAGGAGAAAAAAAGAAAAAAAAAGAATGATGTATTAATGTGCTTGTCACTATTCGATTCTGCTTTTTAATATTGTTTTGCACTAAGCACTTTATACATTTTTAAAATTATAATATGCAAATGTGTTAGGAGAATGCCAAATCTTGTGGCAATGGGGAAGAAGTGGATGATGATTAACTGCTGAATATCAGACAGTATAACAAGAGGACACACGTGCCTTTCAAATATACTCCTAGCTTCTATTCTGTCTTAAAAACGAGTGATTGATCTCATTGTTTTAGTATTTTGTTTGTGAATGAGACAATCCAGTTCTACTCACAGATCTTTCCTTGATTACCAAATGTATTTATTACCAAAATGTATTAATATCTGTCCTTAGCTATTTCTCCTCCATGTTGAAAATCCTGCCTCCTTTAACTTGTAGTCATTGGGTCAAACTCATGAGACTTTTCTATTCTTTCTTAAAACCATCTAAAATAAAACCTTCTTATTTTAGTAGTGTCAGTGAAAATAAGCAGTGACATTTCTTAGAATTCTCAGCTTTCAAATCTACATGCTGTGATCCTGTCTGCCTACCATCTGGACAGTTTTTGTTTACTCTTGGGTTCCCCCATGGAGTAAAAGTCTCAAATCATCTAGCATTGTTTCTCTTATTCTCAGGTATCCATGTAATCTCCTAACAGTACTTCATGTTTTATTACCACAATAAATTTCATTTCATATGATGCCTTATCCTTGTATATCTCCAATGCTATATAGATTAACTTTATGTCCTAAATGTAGTTATAAGAGGCTAATTCTAAATGGGAGAGGAACGCAAGATACTATCCCTGAGTCATTTCTAACTTCTGCTTCCCAGGAATGACCCTCTTGGTTTCAAGGACACTTGGTAGTGCCATGGACCAATTCATGGCTCGTGCTCAATGTTTGGCTGTTTAGTTTCTATGTAATTAGGATCAGGCCAGTTTCTCAAGTTCTCCAGTTTTCTTTTCTTTTCTTTTCTTTTTTTTTTTTTTTTTGAGACAGAGTGTCGGTCTGTCGCCCGGGCTGGTGTGCAGTGGTGTGATCTCGGCTTACTGCAAGCTCTGCCTCCTGGGTTCACGCCATTCTCCTGCCTCAGCCTCCCGAATAGCTGGGACTACAGGTGCATGCCACCATGCCCGGCTAATTTTTTGTATTTTTAGTAGAACGGGGTTTCACCGTGTTAGCCAGGATGGTCTCGATCTCCTGACCTCGTGATCCACCCACCTCGGCCTCCCAAAGTGCTGGGATTACAGGCGTGAGCCACCGCACCCTGCCAAGTTTTCCAGTTTTCATAACTGTGAGGAGATGTGCTGTTCCTAGGTGGGTAAGAGCTGTGATGGGTCGTTTATTGACTTATAAATATCACCTTGAATTCTAGGAGGCTCCTTTGCCCTTTTTTGTTTATTTATTTTGAGACGGGGTCTCACTCTGTTGCCAAGGCTGTTCTTGGCAACAATTCTCCTCCCTCAGCCTCCCGAGTAGCTGGGATTACAAGCACGTACCACCACCACGCCTGGCTAATTTTTTTAGTAGAGACGGGGTTTTGCCATGTTGGCCAGGCTGGTCTCCAACTCCTGACCTTAGGTGATTCACCCACCTCAGCGTCCTAAAGCGCTGGGATTACAGGCATGAGCAACCACTCCTGGCCTCCTTTGTCCTTTTAAAACTCAGAAGCTATTTCTCATTCCCCCTTGAGGAGATGAACTCTTGAACTATGGCTTTTTATTTTTATTCTTCCTTTTCTGTTTTTGGGTAAGAGACAGGGTCTAGCTTTTTGTCCCTGAGTGGAATACAGTGGCATCATCATAGCTCACTGCAGCCTCAAATTCCTGGGCTCAAGCGATCCTCCTGCTTCAGCCTCCCAAGTAGCAAGGACTACAGGCATGAACCACTATGCCCAGCTATTTTATTTTATTATTTGTAGAGACAGCGTCTCACTGTAATGCCCAGACTGGTCTTGCACTCCTAGCCTCAAGTGATCCCCCTGCCTTGGCCTCTCGAAGTACCGAGATTACAGACATGAGCCATCGCACCTGATGTACTATGCATTAATTGATTCTACTTTTCAAATAAATTGTGCCCCTGATAATTTCCTCTTTTCTGTAGTTCTCTCTAGAAGTGATGATGGGTTGTGGGTTTTATATTTGATTTGTTGGCTTTTATGTTGTGTCCCTTTTTTGTCTTCTCTCCCATTTTAGTAAGCTTTCTGAAATCCCACTGCTGAATCTCAGAATGTTTCTTGCTATTGAATTTACATATGTGAGTTACAGGGTAGTTGCATTTTATGTGATGAATGGGTTCTTAAAGACCTCATATAATGAATTTTAATTCTAATAATGGATTGCTGATATTTCTGCTTACTGGCTAAAGTAGTTGGTGGTACCATGTGACACCAGTATGAACATGGTTTACAGTTTACTGCCAGCTTTTACATTAGCGATTCTTTTTTTAAAAACAATATTATTCTATTAAGACATAATTTGATAGCTGGGCATGGTGGCTCACGCCTGTAATCCCAGCACTGTGGGAGGCTGAGGCGGGCAGATTACGAGATCAGGAGATCGAGAGAATCCTGGCCAACGTGATGAAACCCTGTCTCTACTGAAATACAAAAAATTAGCTGGGCATGGTGGTGGGTGCCTGTAGTCCCAGCTACTTGCGAGGCTGAGGCAGGAGAATCGTTTGAACCCAGGAGGCGGAGGTTGCAGTGAGCCAAGTTCACGCCACTGCACTCTAGCCTGGCAACAGAGCAAGACTTCGTCTCAAAAAAAAAAAAAAAAAAAAAACGGGGGCATAATTTGTATGGGGGGGGGATATACATTACTTATAGTTAAATGAGCAAATCTTAAGTGCACAACTCAGAGATTTTGTTTTTTACATATGTATACAGTCATGTGATCATTACCTAGATCAAGATACGAAAACTTTCTTCACCTCAAAAAAGCCCCCTCATGCCCCTTTCCTGTCTGTACAACCCCCATAGAGGTCAGCTCCTATTCTGACTTCTAACACTGTGGCTTTGTTCTGTTCTTTTTTTCTTTTCTTTTCTTTTTTTTTTGTGTTTTTTGAGACAAAGTTTCATTCTGTCACCCAGGCAGCAGTGCAATGGCATGATTATCATAGCTCACCGCAGCTCCAGCTCTTGGGCTCAAGCAATCCTCCTGCCTCAGCCTCCCAAGTAGCTGGGATTGCAGATGCACACCACCATGCCTGACTAATTTAGTTTTTGTAGAGATGGGGTACTGCTATGTCTCCCAGCCTGGTCTTGAATGCCTGGTCTCAAACAATCCTCCTGCCTCAGATTCCCAAAGTATAGTTCTGTGTTCTTGAACTTCGTGTAAATGGACGTCTGTGATAGGTAGTATTTTATGTCTGGCTTCTTTCTTTGAACACGTTTTTGAGATTCATCTATGTGGTTGCATCTGTCAGTAGTTTATTCCCTTCCATTACCATGAGTGCTTCTTAATATGAATATCCCACTTTTTTTCTTGTTTGAGACAGAGTCTCGTTCTGTTGCCTAGGCTGGAGTGTGCAGTGGCACAATCTTGGCTCACTGCAGCCTCTACCTCTTGGGCTCAAGTGATCCTCCCACCTCAGCCTCCCAAGTAGCTGGGACTACAGATGTGCATCACCACACCCGGTTAATTTTTGTATTTTTGTTGAGACAGGGTTTCATCATGTTGCCCAGGCTGGTCTTGAACTCCTAGGCTCAAGAGATCTGCCCACCTCAGCCTCCAAAGTGCTACGATTACAGGCATAAGCCACCATGCCCGGCCCTCATTTTTTTTTTTTTTAAGTTGTTCTCCTGTTGATGGATACTTGGGCTGTTTCTACTTTGAATATAGCTGCCATCAACATTGTTTGTACTTTTCAGTGGATATATGCACTCATTTCCTACTTGTCAACTTTAAGAGATATTTTAGACATAGCAAGCATCCCAGAGAGCTCTCCATTTCCTTAGTCCTGCTCCATCTGAAAGATCTGATGATATAACTAAGTATTACAGAAGTTTGGGGAGGAAAGACCACTTGGCTAATAATAAAAGATACTAATTATTAGGGGCTAATGACCTAAAGTAATGTGAGGAAGATATTGTAGGAGGGAAGGAGGCTCGTTAGTAATACCATAAAAATGATGGGTTTTGTGCCAGGAGGCATACTTTTTCATTTGAGCCCTGTCACTTGCTGGTTACCGGTTGTTTAACCCCAGTTGCCTTACCTTTAGGGTAGAGATGGTAATACCTACCTTTCATAGTTTTTGTTCATATTACATACAATACAGTACTCAGTTGGAGAGGGTTTCTGGGAACTGATGATGAAGTTGACATCTTTATATATACGGAGATACTAGCTAAGGAGTAAGTTGTCAGGGTTCTTTGGTTGAGAGGTCAGGCAAACTGGCTTTGTCTCTAGGGAATCTGAAAGAAACAAAAAGAATCGAGACAAGAACTTTACATCCATTCAACAGGATTATTTTTGCAGTTGCCTGTTCTGGGGACCCTGGTTGATACTTTCATGAAAATGAAATATTCCTAAGAATTCATCAAATGCTAGCCATTGTTCGTGTAAAGGCTAGAAGTTATAACATCAGGAAAAGCTATGGATTTTTATGTACACAAATTTCGATGACTAACATGTCCTTTTACCCAAAGTATCCTACTTGCTGCCACCTTGGGTCTCAGGGATAGGAAAGGTAGTTAGGGATCAAAGTGTGGCTGACAAGATCCTGCATAATCTTCCCTTCTCTCCACCTCTACCTTTGTGCATACTCTTGTTCCTTCAGCCAAGCCTTTACCTATTAGAGAGTTGCAGTGACCCACCGGGCACGGTGGCTCACGCCTGTAATCCCAGCACTTTGGGAGGCCAAGGCGGGTGGATCACTTGAGGTCAGGAGTTCGAAACCAGCCTGACTAACATGGTGAAACCCGGTCTCTACTTAAAATACAAAATTAGCTGGGCGTGGTGGTGCATGCCTGTAATCCCAGCTACTCGGGAGGCTGAGGCAGAAGAATCGCTTGAACCCGGGAGGCGGGAGTTGCGGTGAGCCAAGATCGTGCCATTGCACTCCAGCCTGGGTAACAAGAGCGAAACTCTGTCTCAAAAAAAAGAGAGTTGCAGTGAGCCTTATAGTTTGCGTCTCTGTGGACATCTGGCCAGACTTCATGCTGTTAGACATTAATCATTTCAGTCTACAGAGGACTTTTTTTTTTTTTTTTTTTTTGGGACGGAGTCTTGCTCTGTCCCCCAGGCTGGAGTGCAGTGGCACAATCTTGGCTCACTGCAACCTCCGCCTCCCAGATTCATGCAATTCTCCTGCCTTAGCCTCTCGAGTAGCTGGGACTATGGGCATGCACCACCACGCCCAGCTATTTTTGTATTGTTTTCTTTTTTTTTTTTTTGGTAGAAACGGGGTTTCACCATGTTGGCTAGGCTGGTCTCGAACTCCTGACCTCAGGTGATCCACCCGCCTCAGCCTCCCAGAGGGCTGAGATTACAAGTGTGAGCCACTGCGCCCAGCCTACAGAGGACTATTGAGCATCCAATGACTATGCTAGGTATGCAGGTATAGTACTAAGTAACAGGAGTTCCTAATCCTAAGAGGTTCTCCATCTAGCAGAAGAAAACCAAACACTTATGTGGTAAATGAAGAGGGCTATGGATAGCCATTGAAAAAAGGCTGTGGATGGAGGTAAGAGAGTTTGGCATGTTCATGGACTTACAAATAGGTTGGGTGTTCCTGAGCCAGGATATGTGAGGGGAGAGTGGTACAAGTGGGTATTAGAAAGGTAGTTAGGGGCCAGGTGCGGTGGCTCATGCATGTAATCCCAGCACTTTGGGAAGCTGAGGTGGGCAGATCATCTGAGTTCAGGAGTTCGAGACCAGCCTGGCCAACATGGTGAAACCCCATCTCTACTTAAAATACAAAAATTAGCCAGGTGTGGTGGCAGGCGCCTGTAATCCCAGCTACTTGGGAGGCTGAGGCAGGAGAGTGGCTTGAACCTAGGAGGCGAAGGTTGCAGTGAGCTGAGATCATGCCACTGCACTCCAGCCTGGGCAACAGAGTTAGATGCCAACACACACACACACACACACACACACACACACACACACACACACCAACACACACACGCACACAGTAGTTAGGGATCAAAGTATGGCCAAACAAGGTCCTGCACAGTCATCCTGTCCCCTCATCTCTCTGACCTCATTGCCTGCTGCATTCCTGTCCCTCACTGTATTTTAGCCTCACACCTGGGCCTCTGCTCTTGCTATTTCTGCCTGGAACACTCTTCCTGCATGTCCTTGTGACTCTCTCCTTTACCTGCTTCACAGGTCTTTATTCATATGTCTCCCTCTGTGAGGCATTCCCTAACTACAGTTTGAAAGGACAACTTCCCTGACTCCTTTTCCTCTTGTTTTGTTTTTTTTTTCCCCCCTTGGCACTTATCACCATATGTCACACTGTCTTTCTTCCCCTCAGCAAGCTATACGCTTCCTGGGGCTGAGGGCTTTTTGTCTGTTTTAGTCACTGCTGACTCTAGTACCTGGCACATAGTAGTTGCTCAAAGAATGGAATTTTATATGTGTGTGTGTGTGTGTGTGTGTGTGTGTGTGTGTGTGTGTATCTCATGGTAAGTAAGGGATTTGGAATTTATCTTTTCTTCTTTCTTTTCTTTTCTTTTTTTTTTTTTTTTTTTTTTGAGAGACAGAGTCTCTCTGTATTGCTCAGGCTGGTCTTGAATTCCTGGCCTCAAGTAATCTTCCCACCTCAGCCTCACAAAGTGCTGGGATTACAGGCGTGAGCCACTGCACCTGGCCTGGCCTTTATCTTGAAGGCTCTGGTGAATAAGTGAAGGATGATGAAAAGAAAGGGACATGATTATATTTATGAATTCATCCCCAATCTTCCCTTGGGAATTATTTTCTGGACAAATCCTAAGTACTTCAGCGTCCAGTTGTTAGGCCTAATTAAATTGTTTTCTCCATTTACTGCTGCCTAACTCCATCTAGCAGAGACACTGGAAGTGATGGGGCTTGCCATGGTTTGAATGTTTGTTCCCTCTGAAACATGTGTTGAAAGTTAATCCCCAGTGTAGCAGTATTGAGAGGTGGGGTCTTTAAGAGGTGTTTGGGTCATGACAGCAGAATGGATTAATTCGTTCCTGGATTAATGGGTTAGACTGGGAGTGGGGACTGGTGGCTTTATAAGAAGAGAAAGTGGCTGGGCGTGGTGGCTCACACCTGTAATCCCAGCACCTTGGGAGGCCTTGGCAGGCTGATCACTTGAGCTCAGGAGTTCCAGATGAACCTAAGCAACATGATGAAACCCTGTCTATACCAAAAATACAAAAAATTAGCCAGCTGTGGTTTGCATGTCTGTGGTCCCATCTACTTGGAAGGCTGATGTGGGAAGATCACTTGAGCCTGGGAGGCGGAGGTTGCAGTGAGATTGAGCCACTGCACTCCAGCTTGGGTGACAGAGTGAAACTCCATCTCAAAAACAAAACAAAACAAAACAAAACAGAAAAAACAAAGAAAACATAAAGAATAGGCCAGGCATGGTGGCTCATGCCTGTAATACCAGCACTTTGGGAGGCCGAGGTAGGCGGATCACCTGAGATTGGGAGTTTGAGACCAGCCTGACCAACATGGAGAAACCCCGTCTCCACTAAAAATACAAAATTAGCTGGACATGGTGGCTCATGCCTGTAATCCCAGCTACTCGGGAGGCTGAGGCAGGAAAATCGCTTGAACCTGGGAGGCGGAGGTTACAGTGAGCCGAGATCACGCCATTGCACTCCAGCCTGGGCAACAAGAGCGAAACTCTGTCTCAAATAAACAAAAAATTATGAGTAGCCAGATGTGGTGGCACATGTATAATTTCAGCTACTCAGGAAGCTGAGGCACGAGAATGGCTTGAACTGAGATAGTGCCACTGCACTCCGGCCTGGGGAACAGAGTGATACTCTCTTAAAAAAAAAAAAAAGTCTGGGTTCGGTGGTTTATACCTGTAATCCCAGCACTTTGGGAGGCCGAGGCAGGCAGATCACCCACGGTCAAGAGTTTGAGACCAGCCTGGCCAGCATGACAAAACCTCATCTCTACTAAAAATATAGAAAATTAGGCGGGTATGATATCATGTGCCTGTAGTCCCAGCTACTTAGGAGGCTGAGGCAGGAGAATCGCTTGAACCCAGGAGCTGAAATTGCACCACTGCACTCCAGTCTGGGTGACAGAGACAGAGACTCTGTCACAAAAAAAAAAAAAGCCAGGTGCGGTGGCTCACGCCTGTAATCCCAGTACTTTGGAAGGCCGAGGTGGGTGGATCACGAGGTCAGGAGTTCGAGACCAGCCTGGCCAACATGGTGAAACACTCCCATCTCTGCTAAAATACAAAAATTAACTGGGTGTGGTGATGCGTGTCTGTAGTCCCAGCTACTCGGGAGGCTGAGACCGGAGAATCCCGGGTTCAAGTAATTCTCCTGTCTCAGCCTCCCGAGTAGCTGGGATTACAGGCATGTGCCACCACACCCAGCTCATTTTGTTTTTTTGTTCGTTTGTTTGTTCGTTTTTAGTAGAGACGGGGTTTCTCCATGTTGGTCAGGCTGATCTTGAACTCTCGACCTCAGGTCATCTGCCTGCCTCGACCTCCCAAAGTGCTGGGATTACAGGCGTGAGCTGCTGTGCCCGGCCTCTTTGTTCTTATTAAAGTGATGTGCTTTTGATTAAGAAGGAGTTAAGATGTTATTTAAGGGAATATTTTAAGTTATTATATTAGCTCCTCCCTGACCCATGGACCTATTCCTGGTTAACCTTCTTCATGAGGTGGTGGTTCTTCCTTGTTTCCTGTAGCCCTTTGCAGTCCTGTAACAACCTGGACCTGTGATGGTCTCAGGACATGTGAATGAAAGCAGAGCCAGTAGGTTCCCTTAGAAAAGGAAGAAATCCTTCTTGTTTATTTAGAAAGTTCAGACCCTGGGATTTTTCCAGAATACATGCTTTTCTAAGGTGTATACACATTACCTCCTGCTAAAGAGAAGAGTGGGAAAATTTGTATAGGACAGATCTGGGTAACTTTTAGTCCTCCCAGGGAGAGAATAAGTAAGATTTTACCATATTTCAGTTTGGCTCACTCTCAGGGCTGACAAGGATTTTTCTGTTTTGACACCAGGCTAGAAACTTTATGACTGGTAACATTGTTTTCACTTCTTAAAGTCCCTACTTGAAAGAGTACCCCCTATGCCCCCCACCCCCATTAGAACTGCAATTAACAAATTATCAGATTAAACTGAGACTTTGGACCTCCTCTCCTCCCTCAGAAATTGAATCAAAAGACTACTTGAAATGGTAACAAGGAACTATTACTGGCTTTTGTATTGTTCATTTTTAGCTGATAAGTGCTGCCCTATTCATCAAGTGGTCTTTCATATGGTTTTGTTAAGAAGTGAAAACAATGCCAATAGAGAATTTCCTTTAGTTCATGCCTGTGGCATAGTTAGATAAGATCTAAAAGTTTCTCATGCCCATTACAAAAGTTCCTGTTATTTGGATATTTCATAAATGACCCATAGAATGATGTTTTTAAAGATGTGGATATAGTTGTAATAATAATGTATACCCTGAATCCTGAGATCCAGACAAGTTTTGTCTAATACCAGTGAATGTTGATGTCAATCAGTAACTTTTCTGGCCTTTTTACAATTGAGGAGTAAAATAGGAAGAAAAAAATGGAGTGGGTAGAGGGGGAGACCCAAAAAAATGTTTGGCTTTAACCCCACCCAAAGGTGGGCTGATGCCTCTAGGGTATGTTATAAGTAGCTGGAGCCGACCCTGATCTCAGCTCCTGAGAGATCTATAACCATTTGGCTTCCGTGGATGGCTTCAATTCAACAAACATTTTCATAAGAAATAGTCCCTGTCTTCTAGGATAGTGTAGTCTTACTGGGGAGAATCTAAATGGATAATTTCAACACCCCTGATTAGAACTGCAATTAAAGAGCACTCCTGGGTAGAACCAAGTCTTAGGAAGCAGGAGTTTAGAGGTTCTGTAACTTTGTATTTACTTCCTATTTCTTTCTTTAAAGCATTATGTACTTGTATCTTCATGGGCATTTATATAAATGCAATGACTTGTAATTATTATTGGCCACATTGATGTTAAGTTGGAAATATTTTTATTACCAGAAGAGAAACTAGTATCTGTTCCAGATAGAAACCCCTTGGTCCTTGGGCTGCAGTATTTTGGAGACCATTCCAAATAGTTGTCTTCAAGGTGTTTATGGTCAAGACAGACTTTATACTCATGAATTTTGAAGTGTTTTTCTCAATTATCCTTTTATCCCTACCTCCTCACACCACAGAACCATGAAACATGCTTTTGTTGTTGCCCTTACGAAGTATTGCCTGTAAAATCAAAATAGTTTTGAGTAAGCAGTTAAATTATAACACCAGCAGTTTTTCTTTAAGGAATCTGTTTCCTTCAAAGTTATATGTGCCACGCTATCCTCCAGTGCCCTCTAGGTTTTCTGATTATGATGGTAATATGGTATTCTGGGAAATATCTGTCCAAATTATCCTGATCTCTGAACTCCTGCTGTTGAGGTCAGTCACTTCACACAATACCATGATGACAGCTTTATCAAGCCAGATGCTTAGTCAGAGCTTTCCAAGACCCAGCTTTGGTTTTATCAGCAAAATCCATCCTTCCCACCCCCCATACACACGCCAGTTTGAGGCTCCTCACTACCACAAAACAAAACAAAAAACAGCATCTGTGGGGTAGGGTTTTAGTTAACTGGTCTATCTGGCATTACTTTGCCCTCAAGGCCAGTTTTGTGTGTGAAGGACTGGTATACTGCCTGTGGAGCTGGAGTTGGAAGTGAATGCTTTATATTGGACCCACTCTGAGAAAGCGAGTCTGCACAGAGTGGTTAAGATGGGGAGACTTAACCTATCTTAAGGCAGGAGGTTAAGCCATCCTCCCGCCTCAGTCTCCTGAGTAGCTGGGGACTACAGGTACATGCCACTGTGCCTAGCTGTTAGCAAACTTATTTTAGCATGGCTCTTTTCCTCAAATTCTCCTTTGAATTAGCATTACTTCCTGCTTGCTCCCTTATTAATAAGTTAAATATATCCTAACACATGTTTACTCTATATATGTATGAAAGAGATGTTTCTATTTTTTTTAAAAAAAACTATACTTTGAAAACAGCCATGAAAATAGCCATTTTCCGTGGGGTAGAAAGGGTTCTGACTTTTTCTTTCAAAAGTTCTATCTTGTTTGATTATTTTATTTGAAAGTGTTTTAAAGCACTTTCATTTTCTTAAGGAAATAAAAATAAATAAGTCAGTTTCTCCCCAAAAGTCTGAAGTGTGTAAGACTAGAGTAACAGTTCTATTTGTTGAGAATGTAAGTGATATTGAGAAAATGGTAGGATTATATACCTGCTTCTCATCTTGTGACATTTGGCTATTATTGCCTAAGACACCTGTACTCAGAGCCAACTGTGTAGTATGCAGATCAGGGACCAAAAGGCTTTGTGAGCCATATAGAGCTCCTTTAGGAGGCCTTGAAATGTCTTTTTTTTTTTTTTTAATAGGGACTTATCTGAACCTAAACTTCCAAGGACAAGGGATTAACTCTTCTTTCATTAAATAACCCTTTAGGTTGGATTTCTTGATTACTCAGAACATGGAATTTGCCTTTTTTTTTTTCTTTTTTAGTTTTCAAGAGGTACCTAGAACAGTGTCTAGCTCAGTGTAAGCATTATGCATTAGCTTCACCTACCATTATTCATCTGTAAAATGAGGCTAGTAATACCTGCATTTTAAGGTTATAATGATTAAATTAGATAATAAATATAAAATTTGTAGCACTCAGTAGTTAGCACATAATAGGCCATCAAACAGTATTATTTATAACTCCTTAACAATAAACTAATACTAAAAAATGATAATAGCATGGAGATATAAAAATATTTTTTAGGCCGGGCACGGTAGCTCATGCCTGTAATCCCAGCACTTTGGGGGGCCAAGACGGGAGGACCACCTGAGGTTGGGAGTTCGAGACCAGCCTGACCAACATGGAGAAACCCCATCTTTACTAAAAATACAAAATTAGCCACT
This sequence comes from Homo sapiens, assembly GCF_000001405.40. NCBI lineage: Eukaryota > Metazoa > Chordata > Mammalia > Primates > Hominidae > Homo > Homo sapiens. The sequence continues at coordinate 16,265,249 of NC_000001.11, read as the reverse complement.
TGGTGGTGCATGCCTGTAATCCCAGCTACTCGGGAGGCTGAGGCAGGAGAATCCGTTGAAACTGGGAGGCAGAGGCTGCGGTGAGCCGAGATTGCGCCATTTCACTCCAGCCTGGGCAACAAGAGCGAAACTCCGTCTCAAAAAATATATACATACATTTTTAAATCGTGCATAAAATACAGGCATCCCCAATTAAAACAGGTGATTGTTTTATCTTGTTATCAAATAGTTGAGCTGCTCTATGTAGTCCTGGGTTCTGTGTAAATAGACACTACAATTGTGGGAAAGTGGCATAGAAATCAAACTAGGATTTGGAACTGCTTCACTGTTTAACCAGCTTCTTTGCAAACGTAAACAAGAATGCCGTGTAATTATACCACCATCATATGTGAAATTTTATTCTGATTTCATAGGAACCTTGGGAAACAGCTGAACCTATTAGCAGTTTTAGGGAATGTTAGTTCTGTTGTATAGGGTGTCTATCTGATTATTCAGTTTGCCACAGCTGCCTTTTGGGCTTGTGCCTTGTTTTGAAATTTGTTCCATTGATCATATCTGCTGTGCGATTTAGGAGGCCTTTGATGTGTTTGGGGAATGAAGCCCATGAGGGTGACTCCTGGCTCTAGGGGAAGAGGGCTCTAGGGGAAGAGGCTCAAGTAACATGTTCATCTACGCTTGATGTGGGCACATTTGGTCCTGTCGTGCTTGATGGGAACTCAATGGGAATGACACCCTTCCTTTCTTCACTTTTGTGCAGTAATGGCACTTAGACTGAATTTAGAAGCCCAGTGGCTTTGTTATTTTGAAGGCAGGCCAGGAAATGTCCTAATGAGTATAAAACCTTCATTTTATAAGTGTTCTTGCAGGAGCAGTATTTATTTCATCATATGTCACCATAGTGGTTATGTGCCTTTTTAACTATCGAATATCAGCTATTCCGAGAGTACTCCATGTTGTTCAAGATTTCCAGTTACTCAGGTGCTAGTGTGGAAGATATGTGTGTTTTAATAAAAATGTATTAAACCTATGTGCTATAACTGTAGCTGCTGTTTGGAATGAATTACATGCACATTCGGGCAGTTCTTCAAAGTCATTACTTGACATTTTATCTACGGCTACTCCATATAAAAATTATTGTTGGCCTGGCATGGTGGCTCATGCCTGTAATCCCTGCACTTTGGGAGGCTGAGGCAGGTGGATCACCTGAGGCCAGGAGTTCGAGACCAGCCTGGCCAACATGGTGAAACCTCGTCTCTACTAATAATACAAAAATTAGCCAAGTGTGGTAGCACACACCTCTAATCCCAGCTACTCGGGAGGCTGAGCCAGGAGAATCGCTTGAACCTGGGAGGTGGAAGTTGCAGCGAGCCAAGATTGTGCCATCGCACTCCAGCCTGGGCGAAAAGAGTGAAACTCTGCCTCCAAAAAAAAAAAAAAAAAAAGTTAATGTATGGCCGTGGGTTTTTTGTTTTTGTTTTGTTTTGTTTTGTTTTTTGGTTTTTCGGTTTTTTTTTGTTTTTTTCCTTGAGACGGAGTTTCGCTCTTGTTGCCCAGGCTGGAGTGCAACGGTGCGATCTTGGCTCACTGCAACCTCTGCCTCCCGGGTTCAAGCGTTTCTCCTGCCTCAGCCTCACAAGAAGCTGGGATTACAGGTGTGCACCACCATGCCGGGCTAATTTTTTGTATTTTTAGTAGAGACGGGGCTTCACCATGTTGGTCAGGCTGGTCTCGAACTTCTGACCTCAGGTGATCCACCACGCCTGGCCGGCCGTGTGCTTTTAAAGAAAGTTTGTAGGTACTCTTTTTTCTGATGGAGTCTCGCTCTGCCACCCAGGCTGGAGTGCAGTGACGTGATCTTGGCTCAATGCAAGCTTGGCGGGTTCACGCCATTCTCCTGCCTCAGCCTCCTGAGTAGCTGGGACTACAAGGCACCTGCCACCACACCCAAGCTAATTTTTTGTATTTTTCACCATGTTAGCCAGGATGGTCTCGATCTCCTGACCTCGTGATCCGCCCGCCTCAGCCTCCCAAAGTGCTGGGATTACAGGGATGAGCCACCGCGCCTGGCTTAGGCACTCTTTAAATGGCTTGCTTTTCCTGGAACTTAAAAAAAAATGAATAAAGTTATGTAATTTGAATATGGCTTTTCTTGTTTTTCTTGAAATTCTAGTAGAGACTTATTGTTTGTTTTCCAGAACTCCACTTTGGCTAAAGAGAATGTTATTCTTTGATATAGAAATTACCAAAGTTGTGGCTCACGCCTGTAATCCTAGCACTTTGGGAGGCCGAGGCGGGCAGATTGCTTGAATCCAGGAGTTTGAGACGAGCCTACACAACATGGTGAAATGCTGTCTCTACTAAAATTACAAAAAACTAGCCTGCCGTGGTGGCACGTGCCTGTAGTCCCAGCTACTTGGGAGGCTGAGGTGTGAGAATCACCTGAGCTTGAGAAGTCGGAGTTGCAGTGAGCTGAGATCGATTACGCCACTGCACTCCAGACTCTAGCCTGGGCAACCGGAGTGAGACCCTGTCTCAAAAAGAAAAAGAAATTGCCAAAATTGATGGATCCGCGTAATCTCTGACCACCCCATGTGTACTGGTGCACGGTCTGGGCTCACTGCAACCTCCACCTCCCAGGTTCAAGCGATTCTTGAACCTGGGACCACAGGCACATGCCACCACACCTGGCTAATTTTTGTATTTTTAGTAGAGACATGGTTTTGCCATGTTGCCCAGGCTGGTTTCAAACGCCTGGCCTCAAGTGATCCACCCGCCTTGACCTCCCAAAGTGCTAGGATTACAGGCTTGAGCCACCACACCCCATGTGATCTCACCATAAATTCATTTGATTTATAGATTTTGCTTTAAGATCATCGAGAGGGAATTAAGGACCATCTGCTTTAAACAAATTCAAAGTATGAAATATGAGCCAGGCATTTTGGTATACTCCTGTAGTCCAAGCTACTCAGGAGGCTGAGGCAAGAGGAATGCTTGAGCTCAGGAGTTAAAGACCAGACTGGGCAGCATAGCAAGACCCCATCTTAAAATATATATACATATACACACACACATATATATGAAATATGTAGATTTTTAGAAATAATGGAAGTAGGAGTTCTTTATAAAGGCTTCACAATATCAATTCTTAAAGTAGCAATAATTTAAAAGTATCCAATTTGCAATAAATATGCCAAATATTATATGGGCACTCAGGGTCACATAAAATTTGATATACCTGGGCCAGGCGCGGTGGCTCACGCCTGTAATCCCAGCAGTTTGGGAGACCAAGGCGGGTGGATCACAAGGTCAGGAGATCGAGACCATCCTGGCTAACACAGTGAAACCCTGCCTCTACTAAAAATACAACAATAAAAAAAATTAGCTTGAGCATGGCGGGGGGTGCCTGTAGTCCCAGCTACTCAGGAGGTTGAGGCAGGAGAATCCCTTGAACCTGGGAGGTGGAGCTTGCAGTGAGCCGAGATCGCGCCACTGCACTCCAGCCTGAGCGACAGAGTGAGACGCGTCTCAAAAACAAAAAAAAAAAATTGATATACCTGTATCCTTGACTTCTGGTTGCTGAACTCACTGTATAAAAGCTGTATGTTGATCTCTGCCACCTCATTTGTTCTTGTATGGTAAGTTTTTTTCCAGTTCACCCACAAATTGAGGTGGGGGTATACAATTGATTTAACTTTCCCCTACTTAGTTGAGATAATTAAGATGCTGAAATTAAGTTGAGCTATTTAAGATGCTCCTACTTTGTGACATAAAATAGGCCATGGAGATAAATTCTAGATGGAGGAGTTCTCCAACTTCATGAGATAAAAAGTAGAGGGAAAGATTTTGCCTTTCTAAAAGGTCAAGATATCTGAGACGTCGTTTTGGAAAGCCCTTACCTAAGATAATCCTAGAGGATCTCTTATATTGATTTATCATTATCACTGGCCTCAGCTTACCTTTCCTTGGAGAGTTCGGAGAATAAGTAAATGGTCCTATATTAGAGGTGGAGTGTGTCCCAGAGCCTTGTAGAGAAAAAGAGGTTCTAAGAATAGCCTTCTGTTTAATTTACTTCTCTCTGACTAGGTCTTTGGCTTTACCGGATTAAGATTGAAGAAAGAACTTCTTCAGCTTTGAAACACTAGACCTTTTAAGGCATCAGACTTGTTTGTGGCAACTATTCAGAAGGAATGTATCTGTATGCATGAAGTGCAGCATGATATATTCTGACTTTAAAGCTCATTCTTTTAAGGTGAGGTGGCTCATGCCTGTAATTCCAGCACTTTGGGAGGTGGCAGAGGTGGGAGAATCACTTGAGGCCAGGAGTTTAAGACCAGTCTGGGCAACACAGAGAGACCCCCATCTCTACCCAAAAAAAGAAAAAAATTAGCTGGATGTAGTGGCCTGTGACTGTAGTCCTAGCTGCTTAGGAGGCTGAGGTAGAAAGATCCCTTGCACCCAGGAGGTCAGAAGTGCAGTGAGCCATGATCAGTCACACCACTGCACTCCAGCCTGGGTGCCAGAGTGAGACCTCATCTCAAAAAAATAAAATTAAAAATTAAAATCCAGAATAAATGGATTAGAATCCTGGCTCTTCACTTATTAGTTCTACGACCTTGGACAAGTTATTTAAAGAGTTGTGCCCTCAGGTTTCTTATCTGTAAAATAGGAATAAAACTAGGAATTTTAGAAGGATTAAATTAATTAATACATGCAAAGCACTTAAAAAGCTGCATAGTAATTGGGCCAGGCGCGGTGGCTCACACCTGTAATCCTAGCACTTTGGGAGGCTGAGGCCAGTGGATTGCCTGAGCTCAGGAGTTTGAGACCAGCCTGGGCAACATGGTGAAACCCCGTCTCTACTAAAATACAAAAAATTAGCCGGGCGTGGCAGTATACGCCTGTAATCCCAGCTACTTGGGAGGCTGAGACAGGAGAATAATTTGAACCTGGGAGGCAGAGGTTGCAGTGAGCCGAGATCGTGCCATTACACTCCAGCCTGGGTGACAGAGTGAGATTCTGTCTCAAAAAAAAAAAAAAAAAGCTGCATAGTACATAATAGATGTAGATGCTCAATAAATATTAGTCATTACCATCAGTAGCAGTAGTAAGAGTTATAGTAACAATAATTGTCATTTCTCTTGGAGTTAAGTTATTCATCTATCCCTGCTACTTTCCCGTAATCCCCAAGCATAGGCACACTGTTGACAAAGTTAAAACCTTTTTCTAAAATACCGCTATTAAATAGAACTTTCTGCAATGATAGAAATGTCCTACATCTGTGCTCTTCAGTTTGATAACCACGGGCAACATGTGGCCAGTGGTGACTTTGTTGGGCAGTACAGATCTAAAGTGTAGTCTTTCCTCTACTTACATTATGTATGCCATGTTTTATGAATACTTTTAAAAATTCTATGAATATGTCCCACCTTAAAAGGTATATATTCTTTCTTTCTTTTTTTTCTTTCTTTCTTTTTTTTTTTTTTTGAGACAGAGTCTTGCTCTTTCACTCAGGCCAGAGTGCAGTGGCTCAATCTCGGCTCACTGCAACCTCCACCTCCTAGTTTCAAGCAATTCTTGTGCCTCAGCCTCCTGAGTAGCTGGAATTACAGGCGTGGGCTACCATGCCTGGCTAATTTTTTAATATTTTTAATAGAGACAGGATCTCACCATGTTGGCCAGACTGGTCTGAAACTCCTGACCTTAAGTGATCTGCCTGCCTTGGCTTCCCAAAGTGCTGGGATTACAGGTGTGAGCCACTGCGCCTGGCAAGAGGTATATATTCTTATACTGCATTTATAATTTCTTTAAGCCCAGTATCTCAAATCCAAATCCACATTCTAGTCTAGAGAGTTTACATTACTATTTTGCTGAAGTCTGTGATGTGTTTATTTGTTTTTTCTTTTTTCTAACTGTTTCATAGTACTGATGATTTCCAAGTTAGAGGCAAGAACTTGGAAGCTTTGTCTGGTATTTCACAAATTAAATTATTTTAGAGCAATAGTTGTGTTTTAACTAGACCATTATATTACTTAGGCTTTCTAATTGGGCTAGGAGATAGATCCCCTTGGGGAGGTAAATGTTTTTGACCAGGAACAGTAAGGCTATATGAAAGACAACAGCCTCTTTAATCACTATTCTTGTGGGATTTGAGGGTAGAGAATACCTCAGCACTTCAGATTGATGTGATAACTCTTCCTAGAGAAGATTTCTGACTGGGTGAGGTGGGTAATGCCTATAATCCCAGCACTTTGGGAGGCTGAGGCGGGAGGATCGCTTGAGGCCAGGAGTTCGTGGCCAGCCTGAGCAACATAGCAAGACCTGATCACAACAAAAAAATTTTAAAAATTAGCTGGATATGGTATTACATGCCTGTAGCCTCTGCTACTCGAGAGGCTGAAGCAAGAGGATTGCTTCAGCCTGAGGAAGTCGAGGCTGCAGTGAGCCATGATCGCATCACTGCACTCTAGCCTGGGTGACAAAGCTAGACCCTGTCTCAAGATTAATAAATAAATAAAGACTCATTTCTACAGTCAGTTCCTGTGGTCTGGATTAGTGTTGGTTTTATTTATGAAAGTATTCAAAATAGTTGACACGGACAGGCACAGTGGCTTACACCTGTAATCCTAACACTTCGAAAGGCCAAGGCGGCAGGATTGCTTGAACCCATGAGTTCGAGACCAGTCTGGGCAATGCAGGGAGTCCCCATCACTACAAAAAATTTAAAAATTAGTCGGGCATGGTGGTGCTTGCCTGTATTCCTAGCTATTTGGGAGGTTAAAGTGGGAGGATCCCTTGAGCCCAGGAGGTTGAGGCTGCAGTGAGCCGTAATTGTGCCACTGCACTCCAGCCTGGGCAACAGCAAGACCCTGTCTCAAAAAAAAAAAAAGGAAGAAGAAATGAAAAATAGCTGATGCCACATGGTGTTCTTAGATGCTCACCCTGTACTCTTCAGGACTGATGCCTTCTCAGTAAATCGTATTGTTCCCCTAAGTGAGATCACAAGAAAGACAGTCCTCTGCTCTACCTTCTCAACCTTGAGACTTTGTAAGTGACACCATTAAAGCAGTCTGAGCAGGGCTTTTCAAACAGTGTTCTGTAATGTGCTACTGAAAGAGGAAGCAAAGCTCTCCACCTAGATTGGAGCATCTCGACTGCTGTCAGGTTAATGTAGTGTTGGGATTTCTTCTGCTTAAGATATCCTTTGAAAAATGAGTCCTGCAGCTTTAACCAAAAAGAAAAAAAAAAGATTTTAAAAAAAAAAGTATTCTCAGCGAGGCATGGTGGCTCACGCCTGTAATCCCAGCACTTTGGGAGGCCAAAGCGGGTAGATCACCTGAGGTCAGGAGTTTGAGACCAGCCTGGCCAACATGGTGAAACCCCATCTCAACTAAAAATGCAACAATTAGCTGGGCATGATGGCAGATGCCTGTAATCCCAGCTACTCAGGAGGCTAAGGCAGGAAAATCACTTGAACCCAGGAGGTGGAGGTTGCAGTGAGCCGAGATTGCATCATTGCACTCCAGCCTGGGTGACAAAGCGAGACTCCACCTCCAAAGGAAAAAAAAAGTATTCTGGTATTTACTGACACCTGGATATTGGGACAAGTTACTTTGGTCTTGAGGAAACTAAAGGTGACATGTAGAGTGAGGGATGGGGAAAAATAGCAATTGTTATTTCAAAGACAATAGATTTTGAAAAATTATGCTCCTGTAAGACATTTGTTATCTCTAAAGTTTTCCAGCATAAGCCAAAGTGTTTTTTTTCAGAATTTGGTCAGTGTAGCCCAGAGGTCCAGTCTAGATGGTGTTTGGTGTAAGACTTATGGTTTCACTGGAATTCCTTCACACCAATCCTTGAAGGTCTGCCCCATTTGTGCTAGGCTGAGGCTATCTGGTTATGTGAAGCCCATAGCTAGGGGCCTGGAGGTCCCTATGTTAAAATTTGACTCACGGGACAAATAAGAACTGCCTCCTGCCTCCTTTTCTTACCTGTGTTTTGTAACGAGTTATTTTTAAGTTGCATCCAGACATCCAGCCTCTATGTATACTTCTCCCTGGTCCTCTACATTCTTTCTTTTCTTTGTGACCTCTGTTAAGTTTGTTAAAGGGATGGGAAGGGGTGCTCATTTGTTGAGCACTTTCTATGTGCCAGGCATTATGTTAGGTGCTTTGAATATACTATTTAATACTCAAAACAGCCTTATGAGATAGGTACTCTCATCCCTAATTTTAGGTGAGCAAATTATAAACATGAGAGAGGCTAAGTAACTTTTCTCTAACTCATATTTCTCTGTTAATAATAAAAGACGTGTGAATTAGTGATGATTTTCTCTCAGACTCAAACCCAGTTTTCTTTCCACCTTTCCTCTACACTTTGTAGTATTAGTTCCCCTTTTGTTGCTCTTCCAGGGAAAGGTGATCTATGGATAGCCTAACTACGGATTGTTGTGAGATCCTGAATGCTAACCATGGTGTTACTGACTTTCCCTAGGGTCCTATCCTTCCCCCAAAGCTGGAGCAACTCTGGTCGTGTACAAGGACTTGCTAGTGCTGTTTGGTGGCTGGACGCGGCCAAGCCCTTATCCCCTACACCAGCCAGAGAGATTCTTTGATGAAATACACACTTACTCACCCTCTAAAAATTGGTAAGTCACAAAGATAAACTCTTTAAATCTGGAAGAAAAGGCCTTAAATCAGTGGATTCTTTGTTTTTTTGTGTCAAGAGTCCCTTTGAGAATTAGATGGAAAGCTGTGGACTCTTTTCCCAGGAGGGGAAAAATGCACATATTCACAGATTTTACCAACAGTTTCAGAGAGTTTACAGGACTCTCTTAGAACCCTGCATTTAGAATCCTTATTCTAAAGAGAAAAAATAGAAGAGATTTATTCCTCTTTCAAGAAAAATGAATGAGCCAGTTGAAGAACAGCGAGCTCTTCAGCTTTGGCTGCTAACACTCCAGGAGTGTTGTAGATCCAGATGATTCCTTACTCCTAACTGTGTCTCCAAGACTTACTCTGAATTGTTTTTCAAACATATATCTCTTAATGACAGCAACCGCCGTTTCTTGTAATGGAAGACTTAGTACGTGGCGCTTGTTAGCTGTTACTGATCAGGACCATAGGGAAAGGTAGCAGGTGGCAGGTGGTGCTTTGTCAGCAAACCAGGCCAAAGAAGCCATGATCTTGTCTCTTGTCATCGTTTTCTCATCTCTCTCCCTCCAGACCGTTTACATTCAGAACTTGAAAGAAGATAACTTTAAGCAAACTTGTAGGAAAGGCATAAATACATTATGCCATCCTCTACTTATTATCCCAACAAATCTCTGCTGAAAGTGATAGGATTATCATTTTAAATGGATGCCTACTTACTATTTTTACATAAAGTGTGTGGTGCTGACTTCTTGACTTCCTCCTGTCTTTTTACATTAGGTGGAACTGCATTGTGACAACCCATGGGCCACCTCCCATGGCTGGCCACTCCTCCTGTGTGATAGATGATAAAATGATTGTCTTTGGTGGCTCTTTAGGATCCCGGCAAATGTAAGTACATTTGGTTTGCTCCATATGAGCCTGAAGGTAAATACTCCTGGGAATAACAGGTTTAAAAGTGAATTAGGGACCAGGTGCCTAATTCACACCTGTAATCCCAGCATTTTGGGAGGCCAAGGTGGGTGGATCACCTGAGGTCAGGAGTTTGTGACCAGCATGGCGAACATGGCGAAGCCCCATCTCTACTAAAAATACAAAAATTAGCCGGGCATGGTGGCACACACCTGTAGTCCCAGTTACTTGGGAGACTAAGGCAGGAGAATCGCTTGAACCTGGGAAGTGGCGATTGCAGTGAGCCAAGATCACCCCATTGCATTCCAGCCTGGGCAACAGATCGAGACTCTTAAGGAAAAAAAAAAAAAAAGTAAGTTAGGGTCAGTATTCCTGAGCATGGCTCTAATTAATCCAATTAGTTATCTCATCCTAGCATTCTGTTCTTTAATCCCTTAATCACAGACCAATAAATTGAAAAATTTGCTCTATAAAATCATAGTTATATAGAATCTCTTTGACATATGGTTCTATTCAGTAGGATCAAATTCTGATGGAACCTCCACCTTGCCTGCTGTGCTGTGCCTGCAGAAGGCCAACTTTCGAGAACAGAATGCTTTTACTTATTCTACTTTATTACCCAGCTCTTGCCCTTTTGGGCTTTAGAGGAGAAGAGGGGGAGATTGACAGGACAAGTGGAAATGGTGGGCCCTCCAAATGTGATAGGTTGGTTGAGCCACATGTAAAGGGCATGAAAAGAAAGAAAGAAGGAAAGAAAAGAAAAAAACAAATGGGATGGGTTGTGGAATGGGTAGGAACAGGAAAACTGTGTCAGGCATGACATTTCTGTGAGGTCATTGTCCCTACCTCCTGTCCTGTCCACTTCTGGCCATACTGGACAGCTCAAGCCATAGTCAGGAGCCAGAGCATTCCATCTGTATCACTGTCTGATTCAGCGGTAGCAGCAGTTGTGGTCATTCCCCCTGTGCTCTGAAGTGGAAGTTGATGAGCTGTCAGCAGCAAGACCATCCCACACCTGTCCTCCCTTAGGGCATTTCCATCTTCATATTTTAAAACAGTTATGGAGAGAGATTATAGGAGCTACTCTCCCAATGAGAGAGTTTAGGATTTCAGATATTGGAACTATTATTCCTGTATTTTTGTGGGTGAATCAATGACCTTAAGTGACCATGAAAGAGAGACTGCCATCCAGGAGTCTGTCCTCGTCATGTTGGTCCCTTGAGGGTTAGAGATGCCAGTCTGTCCTTGATAAAACTGCAGCTTTCATTAGTCATTGTGCAATTACTTTTTGTAGCCAGAATCGATAAAGCTTTTAACTCCTGGACAATGATGAAGCTGCCTTTTGAATCGTTTTTTCTCTTCTTTGTGGTTTTTGCTTTTGAAAACTGTAGCTTAACCAGTGTCTATTTCCTGCTGTCACCAATTAACTATTTTTTAATCATCTGCTTTTACTTCAGTTAATAGATGGTTAAAAAAATAATCTCATTAGGCACTAGTGTCTGGCCGCAGACGTGGCTCAGATGAGGCCTCGTGGAAAGAGCAGAGGGAGGGTCTCAGGATGACTTCTAGGGAAAGTAGGGGAAGAAAGATACAGCCTAAGTGCTAAGTAGGAGCATAACACTTTGCTGCGCATCTTTATAAAGGTCCCTTCATTTTATATCAGCTCCTCAGACAGTAGTAACAGTATTTTCATTTTAGAGATAAAGTCAGAGTTAGAGAAAATTAAGTGACTTGTTCAGGCTACAGAGCTGGGATTCAGCAACATGGTCTCTTTCTGGTTCAGAAGCCCCTGAACTCTGAGTAGGGCATCTCTAAAACCTGCTCCAGCCCACACAGTCTGTGAAAGTGAAAATGGTGCAAGTTTGCCAGATGGGCCACAGGCATGTGGAACTCCCCAGCCACCATTATGGTCCCTGGGAGCTCCTAACTACCTTTATCCTTCTGTCCTTAATTCACAGGAGCAATGATGTCTGGGTCCTTGACCTTGAGCAGTGGGCGTGGTCCAAGCCGAACATCTCTGGCCCCAGTCCTCATCCTCGAGGTGGCCAATCTCAGGTGCTCAGGAATTAAAATAACTATTCAGCAAACACTGTAGCGTCTTTCAGTTAGGACGGGAGAGGGAGGAGGGAGTCAGGTAAGATGCCAATATGCACTAAGCCAAAGAAAATGTATCATTCTTTTTTACTGGTATTTATTTTTCAACTTCTAATGGGTCATATTATTTATAGTGGTTTTATATTATGCTCCTCCCCAAAGCATTTACTTTGCTGTGTCATTTCTCAAGAGAATCCTGCATTTTATGTGGTTGACATTCATGTTAATATTTGATCAACAAAGAATGTATCCTTTCAGGTGAATTATCAGTAATTTATTCACAGGGATCAGAATTGATATGTTTTTAGGAGAATGGAGAGGTTATGGTAACTAGAATATTCCCATTTGGGAGCTAGGTAGGCTATTCTCATATACCAGTGAAGCATAGAAAGTCAGAAACCTGTGTCTTTGTAGGTTTATTTTCAATGTCTTCCCCTCCTCAGATTGTCATAGATGATGCAACTATCTTAATCCTCGGAGGGTGTGGCGGTCCCAATGCTGTGAGTATTGCTTCTGTGGCATTCCCATGTGCATGCTACTAAGTGTTCAAAACCTGTTTCCCCTGTCTTCTTTTCTAGGAGTATACAAGACTATTTCCATGGCATTTTAATTTAAGGAATGCTTTTTGGGTATAGCCTTTGTATTTTCTGGCCTTTGTTTCTGCTTTTTTTTAGGGTTGTGGGGGGATCCTTTTAATCATAGATATTTGTCTCTTGAATATTCATATCTATATTCTTCCCATTCCTATTTCCTTTTTAGGCTATAAAGTTTACTGCTATCATATTTTCAAAGGGGAGAGGGCAGTGGAACAAAAAAGCAGGTTGATAACTGTCAGAGTTCACACAGTATTTAAGAAAGCAGATTCAGAAAGTTGTGGATATGTATTATTTATCCTCTCCTTCAATCCCCAATACATACACATAAAATTATGGGCAAGTGTCAAAACCACTCAGTTGATTCATGGGTCACAAGCACAATTCCATGTGCTAAGCCAGTGGTAATATATGAATGAATGAAAGCGTAAGTGGATGCATGCACAACTGAATAATTAACTGAGGATTTTGCTATCCTTCTGAAGAGTCCACATCCTTTCAAGACCAGACAGGAGAGCTTTGAGACTGCAACTCTGTGTGTGTGTGTTTTGGAACGCATATCACACCTGAGTCTTGTTATTGGTTTTTTCTCTTACAGCTATTCAAGGATGCTTGGTTGTTGCACATGCATTCTGGTCCTTGGGCCTGGCAGCCACTCAAGGTAGAAAATGAAGAGCATGGGGCCCCAGAACTGTGGTGCCATCCAGCTTGCCGGGTAAGCAGGGAGCTGACAGGCTAGCAGGAGGACAGGTCCTAAATTGTGGAAAACCACATTACTTTGTCAGGTTACAAAGAAATTTGTACAAAAATAGAAAACACCTTGGTGTCACAAAAGAGGTGAACATTAGCCATAGCTCCTTTGGCATTTCTCACTAAATGGGAAAACTTACAGGGGCCCTACTCATTCAGTAAGTCCCAACTTTAAGCATCTGTTTGTCTGTGAAACTTTCCCTTCTCCTTCTAACAAAAATTGATTGTTCCCTTCTCCCCACCCCTTCTGTATACATATCTCTAATGATAGCATATGTCACACAAAGCAGCGATTGTTCCCATGTCTGACTTCTAGCCTAGAGGGCAGACTACATCATTTTCATCTTCATATCTCAGGTACCTACAAAATGTCTGGCACATGACAGATGCTCATGATAAAATGTTTGACAGTTGAATGAACAATCAGAATCATAGAAGAGTGTGAGCACTGGTCCTTTGTCTTCCAGGTGGGACAGTGTGTGGTGGTCTTCAGCCAGGCTCCTAGTGGGAGAGCCCCACTCAGCCCCAGTTTGAACTCTCGCCCATCACCTATCAGTGCCACTCCTCCAGCTCTCGTTCCTGAAACCCGAGAGTACCGCTCTCAGTCTCCAGTAAGAAGCATGGATGAAGCTCCTTGTGTTAACGGCCGCTGGGGAACACTGAGACCCAGGGCTCAAAGGCAGACTCCTTCAGGTTCCCGGGAAGGGAGCCTTTCCCCAGCCAGAGGAGACGGCTCTCCTATCCTCAATGGTGGGAGTTTGTCTCCAGGAACGGCAGCTGTGGGTGGCTCTTCTTTGGACAGTCCTGTACAGGCCATATCTCCAAGTACTCCATCTGCTCCTGAAGGATACGACCTGAAAATAGGACTTTCTTTGGCCCCCCGACGAGGATCACTACCAGATCAGAAAGATCTGAGATTAGGATCCATAGATCTGAATTGGGATCTGAAACCCGCTTCCAGTAGTAATCCCATGGATGGCATGGACAATAGGACAGTTGGGGGAAGTATGAGACACCCTCCTGAACAGACAAATGGTGTGCATACCCCACCTCACGTGGCCAGTGCCCTTGCAGGGGCCGTCTCCCCAGGTGCCCTGCGTCGGAGTCTGGAAGCCATCAAAGCGATGTCCTCCAAAGGCCCCTCGGCCTCTGCAGCACTAAGTCCTCCTCTTGGGTCTTCTCCAGGCTCTCCTGGGAGCCAGAGTTTGAGCAGTGGAGAAACAGTGCCCATCCCTCGCCCAGGGCCTGCCCAAGGAGATGGACATTCCTTACCTCCCATTGCTCGCCGCCTGGGCCACCACCCTCCACAGTCCCTAAATGTTGGCAAACCCCTATACCAGAGTATGAACTGCAAGCCCATGCAGATGTACGTGCTGGACATTAAAGACACCAAGGAGAAGGGGCGGGTCAAATGGAAAGTATTTAATAGCAGTTCTGTGGTTGGACCTCCTGAAACCAGCCTGCATACCGTGGTACAAGGCAGGGGTGAACTCATCATATTTGGAGGACTCATGGACAAGAAACAGAATGTGAAGTACTATCCAAAAACAAACGCCTTGTACTTTGTACGAGCAAAGAGATAATGTGTTCTAAACCCCTTTCCTTTTCTGTGGCTTTTAATTTGGAATTTTCCAGTGTGTAAGCATTTGGACTGAGAATTGGGAAAACAAAATTACTCCCAGAAGCCAAAACTCTTTAATTCCCAACCGAAGTCACTCCAGGCTGGGATCAAATCTCCATTAAGAAAAAAAATTATATATAAATATATATATATATATTATATAGCCAACTCTGTTGACAAAAAAAGGGAGAGATTTCCATCCTGGTTCAGATAAAGTTGTTGCTGTGTTTTAACAGGGGCTGGGCTGCCTTTTTCTACCTTGCTGGTAACTAGACCAAGAAGTTAGAGAATAGACTAACATCAGTAACTTCCCAAAAGAAACTGAAGAGCCCCCTGTAAATCTTTATGTGGCCTTCTTGGAGTTAAAAAATGAAAGGGCATATGTAAGTTGCAAAGGTGGAGGGTTTTAGACTCTCATGCTTCAGGTGCTGTCGGGGTAAAAGTAACTGTTTTTCCCCTTCTCTTAAAACCACAGAGGACCTGTGACAGCTCTGCAGAAATGCCAGTGCCTGGCCCCCTCTTGCCTTTTATGGCTGAGGAAAGTTACCCAACAAAGGATTTTATTCCACATTTGTGTGCCGGGTCATTGTGAAATAATGTTTATGCAGCCAACATCTGACCGCCTAGTAGTGTCCATTGGTCTTTGGAGTGCTTCTTGTGTGTCTCAGAAAACATTTTGTGTCTGATTGTGGAAATTTCTGACAATCAATCATATTTGGTGGCAAGTTGCCAAAAAACATATTTATTCTCCTCTTTCTTCCCTTAGAACATGGTACTTGGAAACTGCCTTTTCCATTCACTTACAGGCTGCTTTTTTCTTCTACCTTTTTTCTTTTCTTTTTTTTTTTTCATATGTGGTGAAGTCCTAAAACCTGTCTGACTTTCTGTTTCTTTTACAAAGCTCAGGTGCCTACAGAAATCAGAAGCTGCTTAGAAATACTTGTGGAACCCTTTCCCTGGTGTCACTAGGGGGCCAGTAGGGAATTCTAAGATGCCAATATTGTGAGAAATCTTTGAAGCAAGCATCAAAAGATACTGTTTTTTCCCTATGGGCTTCTTTTTACTTCCAAAGCACATTGAGCACACTCATCCCATATTTGTAGAATGTGGAAATTGATTCTGGAAGGGAATTCCAATAACAGTTCTTTTTAGAAATGTTTTTTTCCTTGTGGTGACATATATTCCTCTTCCTGGCTATTGGCAGGTGATGGAGTTGAGAATCATGTACTTGACTTCTTGACGCATGGCTGACCTCAGAAACAGCTCCATCCTTTGCACTTGTCTTCTTCATGTGTCACCCAAATAGGGCTTGGGTTTTTACTTTCACTTCATTTCTGAGATTAAGGTGTAACCAAGTAGAGCATTTCTTTGCTTGATACAGAAAGTTACTAGTCTCAACCATGGCCTGGGCATAGGAGATGTCAAAATAAGTTTATTTCAAATGGCACCATTTAAATAGGGATTTTTGGTGATTTCTCATCAGTGGAAAGAGGATTTTTGTTTTGCCTTTGTTTTGTTTTGAAATTTAAATCCTAATTTCAAAACATCACCTTGCCACCCTGACACTCCTCTTTTTATTATTAGCGTTTCTCAGGCACAAAGCCTGCTGCAGCTGGCCCTGGGTCCTGGCTTTCAGCCAGCATCTGGCAGCCTAAGTGTACTGATAAGTGTGTTTTCTCCTGTTACATCATGCTGAATCCTTTCCCTTAGCCATTAGCTTTTATGATGTGGTCTTCGTAGGAAAGCCACCCTGGTGCCAAGCCTAGCTTGTGGGGAGGGGTATGTGTTCCAGAAACTGCTCTTTGTGTTCCCTTCAATGAGGAAACAACATGTGTCTACTTATGTGGCATCCAACTGCTTGGAGCTCCACACTTCCCTTTCGCGACTCAGGCTCTGGTGCTGTTGCCAATCCTTGCTTGGCAAAGACTGTTCGATCATGTGGGGTCCTTATTTACAAGGGAAAGCTGGGCCAGAAGGCTAGCAATTCAGGTGTTACCGCTATTGCTGTACCTTGTGTTAGGACATTGTGTTTGTGCATGGACTGTGCCTCCAAACTCAGTAGTTCCTATCTAAATATAAAGTATATTAGAAACCTGAAAGTACAGAATCTCAACCTTACAGTCTTTCCCTTAGTCCTGTGGCCTTCCTAAGCCAGCTGTTAACGTGTTGATTCCTTCCACTTCCCCCAAGTAGGCAGGCAACAGATATGTTGATTGTCTTAGAAAGTAATCTGGTTCCTCTGAACTCCATTGAATTCCAGTTTGACGCATACTGCCTGGAACCAGACTGTTTGCTTACAGCTTTTTAAGAAAAATCTGCCTTGTCTGCCCCCATTATGGTTGGTCTTGGTAGCTCCTGGGCACTGTGGGCGTGTACCATGGGAAAGTGATTCAACACAGTGAAGGTGATTGTCTCCTCAGGCCTCCTGAAGCCACCTGTGCGGTGGGACTTCACGTGTCTCGGCCAAGGCGAGCATTTCCACAATGCCGTGGATGCTGCAGTCAGGCCAGATTGAACCATGACCCCATTTTTCACATGATACCAATTTTGTCTTAAAATTCACTGAGAAAAATGAGACTAAATTTTTTTTAACCCTCAGGAGCACCTGAAGCAAATATTTATCCGTATTTATTGAAAATTCATTTTGTTTCTACTTGAAGCTTTAACCCCTTCCATTCCTGCAAGTGTGCCTTTTGAGAGCTCCCATGGCCTAGTGACTTCACTGGTCACCTTGTCCATCTTACTTAAGAATTTTAGTCTCTCCCTACCCTCTTGGACAGAGCTTCCTGTTCTCTTATTTCACAGGTTATACAGCAGAGCGGGTTTTGTGTTTTCATTCCTATTTCCACCCTTCATTTGGTTGGTGGACTCCACAACCTCACCCTACCCTACACTTTGGGAGCACAAATTTGGTGTTGAAACAAGCTTAAATTTCATTTTAGGGCATACTGGGCTTACTCTCCTCCCAGCTGTCTGTGGATTGATTTGATTTTAATGTTCGAGTTTTACAGCAACAGCTGAAAACCATGAACTATTCTAGGAACTGTGTTGGAACTCTTTAAAATAAAGAAAAGAGGAGGAGGAGGAGGAAGAAAGAAAACCAACTTAAGAAGCCTTGACTTTGGAGGACAGAAAGCCACCAGCCAATGGAGAACAAAGAGATGTTTCCCTTTCCTTTCTTTCACCTTGTCATTCTGGGTTTCCTTCTGCTTCACTCTTTCCTTCCCCCTTAAAAGTGGTATTCCTGGTTGGTCTGTCTGTCTGTCCTTGTCCTTGTGGTGATCCTGGCATGGTGATATGCTCCACTTTGCATTATCCATGGTCTCTTACCAGCGCACAAGTCAGTGGGGAGGATCTAACCACGCCTGGTGGTGAGGAAGCTGAATTTCCAGGCCTGCGTCCCATGTAGCCTCTCCATGAACTGCAGAAGGCATGTTCTGCATGGTTACCAGTAAGTGGCTCCCTCTCACCGTGTTCATTGTCAAATGAGAGCAAACTTTAGGTGTTGGCTCCATTGTACACTCTACTTGCTCTGCTCCCCTCCCTCCAACCAGGGTTCATGTCAGTGCACACCCCATGTGCCCTGGCGAAGCTGGTGCTGTGAGTGATGTTTCCCATACAACTCAGGGATGCCAGGTGGCTTACCCTGAGATAGTCATTTTGGGCACATAACAGTGTAGGAATGAAACATGGATTTCATTGATATTTAAATCTGTCAATTTCATTTTTTGTTAATGTTTTCCCCTGATGACTTTTTAGCAATTTAACAAATAAAATGGACAATTGTCTTAACTGTTTTATTAGCAAAAAAAGAAAAAGAAAAGAGGTCTGGCCGGGCGCAGTGGCTCACGCTTGTAATCCCAGCACTTTGGGAGGCCGAGGCAGGCGGATCACAAGGTCAGGAGTTTGATACCAGCCTGGCCAACATAGTGAAACCCTGTCTCTACTAAAAATACAAAAATTAGCCGGGCATGGTGGCAGGCACCTGTAATCCCAACTACTTGGGAGGCTGAGGCAGGAGAATTGCTCCAACCCAGGAGGCAGAGGTTGCAGTGAGCCAAGTTTGTGTCACTGCACTCCAGCCTGGGCAACAGAGTTAGACTGTCTCAAAAAAAAAAAAAAGAGGTCAATCACAGTGGCTCATGTCTGTAATCCCACCACTTTGGGAGGCTGAGGCAGGAGGATCACTTAGACCAGGAGTTTGAGACCAGCCTGGGCAATATAGTGAGACCCCATCTCTAAAAAAAAAAAAATTTACCCAAGCATGGTGGTGTATGCTTGTGGTCCCAACTACTCAGGAGGCTGAATGGGAAGATCACACTTGAGCTAGGGAGGTCAAGACTGCAGTGAGCCATGATTGTGCCACTGCATGCCAGCCTGGGCGACAAAGTAAGACCCTGTTACAAAAAAAAAAAAAATTGTCTTGATGGGAAACAATTGAGGTTGGAGATTGAAGGCACAGTAGTTGGAAAGAGATACCTTCTCTAGG
The DNA here is from genome assembly GCF_000001405.40 of Homo sapiens. NCBI lineage: Eukaryota > Metazoa > Chordata > Mammalia > Primates > Hominidae > Homo > Homo sapiens. The sequence goes on along the minus strand of NC_000001.11, from coordinate 16,246,142 downwards.
AGGTTGTGTTTTCATGGAGAGGTGGAGAGTTGCCACTCCTTGGGGACAATGCCATTTAATAATAAACCAGCTCCCTCCATCACGCTTGAAGGGCTTGGTGTTTCAGAGCCTCAGTACCAGCCTGCAATGGACATCCAAGAGTGGTCATGAGCTTGGAGCAGAGGCCCAGGGGCCAGGACGACATTTGCATCTTCCCTGGCCCCCTAAGCAAAGATGAAGACACAGGGCCCCAGGGGCATGAAGAGGCACAGCAGATGATGGTTTGGAACGCAGTCCCGAAGCTCCGAAGGCCTATGGCTTAATCCTGCTTTTCCCTACTTACTACTTAACCTTGGATACAAGCTTCCTCATCTGTAAATGTAGTTGCTTCTACCTTATAGGAGCCTGTGGGTTAATTGAAGTTGTATGTGAAAAGCGCCAGCACAACGCCCAGCACATAGTAAGTTGGCAGCTACTGCCTTCCACTGCAGGGCCAGCACAGCACTCCCCAGCCAGGGTTCTTGCTTTTCTGGATACTAAAGGGTCAGTGGGCTGGGCATGGTGGCTCACGCCCGTAATCCCAATACTTTGGGAGCCCAAGGCAGGTGGATCCCTTGAGGTCAGGAGTTCAAGACCAGCCTGACCAACATGGCAAAACCCCTTCTCTACTACAGATACAAAAATTAGCCAGGCATGGTGGTGCACGCCTGTAATCCTAGCTACTCAGGAGGCTGAGGCAGGAGAATCACTTGAACCCAGGTGGAGGCTGCATTGAGCCAAGATTGCACCACTGCACTCCAGCCTGGGCAACAAAGCGAGACTCCATCTCCCAACAAATAAATAAAGGGCCAGAGGCCTATGCACATTCGGGTGTAAATTGAAAATCTGCCTGGGGAAGGGGAGACAGTGCAGGAATCAGCACCTCAGCCCAAGGTTTTGCCTTCATTACTCCTCCCGTGAGGCCTGAGAAAGGTTCCTAGAAGTGGTAGGCTTTGAGCACCCCCACGTCCAGGCAGGAGAGGAAGCATCCACCAAAATTTTGCCCGTGAAAATCCTGCAGGCTGGCCTCTGCGTGGTGCTGCCGCACATGACTGGGTCTTAGTGCTCTGTGCCTTTTCACCTCCCCCAGGCCAAGGAGAGACTCCCAGCTAAGTTCCACCTTCTGGTCTCAGTGGCTTTACTACTTCTCTTCCCACAAACACTGCCAGCATGTCAGTGGATGCTGTGTGAGGTGATGATTTGCCCACGGCTGGAAGTGTTCAAACAGGGTCTGACCACCTGCATGGGAGGAAATAACAGAGATGCATCAGATCAAGATTGGAACCAAGGAAACGCTTGATGCCATTTCAATTTTTTGAGACGTAGTTCTGTGGACTCAGAAGGGACTTAGAGGCAGTAGGACAGGGCAGACCTAGGTTCAGGAGCTGACTGTCACTTTGAGCTGGAGCAAGTCATCCTGCCTCACTGAGCCTCAATTTTATCAGTAAAATGGCAATGATGGCAGCCAGCCTCACAGGTTAGCAACTTAGCTGGAACCAGCCAAGAATCGTTTAATCCATTGGATGGGTGTGATTCCCCAAAAGGCCACCTGAGGGCACCCTGTGAAAGGCTTCAAGTGTGCTTGGGCGATCTGTCGGAGGCAGTCTTGAGAAAGAAAGCAGATGGGCAGGAGTAAGAAAATGCTTGCCTGTTTCTCCCCTCCCTCTGTCAGTTAAGCCTGGGGGGCACCCGTCCCTGGCCCCTGCCTTGTTTCAAGTACCATCCTCCAGCTGGCCTACCTGCCTTTCCTTCCCCAGCCCTCAGCTGTGGGAAAATTACCATCTTTCTCATGGGGCTGGGCTCTGGGTCCAGAGCCTGTCGGAATGCACAAAGCCAAGCCCATGTCTTAAGTAAATGCCAAAAAGTCCTAGCAGAGTGTGTTCTGCACCCACCAGGGAGCCTGTCTGCCCACCTACTGCAAGGAAGAGAAGGAGGGCTCCTTTCCAGCAGAAGCCTGGGGAGAGGGAGGATGCTCCTGCCCGAGGACATGGGCTGTGGCCCGTTGACAAGGCCTAGAACACCTGGAACTGACTGGGAGACTATTCACTCTCAGCAAGCATTCCCTGAGCATCTGTGACCCCCGAGGCACTGGGACACACACAAGACACAAAAGAGGCCCACCCATGAAGGAGCTTACAGCCTAATCACAAACCAGGGAGGTGTCACATGGGCTAAACAAAAATGACAAATCCTGAGATTCTAAGGTCAAAAGACAATCCAGGTATCATACTAAAAAGATACCAAAGAGGATGGAGTCAGTAGAACCATCTGCAACCAGTGCAGCCACCCAGGGCTGGGACAGTTGTTCGGGAAGCCAGAAGCCAAGAAGTTAGCCTTCTCTTTGCTTTGGTGTCTTAGTTCCCTTGTGCTGCTATATACCATACCACAGACTGAGTGATTTATAAGCAACAGAAATGTATTTCCCACATTTCTGGAGGCTTAGAAGTCCAAGCTCAAGGCACCATCAAGCTTGGTGTCTGGTGAGGGCCCAGTCTCCACTTCCAAGACATTGCCTTGTTGCTGCTCCATCGTGAAGGCTGTGTCTTCACACCGTGGATGGGATGAACTGGCCCCTCACGCCTTTCCATAACATCACTAATCCCATCGTGAGGGCTCTGCCCTCATGACTTAGTCATTCCCTGAAGGCCCCACCTGTTAATACTGTCACAGTGGTGATTAAACTTCAACATGTGAATCTGGCAGGACGTTCAGATCATGGCACTTGGCCTCGTCCTGCTAACCTGTGGCAGGGGGGCAGATGAGGATAGAACCTATCTGGGGCATCCCAGATGGGTGGGGTCTAGGCCTCGCTTCTGGCAGTCAGTAATGCAGGGTCTTGATAAGCCTATAAGCCGCAGCAGCCAGTGGTCAGGGCTGAGGACAATGGAGGGTGACCCATGTGGACTTGATGGCCAGAGGTCATCCCCTCAGATGTAATGGGAAAGGAGCTCCCGAGTGGAATCCGTAGTGGGAAGACAACACTTAGGACCGCATGGCTGGGGCCACGGCAGAGGCACAGAGCAGAGTGCTCTCTGCAGCAGAAGGCCCACAAGAGATGGCGTCCAAGGAGTAGCATCGCTCCCCAGCCATGCTTCCCTGGGATTTGGGCAAGCCTCCCTGCACACCAAACATGAGCCTCAGGGCGGGCTGGAGGAGGGGGTTTCCGGTTCTTCTGCCTCTCCTGGGTCTGACCTCGTCGTTGTCATTGCCCAGGTGGCATCCAAGGCTCTGCTGTCTGTCCACAGCATCCGGACCTCTCATCTGTCTACACCCATTGCTTCAGGCTTGGTCCCTCCGCCGTCAGTAATGTCCAGCTTCACTCAGGCCGCTCACCTGCGCTTTACATTCCAACATCTGCTGTGAGTGTGTCCTCTCTGGGCAGCCCCCCACCCTCCCTCACTCCCCAGGGGCTCCTCCTCTGACCCTGTGCGCTTCCTCCATGCTTCCCCCACAGTTAGGGGCACCACCATCCATCCAGTCACCTGGGAATGATCCCAGGGTCAGGTGATCTGAGGATGGAGAATTGACCACTGAGCTTGGTGGCGAGGCTGGTGCCCTTGACCTGACTTGATTAACTGGCTGTGGCTCCAGCTTGGAGAATCCCTAAAGCCAGTGAGCCTGGTGGAAGGACTGCTAGGAGGCAGAGCAAGCATTCCAGGTGGGAGTGGAGCACTCCTGGTGCCAGGCCATGCTGAGGGAGGGGTGGGTGTTATTCTAGGAGCCAAGAGGATTTTAAGCCTGGTGTCCTAGCTGACCTCCCGCCCCACACCTACCCAGGATCCTCAGGCAGGGCTCTCCATGCCTCATTCTCACCCCAGCTCGGCCTGTGTGTCTGCCCACCTGGGCCTCCCATCCACTCTGTCAAGTTGGTGACTGTGTCCCTGCCTTGTGGAGTCCTCTCAAGGTCTTGTGGGGACCTTGTCCAAGAGGTTTTTAATAAATATTTGTGGGGAGACCAAACCAAGAAGAAATGAGTGGATTAATCACAGGGCTCTAGGCCGGGCACAGTGGCTCATGCCTGTAATCCCAGCACTTTGGGAGGCCGAGGCGGGCAGATCACGAGGTCAGGAGATTGAGACCGTCCTGGCCAACATGGTGAAACCTTGTCTCTACTAAAAATACAAAAATTAGCTAGGCGTGGTGGCATGCGCCTGTAGTCCCAGCTACTTGGGAGGCTGAGGCAGGAGACCTGCTTGAACCTGGGAGGTGGAAGTTGCGGTGAGCCAAGATCATGCCACTGCACTCCAGCCTGGCGACAGAGCAAGGCTCTGTCTCAAAAAAAAAAAAAAAAAAAATCAGAGGGCTCTAGACTAGAAGAGTCCTTAGGGAGATGTTCTACATGTTTTGCTTGAGGCCCTGAAAGGAGAAGCAGCTGGCTTAGGGGGACACATAGTTTAGTGGTCAGAGGGGCACAGGAGAGCAGAACTCATAGACCAACACGGTCCACAAGCGTCCTTCTGAAACGCAGTTCTAACCATGTCACTTTCAGGTCCCAACAGTCAGCTGGCCTCCTTTGCCCAGCAGCAGTGTTTACATGAGGTCTGTGGACCCTGTTATGGACTGAATTATGCCCTGCTCCACCCAAATCCATACATTGAAGCCCTAGCCCCCAATGTGACCATATTTGGAAATAGGTCCTTTAAAGAGGTAATTAAGGCACGCTTTTCATCTGTCCCGCTGAGTGTTTGCCTCTTGATCAGGAACTCCTGCTTCTCCCTGCCTCTAAATGGACCCCAACTGCTCCTGCTCGCCTGATGGTTCCTGCGCCTGTGCCGGCTCCTGCAAATGAAAAGAGTGCACATGCACCTCCTGCAAGAAGAGCTGCTGCTCCTGCTGCCCTGTGGGCTGTGCCAAGTGTGCCCAGGGCTGCATCTGCAAAGGGACGTCGGACAACTGCAGCTGCTGTGCCTGATGCCAGGACAGCCCTGCTCTCAGATGTAAATAGAGCAACCTTATAAACCTGGATTTTTTTGGTACAACCCTGACCCATTTGCTACATCTTTTTTTCTATGAAATATGTGAATGGCAATAAATTCATCTAGACTAAAAAAAAAAAAAAAAAAAAAGGTAATGAAGGGTGAGCATGGTGACTGATGACTGTAATCCCAGCACTTTCAGAGGCCAAGGCAGGCAGATCACTTGAGGCCAGGAGTTTGAGACAAGCCTGGGCAACAAGGCAAAACCGTACCTCTAAAAAAATACAAAAGAAAAAGTCCGGGCATGGTGGCTAATGCCTGTAATCCCAGCACTTTGGGAGGCCAAGGCGGGCGGATCACCCGAGGTCAGGAGTTCAAGACCAGCCTGGCCAACATGGTAGAACCCCGTCTCTACTAAAAATACAAAAATTAGCTGGGTGTGGTGGCAGGCGCCTGTAATCCCAGCTACTTGGGAGGCTGAGGCAGGAGAATCACTTGAACCTGGGAGATGGAGGTTGCAGTGAGCAAAGATCGCGCCATTGCACTCCAGCCTGGGGCACAAGAGCGAGACTTTGTCTCAAACAAACAAACAAAAATACAAAAAAAAAAAAAATTAGCCAGGCGTGCTGATATGCACCTGTAGTCCTAGCTCCCCTCGGGGCTGAGGCAGGAGGATTGCTTGAGCCTGAGGAGGTCGTGGCTGCAGTGAGCTGAGATCACACCACTGCCCTCTAGCCTGGGTGACAGAGTGAGGCCCTGTCTCAAAAAATAAAAGAAAAAGGTAATCAAGGTTAAATGAGACCATAAGCATGGAGCCCTAATCCAGTAGGACTAATGTCCTATTTGTAACAGAGGAAGAGACACCAGACATGTATAAGCACAGAGAAGAGGCCATCTGTAAGCCAGGAAGAGAGGCCCCACCCAGAAACCAACTCTGCTGGCACCTTGATCTTGGACTTCCAGCCTCTAGAACTATGAGAAAATAAATTTCTGTTGTTTAGAGTACCCAGACTGTGGTATTTTTGTTACAGCAGCCTGGGCTGACTCATATAGACCCCAACTTCAGAACTGCCTAGTGCTTTTGTCAAATCTGCAGGCTCACAGACCTACCCAGCCCCTGACACAGAATGTCGGGGTTGGATGTGTGAACCCCAAATATCTGAGACAGGTCACAGTCAATTTAGAAAGTTTATTTTGCCAAGGTTAAGGATGTGCCCGTGACAGCCTCAGGAAATCCTGAGACATATACCCAAGGTGGTCAGGGGTACAGTTTGCATTTAAGTTTTAGGGAGACATGAGACCTCAATCAATATGTGTAAGATGTACATTGGTTTGGTCTGGTAAGACAGGACAGCTTGAAGCAGGGGCTTCCAGGTTAGAAATACATAAGAGACAAGGCCAGGTGCAGTGGCTCATGCCTATAATCCCAGCACTTTGGAAGGCTGAGGTGGGCGGATCATGAGGTCAGGAGATCCAGACCATCCTGGCCAACATGGTGAAACCCCGTCTCTACTAAAATACAACAACAACAAAAATTAGCCGGACATGGTGGGGCATGCCTATAGTCCCAGCTACCTGGGAGGCTGAGGCAGGGGAATCACTTGAACCTCAGAGGCAGAGGTTGCAGTGAGCCGAGATTGTGCCACTGCACTCCAGCCTGGGCGACAGAGTGAGACTCTGTCTCAAAAAAAAAAAAAGTAGATAGGAGACAAAAGATTGCATTCTTTTGAGTCCTTGATCAGCCTTCCACTGAATACATAATTTTATTTATTCAGCTCTGTCACCCAGGCTGGAGTGCAGTGATATGATTCTGCTCACTGCAACCTCCACCTCCCAGGTTCAAGCGATTCTTCTGCCTCAACCTCCAGAGTAGCTGGGATTACAGGCGCCTGCCATCACAGCCAGATAATTTTTGTATTTTTAGTAGAGACAGGGTTCACCATGTTGGCCAGGCTGGTCTTGAACTCCTGACCTCGGGTGATTTGCCCGCCTCAGCCTCCCAAAGTGCTGGGATTACAGGCGTGAGCCACCGCGCCCAGCCATTTTTTTGTATATTTTTAGGGATAAGGTTTTGCCATGTTACCCAGGCTGGTCTCAAACTCCTGACCTCAAGTGGTCCACCAGCTTCAGCCTCCCAAAGTGCTGGGATTACAGGCGTGAGCCACCGCACATGGCCCCAAGAGGACTTTACATCTTCTCTGGGTTGCAGATTAACAGGCACGTTCATTCTGCCAAGTTGCTTCATTTTCTCACACGCTCACTGAGCCCTCCACGAGCCAAAGATGGGTGGATGTGAAGTCTGGAAATCCAGAAATAATTCAGATCAGAGCCCTGCCACTGAGTGACTCCTGGCCCATGGAGAGAGCTCTGGACAGCTGTGAATCTCCCTGACTGGGCAGATGTGACAGCTGCAGGAATGGGAACCATGTGACCTGGGAGTATGGGCAAAGGATTCCACCTGCAGAATCCTGTAGGAATGGTTATTCATCTGGTTTTTCTGCCTAGCCACAGCGTGAGCAAGTTGAGAGAAAGCACCTTGTCTTACACATCCTCATCCCCTCTCTTAGACATAATGGGCCTTAAAAATCTGTGAGTTCGTAGTCCTCTGGCTGCTTTCTGCTTCCCTAGGAACAGCCCTCCTAGTGGCTAGGGGCAAAGTTTTAAAAACACAAAACCCAAACTGGCAGAACAGATAAGTACTTTAGAGTCAGGTAAGTGTGGGTTCTTTTTTTTTTTTTTTTTTTTTTTTTGACAGGGCCTAGCTCTGTCACTCAGGCTGAAGTGCAGTGGCATGATCTCGGCTCACTGCAACCTCCATTTCCCGGGCTCAAGCAATCCTCTCATCTCAGCCTCCAAGTAGCTGGGACTACAGGCGTGCACTACTGTGCCCGGCTAATTTTTGTATTTTTTTTTTTGTAGAGGCAGGGTCTTACTATGTTGCCCAGGTTGGTCTCAAACTCCTGAGCTTAAGCAATCTGCCCGCCTCAGCTTCCCAAAGTGCTGGGATTACAGGCGTGAGCCACCACACCCAGCCAGCTGTGGGTTCTGAGTCGGTTTCACACTGACTAGCTGTGCGGTGTGACCTCAGACAAGTCACGTTATGTTTCTGAGAGTCTTCGTCAGTACAAGAGGGTAATACTATTTACACAGGTTTGTTTATAGAATTAAATCAGGTGACCCCTGTAAAGTCCCCACTGTCTGGCACTTGGGTGGCCTTAGGTAAAGCTTAACTCCTAAATTATTCCTTTCAAAACAGTGATTTGCCCTACTTGAAGGCATTGCGGAAAGATAATGGTAAAAATTAAATGTAATAGACAAACTCTCAGTAATGACCCACCTGCACTCTTTCCAACCAGTGGGCATTTACTGAGCACCCACCTTCTGGGTAACAGGCCTGGTGTCCAGTGCTGGAACGGTGGAGAGGAGCTCAGAGTTTCAGAGCTGAAAAGTCAGCTCCAGGAGAGCAGGGACTTCTTGTTGGCCACTGTATTCCCAGCTAGGTGCTCAGTATTTGTTGAATGAATGAATGAATGAAAAATACAATCCAGCGGGCCTCTGACTCATTTTTTAAAACTTGAGCCAAGTCCCTTGACCTCTCTGAGCTGGTGTGTGTCCCCATCAGTGAAGCCAGAGATGTTTAAGTCATCTAGAGGTCCTGCCAAGCAGGATTAATAGAGCAATAATATTAATAATAGCAACAATCATAACTAAACATATGGAGCACTGCTATGGAGGGAATAACATGTTACGTCCACGTTATAGAAGAGGAAACTGAGACACAGAGAAGCATGAAAGGCTCCTGGAGGGGGGGTTTCATGATGTTTTGGAAGAAAGACTAGGGATCGGACGGAGTCATAGAGAAGAGGATCCACAACCCAGAGGAAAAGGCCTAGTCCAGAGCCACCGCGCGGCGCAGGCTGCGGACGTTGTAGGAGGGACGAACGCCTCCCGGAACCCGCCCAACCCAACCTCCGGCGTCTCCATGGCAACAACCTCCGCACATGCGCCGCGCGCACCTGCGCCGGAGCTGCCAGCACGCGCAGAAGGCGGACGCAGGCGGGGCGGAAGTGGGCCCGGCGGGCTGGGGCGGCGGGAGTGCGGGTGGGCGTTTAAAGGGGCCTTCGGCACCCAGGTCGGTTCGCCGCCGGGACTGCTGACGGGGAGGGCTAGGTAGCCCTGGGAGTCGGGATCTAGAAGGTAGAGGAGAAGCGGGGCTGTCTGACCCCCGGAGGTGACAAGGGGAGAGGGGCTGTGTGAATACCCTCCATGGGCAGTAATGGGATGACTATCCCCAGGGAGCATTGCGAAGGAGAGAGGCGGCTGAGGGACTGCACTTTCTGGGGCCCCCCGGGAGAGTCAGAGGGCAGTTAAGAGGGATCACAGGCCCGGCTTGGTACTGTCACTCCCCTTCCCACTCCCTGCTCTCAGCATTCTGTCACCTCCCTACCCCGTCGCGGTGCCCAGCCATGGCCAGACCTCCCGTGCCCGGTTCGGTGGTTGTCCCAAACTGGCACGAGAGTGCCGAGGGCAAGGAGTACCTGGCTTGCATTCTGCGCAAGAACCGCCGGCGGGTGTTTGGTAAGTGCCTCCCCCTTTCCTCTAGCCCGCCACTTGTCTTTCCCTGGGGAGAAGAGTGTCACCTGTTGCTCCCTGAGGAGAGCAGAGAGGCAGGGCAGTGAGGGCCTGCTCCACTGCAGTCTTCAGCAGTCTTCAGCCTGGGGGACTGAAAGCCCTAGCTCTGGGACCCCCACACCTAAATCTCCTTAGAGCTAATTCCATCGTCAGAGCCAGGAACATGGAAACAGCAGAAACCTTGCCAGCAACCACTGTCACCAGAGATGCAGTTGATTGAGCACTCCCCTGGTGCCAGGCCCTCTGTTGGGCACGTTACACAGTGCACGCCCATTTAACCTCTCAACAGCACATGGTACAGACTTGGCTAAGATCACACCCCAATAAATAGAGGTGAGCCTCTTCCATGTCCTGCTGTCTCTGGGATGAGACGCTGGTGTTCCCCATGGTGAAACTGACTCACCCAGGCAGGGCCCAGCTGTCAGGCCGGCAGAGGTGCCTGGAATCAGCTGTGGAGCCCAGCTCTGGCCAGGAGAAGCAAGGTGCCAGAAGACTTAAGACCAGAGAGTGAGATAGCTAGAACCAAAATTTGTGAATAAGTCAACTGTTTGTTTGTTTTTTTAAAAGAAATTATATTAAATTCAAAAAATGACCCTCTAGAAGGCTGGGCGCAGTGGCCTGTAATCCCAGCACTTTGGGAGGCCGAGGTGGGCAAATCACCTGAGGTCAGGAGTTCAAGACCAGCCTGGCCAACATGGCGAAACCCCATCTTTACTAAAAATACAAAAATTAGCCGGACGTGGTGGCGGGCACCTGTAATCCCAGCTACTTGGGAGGCTGAGGCAGGAGAATCGCTTGAACACAGAAGGCAGAGGTTGCAGCAACCCTAGATCGAGCCATTGCATTCCATCCTGGGTGACAAGAGTGAAACTCCGTCTCAAAAAAAAAAAAAAAAAAAAGACCCTCTAATATGGCCACTGTCCCTCTAATCCCATGATGGCTGGCAACACTGTATTTGGGGTCACACATACCCAGGCAAGTGACCCAGGCTCCACCACTGCTAGCTGTATGGCTGGGAATAAGTGAACTCTAGCCTCAAGTCCCACCTCTGTAAAATGGGGATAATCACAGTATTTACCCCATAGAGTTACTGGGGAAATTAATAAGGAGGGTGTTTGTAACATACCAAGCAGGTTCTGGCATGCAGTGGGTGTTCACTGAAGGTTGGCTGTTATTGTATTTATTTTGCATTTAGTTGTGTTGAGTGGAAGAGAATTGAGTGAAGGTTGAGCTGATTTTCTGGGAACATCATAGAATCCACTGACCATATTATCTATGCCACAGATAGGATTAAGCAGCCATAACTTAGAGGAATGGCAGTGATGGCTTTTAATTTTTGTGTTTTTACTTTAACTGCAGACATTTGGGTTTTTTTTTAACAGCTGGGTTTATGCACCTGAATGTATCATTCAGTGGTTGTCATGCAGGCCCCACAACAAACGCTGAGAGCAGCTAGTAAATAAATATCAACAGACTGACTATAATGCTTAGGCTAGTCTCTTTGTATCCCAGACTTCTGTAAAATTAGGTTGAGTATTAAGAGCCACAGATGAGGCCGGGCACGGTGGCTCACGCCTGTAATCCCAGCACTTTGGGAGGCTGAGGCAGGCAGATCACCTGAGGTTGGGAGTTCGAGACCAGCCTGACCAACATGGAGAAACCCCATCTCTAAAAATACAAAATTAGCCAGGCATGGTGGCGCATGCCTATAATCCCAGCTACTCGGGAGGCTGAGGCAGGAGAATCACTTGAACCCGGGAGGCGGAAGTTGCAGTGAGATCACACCATTGCACTCCAGCCTGGGCAACAAAAGCGAAACTCCGTCTCAAAAAAAAACAAAAAAGAACCACAGATGGTTGGTTAGCCCTGAAGAAGCCATTAGAAATGAGGTTGTCCTTGGCTGTATGTGGTGGCTCATGCCTTGTAGTCCCAGCACTTTCGGAGGCCAAGGTGGGAGGATTGCTTGAGCCCAGGAGCTCAAGACCAGCCTGAGCAACATAGTGAGACCCCATCCGTATTAAAAATAGAAGGTAAAGAAAAAAAGTAAAAATAAATAAGTGAGACTGTCCAGCCCAGGATCTGATGGGGCAAGTGCAGGATTTACCCGCGTCTTAGTCCATTTTATGCTGCTACAACAGAATACCACACTCTAAGTTATTTATTTATTTATTTTTTGAGACAAAGTCTCGCTCTGTCGCCCAGGCTGGAGTGCAGTGGTGTGATCTCGGCTTAGCAACTTCCACCTCCCAGGTTCAAGCAGTTCTCCTGCCTCAGCCTCCCAAGAAGCTGGGATTATAGGCACCCACCACCACACCCAGCTGATTTTTGGTATTTTTTTTTGTAGAGATGGAGTTTCACCATGTTGGCCAGGCTGGTCTCGAACTCCTGACCTCAGGTGATCTGCCCGCCTTGGCCTCCCAAAGTGCTGGGATTACAGGTGTAAGCCACCGCACCAGGCCTCCTCTGTGTAATTTATAATGAACAGAAGCTTATTTGGCTCATGGTTCTGGAGGCTGGGAAGTCTAAGAACATGGCAGCAGCATCTGGAAAGGGCCTTCATGCTGTGTCATCCCGTGGCAGAAGGCAGAAGGGCAACAGCAAGACAGCAAGAGGCGCCCAAACTGGCTTTTATAACAAACCCACTCCCTCAATAACAACATTAATCCATTTATGAGGGCAGCTGATCACCTTGTGTTAGGCCCCACTTCCTAACACTGGTGCATTGGCGATTAAGTTTCCAACACATGAACTCTGGGGGACACCTTCAAACCACAGCACCCCTTGACCCTGCCTGGCTCTCTCTTTGCCCTAGGGCTGCTTGAGCGGCCAGTGCTGCTGCCGCCTGTGTCCATTGACACTGCCAGCTACAAGATCTTTGTGTCCGGGAAGAGTGGTGTGGGCAAGACGGCGCTGGTGGCCAAGCTGGCTGGCCTGGAGGTGCCTGTGGTGCACCACGAGACCACCGGTGAGTGGGACCTCTATCCTTTGCCCATCCTGGGAGGCCCTCCTTGGGGGTGGAGGCAAGAACCTGGCCCTGGACCACCTCTTACTCTGTAGCCTTGGAAAGTCACTTCACGTCTCTGAGCCTACATGGGCTCCTTGGTCCCAAGGGGATAATAGTACCACAGGGTTGTTGTGTGGTTGCCACTAGAGGTGGTGGTGGTGGTAACATGCCTAGCATCAAGCTACGCTCAAGGTAAATGCTCAGGAAATGCTAATCTTGCTTTGTTGTTTCTCACCACTGGATGCTGATTGTTCCACCATGTTGAAACATCTCCCAGCGTCCTGGGCCCTTTGGGTCTCCCTGGACATACAAACGAAACTTGCTTTGCCATAGCTAGGGCTGCATCTTCCTGGTGTACCAGAGTCTCCTCCAGGGCCAGTTTCTGTTTCTCCCATCAGACTGAGAATTATCCCGGGTCAAGGACTGTGCCTCCCTCATCAAACTAGGGACCCATCAGGGCAGGGATGTATCTCTTCTTCCTATTCCTTCCTGGTCCCCTATTCCTCCCATCTCCACCTCTCCCATGGTGAGTGGCTGACCCTGGCTCCCCCTCAGGCATCCAGACCACCGTGGTATTTTGGCCAGCCAAGCTGCAGGCCAGCAGCCGTGTCGTCATGTTTCGTTTTGAGTTCTGGGACTGTGGAGAGTCTGCACTCAAAAAGTTCGATCATATGCTGCTGGTGAGCAGGCATGTGGGCCTGGGTGGGTTCTGCCAGGGGCCGATTGGGTATTAATGAGCTCAAGGCACTGCTCAGAGACCTGAGCTGGCACTGGAGACAGTCCCAGCCCATGCTTGTCCTAGGACCAGCCGCTCCTTGCTCTGGGCCTCAGTTTCCCAATCTGTGAAAGGAGGGATTATTCCTGATTCTTCTGAGGGCCCTGCAGCTGATGGGGGGTGACATGGTTATATGCCTCTCCATCACCAGGCTTGCATGGAGAACACAGATGCCTTCCTCTTCCTCTTCTCCTTCACTGACCGTGCCTCCTTTGAAGACCTCCCTGGACAGCTGGCCCGCATAGCAGGTGAGGCCCCTGGTGTCGTCAGGATGGTCATCGGCTCCAAGTATCCTTTGGATATCCTTGGCAAGTCACGGAGCCAGGGGGTCAGGGGCCCAGCCTCTGCCCAGGCATGGAATTCAGCACCTGGGCTTTTACTTAAAGGGTACAGCATGGCTACCCCAGCTCCTGGGTGTGGGCTCCAGGGAGGAGGGAGAGGCAGGGTCTGATGGGGGGCTGTGCAGAGGCACCCAGTTAGGCTCCTTGACCCTCCTCCAGATTTGACCAGTACATGCACACGGACGTGCCCGAGCGGGACCTCACAGCCTTCCGGCAGGCCTGGGAGCTGCCCCTGCTACGGGTGAAGAGTGTGCCGGGGCGGCGGCTGGCTGATGGGCGCACACTGGACGGGCGGGCTGGGCTGGCCGACGTTGCCCACATACTCAATGGCCTTGCTGAGCAGCTGTGGCACCAGGACCAGGTGGCGGCTGGCCTGCTTCCCAACCCCCCAGAGAGTGCTCCTGAATGAGTCACGAGTGGTTGCCTGTGATCCCACCCCCAACCCTCAGGTCTCGACATAGGGCTGGAGGCTGGGGCAGGAACATGGATCCTATCTGGAGGACTGGCCAGCATGGCCTGATCAGGGAGGATGTGGCCAGAGAAGGCCCACCCGCGAGCAGCGCTTTCCTTGCAGAATTCATGGCAGGGAGGTGGGGACCAAGGCCCTGAGCTCGAACATCTCCCGTGGCCTTTCCCCCTTTGGCAGCACCGATGGAGGATGACTGGGAGAGGGGGTGCCTCTCAAGTTACTTCAATCAAGAACCTGTATTGGTTGAGGTGACACCATCTGTTGTAACAGATAAACCCCGAAATCCCAGTGCTGAACTCCAGAGACGTGTTCGTTCTCACGTAGGCCTCAGCTCGGGAGGAGGTGACAGTGGGCGTGGGGCTCTGCTCCAGGCGCTCCTGCAGAGACCCAGCCCCAGAGACCCTACCCTGCCCAGTTGCCCTAGGGTGTCAGCACCCAGTCAGCAGCCAGGGAGTGAGTGCAGGCAGGAGGTGTCCCCCCGCTTTCTGTGGACCAGGCCCAGGGTGGCACCTCATTCTGCCCACATTCCAGAGGCCAGCACCCAGCAGTCATGTGGTCATGTGGCGCTGTGGGGGAGGCTGGGACATGGAGTCCACCTGTGAGTCCAGGAGTTAAGCCCGTCGCGCTGCAGGGCCCTTTTTTTTTTTTTTTTTTTTTTTTCCAGAGTCTTGCTCTGTGGCACAGGTTGGAGTACAGTGGTGCACTCTCAGCTCACTGCAACCTACACCTCCTGGGTTCAAGCGATTCTCCTGCCACAGCCTCCCAAGTAGCTGGGATTACAGATGCCAACCACCATGCCTGGCTAATTTTTGTATTGTTAGTAGAGATGGGGGTCTCACTATGTTGGCCAGGCTGGTCTCGAACGCCTGACCTCAAATAATCCGCTCGCCACAGCCTCCGAAAATGCTGGGATTACAGGCACGAGCCACTGCGCCCGGCCTGCAATGCCTTTCTTGATCATGGAGTTGTCAGGCCAGGCTTAGGATAGGAGTCTTGGCAGCCCAGGGGCACCCGAAAGCAGCACCATGCAGGGCCAACGACCATCCCAGTGGGGGTCAGGGCGTGAGCTGGCCTGAGAGGCAGCTCTGCCCCGTGGGAGGCCATTGAGGACAGGAGCTGGGAGAGGAGTGAGTAGGCCCAGCCTTGTGTCTTGGCCCTGCCCCATAAGCCAGAGACTGGTGGAAGTAGGCTAAGGAGGATGAGGGGAAGTCCCCAGGGAAAGGGACCTTTATACGATCCCCTCCAATGAGCCCCTGCTGGGCCCCATAGATGAACCCCTGGGCTGAGGCCTGGCGTGCGTCTGGCTCAAAGCAGAGTGTCCCCAAAGCCAGCTGACTCTCAGAACTCTGCAGCTGTAACCAGGCCCCACTCACACAGTATGACCTGTGCTCACACACCTGTGCTAGGACGAAAGCACTTTCCACTCCTGCCGGCTGGCACACAGGAGGCCCAGACTCACCTGTCCTGATGCCCGCGCCCAAGCACACTGCTCACATGCCCATGCACACTGCCAGCCTATTCACCCTGGGTACTGCCACCTACATTTGTCAACCCTTCCAGGGTCTGGGCCAGAGGAAGAATTGATTCCAGCACCTTCTCACCCCTGACTAAGGCTTAGAGCTCAGGCCCTGCACTTATCCCACACCCCAAGAAGGAATGTCCCTGGGCGGGACCCCCACCTCAGAGCCTGCAGGCCGGCTCCCACTCCTGCAGCCCTCAGCCCTGCTTCCAGGTGGGCCTGTCCACGTCCCCCTCTGTCCTTAACTCCAGGAGACCTTGGCTCACGTGGACAGCAATGGAGTTGGGGGAAGGGCCCTGAAGGCAGCCCCAGGCCTGACTGTGGGCCTCCAGCTACAGGCGTTTGTGTTTGGGCACCAGCTACCCCACATCCCAGCCGGTCATCTCTGGGCATAAACCCCCACCCCCCAGAAAGGAGGCTTCCTGTCCCTCTTGGGCACCAGCTCAGCCAAAAGCCAGAAAGCTGCTCTGGAGCATAACCTGACCCCCCCACGGCGAGGCAGGGCAGTCTTCTCCTGGCTGGCACTGCTCTGGTCATAGAATTGATCCTTCATCCACCTTTACCCCAAACAAGAGGTGTCTCCCTGGGTGAGGACAAAGTGGGGAGGGCAACAGGGCTGGGGCTTAGAGCCCCTCCACCAGCCATCCAGGGCTGCCTTCTCAGCTCCTCCCAGCGCAGCACCGGTGCCACTTTAGTATTTAGTAGGCCACCCCCGGGACCTCCATCACCACAGTGCAGAACTGGAAGCCACAATGCTTTGAATAGTCGACGCCTGTGCCTCCTGGGAGGTCTCTGGGCAGCCCTGTGGAGAGTGAGTGAGAGGAGAGTGTGTTCTTACATGCACGTGTTCAGGCTGATGGCATGGGACTGTGACCCGTCCAGTCACACAGGGTCTCAAACTCCAAGGAGCCCCACACCTGGTTTAATGCTCTGCTGTTGCCCTCTTGCTGATGCCCTTCTTATTTTTTTAGAGACAGGGTCTTGCTCTGTCGCCCAGGCTGGAGTGCAGTGGCACAATCATCATTCACTGTAGCCTCGAACTCCTGGGCTCAAGTGATCCTCCCCGTTTCTCCCCAGCCCCGGAAGTAGCTCCCACCATACCCAGCTAATTTTAAAACTTTTTGAGAGACCAAGCTGGTCTCAAATTCCTGGGCTCCACTGGGTGCAGTGGCTCATGCCTGTAATCCCAGCACTTTAGGAGGCCAAGGTGGGCAGATCACCTGAGGTCAGGAGTTCGAGACCAGCCTGGCAAACATGGTGAAACCCCGTCTCTACTAAAAATACAAAAATTAGCTGGGTGTGGTGGCAAGCGCCTGTAATCCCAGCTACTCAGGAGGCTGAGGCACGAGAATCGCTTAAACCCAGGAGGCGGAGGTTGCAGTGAGCCAAGATTACACTACTGCACTCCAGCCTGGGCAACAGAGTGAGACTCTATCTCAAAAACAAAACAAAACAAACAACAAAAAATGGGCTGGAGGAGCGGGTTGTAGGCCCTTCCGCCTCTGGTGGGTGGGGAGAAGCAGGGGAGCTGGTGTTCAGCTATATTCTACAAAGAAGGGGTGGATCCTGAGAGGCAAGGGTGGGACTGAGGCCTAGTTACAGGTGGTCGGGAAGGAGGTTGAAGGGGAACTGTGTGACCTTGGATGTTCTTTGTAATTATCTTATGCTTAGCTGACACATCTGTAAAATGGAGATAGCAGCACCCACTTCTTTGAGTTGTGAGAAGTAAATGCATGTGAAATGTTTAGCGTGTGCCGGGCACCAAGTTAAGAGCCCAGTAAATGTTGGCTGTTATCATCGTCCTTGTTATTACAGTAGCAGCGGCGGTTCTGGTCAGAGAGCAGGTGGAGGGGAGGAAGAAGCCTCTCAGATCGCGCTGAGAGCGCCTCTACTGTTACACTTCAAATTTAGTCAGGGGTGCGGGGAGGGAGGGGCAGCCCAACTGGGCCAATTGAGAAGCTTCTGGCACCTGCAACTGCGCCCTGTCCCCTCACCTTCACCCCATGCCTGCTGCACCAAGACGGCGATGACGCCACCGACAGGACGACGACTGTGTCTCGCGCCCTGCGGCGGCATTTATGTGCCGGACTCTAGGGGTACATTTTCTGAGACGGGAAAACCTGCATTGGTGAGACTTGGGTCAGACTCACCCATACTCTTGTCCCACCTCACCCAGAAGGCCCGAGTGGCCAGGCCACAGGCTCTCCCTTAAACCCCCTCTCCCCTCCCCGAGGAATCCCGCAGCGTCTCTTGTCATTTTCTTGCAATGGGCAGTTCCTTCCTCGAACTAACCCTAATACCTTTTGCTACAACTCAAATTTCCTTTAATTTTGGCCTTAGTGGGACTGATGGACTCAGATCCCCTTTTCCACCCAGATAAAAGTGGGACAGAGCGGGGTCAGACCGCTCCTAACTGTCCCCCTGACCCCGCGATGGGTTAGACTTCGTGCTCGCCTGGGAGGAGAAGCTGCGACCCCCGCGGCGGCGGGAGAGAGGCGACTCCGGCAGCGGCGCTGGCGCGAGAATTTTCAGCGGAACCTGGAGGAGGTGAGCACGGAGCCGGCGGGCTGCGAGACCCGAGGCCGAGCGCAGACGCCCCTAGCCAGCTCTGAGACCCGCACAAGAGCCTTCAGCAGCTCATCTGTCAAATGGATTTGGCCGTAGTGTCAGCCCCAGGCAGGGGCTGTGACGATTACACGGACGCAGGGTGTAAAGCGCTCAGCCCAGGACCTGGCACATTGGAGGTGCCCAAGAAAGGAGCAAGATCAGTCGCTATACGACGCGGCCCACCCGGCGTCTGTCTCCGCGTTTGAAAAACGAAGGTGTTCGTTTTCCTCATTTGAAATTTAAACGAGGAAAGGCATGTCAAAGCGCTTTTGAAGGCGGAAAGGACCGACGCGAAAAATGGGATCTGGCCGGGCGCGGTGGCTCACGCCTGTAATCCCAGCACTTTGGGAGGCCGAGGCGGACGAATCACCTGAGCCCAGGAGTTCGAGACCAGCCTGGCCAATATGGTGAAACCCTGTCTCTACTAAAAATACAAAAATTAGCGGGGCGTGGTGGCGCACGCCTGTAGTCCCAGCTACTCGGGAGGCTGAGGCAGGAAAATCGCTTGAATCCGGGAGGCGGAAGTTGTGGTGAGCCAAGATCGCGCCACTGCACTCCAGCAACAGCGAGATGTTGTCTCAAAAAAACAAAACAACAACAAAAAAAGGGATCTGTCACCTCCCGGCCGAGATCGTGAGGGGAGGGGCTTAGGGGTCCTTCCCTCTCCTCCTGGGAGAGCAGCCCAGGAGAGTACCCCGGCATAGCGCCGCACCCTTCGCCGAGCTGAGCGCGCCTGGGAGCCGCTGTGCTACGCCGAGGAACTGAGCCTGCGCGCGCCGTCTCATGTGGAGGGGTGGGGCGGGGTCCGCCAGGGGCGGAGTCTCCCTAGGGGGCCGTAACCCTGCCCTTGACCCCAGGCCCGGCCCAACCCCGACTCTGAGGGCTCGGCGGAGCCACGGCGACGCCTGCGCCTGCGCAACCCTCTGCAGCAGTAGGTGCCCAGCCGGCCGTAGGATTCGTGCGCCTTCCGCAGCTCGGAGCCGGACAAGTGAGACCAGGCGGCCCCTTGGGTGGGCAGGGTCTGTCCGCGGAGGGGCTGGAGCCAGCAGAAGCCTTAGCCCAGCCAAGGCTGATTTGCCCTTCCTCGGCGTGCCTCAGAGGCAATTCCCGCCTCACTCGCTTTAGGTCTCTGACCCTGTCCTTTCCGCAAACTGGGGCCCCAGCCCTGCCCACCATCTCTGATTCCCACCTGTTCAATCCGCTCTGATGCACACCTGACTGGAGCACACCCAGCCCAGGCTGCGCTCTGTGGCCAGAAGGGCTCTCTGGCAGTGGCAGCTGGCATGTCTCACCTGCCTGTCTCCAACGGAGAGGCTCTGGACTGGTATTAGGTTTCAGATCGGGCAGAGGGCTGGGCTTCTGACCCCTGTTCCTCTCACAGATTCCTGGGCAGAGATTCCCATGGCTCCTACTTCTCTTACATGTGGATGCACTGAGTGGTGAGATGGCTGCTTGGGGTGAGTCCAGCTGGGACCTTAAGCGGGCAGTTGACACGAGGACTCCTCTGGCAAGTGGCAGAAATCCTGGACCGCACAATCTCCAGGAAGAAGAAACATACAGAGATGGGCATCGCCCACCTGCTGGTAGAGGGAGTCTACACTGCGGCCTTCCCACTGCGTGAGGAAGAGATGTCCCAAGCTCAGATCTCTCCCAGGCCTGACAGCATAGCAGCAGTGGCTGGGGCATCCGGAGAGCACTCTCAAACCTCCCTGCAGCTCTCCCTCCTTTTGTCCTCCTAGGGCCTCTTTGAACTGCCTGGGTACCAGGTACCCGGTTCAGATCTCAACTCTTGCCAATTGCTGTACCCATACTGGGCTTGCTGGGGATACTGGCACAAGTACCAGCCCCTGGACCAGCCTTTGGACAAAGTATGAGAGTACTTTGGGGTGAAGGTGGTCATCCACTTTGCCTGGCTAGATGAGTCTGGCGCTGGGGTGGGGACTGGGAGTGGGGCTTGAGTGCAGAGATGGGGGTTCATGAGCTTTCTCTCACCCTTCAGGTTTCTACATGGCCTGTCTGCTGCCTGTGACCCTGGTGGGCACCCTGCTCTTTATCTCTAGCCTTGTCACCGTGGGGACCAACACACTAGTGTGGGTGGCTGTGGAAGGGTTGGGGGATGGGCTGGGTGGGCTAGGTTGTCTGCCTGGTTGAGGATAGGCCCTCCCAGGATAGGCACCCTCTGCTCACAGACAGGAGATCTGTGCCAGTGGGGGTGCCACTCTGTGATACCTGTGCCACGTGGAATATTTCTGGGATCTGCCCCATGGCCAAGGTGAGCCAAGGAAAGGGGCAAAAAAACCAGGTAGGTATTTTGGACCCAACCTGGGCCTGGATGCTGGCCCTACCTTGTGCCCTCTCTCCCCTCCTCACAGCTGAGCTGCCTCTTTGACCACCCAGGAACCGTGTTCTTCAGCATCTTCATGTCCTTCTGGGGCCATGGCCTTCCTGGAGCACTGGAAGCAGGGAGTGCCACCTTGGCCCACCACTGGGACTGCAGTGACTTCCAGGACCAGGAGGCAATGCCCAGTTCAGCCCCCCACCACTGGGACTGCAGCGACTTCCAGGACCAGGAGGTGATGCCCAGTTCAGCCCTCCACCACTGGGACTGCAGCGACTTCCAGGACCAGGAGGTGATGCCCAGTTCAGCCCTCCAGGCCACAACCCCACTTCCCAGAGTTCTCAGAGGCCTTAAAGTGTGCTGGGAAGAGGTCAGACTTTGGAGTCCAACATCCTGGGATCCAAATCTGGCTTCTCCTCACACTTTTCCTGGGTCACTTTCCACCCTCCCCTGACATCAGGATGATACAGGCTTGGCGAGGTGAAACACTGAGAGTATTTATATAATAAGCCGGGCCTTGGAAAGAGACCCTCCCAAGAACAGAGAAGGAGAAAACATTCCACCTACCCACCCACCCATCCAGCTACCTACCTGTCTATCCAAACATCTTATCATTGATCCTAAGTCTGTTCGCTTCTCCCTACCTCCTCTGCCACACCCCAGCTCTCCCCACTCCAGTCCAAGTCACCATTTCCTCTTTCCTGGACCACTGCAGTGACCTCGCAACAGATCTCCTTGCCCCACTTAATTCATTCTCAGCTGCCAGGACAGTGACATCTGTGTTACCTTCCTCAAAGCCTTCCAGGGCAGTCTCATTTGAGACGTACCTGGGAAACTATCCAGACCCCTCACAGTGGCCTGCAAGGCCCTGTGCCATCTGGCCTGTGTCTAGTTCTGCCCAACTGGCTCCACCAGATCCTTGAATAGGTCAAGTTCATTTCCATCCTGGAGCCTTGGCATTGGCTATATTGGCTATGCTCTGCCAGAATCCTCTTCCTTCAACTTTTTTTTTTTTTTTTGAGATGGAGTCTCGCCCTGTTGCCCAGGCTGGAGTGCAGTAGTGCAATCTCAGTTGACTGCAGCCTCTACCTCCCAGGTTCAAATTATTCTCCTGCCTCAGCCTCCCAAGTAGCTGGGATGACAGGTGTGTGCCACCACACCCAGCTAATTTTTTATATTTTTAGTAGAGATGGGGTTTCACCATGTTGGCCAGGCTGGTCTCGAACTCCTGACCTCAGGTGATCTGCCTGCCTTGGCCTCCCAAAGTGCTGGGATTACAGACAGACATGAGCGACCACGCCCAGCCCCTTCAGATCTTATGTGGCCTACTCCTTGTCATTCAAGTCTCAAATATCTCCTTCCTAGAGAGGTCTTCCCTGATCACTAATCCAGAGAGGTGCCCTGTCACTGTTTTAATTTAATTGCAGCATTCATCACTGTATTTTATGGTTTGTTTGTTTATTATCTGTCTTCTCCCACTGGCGTGTGAGCTCCATGAGAGCAGAGACCTTATGTGTGATGTTGGCTGCTGTACCCCAGTGCCCAGAATAGTCTCTAGCACATAGAAGATGCTCCATAAATGTTTGTTGAGTGAATCTGTGAATAATCTATCTTCTGCCTACCCATTTGTCCAGCCATCCATCACTTTATCCATTCAACAGGGTTATAGGAAGATAGAAAACCAAACAAGATATTTTAACAGAGATAATTTAATATATAAGGTATTGGTTAAACAGGTGCTGGGGGACTGAAAAAGCAGAAAGGGAACACTGAGGCAACGAAGTAAATGTCAGTGGTACCCTTTGGATAGTGCAGTACATAACTCAGGTAACTTTAAAGAGTGGCCCTGGCCCGGGCACAGTGGCTCACACCTGTAATCCCAGCCCTTTGGGTGGCTGAGGCAGGAGGATCACTTGAGCCCAGGAATTCAAGATCAGCCTCAGCAACATAGTGAGACTTTCTCTCTACTAAAAAATAAAAAATTAGCTGGGTGCAGTGGCATGTATCTGTAGTCCCAGCTACTCAGTAGGCTGAGGCAGGAGAATCACTTGGGGCCAGGAGTTTGGGGCTGCTGTGAGCTATGATTGTGCCACTGCACTCCAGCCTGGGTGACAGAACAAGACCTTGTCGCTAAAAAATATATTAAGAATTAAATTAAAATTGAAATTGGCCATGCACGGTGGCTGATGCCTATAATCCCAGCACTTTGAGAGGCTGAAGCAAGCGGATCACTTGAGGCCAAGAGTTTAAGACCAGCCTGACCAACATGGCAAAACTCCATCTCGACTAAAAATACAAAAATTAGCCCCGGCTGGGCGCGGTGGTTCACATCTGTAATCCTAGCACTTTGGGAGGCCAAGGTGGGTGGATCACAAGGTCAAGAGATTGAGACCATCTGGCTAATGTGCTGAAACCCCGTCTCAACTAAAAATACAAAAATTAGCTGGGCGTGGTGGCACGCGCCTCTGGTCCCAGCTACTCGAGAGACTCAGGCAGGAGAATTGCTTGAACCCGGGAGGCGAAGGTTGCAGTGAGCCCAGCCTGGTGACAGAGCGAGGCTCCGTCTCAAAATAAATAAATAAATAAATAAATAAATAAATAAATAAATAAGCCCAGCATTGTGGCATGTGCCTGTAATCCTAGCTACTTGGGAGGCTGAGACATGAGAATCGCTTAAACCCAGGAGGCGGAGATTGCAGTGAGCCGAGATCGTGCCATTGCACTCCAGCCTGGGCAACAGAGTGAGACTCTGTCTCAAAAAAAATAATTAATTTAATTTAATTTAAAAAGAGCGGGCTGGGCACAGTAGTTTATTCCTGTAATCCCAGCACTTTGGGAGGCTGAGGCAGGCAGATCACTTGAGGGCAGGAGTTCGAGACCACCCTGGCCAACATGGCAAAACCCCATCTCTACTAAAAATACAAAACTTAGTGCCAGGCACAGTGGCTCATGCCTGTAATTCCAGAACTTTGAGAGGCTGAGGAGGGTGGATCATTTGAGGTCAGGAGTTCAAGACCAGCTTGGCCAACATAGGGAAACCCCATGTCTACTAAAAATACAAAAATTATCTGGGTGTGGTAGTGCACACCTGTAATCCCAGCTACTCGAGAGGCTGAGGCACGAGAATTGTTTGAATCTGGGAGGAGGAGGTTGTAATGTGCCAAGATCGTGCCACTGCACTCCAGCCTGGGGGACAGAGTGAAACTGTCTCAAAAAAAAAAAAAAAAAAGAAAAAGAAAAAAAAAAAGAGTGGCCCTGCCTTTGCACCCACTGTTCCCTCCCCAGAAAGCTTCTCTCCACTGTCCCTTTAGCACCTTTTCACCTTTTGGGTCATAGCTAAAGTGTCATTTCTTCAGACCATCCATGAAAAAGTTTTCCTTCATAGGACATATATATATGTCTCTGTTCATTCATTTAACCTGTCTCACAAACTAGTTTGTAAACTTCATTAGGGCATGGATCTTCTCCAGTTTGTTCACTATGGCATATTCAGTATCTATTGCAGAGTGGTACATGGTTAATAGCTATTGACTAAACTAATAAATTTATCCATTTATCCATCCATGCACCCATCCCACTCATCCATTCATCCAAATATCCCCATGTTCATCAACCATTCAAACAGACTTTCATCTGCTCATCCACCTAACCATCCATCCATCCATCCTCATGTCCATCAGCCATCCCACCAAACTTTCATCTGCTCACCCACCTAATCATCCAGCCATCCTCCATTCATCCATCCATTCATCAATCCTCAACCATCCAACCAGACTTTCATCGCTCACCCACCTAGCTATCTGTCTATCCTCCATTCATCCATCCATCCCCCCATTCATCCATCCATCCATCTATCCATCCATCCTCATGTCCATCAACCATCCAACCAGACTTTCATCTGCTCACTCACCTAACCATCATCCATCCATCCATCCATCCATCCATCCTCATGTCCATCAACCATCCCACTAGACTTTTATCTGCTCACCCACCTGGCCATCCATCCATCCCTCCACCCACCTGCCTGTCTACTCACTTACTTGTGAATAAACTATAGAAATTTACTGATTGCTTGCCTAGTTTACCTGCCCATTTGTCGGCCTACTGCCTGCTCACTCATCTGTCTATCTATCCCTTTTCCACATGTCCACTCATTTGCTGTTTACTTCTCCGTCTACCCACCATCCATCTAGCCATCCATCCACATGCTTTTAACCATGCCCTGGGGAAAAAGGTCCTGCAAAACCAAAAATGAATTAGAACCCATTGCTGCACTTCCAGAGCTCCCTCTGCAGTCAGGAAAAGGTGGGGGGCTTCCCCTAGCCTAGGATCATGGCACCAGCCTCTTGGCCCTAGGATGCACATTTCTGTTGCCCCCTGTGATAGGAGTGCCCACATCTACAGTTTGCTGCCCTGGCCCTGCAGATGACCCAGAACCCAGTGACAGGCTTGAAGGAGCCCTACTTCCAACCGCACAGCTGCCTTTCCCACCTACTCACCAGCTCTGCAGCCATCCTCACTGTGGTGAGGGGACACTGGGCCTTTGCTCTGGAAGGACTGGCTCCTCCAGGGTGGGTGCACTGGAACCCTGGCAGTCCACTCTCCAGCTCTGACAGCCCTCTCTCCTGGCCCCCAGCTCTGTGTGGTGATGATTTTCCTGGTATCTGTCATAATTTACCATGGCATCATCAGCATTGCAATGTTCCACACTGGCAACTCTGTGCTCATGACCCAAGCGAATGTCCTTTGGGGCAATGGAGGGTGAGAGCACTGTTCCAGGCTCCAGGCCTAATGTGGGCATCTTCAGGTTTTTTTCATCCCACCAATGGATGGGCTCCCGGTAATGGCCCACCACACCCGCCTAATTTTTGTATTTTTAGTAGAAATGGGGTTTCACCATGTTGGTCAGGCTGGTCTCAAACTCCTGACCTCAAGTGATCCACCCATCTCAGCCTCCCAAAGTGCTGGGATTACAGGTGTGAGCCACCGTGCCTGGCCTGTTCTTCCTCTAAAACCAGGTAATGTGTTGCAAGGCTATCTTTGTGTCATCTGGGAACTGGGAGTCTGGTGTCTCCAGTCACCCTCAAGCGAGAGTGGCCAGGGACACATGGCTGGCATTAGGGGTTGGTAGGTTAAGGACAGGAGCATAGGGGCTGACCTGATGGGCTATGCCTGCCCCCTTGCGCCCAATAGAATTCTGACCAGCTCTGCCCTTTGTCCAGAGATGCCTCCATGAAAATGCCTTCACTTTCATTTTCAGTTTGTCAATTTCTATTCTTCTCCCTTCTACATGGCATTCTTCAAAGGCAGGTAAGGACCACTCCCCAAACCCCAGCCTTAGGGCTGTCGCCTCCCAAGGAAGCAGCCCAGCAAAGCAGCAGCACCCTTTGGGCTCCAGATTTGTTCCTAGCCAGGTCTTGCTATGGACCTTGAAGCTGGTTCTTGATTTCCCTGGGCGAAAGTCTTAGCAACTGTAATTTATGGGTACACCATTGCACAGCTGTAAAATCTAACACCTGCATTCAGTCTGTCCTACAGCCCTCACTGGGTGGCCCCAGGCCTGACAATGCCACCTCCCAATGCTGCAGTTTGAGTTTATCACCATCTTTTGGGGGCCTTCCTGCTGTGCACCCTTGGTTGGATGCTAGGGACACAGAAATGAATCAGAGCTGGTCCTTTTTCCTAGAAGCATTGAGTCTTTAATGAGATCTGGTTAGGAGTCATAAAATGCTGGACTCTCAGGAGGTGCTGTTATTGTGTAATTGCCATTGTCATTTGATGGGATGGGAGGGATGGTCACCAAAAGAGCCCACTCCCCAGCACAATGACCCCATCTTCCTGGGCCATAAATGCCACATTGGCTGATCATGGGTTGAGCAGTACATAGATTCAGGCCATGGTCCCAGCAGACTTCTGGGGCCTAGTAGGGTAGGCAAGGCCTCCCATCAGCTCTGTCAGCAGGGTTAGCTGTCAATTCAGGGGGTGGCCAGAGGACCAGGAGCAGTGGGGAGAGGGGGTCAGCCTCAGCATGGAGTTTAGCTGCAGCCTGGCTCCAGAGAGGGAGAGCAAATTACCCACAGATGCAGGGGGCCCTCAGGTTTGTGGGATACCCCGGTCAGTATGGCACATTTGCTCAGCATGCCGAGTGAGGATGTGATTATGTACCCCTGGGTTGCTGATTCTGGGGGGTTAGGGGGTAGTCATCACAACCTCAGGTCTGGCAGGGGTAGGATCTGCCTCTGGGGCCTCCAAAGTGGGTAGGAGGAGCAGGTGGCCAACTCTCTGCACCAGCAGGGAGGTGGGGTAACCCCTATGCAGCCCCAAAGCCCTGAGTAAGGTGCTCTGTGTCTGCCAACAACAGTGCGGTCCTGGTGGCTGCCACATTCAGGTCACCCAGCAGCTCATCATCATCATGGTGGGCAAACAGCTGCTCAACCACATGGAAGAATTTGTTGGGCTGTGAGTGTTGGGGGAAGAACGGGGGACAAGGCTGGGCCTAATCAGGCCATTTGGAGGGCTTTTATAAGAGCAGAGCAGAAAAACCCTTTACTGGGACAGAAGATACGGGCACAAGTCCTAGCCCTGCTTCTTGTAAGCTGCGTGGCTTTGTGTCTCTCTGGGCCTCAGTTTCGTCATCTGTACAATGGAGACAATAATACCTCTCCATGAGAGTTGAGGGGATTATGAGGCGTTCAACAGGAAACAGCTTTGCAAATGGAGGGCTTTCTATTACTATTTTTTTCAGGGGGCAGTGATATTTCAGAGACCAAGAATGACTATGTGGGAAGTGCAGAGTTGAGAGCACTGGACTCGAGTCTAACAGATTGGATTTGAACACTGGCTCCACCACTTACAATTTGGGGAGCCTGGGCCAAATTCTCCAGGTGTGTTTCCTCATCAATACAGTGGAAATCATCATGGTGCCTGCCTCTAAGGGGTGCTGGTGATAGAAGTGGCAGTTCCTAGCACAAGGCCCTGTTATGACCATTATCTGGTTGCCCTGCCTCCAGGAAACGGAAGGCTTGGTGGCAGAAGTGGCAGCTGGCAGGGCAGAGGGACACCCAGATCGGGCAGGAGCTGCAGCACTGGGAGAAGGAAGGACTATGAGCTCATCAAGTGTCAGGGCCTGTTTGATGAATACCCAGGGATGGAGGAGCAGTCGCTCAGCAGCGTGTGCCCTGGGCATGAGTGGGGCCCCTGGGGGCCTGGCACAACAGGGGAGGTGGCCCCGGGCCTGACACTCCCTGCCTGCCAGAGCTGCAGTTTGGGTTCATCACCATCTTTGTGGGAGCCTTCCTGCTGGCACCCCTGTTCACTCTGCTCAACAACCGGGTAGAGATTGGACTGGACGCCCACAAGTTCCTGTGCAAGTACCAGCGACCAATGGCTGGGCGCGGCTGGACATCTGGATCTGACTGCTCCTGCTGGAGGCCATGGTACACCTTGAGGTCACCGTGAATGGGAGTGAGGTAGATGAAGGGAATACAGGGGCAGGGGGCGGGGGAGATGGAGCTCAGAGACTGGGGAAGGGGGTTCAGGAATAGGGAAATACAGGGCTGGAGAAGGAAATCCGGGTCAGAGTTTGGGAAATAGGGGAGAGGAGGCTAGGATCCCGGGCCAAAGGCTCATCCTGCCACGGGAGGGGGTCTGGATCCGAGTTGGGGTGAGTTAGGGGGTTGGGCCCTGAAGGCCCTCTGGCTCTGCAGGCTTTCGTCTCGCCTTCATCTCGGACTTCTGCCGCATATCCCGTAACAGTACGAACACCACACCCAGCTGCACGGATTTGTGAATTTCACGCGGGCACCCGCGCCCCATGCCCACCTGGCCCAGAGCAAACACACTCTGCCCTTCAGGCTGGGGAGGAGGGGCGCGGCGGGAGGGGCGGGGCCCTGAGCTTTGGTGGGCGAGGCCTTCCTGGGAAGGGCGTGGCGCTGAGCCTTGGTTGGCGGGACGCTGAGGCGGGAGGGGCAGGGCTGTCTGGGAAGCACGGCGCTGAGCCTTGGTGAGGGAGGCCGGCCTGGGAGAGGGCGGGTGCTAAGCTTTGGTGGGCGGGGCCTGTCTGGGAGGGGCAGGTGCTGAGGAGGGAGGGGCGGGGCCTAGCTGGGAAGCCGGGAGCCGAAACTGGACGGGTGGGGTGGTGCCTGGCTGGGGTGCAGTGAGCTGATTCTGCCCCGGACAAATGCGCGGAGCCGGCTAGGGTACTGGCTGAACGGGCAGGGCCAGATTCTAGGGAGAAGGAGGGGAGGAAATGCGGGGTTCGGAGTCGAGATCCGAGAGCCTCTCCAGACCCCGCAACCCAGATACAAGGCCTCTCGCGACGTGGGGGTGAACCTCGCCCTCTTCTACTGGAAGCTGCTGGCTGTGCATGTGCATCTGGGTTTCATTATCGCCTTCGAGGTAGGCTCAGCCATCTGTCTTGGACAGACTTGGTTCCAAGTTCAGGCTCTGCCGCCGACCGGCTGGAAATTGGGATATATTATATAATAGGATCTACTTCATAGGGTCGTTATGAAGGTTCGGTGTCAAGCATTTGCACTGTGCCTGGCATGTTGTAGGTGCTCAATGAATTAATATCACAAATAATAATAACATTATCTCTTGGCAAGAGAAAGGAGAAACGAGAGGAAGCACTCTCCCACCAGCTTTGCTCTTTTACAAGCCCTGCCCTGACGTGGTTCCTAGTGTTAAGGGGTTCGAATCATACCTCTATGTCTTTGGGCAAATGGCAACCCCTTTCTGCTTCTGTTTCTTCGCTTGTGGAGTAGAAATTACCCCCAGCTCATAGAGTTGTTGTGAGGATTAAATGAATTCATATCCGGAAAACCTTCAGGTTAGGGTTTGGCTCAGGGTAAGCGCTCCATGAGTTAAGATCGCTAAGGCAATCATTCTCTCTTTTTGGCCCCCTTCTCCCCAGAATGTAGTGTTCTTCTTCCTGTGCCCCAACGACCGGCTCGTGCCCGATGTGCCAGCCCTGGCTACCAAGATAACTGCGCGAGCGCTACCTGGCCAAGCAGGCGGTGGCAGACAACCGGGAGACGCTGTTTCAGTCAGCAAGGCAGGCGGACCCCGGCCCCACCCGCAACATAATGACCATAATGACCACGCCCCTTGGCCTGCCCTCAAGCTTCAGCTCAGCCCTCTCTAGTTCAGCACTCTCTAGCCCCGCCCCCTTATTTGGCCTCATCCATTGGAGGGATTGGCTGGACTCCCTGTAGTTTCCGCCTGTTCCCGCCCATCATTAAGCTCCGCCCCCGCCAAGCCCCCTTTTCTACTTTATCTGCAAGCTGGGGTTGGGGGCTCTGCTCTGGAGTGCCAGCCTGCTCAGCCTGACCAAGCTGTGCTCTATGTCCGCACAAGGGACGCAGGGGCGTCCAGGACGCAGGGGCGAGTGAGGCAGGGCTGCCCTTCCAGGACCCTAGGTTCCCCAGGATGCTCCTCCTATTGGGGTCCTCTGGCTTCCAGTTACGCATCTGGGCAGTGTCCCAAGGCCGGTCCGGGAGTTGGATGAGAGGATTGGAGTTCCCTGGAGACCTCCAGACCTGCACTGCTACCCTTCCGTGTTCTTGCCTCCTGGCCTCTGTGCAATGCTGACAATAAACCTGTCTCTGCGTCCCAGACTGCCACCTCTCCACGGCCACCTGGTCCCCACCCACACGGTGCAGTGTCTCCTCACTATGTGGCAATGCTCTAGGGAGCCAAAGTGAACATGGGGGAGCAGAGGGACCCTAATGACTCTGAACTTAATGGCTGTCGGTTGGCAGCTAAGGAAAATACTTTGGGGCCGGGCGCGGTGGCTCACGCCTGTAATCCCAGCACTTTGGGAGGCCGAAGAGGGTGGATCACCTGAGGTCAGGAGTTCGAGACCAGCCAAACCAACATGGAGAAACCCCGTCTCTACTAAAAATACAAAACTAGCCGGGCGTGGTGGCGCATGCCTATAATCCCAGCTACTCGGGAGGCTGAGGCAAGAGAATTGCTTGAACCCGGGAGGCGGAGGTTACGGTGAGCCGAGATTGCGCCATTGCACTCCAGCCTGGGCAACAAGAGCAAAACTCCATCTCATAAATAAATAAATAAATAAATAAATAAATAAATAAATAAATACTTTGGGGGACTAGGGCATGGGCCATGAAACCTCTGCTGTGTATTCCGAGCCTGTAGTGTAAGAATAATAAGACCAATAAGAGTTTAGTTAGGTCAGCCGAGACACCCCGGATTACACTTTCACACACTTTTCACCACGAGACCCTCCTAAAAGCCTGGTGAGGCAGTACCAGGCAGTGGTGAAGGACTCAGGTTGGTGGTGGGGTCAGACAGACCTGGGTTTCTTTTCTTTTTTTTTTTTTTTTTTTGAGATGGAGTCTCGCTCTGTCACCCAGGCGGGAGTGCAGTGTTGTGACCTCAACTCACTGCAACCTCTGCCTCCCCACCTCCGTGGTTCAAGCAATTCTCCTGCCTCAGCCTTCTGAGTAGCTGGGATTACAGGTGTGCGCCACCACGCTCGGCTAATTTTTGTATTTTTAGTAGAGACAGAGTTTCACCATGTTGGCCAGGCTGGTCTCAAACTCCTGACCTCGTGATCCGCTGGCCTCAGACTCCCAAAGTGTTGGGATTACAGGTGTGAGCCCCTGTGCCCAGACTATTTTTGTGTTTTTAGTAGAGACAGGTTTCACCATGTTAGCCAGGCTGGTCTAGAACTCCTGACCTCAGGGGATCCACCTACTTTGGCCTCCCAAAGTGCTGGGATTACAGGCGTGAGCCACCACGCCCGGCCAGACCTGGGTTTCAATACTAGTCCTGCCCCTTATTAGCTGTGTGACAAGTTATTTAATCTCTCAAACCTTAATGTCATCTGTAAAATAGGGACTTCATAGAACTGATGAGAGATTTCAAAGGGATAATGCTCATGACTTAACTTGTTAAGTTGGCCCCCCATATCCTCAGGTTCTGCATCCTTGGGTTCAACCAACAATGCATGGAAAATGAAAATAAAAACAAAAAATAACAAAAATAATGACAATAAAAAATAATGCAAATAAAAAACATTACAGGATAACAACTATTTACATAGCACTTACACTGTATTAACGTGTTATAAGTAATCTAGAATTGATTTAAACTGTACTGGAGTGCCGGGCGTGGTGGCTCATGTCTATAAATCCAGTACTTTGGGAGGCCAAGGCTGGTGGATCGCCTGAGCCCAGGAGTTTGAGACTAGGCTGGGCAACCTGGTGAGATCCCATCTCTACAAAAAATACAAAAATTAGTCAGGTGTGGGGGTGCACACCAGTGGTCCCAGTTACTCAGGAGGCTTAGGTGGGAGAATCACCTGAGCCCAGGAGGTCGACGAGACTGCAAGTGAGCCCTGTAATTGCACCACTGTACTCCAGCCTGGATGACAGAGTGAGACCCTCTCACTTGAGGACATTTTATTTTATTTTTTGACAATAAATACATAAAATAGACTGGGTGCGGTGGCTCACGTCTATAATCCCAGCACTTCGGGAGGTTGAGGCGGGTGGATCACTTAAGGTCAGGAGTTCAAAAACCAGCCTGGCCAACATGGTGAAACCCTGTCTTGACTAGAAACAAAAAAAATTAGTAGGGTGTGGTGGCATGCGCCTGTAATCCCAGCTACTGGGGAGGCTGAGGCAGAAGAATTGCTTGAACCTGGGAGGCAAAGGTTGCGGTGAGCTGAGATCCCACCACTTGCTCCAGCCTGGGTGACAGAGCAAGACTCCATCTTAAAAATAAATAAATAAATAAATAAATAAATAAATAAATAAATAAATAAAATAAAATAAAATAAAATTTACTGGAGGATGTACAAAGGTTATAGCAAACACTATGACATTTTGTATAAGGGACTGGAGCAGCCATGGATTTTCGTATGGGAGGGTTCTAGAACCAATTCCCCACAGATTCTGGGTACCAAGGGACAACTGTACTCACCTGATAAGTGGTAGCAGTATCTACCTGACAGGGTCATGGTGGAGATTAAATGAGTAAATACATGTGAAGTGCTCAGGACAGTGCCTGGCACCTAGTAGGTGAACAATAAGTTAGCTTCATGACTATTAGTCTGTGTACACATCTGCATATTAATATTAGGTGCCTGGCAATTGCTGGTAGCTCAAACAGATGGCAGGTAGAATTAGGGGAAAATGCAGCTTCCCATTCCACAGGGTTGGGAAGATTGCATGCCGGGCATAGAGCATGCCCTTCTTATTGGAGGCAGTTTGACTTGGCTATTTGGCTTGGTTTATTGAGGGCTCAATTGGTATAGTCTGGGAAGGCTTCATGGTGGAGGCGGCCACTGGAGATGGTGGGGCAGGTCATTCCAGGCCGTGGGAAAGGATGGGGATTTGCAAGCAGTGGCTGTACTAGATGAGGAGAGGCTGTCCAGGATGATGCCACATGTCACATCATCAACTTTCAGGACTGATTTCTGTCTCCCAATCATAGGGATGAGTGTTCCAATTTGATAGATGTAGTAATAGGATCAGAGAGGGTCATCAGGGTTCTCAGGGTCCCTAAGGAGTGCAGGGCTTGGGAGGCTCTCTGTGAAGCTCCCAGGATGCTCCCCAGCTCCAAGAAGTCCCCTGAGCATGCTCATGTTTGGGAAGCTCCAGAAGAGTGGTGACCTGTCTCCTAGGAGCAGAAGCACTGCCTCCCCCGTCTTTAGGACCTGGGTGTAGGGTCCTTCAGAGCCTCACTTGGGCATAGGACTCCCATTGTTCCAGCCCCCCTCTTGTACCCCAGACTAGCCAAACCGGTTCTGGGGAAGGGGGGCGGGGAGCAGGCACGTTGAGACAGCCGCCTGCCTCTCTCTGCAAGGTTCCCTCCTCCTTCACCTCCCCCTCCCTGCCCCACACAATACCCAGGAGCTTGCCTTGCTCGGCTCTGGGGCCATGCTGACATGCTGACATCGCCCCCTGAGGACTTGGCTGCAACCCCAGAGCCCCCAGGGTGTCCCGGAGCCCTGGACCGTGCTGGCAGCTGGACGGAGCTCCCTGGCTGAGGTAGGGCCCCACCTGGGTGCCAGCAGTCCCATTCTCTTCCCGCCAGTTTTCCCCGCTGAGTGAGCCCTTTGTGCTGCCCGCCTGGTCTCTGATCCTGGCTCTGACCCACTATGGCCTTCTGGGGCTCTGTGAACCACTTGGCCTGGATCCACTTTCCAGCCATGACTTCCCACCTGGCTTTATTCCTTAAAGGGCAGAGAGGCTCTGGCAGGGTACCAGCTCTCCTGGGCAGCAAGGCAAGGGGCACCCGGGAGGGGGCAGGGAAAAGCTAGGTACAGGAGGCCAGAAACACTTTTTCTGATCATGGTAGTGTCCAGGGACTCTCTGGCAGCCTTGCTAAGTGGGCCCATCGTCTTCTGTAATTAGCAGCACCCACCAAGGGTACTTTCCTCGGCCCCTGCCCATCCTTCTTGGCCCAGAGACATTTATGATGAGACATGTTTCTTAGAGAGGGCATTGGGCGGTGGTGCGGTCCCTTAGGAGCCACTTTACAGATGGGAATACTGAGGCCAAGGGATGGGCTGTGAATTGCCTAAGGCCACACAGCTGGTCAGTGTCAACACTGGGCCTCAAAGCTTGGGCGGAGGTTATTCTTTTTGGGCTCCAGAGTGGCCCTTGCCTAGTAGACACAAGAGTCTCTATCCTGTGATCGTGCCTTGGGAAGGTAATGTCCCTGCTGTCTGGGGCCAGTTCTCTTTCTGAGGTTTTTGTTTGTTTTTTTCTAACAGAGATGAGCTACACACAATATGAACACAGCTTGTCCCTCTTAGCTCCCCAGCATTGAGGTTGGGTGGGCCAAACCCCTGGAGGGCCACAGGGCTGGCATCCCAGCTAGATGGGTCATTCTTATTACCCCTTGGCTTGAGCATAGGTGGAGGCTGACACACTCCTGACTTCTTCCCTGCTAGGGACCTGCCTCCAGCTTCATCTCCCCGGGAAGCCTTCTATGTCCCCTCTCCCCACATTCACCTAGCCTTCTCCTCTGCAGCCTTAACTGGGGGTGCTCCTGCTGCAAAGCCTCAATGTTTTGCCTACTTATCCCTGTGAGCCATGGGAGAGAGGGTCCCTCCCTGCCCTCCAGGAGCTTCCAGAACCCAAGTGCTAGAATCTCCCAGCATACAAAGGGGCAGGGGGCATGTGTACATGCCTGCACATGTGTGCCCCCAGAAGCAAGTGGGACTTCTGTGTCGAGGACTTCTGATTCCTGCAGAGAAAGAGACCCGTCTGTGGGCAGGGGCCTCCTTGTGCACACTCCTGCGATATAATGTGTGTCTCAGCCTCACTCCTTCATCTTCCCCATCTGTGTGAAGGCCTGAGCTGCCTTCTGTCTAGAGAAAGACTGATGATAATAAAAATACTATCCTATTTGCCGGATGAGGAGACCGAGGCTTAGGGAGACTCGCTCAGATGGGTACTTTTCAGGCTAGAGGGACAGAGGCTGATGGTACAAGCCAGAGTGGCCACCGTAGAGAGGACCCCTTTGGAGCAGCCAGTCCCCTTCTTCCCACCCTCCCAGACAGCAGGGTGAAGGGAGCAGGGGGAAGCAGTTGAGAAGCTGTGCAGAGAGACTGGGGCCTGCCATAGACCCAGCCATCTCTCGCTGGGTCCTCTTCTCCCTCCCTGTCTCCAATAGTGACTGACACTGTCACTGTTCAGGCCAAGGCTTTCCCTCTAAGTGCACTATGTATTTCAGCCGTGGAGCAGTTAACTATCACCTCCTCCAGGAAGTCTTCCTGGAATACCCAGGTTGAGTTGAGCCGAGCACCCTCCTCTGATGGTTCCTCTGGCTTGGCTCTTGCCAACCTGGATTGTAACTGTTTTCATTTTTGGCTCTCCCACTAGACTGGCAGCCCACGGGCATGAAATGTTTGTCCATCTGTCTCCCTGGGTTTTCTGGGCTTCATCTGTGTCTCTGAGGATCTGGTTGGCCTGAAATTGTCAGTGTCTCTGTCTCCATCTCTGGGTCCCTGAATGTCTCAGCATCTGTGGTTTTTCTGTTTTTGAACGTCTTGGGGTCTTGGTTTCTCAGTTACTGGCTAAGTGGTCTCTGTTTCTCTGGGTCTCTCTCAGTCTTCATTTCCTGGCTCTCCTGGTCCTGCCAGGCTGGGCACTGCCCCTTTGGCCTGAGGGGGCCTCTGGGGGGTCCTGGCTGCCCGGCCTGCCCACAGCGAGGCCAGGCTAGGGTAGGCCCCCGCCCAGCCCGCTGCCTGCTCCCTCCCTCCCTCCCTGCTTGCCTCACCACAGGGTTTGATGAATCAAACTCTTTGTCTGGGTGGGATCTCCCCCAGCCAGCTGGGCAGAGAGAGGGCTTCCCCTGCCGGAACAGCCAAACAGCATCAGCAGCGGGCCTGGGCCCAGAGAGGTGAGGGGCTGCAGGAGGGAGGCTGGCAGAGGGCCACAGGGCAAGAGCTGTGGGGGCTTGGGCCTCTCAGATCATCAGGCCTGCCCCGATCGGAGGGCTGGCTCCCCAGGGATAACTTCCTGCCCAGAAAGGACCCATCCAGCCTGGCCCACCCAGGGGCTGGAAGCTGGGGTGGGGGACAGCCCCTCTTTCACTCCAAGCCGGGGGTGCTGGGGCACCTCTTTGAACTTCGAGAAGGCCCCTGCCTGATCTGGGTGGTGGCCCGCCTGCCAGTCCATGACCCTCCCAGCCAACTTGGCATGGGTGTGGGCACCACTCAGCACTGAAGGCCGCAACTCTGGGCAAGGGTCGGGGAGATGGGGGGAGAAACATCAGAGCAAGGACCTGTGGGCTGGTGTGTGTCTGTGTGCATGTGAAGGGAACAGGAGGGTGAGAAATCTTGGGTGCCTGTGTAAATATCGGACGGGTCAGCGTGTTTGTGAGGAGTTGTCTGTGAATGTATGCGGTTGTGTAAAAATGTGTGTGTCTGTGACTGTGTGAGCCTGAGTTTGAAATGTCTGTATCTATGAAAGTGTACATGTCATTCTATACTTGGGAGAAAATGTAGTGTGGATGTATATGTTGGGAAATGGATTTGTGTGACAATGTATGTATTTGCATGTCTGGTGACATGTCAGTGTGTTTTAGAGAAGTACAAGGTGGTTAAAATCATCGATTTCAAAGCTAGAACGGCCAGGTTAGAATCCTGGCTCCACCATTTACCAAATAACCTCTCTGTGCCTCAGTTTCCTCACCTATAAAATGGGGATAATAAGAGCATCAACTCACAGCGTTGTTGTGAGGATTAAATGAGATAGTATGTGTAAAGTACTTGGCCTATCATTCAGGCAATGCCAAGCAAGTATCAGCTATTTCTATATAATTAGACATGTGAGTGTGTTTGTGGAGATGTGTGTACACAAGTGTACACAGGGGTTTGTCCAGGCCTCCAGGGGTGGTGGCTTACTGGCCAGCCCCACTGTCCTCTGTCTAGGTCTGATATCTTCTCTTCTGCAGGGCCAGGTGGGTGGCAGAGCAAAAGAGGAATGGACTGTGGGCCACCTGCTACCCTCCAGCCCCACCTGACTGGGCCACCTGGCACTGCCCACCACCCTGTAGCAGTGTGCCAGCAGGAGAGTCTGTCCTTTGCAGAGCTGCCCGCCCTGAAGCCCCCGAGCCCAGTGTGTCTGGACCTTTTCCCTGTTGCCCCAGAGGAGCTTCGGGCTCCTGGCAGCCGCTGGTCCCTGGGGACCCCTGCCCCTCTCCAAGGGTTGCTATGGCCATTATCCCCAGGAGGCTCAGATACAGAGATCACCAGCGGGGGGATGCGGCCCAGCAGGGCTGGCAGCTGGCCACACTGTCCTGGTGCCCAGCCCCCAGCTCTGGAGGGACCCTGGAGTCCCCGACACACACAGCCACAGCGCCGGGCCAGCCACGGCTCGGAGAAGAAGTCTGCCTGTGAGTCACCCTGGGGAAGGCGGGTGTGGGTGCCATGGCAGGGGGATAGGGGAGGGGCTGGGCAGCTCCTTAACCTTTATGTCCCAAGGTTCCCCCAAAAGTCAGGACAAGTGGTAGATTAGTGATAAGGAAACT
The DNA here is from genome assembly GCF_000001405.40 of Homo sapiens. Classification (NCBI taxonomy): domain Eukaryota; kingdom Metazoa; phylum Chordata; class Mammalia; order Primates; family Hominidae; genus Homo; species Homo sapiens. Next base: position 16,208,507 of record NC_000001.11, on the reverse strand, counting down.
AGTGGGGCTCAGGGAAGGCAAGTGACTTGTCCAAGGTTATGCAGTGAGTGAGTCACCATTCTGGGCAGCCTGATCCCTCTGTCTACTGCAGCCAGGCCCTGTGCTCTCCTTACCCCTCTCGTGGACCCCAGGGCTCTGGGGACCAGATGCTAGCAGAAACACAGGCCCTTCCCTTGGGCATGGTGCCTGAACCTCCCCAGGTGCTCAGGGCCAGGGGCAGCAGCAGGGAGGAGGTTGGGGGAGACCCCAGCCCGTGCTCTCACTCCTTGCCCCCAACCCTAGGGCGCAAGATGCGGGTGTACCAGCGTGAAGAGGTCCCCGGCTGCCCCGAGGCCCACGCTGTCTTCCTAGAGCCTGGCCAGGTAGTGCAAGAGCAGGCCCTGAGCACAGAGGAGCCCAGGGTGGAGTTGTCTGGGTCCACCCGAGTGAGCCTCGAAGGTCCTGAGCGGAGGCGCTTCTCGGCATCGGAGCTGATGACCCGGCTGCACTCTTCTCTGCGCCTGGGGCGGAATTCAGCAGCCCGGGCACTCATCTCTGGGTCAGGCACCGGAGCAGCCCGGGAAGGTACCAGCTCCTCCCATGGGCCCTGAGGGCAGCCAGATGCCGGGTGGGGGTGGGGGTGGGCGATGCCCACTCACCGGCCGCCTGAGGCCGTCAGGGTGCCTGGGCCGGGGCCCAGGCCCCAGGCCCACTCTCTGGACCCCCCACCCTCAGTTCTCGCCCTCTCCAGGGAAAGCATCTGGAATGGAGGCTCGAAGTGTAGAGATGAGCGGGGACCGGGTGTCGCGGCCAGCCCCTGGTGACTCACGAGAGGGCGATTGGTCCGAGCCCAGGTACCACCTCCCGTTTGGGCTTGGGTCCGAGACAGGGTGCAGGCGAACTAGGGCCGTGACGCTCTCTCTTTCCTAGGCTAGACACACAGGAAGAGCCGCCTTTGGGGTCCAGGAGCACCAACGAGCGGCGCCAGTCTCGATTCCTCCTTAACTGTACGTGGGAGGGGGGTCCCTGGGAGGAGGTAACGGAGGAAGGGGCTGCGGTGTGGAAACGGGGAAAAGAGGGTTTGGAGAGTTGAGAGGTAGGGATCGAGTGAGAAACGGAGAATGGAACTGTCGGTATCTAGCACTCAGTAGGTGCTCAATTTGTTTATGGAATGAATGAATGAATGAATGAATTCACTGTGTCCAGATATCCGAACCGCGGCAAAGGTTAAGTGACGCGGGCTCTTGAGGGAACCGAGGAAAAGCCGGGCAGGGGCTGGCGGGCGCCCCACGCTCTCCCCCGCCCGTCTTTCCCCCAGCCGTCCTCTATCAGGAATACAGCGACGTGGCCAGCGCCCGCGAACTGCGGCGGCAGCAGCGCGAGGAGGAGGGCCCGGGGGACGAGGCCGAGGGCGCAGAGGAGGGGCCGGGGCCGCCGCGGGCCAACCTCTCCCCCAGCAGCTCCTTCCGGGCGCAGCGCTCGGCGCGAGGCTCCACCTTCTCGCTGTGGCAGGATATCCCCGACGTACGCGGCAGCGGCGTCCTGGCCACGCTGAGCCTGCGGGACTGCAAGCTGCAGGAGGTGGGCGCGCGCGGGGACCCGGCGGGGCGGGGGCGGGCCGGGGAGTACGCGGTCCGGGGACTTAGCGGGAACCGGGCCATAGAGGGAGGGGGACACACAAAGGGGGTTGCTGGCGCGACTGTCCGCGCGGAAGGTTGGCTCTAGGACCTGACTACACGAGGCCGTCTGGAAGCGAGGACAGCAAGCCGCTGAGCGAGAGGCGAGGGGAGCCGGGCTTGGGTGCGGGTAGGGGGCGGAGCCAGCGGGACGAAACCTAGGATAGGACAGGGCCGGATGAGGAGCGGAACCATTGGAAGAGCAAACGCCTGGTGGGCGCGGAACAAGGCGGGGCCAGGATCAGGGGCGGGACCTGGGGGGTGGGCGGGGCTCTGGGAAGAACGCGTCGGGGCGGGGCTTAGGAGAGGGGCGGGATCGAGGACAGGAAAGGCTTGCACAATTTCCCGCGGCGGGACGTGGGTCGCCGGGCCCGCCCGGCGCCAGATTAGGAGTGGGGCTAGAGAAGGGGCGAGGACGCGAGGTGTGGCGTCCTGGGGTCTGGGGATGTGAGGCCAGGGCCTCCGAGGTGAACTGGTCCTGCCCTTTCGACCCCGTGTGTGCCCTCCCTCAGGCCAAGTTTGAGCTGATCACCTCCGAGGCCTCCTACATCCACAGCCTGTCGGTGGCTGTGGGCCACTTCTTAGGCTCTGCCGAGCTGAGCGAGTGTCTGGGGGCGCAGGACAAGCAGTGGCTGTTTTCCAAACTGCCCGAGGTCAAGAGCACCAGCGAGAGGTGAAGAAGTGGTCTGGCCTGGCCCGGGGTGGGGACGGAGCCAGTGGTTGGCCAGCTCCCAGATCTGGGGTCTCCATCCTGGCTCTGACTCCTCAGGTTCCTGCAGGACCTGGAGCAGCGGCTGGAGGCAGATGTGCTGCGCTTCAGCGTGTGCGACGTGGTGCTGGACCACTGCCCGGCCTTCCGCAGAGTCTACCTGCCCTATGTCACCAACCAGGCCTACCAGGAGCGCACCTACCAGCGCCTGCTGTAGGGCTGGGGGCTCTGAAAGGGGCGGGGGCGTGGAGGGAGTCTCAGGCAGGTGTAGGCACTGAGGGCTGGGTGACGTAAGGTGACTCTGGGAGGGGAGGGGTCCCTGAAAAGGTCTCTGTGACCAGGATAAGGTGAGATGCAACCCCAAAGGGCAGTAAGGATGTGCTGAGAAGCCCCCTGAGGACCCCGTGGATGGCCAGGGTTGTGGATCCCAGGAATTCAGGCCTACCTGTGATTCCAGAGTCCTCCCCATTTTCCAGCCTGGAGAACCCCAGGTTCCCTGGCATCCTGGCTCGCCTGGAGGAGTCTCCTGTGTGCCAGCGTCTGCCCCTTACCTCCTTCCTTATCCTGCCCTTCCAGAGGATCACCCGCCTCAAGATGTTGGTGGAGGTACCTCGAGGGGACAGGCCACAGTGAGGGCTGGGCGAGGGAGATACACCTGTGGGCGGGCCGGGTCTCGGGAGTATGAGGACTGCCTCATTGTGCTGATCCCACCTTCCAGAACATCCTGAAGCGGACAGCACAGGGCTCTGAAGACGAAGACATGGCCACCAAGGCCTTCAATGCGCTCAAGGAGGTGAGCTGGGCAGGGCAGGGGCTGCTTGGCTCCTGAGGCCCCCCCTGGACCCCCAGCACGTCTCTAAAACAGCCCCCAGCTGTCAGAGTCTCCGGTCCCCAGGCAAGAGTCTGAGGCTGGGCTCTGGGAGCCGGAGCTGAGGGGCTGCAGGTGACCTCCCCACGGCTCCCCCAGCTGGTGCAGGAGTGCAATGCTAGTGTACAGTCCATGAAGAGGACAGAGGAACTCATCCACCTGAGCAAGAAGATCCACTTTGAGGGCAAGGTGTGTGTCTGCAGCCAGCGGGATGGGGACCCCAAGGGGCAGCTCTTGTTTCTTCCTTGCCCTGGGGGCTTCAGGCCAGTTAATCGCTGCCCACACCCTCCCATCTACCATCTTGTGCTCTCTGCCTGGTGCCCCTGGGCCTGACCCATCCTTCTCCATCCCTCTAGATTTTCCCGCTGATCTCTCAGGCCCGCTGGCTGGTTCGGCATGGAGAGTTGGTAGAGCTGGCACCACTGCCTGCAGCACCCCCTGCCAAGCTGAAGCTGTCCAGCAAGGCAGTCTACCTCCACCTCTTCAATGACTGCTTGCTGCTCTCTCGGCGGAAGGAGTGAGTCGGGGCAGTCAGGGGTGGGTAGGTAAAGTGGAGCCAGGCTCTCTTCCTCCCCACCACTGGGCTTATGACCAGTCCATCCCTGGGCCTGGGAGTCCCTGCCTGTGCCAGGGTATGCTGCCAGGGCACCCTGAGATTTGGAGGCTCCTGAAGCAAAGGCAGAGATGTGAGACAAGTCCATGTTCCAGAAGGGAGAATCAAGGGCTAGACTGTATGCCGAGGACTTGGAGATGCTGTGAGCTTCAGCCAGTAAGAGCAGAGACTAAGAGCATAGCCCTAGAGTCCCAACTCTGCCCTGAGTCACAGCTATGCCAGAAGCCAACATTTACTCAGTACCTACTCTGTGCAAGGCATGCTACGTGGATTATTCCCTTTAATCCTCCAAATACCTCCCTGGGAAATAGGCTTCTCTGTTACTCTCAGATCATGGAGCTAGTAGGTGGGGGAGCCAGGAGGATGCCAGCTCTGTCTGATGGCAGCACCATGCCTGACTCACAGTGAACACTTGTTCAGTATTAGCTGGGATTGTTAGGAAGAGTGAGGTAGAAGACTACCTGGATAAGGTGAATGGGATAAAGGATGGACATGTGGGCTGGGCACGGTGGCTCACACCTGTAATCCCAGCACTTTGGGAGGCCAAGGTAGGAGGATCACTTGAGTCTAGGAGTTCAAGACTAGCCTGGGCAACATAGTGAGACCCCATCTCTTAAAACAAAAAAGGATGGACATGTTATGCTATAAGAAGAATTCATTCCTGATTTGTTTGTTCATTTAGTAAACAGTCACTGAATCTCTGTTCTGTAGCAGGCCAGTGCTAGGGACATAAATATGAATGAGACTTGTTTTCTGCTCACAGAAGCTCTCAGACAGTGAAAATACATTCTGACAACCATATCATCAGGGTTTTGATATAAGGGTGTACTGCGGTATTTCCTGGTGTGGAGTGAGAATCAATAAAGCTTCATAGAGGACAGGACATTTGAGCTGGGTTTTGAAGGATGAGTAGGAGTTTTCCAGGTAGACAGGTAGTTTGAGTGCAGGAGTACAGCAGAGTCATGGTAGGGTAGAAGAGCGGAATGTGTGTTTGGGAATCATGAAGCCTAATGTGGCTGGATTTGTAAAGGAGAAAGGCAGCAGAGGGAAGTTGGGATGTTGAAGGTCATGATAGAGAGGTTGGACTTTTTCTGAGGCAGCAGGGAGCGTGGAGAGTTAAGCAGAGGGATGATATTTTGCTCCTGGCCAATTTGGAGGATGAACTGGAAGGGGAGAGGCCAGAGGGTCTTGCAGTTGCTCAGGAGAGGGTAGATGCTCCAGAAGTGGCAGGGTACTTCAGGATAAGTGGATTCAAGGGACAATAAGGAGGAAAGACAGGACATAGCTACCAGATGGGTGTAGGGGGGATGGAAAGGGAAGAGGTGAGCATGACGTCTGAGTTTCCTCTTGGGCAAACTGGTGGGGTCTTTCACTGGAATGGAGAACAGTAAAGGGGATCTGGCTTGGAGTGGGAGAAGCTGAGTTTTTTCTGATGCCGAGTTTTGTTGAATGAGTTGACGTCTGTGGAACACCCTCCACCCATCCTGCCTACAAGTACTTACTGAGCCCAAATTGTGGGTCAGGCAGTATCATCAGACACTGAGATACAGTGGCAAAGAGACGAGGCTCAGCCTTCGTGGGGCTTATATACTGGAAGAGAGTTAGACACTCCTCAGGGGAGCTGTCCAGTTGGCTCTTTGGAACAGACGCTTGGCAGAGAGGTTCAGAGAGAGGTCATGAATCGCTTGAACCTGGAAGGCGGAGGTTGTGGTGAGCCGAGATCATGCCACTGCACTCCAGCCTGGGAGACAGAGCGAGACTCTGTCTTAAAACAAAACAAAACAAAAAGCCAAAAAACTAACAAATAAAAAAACAAAAAAAAGAGAGAGAGAAAGGTCAAAAGTGTGCTTGGGGCTCAGGGACTGGTCTCCATCACCTCCAGCCTCCACCAGCAAGCCAGCGGGGAAGGAGCTCTTGGTTCCTTGTGGGGACTAGCAGTGCCCTATCCAGAAGCAGGACCCTGTGAGAACGCTGGCAGGGCAGGCAACCCCTTCTCCCCACTTCCAGTCAGAACCCACCTGATCCCGAGGGTGGGTGCCTAGAGCCAGGGCCCAGGCCAGGCTGACCTCCCCTCCCCCGGTCCTCCAGGCTAGGGAAGTTTGCCGTTTTCGTCCATGCCAAGATGGCTGAGCTGCAGGTGCGGGACCTGAGCCTGAAGCTGCAGGGCATCCCCGGCCACGTGTTCCTCCTCCAGCTCCTCCACGGGCAGCACATGAAGCACCAGTTCCTGCTGCGGGCCCGGACGGAGTGAGTGGGCCTGGATATGGGAGAGAGGAGGCTCCCCCTCCCCATGACAGGCACCCCGTCCCCATGATGGGCACCCCGTCCCCATGGCGGGCACCCCTGGGACATCCTGGCCTTGTTCCTCCCCAAGTGCTCAACTCTTCCCTGACTTGGGCAGGACACAGGGGCAGAGGGCAGGGCTGGAGGCCAGAGTAGGGGTGCCTGCCCCACAGGTGGTGTCAGGGGGCTGCCACCTCCTCCTCAGCCTCTGGGCATCTCTTGGATGTAAACCTCCACACCCTGCTATCTCTGGCTTCAGGACTGTGGCATTAGGCAGGATGGGGGTAGGGCTGGCATCCAGGGGGTTCTGGGCCTGTTATGCTCAGAGCTGGGTGGGGCACAGGCTTGGGAACCGGGTTGTGGGGTGGGCCCTGGGGTGGGGCAGACATGGGTCCCTAGGGTAGGCCTGGGTCCTAGGCCTGGACATCATGTCTGGCTCCCCCAGCCTTGGTTTCAGCACCCTGCCCTGGGCAACTGCACTTTGCATATTGTGACAACTTAGCCTCCCCCTTCCCTAGAAGTGAGAAGCAGCGATGGATCTCAGCCTTGTGCCCCTCCAGCCCCCAGGAGGACAAGGAGGTCATCAGTGAGGGGGAAGGTAGTAGCTCATCCCTGCTGCTTACATCCCTGGGCTGGACCCTCGCCCGCTCTCCTCCCCTCCCATCCTGGGTGCTGTGTTGCTGGCAGGGCTATGGGGAGAGAGACCAACTTCTGGGGCAGTCAGGGGTAGCTCTGAGGAACCTTGAAGGCTGGGCAGAACTTACATAGCACAGGTGGACTCTGTGTCCACAGGCAGCATCCTGGAGATCATAAAGCCTTCGTAGCCTCCCATTTCACCCCTGTTTTACAAGTTAGAAGAGAGGTTCAGAGATAAATGGACTTGTGTAAGTTCACCCAGCCAGTAAGTAGCAGAGCCGAGACCAGAGCCCAGGTCTGTCTCCATCTTTGCGTCAGTTGCAAACAAGACAAGAAGCAGCCAGAGCCAGGGTATGAGGGGTGGTGGGGGTAGTGGTGGCAGGTGAGGCATCTGCTCAGCTGGAATAAAGGTTTTTCCTTTGGGTGTGAAGTGAGGCTGGTAAGCCAGGGTGCGACCTAATCATAGAGAGCCTTCCTATAGTGTCCCTAGGGAGCTATTGAAGGTTTGTTTGGGGTTTTTTTGAGACAGGGTCTTGCTGTATTGCCCAGGCTGGAGTGCAGTGGCATGATCATGGATCACTGTAGTCTCAACCTCCTGGGCTCAAGTGATCCTCCTGCCTTAGCCTTTTGAGTAGTTGGGACCACAGATATGCACTACCACACCTGGATACCACACCTCTATTTTTATTTTTTGTAGAGATAGGGTATTGCTATGTTGCCCAGCCTGGCCTCAAACTCCTGGACTCAAGCAATCCTTTCCCTTCAGCCTCCCAAAGTGCTGGGATTATAGGCATGAGCCATTGTGCCTGGCTTATTGGAGGCCTTTATTTATTTATTTTTTTGGAGACACAGTTTTACTCTGTACCCCAGGCTGGAGTGCAGTGGCACAATCTCTGCTCATTGCAACCTCCACCTCCTGGGTTCAAGTGATTCTTATGCCTTAGCCTTGCGAGTAGCTGGGATTACAGGCACTTGCCACCACGCCTGGCTTTTTTTTTTTGAGACAGAGTCTCACCCTGCCATCCAGGCTGGAGTGCAATGGCACAATCTTGGCTCACTGCAACCTCCACCTCCCAGGTTCAAACAATTCTCCTGCCTCAGCCTCCCAAGTAGCTGGGATTATAGGCGCCTGCCACCATGCCCAGCTAATTTTTGTATTTTTGGTAGAGGCAGGGTTTTGCCATGTTGACCATGGCTGGTCTCGAACTCCTGGCCTCAAGTGATTCACCTGCCTCAGCCTCCCAAAGTGCTGGGATTACAGGTGTGAGCCACTGCACCCAGCCTTAATGGAGGCTTTTGAGCAGAGGAGTTAGGGCTGAGCTTTAGGTAGTAAAGGGAAAGAAAGGGCACTCATGCCCACTGAGCGCCTGCCATAGGCCAGGCCCAGGGCTAGGGGCCTTGTATTTGCATTAAATCTAATTTAATCCTCATGGCAACCCTACTAGGTAGACATTTTTCATATCTGAGAAAACTCAGGCTTAGAAGGTGAAGTAAATTGGTCACACAGCCAGTAAGCGGCAGAACTGGGATTCAAGCGAGGTCTGGCCCCTCAGTCTGTGGCTTTGGATGCTACCAGCCCACCTGGTCTAATGAAAAGAGCTGAGGACCAGGAAGGGGGTAGATGCTCTGGCTTGAGCTAGGAGTCCCACCTGGGTGGGGGTAAGCTCTCTATTCCCAGGTGGTCAGGGGAGGTCCCTGGCAATTAACATCTGACCCCTGAAGGATGAGGAGAGGTTGTCACGAAAAGATCTGGGGAAGAGCATCTGGCAGAAGGAAGAGCCAGCACAAAGGCCCTGGGGCAGGAGGGAGCTTAGAGTGAGGAACAGCAGGGAGGCTGGTGTGGCTGGAGCTTTGTGAGCGAGTAGGGAGGGAAAGTGGAGGGGAAAGTAGGGAGGGAAAGTGGAGGGGAGAGTAGGGAGGGAAAGTGGAGGGGAGAAGACGAGGATAGCAGGGGGCGATGCCAGACCATGAAGGGCCTTGTAGGGCCTAGGGAGGACTTTGGATTTTATTCTAAGAGGACTGGGAAGCCCTGGAGGGCTTTAAACGGGAGCGATGCAGCTTGAATCCCAGTTGGGAAGGATGGGCCAAAGGGAGCACCAGAGTGATGTTAGGGGCACATTGCAGGGCCGTTACTGTTTTCTGTGGGGTATCTGGGGGCAGTTGGACGTTGGGGTCTGAAGGTCACAAGCAAGGTGTTGGCTTGAGCTGGGGAGGGGACAGCCCTTGGTATAGAGGCAGAAACTGAAGCTGGGAGGGACTGGATTAATCCTGCACTTGTGTTTAGGGTAGGAGAGGAGATAGGCCAGGGTGGGCAGAGGGTATGCCTGCTTGAACGTGGGCCTGTGGCATGGCAGTGGCAGAGGAATAGAAGCCTCAATGGCCACCTTCCCACCCCCTTACTTCCTCCTACTGCCCCTCCCTGCCCTACCCATGCTCCTCCCCCTGCCATCCTGCCCTTGGGACTCCCTGAGCCTCCCTTGGGCTGTCAGATTGCCCCCAGGTTCAGTGTGTTAGGACATACAAGGCACTGCACCCAGATGAGCTGACCTTGGAGAAGACTGACATCCTGTCAGTGAGGACCTGGACCAGTGACGGTGAGGGGGCCTCCTGGGAAAGTGTCCCTGATGGGGCTTGGGTGGGCAGGAGGTGGCTAGATGACTAAGATATCACAGGGAAAGGTTCTGCAAGTGTTGATCTGCCACAGCATGTGGGAATCAGGTTAGATGAGAGGAGGAACTTCCTGCTTGTAAAGATATAGGATGGAGAGTGATGGGGGAGAGTGGGAAATACCCTTTCAGAGGATATCAGGAAAAACAGGTCAGAAGTTCATCTGCAAGACAGCTCAAGACAGGGTCCTTCCTGGAGCTGAGAGATGCTGAGATGATGTCACCTTGGCCCCAAGGGTGCAGACAAAGCTTGCATCAGGGCTGTGGTGTTCCCTTCCAGGCCTGGCCCTGGTACCCCTTTGATGCTGTTGTTCTTGGCCTATGTGTCCCTAGGCTGGCTGGAAGGGGTCCGCCTGGCAGATGGTGAGAAGGGGTGGGTGCCCCAGGCCTATGTGGAAGAGATCAGCAGCCTCAGCGCCCGCCTCCGAAACCTCCGGGAGAATAAGCGAGTCACAAGTGCCACCAGCAAACTGGGGGAGGCTCCTGTGTGATGGGCAGCCATGGCCTAGGACCCCACCTCCATGCCTGGCTCCTGGATGGTCCTGGAGGGGCCTGCAGTGTCTCCATTCCCCAAGCTGCTCCTGCTGGCACTTCGCTTCTGTGGCCTTGGCATTGAGGGCACAGGCTGGACACAGGAATGGGGGCGCCTCCAGAGGGTCTCTCCGTCCTCATGCTCCTCAGTGTCCACACTTCAAGGCCAAGGATAGTTTCTTCCTCTGACATGGGGACCATAACAGGTGATCACTGATACCTGGCAAAGACTGGGGCCCTCTCCTTTCTATGTCCTCAATCCTGCCTGACTCTTGGTCCTTCTGGCAGGGACCTGGCTGGGGAACGTTCTGGTGCTGATGGTGCTGGGACCTATATGTATATTTATATATATCTGGGGTCTTGTCTACCACCTCCCCTGGTCAGAGCCTGAGTGGGTGCTGGTTGCTGTGTCTTGTCTGTAAATAAACTCCTATCATGCCTTTGCTTGGAGTCTGTGATCCATCTGATGCTGCCCCCACCCCCACAGTCCTATTTTCCCAGCTAAAGACCAGGAGAGTCTCCGGCTGGCTCCCAACTGGGGCTTTGCATTTCTCTAGAGTTCATCTCTGAGCTGTAAGGGTGACCAGGGGGCAGGGGGACGATTGTGTATCAGCTAGGCTGCTTTTGGCTGCAAGTAACAAAATATCAGATACAAATAGGCTTAAACATTAAAGAGATTTGATTAGTTCTTTATTTGTTTCCTGTGGCTTCTATAACAAAATTACTTCAAACTGAGTGACTTAAAACAATATTTTCTTCTCTCACAGTTCTGGAGGCCGAGTCCAAAATCAGCAGCACTGGGCCCACACCCAGGGGCTGTACCCCCTCCCGGGGCTCGAGGGGAGAGTGGTTCCTCACCTCTTCTCGCTGCTGGTGGCTGCCGTGTTCCTTGACTTGCAGCCGTATCACTCTGATCTCTGCCTCCGTGGTCACACTGCCTTCTCTGTGTGTCTATACCAAATTTCCCTCTGCCTCCCTCTGATAAACAAGTGATTGCATTTCAGGCCCACCCAGATAATCTTCCCATCTCATAATCCTTAATTTAAATCACATCTGCAAAAACCCTCTGCGCCCCCGCCCCCCACTTTTTTGTCATATGAGGTAACATTCACGGGTTCCAAGGACTAGGGCATGGATATCTTTTGGGGGCCATTTTTCAGCCCAAGCTGGAGTGCAGTGGTGCAATCTTGGCTCACTGCAACCTCCACCTCCCTGGTTCAAGTGATTCTCCTGCCTCAGCCACCTGAGTAGCTGGGATTACAGGTGTCTGCCACGATGCCCGGCTAATTTTTATATTTTTAGTAGATAAGGGGTTTCACTATGTTGGCTAGGCTGGTCTTGAACTCCTGGCCTCAAGTGATCCACCTGCCTCGGCCTCCCAAAGTTCTGGGATTATAGGCATGAACCACCATGCCCAGCCCCTCCCACAGTTTTTGTCACTGAGAAGTATAGAACCAATGCAGGCTTCAGGCAAGGCTTGATCCAGTGGCTCAATGATGTCACTGAGGACCCAGATCTTTCCATTTTTCTACTCTGTTGTCCTTGGTGTTGGCTTTATCCTAAGGCTTCCAGGGGCTTCTTCATTCACATCAAACATGGAATAAGAGAATTGTCCTTGTCTCAGCCTTCCCAGAGTCCTGGGATTCTCTCTGGTTGGATCAGCTTGGCTCACATGGCTACCTCTGGGCTGATCATGGCGGTGCGGATGGGCCTAGCCTAAGTCCTGTGCTCTATCCCTGGAGCCAGGCTGGGGAGTTGTCTTCCCTGGAATCCCGTGGATCCCCAAGTGGAACGTGGTGGCTGCTGCAAAGGAGGGGTGGGTGCTAGAGAGGCCAATGCTTATTACATCACCCAAAAGAGTGGAAGGGCCTGGGAATAATGAACTTGGAGATGTGAACACCTGTGGGGCTGGGAGCATCCTTCAACCCTCCAAGGGAGGTCATGGGGCAAAGAAAACAGGTGAGTCAGGGTGATCCAGAGGGCAAACGTGGGACAGGTGGGGAGAAGCTCAGATCCATGAGGAAGTCTCTGGGAATGACTTTCTATCATGGTGTAGTATAGGGACGAAGGAGCATGTGGGCTTAGGAAGCAGACACATTGGAATTTTTTAAATTTTTTTATTATTTTTTTATTTTTTAGACAGGGTCTTGCTCTGTTGCCCAGGCTGGAGTGCAGTAGTGTGATCATGGCTCACTGCAGCCTCCCAGGCTCAAGCAATCCTCCCGCCTCAGCCTCCTGAGTAGCGGGAACTACAGGTGTGCACCGCCCTGCCCAGCTAATTAAATTTTTTTTAAGTTGAAATTTTGCCATGTGTTGCCCAGGCTGGTCTTGAACTCATGGGTTCAAGTGATCCTCCTGCCTCAGCCTCCCAAAGTGCTGGGAAAACAGGTGTGAGCCATCATGCCCAGCCTTGAATTTTTTTGTTTTTTGTTTTTTGTTTTTTTGATTTTTTTTTTCTCGAGACGGAGTCTTGCTCTGTCACCCAGGCTGTAGTGCAGTGGTGCAATCTCAGCTCACTGCAACCCCTGCCTCCCAGGTTCAAGTGATTCTCCTGCCTCAGCCTCCCGAGTAGTGGGGATTACAGGTGTGTGCCACCGTACCTGGCTACTTTTTGTATTGTTAGTAAAGACAGGGTTTCACCATGTTAGCCAAGCTGGTCTCGAACTCCTGACCTCAGGTGATCCACCCACCTTAGCCTCCCAAAGTGCTGAGATTACAGGCGTGAGCCACTGCGCCCAGCCTCCAGCCTTGAATTTGAATTCTGCTTCTGACATCTATATCCCATGTGATTTTAAGAAATGAACTTTTTGTTTTGGAATACTTTTAGGTTTATAGAACAGTTGCAACAATGGTACAGAAAGTTCCATCCACCCCTTTCACAACTTCCCCCATTGTTAGCGTCTTACGTGACTACGGTACAGTAGTCAAAACTAAGAAACCAACACTGGTACACTGCTATTAACTCAACTCCAGACTTGATTCGGATTTCACCAGTTTTCCCACTAATGTCCTTTTCTGTTCCAGGATCCAATCCAGGATCCCACATTGCGTTTAGTTGCCGTGTCTTAGTCTTCTGTGGTCTGTGACAGTTTCTCAGTGTCTCCTTGGTTTTCATGACCTTGACAATTTCAGAAGTTCTGGTCTGTGGACTATCCCTCAATTTGGGTTTATCTGATGTTTTTCTCATGACTAGCCAGGAGTTATGGGTTTGGGGGAGGAATACCACAGAGGTAAATAAAGTGCGCTTCTCATCACGTGATGCCAGGAGGCACGCGATGTCCACGTGACTCGTCTCTGGCAATGCTAGCCTTGATGACTTGGTGAAGGTGGTGTCTGCCAGGTTTTTCTTTTATGAAGTTACTCTTTTTCCTCTCTCTTCTCTTACTTTCTTTCTTCTTCTTTTTTTTTTTTTTTTTTGATGGAGTCTTGCTCTATCGCCCAGGCTGGAGTGCAGTGGCACGATCTCAGCTCACTGCAAGCCCTGCCTCCCAGGTTCACGCCATTCTCCTGCCTCAGCCTCCCAAGTAGCTGGGACTACAGGTGCCCGCCACCACGCCCGACTAATTTTTTGTATTTTTAGTAGAGATGGGGTTTCACTGTGTTAGCCAGGATGGTCTCGATCTCCTGACCTCGTGATCCGCCCGCCTTGGCCTCCCAAAGTGCTGGGATTACAGGCGGGAGCCACCGCGTCCAGCTTCCTTCCTTCCTTCCCCTTCTTTCTTTCTTTCCTTTCTTCTTTTCTTTCTCCCTTTCTCTCTCCTTTTCCCTTTCCCTTTCTTTCTCCCTTTCTCTCTTTCTCTCTCTCTTTCTTTTTCTTCCCTTCTTTCTTTCTTTCTTTCTTTCTTTCTTTCTTTCTTTCTTCCCTTCCTCCCTCCTTTCCTGCCTCTCTTTCTCTCTTTCTCTTGCTTTCTTTTTGAGACAGAGTCTGGCTCTATTGCCTAGGCTGGAGTCCAGTGGTACAATCGTGGCTCACTACAACCTCTGCCTCCCAGCCTCAAGCCATCCTCCCACCTCAGCCTCCCGAGTAGCTGGGACCAGAGGCACATGTCACCACACCTGGCTAAATTTTTTTTTTTTTTTTTTTTTTGTAGAGATGGGGTTTTGCCATGTTCCCCAAGCTCATCTTGAACTCCTGGGCTCAAGTGATCTGCCTGCCTTGGCCTCCAAAGTGATAGGATTACATGTGTGAGTCAATTTTTTTAATTTTAATTTTTTGTAGAGAAGAGGTCTTGTTATGTTGCTCAGGCTGGTCTTGAACTCCTGGTCTCAAACAATTCACCCTCCTCAGCCTCCCAAAGTGCTGAGATTGGCCAGGTGTGGTGGCTCATGCCAGTAATCCCAGCACTTTGGGAGGTTGAGGCGGGCGGATCACCTGTGTCAGCCTGGGCAACATAGTGAGACTCTGTCTCAAAACAAAACCAAAACAAAAAAAAAAACCAAAGTGTTGGGATTTCAGACATAAGCCACCATGCCTGGCCAACTATTTTATTTTTATTTTTTGTAGAGACGGGGTGTCACTGTGTTGCCCAGGCTGGTCTTGAACTCCTGGGCTCAAGCGATCTACTAACCCCAGCTTCCCATGAGGTTGAGATGAGCCACCATGCCCAGCCCCCTTTTCAAATTCTGTTCTTTGGAAGCAATTTGAGCCCACATTCAAGTTGGCGGGGGCGGATATACTTGGGGCCAATTATTTGGAATTCTTCTGTAAGGAAGTTTTATTCCTTTCCTTCCATTTATTTGGGAAGTCATTTACAGTCATGCATTGCTTAATGGTGGATACATTCAAAGAAAGCACTGTTAGGCAATTTGGTCATTGTGAGACCATCATAGAGGGCTGTTACACGCACCTAGATGGAGGAGCCTGCTACACACTTAGGCTATGTGGTGTAGCCTACAGCTCCTGGTAACCTGTGCTGCATGTTACTGTACCGAACACCGTAGGCACGTTACTGTACTGTAACACAGATCACTAGGCAATAGGAATTCTTCAGCTCCGCTGTAACTTTATGGAACCACCATCATCTATGCGGTCCATTGTTGACTGGCAATGTAGAATGTCACTATGCAGCATATGACTGCATTTCTATCAGCATGGACCTCTGCATTTATTATTTTATTTTATTTTATTTTAATTTAATTTAATTTTATTTTATTTTATTTTTTGAGACAGAGTCTCACTCTGTCACCCAGGCTGGAGTACAGTGGCGTGATCTCAGCTCACTGCAACCTCCGCCTCCCAGGTTCAAGTGATTCTTCTGCCTTGGCCCCGAGAGTAGGTGAGATTACAGGAGTGCACCATCACGCCTGACTAATTTTTGTATTTTTAGTAGAAATGGGCTTTCACCATGTTGGCCAGGCTGGTCTCGAACTCCTGACCTCAGGTGATCCACCCGCCTCTGCCCCCCAAAGTGCTGGGATCACAGGCATGAGGCACCATGCCCAGACTGTTATTTTATTTTTCAGATGGTTCCGGCTTTGGCCATTAGGAGCTCTTTCAGATGAGCTCCTGTGTCTGTTTGACATGCCCCCATCTTTCTGTTTTTTGAGCATTTCCTTGCTTTCTTGCGCTGCATTCCAGAGCAAGATGCTCTGGAATCACCTTGCATTTTTTCCTGCCTCAGTGCTAGAATCAGCCATTTCTCCAAGGAGTCTGATCCTTTTATTTTAGAGACAGGGTGTGCTTATTGCTGCTGAGGCGTCACTGCTTCTAGGCCCTCTCATCAGACAGAGGTGGGAAATATATATATAGATAGATAGATAGATATATACACACACACACGCACACATATATATACATATATTTATATATGTGTATACATATAGATACACATATATGTCTATATGTATATACATATATGTGTGTCTCTATGTATACACATATATAAATATATGTATATATAAATACACATGTATACATAAATACACATGTATACATATATGTTAATATATAATATATACTTACATATATAATGTATGTATACATATATAATATATACGTGTGTGTATATACGCACCATGTGATTTTTAGGCAAGACACCAACTCTCTTTACAGCCTCTTTAAGGCTCCAAGCCCCATCTGCAAAATGGGGACGGTGATAACGTTTCCTGCCTCATGGAGCCACCATGAAATGAAGTATGTAAGTGGTTGACACAGTGTCTGGCCCATAATTAGTCAAGAGAAGTGGTGGCTTTTATTGTGTCAGAGCTGCACAGCCAGAGCATGGGGGCCCTTGCGAGGTGGGGAGGCCCCCGTCCCCTGAGGATTGAAGGAACTCAGGCAGTCTGGGAATGGGATTCCTGTACTGAGTAGAGACCAAGGGGCCTGTGTGTTTCTTCCAGTGCTGAGTCTGCCTGAAGAGCGCCCAACTTGGCAGCAGCTTGGCAGAGCAGAGGAAACAGGCTCTCCTGCATTCAGCCTGCCCTGGCACATCTGGAATCTGGCTGACACCTGAGTCTGGGTTAGACTGCTGGGGGCCAGGGGGCTGGCTTTGGGGCTGTGCTTCAGGCAAGGAGGCCAGGGCTGCTCACCTGGCCCACTTCCCTCATTCCTCACCTGCTCCCTGCCCACCTGCCCAGGGGGTAGATCTGGGCCAGGCATCTCAGGGGAGCCCCTCTCTCAGTGGTGCCTGCCTCTGCCCATCATGCCCTGCCCTGGTAGGGCTTTGGCCAAGGACCCAGGGCCCTGCTCCTGCTTGCCGCAGAAGGAGGAGGAAGCTGGGGGGTGGTATCTGCAGGACAGGACCTGGAGATGGCGTCTGGGGTGGGAGTTTTGGCCCCTGAGGCTGTCTGCCCAGCCAGTCTCCAGTCCTTCAGGAGCTCCTCCCCACCCAGTGCCCATGCCCTTCTCTGCAGCGATCCTGCTCTGCAGAGACTGTAGGGACCCTGCTACCCCTCCTCATTCCTCCTGGTCCCCAAACTCTGAGCCTATTGTTTAGAAGATTTTGTCCTGAAATGAAACTGTTGAGAAAGAAACTTATTTGATTGTTCATTTTCAGGGCACACTGAGGTTTCATAAGAACCAGTGAGCCCTGGCTTCAGCCCAGCAGGCACTTCAGCTCTGGGGCAGACAGTGTGGCTTGCTTCTTTGTTGATGTCCTCCCTCCCTCCCTCCCTCCCTCCATCCCTCCCTTCCTTTCTTCTTTCCTTCCTTCCTTTCTTCCTTCCTTCCTTTCTTCCTTCTTCCTTCCTTCATTTCTTCCTTCCTTCTCCTTCCTTCTCCTTCCT
Organism: Homo sapiens; assembly: GCF_000001405.40. Lineage (NCBI taxonomy): Eukaryota > Metazoa > Chordata > Mammalia > Primates > Hominidae > Homo > Homo sapiens. The sequence continues at coordinate 16,191,322 of NC_000001.11, read as the reverse complement.
CCCTCCCTCCCTCCCTTCCTTCCCTTCTTTTTTCTTGCTCTGTCGCCCAGGCTGGAACGCAGTGGCACGATCTCAGTTCACTGCAACCTCCACCTCCTGGGTTCAAGTGATTCTTGTCCTAGCCTACCGAGTAGCTGGGACTACAGGCGTACACTACTACGCCCAGCTCTCTTTCCATCTTTCCAATCCCCTTCATTCTCCTCTCTGATTGTGTCACCTATGGACCAAAGGACATCAGCAGCATCCCCATCCTTGGTGACACTCCCTAATGGTGAGACAGACAAGTAAACAGGTGAAGTGCAGGGCCCCACACAGAGTGTTGTCAGGATGTGGGGCAGCAGGAATTCTACACTGTTGGTGGGGTGTGAATTGGCACAGCTACTTTGGAAAACAGCTTGGCTGCATCTGCAAAAGCTGAACTTGCCTATGCTATGACCCAGACATTCCACTGCTTTCTTTGGGTATACACCCAACAGAAATGGGTACATATGTGCCCAAAAAGACCTGAATTAGCATGTTTTTAGCAGTATTATCCATTAATAGCCAAAATGCTAGAAACTACCCAAATGCTCATCAATAGTAAAATGAAAATCCTGGTATATTCACACAGTGGAACACTACACAGTCACGAGACTAAACTGTCTACAACTACAAGTACTGTCTGTGTCTGCATAGGCGAATCTAGACTGAACGTGAGAGAAGCCAGACGCCAAAAAAAAAAAAAAACAACAACAAAACAAATTAGTTGATTTGCATAAAGTACAAAACCAGGCAGACTAATTGATGGATCGAGGTCAGGGTGGGGAGCGCCTGCAGCTGAAGTAGTGACTGCTTAGGGAGGGACTGCTGATGTTGCTTCCACAGGGCTGTGCACTTTGGGACCAGTCCATCAGGCTGGGCGCCTAAGATCTGTGTGCTTTTCTGCATGGGAGTTAAATTTCAGCTGAAAGCTTACACAGTGCAAACTGTGGGGCTGTGGGGGCACAAATAAGGGAGCAGCCTGTCCTCACTGGCAGTCAGGGTGGGCTTCCTGGAGGTGGTGCCACTGAAGCTGCATCCTGAGAGCTGAAATGGAGGTGACAGGAGGGGGACAGTGCAGAGCCGAGTGGCCACTCTGGGATTCCTTGTTGATCCATGTGGTGACCTGTTTTCTGTTGTCTCCCCCACTGGACCGTGAAATCCATGAAGAAAGGGCCTCTGGCTGTCTTCCCAGTGCTGTGGCCTCATTGCCAACTGCCATGCCTGGAACCCAGGAGCAGCTCAGTGAATATTTGTTGCTGGGTCTGAGCCCGGCTCTGCATGAACCCTGAGCCCGAGCTCATAATTGCCCCTCAGACCCGCTCTGCTTCCAAGTCCCACCCCAGCTCTCTTCCCTCATTTGAGCTACTTGGTGCCAGTATGGTGGGGTGGAGGGTCTGGATGCCCTCGGGCTGTGGGCGGGGCTGCCCCATCTGGGCTGAGACTGCCCTGGACACCAGGAGACCCACTGGGCCGCTCTTTTTTTTTTTTTTTTTAGATGAAGTCTCACTCTGTCGCCCAGACTAGAGTGCAGTGGCACCATTCTGGGTCACTGCAACCTCTGCCTCCTGGGTTCAAGCGATTCTCCTGCCTCAGCCTCCTGAGTAGCTGGGATTACAGGCGCCCACCACAGCGCCCAGCTAAGTTTTATATTTTTAGTAGACACGGAGTTTCACCATGTTGGTCAGGCTGGTCTCGAACTTCTGACCTCAAGTGATCTGCCCCCCTCAGCCTCCCAGAGTGCTAAGATTACAGGTGTGAACCACTGCGCCTGGCCTCGCTTGGCCACTCTTGTCACCCTGACCGGGATTTGAACCTGGGTTTGCTCTCACTTCCTGTCCCCAAGTGTGCCTTCCCCTTCCCAGGATCCCACTCTCCCGGCGTTTGTCTCCCCCCAGATTGTATTTCTGATGCTACTGGGAGAAAGAACTAAAATAAATGGGCTGACGTTGTAGCAGGAGGGACTCTGGTGGGACTTAAGGCAGAGTTTGCCAACTGTGGGAACTGTCTCAGACACCTGGGCGAGTGGAGGGAGTGAAGCTGGGGAATTTCTTCCCCTGAGCAGCGTGAAGAACAGGATGAACAGTCATCTGCTTGGGTGGGGCACAGCGGGGTGGAGAGGATGACCTTTGGAAGCCACTCTCAAGCTCTTGGCTCATGAGCTGCCCTGAGGGTTGGGAGCTGGTCAGGAAGGAGGAAGGGGTAAGCTATTGGGTCTAGCGTTTCGGCTGCTGGAAGGGTGTGGGAGGAGAAGAGGGGCACTGAAGGAGGCAGAAACCAGGCCTGCTTTACTTAAATGAGGCAATAGGATTTGGGGGATTGGAAGGTTCCTTAGAGTTTCCAAAGCAGGGTGTGGGAAAGTCCAGCACCGGGTTTGGAGGCAGGTGGACCTGGCTTGAGTCTTGCTTTAACTTATAAGCCACGATGCTCTAGGCAAGCTGCTTCCCCTCTCTGAGCCTCAGTTTCCTCATCTGGTAAACGGGCATGATAATGCAGCTACAAGAAGGTGATGCCTTGGAAAAGGACTTCGAAAAAGCCCTATGCAAAGGGGAGTTGATCTCCCAGGACAGACTGGCCAAGGATTAGTATATAACGACAGCCATGTTATTCTCTCCAACCCAAGTGCCAGGTGTTAGGTCTTTTAATAGCCACCTAAATTCCAGAAGGGTATATTTTGGAGGCCAATTTAGTTCAATAGATGGTTTGTTGTTGTTGTTGTTGTTTGTTTTGTTTTTGACAGAGTCTCATTCTGTCGCCCAGGCTGGAGTGCAGTGGTGTGATCTAGGCTCACTGCAATCTCCACCTCCTGGGTTCAAGCGATTCTCAAGTCTCGGCCTCCTGAGTAGCTGGAATTACAGGCATGTGCCAACATGCTTGGCTATTTTTTGTATTTTTAGTGGAGGTGGGGTTTCACCATTTGCCCGGGCTGGTCTCAAACTCCTGAGCTCAAGCAGTCCTCCTACCTCGGCCTCCCAAAGTGCTGGTGTTACAGGCATGAGTCACCACGCCCGGCCAGGTGTTAGGTCTTTTAATCCTTATAACAACCCTATTTTTGTCACCCCGTTCCACAGATGAGGAGTCTGAGGCTCAAGGAAGTGACATGACTTGCCCAAGGTCACATAATCAGTTGGAACTTGACTAGGGACTTACATTCCCATCTGATTTCAGTCCAGAACCCTGCACTCTGTTTGGTGCAGCCTATGATTGACGGAGAAGGTACTTGGCAAACCATAAAGCAATGAATATCATCATCATCGTCATCGCCATCATCGTCATCATCATGAGTAGCAGCAACAGCATTTTATTTTTTTAGGGCAATTGCGGTTCTACAACGGCAGTAATGGGAGCAGCATCCTTCCCAGCCCAGCCACCAGAGGGCGGCAGAGCCCAGGGCTGGGATAGCGGGGTCCTCCGAGCGCAGCCTGCTCATTGCCCACATTCCTGTGGGTTGAGTCCTCCTGAGGCTTGGCTGTGTCTGTGGGGCAGGGGTAGGGAGTAGGGGCAGGGGCAGTGGGCTGGGTAGAGGGAAGGGAGGGCATAGAGCCCTGGAGACAGGAGCACATGGCCAGTCCTGGCCTCAGCTGTGAGGGTTCCTAAGTCTGAAACATGCTCAGAGGCTCCAGAGACCACCCCCTTGGTCCTATGATGTCCCAGTCCTTCATGTCAAGTTCTTCTTCTTCTTTTTATTTTTCTTATATAAAAATATGAATCACAGAAATAGTTAGTGGTTGTATTTACAATTTGAACTTCATTATCACATGGCACAGTAACTCACATAATGTATCCATTCTTTATATTGGTGTAATTTTTTTTATACTTTAATTTCTGGGATACATGTGTTGAACATGGAGGTTTGTTACATAGGTATACACGTGCCATGGTGGTTTGCTGCACCCATCAACCCGCTATTTACATTAGGTATTTCTCCTAATGCTATCCCTTCCCTAGCCCCCCATGCCTCCCTTTTTTTTTTTTTTTTTTTAAGAGTCTCGCTCTGTCACCCAGGCTGGAGTGCAGTGGCACAATCTCAGCTCACTGCAACTTCCGCCTCCCAGGCTCAAGCGATTCTCTTTCCTCAGCCTCCTGAGTAGCTGGGATTACAGGCATGCACCACCATGCCAGGCTAATTTTTGTATTTTTAGCAGAGATGGGTTTTTGCCATGTTGGCCAGGCTGGTCTCGTACTCCTGACCTCAGGTGATCTACCCACCTCGGCATTCCAAAGTGCTGGGATTACAGGCGTGAGCCACTGCCCCGGATATGCCAAGTTCTTGACTGAATAAGGGGACAATAAAAATCACCGCCACTGTGCACTGAGTGTTGTTTACCACTCCATTGGCACCAATTATGCCCTTTAATCCTTGTAACTCTGCTAGGAGCAGGTTCTGTTCAACTCAGCCAAACTTTACTAAGAAGGAAAGGGAAGCTCAGAGAGGAGAAGTGACTTGCCTGAAGTCACACAGCAAGTAAAAGGCAGAGCTTCTTTGAAACCAGACCCACCAGACCTAGGCCTACTCCCCGAAGCCCTTGACTATCACAACTTCCCCGACCCTAGCTCTGCAGCGATTCCAGCTCAAAGTGTAAGCATGTTCCCCAGCCCCCAGGATTCTCACAACAGCTTGAGAGGCTGGAAGTGAAGACACGGAGGATGTGCCAGTGCTGTACCCGAGCCCACTCAGACGGGCTCTCAGGAGGAGCTCTGCCCAGGCCGGGCACAGTGGCTCACACCTGTCATCCCAGCACTTTGGGAGGCTGAGGCAGAAGGATCACTTGAGCTCAGGAGTTTGAGACTAGCCTGGGCAACATAGTGAGACATCATCTCTAAAAAAATTTTTTTTGACAGGGTATGGTGGCTCATGCCTGTAATCCCAGCACTTTGGCAGGCCGAGGCGGGCAGATCATGAGGTCAGGAGATCAAGACCATCCTGGCTAACAAGGTGAAACTCTGTCTCTACTAAAAATACAAAAAGTTAGCTGGGCGTGGTGGTGGGCGCCTGTAGTCCCAGCTACTCAGGAGGCTGAGGTGGGAGAACGGCGTGAACCCAGGAGGTGGAGCTTGCAGTGAGCCGAGATCGCGCCATTGCCCCCCAGCCTGGGCGACAGAGCGAGACTCTGTCTCAAAAAAAAAAATTTTTTTTTAATTAGCCAGGTGTGGTGGTGAGTGCCTGTATCCTAGCTACTCAGGAGGCTGAGGTGGGAGGATCACTTGAGCTTGGGAGGTAGAGGCTGCAGTGAGCCATGATCACTCCACTGTACTCCAGCCTGAGTGACAGAGTGAGACCCTATCTCAAAAGAAAAAGAAAAAGAGGCCAGGCACGGTGGCTCACACCTGTAATCCCAGCACTTTGGGAGGCAAAGGCAGGGGGATCATAAGGTCAGGAGTTCGAGACCAGCCACAGTCAACATGGCGAAACCCCATCTCTACTAAAAATACAAAAAAATTGGCCAGGCACGGTGGCTCACGCCTGTAATCCCAGCACTTTGGGAGGCCGAGGCAGGTGGATCACGAGGTCAGGAGATTGAGACCACAGTGAAACCCCGTCTCTACTAAAAATACAAAAACTTAGCCGGGCGTGGTGGCGGGCGCCTGTAGTCCCAGCTACTTGGGAGGCTGAGGCAGGAAAATGGCGTGAACCCGGGAGGCGGAGCTTGCAGTGAGCTGAGATCGCGCCACTGCACTCCAGCCTCAGTGACAGAGCAAGACTCCGTCTCAAAAAAAAAAAAAAAAAAAATATTAGCCAGGCGTGGTGGTGGGGCACTGGTAATCCCAGCTACTTGGGAGGCCGAGGTAAGAGAATCGCTTGAACCTGGGAGTCGAAGGTTGCAGCAAGCTGAGATCGTGCCACTGCACTCCAGTCTGGGCGACAGTGCAGGAGTTTGTCTCAAAAAAAAAAAAAAAGAAAAAAAGAAAAAAAAAGAAAAAGACTAGTTCTTCCCAGCATTGCACTAGGAAATTCAGGCTGGGTGCTGGAAGCGGCCATGGTGACAGTGAATATTGCACCTGGAAATCAGCTCCCGCACCCCTGCCCTGGAGTCCGCTGAGGCCTGGATTGGGAAGAGATAGGACCGAGAGGCCCAGGGGCCCTCCCTGCTTCCCCACCAGGCTTCAGCCCCTCAGCCAGGCCCTGCTGATGCCTCTGCTCTCCCTTGCCTGGGTGTGGTGTGTGGTGATGAAATTGGTGGAGGCTGAGCCCCAGATCCTATTATCCCCTCCAGGGTGTGACAAGTGTCTGTGACTGGCCCTGCTGGGACCTCCCCCAACTGGATCCTGAAGACAGGGGGTGCTCCTGAACCCATTCCGTATTCTTGACCCCCCTCTGGGCAGCGGGATCCTTCAGACCAGATTCCATGGAGGCCCTAAGCTGTGCCCCGTGGCAGAGTGGCCCTGATACCTCCCAAAGAAGAGTGACAGCAAGTGGTGTCACATAGACCTGCCTCAATGCTCGTCTACACCTGCCCCTTCAGGGTGGGGCAAAACAAGGCTCTGCAGACAGCAAGTGGGGACATGCCCTGAGAGGCTGTGCTGCTTGGCTGAGGTGGTGGCTGGCAGCACTGGTCATGCAGAGCCTTGGTGGCACCATGGACTCAGCCCACAGCTGGCTCGGACTCCTGGATCCGGTGGCTTCTGGGGTCTGGGCAGGTGGTGGGAGGTTCGGGGGGCACCTGGAGCTAAGTACCTGTACACTGGCTGTGGGGAGCTGCAGGGCAGGACAGGGTTCCCACACACCCTTTTCCCAAACAGGTGCCTCCCTCCGACACCCACACTGCGTCTACTGTTTTCCAGGAAAAGGCCGATGCACTCGTTGAGTCAGCAGATCGAGGCTGCTGTCACCCTGGCAGCTCCACAGGGTGAGCCTGTTGCTCGCAGGGCCCAGCAGGGCCTGCCCAGGAGTCCCAGAGCTGGCCGGGCTCCCGTTACCTGCCCTGTACCATTGTTCCTGCCTGGCGCTTGGCTCTGCCTCTCTGGCTGTCCTCTCCTTCTCCACCCTCTGGCCTAAACATTACCTTATGCCCAAACCCAGCCTCTCTCCAGTTCCACAAATGTCAAACTGGCTCATCCCTGGGGGTAGGAATCAGCAAGAGAAGACCTGGATTGGAATTCCAGGACCACACTGACTGGCTGTGTGGCCTTGGGCAAGTTCCTTTACCTCTCTGAGCCTCCGTTTCTTCATCAATGAGAGGCAAGTTGTCCTCCCACCATGTCATGCTGTTGAAAGGAATCAAGTGCCCAGCGCAGTGCCCGGCCTGCAGGACGTGCTCAAGAAATGGCTTTTGCAGAACACGACAGAGTCTTCCCCAGCGGGACCTGTTCTCCCAGGGCCTGTGGGGAAGGAAATGGCGGGATCTTCTGCTCAGCCATCTTACATTAATCAGCATGCAGTCATCATGTTCACACCAGCTCTAATTGTTAGCTGCTGAAATGGGCTCGAGCTTTGGGGCTCTCACCTCAGCCAGCCCGGGGCTCCAGGCTTGGGCGGAGCTGGTGCATGGAGCAGGTCTGGGGCTCCTGGCATGAATGAAGCCTGAAATGTGGACAGGTGCAGTCGGGATGTGGGAGAACCCAGCCTTGGGCAAGTCCCTTTACCTTTACTCAAAGAGGGGAGTGGGTGAGGCTGCCCGGGGTGGGGGGCACTGGCCGGGCACCTGCAGGTGGGGAGGCCTGGCCATCTCTGGAGCAGCTCCGGTGATGAACTCTGGTCAAAGAACTCGTCCTAGAGGGTTTGTCCCACACCTGCTTCTGGTCTTAGCACGTGACCCCTGCTCCAGATAGGTCCTTCTTGTTTGTTTTGGGCTTGAGAGGAATTAATGAAATTGTTAGGGTAATTGGCAGCACGGCGGGCACCATCCAAGACTGGCAAAGGGGGGCTGGGAGGACCGAGAGGAGAGAGCCGGGCACACGGGGATTGCTTAACAGATGACGGTGAAGAGGGAGGGGTGTGTAAGTGGCGGATGGCATGTAGGAGCGAATCAGTGAATGAACAGTGAGTGAGTGAGTGACTCAATGAACGCGTAAGCTGGAACCTCAGTAATAGCATTGGCCAACACTCATGTAGTTCTCACTACATGTGCAACGTCGTTCTAAGCACTTCACTTGTAAAACTCATTCAGTCCTCTCAAAAACCCTGTGAAGGAGGCACTATGATTACCTCTGTATTTTTTTTTTTTTTTTTTGAGTCTCACTCTGTTGCCCAGGCTGGAGTGCAGTGGCGAGATGTCAGCTCACTGCAACCTCCGCCTCCCGGGTTCAAGCAATTCTCGTGCCTTAGCCTCCCGAGTAGCTGGGATTACAGGTGCCTGCCCCCGACACCCGGCTGATTTTTGTGTTTTTAGTAGAGACAGGGTTTCACCATGTTGGGCAGGCTGGTCTTGAACTCCTGACCTCAAGTGATTCGTCTGCCTTGGCCTCCCAAAGTGCTGGGATTACAGGCGTGAGCCACCACGCCCGGCCGATGACTACACTTTACAGAGAAGGGACCAGAGGCACAGAGAGGTTAAGTAACTTGTCCAAAGTTACACAGCTGGGAAGTGACTGAGTTCAGACTAGAACCCCGGCAGGCTGGCTCCGTAGTCTCCAGGTACCAAGCACCTTCAGGATCATGAAGAGAGTTCAGAGCAGAGGGGATAGGAGGATGGACTCTTCTTTTGCAGTCTCGGCCTTGAGACTCCAGGCTTCATGTCATTCAGTCTGTCATTCATTCATGCTGCATAGTCGCTGGTCAGCCGCTTACTCACTCATGCACTCACTGAGCGCCGGCTCTGGGAGTGTGAAGGGGGGAGACTTGTAAGATTCTGTCCTCCCCGGTCCTAGTTTACCTTTCAGGGCTCAGTTCAATGCCACCTCCTCCAGGAAGGCCACAGGGCTCTAGGCTTCCCCTGATCTCCCCAGCTAGGCAGTGCTTATATTCTCAGTTTTTGGAATACCATGGGTGCTCAATAAATGCTTGAGGCGGCATCCTGTTGCTGCTGAGCCTTCTCCTGGGGTCTCGTGGCTTTCCCAGCTCTTTGTCCCTTCCTGTCCTCACCCCAGCCAGGATGCTCCCGTATCTGGACAGAGCCTGGATCCCCCCACACCTCCCATGACCTTCCCATCCCACCAGCGGAGTGGAAACTCCCCGAGCACTGGGTCCAGCCGGGGGCCATGGTCAGCAGCACTGGGATTCACCCCTGCCCTGAAAGGGAGGGACCTGGGCCCGCCCGGGCTCAGCAGCCAACAGCAGCCTCTTCCTTCCCTGGCGAAGTGTTTGTTTTCAAATTCCTGAGGCCTGTGTCACCCCCAACCCTGTGTCCGCTGGCCCAGGCTGCCTCTGCTTCCTTCCTCCCCTTGCCGGACCAGGCTGATCTGTGGGGTGGGGTGCTGGGCCAAGCCTCTCCCTCCCATTGCCCACCAGCTAGGGCCAGAGCCTCGAGCTGGCTGACTGGAGAGCTCCAGAGGTTGGTAGGACATGGGATAAGGGAACTCAGGACCCCTCATCCCAGCCCCTCTGGATAGAGCAGGGAAATTCCAAGTCTTTTTGCTCTTCAGGGAACAGTGCAGGCTGGCAAAGAATCATGGGCTGGTAGCCGGAAGTAGCTATCTTCATCCCAGCTATCTTCTGGGTTAGCTGGGATGGGGAAGTTCTGAGCAGGGCACATGCCCCTAAGCAGGCCTGGTCTGGGCCCAGAAGGCCTGGTGCAGGTCAGACTTCATTCAAGCTCTCTTCCTGGCCGGGAGTCTTTTTTTTTTTTTGAGACGGAGTCCCGCTCTGTTGCCCAGGATGCAGTGCAGCGGCGCGATCTCGGCTCACTGCAACCTCCACCTCCTGGGATTACAGGCGCCCACCACCACACCTAGCTAATTTTTGTATTTTTAGTAGAGACGGGGTTTCACTCTGTAGGCCCGGCTGGTCTCGAACTCCTGACCTCAAGTGATCTGCCCGCCTTGGCCTCCCAAAAGAGCTGGGATTACAGGCATAAGACTTTGCATCCAGCCAGCGCTGGGAGTCTTGAACAACTAGGGCAGTGGGGTGGGTTTCAAACTTGACCTCATGTGCATCAGAATCAGCTGGGGTGTGTGGTGAACGGGCAGACGCCCAAGCCCTGGCCTCGGAGATTCTGATTCAGTGGGTCTGGGATCCCAGGGATCTGAAGTTTTGGCTTCCCAGGTGATTCTGCTGCCAGAGGCCCAAACTGTGGAAAGCCAACACTCAAGAACGTGAATAACACACAGCCAGGCCCAGCTCTCCCACTCACATGCTGCTGACCTTTTAGAGCTGCACTGGCCAGTTCGGTAGGTACTATTTAAATCTAGAGGCCGGGCGCAGTAGCTCATGCCTGTAATCCCAGCATTTTGGGATCCAAGGTGGGTGGATCTCTTGAGGTCAGGAGTTCGAGACCAGACTAGGCAACATGGTGAAACCCCATCTCTACAAAAAGCACGCAAAAAATTAGCTGGGTGTGGTGGTGTACACCTGTAGTCCTGGCTACTCAGGAGGCTGAGGTAGGAGGCTGGCTTGAGCCCAGAAGGCAGAGGTTGCAGTGAGCTGTGATTGCGCCACCGTACTCCAGCCTGAGTGACAGAGCGAGACTCTGTCTCAAATAAACAAATAATTAATTTAAATTAATTAAAATGAAATAAAATTAAAGTCAGCTCTTCAGGTGCACCAGACGCATCTCAAGTGCTCAGTAGCCGCGTGCGGCCAGTGCGGAGCAGATGTAAAACGTTTCTATCCATTCATCATTCCATCCACAGCAAGTTCTTCTAGACTGCTGTTCTCCAATGTCAGTTTCACAGAGGCAGAGACCTTTGTCTGCTGTGTTCATTGCTATATCCACAGCATCTGACTCATGCCTAAAACACAACAGGGGACCAGTAAATCTTTTTTTTTTTTTTTTTTGAGATGGAGTCTCACTCTGTCACCCACCCAGTCTAGAGTGCAATGGCACAATCTCGGCTCACTGCAACCTCCACCTCCCGGGCTCAAGTGATTCTCCTGCCTTACCCTCCCGAGTAGCTGCACCACGGTGTGCAGCACCACGCCTGACTAATTTTTGTATTTTTAGTAGAGACGGGGTTTCACCATGTTGGCCAGGCTGGTCTCGAACTCCTGACCTCAAGTGATCTGCCTGCCTCAGCCTCCCAAAGTGCTGGGATTATAGGTGTGAGCCACCATGTCCGGCCCAGTAAATCTTTTTCATTTGTGTTTTTATGGTGGTAACATATATGTAACATAAAATCGACCATGTTAAGCGTTTGGAAGTGTACAGGTCGGTGGCATTAAGTGCATTCACATTGCTGTGCAACTTTTCGCCACCGTCCATCTGCAGAACTTTTTCATCATCCCAAACTGAAACTCTACTCAACAAAAGTTCCCCATCAATCAATGTTTTCTGAACAAATGAATAACCTTGGCTGGGCGCGGGGCTTACGCCTGTAATCACAGCACTTTGGGAGGCCGAGGAGGGCGGATCACCTGAAGTCACGAGTTTGAGACCAGCCAGGCCAACATGTTGAAACCTTGTCTCTATTAAAAAAAAGTACAAAAATTAGCCAGGCGTGGTGGTGGGCGCCTGTAATCCCAGCTACTCAGGAGGCTGAGGCAGGAGAATCACTTGAACTCAGAAGGTGGAGGTTGCAGTGAGCCAAGATTGCACCACTGCACCCCAGCCTGGGCGACAAGAGTGAGACTCTGTCTAAAAAAATAAAATAATAATAATAATAATAATAAAAAAAAAACCTTGGTCAAATCACTTCCACTCTCTGGGCTTCTGGGCTTCAGGTTCTTCATTTACAAAACGGGTAGCACATGCGTTCCCACCCGGCAAGTTCTTTGCAAGGATTAAATAAGATGAAGCATGTGTTTAGCACAAGCCCTGGCACACAGCAAGTGCTCATCAAATATTAGCTGTTCCTGTGTTATTATTACCTCATCAGGAAGTCTTCCCTGAACATTCCACACCTCCTTGTTTTCTAAACTCTGCAAGACTAGAGCGCACCTCATTCAAGGCAACAGAAACAGAGTCCGCTGCTGCCGGTGTGAATCACGTGGGCGCGTTCTGTCTCCAGGGCGTGAACTGTTGCTGGTCCTTTGTGTGTCAGCTAGCCTAGTTCCTCAGCTAGCCAAGGTTCCCCAGCCCCGATATCCCGCAACAACCCCCTGAGATGGGGAAAGGAGTTGGAAGGAACCCTTATGTGGGTGCCATTGTACAGATGGGAACGCTGAGGCCCATGGTACCGAGGAAGCCAGTGCCAGAGCCAGGACTCAAAGCAGGCATCCCGACTCCAGTATCCTTCAAAAACACCACCCAGCACAGGGGAGCCGCTAACTGAAGGAATGGGTGGATGGATGAATTAAAGTAGTCAGGCTGAAGGGCCCCATTTTGCAGCTTTGAAGAAACAGGCTCAGGGAGGTTAAGTGAGGCGCTGGGTAAATATTTATGGAATTGATCATACGTGGTCAGAGGGCAGGGCACGCTAGCCAGGGGCTCTGAACCTGTAGTACCTTTAATCCCTGCCCCCAAGGGACAATCAGGACAGTTTCTTGCCCTGGACAGGAAGTTGTCATGATGGGGTAGAAAGAGACGCTAACTCTTGGCCTCGTGAGGGAAGGAAGGCATTTCTTTGGCTTTGGTGTCAGACAGGCTCAGATCCATCACAGGTCCTGAGACACAGGAGGAGTCTTGCTAAGCTCTTAAACTTTCTAAGCTCCAGACCCTTCTGAGACGCTATAAATGCTGTGGCCTCCAGCCAGTGGTGAGCTGGTAAATGTTTAACAACCTGCTTTCTAAAAGGAAAAGAGAAAAAAAAATGAAAAGGGTAAAAAGAAGGCCAGGTGTGGTGGCTCACGCCTGTAATCCCAGCACTTTGGGAGGCTGAGGCAGGTGGATCACTTGAGGTCAGGAGTTCGAGACCAGACTGGCCAACATGGTGTAACCCCGTCTCTACTAAAAATAAAAAAAATCAGTCAGGCATGGTGGTGGGCACCTGTAATCCCAGGTACTTGGGAGGCTGAGGCATGAGAATTGCTTGAACCCGGGAGGCTGAGGTTGCAGTGAGCCGAGATTGAACCACTGCACTCCAGCCTGGGCGACAGAGTGAGACTCTGTCTCAAAAAAAAAAAAAAAAAAAAGGAAAAAGAAGAGTGTCACTGCTGATTGCTGTGGTGTAAATACTCCCACTACAGTTGACTTCAAGCAACCAATGAAACTTGGCTTGCAAAATGCATGAAAATGGAACAATCTACTCTCCCTGAGCCTGCAAGAGCCAACTGGGCGAGCACACCACTCAGTGTAAACTCAGGCAAATGCTTCCTCTTTCTGTGCCTCATTTTCCCTATCTGTAAAGTGGGTGGTAATGGCTGCTACCTTCAAGGCTCTTATAAGGAGTCATTTCCATGTTCCAAACTAGAGGTGGCAGGATCTTCAGGGACTGGTGAGGACAGGAGAAGGTCACATTTTGCAGCCCTTGGAGGTGTGTCAGGGGATGGCAGAAATAGGGCTGGTGCCTCACCCTTCATAGGCTCCTGGGAGCATGTCTTTCTTTCCCTACCAGCAGAGGTGACCATGTGGCTCCCTGCCCTTCTCTTTGGGCCACTTTCAGAAGCCAGGCAGTGGGGAGGTCGGAGTAGCCAGGTGCTGGTGACAGAGTTTGCCCAAATCTGGAAAGACAGTCTCCCGTGTCCCCACCTTACTAATCCCGCACACTTACCCTGACTTTACTCCTGGGGCTGTGGGAGACAGGGGTGGAATGGGCCCCTGACACGCAGGCAGCCCCTCCTATCCCTGCATGAATCCTGGCATGACCCCGGACACCCAAGAAAGTGCACCTTTGACAATGGTGCACCAGGTCATGGTGGCACCTCTCCCCTTGGTGGTGGCATCTGGGGCCCTTGCACACAGGGGACAAGGAACCTGAAGTGAAGGGGAGTTGACCTATTGAGGCCACACTGAGGACAGTCCCTCTCACTTTGGGAGAGGAGATGGCACTCCTGGTCTGATGTTCCAGAATTCCTCTCCATGGAAGGAGAGGAGAACACCATAACATATTAGAGCAGAGAGGGGATCCGCGGCAAAGGCAAGGCTTCTGTTACAAAGATGGGGAAACTGAGGCCAGCCAGTGGAAAAGTCATATTCACAGTCACACAAGGACTCAGACGTCGAGCTAGGACCTGGGCCCAGTGCATGGGTGGCCAGTCTCTCTTCTGTATCTCCTGACCTTGTGATCTGCCCACCTCGGCCTCCCAAAGTGCTAGGATTACAGGCATGAGCCACTGTGCCTGCGAGTCTCTCTTCTCTCTTCTCTACTGCCTGGCAGAAGGGGCTGAAAGGTGGGGGCCCAAAAGCTTGTCTGTCCTGGGGGAGGGGTGACCAGCCAAGGCAGGACATTTTCCAGGGGGACCCTTGTGCTGGGTGACCACCTTAGGGGAGGGCACATCACTTCCTAGGAAGCAGACCACCCCTCTGAAAGACGCAGGGACCTGAGAAGTGTGGTGACTGTGGGTTTGGGGGTGTCAGTAATGTCACTTGGGAGTGGGGGACCTGGGTCGGCCTGGCTTTGCCCCTAACCCTCCGTGCGGTGTTGAGCAGGCCATGGTCCCCTCCTCGGCGCCAGTCTCTGGCTGTAGATGGGTGGTTTGGGCCAGACCAGTGTTTTAAAACTTGTCTCAAGCTGCAGAATTATTTTCTAGATGCTTAGTAGAGAAAACAGACACAGGAAGGGCAGATGCAGGGGCAGTGGGAGCTTGGAGGAGGAGGATGGAGGAGGATGGAGCATTTGGGTCCTGGAGCCTCCGCTGCTAGACACCCCCTCCCTCCCCTGGAGCGGCAGACCCCCGACATAGGGCCGTGGCACGCCTGGGGATTTTATGGCAGGGGCCCAGGCCACACCCCGAGGGAGGAAGTCTGGTACCTCTCCTGACTCCTGAAAGCTGCGGAAAAAGAAATAGAGAAAGAGACAGAGAAATCAAGAGATAGGAAAACAAAGAAAGAATGAGAGAGAGAGAGAGAGAGACAGAGGCAGGGACAAATAGAGGAAGACAGAGAGAAAAACAGAGAAAGGGAGGTACAAAAAAGAGAAATATTCCATGATGAGATGGAGAGAGATAGGGAGAGAGGGAAGGGGGAGAAAAAAGAAACACATGTTTCCACTCAAAGTTCTTTTTTGTTTAAAATAAAACCAACCCAACAATCTCTGCTGCTGACAGTTGGCCGGAGCCCAGGCCCCAGGCGGAGTGTGACCGCGGGCCTCCTGGCACCCGGCCTGGAAACTCAAGTCATCACCGCCTGGGCTTTGCTCTCCGCAGCCTCTGACACGGTGACTTGTCCCCAGACACTGGCTCAGGTCTGAGGGTCACAGGAGAGACCCCCGCACAGGCAGGGCCCCTGAAGCCTCTCCCAGGTCCCCTGAGGCTCCTACCCACTACGGGAGCCTTTTAGCAATTCTAGGCTGGGAGCAACCAGCCACCATGAGGCCCGAAGCAGAGGGCCAGGCAGGGAACTGTGGCCAGGAGGAGGGCCTGCCTGAGCAGCGACAGGAGCAAGCTCGGCTTTAATTTGAGACCTAATCAGCGGGGGCTGGCATCCACCCCCCCTCCCCAACCAGTTGCGGAGGCCCCTCCGTTCCTGCTCTGGAGAGACACATCCCGGCCCCTGCTGCCCCAGGCCCAGGGCCCCTGAGGTGGGGACTGTGGAGGGTGGGATGGGAGGAAGAGCAGGCCCACAGGAGTCATAGGCCTTGCCTCCCAGCACACCTGCCAGGCCCGCACCGAGCCCCATCCCACCCCCTCCCACCCCCTCACATATATTTTACACTCAGTCCCAAGATTTGTTCTGGCCTAAGCCCCACATACCCAGGCAAGAAAGAAGCTGGTCTAATAGCAGCTGCAATTGTAGAGCACACAGGGCCCCAGGGCCTGCCGCGTGCTGAGTGCATCATCTCATTCAAGCATCCCGCATCCCGAGCGACTCTAATGTCCACTTTACAGATCATGAAACTGAGGCTCCGAGGGCTTAAAACACTTGCCCAAGTCTCATGATGAGTAGAAGGTGGGATCTGAACCCAGGTTTGCTCGCCCACCATAGCTCCACACCCGGAGGTAGTGGGGAGCTTCTGGGGTATGGGGCCAGCCCCGGCACCCCAGGGCCCATGGAGGGAGTGCGGCCCACCCCTCAGGCCCAGGCTTCCGTCCCTTCCGGAGCTGAGAGAGGCAGGCCTGAGAACAGCTGATCCCCCGGGTTTTGTTCTTGGCACAAAGGCGCCCGGATCCAGGCTTAGCAGTGAATGGCGAGGGGCCCACAGCCCCCTCCCTCGGGCAGGCCTGGCAGGCTCAGCCCCTGCCTGCTTCCCCGCAGCCCATGAGCCCTCAGCTTCCTATTCAGAACCCCGGCTCGGCCACCCACAGGAGTATCAAAGGCTGGCAGATCTGTGGGGATTAAAGGAGGCAGTGAGGGGCTGAGAGCTGGGGGCACGCATATGTGACTCCCCTTTTCCGAGAACCTACTATGTGCTGGGTAGATAATAATGGGAAAGACCAGAGAGGGGAGGGGACTCGCCCAAGGTCACACAGCAAGTCAGACAGAATCAGGGTGCAAATCCAGATGGCCCTGCTCCCAGCCAAGGCCTGTTTTCATCAGACAAGTTTCTTCTGTGCTTGGGACACCCCTGTCCTGTGGCCTCTTCCTGGGATGAAGAGACAGAGAGAAAAAGACAAAGGCAGACAGAGAGAGGAGAACCTGGCCAGGCCAACACAGAGGGAGGGAGGATTCCCTGGGGGAGGCTCCTCCCCTGACTGCCTGATGGGGTTGCTGAGGGCCAGGGCTGGAAGGATGCAGGTCCTGGCCTCCCTCCCTGCCCCATCCCCCGTAAATGCCTGGTTGGCTTGAGGGGCAGAGGACGGGCAGGGTTCCCCACTTGGATGGAGCTCCAGGAAGTGGGGAGACGGAGCCCCGAGCAGGAGAACTGTGGAGCCTCCTGCACCAGGTCTGGCCCTGGCTGGTGGGAGTAGAATCTGGGAGTCCTCACCGACCTGGGGTGCAGACTTGCCCAGGGGATGGGAGAGTGCGGGTCTGGCTAGTGAGGCTCTGGGTGGATGGAGAGGAGGGCAGGCATGATGGGCACTCAGCCCCTGGGGCCTATACCTGCTGTGTGGCCTAGGGGAGGTGCAACTGCCTCTCTGGGCTTCAGCCCCATTCTAGGGCCCAGAGCCAGAAGACCCCCTGATTCTATTACAGGGGTGAGGGTCTGCTTCACGGAATCCTCACGGTGAGGCAGGCTGATGCTGAGCCCCAGACGGGCGCACTCTCGTTCAGTCCTCCCCATAAGCCCACCAGAAGGCTACCGCTATTCTCCCTTCACCTTACAGGTGAGGAAACTGAGGCTCAGAGAGGCCTTGTTCAAGTCACATGGCTGGTACAGATTTCAAAGCCTCATGACCTCACTCCATCCCCCTGCCCCAGGACACTGGGCCCTGACTCCTGGCTCCCTTCTACCTGTGGCAAGGTAACAGAGGCAGGTGTCTACCTGCCCCCCACCTGCCCCCCAGTCACAGGCACGGTGCCACGGCACCCCCCAGGAATGTTGCTGCATTCCTGTGGCAGGGGTGTGGTTGCCGTGGCTCTGTTTGCCCGAGGCCTGGGCTGTTCCTAAAGCAAGCCCTATCCCCAGGCGCTGAGTCAGCAGGCTGGGCAGCTCTGGCACTCCCAGCAGAGCCCGACCCTCACCAGGAAGGTGGTGGCAGGACCAGAGGAGGAAGCTCCATTTCCCATGAAGGAGGGAGGGGTGCCTGGGGCAGGAGTGGGACAAAGGCTGGGAGTAGTGGGGGAAGTCAGGCCCAGGGGTCCAGAGAGGGGAAGGGAGATCCCCCAGAGAAGCTGGGGAGCTGAGTGAGGATTTCAGACCTGAAGGAAGGCGACTGCTTCGCTGAGCACTGTCTGTGTGCCAGTCCCTGTGTCGCTGCTTTGTCCAGCCGCCTTATCTCATATAATAAAACTGACTCACTCTCCTCAGCCTCTGTCTTTCATAAGGGGAACCTGAGGTGTGGTTAGTTCTTCCGCAAAAGAAGGACACAGACAGGCCTGTGACGCTCAGAAAGGCGCTGTATGCCCCAGTGGGAATGGTGGGGACGCAACTCCCCCACCCCTCCTCTGCCAGGCCGGCTCTATGAGCCTGGACTCCTGCTCTGGGCCTCAGTTTCCAAGCTCTGCTGGGGTTGGCCGAGAGGAAGAGGCCCCGTGAACTCCTCCTCAGGGCTGATACCCTTCAAGTGACCTCGGCTGGCCTCACCCACTCGGGGCCAGACATTGATCTCCTAGCAATCCGAAGGTGGAGGGTGCCTCCATGCTCAGATTCCTTTTTCTTTTTTTTTTTTTTTTTTTTTGAGATGGAGTCTTGCTGTTGTTGGCCCCAGCTGGAGTGCAATGGCGTGATCCTGGCTCACTGCAACCTCCACCTCCCGGGTTCCAGCAATTCTCCTGCCTCAGCCTCCCGAGTAGCTGGGATTACAGGCGCCCACCACCACGTCCAGCTAATTTTTGTGTTTTTAGTAGAGACGGGGTTTCACCATGTTGGCTAGGCTGCTCTCGATCTCCTGACCTCATGATCTGCCTGCCTTGGCCTCCCAAAGTGCTGAGATTACAAGGGTGAGCCACCATGCCCAACCAGATTCCTTTTTCATTATGGGCCATGCCCTTGGCCTGCCGCCCTCACTCCACTCCATCCCCTGCCACTTAGAGATGCCGAGGCATAAGGCAAAGAAAGGCACACCCCAGGAGAAACAGTAGGGTGGAGGGCCCAGGGCCAGGAGGGGCTAGGGACGGAGGGGGCCTGGGTTGTTGGCCTCCTGGTGCCAGCTCTGCTCCCTTCTGGGTCTTCCCAGGAACGGAATAGGCAGGTTTGGGGCACTGGATGCCAGGTTGGGAAGACGGGTGGAGCCGGGTGGGGCATGGGGGTCAGGAGGCTGGGAGTTTCGATGGCGGGTTTTGGCGGTTTTTGATAAGAGAACCAAGGGGTGGTCAGAGTCCGTGGGAGACAGGGCTGAATGGGGTGGGGTGGGAGGGGGCAGTGATCCAATTCCTGGCCAGCCAAGCGCTTCTGCCCCACTGTCCAGGGCCTCTGCCCAAGTCTCAGGACCAGCTGCTCCCGGCCGTGGCTGCCCTTGCAGGTTTACAGTGGGGGAGACTCCAATAGATGACATGGATCTGGGGACTCGGGGCTGAGAGGCAGTGTCTGTTGTGCTAATGCCCCTCCCTCGGAGACATTCACCGTAGAGCTGCTGGACTGAGCTGAGGTCCCAGTCTGATGGGGGAAGGTCACCTCTGCCCCGGGAATATCCCACAGCCTCTGCCCTCAGGGAGCTCCTAGTCTGATAGCAGAGGCCTGGCCTCTGTCCTGCTGAAGCCTCCACTCTCATGGGGAAGCCACAGCCTCTGCCCTCTGAGGAGGGGACATATACTCCATTTCCGGAAGAGCCCTCCAGTCTGCTAGAGGAGTCACCACCTCTTATCTTCGGGAAGTTTGTGATCTGAAGGCAGAGGCGGGCAGACGTAGCACTGACTCGCAGGGCTGCCCAGGGCCTGGGCCCTTCACCTGCTGGGCCTGCTGAGGCCAACTTGGAGGTGAGGAAGGCAGGGCAGGGCAGGGCCCAGAGATCCCTACTCCTCCCAGGGATCAGCCTAGGGTCAGGCTTGGGCGAGGTCTGGCCCGGCTGCCCTGACTGGGGGGTGGTCTCTGCAGACGGGCCCCGAGGCACATTCTCAAGCTATGGCATGAGGCAGTTCTGCTGGGCAAAACAGTTATTACCGCCCGTCGCTGGCGAGACAGGGAGGGTCTATTACAGGGTTGGAGCTGCAGGCAGCCCCCCCCCCTTCACTCCACCCCACCCACCATGCACACACACCTGCACACACACACCCCCATGGGCAGACTCACTAGTTGCATGATTTTCAACGAATCCCTTCACTTCCCCATGCCTCAGTTTCTTCATCTGTAAAAGGAGGATAATAACACGGGCTTGCCTGGACACGTGACACCTGTGTATGCCAGGGCCTCCGTCCCCTACCCAGTTCCATTGCTCAGGACATACACACTGTCAGACGTGGACACATATACGACCCTGAACATTCACCTGGGAACTCACATGCAATGTGCACCCATGTCCTGGCTTGCACGCCTTCACCCAAGTGCACACACACCTGTATAAGAAGTTAGAGGGGCTGGGGGTGGCGGCTCCTGCCTGTCATCCCACCACTTAGAGATGCCGAGGCAGAAGGATTGTTTGAGCCCAGGATTTCGAGACCAGCCTGGGCAATACAGGGAGACCCTGTCTCCACAGAAACATTTTTAAGATGAGCTGGGTGTGGTGGTGCACATCTATGGTCCAAACTACTCGGGAGACTGAGGTGGGAGGTTCGCTTGAACCCGGGAGTTCAAGGCTGCAGTGAGCTGTGATGGAGCCACTGCACTCTAACCTGGGCAACAGAGTGAGACTATGTCTCCAAAGGAAAAAAAAAAAAAAGGGTGGAGGATTGGGGCAAAGACCGCAGGACCCCAAAGGGAGCTCTCATACCCCCTCCACCAGCAGCATTCTATCTCTGGGGCAGCCTCCCACATCTACAGGCTCAGTGCCCCTTCCTTGCCCCCTCTCCCGGGGAAATGCCAGGTTAACAAGGGGAGTACAAGCATGTGAGAGCCACATAGATCTGGCTTCAAATCCCAACTCTGCCCCTGAGTCTCAGTTTCCTCATTTGTAAAATGTGGAGATGAATAGTCTTTGGGAGATCATGAGGCAGCGGGTAGGGGTGGACTCCGTGAGACGACCTATGTCAAGTGTGTTGCTTATAAAGTGCCTAGGAAATAGTAAGTGCTCACTAAATGCTGCTTGGATTGACTTGGGAAGGCAGGACCTCTCTGGAGTGTGGAAGAAAACAGATAGTTACCAGGTGTCTTCAACAAATTTGTTATGTCCCAGGGCCTGAGCTGAGTACTGGTCCTCAGATCAAAAACAAAGCAAAAGCAAACCAAGGCCTGCTCCATCCCTTCCCTGAAGATGCTTGCCCAATACTGGAAACTTGTCAACAACCAGTTTCAAGTCAGCGTGAAATATGTTGGGAGACACAGAAAGGCAGGAGGGCACGGGTCAAAGAATAGGGTTGCCACTCGTCAGGGGGTAATCTTGTCAAGTGACTTTCCTTCTTTAAGCCTCGGTTTCCCTCTCCATGTAATGGGCGTGAAATAACCACCTCCCTGCACTGTTGTTCACATTCACGAGGTTTTGGGCACATGGCCCGGCATAGTGGCTCATGCTTGAAATCCCAGCACTTTGGGAGGCCGAGGCGGGCAGATCATTTGGGGTCAGGAGTTCGAGACCAGCCTGGCCAAAATGGCGAAAACTCATCTCTACTAAAAATACAAAAATCAGCTGGGCATGGTGGCGCATGCCTGTAATCTCAGCTACTCAGGAGGCTGAGGCAGGAGAATCACTTGAACCCAGGAGATGAAGGTTGCAGTGGGCTGAGATCATGCCACTGCACGCTAGCCTGGGCGACAGAGTGACACTCTGTCTCAAAAAAAAAGGTTTTGGGCACATAGCCAAGATCACTAAATAGAAGGGATGATGATTGTGGTGTTGCTGCCCTGGAAGTTGTCTCTGGGCCCATTTCTCCTCTTCTGAGCCTGTGCTGGAACGGGTCTGAAGGTCTGGGATGAGGCTTTCTTTTTATGGCAGAGCTGGAGGTTTCCCCACCAAGAACCCAGTCCTGTAGACCTCAGATCTCAGGATCAGGACAAGGGACTGGGGCACCTTGGGGTGTGCTTGTGCTTGGAGAGACATGGTCAGCCTTCAGCCTGGATTTGGGCATTTCTAGTGACCACAGACCTAGGGGAGTGACAGAGGTGTCCTAACCCTTAGCAGTGTCCCGTCTGACAGGAGAGGCACAGCCCCTCACCCCCAGGAGCATCCAGTCAGAGGAGGGAGACAGCACAAGGAGTCACCCTCTCAATAAGCTAAGACTTCAGAATGGCAGAGCTGGAAGACCCCTTAGAGATGTCTCTTGAGTCACTAGGAGCTTGGTCTGGAGAGATTCACTTAGGGTCCCAAGGGTGGGGATGCACTGGGGGACAGAGTGGGGGTGTGACGCAGCCGGGCTGAGGTGAACTAGAGCATGCATACCCTGACTACAGGCCTTCAGAGTCAGAATGCCACACTCAGCCCCTGCTCAGACAAACCTGCGGTCTCATTCCCACCCTTGCGTGGTCACTCGGCAAGCGCCTGGTGCGAGCTTCCCTTTTTACAAATGAGAACACTGAGACTAGAATGAGGAGGGAATTTTCCAGGTGTGAGACCTTGAGCAGACCCCCTACCAGCTTTAGTTTTCTCATTTGTAAATATCGACAAAAGTGGCCTCTCCATACAGGGTTGGTATGAGGACAGAAGAAGATGGGGGTGAAGGAAGCACAGAGACAAAGCTCAGCCAAGCCTAGCCACGATCACAGTGATGATGAATTATTATTGTTATGAAGTGTCAGTGGTGCCACCGGGCGTGGTGGTGGTGGCTGAAAGCTTCCTGGAGGAGGTGACTTTTAAAGGCAGGGGTGGCCGAGTGCAGTGGCTCATGCCTGTAATCCTAACACTTTGGGAGGCGGAGGTGGGCAGGTTGTTTGAGTCCAGGAGTTTAACACCAGCCTGGGCAACATGGCAAGACCCTGTCTCTATAATACAAAAATTGCCGGGCATTGCCAGGCACGGTGGCTCACGCCTGTAATCTCAGCACTTTGGGAGGCTGAGGCAGGCAGATCACGAGGTCAGGAGTTTGAGATCAGCCTGGTCAACGTGGTGAAACCCCGTCTCTACTAAAAATACCAAAAAAATTAGCCGGGTGTGATGGCACGCGCCTGTAATCCCAGCTACTCAGGAGGCTAAGGCAGGAGAATTGCTTGAACCTGGGAGGCGGAGGTTGCAGTGGGCCAAGATCTGGCCACGGCACTCCAGCCTGGGTGACAGAGGGCGACATCACCACACACACACACAAAATTAGCCAGGCGTGGTGGTCCCAGCTATTGGGAAACTGGGGTGGGAGGAT
Organism: Homo sapiens; assembly: GCF_000001405.40. Taxonomy (NCBI): domain Eukaryota; kingdom Metazoa; phylum Chordata; class Mammalia; order Primates; family Hominidae; genus Homo; species Homo sapiens. The sequence continues at coordinate 16,168,256 of NC_000001.11, read as the reverse complement.
CACCTGAGCCTGGGGAGATGGAAGGCTGTAGAGAGTCATGATCGCACCACTGCACTCTGGCCTGGGTGACAGAGCGAGATCCTGTTTGAAAAAAATAAATAAATACATTTTAAAATAAATTTAAGACAAATAAAGGCAAGGGTGATGGGTTTGGGGAGGAGGGGCGGAGAGAGAGGCGGGCCCAGCGAGGCTGGCGGGGCCCAAGGGGAGGAACCTGCAATGGTATGCAAAGTGCATGGGGCTCTCCGGGCCGCCGCCTCCCCGCCCCGGTTTCCATGGCGACGGAGGCCGCCGCCCCCCAGGCCCAGACCCCTTTTACGAGACGCAGAGGCAGTTCCTCGCCGCGGGGAAGGGGCTCTGGCTCCGGCTCCGCGGTAAACTGCGAGCGGCGGCCCTCAAAGGCGGCACCTGCGGAGCCGGAAGCTGGGGCGGACCGGGGTGCGAGACTTGGGGGGATGGGGGTGAGGCTGGGACAGGGGCCGCCCCGCCGCGCTTCCTCTCGCCTCTTGCGCTCGCTTCTACACAGCACTTCCCACCCCGAGACCCTAGCTTCCTCCGGACCCGCTCCCACGGCAGGTGGGCCATCCCCCCACCCACTCCCCCACCCCGCCCTACGGGACCCGGAGTTCCACCCCGTGCCCCCCACCGCACCCCTGGCCCGCGTCCCTCCCCGCGTCTCCTCCGGTCCCGCTCCATTGTCCTGGGCAGCCTTGCTCTCTCCTGCCTCCTCCCACCTGCCTCTCCTCCACGTGGCCCGGGCTCCTTCCTGGGCTTTCCCGGGCGCCCAGCATTCTCCATCTGCCTCTGTGTCTCCGTCTCTCCAAGTCTCTTTCTGCTGGTCTCTCGTCTCTCAGCAGCAGGAAGAGGAGAGGGAGCGGCGGTGGGGAGTGAGAGCCCTTTGAGGGAGGAGACTGGATGACCCCAGGCAAGGGACTTCCAGGGCTTGAGGGGCCTGGGTCCCCAACCATGCTGGGCATTAGTCAGGCCCCTCTTAAGTAATCAGGAAGAACGGAAGCCGGGCACAGTGGCTCATGCCGGTAATCCCAGCATTTTGGGAGGCAGAGGCAGGTGGATCACCTGAGGTCAGGAGTTCGAGACCAGCCTGGCCAAAATGGTGAAACCCCATCTCTGCTAAAAATACAAAAATTAACCAGGCGTGGTGGCGCGTGCCTGTAATACCAGCTACTTGGGAGGCTGAGGCAGGAGAATCACTTGAATCCGGGAGGCGGAGGTTGTAGTGAGCCAAGATCCGGCCATTGCACTCCAGCCTGGGTGACAGAGCAAGACTCCATCCCGGAAAAGAAAAAACAAAACCAAAAAACAAAAATTAGCCAGGCGTGGTGGCGCAGGCCTGTAATCCCAGCAACTTGGGAGGCTGAGACAGGAGAACTGCTTGAACTCAGGAGGTGGAGGTTGCAGTGGGCTGAGATCGTGCCACTGCACTCCAGCCTGGAGGACAAAGCAAGACTCTGTCCCCACCACCCCCCCAAAAAGGAAAAAGAATGGAGGTGGGAGAGTTTTCCAGTCGTGTATTTATTTTTGAGCAGGCCATTGATGCCTATGGTGCAACAGACCACAGGGAGAATACACAGGGAAGCTGCTGTGCCCCCCACCAAGAGGTTCCCAGTCTTCCTGTCCCCAACCCCTCCCCAGCTCCTCATCCAGGTCCCTTGCCCTCTGCTCAGCACAAGGCATGCTGGCGGCCACAGACATATCTACTGACATGAACACACGCCCCCCACCTACACTGCGCTGGCTGGGGGATACCACAGGGGCCTAACTAGGGAACATGTGAAAGGTGGCAAGAATGGACAAGTGGCCTGTGGCATGATGGATGGGCTGGCAGACAGATGGATGGATGGGTTGGTAGACAGACAGACAGATGGAGCCGCTAGGAGGTGACTACCTGGCTGGGGAGGCCTGTCTGAGAAGTGATGGATGGGATGCAGAGGGGGCTGAGAGGGGCTGGGCCAAGGTGGGAAGGAAGGAAGAAGGAAGGAAGGAAGGATGGATGGCTGGATGGATGGATGGATGGCTGGATGGATGGATGGATGGCTGGATGGATGGATGGATGGATGGATGGATGGATGGATGGCTGGATGGATGGACAGATTGACAGATGAAGGACACAGCTGAAGGGGTGGGGGGATAGATGGGTGGGTTCTAGAGAAATGATGAGAGACCCTGCTGAGGACAGGGACAGGATCTTGCAGGGGTGTTGTGGCAGAAGTGATGGGCAGGGCTGGGTAGGGATAGACTGCTCACTGCAGGGCTAGCTACAGGCAGGCGACAGACAGATGGACCCATGTGTGGACGGACGGATGGAGGGGGAACGGAGGGAGTGAGCAGGGGCCCACTGGGACTGGTTGATGAAGATGGATGGACAGACAGAGGGAAACAGGGCAGGAAGGGGAATGGGAATGGGGGAGGGAAGACCATGTCCTGTCCCGAGGTGGTCCCTACAGAGCCCCTGAGACCTGGCCATTAGGAAAGTGTATGCAAGTTTGCCTGGAAAGGTGTGTGTGTGTGTGTGTGTGTGTGCACAGGCATCTGTGAGAGCTCTGGCGTGGCTGTGTTCCTGGCACTTCCTGGTGTGTGTGTAGCCTTGTGAGGGCCCAGGCCTGGTGATGGGCGTGGAAATAGGGGCCCGGAGGAGTGTAAGCTCTCTCCTCTTCCCTCAGGGGCTGAGGGCATCCTGGTGGGTTTATCCAGGGAGCATGGCAGCCAGGGAGCCTGGGACAGATTTCTGGTGAATGGGGGACTTGTGTGTTAGTGCCTGCAGGGAGGGGAAGGGGCTAGAGTCAGACTGGGAAGTTCTCAGAGACAGAAAACAAACAGAGGGGCTTCCCTGACCCCTTCCTCCTTTCCTCCTTTCCTCCTTTCCTCCCTTCTTCCTTCCAAGCCTCCACGCAGGCCTGCAGCCAAACTGTCAGGACTCAGGAAGGGGGTGACACCTGGCAGGTACTCTGCCAGCCTGGGGCCCCCAAATATGGTGTCAATGATAAAAATAATCCTAGCTGACATTTACGGAGTACTTGCCATGTGCCAGGCACGTTGCCAGGTTTTTCAGGATCCCATGTCTTCCCACAAGGTGGGTATTGTTTTATTTTTATCCCCACTTGACCCGGAAGAAGAGCTCAGGGCAGTGAAGCACCTCATCCGAAACTCCCAGTAAGTGGTGGCCGTGGGAAGCCAGAAATTTGCCCTCGGCCCCTGGCGAACAACAACTTGATCTTCCTCTGCACATCTGCCCAGGGGACACGGGTTGTCAGGCTGACCCTCAGAACACAGTGCAAGGAGGAGAGGAGGGTAAGAGAAAAGATGGCAGTGATGTCCAGAGGCCACATGGTTAGCTGAGTGGCATCAGGGCCTTTAGAGCCCAACGGCTTGGATTCAGAGGCTGACTTTGCCACTTCCTTGTGCAACGTCGAGCAGGTCACTTCACTTGTGTAAGCCTCAGTTTCCTTGTCTGTGAAATGGGGAGTGTGCTGCTCACAGAGGCTATTGGGAGGATAAAATAAGATAATACAGGAAAAGTACCTGGCAGGTTGGAAGGCCCCAGGGTCACAGAGGAGGATCCTGGGAGTCAGGTAAGGGCACTTCCTGGGGGCCCCTGGGCACCAGTCGCCCCACCTTCTGCAGAAGCGGGAATCCCCCATTTGTCATTGTCTCTGGATTGTATCCTGGGCTTCTGGGCATGACGTCATGCTCTGTGCTTGGCAAATAGTAACTTGTGCCATCGTCATACTGCTCTAAGAGGCCGAGCTACTGTCATCTCTCAATGCACTGATGAGGAGAGGGAGGGAAAGACAGCAGTGACTAGCCTAGATCACGCAGTGTAAGCTTTCATCACTGGTCAGCTGGGAAGCCACTATGTTTATTTGCTCATTCATTTAACAAATTTGTAGGACAGACTAGGGGGTGGGGACGGTTCATGACTCACAGAGCAGCAGCAACCCCGGCCCTTCTCCTGGAGCTCACACACGAATGGGGGTGGTGTGAGCAGGGGGAGACAGACAATAGACAAACGAACGGTAATCTCTGGAGTGTGGCAGCTGGTGGTGGTAATTGCTATGGAGAAAAATACAGCAAGGAAGGGGGACAGGGAGTCCAGAGGTGGAGTGGGGTGAGAGGCTGCTATATTTTATTTTATTTTATTTTATTTTATATTTTATTTTATTTTATTTTATTTTATTTTATTTATTTTATTTTATTTTATTTTGAGACAGAGTCGCTGGGATTACAGGCATGCTCCACCACGCCCGGCTAATTTTGTATTTTTAGTAGAGATGTGGTTTCTCCACGTTGGTCAGGCTGGTCTCGAACTCCCAACCTCAGGTGATCTGCCTGCTTTGGCCTCCCAAAGTGCTGGGATTACAGACGTGAGCCACCGCACCTGGCCTGAGGCTGCTATTTTAAATACGGTGGTTAGGACATGTGGCAGACATGAGCTGAACTTCAAACAGAGATCTGAAGGAGGCGAGGGAGCCAGCCCTGAAAATTTGGGGGCAGGGGCACAAACTGATCCAGGCAGAGGGGACAGTACGTGTAAGAGCACTGAGGCAGGCCTGGCCTATTTTTCAAAAAAAATTTTTTTTTTGAGATGGAGTTTCGCTCTTGTTGCCCAGGCTGGAGTGCAATGGTGCGATCTCGGCTCACTGGAGTGCAATGGCGCGATCTCAGCTCACTGCAAACTCTGCCTCCCGGGTTCAAGCTATTCTCCTGCCTCAGCCTCCTTGAGTAGCTGGGATTACAGGTGCACGCCACCTCGCCTGGCTAATTATTTTTAGTAGAGACGGGGTTTCACCATGTTGGCCAGACTGGTCTCGAGCTCCTAACTTCAGGTGATCTGCCCCCCTCAGCCTCCCAAAGTGCTGGGATTACAGGCATGAGCCACCGCGCCCAGCTGGCTATTTCTATTACTTCAAATTTACTTATCCCAAAGGTCGTGAGGAAGCACCTTCCATTCAGCTGACAGCCTTTGGGTCTGCAATGGAGGAGCGATGGGCTATCTTTTTCTTTTTTTCTTTCTTCTTTTTTTTTTTTTGGAGATGGAGCTTCGCTCTTGTTATTGCCCAGGCAAGAGTGCAATGACGCTATCTCGGCTCACTGCAACCTCCACCTCCCAGGTTCAAGAGATTCCCCTGCCTCAGCCTCCAGAGTAGCTAGGATTACAGACATGCGCCACCATGCGCGGCTAATTTCGTATTTTCAGTAGAGACGGAGTTTCTCTAGTTTGGTCAAGCTGGTCTCGAACTCCTGACTGCAGGTGATCCGCCCGCCTAGGCCTCCCAAAGTGCTGGGATTACAGGCGTGAGCTCCCGCGCCCGGCCCCCTTTTTCTTTATTTTATTTTTATTTTTTCACACACATCCCGTAGGATGAGATGCTTTTTGATTTTTTAAAAGACACCTAGTTGAAGACTGGCACTCAGAGGCCGGAGAAAAGCCTGTGGTTCCGATGGTTAGGGAAAGGCTTTGGGGGTCGAAGCTGAGTTGGGAGAGAGGAGGATGTGGCCGAATGGGGAAGGCAAGGCCGAGCAGAATGAGGGGCGCCCTCAGGGAGTCGGGGATGTTGGAAGGGGGCTGTAAATACAGGCGGGAGGTGGGCGGAACCCGCCCAAGCTACCGGGTGGCCGCCTCCCCAGTGCGGACCCAGGCTGAGGCCCCGCCCTGCCCGGAGGCTCCGCCCGCATCCAGGCCCCGCGGGCAGGATCTACCAAGAACCCACATCAAAGGCTCCCAGGAAGCGCGAGCGAGCCCCAAAGGAAGTGGCGCAGCCTCTAATCCAGCTCTGGGGGTGGGGGAAGCCCCGCAATTATTGGGGGGCTTCCTCCCGCGCTACCCCCTTTAAAACCCGGGAGCCCACATTTAAGTCTCCCCACCCCCACCTCAAATTGCCTCCTTGTTGGGGGTGAGGCTGTGTTCAGTAAAACTATTATTCAGACGAGTTTCACCCCAAAACCTCACCTGAACAGCTGAACAGTCTCTCTTTGCGGCTGCACCTGGGGAGTGTGTTCTTTTGAAAAAGATGGGGCCCTAGTTACCGCATGTTTGTGCAACACACACGTTTACTGGGCACCACTGTATGCCCGGCACCATGGGGGACGGCAAGATGGAATAAAACCGGGTCTCTGTCCTTCAGGGAGCCCCCTGCCTAAAGAGGAGGGAGTGAGAGCTGGGGTTTGTCCCGGGAGGAATTATTTATTTGGCCTGGGGGAGCCCTGTCTATTCTTCAGAAGTGACTTTTGATTGATTGTAAAGGTAGCAATAGCTAAGATTCAATGCGCATTGACTGTGTGCCCAGCACTGAGCAAAGGGCATTAGATACATGATGATCTCACTGAGTCCCAGCAGCAGCCCTGAAGGGTGGAAACCAGGATTATTGCACCCGCATGGCTCCACCAAGGCCACACAGTGGGTTACATGGAAGAATCCAGGTCTGCTGGACCCAGTGTTCATTCATTCACCAAATCTGTGTTGGGCGCACACTATAGACCAGGCACTCTCCTACCCTTTGGCAATCCGTTCTCCTGTGTTATGTATGCCAAGGCAGGTCTAGTAGGAGCTGCCCAGATGGAAGGGGCATCCAGGGAGAGGGCACAGCTGGGACAAAGGCATGAAAGTCCAGGAAGTGTTCAAAAAAGAGCAGGTCTACTCGGCTCTGGGGTAGACACACTTAACTTTTTAGTTCCACCTCTGCCATGTACCAGCTGTGTAATTTTAGTCATTTCTTCTCTCTGAGCCTCACGTTGTTTCTGCAAAAATGGAGGCAATATTAGCTTTTCCTTCCAGGGCTAGAGAGGATTAAATGAGTTTACAGAGGTGAAGTGGCCTGGCATAGAGCAGGCCTTCAAGAAATGTGGATTGAAATGAACAGAGGGGTCTGGGTGTGGTGGCTCACGCCTGTAATCCCAGCACTTTGGGAGGGTGATGGAGACCATCCTGGCTAACATGCTGAAACCCCGTCTCTACTAAAAATACAAAAATCTGGGCGTGGTGCCGCGTGCCTGTAGTCCCAGCTACTCGGGAGGCTGAGGCAGGAGAATCACTTGAACCCAGGAGGTGGAGGTTGCAGTGAGCCGAGATCGAACCTCTGCACTCCAGCCTGGCAACAGAAGGAGACTCTGTCTAAAAAATAAATAAATAAAAAATAAAAAAAAGAAATGAATGGAGGGGGCTGGGCGTGCTGGCTCACGCCTGTAATCCCAGCACTTTGGGAGGCCGAGGTGGGAGGATCACTTGAGGTCAGAGGTTCAAGACCAGCCTGGCCAACGTGGTGAAACCCCATCTCCACTAAAAAATACAAAAATGAACTGTGCATGGTGGTGTGTGCCTGTAATCCCAGCAACTAGGGAAGCTGAGGCAGGAGAATCCCTTGAACCCGGGAGGTGGAGGTTGCAGTGAGCCGAGGTTGCGCCACTGCATTCCAGCCTCGGTGACAGAGCAAGACTCCGTCTAAAAAAAAAGGAAATGAATGGAGGAAACTAATTTAGAATGTCACCATCAAATGTGAGCATCTAAGGCCAAGCACAGTGGCTTACGCCTGTAATCCCAGCACTTTAGGAGGCCGAGGAGGGCGGATCATGAGGTCAGGAGTTCAAGACCAGCCTGACCAACATGGTGAAACCCTGTCTCTACTAAAAATACAAAAATTAGCCAGGTGTGGTGGCGTGCACCTGTAATCCCAGATACTCAGGAGGCTGAGGCAGGAGAATCACTTGAACCCGGGAGGTGGAGGTTGCAGTGAGCTGAGATTGCGCCACTGCACTCCAGCCTGGGGGACAGAGCAAGACTCTGTCTCAAAAAAAAAAAAAAAAAAAAAATTAGCATCTATTGAGCAGAATGTGTGGGGAACTGTTCTACCTGTTGCTGGATTCATACCCTGCCTCTGAGGGATTTACAGTCTAGTTGAGAAGATAGTTCAGAGGCTTTGAAAAACAAAAAAGAGTTCAGTTGGTTGAGAGCAGGGTGCTGGTAGGCATGTAGCATGGAGGCCCCTGGGGCTCTAGGGGGGGCCTGATCCCTGGGGGTTTCACCCAAGAGGTAGTAATTAGACTGACCTTAAAGATCCCAGCTGCGGAGAGTTGGCACATTCCAGGACGGGGCACTGCTCTCCAGGTTCAGTGGAATTCAGAGGCAATGGTTGAGGCAGGTACCCATGAGAGTGCGCGCTGGATCTAGCCTGTCTGGGCCAGAATGCCAGCTCCAAATTTTACTTCCAAATTTGCTCTTCTGCAAAATGTGGGCAGGAGCAGTGGCCACCTCCCTGAAGGTGTCATGAGAACTAAGTGGATCAGTACAGATAAGTGCCTAGAACTGGGCCCGGCACATAGTAGTGCTTCATAAGTATTGGCTACAGTTTTTTTCTTTGCTTTTCTTTTTTTAAAAAAATTTTGTTTTGAAACAGGGTCTCACTTGGTTGCCTAGGCTGGAGTGCAGTGGTGCAATCACGGCTCATTGCAGCCTTGACCTCCTAGGCTCAAGCAATCCTCCTTCCTCAGCCGCCCGAGTAGCTGAGGCCACGGGTGCTCACCACCATGCCCAGCTAATTTTTTTTCTTTTTTCTTTTGTAGAGATGGGGTCTCACTGTATTGCCCAGGCCGCATTATTTTTTTTCTGATGCTCTTGGCCAAAGGCAGGCACAGATCAAAGGTGGGGTAAGTGAGGCCATGGCTTCAGCATTCACCTTTGTCATCTCCTTGCCCCCAGTACCCAGCCCCAGCTAAGTCCTAGCAAAGGTGGGCCCCTAAGCAGGCTGGTGGGCCGGAGGCAGGGATTGGCAGGAGAGGCAGTCACACACAAACACACACTCACTCGGGCTCCACCTGCCTGTACAGGAGCCTTGTCTGCTGCAGTGGCGCTGAGGCCCTGAGGGCTCCTTGGGGCCTTTATGGGGTAATTCCATCTCCATTAGGGCTGATTATGTCACTATAAATACCGCGTTTTGGTGCCGCTTTATAAGACTCACTGAAGAACTTTCCTCCTTAGCACCCAGTCACCTAGAGCGGGAAAGACTCTGAGTCGGACAGGAAAAGAGGGAAGGGTGTGTCATTAAATGGGTGACTAAAAGCCAGGGAAAAGCCAGGTGGAACACCCTCTTGCCACCACCTGACATACCACTCCTTTCCATAGGCCTCTGTTCACGTCACATGCTGCAGATGAGCAACACCCTGCCCTATGCTCTCAGCCCCCAACTTGTGCACATACTGCTGGGCACACGCCCCACAGCCATCAGGGCCTGCCTGCACCCCTGCCGTGTGTGTGCTTGGATTCAACCTTTTGAGGCCACACATGGAAACCCACACTTGCCACCAGAAGGACCAACCAACACTACACACAGAGACTTTCACGCAACACAGAACTCGCAACACTGTCATTCACTCATTAGTTCATTCATTCAGCGGAGGCTTGCTGAATATCTAGTATGTATCAGGCACTGTCTGTTTTCTTTTTTTGTTTTTGGCTCTCGCTCTGTCACCCAGGCTGGAGTGCAGTGCCGCGGTCTCGGCTCACTGCAACCTCCACCTCCTGGGTTCAAGCGACTTTCCTGCCTCCAACTCGAGCAGCTGGGATTACGGGCATGCGCCACCACGCCCGGCTAATTTTTGTATTTTTAGTAGAGACGGGGTTTCACCATGATGACAAGCTTGGTCTCAAACTCCTGACCTCAAGTGATCTATCTGCCTCGGCCTCCCAAAGTGCTGGGATTACAGGCGTGAGCCACCGCGCCTGGCCCAGGCACTGTCTGTTTTCTACAAACATCCCTGTCCTCCTGCAGTGTGTCCTCTAGTGACACATCTGACAGATGGAGCCTGCAAGTGGCATGTAACACACATGTACAAGCAGTGGCTTCCACACAACTCACATGGAGTCTTACACACGCCAGTGTCCCTAGCCCAGAGGCTCCAATACAACATGCAAAACACTTATCCAAACCACGTACTACACACATGCTCACACTCATCCACACACCCCATGTGCCTGTCCACAGAGCCCTGGGCACAACACATGCCCTGCTCTCCACGGATGTGGCTTCCTGTTGCTGAACCGCATGTAACCCAGTAACAGCTGAGATTTCATGCGTGCTTTCTGTAGTCCTGGCCCCTGTGGTTTACATGCATGACTTTATTTGATCTTTACAGTAACTCTCCTAAATAGGCTTTACATCTTTCCAGGAGCAAACTGAGGCTCAGAAAAGTGAAATAACTTGTTCAGAAACTCATGGGCTGACTCCACATCTACTGTGAAGTATGGCACACTCACAAATACATGCATACACAAATCCACACTCACATGCACTCATACACAAATCTCTCACACCCACATGCACACTCATACACACATCTAGACACATCCACACAATCCACAAAAACACACACAGACACACACTCATACCCAAATCCTCTCATGCCCATGCACACACACTTATACACACATATACCAACACTTTTTTCTTTTTTTTTTTGAGACAGAGTCTTGCTGGCCCAGGCTGGAGTGCAGTGAGTGGCGCAATCTCGGCTCACTGCAATCTCTGCCTCTGGGGTTCAAGTGATTCTCCTGCCTTAGCCTCCTTAGTAGATGGGATTACAGGTGAGTGGCACCACGCCCAGCTAATTTTTTTGTATTTTTAGTAGAGACGGGGTTTCACCATGTTGGCCAGGCATGTCTGGAGCTCCTGACCTCAAATGATCTGCCTGCCTCGGCCTCCCAAAGTGCTGGAATTACAGGCCTGAGCCACCCTGCCCAGTCACATACAACACTTATGTCCATACACACACTCACACACAGTCATACATACATCAACACTCTCATGTCTATACACACGAATGCACATTCAACAAAATCTCACACCCTCATACACATGCACTTATTCTCACAGGCACTTGCACACTCACAGGCTCTCAGAGGACCAAGGCTCTCCTCCCATCCTCTTGGTCAAAGGCTTTAATTATCCCCAACGCCTGTAATTAACCCTTCCTCTCTTCCTGCAGGAGAGATGTCTGGACCCGCTTCCCAAGAGTAGGCACCAAGGCGAGAGGCCAAGATGTCCACATCCGGCAGAGAAGACCCACGTACCTGGGTAGCAGGTCCCGGGCATCAAAGCGAGGATGGGGTCAGAGAGGAAGAGGTAGGCAAAGGGAGTCTGGGGCCTCCCAGGAAATCAGGCCTGCCACAGTTGCTCTTCCTGGACTGGTCAAATGGTGATTGGCCAACAGGCAGCCGTGGGTGGCTGGGCAGGCGGGCCAGAGCAAATTTCCCGTTTGTTTCACTCACACTAGCCGCTTCTGTCAGGAAGGGAGATGAGCTCATGTCTGAGGAAGTTTTGTGAAGAGGCCTTATCAAGGGGCAGGTGGTAGGCAGGTGTCCTCCAAACTGTCAAAACCTATCAACCCATGCCAGGGTCGGGGGCCAGGGGTGCCCCTTGCCCCCTTCCCCAAAAAGAAGCAGTGGTTCAAGCAGAGACCACCAGGATTCAAATCCTGCTTCTACTACCCGTGAGCTGTGCACCCTTTGGGCATGTTGTTTCTGCTCTTGGAGCCTCAGTCTCCTCTTCTGTAACATGGGGATGATGACCCCTGCCTCCCAGATGAGAATTATTAATAAATAAGATAGTGCATGTCTGATCCATTCCCAGAGGAAATGAACCTATTCTCAGATCATAGTAGGCTTATAGGCTTCTGAACAGAGATACTCTTTTTGACCATCAGCAGCTTGATATACTCTTCAAGGGTTTTAGGAAGGAGGGCATCCAGGTCTATTTCTGGGCCACTCTCTCAGGCCTGCTGCTTAGGAGGCAACTGCTTATTGGACCCCCAATCCATTTCAGCTCAGACCTTCAGGCCAGCGTTGAGCTCAGTCGCATTGAGCTCAGTCTCAGAGGTGAAGGGCAGAATGGGTATGGCTCAGCGCAAAACCATTAAACGTTTCCACCGAGGATACCAGGCTCAGAGATCCCTGGGGGCTAATCCGTAGGGGCGCTGGCGCTTTGAGACGCTCAAACTTTGGAAGGCCTGCGGGGAGCCCGCGAGTCCAGAGGGCCCCAAGGTCCTCCTCCAAACCCCTCCGGACTTCCCCTCCCTCTCCTCCGGGTGCCAGCCCGGCCCCTTTAAAGACATTCCTGAGGGCGGGCGTTGGTGACGTCACGCAGGGCATGAATGAACAGGAGTCGGTTCTCACCCAACTTCCATTAAGGACTCGGGGCAGGAGGGGCAGAAGTTGCGCGCAGGCCGGCGGGCGGGAGCGGACACCGAGGCCGGCGTGCAGGCGTGCGGGTGTGCGGGAGCCGGGCTCGGGGGGATCGGACCGAGAGCGAGAAGCGCGGCATGGAGCTCCAGGCAGCCCGCGCCTGCTTCGCCCTGCTGTGGGGCTGTGCGCTGGCCGCGGCCGCGGCGGCGCAGGGCAAGGAAGGTGAGTGCGCGCGGCGTCTGGACCCCTGGCCCCCGGGCCCCAGTGCCCCCTAGAGCCCGGCGCTCCTTGACGCGCGCAACTTTGGAACCTACCTGGTGTCGCCCAGTCCCGGCGAACTGGAGTCCGGAGGGCGCACGGGCTGCGATCGAGGCGAGCCCTGGCCCCCACCCGGGGTCATAGGGGCTCCGGAGAATAAGCGGTTTCAGCTTGGTCGCACGGGCCTCGGAGGCTGCGGAGAAGAGGACGCGGCGCAGGCCACGCGGTTGCAGTCCAGGCGGCGACTTCGGGAACGCGTCCCGGCGGGGGGCGTGGGGAGTCCCCTAGAGAAGGGGGTGTTTGGGCAGCTTTCCGCGGGCTCAGCTTCTTAGTGACCTGAATTCACTAACCCGCTTGCCGAGGTTTTGCGGAGAAGGCATACTGTGCAGGCCTCGCATTTTGGGGAGGGGGCTCGGGCGGGCGGGAGCCCCCTGTCGAAGCCCCTGTTCCCTGAGATTTTCTCCACGCCCCCCTTCACCTCCAGTCCCGGGGGAGAGCGTGGAGATAGGTTCGGGCCAATCCCTGCTCACACACTCCTTTCCCTCCTTCCCAAGCCGCACTCCCGGGCTCCCGGGGCAGGTTAGGGGCCGCGAGTGCGGACAGGAAGTCCCAAAGTCAAGCGTTCTGAGCAAGGGTGACTCAGAACGAGGAAATGCGGCAGGTGGGGGTGCGGCCTCCCAAGGTGTGGAGCTGTCAGCCCAGGGCCACCAGGGAGTCAGGACACCCGGGGGTGGGGGACTGAATCACCCACCCCCGCCCCAGTGTTCCCGGAGCCGCGCCGAGTGAGGGGCCGCAGACTTTGCTCATGGCGCAGCGGGTGCGTGGTGGGGGTGTTGTCCCTCCGCTAGGGTCAGGGCGAGGATGGGGGCTCCTGCCCTGGCCGAAGACCTTCCTGTCCACCCAGCCCAGGCCAGCTTCAATTTCCAACAGTGAGGGCAAGGCTTCCCCTCCTGCCTGGGCAGAGCGAGGTTTCCGCAGGCTCCACAAGGGGGAAGCCGGGAGGAAACTTGGGCCGGTGAGAAGTTTCCTTCTTTTTTTTTTTTTTTTTTTTTTTTGAGACGGAGTTTCGCACTTGTTGCCCAGACTGGAGTGCAATGGCGCAATCTCGGCTCACTGCAACCTCTGCCTCCCGGGTTCAAGCTATTCTCCTGTCTCAAGCCTCCCTAGTAGCTGGGATTACAGGTGCCCGCCACCAGGCGCGTCTAATTTTTGCATCTTTTAGTGGAGACGAGGTTTCACCATGTTGGCCAGGCTGATTCTGAACTCCTGACCTCAGGTGATCCACCCGCCGCGGCCTCCCAAAGTGCTGCGATTACAGGCATGAGCCACCACCCCCGGCCTGTTTCCTTCTTTTTCTGCCTCCCAAACTGGGTTTGGAGGTTTTGCTGTTCTGTGTTGGGAGGAAAAGAGGCCGGATCTGGAGCCGTTGGGCAGTGGCAGGTGTTGGGGGTGGCATCCTGTCTCAGTCTCTGGAGTGACAGGGCCCGGGTTGGGGTCTCAACCGGGACTTCTGGTTGCAGGAGCTCATGGCAAGGATTTCTGCCACCCTCAATATCCGCCCCACCAACGTTTGGTCCTCCCCCTTCCTGGGGGACTGTGGTTGGAGAGAAGGGGAGAGACAGCTGGAATCACTATAGGCCTTTCTCCTCGGCTGCCCATGGGGGGGTGGGGGATTAGGCGGGTGCTTTGCTGCTGCAGTCCCCAAGCTGGCCTGGAAGCCTGGAGCTGCCTTGTCCTTGTCCCCTGTGTCCACCTCTCCCCAGCCTGTGTGATTAAACCCCACCCCCACACCCCATGGGATGCAGGGGGAAAGGCTTGTGTATTGCACTGGGGTGGGGGTACATTTTTGCTTCGACTCTGAGTCCCCGTGAAAGAGTCCCTAGAGAAGTGTGCCTAGGTGGGGGTGGGCATGATGGCCTAGCTGGCAGCTGCTGGTTTCAGTTCCTGGGAATCAGGCTGTATGTGGTGGGTCTGCCTGGGGGTGGCTTAGGGGGCAGGCAGGAGGACACAGGTGCCTTTTTCACCTACCCCCAGGCTGCTTCAGACTTCTTTCTTGCCCCCTCACCCCTAGGCTATACTTGGTTGCCCACGTGGCTCCTGTTAGGTCATCAACAGCCACTGAATCTGCCCTCATTTTTACAAATGGGGAAACTGAGGGAGGCCCGAGCCCTTGCCAACCAGGGCCTTCTGGACAGAGGACCAGACCTGAGCATCCCGCTTCTTGGCTGCCAGAGCCAAGGCCCTGCCTGCTTTGTGGTTGGTGTCATGGTAGATTTTCCTGGGAAGCAGGCATAGCTGGGCAGGGGCCTGGGCGGGTGGCAGGGGGTGCTGAGCTGGGGTGCTGCTGATGGGAAGAGGGCTGGAGAGTGCCAGGAAGTCCTTGGTTTCTGGTTCTACCGGGGCCAAGTCTGCCCTCTGTCCCCTTTCCCTTTTCTTTCATGTTTTCCCCAGAGTCCCCACCTCCCTGCTTCCTTTAGGGATTAGCTAGTCTTGGTTAGAGAGGAATGGGGGAAGCGGGGAGGGAACCACAGCCTCGGAGGCTGCGGAGAAGGACCGGAGACCGGGAGTGGGTGGCAGTCCTGCATTTGTGGAAGAAGCTGTGGAGCAATGTGGACCCACAAAGATGGCACTTACGGTGGAACTCATGGCAAAGAAGGAGGTGTTTTTTGCTTTTTTTTTTTCCCCCCAGAAATGGGAAGGTAAGGGGATAGAGAGCTCATGGATAAGCCCTGCTTAGCCTAAGCCTCTCCAGGAAGCCGTCTGGGTCAGCCGAGGGGCTCCCAGGCTCCCACCCTTTCCAGAGAAGCGGGAGCCTCTGTCCCTGGAAGAACCTGGGGAAAGAGCCGCGCCCGCGTCAGGGCGGAGGGACCCAGCGCTGGGCGCCTCCTGTTCCTGGTGGTTGGTTCGAGGGAATTTCCCTGGGAGGGGGCCGGGGTTGGAAACCCCTGCAGGGGGGGCTCCTTCCTGTGTGAGGGCTTCTTTTCTTCTCCGATTGAGCCCTGTGCTACTTCTAGAGCCAGGCCTAGGCTGGAAAGGGAGGGCCCTCCATGCCAGGTTAACCCTTCAGAAGCCTGGTAGCGGTGAGCCCTCTCACTTGGGCACAGACCTCAGCCTCCTGTCAATCTAAGGGGGGGCTGCAGGACTGTGAGGAACCTTTGTCCTTCTACCCACCCAGCTGAAATCAGGAGCCTCCAGATTCCTTCCTGTGTAGCTGGAACATTCCATTTGCTAGTGGGGTTAGTGAGTTTCAAAGCCCCGGCCCTGGGCATGTCTGAACAAATCCCTGCCCCTGCCCACCCCGCTGCCCCCAGCCACCCTCCCCTATCCCCACAGCCTCTGTCATGGGGCCGGTGTCACATTGGATTTCCTCTTGCCTGTCTGGGCTGCCTGACCCTTCCTAGAGAGGTTTGGCCCCGGTCAGTAGTGGGGGTGGCAGCATTTCACGCCCCAGCCTGGGGGCCTTCAGCCCAGGTAGGAGGGCCATGTCACTTCAGGAGGCGGTCTTCAAGACCACCCTCAGAGCCCAGCTCCCATCTCCACAAACCAGGCCATCCCTGCTCCCAGCCTGCCTGGAGCTCTGTCCACCCTTTGAGTCCTTCTCCGGTCCTGGCCTTGAGGAATGGGGCTTCTGAGGCAGATCCCTCATGCTCCAGGGCCCAAAGGAAGCATTGACTTGGTTTCTTTACCCCCACCTTAGGGCTTTACCCTCTGAATCCATCTTGCATAGGTTCTATGCCCCGGTTTCTCCTATCTCCTTACCCTCTAGGGAGGGTAGCACTTATTGGCAGCTACCTGGACTTTACTTGGAAATAGAGTGGGGACAGTACCTAGGGTCTTAGGTTTTGTCTATGGCCTCTGAGCCTGGCAGAGAACCTGGGGTGGATCAGTGGGAGGTGCCCAATGGCAGGACTAGGTCTAGGGAAGACCCCGGGAGTGTATCCCTCCGCCAGGCTCCAGTTGCCTCTCTGGGAACAGGATGGTCCTGACACCTGGTCTCTGGGCCTAGAATGTCCCCTACAAGGGCTTTTATTCCTGATCCCCCAGGAACCTCTGGCACCCCTGGCAGGGCAGTGGTCAGGATGTGAGGGGCAGGGGTGGTGGGAGTGACTTTCCCAGGGAGGGGACCTCACCAGCTGTGTGTATCTTTGGGCCCCTCTTAGGGGCCCTATGGGTCCAGGGCTTTATCCTGCCTGCTCTGTGGCTTTTGTGGTGAGAAGATCGGTTTCCAGATACCCTCTTCCCTCCTCCACCCTGGAGCTGTTCCCACCTGTTCACAGCACTCTCTTCTTGGAGTACCGCAAGATGCACGTGTACATATAGGTGCATATGTGTGTGCTACATGACCTGAGTGGGGTTGGTGTGTTTCCTGCTGGGGGGAATGTGGCAGAAGCAGACACCAGTGTCCCTAAGGCCCACATGCACGTGAAGTGCTGCCAAAGGGCCTTGTTCAAGGAAGCAGAGGGGGCGGTGTGGTGTCACTTAATACCCTGCTCAGCCCAGCTCTCTGCCCAGCTGCTGTTCTCCTGCCGGGCTGAGCTCCCTGGCCTGCTCTGCCCAGCTGGGGACTAACGGAGGGGGACAGGATGGCTGGAATCCTGGCCTGGGAGACTGGAGGCCCAGTCCTGACCCCAGCCTGCTGTGTGCCTTCAGCTGGGTTCCATCCTTTTTCTGGGCCTGTTTCCCTCATGAGTCGAGGGATGATTTTCTTGGATATGGTGACCCTGTGTGGTGGGGTCCCTCTCGCTCTGTCTGAGAGTTGGGGTTCCTGGAGGGATCCTCACCTTTCCTGCCATGGTCTGACTCCTGAAGACACCCCCAGGCTCACCCCCTCTCCCTTCTCCCTTTCAGTGGTACTGCTGGACTTTGCTGCAGCTGGAGGGGAGCTCGGCTGGCTCACACACCCGTATGGCAAAGGGGTATGTAAGCCTTCGGGGTGGGGAGAGGTGTGAGAATGGGGCTGCTGGTCCCCTGTAGAGATGGAGAAACTGAGGCCCAGGGAGCGTGGGGCCTGGCTTCAATTCAGCAGCTCAGCCAGGTCTCAGGCTCAGGGTCCAGCTTCTCACACCAGGCTCAGAGTCAGCCGGCCCAGGCCAGGGCTGGATGGGCGTGGGAAGGTACGAGGGTGTGGGTGTAAGCCTGAGAGGTGGGGGGAACTGGGGAGACAGAGAAGGCCCTAGCGGAGCTGGGCCTTCCATGTTCCAGAAGGGCTGACAGTCAGAGGGATCTCTGGCACCACCCATCCACCTCTTGGGAGGGAAGGGGTTAAAGATGCCCCCTGTCTTGAGGTCTCAGCCCAGGAGGTGAGGGGTGAAGAAGAGACAGGGAACAGGAAAACCTGATCAAGTTCCTTCCTGCCCGCCCCTTTCCCACCTCTAGCTGTTGCTTCCCCTTCCTGTGGGGGGCTGCATTTCTCTGCCTCATTCTCACCCAGGTCTTCCCCTCTATGCCGTCCTGATGTGACCAGGAATGGGGGCAGGGGCTGGGGGTTCTTCCCCTGGCTGTGTGTGTCTGCTGTGTGATCTTGGGGAAGATGTGGCTCTCGGGGCCTCAGTTTCCCTCTCTATACAATGGGCCCTTGCTGAGTTTGTCCTGGGACCCTGAGCTGAGAAAGGGGGCTGTCTCCCAGGGGCTACTTGGAATAGTTCCCAGAGCTGGCCAGATCTGCATGAGTCGAGTTCTTGTCCCCGGTCACCCTAGCTCTGGGCAGGCTTGGCTGGGGTGTAGCCCTGAGCAGGTTTCTAGGATCCTGGAAGTCTAGCTGGGAGGGAACACGGGTCACCTAATACAACCCAGTCTTTATACAGAGTGGGAAACTGAGGCCCAAGGGCATGTAGGGCCTTGGCCAACGCCACACAGTATAGCCCGGGCCTCTGTCCTCCTCCCCTGTGCTTTCATTCATTCTTTTGTTTATTCATTCAACAAACGCTTCCCTGAGCACCTACTCTGTCTCAGGCCGGCTCTCGGGACACAGGACACAGGTGAATTAGATGCAGACTCTGGCTGAGGAGCTCAGAATCTCATGTGGGAGCCCAGATGTGGGTGTCCCCATGTGCCGTGCCAAGTGCACTTTGGTAAATGGCAAGGGGTACAGGGTAAAGGGAACATGGCAACTTTGGGAGTTGGGTGGCGGGGGGCACCTGGCCCAACTGTAGCCTAACCTGGGAATTCTTTCTGGAGAAGGCTGAGTTATGATCCAGGGAGGGAGGAACATGTTCATCTGCTGCAAAGCCAAATTCTAAATGACGGAGAGCATCATCCGTTGTTTTTGACTTAATGCCACTCCTGCGTTTGCCAACACACATGGGTGCATGGTGAATAATACCAAGAGTAACAATAATCATACTGGCTGCCCGTATGCCTGTTACCTTGTGCCAAGCACTGTGTTCAGCCAGTGTAGACATTCTGTCCTTTATCCTCACAGCAATTCTGTGAGGTAGGGGGTCTTGCTCCCATTGTACAGATGAGGAAATTGCGGCTTAGAGAGCATAACCCACCTGAGGTCACATGGAGTCCCGGACTCCACCTGCAGGCTCACAACCTAATAGAGAGGTTTGGCTTCCAGACATGTGCCAGAAAGACCAGGGGCCAGATTCCAGCTCAGCCACTTATGGATGCAGCCCCCACCCGCCTCAGGCCTCAGTTTCCTTCACCGTAGAACCCGGAGAGCACGAACTGGAAAGCATCTTCCTAGTGCCCTACTCTGCCACCTGGGCCTCAGTTTCCCCAGGCACCTGCCCACACTAACCTGTATCTTCCCCCCACAGTGGGACCTGATGCAGAACATCATGAATGACATGCCGATCTACATGTACTCCGTGTGCAACGTGATGTCTGGCGACCAGGACAACTGGCTCCGCACCAACTGGGTGTACCGAGGAGAGGCTGAGCGTATCTTCATTGAGCTCAAGTTTACTGTACGTGACTGCAACAGCTTCCCTGGTGGCGCCAGCTCCTGCAAGGAGACTTTCAACCTCTACTATGCCGAGTCGGACCTGGACTACGGCACCAACTTCCAGAAGCGCCTGTTCACCAAGATTGACACCATTGCGCCCGATGAGATCACCGTCAGCAGCGACTTCGAGGCACGCCACGTGAAGCTGAACGTGGAGGAGCGCTCCGTGGGGCCGCTCACCCGCAAAGGCTTCTACCTGGCCTTCCAGGATATCGGTGCCTGTGTGGCGCTGCTCTCCGTCCGTGTCTACTACAAGAAGTGCCCCGAGCTGCTGCAGGGCCTGGCCCACTTCCCTGAGACCATCGCCGGCTCTGATGCACCTTCCCTGGCCACTGTGGCCGGCACCTGTGTGGACCATGCCGTGGTGCCACCGGGGGGTGAAGAGCCCCGTATGCACTGTGCAGTGGATGGCGAGTGGCTGGTGCCCATTGGGCAGTGCCTGTGCCAGGCAGGCTACGAGAAGGTGGAGGATGCCTGCCAGGGTGAGTGACGGTTCTGGGTTGCAGGGAAGGGGGTTCTGCATTCCCAGGTTCTGGTCTTTAGCTTTGGAATCATGGAATCTTGGTAAGCTCATCCCTGCTTTGACACACATTAGTTCTGTTAGTGGAAATTATAGATCCTTCCCAGACATCAGTTTCCTTATTAAGGCTGGACTAACTCATTCATTAAGAATGAATGAATTGTGGCTGGGCACGGTGGCTCATGCCTGTAATCCCAGCACTTTGGGAGGCTGAGGTGGGTGGATCACTTGAGCCCAGGAGTTTGAGACCAGCCTGGGCAACATAATGAAACGCCGTCTCTACCAAAAACACAAAAATTAGCTGGGTGTGGTGGCATGCACCTGTAATCCCAGCTACTTGGGAGGCTGAAGCACGAGAATCAATTGCTTGAACCCGGGAGGTGGAGGATGCAGTAAGCTGAGATCGCACCACTGTACTCCAGCCTGGGGTGACAGAGGAGATGCTTGTCTGAAAAAAAAAAAAAGAATGAATGAATTGAGAAACAGCAGAATGTGGAGTTTATGATTGATGACTCTGAAACAAGAATGCCTGTGTTCAAATCCCAGGTCTACATTTTTAGCTGTGTGGCTTTAGGCCATTTCCTTGACCTCTCTGTGCCTGGGTTTCCTCATCTGTAAAATGGAGAGGATCATAGCGTCTATCTCGTAGGGTGGCTGTGATAATCAAATGACTTAATAGTAAAGTGCTTAGGTCAGTGCCTGCCACATGAGTACTTTTAAATGTGGCTGTTATTTTTGATTCATCCCACGAATGTATACTGAGTAGCTCTGGTACAGCGGCACTGTGGTCCCACGGTGGAGTACCAGGAGCAAGTTCCATGTCTGTTATCAGCTCACTATGTGGCCTTAGGCAAGATACTTAAACTCCCTGGGCCTCAAACTCCTCTTTCGTACATAGAAGTGACTGAGTTGGACCCGGGGTGCACATCCCCTGGCTGCATATCAGGATCACCCGCGGAGCTTTTGGGAAATGCTTCTGTTGAGGGAGAGGTTGGAGGGGGGCCAAGGGTCTGCCTTTCTTGTCTGAATGTCCCCAGGGCCACAAATTTCCCATTGGGACCTCTATTGATTTTCCACTGGGGCCTCTATAGATGACACACTGGGCCCAGAAAAGGGCCAATTCATTCAGACTCTCCTTGGGGAATGAGGCTTGGGCATTAGTGAGTTCACATGGAGGAAGCCGTGGCGTGGTGTGGCCAGGGCCTGTGACAGCGGAAATCTCCACAGCAATGTGGATTTTCAATGGGTGACTTTTTCTGGAAATGGCCATGAGGCAGAGCATTTGTGGAATGCAGGCCAACCTTTGGAGGGCTGGCTCATTCCCTCTCTCTGGCAGCTTCTTTGCTGAGATAAGCGGGACGTTAAGGAATTGGAGGTTTAGTGGCTGCGTTGCACACACCTTGGCTAACTCCCCCCTCATCTCTGGTCTTGGGTTTCCTTTGAGTAAAATGAGAAAGTTCAACAGCACCAGCAGACTTTATGCTTGTTTTCTAGCCATGGATCCTGCAGCCCCTGGAGGGGGTTGAAGGGTTGGAGGACACTGAAGCCCTTTGTGATGGGCCCTACTTGCCTCCTAAAGCAAGTCCTCAGAACCTTACTTAACACGGTCTGTAAACCCCCCGATGAGAAGTTCCCTACGAGCTTTCTGGCCATAAGCCTGTGGTGTAGGCTCTGCTCCGGCCCATGCCATCGCCCCCTTGTCTTCCCAGCTCCCCTCTGCTGAGCGAGCCCCCCTTCCCCAGGCGGCCCCTGCTTTAGGTGACCTCGAATGCATACTCTCAGTTTCAGACAATGAGTGCGGTTGAGGGGGCCGGGACGAGGCAGCCCAGTGGGGCGAGCAGGCTCCTCCCACATGACATCCTCGCACAAGAATGCGGGGGTGGGGGTGAGGGGCAGCTGAAAACTTTCCACAGGCTGGTGAGGCAGGCCCCGCAGAGATAAGTGGACGGTTGGGGTGGGGGTGTCTCTCCAGGAAGCGGGGCAGCCTTCCCTCCTCTAGAGGTGGGGGGTCAGGGTTCTGGCAGATTTTGTTTGCAGAGAGCCGAGCAGCCCCCTGTTGGGAAGATCAGCCCAGCAGGAGGACAAGTTTCCAAGAGCGAAATTTCCGACTTAGTTCGTGGAACCCTGTCAATCGCTAGTCACCTACTGCCGGATTGTTCCTCCTCGGGATCCTCCCACCAAAATTCCTTTCAGTGTGGCTGGGTGCCGGTGCGCGAGATGCCAGGAACGCCCGGCTGGCTCCTCTTTATACCTCTAGACTTCTCTCAGCAGCCCCTGGCCATGCTGCTGCTGGAAGTGATGACAGTCGCTACCGTAGACGGGTGTCGTCCGAGGGGCAGGCGCTGAGCCAAGCAAGCGCTTTATCAGACATGCGAGCGGAATCCACACCGCCTTTCTGCGTGGCAGGGACTGTGATCAATCCCATTTGATAGACCAGGAAACTGAGGTTCAGAGAGCTAAAGAGGCTTGCCTGAAGTCACACAGCTAGGATGTGGCTGCATCAGGATCTGAATCCAGGCGGTGCAGCGGCGCCCAGGCTGCAGGATGGGTCAGGAAATGGGGCGGGAAGTGACCAGTTCCTTTGGAATCCCTGACTCAGCTCCTGGCCCTGGGGTAGGCTCTCTGGCCAGCCCTGGGGATGGCAGGGTCTGTTGCAGGGGCTTGGGGGCTCTGTTGGAGGCAGGGGTCCTGGAGAGGGCACTGCTGGGTACATTGAGGGAGAACCAGAGGGAGGCACAGGGTCTGCCCTCCCTGCCGGACCCTCCCCAGGCCTGGAGACCCAGATTCTTTCACTGGGGCTCCTGCTGGTGACAAACCAGACCCAGAGCGAGGCGGGGCACCCTGAGGTCACCTGGCACCTTGTCTAGGTTATTCCCAGTTTGTCCGTTTCTCCTCAGGGTTCTTTCCCCAGGAAGCCCAGAGCTCAGGAAAGAGTTAAGTGGGCAGAGGAAGGGAGGCACCTCCCAGGTGCTGTGTGCGGCAGGTGGGCACGCTGCCCGGAGCGCTCCCATGAACTATGTCAGGAATGAGCCAGCTTCCCTTGGTTCCCCCGCCCTGCCCCCGGCCCTGCCTGCGGGGACAGTGGAGTCGCTCGGGCTGACCGCTGTCCCCCGGGGGCTGCTTTGTCTCCATGTCTCCGCTTCCTGTGCTGGCCTCAGCAGCTGGCGGGGCCCCTGCTGGCGCCTCAGCCCTGGGGACCGCTGGTCAGGTGAGCAGGTGGCCAGCAGCCTTGGCCAGTGGCTCAGCTGAACAGCTGGGAGGCCAGAGCTGGGGTTGTGGGGAGTTGGAGATTCCCTCCTGAGAGGCTCCTGCTCCCTCAAGGGGCCCAGCCCCTTGGGGAGGTCCCCTCCCTACTGTAGTTTCATGATCCCCTAGTTCATAGGGACACCGCATTCCAGGCACCATGCTGGACATCTCATAAGCAGGGCTTTCTTCCATCTTCACACACAACCCAGAGAGGATGAGGACTTGATCCCCATTTTACAGATGAGGAAACTGAGGTCCGGAGAGGAAGCAGTGAACAGTGACCAAAAGAACGGGGGCCTGGCACAGGAAGGCAGTTGCCCCTGGTGTGTGTCCTTCCACCCACAGGCTGTATGACCTTAGCAGGTCCCCTTGGGGTCCCACCCCCATCTGTAAAATGAGTGGGCTGGACCTGTGGCCCTGAAGGACGCTGTCAACCTGGTGATCCGAGCTTCCCTCCTGTGGTTTCCCACTGGGGCTCAGTCTGAACACCGGGGAAGCTGTTGACTGTGTGACACAAGTGTGGTGAGGAGGGGTCCCACTGCTTACAGCCCCAGTGGCCTAAAGTCCATAGCTGACAGGGAGGAGTCCCCTGGCCAGGGTATGTCTGTGGTTAAGGTGGTCTTTAGACAGGGTGGTCTCGGGCCATGGCAGGGGCTGCTGGCAGGATTCCTGTTTCATCAGATCACAGTTGGTCCCCCAGGTGGAAGACTCTGGGAGCTGCTGGCTGTGGCTCGCAGGCTTTGTCCCCTGCTGGGAAGTCCCACCAGGCCTTATTTCTGTGATGTTTCTTCTGGCCTACAGAGGTGGGACCACGGTGGCAGCACCCCCAGCCCCCCATGGTGGCTCTCACCTCTGTGCCCTGTCTGCCCCACCCTCAGCTCACACTGGGGGCAAAGCTAGGCGCTGGCATCTCCGCTGGGCGGGCACCGGCTTCTCCCTCCCTCCCTCTCTCCCTCCTGGAGGTAAGTGGGTCCCCAGAACGGAAGGAAGGAGGCGAGGGAAAGCAAACAGAAGATGAAAGGCTGGAGGCAGGACAGGAGCGGTAGGCGGGGGCTGAGGTGGGGAGTGGTGCTTATCAATGGTGGAGGAATGTGCCTGCAGATAGCTCCCTAGGGTGTGTGTGAAAGGGACAGGGTGCTGGCAGCCGTCAGGCCCTGGGGGCAGCCCCCCTTCTGCAGAGACGACAGGGCCTGCTGGGAGCAAGAAGCCACCAGGGCCTGAGGTTGTCAGCTCCCTCATTTGCTGGGTCAGTAACCCATAGGTCGCCATTTGCCGTCTGTCAGGGCCCAGAGACAAAGTCCAAGCTCCACATCCCTGGGCCAAGGTGGTTCCTGCGGTCACCTGCTGGGCCTGGCTTGGGCGGTGACTGGCCCTAGGTGAATTGCCACCATGACCTCTTGACCTCACAACCTTGCCATTGCCAGCCTGGGAGGTGGCTGTGCCTTGGGAGGAGGGGCTCCACTGGGGGCTGGACTTGCGTCACGATAAGGGCGTCTGTCCCTGAGTCACCTCATGCTGCCACCTGAGGGGCGGGCATCAGGAACTGGAAAAACCAGGGTATAGCCGGAGGTGCAGCCACTGTGCCCCAGTTCCCCTGCTCGGAGTAGCCCAGGCCTGCCAGACAACCGGGGCCAGAACAGCTCTCCACAGGTGTGCCACAGGTGTGCCAAAGTTAGGCTCTTGTGTAAGGCAGGTAGGCATCCTGGTGGACCTTCTCCACAGTGTCTCTCTGGGCGCTGAAACACTGCTCATTTCTCTGGCCCTGGAGTGCATATTTCACATGCACATGGTAGGTTTGCCACCCATTCTCTCTCCCACTCACTCTTCCATCCACCTGTCCACCCATCCACTCATCCATCCATCCACCCCTCCACCCATCCACCCCTACATCCATCCATCCATTCATCCATCCATCCATCCATCCATCCATCCATCATCCATCCATTCACTCGTCTACCCGCCAACCCACCAAACCACCCATCCACTTGTCCATTCATCTATCCATCCATCCATCCACTCATACCCCCCTCCACCCATCCATCTGCCCACCCCTCCACCCAACCACCCACCTATCCACCCATCCATCCATCCATCCATCCATCCATCCATTCATCCCTCCACCCACCCACCCTCCTGCCTATCCATCCCTCATCCATCCATCTACTCATCCATCCGTCCACCCACCAACCCACCCATCCACTTGTCCATTCATCTGTCCATCCTCCGCCCCATCCATCCATCTATCCACCCCTCCACCCAGCCATCCACCTATCCATCCCGCATCCATCCATCCACTCATCCACCTGTCCACCCACCAACCCACCCATCCACTTGTCCATTCATCTGTCCATCCTCCCCACCCATCCATACATCCATCCATCCAACCACCACTCCACCCACCCACCCATCCATCCCTCATCCATCCATCCACTCATCCACCTGTCCACCCACCAACCCACCCATCCATTTGTCCATTCATCTGTCCATTCATCCACCCACTCATACCCCCCTCCACCCATCCATCCATTCATCCACCCACCCATCCATCCACACACTCATCTACCCATCCACCCACCAACTCACCCATCTATCCATCCATCCATCTGTCTGTCCATCCATTCAGCAAACATTAACTGAGCACCGCTGGGCCATGGGACACAGATAAATTGGTCTCCATTCCTGCTCCTCAGGAGCTGCTGGTCTCACGGAAGCTCCTGATACATGCAGGAATAATTTCAAATGGAGCATAAAAGCCAAGTTTTGAATTCCCCTGGAGCTGAAACAGTGTTTATCTGTCTCACCATCGCATCCTAGCACCCAGCATTGTGCCAGACACGTATGAAGTGCCCATTTCTATTTGGTAAACATAAGATTAATAGATGCCCTAATGGGGGCCGGGGGGCCAGGAATTGGGCAGTCTGGGAGGGCTGTGTAGAGGAGCTTAAGCTGGGTATTAAAGGATGCATAGGAGTTTGCTGGTTGGCTAAGGAACAGTAGGTATCTGGTGTATGTGGGTGTGTTTGAGTGTGTGTGACCCCTGTCCCCACTTGCCCGCCTAGAATGCCAGGAAATCCAACTAGATAAAGTCAGGAAGAACACAGGGGCTTGCTGGTGTCCTACTCATGAACTCTGGGACCCCTGAGCACTTGGAAACTCTGGCGGGGCCCTGGAGACAGCCCCTGGTAGCTTTGTGGTTGGAGGAGGGGAAGCACATCTCGTCAGGCAGGCACATGCCCTGTTGACGCTGCCTCTCTGCTGTATTATCTGGCACATCCGCAGCGGAAATCTCTCCAAATTCCCTCTTTCCTGGCGGCAGCAGGCAGGCAGGCCACCCCCGGGCGCTGGGGCCAAAGAGCCCATCTCTTCCCCCACTTCCTCCTCTTGGCATAGAAGCAGCCACACGGTGGGGAGTCGGGGCATTGTGAGGGTTTGCAGGTGGCTAAAGCCTCCAGTGGGTCCGAGCCTGGGCTGTGGGGGTTTATGGCCCCTGCCTGGCCTGAGAGCCTGGGCTGGGAACGCCCCCGAGCTTCCCAAGTCAGCTGGCCCTGGACCACCTGAACCAGCACTGAGCCAGGTGAAGTCTCCTCCACAGACAAGTCAGGGCATTTGGGGGAACTGACCCCAGGATAAACATGGCCCAGCTTTCTGGAGTCTCAGTTTTACTCACAGATCTGGTGGAGGAGAGAGCTATTTTTGTATCATGCAGATATGTTATGGGGAGGGATGCAATATACTCATGGGTTTCCAAATACAATAGGAGACTTGAAGACATTCGGGGCTTGAAGGAGACCACTTCAGCCACCCCAACCAACCCCCCTGGGCTGGAGTCTACACTTTTCTGCTCACAGACACAAAAGTGCCCAGTTTGAGAAGATCTGTGGTGGGGAATACCCTCCCCTCCTCCACAACACATAGACCCACAGCTGCTCTGAAATTCGTCAGGAGTTTCTGGCTTTTGAAGTGGGTCAGGCCTTATCTCCTCTCTCTTCAGGCTTGTTTCAGAATGTTGATTTATCTTTGCTCCAAATTGAAGTGTTCCTAAGAACAGAAGTGGGAAAGGAGGCCCGGTGAGGTGGCTCACGCCTGTAATCCCAGCATTGTGGGAAGTCGAGGTGGGAGGATCACTTGAGGCCAGGAGGTCAAGAGACCAGCCTGGGCAACAAAGACACACCCCGTCTCTAAAAAATAAAATAGGCCGGACGCGGTGGCTCACGCCTGTAATCCCAGCACTTTGGGAGGCCGAGACGGGTGGATCACTTGAGGCCAGGAGTTCGAGACCAGGCTGCATCTCTACTAAAAATACAAAAGTTAGCCAGGCTTGATGGCCGGTGCCTGTAGTTCCAGCTACTCAGGAGGCTGAGGCAGGAGAATTGCTTGAACCCAGGAGGCGGAGGTTGCAGTGAGCTGAGATCCCACCACTTCACTCCAGCCTGGGCAACAGAGCGAGACTCCATCTCAAAAACAAAATAAATAAATAATGAAAAAGGAGTGGGAGAGGAGAGAGGCTGAAAATCAGGCATCCTAAGTTTGAGTTCTGGTTTCCTTCTTGGGAGCTTGGTGACCTTGGACAAGCTTTTTTGTCTCTCCTCACCTCCAAAGTGGAACCAGCGCTAATAGTGCCTGTATATAGCAGGTCTATTGCGAGGACTAAATGAGGGTACAGTGCTTAGCCCGAGCCCTGCGCATAGTAGGTACTGTCATTGGGACTCCAGGCTCTGTGCAGAGCAGGAGTCGGGTCCCGGGCCTCCTCTGTCCTGCTGCATGACCTGGGACAAGCCCCCTTCCCTGCCCTATGTGCCTGAGCTCTTGCAGGGCCAATGCTGAGGGTCTGCAGAAGCAGGATGGACCAAGGGGGTGAGAGCGGCTGTTTGTGTGGTCCCTGGGCCAGGGTTGGGAGGGGACAGGGATGCAGCCTGGCTCTGAGAGCAGAGTCATCAGCAGGAGGTCACTATCTGGCACCTTACAGAGCTGGGTGTCCTTTGAGTCCTGTTCCCCTGACTCCTGGTCCCCCTCTGCACCTCTGCTCACACAGGGGACTGGATGACGAGAGTCTTCGCTCCAGATTCTGTCCCTGAGAGTTAGCAGGTTTGCTTGGGTCAGGGCACTTGAAATTGCTTCCCTGGAGGGGGTTGTCCTTAGGCCATTAGGGGCCAGGTTGTCCCCAGGGTCTTGGACAAAAGCTGCCTCCAGGCACAGATTTTTCCTGACGGCAGGGGTCTGACTTCTCCACATCAGACCTCCAGCGGCTTTCCATTGCCTCCAGGATAAAGTCCCAGCTTCTTGGCCTGGCATTGAAGGCCTTTCTCAACTGTTTTATTGCTTGCTGCTCCCCACATTTGTGCCCACAAACCCACTCATACCTTCCGTATTAGTCATGCACTTTCTCACTCCTAACTCCCTCTCCCAACATCTATCATTCCCCTGCTGAACTCCTATGCAGCCTCTGAACCCCAGCCAAAATGTCCCCTCTGTGACTTCTCAGACTCCTGGCCAAGGTTGTTTCCCCTTCTCCACCCCCTTAGCTGTTAGCTTGTTTCCTCCCTCTGTCTTGCAGACCTTGTCAGGTGCTTCTGCTCCCTGAGATCAGGAGTTTGTTTTCATCTTGGTGCATACCCAGCACTGGGGGTGGGCCAGGCACAGAGCAGAGGATCATTGTGTGTGTGGTGAACACGGTGCTGAGGTTGGAGGTGTCTCAGGACCCTCTCATCAGAACAATCTGAAGGATTATAATTGTAGGGTTGTTGGAGGAGCTCCCTAGGGTGACCTCTACCCACCCTGGCCACTTCAGCAGCTGCCCAAGCCCTGGACAGCCCTGCACCGTGAGCCCTGTGTCTGGGCAGCTTCCTGCCTGTAGGGCCAGGAAGGGGCTTAGGGCAGGGGCGGGATGAGACAGGATAGGGCGGTGGGAGGAAGAAGCCCCCGGAGTCAGGTGCCTGAGCCCCCAGCCTGCTGGGCCAGGACAGGACTGGCCACTGGGGGAGGAAGAGTCACTTCCTGGCTGTCCTTGTGAGTGGCGGATATGACTCGGTCCTGGAAGCAGAGCCAGAGAAAATGCCAGGGGGCTTGGCCTTTCCTGCTTCCTGGTCAGCCCCGGATGGAAAGGAGGGCAGGTCCTGGGCTGGAGGTAACACCTGCAGGGATGGCATCCTGAACTGATGAGGCTGGCCAGTGAGTCAGGGTGGTGGTGACAGTCAACAAACACACATGGTCAAGAAGAGGCAGTCATTGCCCTGGGCAGCTCTCAGCTACCCAGGTGGGGACCGGACAGGCTAGTCTGCATGGAGGAAAGGGGATGAGGCCGGTGGGCAGCGTGCTTGGTCAAGTGCTGAGCTAGGCTGTGATGGGATTCTTGGTTGGCTGAAAGGCGAGGTATGGCCTTGAATGCCAGGCTCAGGGGCGTGGTGCTTCTTGCAGGAGCCAGTGGGGAGTGAAGCAAAGGTTTGCAGCATGTGTGTGAAGCACTTCCTGGGTGCCCGGTACATGCTAGGCCCTTGCCATGCATTTTTCCATCACAAGACATTTTGCCGATGAGAAAACAGGTCCATAGAGATTTACTGACCTGCTTGCAGGGCAGGGGTCCCTGGTGAGGGAATGAGACAGTCACGTGGGGTGGAAGCAGATTGAACTGATGTCCTTGTGCTCTGTCTGTCCTGTGTCCACCAGCCTGCTCGCCTGGATTTTTTAAGTTTGAGGCATCTGAGAGCCCCTGCTTGGAGTGCCCTGAGCACACGCTGCCATCCCCTGAGGGTGCCACCTCCTGCGAGTGTGAGGAAGGCTTCTTCCGGGCACCTCAGGACCCAGCGTCGATGCCTTGCACACGTGAGTCTTGCAGTGGGTCAGGGTGGCGTGACTGAGGGTGACGTGTCCGCCTGGGTCCAGCACAGCACTGACTCCTCCTGTCTGTGCAGGACCCCCCTCCGCCCCACACTACCTCACAGCCGTGGGCATGGGTGCCAAGGTGGAGCTGCGCTGGACGCCCCCTCAGGACAGCGGGGGCCGCGAGGACATTGTCTACAGCGTCACCTGCGAACAGTGCTGGCCCGAGTCTGGGGAATGCGGGCCGTGTGAGGCCAGTGTGCGCTACTCGGAGCCTCCTCACGGACTGACCCGCACCAGTGTGACAGTGAGCGACCTGGAGCCCCACATGAACTACACCTTCACCGTGGAGGCCCGCAATGGCGTCTCAGGCCTGGTAACCAGCCGCAGCTTCCGTACTGCCAGTGTCAGCATCAACCAGACAGGTGAGGTCCAGGGGTGGCAGCTGTGCCCTATGGGGCCTGCCCAGGTGGGGCTTAAGGAGGACGGCCATCTGGGGCTCGGGTGTGTTTAGAGAGAGGCAGCAGAGCAAGTGGTTAAAGGCACAGTGTCTAGAGCAAGCTTGTCCAACCCGTGGGCCACATGTGGCCCCAGCCGACATTGAATGCGGCCCAACACAAATTCGTAAATTATCTTAAAACATTATGATATTATTTTTGCAATATTTTTCCCTTTTTTTTGAGACAGAGTCTCGCTCTGTTGCCCAGGCTGGAGTGCAGTGGCTTGATCTCGGCTCACTGCAACCTCTGCCTTCCGGGTTCAAGCAATTCTCCTGCCTCAGCCTCTGGAGTAGCTGGGATTACAGGCACGTGCCACCACACACAGCTAATTTTTTGTATTTTTAGGAGAGACAGGGTTTCACTATGTCGGCCAGGCTGGTCTCGATCTCCTGACCTTGCGATCCGCCCGCCTCGGCCTCCCAAAGTGCTGAGATCACAGGCGTGAGCCACTGCGCCCAGCCTGCAATTTTTTTTTTTTTTAGCTCATCACCTGTTGTTAGTGTTGCTGTATTTTATTTGTGGCCCAAGACCATTCTTCCATTATGGCCCACAGAAGCTGAAAGATTGGACACTCCTGCTCCAGAGCCGCTTCTGAGCTCTGTGACTGTGGGCAGGTTACTTAACCTCTCTGGGCCTCAATGTTCTCCCCTGTAAAGTGGGATAATAATTGAGAATTGAGACTGGGCGCGGTGGCTCATGCCTGTAATCCCAGCACTTTGGGAGGCTGAGGTGGGCAGATCACCTGAGGTCGAGAGTTCCAGACCAGCCTGACCAACATGGAGAAACCCCATCTCTACTAAAAATACAAAAAATTAGCTGGGTGTGGTGGCGCATGCCTGTAATCCCAGCTACTCAGGAGGCTGAGGCAGGAGAATCGCTTGAACCCAGGAGGTGGAGGTTGCGGTGAGCCGAGATCGCACCATTGCACTCCAGCCTGGGCAACAAGAGCGAAACTCCGTCTCAAAAGAAAAAAAAAAAAAGAAAGCATTCAGCAAAAGTTAGTTCTTCTTCTTCTTCTTCTTCTTCTTCTTCTTCTTCTTCTTCTTCTTCTTCTTCTTCTTCTTTTCTTCTTCTTCTTCTTCTTCCTCTTCTTCTTTCTTCTTCTTTTCTTCTTTTCTTCTTCTTTCTTCTTCTGTCTTCTTCTTCTTCTTTTTTTTTGAGACGGAGTTTTGCTCTTGTTGCCCAGGCTGGAGTGCAATGGCACAATCTTGGCTCACCGCAACCTCTGCATCCCGGATTCAAGTGATTCTCCTGCCTCAGCCTCCTGAGTAGCTGGGATTACAGGCATGCGCCACCATGCCCAGCTAATTTTGTATTTTTAGTAGAGACGGGGTTTCTCCATGTTGGTCAGGCTGGTCTCGAACTCCCAACCTCAGGCAATCCTCCCGCCTCGGCCTCCCAAAGTGCTGGGATTACAGGGGTGAACCACCACACCTGGCCTTTTATTATTATTATTATTATTATTATTATTATTTATGCACTCGTAAATATGGGGCACCTCTGATGTGCCAGCCCCTGTGATGGGGCCAGGGTGGAGGCCTGGGGCTCTGGCCCTGTGCTCTGGAGCTGAAAGTTTAGGATCCTAGGTTGGGATCTAAAGAGCCTGGGAGCTGGGCGTGGTGACCACGCCCATAATCCCAGCATTTTGGGAGGTTGAGGCAGGAGGATTGCTTGAGCTCAGGCATTTGAGACCAGCATGGGCAACATAGGGAGACCCCATCTCTACAAAAAATACAAAAATTAGCCAGGTACAGTAGCATGTGTCTGTAGCCCCAGCTATTCAGGAAGCTGAGGCAGGAGGATCACTTGAGCACAGGAGTTCAAAGCTGTAGTGGGCCGAGATCATGCCACTGCACTCGAGCCTGGGTGAGAGAGCGAGATCCTGTCTCAAAAAAATGAAAGAATCTGGGCTGTGGAGGATGTGGCTCCACGTCCACTTGTCCCCCCAAACCCTGCCTGCTCGTAGGCAGCTTCTTACCCACTTCCCCCACTGCCTGTCCTGCCCAGAGCCCCCCAAGGTGAGGCTGGAGGGCCGCAGCACCACCTCGCTTAGCGTCTCCTGGAGCATCCCCCCGCCGCAGCAGAGCCGAGTGTGGAAGTACGAGGTCACTTACCGCAAGAAGGTAACTCCCAGAGGGGCGGGGCTGGCTCTAGCTGGGCCGACAGCAGGGGACAGGCTGGTCACATAGATGATCACCAAACCACCCAGCCATCTGAAGAAGCACCCTTCTGCAGATGGGGAAACTGAGGCCTGGGGTCTGCCAGGGGGTTACATCTCCCAAGGCAGCACAGCAGAGATTTGTACGAGAGAAGACATGGCGTCCTTGGAAGAGGCAGTCAGGGTGAGGACAGGGGCAGAATTTTGGGACCCCACACACTCAGTTTGAGTCCTGGCTCATGCATTTAGTGGTTCTGACCTTGAGTGAGTCACTTAATTCCGAGCCTCAGTTTCCTCCTCTGTAAGAAGAGCCTCAAGTTTGCTAACAAAGGCAAGCCACCTTGCTAGCTTGGGGTGGTCTCCAGCGGGCTGAGCCGAGGCCCCTGCCCTGCCCTCACTGCCTGCTCCTCCGCCGGCCACCCACCCACAGGGAGACTCCAACAGCTACAATGTGCGCCGCACCGAGGGTTTCTCCGTGACCCTGGACGACCTGGCCCCAGACACCACCTACCTGGTCCAGGTGCAGGCACTGACGCAGGAGGGCCAGGGGGCCGGCAGCAAGGTGCACGAATTCCAGACGCTGTGTGAGTTGGGGGACCCTGGGCATGGACCAGGCCAGGGCCCAGAACCAAGCAATTGAGACATCTTGGGAAAGGAAGTGAATCAAATAACTTAGAAATGCCCCTTTCTCGGTCACCGGCGGCCTGGGACAGCCCTTCGGGGACTGCCCCCAAGCCTGGGGAGGGGGAAGCATGGAAGGCTGAGGGGTGGAGGAGCCGGGATGTGGATTCACGACAGTGGTGTGAGGAAGTTCAAATCCGCATCTCAGAAAAAGCCAGAGCTTTGAGCCCCACATACCTGCAATACCTCCCGTGAGACCTTCGGGAAGGCCTCCGCTTGACCGTCTATGAAATGGGACTAAGTACCCTCTGGAGCCTTCCCAAGTGCAAGCACCCAGCACACAGTAGGGGCCCAGGTGTCTTGGGTGCAGCGCGGGTGTTGCTGTAATTTGTGGGGGAACTCCCTTGTCATCAGCTGATTTCTTCCACCAGCCCCGGAGGGATCTGGCAACTTGGCGGTGATTGGCGGCGTGGCTGTCGGTGTGGTCCTGCTTCTGGTGCTGGCAGGAGTTGGCTTCTTTATCCACCGCAGGTTCGTCAGAGCCCATACCCTGGCTCCACATGGGCTTGGGTGGGAAAATGGGGCAGGAACCTCCATTTCCTCATCTGAACGATGGGGCCCACAGGATGCTAGTCGAGTCTAATCCCTGCCTCCGGATGGTGCGAGGATATACGAGTTAGAGTGTGTAGCGAAGTGCCTGGCACGCGGCGGGGCCGGGACACGGGGGTCATTACCTCTGCTCTTGTTGTTATTAATGATGTGTCCACACTTCCTCTGGACACGCAGGCAGGAATCCCCGAGTAGCTCTAATGGGAATGCCTTCGTCACGACTGCTTAAGGGGCCATTCTGGGGCCTAGATCCTGGAGAGGGAGTCCTGGCTCGCTCACTTCCTCCCTGTTCCTCCACCCGCCTTCTCCGCACCCTCGGCCCTGAGAGTGGAGCTTGGGCAGCAAAAGCGGGGACTGGGCCGCATTCTGAGCACCCCAGGTCCTCCTAGGACCAAAGTAGGGCCAGGAGGCTTCCCTGGCCGGAGCAGACCTCACTGACCTCCCTGCATTTGGTTCCCCGTGGGGCTCTTTCAGGAGGAAGAACCAGCGTGCCCGCCAGTCCCCGGAGGACGTTTACTTCTCCAAGTCAGGTGAGACGCAGCCCCCGCTCCAGGCCCAGCCCTGCCCGCACCGTCCCCAGCTCTGTGGGGGAGGTGGGGGCAGCCAGGGTGTTCCCAGGGCACTGGGGTGGGGCCACAGGCTTCCGTGGGCAGCTCTGAGGGGTCCGTCCCCCACAGCCTGGTCCAAGTCTCTGAAGATCACGTGACCTTCTCCTCTGACTCCAGAGCACCCCCCATGGGGCCCCTCCTGAGCTGCCTGTGACCCCACCCCTTCTCCTTCCAGAACAACTGAAGCCCCTGAAGACATACGTGGACCCCCACACATATGAGGACCCCAACCAGGCTGTGTTGAAGTTCACTACCGAGATCCATCCATCCTGTGTCACTCGGCAGAAGGTGATCGGAGCAGGTGAGGTTGGCCCCCTGCCAAGGGGCCCTGAGGAGGCAGCGGTGGTGACACAGTGTGGGAGCCCTCATGCCGGGGCTGACCAGGGCACTCCCCTGACCCTGTCTGCCCACAGGAGAGTTTGGGGAGGTGTACAAGGGCATGCTGAAGACATCCTCGGGGAAGAAGGAGGTGCCGGTGGCCATCAAGACGCTGAAAGCCGGCTACACAGAGAAGCAGCGAGTGGACTTCCTCGGCGAGGCCGGCATCATGGGCCAGTTCAGCCACCACAACATCATCCGCCTAGAGGGCGTCATCTCCAAATGTGAGGCTTGGGGCCTGCCCACACTGGGTGGAGAGGGGCCACTTAGCAGGGGCTCTGTCTGTGACTGTGCCCACCTCCCCTATACCTGTGCCCACCTTCCCCCCACACCTGCACCCACCTCCTCTACAACTGTGCCCACTTCTCCCCAATACCTGTACCCACCTCCTAACACCTGTGCCCACCTTCCCCCCATACCTGCACCCACCTCCTTACACCCGTGCCCACCTCTCCCCATACTTGTACCCACCTCCTCTACACCTGTGCCCACCTCTCCCCGATACCTGTACCCACCTCCTTACACCTGTGCCCACCTTCCCCCCATACCTGCACCCACCTCCTTACACCCGTGCCCACCTCTCCCCATACTTGTACCCACCTCCTCTACACCTGTGCCCACCTCTCCCCGATACCTGTACCCACCTCCTTACACCCGTGCCCACCTCTCCCCATACTTGTACCCACCTCCTCTACACCTGTGCCCACCTGTCCTCAATACCTGTGCCCTCCTCCCCAATACCTGAACCCACCTCTCCCCATACCTCTGCCCACTCCTCCGCCTGTGCCCAGCTTTCCCCACACCTCTCCCCATACCTGTACCCACCCTCCCCACACCTGTTCCACCTCTCCCCACACCTGTGCCCACCTCTCCTACACCTGTGCCCACCTTCCCCCATATCTGTGCCCACCTCTCCCACATGCCTGGGCCCACTTACCTCTCACCTGTGCCCACCCCCCTACAGACAAGCCCATGATGATCATCACTGAGTACATGGAGAATGGGGCCCTGGACAAGTTCCTTCGGGTAAGGATGTGGGTTGTAGGGGGCGGGGATGCCTGGCCATTGAGCCCGGGGCTGGCCTGGCGGGTTCAGGGCTGGCCTGCAGCTGAGCGCCTGTGCTCCGGCAGGAGAAGGATGGCGAGTTCAGCGTGCTGCAGCTGGTGGGCATGCTGCGGGGCATCGCAGCTGGCATGAAGTACCTGGCCAACATGAACTATGTGCACCGTGACCTGGCTGCCCGCAACATCCTCGTCAACAGCAACCTGGTCTGCAAGGTGTCTGACTTTGGCCTGTCCCGCGTGCTGGAGGACGACCCCGAGGCCACCTACACCACCAGTGTAAGTTGGGGAAGGGGACCTCAAGGGAGAAGCGGCCTTCGCCCTGCATGGTGTCCTCTCACCTGCACACCTGGGCAGTGCTTCAGGAGGCAGAACACCTGTAGGAGTCCAGGGAGGGGTCGTGGGGCTTGGCTGCAATGGTCCTGGGGCCAGCCAGAGGGCACAGTGGTGACTGGGCCTGGGTTCCCTGCAGGGCGGCAAGATCCCCATCCGCTGGACCGCCCCGGAGGCCATTTCCTACCGGAAGTTCACCTCTGCCAGCGACGTGTGGAGCTTTGGCATTGTCATGTGGGAGGTGATGACCTATGGCGAGCGGCCCTACTGGGAGTTGTCCAACCACGAGGTGGGTGCCCTTGCCCTCCCCAGGCCTGTCCGGACCTGAACTCAAGCCCTTTACTCATCTCAAACTGCAGGGGCTGGGCAGAGGACAGTTTAGATGAACCTTCTTAGGCTTGCTCCATAAATGTTTATTTTTTTTTTTTGGAGACGGAGTTTTGCTCTTGTTGCCCAGGCTGGAGTTCACTGGCATGATCTCAGTTCACTGCAACCTCCACCTCCCAGGTTCAAGCAATTCTCCTGCCTCAGCCTCCCGAGTAGCTGGGATTACAGGCATGCGCCACCACACCCAGCTAATTTTTGTATTTTTAGTAGAGACGGGGTTTCACTATGTTGGCCAGGCTGGTCTCTAGCTCCTCGCTTCAGGTGATCCACATGCCTCAGCCTCCCAAAGTGCTGGGATTACAGGGGTAAGCCACCGCACCCAGCCCCGTAAATATTTCTTGAGGATCTACTGCGTGCCAGGCCTTGTGCTGGGTTCCAGGAGCTGATTCAGAGAGTGCAGAGATGAAAAAAGGAGTGGGGTGTACGTGTGTATCCGTGTGTCCATGCATGTGTGTGCATCCGTATGTGTGCACATGTGCATGCATGCATGTGTGTGTGTGTCTGTGTGCTTGGTGCCTCTCTCAGCCTGGTGGCCTGGGAGGCTTCTCAGAAGAGGTCACATCTCTGCCAAGACCAAGGGCACTGTAAGGCAGCCAGATGAGAGGGAGGGGAAGAGAGATGGGAGGGAGGCTGGGCTGAGGGTACACAGTGTGGCTGCTGCCTGGTGCCCTGTGAGGGAGCAGGGTCCCTTCTAGCTGGGAGCAATGGCGCATGCCTGTAATCCTAGCACTTTGGGAGGCTGAGGCAGGAGTATCGCTTGAGCTCAGGAGTTCGAGACCAGCCTGGACAACATGACGAAACCCCATCTCTACAAAAAATTAAAAAATTAGCCAAGTGTGTTGGCACGTGCCTGTAGTCTCAGCTACTCAGGAGGCGGAGGTGGGAGGATCACCTGAGCACAGGAGGTTGAGGCTGCCGTGAGGTGTGATAGCGCCACTGCACTCTAGCCTGGGTGACAGACTGAGACCCTGTCTCAGTCAAAAAAAAAAAAGTCCCTTCCAGTGAACTCTGGACACAGACCCTTAGGCATTTGCCCTTTGGGCAGCTCTGAAGGTTGGGTGGCAGCTCAAGAAAGGCCCTTCCTGTCTGTTTCTGGGATGTTCCTGTTCCCCTCCCCTCCCCTGCCCACCTCCATAGGCTGGAGGCTGCAGAGGGTTTCAGTGGCTTTCTGCAACAGCGCCCCTGACCTTCGTGCCCCGCCAGGTGATGAAAGCCATCAATGATGGCTTCCGGCTCCCCACACCCATGGACTGCCCCTCCGCCATCTACCAGCTCATGATGCAGTGCTGGCAGCAGGAGCGTGCCCGCCGCCCCAAGTTCGCTGACATCGTCAGCATCCTGGACAAGCTCATTCGTGCCCCTGACTCCCTCAAGACCCTGGCTGACTTTGACCCCCGGTGAGTTCTATGCCCTCTGCCCATGATGACCTCAATTTTCCTTCTGCAGACTCTTGAACCACTTCGGTAGAGTGGCCACCCAGGTGAAGCTGGTAGGGGGGGTGCTGGGGGCTAAGAGGTTATGTGTGGACTTGACTTAGACTGGACACGATGGCCCAGGAAATCCTAATAGAAGCAACCAGCTTATGTGTCTGTGTGCAGGGCACTGCGTGAGCACTTAATATGTTTTCATTCATTTAAACAACCTACGAGATGAGTCCTCCAGTGATCCTCATTTTGTAGAAGAAGAAACTGAGACACAGGGCGATTGAATATCTTACATGGCTGGAAGTGGTCAGGCTGGGATTGTGACCTCAGGATCTGGAATCTCTGCTCGTAGCATTTTATGATGTGGTAGTTATTGGTGGTGGTCCTGTTAGTAGGAGTGGAGGGGCAGCAGTAGTTACAGATGCTGAGCGCTCCCAACGTGCCAGGAGGTCTCATTGAACCCTACTTGACTGGGCTTCCCTGTTGCCCAGATAAGGAGACGGAGGCACGGGGCAGCCGAGTCAATCATCCAGGTTAGGGAGCAGCAGGTGCAGGGCCCAGGGTGGACTGGGTGCTGCAG
The DNA here is from genome assembly GCF_000001405.40 of Homo sapiens. NCBI lineage: Eukaryota > Metazoa > Chordata > Mammalia > Primates > Hominidae > Homo > Homo sapiens. The sequence continues at coordinate 16,129,618 of NC_000001.11, read as the reverse complement.
CCCCTCACCTGCAGTGCTTCCTGTTGCAGCGTGTCTATCCGGCTCCCCAGCACGAGCGGCTCGGAGGGGGTGCCCTTCCGCACGGTGTCCGAGTGGCTGGAGTCCATCAAGATGCAGCAGTATACGGAGCACTTCATGGCGGCCGGCTACACTGCCATCGAGAAGGTGGTGCAGATGACCAACGAGTAAGTCAGGCCCCTTTCCGTCCCCCCTCGCCTCCCGCCTCCCACTCCAGAGGCTGCCTCCATGCCCCCCCCAGCCCTCTTCCCTGCCCCTCAATGCTCCTCTCTTTGTTCTTTCTCTTCTGGGAAGAGGCTCCTTGGAAGAGAAGGGCAGAACTCCGCCAGCAGCTGGCAGCTCTGGGTGCCCACTCTCAGCTCTCTCCTCTTCCTACATCCTTTACCAGAGTGGGGAAATAATAGTAACCGTAATCATAACAGTAGCTACTGTTTACTGAGGGCTATGTGCCGTCTCTGCTTGAGCACTTTGAATGAGAACCCAGCGGGGTGAGTCCTGTTAACAGGTGAGAAACAGGTGCAGGTGAGAAACAGATGCAGAGAAGTGCAGTGACCTGCCCAGGGTCCCACAGCCATGAGGGGGAGAGCAGGATTCCAGGCCCAGTCAGTCGGGATCCCAGAGCGCAGGGATCGGAGAGGTCATTGGTAGAGAAACAGGCTGAGATGTTACCGGCTTGCCTGAGGTCACACAGCCAGTTTGGGGCAGTCTTCTCCAAGATGCCCTGACTGCTGCCCAGGAGAGAGAACCCCTGGCCTACCCCGGGCACCTCTCTCCACTTGGTTGGCTCTCAGCCTGCAGTCCCACCTGGTGAGAAGTGCCACTTACTCTCTGCTGGCCCTGGGTTTGCCCCTTTGTCAAGCTGCCCCTTGGCAGCTCTTCTCCCCTTCCCAACTCCAGCATTGAGACTTTTCCCGGCATGGCCTTGGCACAGACACCTCCTCCTGTCCCAGGAAGGGGGAGACCCTATCCTCTTAGCCTTTTGTGCCTCTAAAAATAGTGGCCAGTTTCAACAACCCAGCTTGTGCATGGTCAAAGATCATGGCGGGAACAGACCGGGAGGCTGGGAGGTTTTGGGAACCGTATGGAGGGGATGACCTGGGCCTCCCATGGTTCTAGGTCACAGAAGTTCTGGGATTTGAGCCTGTTCATGAACATTCTCTAGGGCCTTTGGAAATTGCTCAGCTGGGCTCCCAACCTGCTGGCCAAGGCCATAGCCTCCCTCAGGGGACAGTCGGTGATGGGAAGCAGGCAGGAACAGAGCCGACCAGAGGGGAGGCGGGGACACGTAGGGAGGGGAGATGGATCACAGGATGTCTTTTGCTGCCCGCCAGCCCAGCAGGGCCACAGGCTTGGGCTCTGCACACATACCTGGGTTCAAGTCCCGCATCTGCCACTTCCTAGCGGGTGACCTTGATCAAGTTTGATGGGATTGCATGGGTGCAGCGCAGATGACACGACTGGTATACAGTGGGTGCTAAATCCTCATTGCTCTCCTCTTTTCCTCCACTCCCTTGCTTTCCTCCCCTAGCACTGTGCAAATGCCCCCTCCTTTTCTCCTTTTTCCTGGGAACATCCACCAGACCCTTTGCTCCTCCAGGGGCTCCCACCAAGGACAACACAGCCTCTCTTCTGGGGACCAGAGCTGAGGGCACGGAGAAGTGCTTATGGGAAACACATGTTCTTAGAAGCTTCCCTAAATAGCCCAGGGTGCTCCTCGCCAATTCCTTTCCCACGAGCAGGGACGGGGCAGTCTTGGATGGATGGAGGCTGTGTGTGTGTGCGCTGCAGTGCGCGTTGTTGTGAAAGGGCCTGGATAAAGGCAGGAAGTCATTCGGCGCCCCCCACCACCCACCACCCGCTCCTCCCACCAGCCACTGGTGCTCAGAGCTGGGGCCTGCATGCCTCCTCCTTCCCCTCTGCCTCTTTCCAAATAAATGGGGATCTCAAAGGACTTTTTAAAACCTGAAGCCTGGGTCTACACACGCCATGGGTCCCAACGGGAGACTTGGAGCTGGTAGCAGGGGAATGCGTGCCTTTCCCAATGGGATCAGGATTTAGGCTTCAGTGTCCCACCTCCTCCCCTTCTCAGCCTCCTGCCTTCTTGACTCCCTCCCAGGGGACCAGCTGCCTGGTCCCCTGGGGTCCCACAGCCACTGTCTCTTCTCCATTTGTGCTATTTTGGAGTCAGTTGGGTTTCTAGCTAGACTAGTGGTCCCAGATGTTTTGTGAGCAGCTGACGAAAGGCGTGGATGTTGCACCCCAGAAAAATAGCCCAACCCCAGGCTCTGTCTAGAGCTGGGACTACAGCATTTGCATCCTGTGTGGGGGTCGAGGGCACAGGCTGTAGATCTTAGGGTCTCCAGTGCCCTTGGCATAGGCTTGGCACTGAAGGAATGCTTGCTGAATGAATGAATGATCTGACACGTGAGGCTCCAGGAGCCATTTCTTACTCCCGTCTCCCTGCACCCAGGGCCAGAACACAGTAGGAGCTCACCGAGTATATGGCCTTGGAGTTTTCTACGCAGGGCCTCCAAAGCAAACTGTGCTCCCATCCTGTGAGATTAACCACTACCATTTGCAAGAGGGACCAGAGGTGGCCCAGCAACGGCCCAACCTCCGCTAAAGCATTCATTCGCTCATGCATTCATGCAGCAGACACTTCCTAGGGACCTACTATGTGCCAGGCCTATCCTGGACCCTGGGCAGGGGTGGGGGCGGGAGCAGGTGCTGTGGGGGTGATGGGCCCAGATGACAAGGTCTCAGCACTTGTCCTCCTGGAGCTTACAACCCACTGGTTTTTAAACCGGATGTCAGGTTTCTTCTGGGATTCAACCAAATGCAGACTCCTTGCCCCACCTGCGGAACTGCAAATCGAGTGAATCTGGGGTCAGGCCGGGGGTCCTGTCTCCTTCACCGTGGTCTGAGCGCTTTTCCAGGGACCACAATTTGAGACCTTCAAGTGTGTGGGAAACTGCTGCTTTTTCAGCACCTCCAACTGTATAGGTTAGAAACGTCCTGTGCAGGTAGCGTAGGAAGTTCTCCCAAATGTCCCAAATGTCTCGGCCTTCCTGCTGCTGTGGGAGCACCAGCCTCTGCGGGAGGTCCTGGAGTCCCCCCAACTCACCTGGGTCTGCCCTTCCCTGCTCTGCGCCTGTGCCGGGGCTCCCGGAGCCTGTGGGAAAGTCATGTCTGCAGAACTGCAACTAGGATCTTGCATCATATAATTAGCTCCCTTTACAGCCAAAAGTCGGCCCATAAAAACTTGGGTGTTTTCATGGGTTTGGGCTAGTGGGTGAGGACGGTGGAGGAGAAAACTCCCAAAGTGAGTAATAAATGCCCTCCTCACAGGTTCCTGGGAGCATAAGTGATTTCATGAGGGGACGGAGGGGCATGGAAGGGGGCCCCAGGAGAGCGTGTACCCTGTGGGGGTGGGAAAGCAGGGCTGTGGGCTCCTGGGCACATCTGTCCATCTGGTACTGATGCTGCCTTCCCCCTCGGCTGCTGGTTTTGAGGTCTCTCGCCCTCCAGATGGACAGTAGCTCCCATTTTACACGGGAGGAAACTGAGGTTTCCCCAAGGGAAGACATCTTCCTAGTCACTGGATCTGGTGACCCGCAAGCCTCACCCATGAAGACTCGCAAAGTTTAACCCTTCAAGTATTTCCCAAGTCCTTCCTTCATGATCAGCAGTGGGAACTTGGAAGGAGTGAGGGAGAAATGAGGCAGCAGGTGGGAAGAGACCTTGGGCAGAGAGGCTTTGAGCGACATCCCTAGAGAGTTCCTGGGAAGGAGGCCTGAGCTGGGGGCACTGGGAACAGACTAGGGGTGAGGGGAGGGAAGGCATTTGTTCATAGCTGGTTTGATTCCCAGCTCTTCCACCTCCTAGCTGTGTGACTTCAGGCAAGTCACTTTACCTCTCTGACCTCAGTTCTCTAATCTGCAAAATGGGGATGAAAAAGAGCACCTGCCTCACAGATAATTCAGAAGATTTGATTTATTTTTATTTTTTTAAAGCATCGTACAGAGTTGAGGCTTCTGTCGTTTTCCTAACTTTGTTGATGGTGGGCCACCTTGGCAAGCTTCTAGGCTGTGGCTCCTTCTCCCAGGCCTACCTAACCAGAGCTCTCTTGCCCTACAGGTCCCCAAGGCACCCTCTCCACCCTCCTCCTCTGCCTCCCTCCACTCCCCTCCCCAGCCGCCCACCGAGTCCTGTCCCCACCCAGCCCGGCCCCCTCCCCTGCTCCAGCCCCTAACTCTCCCTCTCTCCCTCCCGGCCCACAGCGACATCAAGAGGATTGGGGTGCGGCTGCCCGGCCACCAGAAGCGCATCGCCTACAGCCTGCTGGGACTCAAGGACCAGGTGAACACTGTGGGGATCCCCATCTGAGCCTCGACAGGGCCTGGAGCCCCATCGGCCAAGAATACTTGAAGAAACAGAGTGGCCTCCCTGCTGTGCCATGCTGGGCCACTGGGGACTTTATTTATTTCTAGTTCTTTCCTCCCCCTGCAACTTCCGCTGAGGGGTCTCGGATGACACCCTGGCCTGAACTGAGGAGATGACCAGGGATGCTGGGCTGGGCCCTCTTTCCCTGCGAGACGCACACAGCTGAGCACTTAGCAGGCACCGCCACGTCCCAGCATCCCTGGAGCAGGAGCCCCGCCACAGCCTTCGGACAGACATATGGGATATTCCCAAGCCGACCTTCCCTCCGCCTTCTCCCACATGAGGCCATCTCAGGAGATGGAGGGCTTGGCCCAGCGCCAAGTAAACAGGGTACCTCAAGCCCCATTTCCTCACACTAAGAGGGCAGACTGTGAACTTGACTGGGTGAGACCCAAAGCGGTCCCTGTCCCTCTAGTGCCTTCTTTAGACCCTCGGGCCCCATCCTCATCCCTGACTGGCCAAACCCTTGCTTTCCTGGGCCTTTGCAAGATGCTTGGTTGTGTTGAGGTTTTTAAATATATATTTTGTACTTTGTGGAGAGAATGTGTGTGTGTGGCAGGGGGCCCCGCCAGGGCTGGGGACAGAGGGTGTCAAACATTCGTGAGCTGGGGACTCAGGGACCGGTGCTGCAGGAGTGTCCTGCCCATGCCCCAGTCGGCCCCATCTCTCATCCTTTTGGATAAGTTTCTATTCTGTCAGTGTTAAAGATTTTGTTTTGTTGGACATTTTTTTCGAATCTTAATTTATTATTTTTTTTATATTTATTGTTAGAAAATGACTTATTTCTGCTCTGGAATAAAGTTGCAGATGATTCAAACCGATCTTGGCTTTCAGTCTTGGGAAAAGCAGTGGGGTCCCAGAGCTTCCTGGGTGGGAGTTGAGGGGCTGAGGGTTCCCCCCAAACCCCTAGTGTTTAAACAGAGATTCGTGCACAAGGCAGACACGTCACTTAACCCTGGGAGCAGGGGTGGGTGGGAGGTGGGCAGGGGGCCGGGAAGCAGGTTCTGCCGAGCCCGGCCTCCATGCCAGCAGGCCCCAATCACCTTTGATCTCCAGGCTGCTCAGAGTCTTCGGGAGGGCTGGGAGGTAGGAGAACAGCAAGAGCCGCCGTCAGCTTCCCTCCCACGGCTCCCCGGAGCTGTCGAAATAGATCCTTCAACCATCCATGTACAGCTCTGAGGTTTACACAAGCTTTTCACAGGTTTCGGCTTGTCGGAACCTCAACACTTTGTTATGAGTTTTGTGGGCGGCCCCATTTTACAGAAAAGGAAAACCAAGCTGGAGCCCAGCAACTGGGTTTGTTCAAGGCCACACAGCAAGTTAGGGGCAGAGGCCAGAATTGAAAGCAAGGTCAGAAATCTCAGTGGGATGCTTTTCTCATAGATGAGGAGATGGAGGCTCAGAGACATGCAGCGACTTGCCCAAAGTCACACAGCAGTCTCAAGAAAAGCCAGAGTTCTAATTTCTTTTTTTTTTCTTCTTTTTTTTGAGACGGAGTCTCACTCTGTCGCCAGGCTGGAGTGCAGTGGCACGATCTTGGCTCACTGCAACCTCTGCCTCCCGGGTTCAAGCGATTCTCCTGTCTCAGCCTCCCGAGTAGCTGGGACTATAGGCGCGCACCACCACACTCAGCTAATTTTTGTATTTTTAGTAGAGATGGGATTTCACCATGTTGGCCAAGATGGTGTTGATCACTTGACCTTGTGATCTGCCCACCTCTGCCTCCAAAAGTGCTGGGATTACAGGCGTGAGCCACTGCGCCCAGCACCAGAGTTCTAATTTCAAACCTGAGCCTTCTCCACTCTACCGGGTTGCAGCCCTGCATGTCAGAGGTCGTTCATAGTGGGGGTTAGGAAGGTGTCAAACACAGGTCACCAGGAACGTAACCAGGGAGCAGAGATGATCTGAGGCCCAGGAGGAAGACTTCCTGGAGGAGGTGGTCCCAGAGCTGAGACCTCAGGGACTACTAGGAATTAACCAGCGAAGCCAAGGGAGGGTGATGCAGAGTGAGGCGCGGGGGCGTGAAACCACATGGTTGTGCAAGGGAACCACAAGCAATTTGGTGTTATTAAGGCATGACGTGAGGTGCTGGAGAAGTCTCTAGGGCCTTGTAAAGCAGGCCCAGGAGTGGGGATTTCAAGTTGAGGGCAATAAGGAGTCATTGAAGGTTTCAAGCAGGGAGTGGCATGATTGTTGTCACTGGTAGAGGCAGGTCTGCAACCCAGAGCTCCTGACTCAGCCTGGAGCTTTGGGGAGATACAGGAGAGGCGCTGGCAAAAGTCGAGAGGGTGTTCGGCCTGCCCTGGGGTCTCAAAGCTGGCATGCTCTGCCCTGGCCCCTGCTGCTGCAGGAGAGCTGCCACCCTCTGGGTCCTGGCCCACTGGGCATCCATGAGACACCTGACTGTGTCAGGTGCGGCTGGGGTTGGTGAGCTATGGGAGTGCAGGGAGCACCTGGCTGGGCCTTCCTCCCATTAGTGTTGGGCCACCTGAGTGTGCTGGGCATGATGGCTGAGTCAGGCCTTCCTGGTGCCTGACCCTGGCCTGGCCTGACCCAGGTGGCCACTGTAGCTCTGTGGCTGGGCTATGGCTACTGTTGCTACCACTGACAAAGCTGTTGGCCCAGCAGGGAATAAGCCTGCAGCTTGCAAATCCACAAAAATCTGGGCTATGAGGGCACATCAAGACCAGGCCTGAGTCCCATTCCCAAAGCAACTCAGCCATGGCCCTGCTGATGAGCAGGAATGAACTCAGGAAGTGGCTCAGCATGGGGGGAGGTGGCCTCGTGTGCTCTCTCCCTTGAAGTCCTGGACATAAGACCCTTCCAAGGGCATGTGAGAACCCATAAACCTGTGGGCCACGGACAGGTCCGATGCTCAAAACCCAGTGAGCAGCTGTCTGCAGTCTCCAATGGACCCTGCAATTGGCAGGAGGGGAAACTTTATTTTTAAATTAAAGCAAATCCAGATCTGTCTCCTAGAGGGCCTAGATGCAGGAACACCCCTGTAGCAATAAGAACACCCAGCCCGCACATCTTGCTTCCTAAAAACCATTCTCCAATGAAAGGGACCAGGGCTCCTTAGAGAAATGGCTGATTCTGGGGCTGAAGCAGGGAAAATACAAGATGAGCTGGGAGCATCTTGGAGTATCAGAGAGTAAAGAAGTGCTCAAAAATAAACAGGTGGGGCTGTGCCAGAGACACACAGGAGCCAGCCCTAAAGAACTCCCAGGGCCTAAACCTAGAACAAGCTGAGCAACAAAACGATGAGGTATTAGATTAAATCCAAAGTCAAAAATAAATATTCACGAGTCTATACTGAGATAAATAAATGATTAAAGGCTGGGTGCAGTAGCTCACGCCTGTAATCCCAAAACTTTGAGAGGCCGAGGTGGGTGGATCGCTTGAGCTCAGGAGTTTGAGATCAGCCTGGCCAAGATGGCGAAACCCCGTCTCTATCAAAAATACAAAAAATTAACCAGGCATGGTGGCACGTGCCTATGGTCCCAGCTACTCAGGAGGATGAAACGGGAGGATCGCCTGAGCCTGGGAGGTGGAGGTTGCAGTGAGCCGAGATTGTGCCACTGCACTTCAGCCTGGGCAACAGAGTGAGACCTCATCTCAAAAAATAAAAAAAAAAAAATGCTTGAATAAATAAATAAGTGGAGGGAGCCTAGACAAATCTTCCTTACAGATGAATTTCAAAGGGGTGGATTCTTTTCCCTCTAGTGGGTAAAGCTTACTTCCCCACTGCCTGGACTGCGGACTGGACACCCTTCCAAAGAAAGGCAGTAGGGAGGTATAGAAAGGGTTAAAAAAAATAAGAAAGAAAACAAAAAGTAACTTTACAGTGGAGAAACCTGGCAAACACCACCGTAACCAAGTGATCAAAGTTAATATCATCAGAGAAAAAACAAACAAACCAACATTGAGCTTGAATTGAAGATCAGGTATCAGCAAACACTTACACAAGGCTTTCTGGGCACCACCCACTGTTCTAAGCACTTAGCCTGTGTTTACTTATTTCATTCTTCCAACAGTCCTTCAAGGTAGATGCTATTAATATCCCATTTTACAGATTTGAACACCGAGGGGAGGGAGGTTACATAACTGGCCAGAGCCGCCCTCTCCCCTCTCTGCCATCATGGACACTTCCCTAGATAAGGTCTGAGAAGCACTGGTTCTGGGGAAACTGAGGCAACATAACCTGCCCATGGTCTCCAAATGCCACCACATCCCACACCCCAGGTATCTAGATAGTTTGCTGCTCTGTCCCTTCTCTCAGTGGCCAGTTCCTGCTCTATGCCAGGCTGGGCACAAGGTCACAAAGATGGATAAGGGCCCTGTCTGCCCTCATGGGACTCAGTCTGGTGGGGGCAGCAATGGTAATAGAGTAGGACCCAGGCTAAGAAGGGGCAGAGCTGGGTGTTACAGGAGCCAGAGGTTGGGGCAGGGATGGGGGAGGGGCACTTGACCCAGCCTAGAAAGTCCAGGCAGGCTGCTTGGAGGAGGAGCCATCCAAGCTGAGGTGGAGGTCAAGTGAGAGTCCACCAGGCGGAGGAAGAAGTGTCCCAGAAGAGCCTGGCTCTGACTCCAGACCTCTGTGGGTGGGGCTTGAGTCTCCCCTCCAACATCTGGGCCCCATTTGACCAAGACAAGATTCCTCCATCTGCTATGCCACCCTAACCCCTGGCTGTTGTGTCAGGAGCAGCTGTAGGACAGCAGCCCTGCCCTCATTCCCACCCCTAGCAGAACCTTCATCTCTGATTTTAGCCTTCTCTGCTGAGAAGTGGGCCTGCAGCCCTTTCTGGGTTCTGAGCTGCAGGGACCTTGGTGGGCCTTTGATGCATCCAGCAAAGCCCTGAAGGAGGTGAAGGCAGTGGTGACTGGGGCATTGGGTAGGGAGATGCCTGCTTTCTCTGCTGCTCCCAGTCTGCATGGCAAGTTAAAATCGTGTCGCCAGGCACCAGCCCGAGATTTCCTAATTAATTAGCAAATTCTGGAGGGACAGGCAAGCTCTCTGCTCGCCTCCCCATTCACACCCCCTCAGCTCCAGCTGCAGCCCAGGGCCTGGGATGGGGCCTTGGGCACCATAGATGCTGCTAGAACAGGGGGCAAATGAATGTGTACGGGAAGTGCTTGAGTCCTTAGCTCCGGCCCTCTGTGCCTTTGCCCATTCTGTGCATCGCGCCTGCATCGTCCCTCCCCGGAACTATGTCTGGTACCCAGTAGGCCCTCAATAAACATTTGTTCAATAAACAAATGAACTGTGGGGGACAAGGACTGGGCTTTTGAGATCCAAGAGCCCTGTGGAGCTGGATATGGGTTTTGGGAATGTGGTGAGTGCTGTGCAATGGTCCTGGGCTCCCTCTGGCTGGCCGGGAGGGACCACAAAAGCTGGTAAGGAGAAGCAGTTGAATGTTTCTGAACACCTACCATTGTAGGTGGTGGGCGTTCCTCTAGCATTGCCTGTTCCTAGAGGAGTTGCTAATTAATTAGGAAATCTAAGGCTGGTGCCTGGCGACACGGTTTTAACTTGCCACGGTGCCAGTGAGTGTGCCATGCCAGTGATCATGCCCAGCCCAAGACCCACACCGTCTTATGCAAGGGTCACAATGACCCTGAGGGGCATACATTTATCCCCATTTTGGGGACCCTGGGGCTCAGCGAGGTTACAGTAATCAGACCAAGTTCCCACAGCTAGGAGGTGACAAAGCGGCATAGGAGACAAGAGTCAGCTCATCCCACTGCCTGCTGCTCGGTGACATTTGGGGACCTTGGGGTTCTTTTCAGGAAACGGCAGGAAGACCCTTGGACTGGGAAGGGAAGACAGAGGTTCTGTTGGGCGCCTACTATTGACTTGGCTGTGGACTCCTGGGCATGTCCCTTGTGTCACGGGGGCTCAGTTTGTCCGTCTGTAGTGAGGAAGGCTCCAGGAAGTCTGTCCTGGCTGAGATGAGGGGCCCCTGCCCCCACCACAGAGTTGCCCCCTCCCCACTCCTGGCACCCTCTCCCCAGGCAGCCCTGGGCAGCCCCAGGTAGCCCGGCCAGCAGGCCCCACTCCAGCCCTCTGGGTCTGGCTTTCCAGTCCAAACCGTCAGCCAGTCTCTGTCGGCAGAACCAGACCCAGTTTCTGGGAAGCTGCAGCCACATCCCACCCCTGCCTGGGGTGGGGGCCCCCTTTCTCCTGCTGGGCCCGGGCCCCATTTCAGCAGCCTCATCACATTCCCCACGGCCTCAGCAGCCTGATGGATGGATGGATGCAGCTTCCACACTGGGCTGGCAGAGCAGGCGGCTGCATGATCAGGTCTCCTGCTGGGCGGAGGGGCCTTTCCCCCAGGACCAGGCCTCATGGGCCCGGCCAACCAATCCCAGCATCTGGGCACAGGACACACTTCCCCAGACTCTGCACCCCTCCCCTGTACTCTAATGCGGTCTAGACTCCCGGACCTGCCCTCAGTTCCCCATGAGCCCTCGCCCACCCCCGCACACATCCCTCCCTATTTCTGTCTGTGGAAAATACACCCACCCTTCCAGGCTCAAATCAAATCACCCATTTTCCAAGAGACCTTTGCAGGCCAGGTGTGGTGGGTTACGTCTGTAATCCCAGCACTTTGGGAGGCCGAGGTGGGTGGATCTTCTGAGGTGGGGAGTTCGAGACCAGCCTGGCCAACATGGTGAAACATTGTCTCCACTAAAAATACAAAAGTTAGCTGGGCGTGGAGGCGCATGCCTGTAATTGTAGCTACTCAGGAGGCTGCGGTAGGAGAATCGGAGAATCGCTTGAACCCAGGAGGTGGAGGTTACAGTGAGCCAAGATCATGTCACTGCACTCCAGCCTGGGCAACAAGAGCGAGTCTCCATTTCAAAAAAAAGAGAGAGAGACTTTTGCAGAGCCCGCTCTGCTGCCAGGCAATGGGGACACATTAACCCTGCCTCCCTCAGGCTCCTATCGTGGCCGGCTGTGGATCACAGAGGGCTTGAATGACACTCAGGTGTGTCTGTCTGGCCCTCTCCTCTGAGCTTGTGTGTGTGTGTGTGTGTGTGTGTGCACGCGTATGTAATAAAATGCCAATAGCTAATAATTATTAAGCGCATTGCATGTGCTGCCACTGTTCAAAGTGTTTCCCAAGGATTAACTCATTTAATCCTCCCAAAAACTCTGTGACCTAGTCCTACTACTGCCCCATAAGCTGGGGGCCATATCTCCCGTCTGTCCAGGACAGTCCTGGCTTTGGCCTGTTGTCCTGGTATAATTGGTTGTAATAGCTCCCCCTTTCGCCTTCTGTCTTTAAGTGGACAATAATTGATCCAGTCACCCTATCATGAAGCGCAGAGAAGTGAAGGGTTTGCCCAGAGCTCCACAGCTAGCAAGTGGCAGCGCCAAGGTTCGAGCCCAGCCCCTTGCCACAGGGCTTTGCTCTAAGCTATCGGTGAATTTCCCAGTGAGTGAGCCTAGGTCTCCTTGTGCTTTTCTCTCGACCCTCCTTTTATTTTACAAGATTCTTTTTGTTGTTGTTTTTTATTTTTTCCATTTTATCACATCTGACTCAGTCTCTACACAAGATTCTTGAGGTCTGCTGAATGCCACCCACTGCCTGGAGCTCTTCCCCACATCCTCAGCACGATCTTACCAGCTCGTGAGTAACACCCTGGAAGAGGGTGCCCCCATCACTCATTTTTTTTTTTTTTTTTTTGAGAGGGAGTCTCACTCTATTGCCAGGCTAGAGTGCAGTGGCGCGATCTTGGCTCACTGCAACTTCTGCCTCCTGGGTTCAAGTGATTCTCCTGCCTCAGCCTCCTGAGTAGGGATTATAGGCGTGCGCCCCCACGCCCAGCTAATTTTTGTATTTTTTAGTAGAGACGGGGTTTCACCATGTTGGTTGGGCTGGCCTCGAACTCCTGACCTCGTGATCCGCCTGCCTGGGCCTCCTAAAGTGCTGGGATTACAGGCTTGAGCCACCGCGTCCCGCCTCCCATCACCCATCTTAAAGGTGCATCCAACCTCTACCACATAGAGGCATGTTTCATCTGTGCCGCTTTTGACCTTGCTTCTGTGGTCCCACGTGGTGAGATACTTTTCTATCACTGACCCCTGTCTCCCACTCAGTGGCCAGCTCCATGAGGGTGGGGACAGGCCTGTTTTTCCCTTAGATCCCCAGACCTGACACCCGGTGGGTACCCCCACATATTTGATGAAGGAATCAATGGACTCAATGAATGCTGCTCCATGCTGGGGAGACAGCAAGGGGTGGGAGATCCCAGGCCGCACCGTCACAGAACTCCTAGTCGCTGGAGAGAATATTCAAAAGATAAATGTGATATGACAGGCGTGGGGGCTGTGGGACCCAGGAACTGAACAACGTGCTCAGCCTGTGGAGAGTCAGAAAGGCTTCCTGGAGGAGGCGGTATCCAAGCTGAGATCTGAAGGAAGAAACGGTAGGGAAGAATGAAGGTTATTCCAAGGCTAGGGAACAGCAACTGTTTGGCTCAGAAGCTGAAGGAAGGCCAGTGTGGCTGAAGGCAGAGGGCAGGGGGCCGGGTGGCAGGTAGGGACAAGACTGGAGGGGTGGGCAGGGTCTGAGCCTTGTTGCTGTGCTGAGGATTTTATTTTTATCCTAAGGGTGGGCACCAGGAAGCCGCTCAATGCCCCTTAACTGACAGGTGGTGGTGGTGAGCCAGGATAAAAGGCAAGAATATCTCAACTTTTAATTTTTTCAAAACGGCGCTGTCCTCTTTTAAAAAAACGGTCTAAGTGTTGACTCACACCAAAGAAAAGTCGATTTATTTGCCTGTCCTTAGTGGCATTGCAGCCAATGCTGCCTGGCCCTGCCGGCCTGCTCTTCAGAACCACGGCCGGTGGGGCTGAGCCACCGAGGACGCAGGTGTCCTGGCCCTGCCCCCACGACCCCCGCCCCAGCCATCTGTCCCACCCGCAGTCTGGGCGGCTGGGAAGGTCCATTGTGGCGGCCTCTGACATCACAGCAGGGGGCAGCGTGATGTCACAGGGCCCCATTGTGGCTGCGCAGGAGGGTGTCCCCCACCAGAGGCCTGCTCCCCACCCCCAGCCTCCAATCCTATTAAGCACGGGCTGGGGACAAAGGAAGGCGCTTTGTGTTTTACCCATGTCTGAGGGAGGGGACGGCAAGAGGTTGTGCATTCCAGAGCCGCCTCCCCCCGCCCCCACCAGCTGGGCCTCCAGGTCAGACTGGAGACCCTGCTGCCACCCCCGTGGCTGTCTCCATGCCCCAGCCCTCCTGCCCCCCAGTCCCCCACGAGGGAGACCACAGAGATAAAGGAGCTCCAGGTCCCCTGCCTCCTGCCCGCGCCACTGTCAAATCTAGGGCCAGATCCCAGGCAGAGGAGGCTGCAAGCAGAACCTGTGGGGTGAGGAGGAGAGCCCTGGGGGGCCTCCCAGCGGGAGGAGGAGGGGGCCAGGAGAAGGAGGCCACAAGTCTGCTGGAAGATAAGAAGACCCCAATCCCTGAAAGACAGGCCTGGGGGAAGCAACCTCAGGGCACAGGTGGGGGACAGAGGCCTAGAGAAAGACAGGGACTTGTCACCCAGGGCACCAATGAGCACTTATTAAACATCTACTGAGAGCTACACTGGTCTGTGTGGGGGTCATTTAATCTCACAACCCTGGAAGGTAGTGGCTGGCACCAGCCCCAGGCCTGGCTGCTCTGTACAGGCACTTAGAGAGGGAAGCCTCTCATGGGGACAGCTTGGGGACAACTTGGCAGCCCCCTCCTTCTCCCAGGTGTCCCTGAGTCTCCAAGGTTGGAGCTTTGGGGTCAGAGGACTGATTTGCAGGTCCTCCTCTGCCACTAACTTGCATGTCCTCCCTTTGCTGAGCCTCTGTTTACTCGTCTGTAAAATGGGCCTGACAGTACCTCCCTTACGGGGTGTGGGGGAGTCCGGATGAGAGTGTGTGGGCATCCAGAATGCTACTCACACCTCGCCCCACGCTCAGCTGGGGTGCAGGTATTTCCCTAATCCTGACACTCCAACCACTCCAACCTCTGTCTCTCCTTGGACTCCAGTCCCCAGCCAAGCCCCCTTCCAGGCTGGCATCGGCACCCTTTAATGGACCTGTCTGGGCCCTAGGCTGGGAGGAGAGAGCGACTGACCATGGGCGCCCGGGCCGGGGGAGGCCAAAGTTTCAGGAGAGGCCTCGGCACACCCGCCTGTATGGTGTGAGCTTCTCTATCTTTGGCCGAGTGCCTGGGCATGCAAGGAGACCGGGGGCGGCTCAGTTTCGGGCAACAAAGCCCCCTTTCTCCCCAGCTGGAGGAATGCCTGGCACCCCTCCCGCCTCTGCCTTGTTCCATATCTACTGTCAGGACCCAGACCCCAGTGTTCACTCTGTGGAGCCCAGGCAGAGCCCGAGAGGCAGCCATGGCCCTTTATGGGGTGGGAGCACCACCACCCTCCTCAGCACTGTTCCCCCACCTTCACATGCCCCACTACATACATGCACATGCGAAGGCATGCAGCCCTGGCTCCCCAAACAGCCCGGCCCTTGGGTTGGTCACAATCAAAGCAGTCTAGGACAAAGGTGTCCCCAGCTGGCTGGGAACCGAGAGGGGCCCATGGAGAACCACGTGGGCAGTGCCCACCTACGCCTGTCCCTGATTATTATTATTATTATTATTATTTTTGAGATGGAGTCTCACTCTTTTGCCAGGCTGGAGTGCAGTAGCGTGATCTTGGCTCACTGCAACCTCTGCCTCCCGGATTCCAGCGATTCTCCTGACTCAGCCTCCTGAGTAGCTGGGATTACAGGCGCCCGCCACCACGCCTGGCTAATTTTTGTATTTTTAGTAGAGACGGGGTTTCATCAAGTTGGCCAGGATGGTCTCCATCTCTTGACCTCGTGATCCACCCGCCTTGGCCTCCCAAAGTGCTGGGATTACATGCGTGAGCCACCGCGCCTGGCCCTACTTTTTTTTTTTTTCTTGAGATGGAATCTCACTCTGTCACCTTGGCTCATTGCAACCTTCACCTCCTGGATTCAGGTGATTCTCATGCCTCAGCCTCCAGAGTAGCTGGGACTATAGGCGTGCACCACCACATCCGGTTAATTTTTGTATTTTTAGTAGAGATGGGGTTTCACCATGTTGGCCAGGCTGGTCTCAAACTCCTGGCCTCAAGTGATCCACCTGCCCTGGCCTCCCAAAGTGCTGGGATTATAGGCATGAGAAAACGCACCTGGCCTAGGCTAGATCTTTTTTTTTTTTGAGACGAGTCTCGCTCTATTACCGAGGCTAGAGGGCAGTGGCGCGATCTCAGCTCACTGCAACCTCCACCTCAAGCAATTCTCCTGCCTCAGCCTCCCCAGTAGCTGGGATTACAGGCATGCAACACCACGCCCGGCTAATTTTTGTACTTTTAGTAGAGATGGGGTTTCACCGTGTTGGCGAGGATGGTCTGGAACTCCTGACCTCAAGCGATCTGCCCACCTCGGCCTCCCAAAGTGCTGGGATTACAGGTGTGTGCCACTGCACCCAGCCTGTCACTGATTTTTTGGATCAGTATTGGCTTGAGAAACTCCGGAGTGGGAGACCCTGACTCTGTCCAAGCCCCTCATTTTTACTAAAGAAGGTGTGGAGGCCCAGAGAGCAGGGGTTGCCCAAGGCCACAGAGCCTGACTGGGCACGGACCAGAATCAGGGAAGGCTGGTGAAGGCCACCTAAGTGCTCTGGTGGGGCCGCACCACCAGCTCAGCCCAGGGCAGGAAGGAGAACTGGCCTCCCCGGTGATGGTGGCACCCTTTGTATAGATGAGAACACTGAGACTCCAAGAAGAGAGGCCCAGGGTCACCCAGAGGAGCAGAGTGAGAATTAAAGCTCCAGTCCATGGGTAGGGAGGGGGACAGTGAGCCCCCAAGTCTCCCCCTGGGCACTACAGACCCAGCACAGCCCCAGGCCTCAGCTGGAGACTGCTCGGTGCTCAGGCCCGGCTGCTGCCCTGGCCTTGACCCCTGAGTGGGGGAGCTGCCCCTCCTGCCACAGCCCTGCCGGACTCTGCCCAGACACCTCAGGAATGCAGGGGGAGGGGGACTCAGAGAAGAGGGACCTGGGATCCGGGGTGGATGGAACAAAGAAGCCATGTATCTGGGCTCTCTCTGCACCCCCAGCTGGACCACAGTTGGCAGAGGGAGGCCCCCAGGGGTGGCTCAGGCACGTGCCATCGTGTGCTGTGTGACCCTTGGGATGCAGCTGCCCATCTCTGGTTTCCTGGGATGCAAAGTGGAGTTCCAGAGCCTGGGCTCTAAGGCAGAGGAGCCTGTTGAAGCTCTGAGGTTGGGGCTTCTGGCAGAGGGAGGAAAGAAGTGGGGGCCCAGCCCTGTGGTGGGCTCCTCTGCCTGCCTCCTCCCGCAGCCTCAGGAATCGCCTTAATTACAGTGTCAGCCTTGCTGCGCTTCCTGCCATAAACCCAGGAATCTAAATTAGAAGGCAGGAGGTCGGCTCCCCCTTCCCTCTGACCCCCCAAGTCTGCCGGGAAGTTCTCCTGGAGACAGGCTGCCAGCAGGAGCCAACCTCAGAGGGAGACTAGGGAGGCCCAAGAGCCTAGAGGAGGGTGGGAGGCTGTCCACAGAATCTTCATACCTGTCACTGTCCAGTGCCCGCTTTGTGCCAGCAATTCTGCAGAACCGATGTAAAGGTTCCTGTTGACAGAGGAAGAAACTGAGGCATGTGCCCAAGGTCTCCCAGAGTGATGGTGGCTGAGCTGGCTGGACCCGTGTCTCTGGGTCTCTGGCCAGGGCTGGCTGCCTTTGCAGAAGGCAGACTAGCTTGTGGGGGCAGAGGAGATGGCCCGTCCACCTGGGGCAGGGTTAGGGGACCCTGAGCCATGAGTAACCCCCAGCCCCAGGGGGAGATGGGAGGGAGGCTGGCAAGAGGGAGTGGGCCGAGTGTGTCTGAGCAGAGAGCTTGATTTCCGCAAGCCCTGCCTGGGCTGCCTGCTGTGGTTCTGCTCACTCCTCCCTGGGACCTGACTAGATGCGCCAAGCCTGCACGGAGGCCAACCGTGGGCAGGGCCACGTCAGATTCAGAGAAACCCAGCCAGGGACCCCTGTGCACGGGTCTGAGCATATGAGAGTGTGTGTTGGTGTCCCTGGGCGTGTGCGCCTGTAAGTGTGTTTCCATATGTATATGAGTGTATGTGTCACTGTGTCTTTGTGGGAGTGTGTGCTTTTGTGTGGATTTGTGTGTGACAGTGAGTGTGTGTGTGTGTGTGTGTGCACGTGGTGGGGAATGAGGTCATCTGGGCAGAAGGGAGCTGAGCTTGTCCAAACCACTGGAGACACTGAGGGAGAGAGACAGACTCGGGAAGGGGGGCAGTGGGTGATGAGGCTGGAGAGACCAAGACTGAGGCTGAGGGAGGGAAAGAGATCAAGGCAGAGAGGACAGATGCAGCCAAGGACCGGGCAGGGGACGAGGTAGGGGTGAAGCAGACAGACAGACAGGCAGACAGGATGATGGAGGATAAGGGGGCAGATAAGGTGGGAGACAAGGAGAGGCCCAAGAGAGGCCCACAGAGAGCATGTTTGAGAGAGGGGGTGCCAGACACAGTGGCTCATGCCTGTAATCCCAGCACTTTGGGAGGCTAAGGCGGGAGGATCACTGGAGCACAGGAGTTCGAGACCAGCCTGGGTAACAGAGTAAGACCCTGTCTCTACCAAAAATAGTTTTAAAGAGTACGTGCCTGTAGTCTCAGCTACTCTGGAGGCTGAGGTGGGAAGATTGCTTGAGCCTGGGAGTTCCAGGCTGCAGTGAGCTGTGATTCAGAATGAGACCCTGTCTCAAAAAATAAAAAGTTTGAGAAAGAGGGATCCAGAGACCCAGAGAGCTGAGAAGAGGGAAGATGGGCCTCCAGAGGGGAGGGCAGCTGTTCAGTTGAAGGGGCTTCCCGACTCCCCTACCCTGAGTGGGAGATGGAGGGAGGACCCTTTATGGTTATTTTTATTTCGGGTTGAGGGCAGTTTCTGGAGACCCCGATACCTGCATCCCAGCGGGGGTCTACCTAGGGAGCAAAGGCTCAGGGGGGGCCAGGGTTGGCCCCTGGGTGGCCCCCCAGGCTTGGAGTGGATCGGGGAGGGAGCCCTGGGGGCCCTTCAAAAGGAGCTGCAGTGGAGGGGAGGCCAGTACAGAGCCCCCATCTGGGCAGGGCTAGGGCAAGGGTGAGGTGTCCCCTTCTCCTCAGTCACGTCCCCGACCCTCTTTGATCTTCCCATGTTCTGACCCCTGGAAGGAGCTTGCCAGGCCCCACTGGCCCTATGACCTGCCCACCTTATTATCCATGCTCTCCCCAACCCTGTGGTCTTCAGCCAGGGGCAATAACCCACCCCACCAACCACCCAGGGGACATTTGGCTCTATCTGGAGACACTTTTCTTTGTTACAGTTGGAGGGATGTCACTGCTGGTATCTGATGGGCAGAGGCCAAGGAAGCTATAATCGTTCTGCAACAGAGAATTTTCTGGCGCACTCACCTTTCTTTTGTTCCTAGCACGTGTCATGCATGGCATGTTCATTTCTGCCTCAGGGCCTTTGCACTTGCTGTTACCTTTGGCCGGTATGCCCTTCCCCGCAGATCATCACACAGCTGCTTCCTTCCTATTTTTTGAGAATCTGCTCAAAATCCCCTCCTCAGAGCGGTTTTCCTGATACCCCCAGCCTGCCTGCACTCTCTATCCCAAACCTCTGGTTCTTTCCTTTGCAGCACTCATCCCCACATCGTGAGAATCTTGTTAATTCATTTAGATCCTTATTTACAGTTTGTCTACCCTCCACTTGGCTCTGAGCTCCATGATGGCCAGGGACTTTGGCTCTCGGCAGTACCCGCACACACAGTATTGAGTGACACGATTGAGACCTCACTTAGAACAGCCAGGAAGCTTTGCTTAGGAGACTTTGCTTGTTAACTAGTTTCAGTCCTGTGAGGCATGCACTGTAGTTGTGCTCATTTCACAGATGGGGAAACTGAGGTTCAGAGACAGCAAGTCATTTGCCCAAAGTGACAGCTAGTCAATGCCTGAGGTGGGATTTATGCCCAGGCGGGCTGACTCCAGGTTCACTCCCTAACCACCACACAGCACCAGGTTCACTCTCTAACCACCACAGAGAGTTGAATATATGTCTCGCCACCAGAAAGCACGTCCTGCAACCCAGGCCCCTGTCCCTCCCTCTCCCTGGAAAAGCCTCCCCACTCTGGGCCTGAAGCTCTGTTCTCAGCAGAGCTGTGGCTTCCAGAAAGAAGGGGGGGCCTCTTCACTCCAGATCAGCAGGGAGCTAAGGCTCTTGTTGGCAGGTCCCTACAATGAGGAGACTTGGGGATCCAGGTGTAGGGAGGGAGCCCCAGGTCTTAGTCACCTCAGTGGGGCTACAACCACTGAGTCACTGCTGACTCTCCCAGGCACTGGATACAGCAGCTTGTGACAGCCCTGCCCTCCTCCAGACCCAGAGCTGAGCAGGAGAGGCCTGGAAAGAAGCAGGCCCCTTCCTCATGCCCCCTGGGTGGAGCAGGGTAGGTTGAGCACTGGAGTGAGTCTGAGGGCTGTGCTAAGTCCTGCACGGGGACCTGGAGTAGCTAAGGAGGGCCCCACTCTCCCCAAGGCTAGCCTCAAACTCCTGGACTCAAGCAATCCTCCCATCTCAGCCTCCCAAAGCACTGGGATTACAAGTATGAGGCTCCATGTGTAGCCTCCCCAAAACTTCTTTTCCTGTCCTTGTCTTGCTGTCCCTTGAGGCCAGGAGTTCAAGCCTGCAGTGAGCTATGACCATGCCACTGCACTCCAGCCTGGGCAACAGAGCAAGACCTTGTCTCTAAAAAAAAAAAAAAAGTTTTGGGGAGACTGGGACAGGACCGTGCAGCTGGTGGGAGAGTCACGGAGATACCAATGCCAGGCAGAGGGGCAGAAGGGGATGAAAGGGGATAGTCTGTGGGCTCTGGGCTGGCAGGGGCCTTCTGGCTGGGAACGGGGTCAGCAAACAGCTCTGGGCCAACTTCCAAGCTCCTCCCCATCTCAGAAAGAAAGGGCTGCCCAGTTTGCACCCACAGCTTCCTGGTGAGCACTTCCTGATGTCCCTACTGTGACCCCTCCCCCATTTTGGTTGCTGTTCTTTACTGGGGGCCACCATATTGGCCAGGCTGGTCTCAAACTCCTGGCCTCAAGTGATCTGCCTGCCTTGACCTCCCAAAGTGCTGGGATTACAGGCGTGAGCCACTGCACCCGGCCTGTGAGCCATTATTCCTATTAGCTAGCATCATCTCTGAGGATTTTTATAAAATTGAGATATAATTCACATTCCATAATATTCATCCTTTTAAAATATACACAACAGTGTTGGGAGCAGGCCCCCCAAAATCTGGCCATAAACTGGCCCCAAAACTGGCCATAAACAAAATCTCTGCAGCACTGTGACATGTTCATGATGGCCATAAAGCCCATGCTGGAAGGTTGTGTGTTTACTGGAATGAGGGCAAGGAACACTTGGCCCGCCCAGGGCAGAAAACCGCTTAAAGGCATTCTTAAGCCACAAACAATAGCATGAGCGATCTGTGGCTTAAGGACATGCTCCTGCTGCAGTTAACTAGCCCAATATATCCCTTTAATTTGGCCCATCCCTTCTTTTCCCATAAGGGATATTTTTAGTTAATTTAGTATCTATAGAAACAATGCTAATGGCTGGCTTGTAGTTAATAAATACATGGGTAAATCTCTGTTCGGGGCTTTCAGCTCTGAAGGCTGTGAGACCCCTGATTTCCCGCTTCACACCTCTATATTTCTGTGTGTGTGTCTTTAATTCCTCTAGCGCCACTGGGTTAGGCTCTCCCGGACCGAGCTGGTCTCAGCAAGTGGTGCCCAACATGGGGCTCGAATCCAGGTCGAAGGGTCACCAGAGCGATGGTTGAAATGGAAAACTAACTGGAGGACACCCGAGTACTCTTAAAGCAATCCCCGTGGTGAGTAAGAAGGGGAGCTCGGAAGCATCAGGGTAACAGTGGTACAAGTGTGGGGTGTGGTTCGTTCCACCTTGGAACTTTTTCACACTGATGATGAGGAGGAAGGAGAGTATGGCGAAGTAACAGAAGAGGTTACAGAGCATGTTTATTTACCAGCTAAAGCTAAACGGCAAAGGAAGGAGAGGTTCATCCTTACCCTTCTGCACCCCCTCCTTATTATTTGGAAGAAAAAGACCCTCCTGATCTTTCTTTTCCAGAGGACACTGGGCAAAAAGTAGTTGCCCCAGTGACTGTTTGAGCAGCACCTCAAGTGACTGCTCTTAGTTCTATTCAGGCAGGAATTCAGCAAGTTAGACGAGAGGGTGATTTAGAGGCTTGGCAGTTCTCTGTTAGAATACACCCCCCAGATCAACAGGGAAATATTATAGCTACATTTGAGCCTTTTCCTTTTAAATTACTCAAAAAACTTAAACAAGCTGTAAATCAGTATGGACCAGGTTCTCCTTTTGTAATGGGGCTGTTAAAGAATGTTGCTGTTTCCAGTCGGATGATTCCTACTGACTGGGACACTCTTACTCGAGCTTGTCTAACTCCTGCTCAGTTCTTACAATTTAAAACTTGGTGGGCAGATGAAGCTTCCATTCAGGCTGCTTGCAATGCCCAGGTCCAACCTCAAATTAATATAACTGCAGACCAACTTTTGGGGGTTGGCGGCTGGGCTGGTTTAGATGTACAACTTGTCATGCAGGATGATGCCATAGAACAGCTTGGAGGAGTGTGCATTAGAGCTTGGGAAAAAAATCACTTCAGGTCGGGAACAATACCCTTCTTTTAGTGCTATGAAACAGGGACCAAGAGAACCATACGTTGATTTTATAGCTCGGTTACAGGAGTCTCTTAAAACGATGATTGCATATTCGGCTGCTCAGGATACAGTGCTGCAGTTATTAGCTTTTGACAATGCTATCCCAATTGCCAGGCTGCTCTGCAACCTATCAGAGGGAAAGGACATTTAGTTGATTGTATCAAGGCCTGTGATGGTATTGGAGGTAATCTGCATAAAGCTACTTTGTTGGCACAGGCAATGGCAGGACTGAGAGTGGATAAAGGAAATACTCCATTTCCTGGAGCTTGTTTTAACTGTGGGAAGCATGGTCATACTAAAAAAGAATGTAGAAAAAATCAGCGAGTCAGGCTGCGAGATAGGGGAAAAAAGAAAACTGCTGATCCTGAAATATGCCCAAAATGTAAAAAAGGAAAACATTGGGTTAATCAGTGTCACTCTAAGTTTGATAAAGAAAGGAACCTGATTTCGGAAAACGCCATGAGGGGCCTGTCCCGGGCCCCATTCTAAACTGGGGCATTTCCAGCTCAGGCCACTCCCTCATCCCTGTACACTGTCTGTCCCCTGCCACAGCTGGTAGTGCTGCAGTAGATTTATGCTGCACAAAAGCTGTGAGCCTTCTACCTGGGGAACCCTCGCAAAAGGTCCCAACAGGAGTCCGTGGACCCTTGCCAGTGGGGACAATAGGATTACTTTTAGGAAGGTCTAGTTTAGGTTTAAAAGGGGTACAGATACATACAGGAGTCATTGATTCAGATTACACTGGGGAAATTCAAATTGTTATATCTACTTCTGTTCCCTGGAAAGCAGAGCCAGGAGAGCATATAGCACAGCTCCTGATTGTGTCGTATGTGGGAATGGGAAAAAGTGAAATTAAACAAATAGGAGGATTTGGAAGCAGAAATAAACAAGGCAAAGCAGCTTACTCGGTGAATCAAATTACTGATAAACATCCTACCTATGAAATAACTATTCAGGGAAAGAAATTTAAAGGTTTGGTAGATACAGGAGTGGACAGTTCAATCATTTCTCTACAGCACTGGCCATCCACATGGCCAAT
This sequence comes from Homo sapiens, assembly GCF_000001405.40. Taxonomy (NCBI): domain Eukaryota; kingdom Metazoa; phylum Chordata; class Mammalia; order Primates; family Hominidae; genus Homo; species Homo sapiens. Next base: position 16,106,286 of record NC_000001.11, on the reverse strand, counting down.
TCAACCCGCTCAACTTAACATAGTTGGAGTTGGTAAAGCCCCTGAAGTATATCAAAGTAGTTATATTTTGCATTGTGAAGGGCCCGATGGACAACCTGGGACTATTCAACCAATTATAACTTCCGTACCTATAAATTTATGGGGAAGAGATTTATTACAATAATGGGGAGCACAAGTTCTAATTCCAGAACAATTATATAGCCCTCAAAGTCAACATATGATGCATGAAATGGGGTATGTCCCTGGTATGGGACTAGAAAAAAATTTGCAAGGTTTGCAAGAACCACTTCAAACAGAAAGACAAAGTTCCCACCAAAGATTAGGATGTCATTTTTAATGGAGGCCATTGTTAAGTCTCCAGAACCTATACCTTTAAAAAGGTTAACAGATAAGCCAATTTGTATAGAACAATGGCCGCTAAGTAAAGAAAAACTGGAGGCTTTAGAGAAATTAGTTACTGAACAATTAGAAAATGGGCACATAGCTCCAACATTTTCCCCTTGGAATTCTCCGGTTTTCGTAATTAAGAAAAAATCAGGTAAATGGAGAATGTTAACGACTTAAGAGCTATCAATTCAGTTATACAACCTATGGGAGCATTACAGCCAGGATTGCCTTATCCCATTATAATTCCAAAAAATTGGACTTTAATAGTCATAGATCTAAAAGACTGTTTCTTTACTATCCCTTTAGCTGAGCAAGACTGTGAACAGTTTGCATTTACAGTTCCTGCAGTAAACAACCTGCAGGCCTGCTAAGTGTTTCCATTGTTTTTACAGATGGGTCCAGTAATGGTAAAGCTTCTTATTCTAGATCAAAAGATAAAGTTTTGCAGATGCCCTATACTTCAGCTCAAAAAGTGGAGCTTGTAGCTGTAATTGAGGTATTGACTGCTTTTGATATGCCTATTAATGTGATTTCTGATTCTTCATACGTGGTTCACTCCACACAGTTAATTGAAAATCCTCAGTTACGATTTCATACAAATAAACAACTGATGACTTTATTTACCCAATTGCAAAACAGCAGTTAGAAGTAGAATGCACCCTTTTTACATCACTCACATTAGGGCTCATACACCTCTTCCAGGACCTTTGACTGAAGGAAGTTAAATGGCTGATTGCCTAGTCGCTAATGCAATATCTAATGCTAGACACTTTCACAATTTAACCCATGTTAATGCCTCTGGTCTTAAATGCAGATACAGCATTACCTGGAAAGAAGCTAAAGCTATTATCCAGCAATGCCCAACTTGCCAAGTGGTACATTCCTCATCTTTTACAGTAAAGGAAGAGTTAATCCTTGAGGATTGGAACCTAACTCCCTTTGGCAAGTGGGTGTCACACATGTTCCCTCGTTTGGGAGACTAGCTTATGTACGTGTATGTGTGGACACCTTTTCTCATTTTGTCTGGGCTGCATGCCAATCAGGAGAGTCTTCTGCCTGTGTTAAACGTCACCTTTTGCAGTGTTTTGCAGTGATGGGCATTCCAGCTTCTATTAAAATAGATAATGCCCCAGGCTATACTAGCCAAGCTCTAGCTACATTTTTCTCTATGTGGAATATTAAACACATTACTGGTATCCCATACAATTCTCAAGGACAAGCCATAGTGGAAAGAATGAATCTCTCCCTAAAACAGCAGTTGCAAAAGCAGAAGGGGAGACAGAGAGTATGGAACCCCACAAATGCAATTGAACCTAGCATTATTAACTTTAAATTTTTTGAGCCTGCCCAAAGGCCAAATGTTATCAGTAGCTGAACAGCATCTACAGAAACCAGCTGCAAAGATAGAAGCAGAACAACTGATTTGGTGGAGAGATCCAATAAGAAAAAGTTGGGAAATAGGTAAAATAATAACTTGGGGTAGAGGTTATGCTTGTGTTTCTCAGGCCAAAATCAACAGCCCATTTGGATACCATCAAGACACCTGAAACCTTATCATGAGCCAGATGCCAAGGAAGAGATTCCGGGAGGATCCCGAGGACCCCCCGGTTGCAGCCATGTCAAGACTGATGCTGAGGAGGACCCCAACTGTCACAAGCAACACTCGTCAAACACAGCCACCCACCTGAGGACAGATCAAGAAGCTGTCACAGATGGCAGAAGAAAACCTGAGGAAAGCGGGACAACCAGTCACAACGAGTAATTTAATGGTAGCTATGATAGCGGTTATCACCACTGCCGTGAGTATTCCTTCAATAAGGGCTGACACAGGGAACAATTATACTTATTGGGTATATTTATCAATCTTGGCTGGCAATAATGCCTGGATGCAATCACTCTATGACACAGTTACACATGCTTTCTGGTCTCAGTATTTACCATAATAAATCTGCTCCTATAATTGAGGCATACTGCCCTCAAAAACCTATTTATAAACAGGATTGGACCTATTTGTAAACATAGAAAAAATGAACCTACTTGTTTAGGAAGATTGCATTGCAGAACAGGCAGAGGTGCTGCACAACGATTCCTGTAGAATCATTATTAATTGGTCCCCTAAGGGGATGTTTAGCTTGAATTGCACCTCTCAGTCTGCGTGCCATGGCCACACTATGTTCAGATGATCTGAACAAAATGGTCAGATGGTAGAAATGATAAGAAGTATGGCAAAAGTTCCTATTATCTGGAACCATGGCAGTAGAGTGGCACCTCAACCTCAAATGATATGGCCCACTCTAGGAGCTTAACATAAGGTTTTAAAATTAAAAGAACAAATATTTAAAGCATCCCAGGCACACCTGACCTTAATTCCAGGAACTGGAGTGCTTAAAGGAGTTGAAAATGGATACAAACACTTGGAAGTTCTGTGATTTCAATGATGATTGTGCTTTTAATCTGTGTCATTTGTCTTTGTATAGTCTGCAGTTGCGGATCCTGATTCCTGTGAGAAGTAGCTCACCGTGACAAAGCTGCCTTTGCGTTTATCGATTTGCAAATCAAAGAATGGGGACATGTTGGGAGCAGGCCCCCCAAAATCTGGCCATAAACTGGCCCCAAAACTGGCCATAAACAAAATCTCTGCAGCACTGTGACATGTTCATGATGGCCATAAAGCCCATGCTGGAAGGTTGTGGGTTTACCGGAATGAGGGCAAGGAACACCTGGCCCGCCCAGGGCAGAAAACCACTTAAAGGCATTCTTAAGCCACAAACAATAGCATGAGCGATCCGTGGCTTAAGGACATGCTCCTGCTGCAGTTAACTAGCCCAACCTATTCCTTTAATTTGGCCCATCCCTTCGTTTCCCATAAGGGATACTTTTAGTTAATTTAATATCTATAGAAACAATGCTAATGGCTAGCTTGCAGTTAATAAATACATAGGTAAATCTCCGTTCGGGGCTCTCAGCTCTGAAGGCTGTGAGACCCCTGATTTCCCGCTTCACACCTCTATATTTCTGTGTGTGTGTATCTTTAATTCCTCTAGTGCCACTGGGTTAGGCTCTCCCTGACTGAGCTGGTCTCGGCACAACAGTGGTTTTTATTATAGTCACGAGGTTGCACAGCCATCACCATGGTCTCATTTCAGAACATTTTCATCACCCCAAAATGAAGCCTGTAAGCTACTCCCCATTCTCTGTCCCCCACCCTGGCAACCATTAATCCATTTTCTGCCTCTAGGATTTGCCTATTCTGGACATTTCATATAAATGGAATATACAGGCTGTGTGCAGTAGCTCACGCCTGTAATCGCAGCACCTTGGGAGGCTGAGGTGAGCAGATCACTTGAGCTCATGAGTTCAAGACCAGCCTGGGCAACATGGTGAAGCCCCGTCTCTACTAAAAATACTAACATTAGCCAGGCGTGGTGCTGGCTCACGCCTGTAGTCCCAGTTAATTGGGACGCTGAGGCAGGAGAATCGCTTGAGCCTGGGAGGTGGAGGCTGCAGTGAGCCAAGATCATGCCACTGCACTACAGCCTGGGTGACAGAGTGAGATTCCATCTCAAAAACAAAGCAAAACAAAACAAAACCCGAAATTGGAATATACAGTATTAGCTGGGCATATTGGCATGTGCCTGTAGACCAGCTATTCTGGAGGCTAAGGTGGGAGGATCTCTTGAGCCTTGGAAGTTGAGGCTGCAGTGAGCTGTGATCATGCCACAGTGCTGCAGTCTGGGTGACAGAGAAAGACCCTGTCTCAAAATAAAGCCTTTGTGATTGGCTTCTTTCACTTAGCCTAATGTTTTCAAGGTTCACACATGTAGCATGGATCAGAATTTTATTCTTTCTTTTTATGACTGAATAATGTTCACTGCATGGATTGTTGATCAAAATGTGAAATAATAGGTACTCAGTATAGACAGTATAGACCAAGAATGTGTCCAGAAGTAGGTTCTGTGAGGCACAGTATATAATTTTCTAACAGAGGGATATGCGTAGCACAAAAAGTGGGAGAAGCAGTGGGAAGCAACGGCTGCATTCCTGCAATTCTGGTCTCAGTTCCGTGACGCTATTGTGTAAGAGCAGATAAACATGCCGTCGAGCGGGTAGAGAGAAATGTTAGGCGTCTTAGGGTCTGGAGGAGGGTCTGGTGGAGGGCAACTGATTCCATCTTGACTTTTTTCTGCATCTGATAAACAGGTTTATAGCCAGCACCTTTCAGTGAAATATTTCACAAACTCCAGTCGTGCAGTTAAGAGGTCAGCTTTATATGATAGGTCTAGGTTTTATTACCCACGTGCCTGACTGCAGCCACCGTGGGCCACTATGAACATTTTCTTTTGAATTGTCCTTTTTCTGAGAGGATAGACTTTATTTTATTTTATTTTATTTTATTTTATTTTATTTTATTTTATTTTATTTTATTTTGAGATGGAGTCTCACTCTATCACCCAGGCTGGAGTGCAGTGGCATGGTTTTGGCTCACTGCAACCTCTGCCTCCTGGGTTGAAGTGATTCTCCTGCCTCGACCTCCCAAGTATCTGGGATTACAAGCATGCACCACCATGCCCAGCTAACTTTTGTATTTTCAGTAGAGATGAGGTTTTGCCATGTTGGCCAGGCTGGTCTTGAACCCCTGACCTCAGGTGATTCACCCGCCTCAGCCTCCCAAAGTGCTCGGATTACAGGCAAGAGCCACCGTGCCCAGCCGACCATATTTTATTTAGCATTCACCATTGTATGGGCTTTGGGGTTGCTCCCACTTTTTGGTTATCATGAACACTGCTGTTGTTAACATCACCTCTGTTTTTCCTTCTCTGGGGTATTCCTAGGAGTGGCATTGTTAGACCATATGGTAACTACTGATTTAGGTGGTTTTTTTGTTCGTTTGTTTTTGAGATGATGTTTTGCTCTGTCACCTAGGCTGGAGTGCAGTGGCATGATCTTGGCTCACTGCAACCTCTGCCTCCCCGATTCAAGCGATTCTCCCACTTCAGCTTCCTGAGTAGCTGGGACTACAGGTGCACGCCACCACATTCAGTTAATTTTTGTAGTTTTAGGAGAGTTGGGGTTTCACCATGTTGGCCAGGCTGGTCTCAAACTCCTGACCTCAGGTGATCCACCCCTCTTGGCCTCCCAAAGTGCTGGGATTACAGGTGTGAGTCACTGTGCCTGGCCTCGTTCAGGTTTTTTTTTTTTTGAGAGGGAGTCTCGCTCTGTCACCCAGGCTGGAGTGCAGTGACACGATCTCAGCTCACTGCAAGCTCTGCCTCCTGGGTTCACGCAATTCTCCTGCCTCAGCATCCCGAGTAGCTGGGACTACAGGAGCCCACCACCACGCCTGGCTAAATTTTTGTATTTTTAGTAGAGACAGGGTTTCACCATGTTAACCAGGATTGTCTCAATCTCCTGACCTCGTGATCCGCCCACCTCGGCCTCCCAAAGTGCTGGGATTACAGGCTTGAGCCACTGTGCCCGGCCTTGTTTAGGTTTTTGAGGAACTGCCAAACTGTTTTCCAAAGTGACTGCACCATTTTATATTCCCAGCAGCAATGTAAGGGTTCCAATTTCTCTGCATCCTCAACAGTGCTTGTTATTGTCTGTCTTTGGTTGTAGCCATCTTGGTGTGTGTGAAGGAGTGTCTCACTGTGGTTTTGATTTATATTTCCCTAATTGCTAATGATATTGTCTTAGTTCAGGCTACTATAACAAAAATACCATAGACTGGGTGGCTTAAACAGAAATCTATTCCTCACGAAGTCTGAGATCAAGGTGCAGCATGGTCAGGTTCTGGGGAGGGCTCTCTGCCTGCTTCATAGATGACTTCCTGCTGTATCTTCACAAGACAGACAGCAGAGAATAGGACAGACAGCAGGAAGAGCAGAGAGCAGGCTGGACACAGTGGCTCACACCTGTAATCCTAGCACTTTGGGAGGCTGAGGCGGGAGGATCACTTGAGCCCAGGAGTTAAAGACCAGTCTGGCCAACATGGTAAAACTCCATCTCTACAAAAAATAAAAAATTAGCTGGGCATATTAGCATGTGCCTGTAGTCCCAGCTATTCTGGAGGCTAAGGTAGGAGGATCTCTTGAGCCTTGGAGGTTGAGGCTGCAGTGAGCTGTGATCGTGCCACAGTGCTGCAGTCTGAGTGACAGAGCAAGACCCTGTCTCAAAATAAATAAATAAATAAGAAAATAAAAGAAAAAGGGAAGAGAGACAGAGAGAGCAAGCTCCTGTGTATCTTCTTCTAAGGGCACTAATCCCATTCCTGAGGGCTCCATCCTCATGACCTAATCATCTCCCAAAGGCCTCATCTCCTAACACAATCATATTGGGAGTTAGGATTTCACCCTATGAATTTGGCAGGGGGGACACAAACATTAAGTCTATGATACTGTGAAACATGTATTTGTATTTTGATGAAGTGCAATTCATGTATTTTTTCTTTGCTTTTATTTATATGTCATGTATTTGGTCTCCAACTCCATTTCCTACCACACATCTCCTAAAACGCTTAGGATCCCCAAAGTGAGATCTTTGTGTATTTTAATAAGTGGACTAATGGCTAGCTGCTCCTCAGTAGCTTTAGGCTAAGGCTGGTCACCAGAAAGACCAAGCCATGATTAAGGGGTTAGTTCTTTCAGCCCGATCTCCCAACCTCTGGGAAGGAGAGAGGGACTGAAGGTTAAATTGCTCATCGATGGCAAATGTTTTAATAAATCATACCTACGTAACGAAGCCTCCACAAAAACCCAAAGGACCAGACCTGGAGAGCTTCCAGACAGATGAACAGGTGGAGGTTACTGGAGGGGGGCGCACCCAGGGAGGGCATGGAAGCTCCGTGCCCCATCCCCCACACTTTGCCCTTTGCTTCTCTTCCCCTCCTCCCCTCTCCTCCTCTCCCTTCTCCTCTCCTCTTTTTAAAGACAGTCTGGCCAGGCGCGGTGGCTCATTCCTGTAATCCCAGCTCTTTGGAAGGGCGAGGCAGGCTGATTACCTGAGGTCAGGAGTTTGAGAACAGTCTGGCTGGCCAACATGATGAAACCCTGTCTCTACTAAAAATACAAAAAAATTAGCCAGGTGTGGTGGTGTGTGCCTGTAATCCCAGCTACTCAGGAGGCTGAGGCAGGAGAGTCGCTTGAACCCGGGAGGCAGAGGTTGCAGTGAGCCGAGATCGTGCCATTGCACTCCAGCCTGGGTGAAAGAGCGAGACTCCGTCTCAAAAAAAAATCCAGTTTTCCAAAAATCCAGTTTTCCCAATATAATTTCTTGAAAACCACCTCCCCATTGAATTTTTTTTTTTTTTTTGAGACCGAGTCTCACTCTGTCACCCAGACTGGAGTGCAGTAGTGTGATCTCAGCTCACTGAAACCTCTGCCTCCCTGGTTCAAGCAATTCTCTGCCTTAGCCTCCCAAGTAGCTGGGACTACAGGCGCTGGCTGATTTTTGTATTTTCAGTAGAGATGGGGTTTCACCATGTTGGCCAGGCTGGTCTCAAACTCCTGACCTTAGGTGATCCGCCTGCCTCAGCCTCCCAAAGCTTTGGGATTACAGGTGTGAGCCACCATGCCCAGCCTGCTTGGTTATTTCTGACTGACCTGCTCATTGTATTTGAAAATTATTTGTGAGAATAATTTGAGGCCTAGGATGATGACACCCAAATTGTCCCTTCAGACAAGTTTTTTGTTTGCTTCTACCAAGCACTTAGGGACACTACCACGAATCCAAGGCCACTTTAATTCAAGTTCAAGGCTTTCATCTAATAATTCTTTTCTTTTTTCTTTTTTTTTTTTGAGACAGGGTCTTGCTCAAGTGCACTGCAGTGACACCATCATAATTCACTGCAGCCTTGACCTCCCCGGCTCAAGTGATCCTCCCACCTCAGCCTCCCAAATAGCTAGGACTGCAGGCACATGCCACTAGGCCTGGCTAATTTTTTAATTTTTTGCAGAGATGGGGTTTCACCATGTTGCCCAGGCTGGTCTCGACTTCCTGGGCTCAAGTGATACTCCCACCTTGGCCTCCCAAAGTGCTGGGATTACAGGCGTGAGTCATTGTGCCCGGTCTCAAGGCTTGCATTTCTTGAATCACTCAAGATTTGGTTTTCATCTGGTTCATCCTTGTTCTGAGGATGTCTCAAAGGTATTGTGGGGTATCAGACTCCTCACCTCAGACAGAAGGCTGGGCTTGCCTTTTATCCTGCCCCTCTCAGCCCCCGTGAGGCCATCAAAGCTACAGCTCAGTTTCAAAGCTGTTTCTTCCAGATTGGCAAATGCCCTCAGGGAAAATGTGGCTTTCTGCACTGGGCTTTCTTCTCTGGATTCTTACCTTCTCCTCTCCTAGATTTTTGATAACGGATTCTTTCTTTTTTCTTTTCTTTTTTTTAAGACAGGGTCTCACTCTGTCATCCAGGCTAGAGTGCAGTGGCACAATCACTGTAGCCACCTGAGCTCAGATGATCCTCCCTCCCTCAAGCTCCAGAGTAGCTGGGACTACAGGTGCATGCCACCATGCCCGGGTAATTTTTGTATTTTTTGTAGAGATGGAGGTCTCCGTATGTTGGCCAGGCTGGTTTCGAACTCCTGGGCTCAGGTGATCTGCCCACCTTGGCTTCCCAGAGTGCTGGGATTACAGGTGTGAGCCACCTAGCCTGGCTGATAAGGGATTCTTACTGCCTTGTTAATTAAAACAACAACAAGCAAAAAAAAGAAAAAAAAAAAGCAGACACACACACGAAAACTTCTTTTTGTAGAGATGGGGTTCTCACTGTGTTGCCGAGGCTGGTCTTGAACTCCTGGCCTCAAACGATCCTCCCGCCTCAGCTTCCTAAAATGTTGGCATTACAGGTGTGAGCCAGTGAGCCCAGCCGGAAGATGATTTTTAAGAAATTGGATCAAGGGAATTTAGTTGTCCTCAGAAGGAGTGTTGGTTCAAATTACAGATCCCATCATGACACAAAGCGGAAGCCCCTGCAAAGTTGTAATTTCCCACAGGCATCAGGCTGTGCCTAGCCCAGCATGAACCCTCTCTCTACCTGTCTCCTGATCTCAAAGCTCTGCACAGACCTTTGCCACCAGAAGCCACCCTAAGTCAAGGTCCCTTGCTCTCAACTCTGGTCCTTAGGGTGTACATCTCCATCACTGTGGTCACTCATCATCCAACATTTATGTGGCACCCACATATGCCAGGCCCATCCCAGGCACTGAGGATTCAGCTGTGAACAGGACAGAGGCTGGTTCTTACCCTTGAGGAGGGGAATGACAGTAGGCAACAACCCAGTGTGATCAAGTTCGGGAGGGAGAAATAGAGCCATGGGGTGTATTGCAAGGAAGTCCAACCAGGAGAGGCTTCGTGGAGGAGGTAATATATAAGCTGAGGCTTGAAGGATGTGTAGCAATTATCAGGCAAACAGGAATGTGGGAGCAAAGGACGTTCCAAGCAGAGTGAAGGACATCTGTGAAGGTGCGTAGCAGTGAATCAGAGTGGAGTGTGAGGGAGGAGGGGACTGACGGGTGAAGCAGGAGGTGGATTCAGCATCCTTGTCTGGCTTTATGAATTCCCTTTTTCGGTTTTTTTTGTTTGTTTGTTTGTTTGTTTGTTTGTTTTGTTTGTTTGTTTGTGATGGAGTCTCGCTCTGTTGCCCGGGCTGGAGTGCAGTGGCACGATCTCGGCTCACTGCAACCTCCATCTCCCGGGTTCAAGCGATTCTCCTGCCTCAGCCTCCTGAGCAGCTGGGACTACAGGCGCCCGACACCATGCCCGGCTAATTTTTGTATTTTTAGTAGAGACAAGGTTTCACCATGTCGGCCAGGCTCATCTCGAACTCCTGACCTCAAGTCATCCTCCTGCCTCGGCCTCTCAAAGTGCTGGGATTATAGGCATGAGCCACCGCACCCAGCATGAATTCCCCTTTTCCCTCTTCCCCTCCAAAAGATGGGGCTGGAAGCCTGGAGGACCCCACACTTGAGGGAAAGCAAACTCCCTGCGTCTTCCGTGTGAAATGATCCCTTTTTGGAAAGGTCACTGCCCTTGGCGCACACTTCAGTCCTCAGCTTCTGCCACCTCTCTTTCTGCCCGGGGCAGAATGGAGGATGCCACATCCCCTTGGCGCAAGAGAGGTGGGATTTAGGGCTGAATGGAGGTACAGAGACTGTCTTCCTCAACTGCCTGCCAGTGTCCTCCTTATAAGCCCTGAGGCTCTGCCGGGACGGGACCTTCCTGTGGCACCTCCGGCTCTGTCCTGGCCATCCTGTTTGACTTGGATGTGGTCCCTGATCCAGGGAACGAGGAGGGATGGGAATGGAAGGGCATGGAGCCCTGACCTTGAACCCTTGGAAATGGCCACAAGCAACACTTCTTCCTACCCGGCCAACAGTGTAGTGACCGGGGACACATGGGATCCCTGGACCTCACCTGCTCTTCGGGTCACCCCAACATCAAACCTGGAGGAAAAAGGCTGGGTTAACCCTCAGGGAACCACGGCTTGATAGAGGAGACTAGAAGATTCCTGTCTTGACCACTCAAAGTTTGATAGAAGGGAGGTTTTTGTTTGTTTGTTTGAGACTGAGTCTCACTCTGTCACCCAGGCTGGAGTGCAGTGGCGTGATCTCGGCTCACTGCAACTTCTGCCTCCCAGGTTCAAGTGATTCTCCTGCCTCAGCCTCCCAAGTAGCTGGGATTACAGGCACATGCCACCATGTCCTGCTATTTTTTGTATTTTAATAGAGACGGTGTTTCACCATATTGGCCAGGCTGGTCTCGAACTCCTGACCTCAGATGATCCTCCCGCCTCAGCCTTCCAAAGTGCTGAGATTACAGGCATGTGCCACTGCACCTGGCCAATAGTAGGGAGTTGAGCGAGTAGTTTCAATTGGAGAAGGGTTCCCTTCAATCAGTTATCCCACTCGCCTCCACCCCACCCCATTGTCCAGATGGATAAACTGAGGCTCGGTCACATGACAACTGAGAGGCAAAGGCAAGACTGAACCAGGATCTCGTGACTCCTGGCCCAGTGCTTGCCACCTTCTGCCATCCTCTCCACACAGACGCTTGATGGTGGTGATGATGGTGGTCGTGGTGATGGTGGTGGTGGTGGTGATGGTGGTGATGGTGACGGTGACGGTGGTGACGGTGGTGGTGGTGACGGTGGTGACGGTGGTGGTGACGGTGGCGGTGACGGTGGTGATGGTGGTGACGGTGGTGGTGACGGTGGTGGTGACGGTGGTGACGGTGGTGGTGGTGACAGTGGTGGTGGTGGTGGTGGTGGGTGTGTCAAGGCTTACATTTGGGCTGTGGTGAATGGAGCTGCAGGGCCAGCAAGGAGTTAACCTTCTCCACCCAACAACCTGGAAATGCGGCCTCCTGGGAACAGCTGGAGATGACAAGGTCCTTTCTCACCTTGTCATACTTCACTGGAGGCTGACATTTTCCTGGCCCCTGGCTCCAGAGGCATCAACAAAATGGGCTGAACAAAACACGTCTCGTTCAGTTGTTCTAAGACCTTGTTAATGCCTTCTAGCCAAAGACCACCAGAAACACACCTGGACAAAGCTGAGTTTACTGCTCATTGATACGAAGGAAGACACACACCTCAGGAAAGCTAGGGGTGTCTAAGAGGGTGCAGGAAGGACTTAGAGGATTCGGGCTTGTGTTGGATGCTTTTGAGGAGGGTTCAGGGAAGTGGAGTTTGCTCTGAATTGTATGCTGTCACGAAGGGGGAGGTCATTCTGTGATTGGAGATCTTAGGAATTTTTATCTGCAGAGTGAGAGGAGTGAACTGAAACCAAAGCTATAATAGGCAAAGAAGCCATTGTCATTTGCTTAGCCAGGAGAGAGGGACTTTTGATCATTTTTGTGATTTGGGTCACCTTTTTTTTTTTGTCTATGTTCGGATATAATTGTGAAGTGGTCTTGTTTTTTGTCTTGATCATCACGGTCATAGGGTGGCCTTGTGTAATGCTGGTGATGTGTGAAATGGATTCTCTCTAACAGGATCACACCAAGGGCTAGCTGGGAGGGCCAGGCAGCTCCAGGTTGTCAGGGGCTGCTTCCCTCTTTCTTCATTTGAAAGCGAACAGCATGGAGCCCTGGAAAGCTGGCCGCATCGCACAGGGTGCTCATGCGGGGCAAATGTCAGCCATGTGTCATTTGCGAGCCCTCAGGCTGCAGAGGAGGCTCTGCCGAGTTCAGGAAGCTGAAGAGCCTTTGGCATCAGATGGATCCTAATCTTGACTGCTCACGCTTTTGGTCACTTTGCAAGTCGCTTTCCCCTTTGCAACTTCATTCTCTGAAGAAATACTTAGTGAACAGCCACTGTATGCCAGGTTTTGGGGACCTTGGGCCAGTGCCTTAACTCCCTGGGACTCAGTTTATCCCTCTAGAAAATGAGACTATTCCAGCCTGGACAATAAAGCAAGACCCTGTCTCTACAAAAATAAAAATAAAAAAAATTAGCCAGGCGTGGTGGCGCATGCCTGTGGTCCCAGCTACTCAGGAGGCTAAGGTGGGAGGATTGCCTAAGCCTAGGAGGTCAAGGCTGTAGGGAGCTGTGATCGCGCCACTGCCCTCCAGCCCGGGCCACAGAGTGAGACCTTATCTCAAACAAAACAAAACAAAACACACACACACACACACACACACACACACACAAAACAAAAATCAAAACAAAACAAACAAAAAACAGAAAAAAGAAAGAAAATAAGACTATTGCTGGTACGTAAAACAAATTAATGCCTTACTCCCAGGGTTGCCGTGAGGTCAAATGGAAAACTCAGTGTACAGGCTCAGGCACAGAGTCCAGTACATGCCACCTGGACCTCCTAGGGGTCCTCTGGGCCTCCTTAACCACCTCTGCCTAGTGGGCCCTTTATTAGTAGAGAACCAGGGCCCATTCCAGGTTCAGCCCGCTCTGGAGAACAAGGCCCCCGCCCCACAGCCCAGGGAGCTGAGACCCCAGCTGGTCCCCAGGCAGATCTGGGAGTGCACAAAGCAGGAGGAGGAGATCCTGGGGTTTGGGCCTCCCTCTCCGGTCTACACTTTCAGCTGCTCCGGAGGCTGGACCACGTGACACAGTAGCGAGCCGGTCCTGCACCATGGGATCACCTTGCAGGCAGCCCAGCCCCTTGCTCCCCCAATGCTGCCCAGGTGTCAGCTCCATCGCCGCAGGCAGGGTGCTGCGTTCTTTGGGCTTGAGACTGACCCTCTATATGCTGGGGGGATGCCCTTCCAGAAGTGACGTTCTGTGACTCTCTAGCCTTCTCCGGAACAGCGGTGGTGCCAGTGCAACTGCTAGGCCTGGAGAGGCAGAGAAGGCACCAGGGCTGTGGGGGTGGAAGAGGGCATGTACCATCCTGCCTCTCAGGTGTGGAGGAGGGGGTGGTGACAAGGAGGGTGTGAGAACAGCACAGAAGGAAGTCTGTGTACCCACAGACTTCCAAAGACCACCAGAAACACACCTGGACAAAGCTGGATTTACTGCTCATTGATACGAAGGAAGACGCACACCTCAGGAAAGGGAGGGGTGTCTAAGAGGGTGACTGGGAGGTGATGGTGGGAGGGCCCTTTGCATGGGCTTGAGTGGTGTGGGTGGGGGCTGTGTGCCTGGGTGGACCCACACAGGTGTAGATGTGTATATGTGTGTGAGCAGGACTCTGACAGCGGGGTGGGTGCACGTTCATGTGGGCAGGTGTGATGCCTCCACCTCGGTGGGTGGGTCTCAGAAGCAGCCTGAGTTTAGGGTTCAAACCGGCCTGAATTATCCCCAGTTGAGCTCCTTTCTGGCTGTGTGACCTTGGCCACGTCACTTGCCCTCTCCGAACCCCATTCATCCCTTCCACAAGTACACCTTGAGATCTTGCTGTGTGCCGGGAGCAAACAAGGCAGAGAAGGTCCCAGCCTTCATGGAATTGGTGGTCTTGCCTCAGTTTCTCCATCTTTAAAGTGAGGGTGGCAGTATCTGTCTTCCAGGCAACATCTGTCAAATGCAGGGCATCGGGGCCAAGTGCTCAGTGGAGGTCTGTTTTCGTCCTCCTTCTGGAAACCTGGAACTGCACGCCTTCTTCCAAGGGACACAGCTCTCAGCTGGTGGGTAGAGAGAGCCAAGCTCCCTCCGCTTAAGGCACGACCTAGTTCCCAGACGGCCCTTGCTCTGTTGTGCTGGCGAGGGCCCTGGGAGGGAATGGCAAAGCCATCTGGGGTGGGTGGGTGAGACAGGGGCCTTGGCATTCCAAAGAGCTGGGCACCTCCCGGACAGTGAGGGGCGCAGGTCTGGAGGACAAAGATCCGTTGTGGGCCCCCATCAGAGTCCCCCACACACACCCAGTACAGGCACCAGGCACCGATGTGGGATGGAAACTCCTCCAACAAGTTGGGACACCCTCTTTCTCTGGGTAGGCGGGGCTCACGGGGCAGGGACTGGGGATAGAGCAGAGGAGGTGGCTGCCAACCTCCCACTGGGCAGTTGTTTACACCCAAGTGATGAGCTGGCTCTTGGCTTCATCACCTGCTCACCTGGCCAGGTGTGCCAGGAGAGGCTGGCTGTTCCTGCCTGGCCCAGTTGGCATTCAAGGTTCTGGCTCCGCTGGGACAGGGCACGAGACTGAAGGGGTGACCAGAAGAGGACGACTGCAGGTCTTTGCTTAGAACCCGATGTCTGATTTCCTCTCTGCCTGATTTCCCTCACGTGCCCACAGCAGCCCTGGAGTGTGAGGAGCTGCAGTTCCTTTTGCAGGGGAGGCTGGCAGAGATTTAGGGCACCCCTGGCCCAGAAAGGATGATGCCCTGCAAGAGGGGTTGGTGACCCCTCTTTTCCACATCACTGAAGCGTTGGGGGTCTTGATAGAGGTGGCTGCCATCTGCCAGCCCAGCAGGCAGGTGGAGAGGAAGCAGTCTGTACCCAAAGTAGGAAGGACTCAGGTTAGACCCAAGAGAGTCATTGCAGCCCACGGAGGAGTTCTGGAGTCAGAAAGGGATGCTTCCTTGCAGGACCTGCCTTTGGTGGGGTTGGGAGGTGGAAGAGAGGCCAGGACAGATGGAGGAAGGGGGTAGGTCCCCTCTCCCTCTTGCCAAGTGAAGAGCATGTGGAGCCTGCACCCACCTACCCACACCCATTTCCCTCCACATTGCCAGCCAAGGGAACCCAGGCCTAGGAGTTGCACAGTTAGAATTGTAGGGAGATCATGAGCCAGTTCCTTTAACTTCTCTGAGCCTCAGTTTTCCTCTTCTGTATGATGGGCAGCATGTATTTGACTCTCAGGGCCTGGGTGAGACCAAACTGTGTACCAGGCACTTCGTATGCGCCATGCACAGTGTACCAGGTACATCATATGTGCCACTCACAGTGTACCAGGCACATCATATGTGCCACACACCCTTGTACACAGTGCCCTTGGCTTCTTCTTCTGAGGCAGGCACCATTATAGGCCCATTTTACAGATAAGGAGATTGGGGTAGGGCACTGGGTAGGGCAGGAGATGTCCATCCTATGGGTCCCTTTCCTCTCCCAGAGAGCAGGCAAGTGAGGCAGGGTCTTGGATTGTGGCATGCAGGAGAGGCTGACGGCTCAGCTTGGGCTTGCACTGGCTCTGGCTCAGGGGGTTCTTGTAATCTAGGCAGGGTGTTCTCTCCTGGTCACCTTCCAGAGTTTCATTTCTTGAAGCAATGCGTCACAGCTGCAGAGTTGGTCTCCCCTAATAAGGATGTGAGAGCACTGGCAAGCAGGTCCCCGTTCCTGCTTCCTTGCATCTGTTTCTGGGTTCTGGGCATCTGTGGCCCAGGGTGTTTTGTGCTATGGTGTCCAGAGAGAGAGACAGGAGGCTTTCTTTGTTCTGCCTCAGTTCCAACCTTACTTTTGTTATGTTCAAAAGACAAGAGGGATGGACTTCACACACCATCAGGTACACAGTGGGCCATGCCATCAGGAAGAGGACCGGCTGCCTGACCCCAGTGCCTGCACCTCCAACCTCCCTCCCTCCCTCCCTCCTCCCTTCCTTCCTTCCTTCCTTACTTACTTACTTACTTACTTCCTTCCTTCCTTCCTCCTTCCTTTCTTTCTTTCCTTCTTTCCTTCTTTCTTTCTTTGACAGAGTCTTGCTTTGTTACCCAGGCTGGAGTGCAGTGGTGCGATCTTGGCTCACCGCAACCTCTGCCTCCTGGGTTCAAGAGATTCTTGTGCCTCAGCTTCCCAACGTGCTGGGAGCCACCACCCCCTCCCCCTCCCTTCCCCTCCCCTTCCCTTTCTTTTTTATTTTTTGAGACAGAGTCTTGCTTTGTCACCCAGGCTGGAGTGCAGTGGTGCGATCTCGGCTTACTGCAGCCTCCACCTCCTGGGTTCAAGCGAGTCTTGTGCCTTGGCCTCCCAAAGTGCTGGGATGACAGGTGTGAGCCACTGTGTCCGGCCTCCAATTTCTTTCTTTTTCTTTCCCCTGCCATCTTTCACAGGCATCCATTAAACCTTATTCTGTCACCCCTCTTCTATCATTTCACTGAGGTCCAAGCTGTGGCCTCCTCCTTTCACCTGGACTCTACCCACCTCCCTCTAGCCTCCAGCCTGGCCCCTTCCTGCACTCTCATCTGATCACCTCCTGCCCCAGTGCTGAATCCTTCAACAGCTCCCCTTTGCTTCCTGATGCAGTCCTGACTAGTGGCTCTGGCATTCAGTGCCTGCCCTGCGGAAACTGGCCAAGCGGTGAAGTACGTGGGCCTGCGGGGCCTTCCCCTGATAGCCAGTGTCCAGGCGCTGAGTCAGCCCTGTGTGTGGAGGTGAGGGAGGCAACGGTTGCACGAGTCGCTGAGGGGAACTGAGGCCCCGAGAGGGGCCTCAAGTCCCATGCTCCAAGTCCTATGGTGGGGAAGCTCAGCAGAGGCCCTGCCCCTTTCCCCTGGGTCTTGCCCCTGCAGGCACTGGGCCCCTGGGAGCCAAGTGGCCCATGGGTAAGGCTGAACCCTCCTCCTGCCCTGTTGGCTTCTCGAATCCTCATAAATCAGAGGTGAAGAGTGGGTGGCATTCTGTGCAAATCACCCTCAGTGCTGTGTGTGCCCATTGGCCCCGCTGCCCACCTGCCCACCTGCTGCTCCCCGGGGCCATGCGTATCAGGGAAGTAACGAGCCCAGCTACCCCTCACAGGCAGGTTCGGGGCACAGGTCCCCAAGGACTCCTCCCAACTCTGTCCCAGGGGAAGCCCACAGCTCGGCCCACTTCCCCCTCTCTGGGCAGTGAGGTCTCCACCCTGGTGCCCACCCTCCTGGCCCTGCCCAGGCGGCCTCCAGCAGGTTGTTTTCCCGGCTGGGCCTGGCTCAGCCTCCAGGGCCTGCCGGTCACGTAGCCAAACTCGTTCCTCTTCTCCTACTGCCCAGGCTGCTGAGCACAGCGGTTTCCTGCTGGGGAGAGCACAATGGAGCCCACCCCAAGGGAGCCACCCAGGGGAGGCGCCACCCCAGCGGGCTGTGAGCGCTGTGTGACCCAGGACTGGGCCCACGCCCTCTCTGAGCCTTGGTTTCCCTACAGAGAAGTGAGGAGGTGAGGCGAGGTCATGGGAGGCCACTCTCCAGTAGTAACAGCCATCTTTCCCTGAGCACCAAACCTACGCCAGGCCCACAATCCCCATGTCCTCACCGCCAGCCTGCGGGGCTGGGACAGAGTGAGGTTTATTCATTTGGTCACAGCCGAACCTCCTTTTTCTGTCCAACATCTCAGAGCTTCTTCCTGTCTCCTGTTTAGGAATCTGCTCTCCCTGTCCCCACCCCTGCCCTACCTCCCCCTCTTCCTCCCAGGAGGTGCCCAGCCCGGGCTGGGGTGGGGAAATGGGAGGAAGTGTTAGAAAGTACAAATTAGATCAGGGGGCACCTGGACCAAGGTGGTCCTGGTCTGCCCGCCCCAGCTGGCTGGCAGGAAGGAGAAGGTTTGGGAGCTGCGGGGAGAGAGACTGTGTGGGGAGGCACAGGGAGGAGGGAGAGGGACTGGGGAGGTTCAGAGGCTGAGAGTCAGTGGCCCTGCAGGGTTCTGTTCCTGCCTCCTCACCCTCCTGCTTCCGCCCTCAGCCCCAACAACCTCTTACTTCTCTTCCATCTAAAGCCTGGGACCCAGGGCCTCTCAATGGTGAGGAGGAGGGCTACCCTCCCCACAGTGACACCGCCCCAGGACATATCAACGAGCGGCCCTAGGCAGAGAGGACTCCCCAAGTTCTCACGACCTCATTGTGCCTCCCCAATTTAAAGCCATGTTGATGGGCTCCATTCCCAAGTCCTGGGTCA
The DNA here is from genome assembly GCF_000001405.40 of Homo sapiens. Classification (NCBI taxonomy): domain Eukaryota; kingdom Metazoa; phylum Chordata; class Mammalia; order Primates; family Hominidae; genus Homo; species Homo sapiens. Next base: position 16,087,650 of record NC_000001.11, on the reverse strand, counting down.
AGCTGAATTAACCCCAAGTTGGAGCACTGGAAAACTGTTATTTGCAAATATTATTGTTACCATTTAGAAATACGTGCACAACCTCTTTTGTCTTTAGAGAAAACTATCCACCTATAAAAAACTACCTTGACAAAAACAATTCTGGTTTGACTGATCATTTTGTTTCTTTTTTTTTTTTCTTTTGAGATGGAGTCTCATTCTTGTTGCCCAGGCTGGAGTGCAGTGGCACGATCTCAGCTCACTGCAGCCTCTACCTCCCAGGTTCAAGTGATTCTTCTGCCTCAGCCTCCTGAGTAGCTGTGATTACTGGCACCGGACACCAGGCCTGGCTAGTTTTTTTTTTTTTTTTTGTATTTTTTGTAGAGACAGGGTTTCACTACGTTGGCCAGGCTGGTCTCAAACTCCTGGCCTCAGGTGACCCACCCACCTCGGTCTCCCAAAGTGCTGGGATTACAGGTGTGAGCCACTGTACCTGGACCATTTTGTTTCTTTTTTTTTTTTTTTTTGAGACTGAGTTTTGCTCTTTTTGCCCAGGCTGGAGTGCAGTGGCGCGATCTTGGCTCACTACAACCTCCGCCTCCCGGGTTCAAGCGATTCTCCCTGCCTCAGCCTCCTCAGTAGCTGGGATTACAGGCATGCGCCACCATGCCTGGCTAATTTTGTATTTTTAGTAGAGATGGGGTTTTACCACGTTGGCCAGGCTGGTCTCGAACTCCTGATCTCAGGTGACCCACCCACCTCGGCCTCCCAAAGTGCTGGGATTACAGGCATGAGCCACTGTGCCCGGCCTCCCATTTTGTTTCTTTAAGCGGTAAGTGTATGCAGTGTGGGTCCTGGGCGAGCCAACCTTGCACCGTGGATGCATTTCTACGTCCACGTGCTATTCGAACAGAAGGCACCCTAAATAGAAATGTTGCTTTGAAGCAATATTTGCAGAACATGCAAACTTCTGTATTTGTATTTGGAAAAAATAAAACAGGTTCTTGTTGCTTAAGGAAAAAAAAAAAAAAAAAGAGCAAGGTGCCAGGCACAATCGCTTAGGCTTGTAATCCCAGTACTTTGGGAAGTTAAGGTGGGAAGACCGCTTGAGCTCAGGAGTTCAAGACCAGCCTGGGCAATATAGCGAGCCCCATCTCTACAAAAAACTTAAAAAATTAGCCGGGCGTGGTGGCATTACTACTCAGGAGGCTGAGGTAGAAGGCTTGTTTGAGCATGGGAGGTTAAGGCTGCAGTGAGCTGAGGTCAAGCCAAAAAAAAAAAAAAGCAAGGCCAGGCATGGTGGCTCGCACCTGTAATCCCAGCACACTTTGGGAAGCTAAGGTGGGAGAATGGCTGGAGTCCAGTAGTTCAGCCTGGGCAATATAGTAAGACCCTGTCTCTATTTAAAAAAAAAAAAGTGGCCGGGCGTGGCTCATGCCTCTAATCCCAGTACATTGGGAGGCCAAGGTTGGTGGATCACTTGAGGTCAGGAGTTCGAGATCAGCCTGACCAACATGGTGAAACCCCATCTCTACTAAAAATACAAAAATTCGCCAGGCATGGTAGCACACTCCTGTAGTCCCAGCTACTTGGGAGGCTGAGGCAGAACTGCTTGAACCCTGGAGGTGGAGTTTGCAGTGAGCTGAGACTGTGCCACTGCACTCCAGCCTGGGTGACAGAGAGAGACTCCATCTCAAAAAAAAAAAAAAAAAAAGGCACAGCCCAGACTCTCCACCTGACAGTGCCATGGTGTGTCCCCAGAAAAGTGGGTCCCCAAAGCGGGACTTCCTAAGAGCACTGCTGAGGTTTCTGGTGAGAACCAGGGACATGGGGAGGAGCAGTCCTTCCTTGGCAGGGCCTGGGAGGCTCCCTTGAAGGGAAGAGGAAGTGACTACCGTCCCCAGAGCCACATCTCTCCCCTCCTCAGTCCGAGGCCTGGCAAACACTCCTGAAGCCCACGACCCCCAGCCCTCCAGGATCAGAAGGCTTGACCTTGCCTTCACTCAGCCCTGAACTCCATCCTGGCCCAGCCAGGCCCTGGAAGTGTCAGCAGCAATTCAACCCTGAAGCCCAGGGTCCACAGAGGGAGCAGCCCCAGCCCAGCTGACCCACGCTCTCCTCCTCCCCTCCTATCTCCACCTCGAGATATGGAGACCTGTGCTCTGGATGCCCTCTCAGGCGATGGAATTTGGAATCCTAGCACTTGCCTCTTAGAGCCTCAGTTTCCTTATCCGCACAACCATCCTCTAAATAATCCCACTTCCTCAGCTGGTCGTGAGGACGAAAAGGGACAATGTTCATGAGGAGCCTCACCCAGCAGGTACAGAATCATATGAATGTTTATTTCTTTTTTCTTTTCTTTTTCTTTTTTTTTTTTTCTGAGATGGACTTTCACTCTTGCTATCCAGGCTGGAATGCAATGGCACCATCTTGGCCCACTGCAACCTCCACCTCCCAGGTTCAAGCAATTGTCCTCCCTCAGCCTCCCACATAGCTGGGATTACAGGCCTGTGCCACCACACCTGTCTAATTTTTTTTTTTTGATGGAGTTTTGCTCTTGTTGCCCAGGCTGGAGTGCCATGACACAATCTCGGCTCATCGCAACCTCCACCTCCCAGGTTCAAGCGATTCTCCTGCCTCAGCCTCCCAAGTAGCTGGGACTACAGGCATGTGCCACCATGCCCGGCTAATGCTGTATTTTTAGTAGAGACGGGGTTTCTCCATGTTTGTCAGGCTGGTCTCAACCTCCTGACCTCAGGTGATCCACCTGCCTTGGCCTCCCAGAGGGCTGGGATTATAGACATGAGCCACTGTGCACAGCCTAATTATTGTATTCTTAGTAGAGATGGGGGGGGGTTTCACCACATTGGCCAGGCTGGTCTCGAACTCCTGACCTCAGGTGATCCACCCTCCTCGGCCTCCCAAAGTGCTGGGATTACAGGTGTGAGCCACCGTGCCTGGCCAGGAATGTTTATTTCTAATTGTCTCGCTCGCCCTCTGTGTCTCCCACCCATCCTCTTCTCTCCCGCACATCTGGCTTTCTAATTTCCACTGTTGCCTCCTCTTTGGCCTCTAAGTCTGTGGAAGTTCCCCTTTCCTGACAAAGCGTGTCCTGGAGCCTGTTTCCTCTCACCATTCCCCACCTGGAGGCTTCTGCCCTTCCCAGCAGGTCTTAAGGCCCAGTTCAGGGAGCCGGGTGTGGCGGCGGGTGCCTGTAGTCCCAGCTACTTGGGAGGCTGAGGCAGGAGGATTGCTGGGGCCAGGAGTTCGGGCCTGCAGTGAGCTATGATTGTGCCACTGGACTCTAGACTGGGAGACAAAGCAAGACCTGTCTTTAAAAAAAGTGGAAAGTTGGGGAAGAATTTTTTTTTTGAGACAGAGTCTTGCTCTGTCGCCCAGGCTGGAGTGCAGTGGTGTGATCTTGGCTCACTGCAACCTCTGCCTCCTGGGTTCAAGAGATTCTCCTGCCTCAGCCTCCCGAGTAGCTGGGACTACAGGTGTGCGCCATCAGGCCCTGCTAATTTTTGTATTTTTGTGGAGACGGAGTTTTATCATGTTGGCCAGGCTGGTCTCAAACTCCTAGGCTCAAGTGATCTGCCCGCCTCAGCCTCCCAAAGTGCTGGGATTACAGGCATGAGCCACCACTCCCGGCCGGAATTTTTTTACAAGAAGGGAAAAAAGCCCCATTTGGGGACCTCCTACATCAGTCCCTTATCTCCCATCCCGGCAGGGAGCTCAAAGTTCCTACCAACTCAGGGAACCAGGACCTGGTGGCAAGGAGTGGGGGTGGCAGGACTGTAGAATCCACACATTCAGTGAGCTTGCTGGGGGGCTTCTGCCCACTGCTCTTCCCCTAGGAAGGAACATCTCGAAGGCAGGTGAGGCCTGGGGCCCACCCCTCAGCTGGCACCACCCTGACCTGGACTTGTGCCCCCTCCATACCTCTGCTGGGAAAAACACTTTCCCACAATGTGAGTTTCTCCACCCCCCCGCCCAGCCGCTTCTCGGAGTGGGAAGGGCAGGAGTGGGCTGGGCAGGGCTGGGCAGGGCTGGGCAGGGCTGGGCAGGGGACACCAGCTGGGCTGTGTTTGTTTTTGGGGTTTTCCTCTTAGACTGGTTCTCTAAACAAAAGGCCTGGATGGTTGTGGAGACGGAGCCAGCCCCAGCCCCTCCTGGGGCCAAGGGGGTTCCAACAGAAGATTATGTGGGAGGGGGGCATTTAGAGTCCCCCCAGGGCCATGTCGTCTTAGGGAACATTTGAAGCCCAGTGACACGGGTGCTACTTTCCTATTTTACAGAGGAGGAGACTGAGGTTCAGGGAGGCCCAGTGATATACTCAGTGAAAGCTGAGGAAGGGGCTGGCAGGGGGTGGCTCAGGAGGAGGGCTTATTTTGGGGTTGCACTGGGTGCTTGGCTACCCTCTCCTCCTTCAAACTCCCTCTGTCCCCTCGTTGCACCCTCCCCCCGAAGTCGTGTTTCCTTCCCCAAATCTCCCAGGCTGTGCCTCTCGCTCTTTCTTCTCCAGGCAGCTCCATCCTCAGCTTTGTCCTCATCAGTCTCCCCCAGGGTGGGCACAAGCCCCTGGCGGCAACATCCAAACCACTGGCACCAGGCCATAACCATGCCATTTCAAGAGTTTGCATGGGCCACGCTCTGTTCTAAAAGGTGTCACCCAAGATTAGCTGCTCAGTCCTCACAGCAGCTCTGGGAGGTGAGTACTCTTCTTATCCTTGCTTTGCAGGTGAGGAAGCTGAGGCCCAGAGAGGGGACGAAATTGACCATAGGTGGCAGAGCCCTATTCAAACCCAGGCAGCCTGGCCCCAGAGCCCACACACTTGCTTCTCCAGGTTGCCCCTCTGGCTCTCCAGCCTAGACCTCTGACCTGGGCTCTCCCAACTAAGGAGAGATGGGAGCTATGGTGGCAGAGGTGCCCCGGGCACCATCCCTGCCTAGCCCCCACCATAGCTCCCATCTCACTCTGCATTAGGCCTGGTTGCTCCATGACCCCACCCCACCCCCTTGGGTCCCATTCATTCATGGCCACGTCCCCATGCCCAGCACAGCAGACGTGGTACACAGTAGGGCCTCAGCATGTATTCTCAGAGGAACAAAGTGGATTCCAGTCCTAGAACCAGCCCCAGCTTCCCCAGAGTGCCCTCTGCTGGTCAGACCAGACACTGACCCAAGGCCTCCAGGCCACCAGCCCTCCTTGATCCTGGATCATCTAATAAACCCCTGGGTTTATAGAGCTCCTTTCTCCCACCGAGCTCAAAGCACTTTCCCATCTGTGATCTCTCTGGCCTGGGACCCGCCTCAGAAGTGTGGGAGGGCCCAGTATTCATCTCCCCATTTTACAGAGACGAACCAAAGCCTGGAGAGTGATGGGACGAGCCCCAGCGTGCTGCTGGCAGCTGCAGAAAAGAACTTACAGGTCCATTCATCCAGCCCTCTAGGGTACAGATGAACATACTGAGGCTCAGAGGGGAACAGACTTGCCCGGATGAGTCCTGGGCTAGAACCCTGGTGTCCTAAATGCCATCCAGGGCTTTCCCACGACATCAAGATCTCTGTCTACAGAGGCAAGGAGTAAGGCCTTGGCCAAGTCATCGAACATAAGGAGCCTGTATTGTCCAGTTGTACTTCCTGCTCTTGCCTTCCTCCCAGGGGATGACTGACAGGGAAGTGCTCCTGAACCGCTGTGAAGGCCACGAGGCCAGGTGAGGCCAGATGAGGCCAGGTGAGGTGGCGATCAGAACATTGGCCCCTACTGCAGATTTGGGCGGGACCCTCACCCCTGCCTGGCATAAACACCGACCCAGGAGGAGGCCCCCACCCAAAGCTTTGCTTTCAGAGGGGCCAGCATGCTGTCTGCTAGCCCACCCTGCCCTGGCTGACCTGGTGGGGGACCAAAGGTGAAAATAAATGCTTAAGCAGTGTGACCCTGAGCGCCAGTTCCTGCCCCCTGTTGTGCCCCTCCCGGCACTTCGGATTTGTCAACTTATTATTTATTCCGGGGACTTGTTAATGTTGTCTCCTCTGCCACACTCTAAGCATCAGAGCTCACTGCAGCCTCAACCTTCTGGGTTCTAGTGATACTCCCACTTCCGCCTCCAGAGTAGCTGGGACTACAGGCGCGTGCCACCATGTGTGGCTAATTAAAAATTTTTTTTTTTTTGTAGCGACAAGTACTCACTATATTGCCCAGGTTGGTCTCGAACTCCTGGGCTTAAGTGATCCTCCCATTTTGACCTCCCAAAGTGCTGGGATTAGAGGCGTGAGCCACCAGGTCCAGCCTATTTTCAGCTTTGAGGGCCCTGTCATCTCTGTCTACACCACTCTGTCGGGGGAGTGTGAGGCAGCCAGAGACAATAGGTAAACAAATGGGTGTAGATATGTTTCAATAAATCTTTGTTTAGGCCGGGGGCGGTGGCTCATGCCTGCAATCCCAGCACTTTGGGATGCTGAGGTGGACGGATCACCTGAGGTAAGGAGTTCCAAGACCAGCCTGGCCAACATGGCGAAACCCCCATCTCTACTAAAAATACAAAAATTAGCCGGGATTGGTGGCACATGCCTGTAGTCCAGTTACTCAGGAGGCCGAGGCAGAATTGCTTGAATGAGGGAGGCAGGGGTTGCAGTGAGCTGAGATTGTACCTCTGCACTCCAGGCTGGGTGACAAAATAAGACTCTGTTTCAGATAAATAAATAAATAAATAAATAAATAAATAAATAAATAAAATAAAACAAAACCTTGCTTACAAAAACAGACTGTTGGCCATATCTAGCCAATGGGCCATAGTTTGCTGGCCCCTGCTCTTATCTCCAGGACAGCTGGATCACTTCCAGACCATGGCTGCCGCCTGAGCTGTTCCCTCTGCCTTGGAGGCCAAGCATGGCTGTTCACTGTCAGCTATAACCCATTGTAGGTGCTGCTTCAATCAATATTTGATGAATAAAGGTGTGAACAGAGAGTAAAACAGGCAAGACCTCTGTGGGACTCGAAGGATGTGTGAGGTATGGACTGATTGTGACAGGGTGTGCAGCTTGTGCAAATGTCCAGAGGCAGGAATGGGGGAGATGCTCAGGCCCCAGGGGTTTCCAGGCTCAGAATCGCCCTGAAGGTCAAGATAGAGGGGACTGCCAAGAGTTTAAGGGCTGCCCCAGCATGATGATGGCTTGGACCACCTTCTCCCCCTCCTAGAGTTACTGGGAGGGTGAAACAGGACAGGAGGGTAAGGGTCTCCAGACAGCTCCTGACACGCAGAAAGGCCTCAGCTGCCATGATGATTATTGGTACTGTTTTTCTTTAGTTTGTTTGTTTTGTTTTGTTTTATTTTGTTTGTTTTTTTTTTGAGACGGAGTTTCGTTCTTGTTGCCCAGGCTGGAGTGCAATGCCGCGATCTCGGCTCACCGCAACCTCTGCCTCCCGAGTTCAAGCGATTCTCCTGACTCAGCCTCCCGAATAGCTGGGACTACAGGCATGTGCCACCGTGCCCGGCTAATTTTGTATTTTTAGTAGAGACGGGGTTTCTCCATGTTGGTCAGGCTGGTCTTGAACTCCCAACCTGAGGTGATCCACCCGCCTCAGCCTCCCAAAGTGCTGGGATTACAGGCATGAGCCACCTCACCCTGCCGATTATTGGCACTGTTAATAACCCAGACACCTGAAACTGCCCCTCAAGCTCCCACTAATGGCTTGACCTGGTCAGCAGGGCTCTCGCCGCACTGGGGCTGGGAGTAAACACCTGTTTACTCACCAGGCTAGGAGCTTCCCCGGCACAGGGACTGGATTCATCCGTGTTCCCAGTGCTCAGGACAGGGCCTGGCAGCATGGCTGTGTCTCCTGCATCAGACTTGGAATTCCCTAAGGGCTCTGTCTCCCCCATCAGACTAGGGGCTCAACTTTCTGTCTCGGCCTATCCCACCTAGTCCAGCCTGCTTTCCTGGGGAGGGCTCTGACCTAACATCCAATTCCAGTCGGAGCCTGGAAGTGAGAGTAGGCATATTCCGAGAACGGCCTGTGACTTTCTCAGGCTCCCCAGAAAGGCCCCAAGTCCTAGCCCCGGGGAAACCCCAGGCGGGGCCAGGACACCAGAAGTGACACCTAGCACCTGACTCCTCCAGACTGGAGCAGCGGGTCCTGCTGGCTGTGGTGTTCCAGTCCCAGCTGTGCTCCTAACTGGCCTTGGTTCCTTTCCTGGGGTTCAGTCTCCGCATCTGTACAATGGGGGTCAGGACCACGTGTTGTCTGACTTCAGGAGCCTGGCTAGGCTATACAGAGACTTTGTGCAAAATTGTAAAAGGCCTTCCCTCTGGGTAGATGCACCCTGTGAGTGCACAGCTTAGAGGAAGTGACACCTTTGTGCTAGGAAAAAACCTCCCTGTCCTGGGGCAGACACAGAGCTCTACACAACGGTAGAGCTCAGGGCTTTGGGACCAGAGCACGGGCAGGTTTTGGTCCCCTCCCACTCAGCCAGGCTCCTCTGTGCAGGGTGCAGCATGCACCACCCAGAGCCATGGCTGGGGCTGAGTTACCAGCAGGGTACTTTCTGGGTCAGCAGACGGCGGGAGGAAGGAAAAGGAAAGCAACAGAGAATGATGCTGTCTCAGGCTGCCCCCTGATGGCCAGCGGCTGCCTCACACTCACAGCTCTGGAAAAGCAACAGTTCTAGCAGGGGGGCTTCCTTCTACCTGCAGAGATCCTGAGATCTAGGAATTGGAGTACCAGCCCTCTGAACCTTGAGGAAGGGACCCTGTCACATAGCAGCCACCATGGGCCAGGACAGGGCCGGGCATTTTAGAGATGAACTCAGGGCGCCTCTTTTTTTTTTTTTTTTTTTTTTTTTTGAGACAGAGTCCCTCTCTGTCACCCAGGCTGGAGTGCAGTGGCGTGATCTTGGCTCACTGCAACCTCCGCCTCCTGGGTTCAAGCGATTCTCTTGTCTCAGCCCCCAGAGTAGCTGGGATTACAGGTGCATGTCACCACGCTGGCTTTTTTTTTTTTTTTTTTTTTTTTTTTTTGTATCTTTAGTAGAGACTGAGTTTTCCCATGTTGGCCAGGCTGGTCTCGAACTCCTGACCTCAGGTGATCCACCCGCCTCGGCCTCCTAAAGTGCTGGGATTACAGGCATGAGCCACCGTGCCCAGCCCAGAACACCTCTTTACCCATCAGACTGAAAGCTCCCAGGGAGGGGGCTGGTCTCACCTCAGTGTCCCCATGCCCAGCACAGTTGCCGTGTCTCTTCTGTCAGACTTGGAGCTCCCTGAGGGCTCTGTCTCCCCCATCAGACTGAGAGTTTACCCTTCTCTCTCTTTCCCTAGTCCAGCTGGTTGCCTGGGGGTGAGGCAGGGAGATGACCTGACACCCAACTCCAGCCAGCAGCCCCCAGTCCTGAGCCTGGAGCTGAAAGTGGGCCCATTCTGAGGTCAGCCTGTGGCCTTCTTTCTCAGCCTCCACCAAAAGGCCCCAAGTCCTGGCCCCTGGAACCCCCCAGGCAGGGCCAAACCTCCAGAGAAAGCAGGGAATTCTCCTGGAAACTCATGTGCACCTCCATCTCACCGAGAATGAATGGAGGGGGGATTTGGTTCACAGATGAGGAAACAAGAGATGTGCTTTGGACAAAGACCAGATTCCACTGTGAGGCCCTGCAGGAGCTGCCACCTCTATCCTCCTCCCAGGACCTGGTCCCTCCCTCCCACCTCCGGACCGTGGCCATGGCCTAGCCTCTCTGCCCAGCCCCTCTGCCTTGGAGGCCCTCCCCTCTCTCTACCTAGCTAAATCCCACCCATCCATCAGCTGTGGGCTCTGTCATTGTCATTTCTCTGGATGTGCCTTTCATGCCTGGGACCAGATGAAGTCCTCTTCTTCACTCTCAAGGGCTCCTTTCTGAGCGCTTCCAGGGCCGTGATTCTAAATGTATCTGGGTCATTATTGAATTAACACCTGCCTCCCCCACCAGAACCATAAGCTCCAATGAGCGGGGCCCTTGTCCGTCTCATTCATGTCGTAATCTCGGCACAGACTGCGCTTGTCACACAGCAGGTGCTCAGTGAGCAATTGCTGGATGAATGAAAGGTTGAATCAGTCCTGGCTGATTGAACCAGTCCCACGTTCTAGATATGGGACCTTGGGCAAGTCTCACTTTCTCGCATTCATTCAGCAAATACTTATTGAGCATGGATCTACTGCATGTTGGTTTTGGCACAGGATTCAAACCCAGATCTGACTGGCTTCTGATGCTGTTCTCTTTCTGCTTTTCAAGCTCTGCCCTTCTTGCGATGTTTGGGGCCTGGGGAAGGGGTCCAGCCCCACCCTCTCCCACTGGTCCCTGGATGTCATATATGCCAGTCTGCTGTGGCCCCCTGCCTCCAAACATTTGTGCACACAGAGCCTTCTACCACCAACAGCCCACTCGACCTTCAAAATCCGCTTCTAGGGTCACGATCGCCTGAAAGCCATCCCCATAGCCCTTGGCAGAAGTGACTCTCCTGTCACACACTTGGCTGGCATGGAGATGCAGCACTGTCCACCCTGACCCTGCGCTATTTATGCACGTGGCTCCTGCAGCGTCCCCGCCCCACCCCCAGGGCTGCCAGGGCAGGGCCTGGTCTGATTCATCGCTGTAATGGTTGGCCTTGATTAATCTTTCTCTGATCAAACCCTGCAGCAGCTCCTCTTCACGCTCCAGTGCCCAGCCAATCAGGGCCAGGCACTCAGGGCTGATGCATGCTCGGAGCAAGGCCACCGGAGTGGGGGTTCTGCCTGGATCCCCGAAATCATGGCAAGAGAATGGGCTGCTAGGTGTGAAGGGCACAGCCTGGACACTCTCTCCTCTCCACTCTAGCCCAGCAGCGGCATGGCAAAGAGGGCCCTGGGGGCGGGCAGTGGAAGGTCACAGGGCAGATGGGCTATGGGGTGAACTGGGAAAGGACAGTGTGGCCCCGGGGAGGACAACCACACAGCTCAGAGCTGTCTGGACATCGTCTACTTCAGCAGAATTCCAAGGTGAATGTGAGCGTGCAAGGAGAGCCACCGGCCCTGCGTGGCCTGGTCTCAGGCTGGTGCCAGGGCTGGGCTGAGAGGCAGGAGACCTGGGTTCTAGTCCCCGCTCTACCACTGATTTGCTGTGTGACCTTGGGCAAGCCCCTGCCCCTCTCTGAGTGCCAATGTGTACAAGGAGAGGATTGAGTCAATGTGGAACTGACCAGCATGAACACCAGAGGCTGGAGAGCCAGATCTCCAGCCCAGCCACATCTCTGAGTGGGTCAGCAAGGGACCCTAGGTGGGGCCACTGCCTTGCCCTGCCCTCCTGTCCCTGGCTTAGGCTAAATGGGGCACAGTGGGGTGACCAGGCATCCTCTCCCCTGTGAGCTGCCCTGTCGTCTTCTCAAGTGTCCCTCTCCCTGTCCCATCTACCCCCAAAGCTGTCAGGCTGCCAGCAGGGAGCATCAGCTGCCATGACGGAGCATCCTGCGTCATAGTGAGTCAGAGCCCTCCTTCCAAGCCAGATCCAGTCACTCCGTGACAGGAAGAAGAGAAGGACACCACTGCCTTTACAAGCCCAGGCCACACAGGACGGGACCCCAGAGCCTGGCACAGGCAGATCCGCCTTTCCTTCTCCACACAAGGGCAGGCACACACCTGGCACCAGGGCATCCAAGGTGATAGCAGGCTGTCCTTTCTGAGCCACCCTCTCCAAGGCCAGACCTGGAGGGTACAGTTAGGGGGGCTCTGAGCAACTGTGACTGAATACAGCGCTGACTCAAGGATTGGCACATTTGTCTTGTTCACACTGGCACACAGTAGGTGCTTTATATGCATCTGTTGAACGGAAGTTCTCAGACTTCCCTGTGGCTGTCGGGAAGCTGTGGTGGAGTAATAACACATCATACCTGTTTGTGTTCACTATCACTATTATTTATTTTTAGTCCTAAGTTGAGTACCTACTACGTGCCAGTGATTTTGCATATATTAATTTCATCAGCCCTCACAGCAATCCCACGAGGTGGGATTTTTACCCTAAGTTAACAGATGAAAAATCTGAGACTCAGAGAGGCGAAGCAACTTACCCAAGGTCGCACAGCTTGTGTGAGCTAAGCCCTCATTCACCCAGGTCTGCTGACACCAGGGCCAGGCACAGAACCGCTCTCCACCCGGACTTTACTGGGCAGAGAGCACCTAGCTTAGAGAAAGAGAAAGAAGTCAGCACCCACTCCCTGGCTCAGCTGCTCTGGCAGTGCGCCCTGGCCCAGATCCTGCCCCTTGAGAGGCCTCCAGCCCTATCCCACGCTGCTGCCTCAAACCTTATTCATTCTTTTTTTTTTTTTTTTTTTTTTTTGAAACAGAGTCTCACTCTGCCGACCAGGCTGGAGTGTAGTGGCACGATTTCGGCTCACTGCAACCTCCACTTTCCCGGGTTCAAGCAATTCTCCTGCCTCAGCCTCCCGAGTAGCTGGGATTACAGGCTTGTGCCACCACACCTAGCTTTTTATTTATTTATTTATTTTGAGATGGAGTTTCTCTCTTGTAGCCCAGGCTGGAGTGCAGTGGCATGGTCTTGGCTCACTGTACCCTGGGTTCAAGCAACTCTCCTGCCTCAGCCTCCTGAGTAGCTGGGATTACAGGCGCCCACCACCACCATGCCTGGCTAATTTTTGTATTTTTAGTAGAGACGGGGTTTCACCATGTTGGCTAGGCTGGTCTCAAACTCCTGACCTCAGGTGATCCGCCCACCTCGGCCTCCCAAAGTGGTGTGATTACAGGCATGAACTACTGTGCCAAGCCCACACCCAGCTAATTTTTTATATTTTTGGTAGAGACGGAGTTTCACCATATTGGCCAGGCTGGTCTCGAACTCCTGACCTCAAGTGATCTGCCTGCCTTGGCCTCCCAAAGTGCTGGGATTACAGGCGTGGGCCACCGCGCCTGGCCCCTCCTTATTCATTCTTCAAAACATTTCTCTGCTGCCACCAGTGAACCTGGCTGCCTCAACTGGAAAACAGACACAAGAGTGCCTGCCCTGCCTGATGCACAGGTGGGCATGAAGGAGAGAGCGAGATGCTATGTGTGAGTGAGGGTCTCAGACACTGACATTGAGTGCTGTGTGCATGGGAAATTTTGCTAAAGGATCTTCACACCTCAGGAGCTGGGATGTGTGTGTGTGTGTGTGTGTGTAAATGCAAGCGTGCTTCAATGTGAGTGTATAACTGTCATTGTGTGGGTGTGAGTGGGTATGTACACATGGGAGACTGTGTATTCATGTGTAGGTATGTGAGTGTGTGTGCGTGTATGTAAATGCAAGTGTGCATATATATGTGTGTGTATGACCATCAGTGTGTGAATGAGGGGTATGTACACATGGGAGAGTGTGTGTGTAGGTACGTGCGAGTAAGTGTGAATGACTACAGAGGCCGTCCAGGGCTGGGGAAAAAAACCTGTGCCTCAGTTTACTCTGCCCTAGACAAGCCCTGAGAGGCAGCCTTGCCCCCCTCTTCAACCATCGCTGGAGACCCTTCATCCCGCCGCCAGGCCACCAGCGCACTATCTACCCGCACTCTCTCTACCCCACCTCTGGGCATATATTATTTTGCATATGTTAATTTCAATAGCTCTGAATGAGGCGCTGACAGTCAAAAGTCGCTGAACTCACAGCTTAGGGCTCTCAGGCAAGGCCTCTAACTTCTGCGAGCCTCACTTTCATCCTCTAAAAATAGGCCCAATGGAACTGTTGTTCTTGCGCGCACCCCTCCTCGCTCCCAAGCCTTCGTGCCCAGTCGTCGTTGGTGTGGTTAAATTCATGTTGTTTACTTTGTGCCCCAAATGCCAGGAGTCTCCCCGCCCCCTCTGTCCCCTTCCCTGACCTTCAGCCCGGGCAACCCCAGGAGGTGGGGGAGCCCCGAAGGGACAGAGATGGCCCTCCCGCGCGCTGCGGCCACAGGTGTGCCCGAGCCTCCCGGCTGCGCTCCCCCGGGCCCCGCCCGCCGCGCCCCGCGGTGTCGCCCTCCCCTGGCAGCGGCGGGCACTGCGCGGGAGGCGGCGGCGCGAGGCGAGCCGGGCGCGGCGGCAGCAGGGACGACCCAGGCTGGAGCTGAGGCCGAGCTGAGGGCGCCCGAGCCCCCCGCCCCGCCCGTCCTCTGGCTCCGCAGCGCTCAGCCCCGGGCCCGCGGAGACATGAACGCCCCGCGGCCCCACGCACCCCGGGCGCAGCGGCCCGGCCCCGCGGCCCCGTGATGGGCTCCTGCGTGTCGCGAGGTGAGGGGGCCCGGCCGGGGGCGGGGGGATCGGGTGCCGGGGACCCGCGCAGTCCCCTCGCCGCTCGGAGACCTGGGGGATGGGGCTGGCGACCCGCCCTTCACGGCCCCGCCGCACCCCTGGGGACGCGGCGTCCTGAGGGGGACAGAGCTAGGGACGGTAGGGGGCGGGGGCAGCGCAGAGAGCGCACGTGCAGAGGTCACCGCATCCCCGCCCCAGTTTGCAGCCCCGCAGGTGACACGAAGCAGGGTCCCGTGCCGTGCCGCGCTCTCATCCCTACAGCCACACACCCCCTGCCGGGTGCCTGGGAACCAGCTCTGGTTCTTCCTGGCTTCCCGGAGGAACTGCGGGCACCGGGAGAACTAGCAGACCCTCCCTTTCCCACCCCTCCCCAAGACACAGGTCTTACCAGCTCACCCCCACAGCCCCTTCCCACGTCTTACCGGGTGCCCCCATCTGCAGAGCCCCTGAACCCTGTTGGCAGGAAAGGGTTAATGGTGGGGCACAGGTTATAAAGAAGGTTCCCCTGCCCCCTAATCCTCCTCCCCACCCCCATCCTTGGACAGGGGACAGAAGGGCCAGAGCACAGCTGATGTTCCCAGTTACCCCTGGGCCTTTCTCTCTGTGTCTGACCTGTCACCCTCCACTCTCCCCCACGTGGTACCCAAGGAGGTGGAGGGGACCTGCCCTTGCCTGGGGGCCCAGGGCAGGCCCCAGCCTCTTCTATCTGTGAGGAGGGGACACACAGTCTTGCACAGAGATTGGGGGATGGGCAGTTTGGTCTTTGGAGCCCCCTACCTCCACCCCCACCCATCACCACCAGCTTTCCAACAGGCTGTTGGGCAACATTTTAGACAAGCGATTGGGCTGAGCCCTTCTCCCACCTTGGTCTGTTCACCCCACAGTGGGATCAGGGGGGTGTGACTGGGAGTGGGGGTGGCTTTGGCCTTGGTTCAGGCTCTGCAGGCTGAGGCCAAACCCACTGACCACCACCACACCCATCACCCCTAGTAGCTTACCCAGAATAGAGGGGACCTTGTCCTGGGGGTATTGAGCAAGGAGCACAATGACCTTCCCCCATCCTCTGGACTCGAAGGGCTTCTGCTCAGGAGTTCCTGTGGGCATTCAGGTAAGTGGCTCAGGATGTCTCTGGGAGGTATCGGGGTGGAATCCCGGCTGGGGAAGGGGAAGGTACAGGGTCAGGCTGTGTGGGGTTCCTTTACTTATCCATGCATTAAGCTGATATTAACATGATAGCTGCCGTGTGCCAGGCACCGTGTGCATGCTGGGCATCCAGCAGCAAGGAACCCAGCACAGCACCTGGTACGGGAGGCCTGCAGCCTAGCGGGAGGGGAAGGAAGTTTGAAGAGTGAGGAGTGCTGAGGGTTCTTTAGGAGCACCAGGCTCCAGAAACCCCAAAGGTTCTAGGCAGTCTCTGGCTGGGGCCAGCTCCAGGTGGAGGGGATCTGAGTGTTTCCTCAGTGTCCCTTCCCCTTCACTTGGCCACCCCATATCAGGCACCTTGGGGTCCCAGCCCAGAAGGACTGGCCTTTGAGCTGAGAACCCACTGAGCATGGGACAGAGGCCGGGGAGGAAGAGACGCCTGCTAAGGTCACCCTGAGAGGCTGGGGCCCAGGTCCTCTGACCCCACACCTGGGGCTCCCTCCACCGCCCCCTCTGCCAGGGCTCTTTGGGGCCACAGCAGCCAAGATACGCTCTCTCCACCCTTCCTTCTGCAGCCTGGGCTTCCTCAGCGCCCCCCAGATCTAATTGTATAGTCCAGCCTTGTCCCCCTCCTGAGAGGACGGGGCCCCTGGCAGTCTCAACATGCATCCAGGAAAGTTGGGTTGAGGTGAAAGGAATATGGGGAGCCATGTGGGCAGGGGACAGCCAGGGTCCCAGAGACTCTGGGTGGCTGCATCACTGACCCACCCTGCCCTCTCCTTATCACTGATGCTCTCCGAGTGCATACTAGTCTGAAAGTTTTAGGCAGATAAAGCTAGTTTGGGTTATATATGAACACAGTCCCTATCTTACAAGTGGGAAAACTGAGGCAGAGGGCAGTGGAGTGACTTGTCCAGGGCCACACAGCTAGGATAGTATAAGCCAAGATTTAAACCATGGCATGCTGACTCCACAGCCTAGGGCCTCAGTCTCTGCACTCACAGCCAGCCCTCGGCCCTGGTGCCTGCACCTGTCTACTCTCCTGGAGCTGCAGGCTGCTGTGGGCTCCTGAGCCCCCCACCTGGCCCCTGCACCAGCAATCGATTGCTAATCATAGCCTCTGAGCGCTCAGTGCCTCCTAGGCCAGGTAGGCACTGCTACAGAAGGAAGGGTGGAGGGAGTGCGTCCACCCTTGGCCAAGGCCAAGGATTGCAGGCCTCAGGCTGATGCCCATACTGAGCCCAGAGCTTGCACCCAGCTGGGGCCACCCAGCCAAACCCCAAAACCTAGGTCAGGCCACACCTGGGAAAATCACCCCATCCCAGCATCGGCAGCAGTTAGCGTCTGCCTAGTTGGTAGAGAGGCTAGGAGTGCAGAATACGAAGCAGGGCTCCACCATTTACTAGCTCTGTGACCTCAGCAAGTGACTTGACCTTGTGTGTGTATCTCAGTGTTCCCATCTCTAAAATGGGAATTATAATAGTATTGATGTCATAGGGTTGCTGGGCGGACTAAATGGCTTAATTCATGTAAGGCATTCAGACCAGTACCCAACACATAGTAAGCACTCGTACATATTAGCTATTGCTCTCATTTTTACTTTTAATTTTAATATTGTATATATTATAATAGAGACAGGCTCTCACTATGTTGCCCAGGCTTATCTCGAACTCCTGGCCTCAAGCCACCCTCCCACCTCGGCCTCCCAAAGTGCTGGGATTACAGGTGTGAGCCACTGCACCCGGCCTTTAATTTTTATTACCTGTCTGTGCAGACAGCTAATGTGGGCCTTCATGGCTGGAAGGGGAAACCTACAGAGGTTTTAAGCCACATCCTGCCTCATGGGAAAGGCAGCGGGTGGCAGGCACTCGAGGTGCTGAGGACATTGAGAAAGTGATTGGGACCAGATTAAGGCAACAAATGCTGTTTCCAGGAGCTATTTTGCATTCATTATCTATTTTTAAGCTACCGTTTGTTGAGCGCTTATCCTGAGCTAGGCTGAGCCTTTGCTCTCCTGACCTAGTTAGTTCTCATTCAACCCTGTGACAAGGGATGTGGGGCTCAGAGAACGGGAGGGTCTTCCCTCAGGTCACATGGCCAGGGCATGGAGAGGCAGGACTTGAATCCAGGTCAATGTGACCCCAGAGCCTGAGTGTGGAAACCCCGTCCTTTGCTTTCTTACGTCCCTATAGAGAGAGAGGTGCTATGGCTCACGCTTATAATCTAAATACTGGGAGGCTGAGGCGGGAGGATCGCTTGAGCCCACGAGTTCAAGACCAGCCTGTGCAACATAGTGAGACCCCATCTCTACAAAAAACTTTTTAAAAATTACCTAGCTGTGGTGGTGTGTGCTGGTAGTCCCAGCTATTTGGGAGGCTGAGGCAGGAGGATGGCTTGAACCCAGGAGGTCGAAGCTGCAGTGAGCTGTGATTACTCCACCGCACTCTAGCCTGGGCAACAAAGACCCTGTCTCAAAAACAAAAAGAGGTGCTAAGTATATGGCCAGTGCTTAGAAAAACAACCTCTTGGAACACTTGAATGGTCCCTATTTGTTGGGGGCTCTGCAACCAATGGCAGTCTGTATGGAACAGAGAGGAATATTTGCCCCCCTTCTCTCCAGTTCCAGGGGCTCAGTACCCGCTCCATGCCCTTGGTGCCATAACCACTCTGCCTCCTCACTCATGCCCCAGCCCTCTCCTCCAGGCCAACTGATCAGCCTCCTGGCCCCACCTTGGGGGTATCCAATGCACTGGGGGCCGGTGGGGTCGGGGGTGAGAGTAGAAATTAGAGACCGAGAATTTTCTTCTGGAAACTCAGACATCTGATCATGTCTGGGTGAAGGCACAAGCTCTAAGGGGGCCGACCAGAGCCACCCATAGTTTCCAAGTCCTGAGCAGTCCTACACCAGGCACTGAGGAAAGGGTAGGTGGGACCTTGCCCTTCGGGAGCTCACAGTCTGATGAGAGAGGTACAGCTTTGCCCGTGGAGTAGCCTAATGGGGGAGGCAGTATGCATGAACCCTTGGAAGGATGCCCCGAGGACCCTGTCTGGAGATCAGCACTGTTTAGTGGTTGGGGCACAAGCTTTGGAGTTTCACAAGGGCCGAAGTGTGACCCTCATCTCTGCTGCTTATTAGCAGGTGACCTTGCATAAGTGATTTATCCTCTCTGAGCCTCCGTTTCCCTATCTGTAAAATGGGCATAACATGTACTTTGCAGGATTGTTGTGTGGGTTAAATGAGAGATCATGGGTGAACAGGCCTAGGACAGACAGTACCTGACACAGTACTGTCACACCTGCTCAGTAAACAGTGGCGGCAAATCACTGCAGGCCAGACTTTGGCCATTAGGACCACAGGTGAGGTACCTAATCCAGCAGAGGCCAATCTGGGCAGGTTGCTTGTGGGAGGTGAGGCTGGAGCAAGATGTTCCCAGAGGCCAGGTCACAGGATGGGAGGGAGCCTGGGGAAGGAAGTGGGGAGGAGCTGGGGTGTGTGGAAGTCCTGGGGAGGAGCCCATTTTCTCTCTCCATCCTTGCACGGGGAGAGAAAGGGACCCCCTTGGATAGCTCTGAGCTGAGCCAACCCACAGATGAGCTATTGTCACGGCTCAGGTGACCTGTAAACAAATGTCCTGGGGAGGAGGGGACACTCAGTCCACTCGAGGCCTGGCCTCTGCCAAGCTCTGTGGCCTGCTCCCCTGGCAGTGACTCAACAGGCAGAGCGGCCAAGGACTCACCCTCAAGGGCTTCCCTCTGCGGAGCCTCCAGAGCCAGCTCCAGCCCTGGGGACAGGACCAGAGGAGTGGCTGACCAAGATGTGTCCCATTGTCCAGAGAGAGACACTGAGGGGAGAGGGGTGGAGCGGCTGCTGCTTACGGACTGCTTGCTGTGGCAGGTGCTTCCTCCTTGCTGCAGCCCTTTCTGGGCTGGTATTATTTCACAGATGAGAATCCAAGGCTCACAGGGGCTAAGTCCCATGCCCACCCCCTGCAGCGGAAAGTGA
This sequence comes from Homo sapiens, assembly GCF_000001405.40. NCBI lineage: Eukaryota > Metazoa > Chordata > Mammalia > Primates > Hominidae > Homo > Homo sapiens. The sequence goes on along the minus strand of NC_000001.11, from coordinate 16,068,253 downwards.
GAAGCGGGGACTTAAACCCAGCTCAGGGACCGTAAGAGGAATGCCTTGGCCGCTTACGTTCTCTTCAGAGCCAAGGGCAGAGCCCGGCACATCACAGCTGGGCAGTACACACCCGGGCAATGGTTGGCTAGAGGGGCCGCATCGGCTGCAGGTGCCCTGAGAAGCTGAGCAGAGAAGCCCGAGGCTGGCCGGGGAGGAGCATGAGGGGACGCTTTGACCCCAGGCTGCTGCTCAGTTTCTGTGTGGTTTTGAGAGGATATTTACCCTCCCTGGGCTGCTGCAGAGTCAAACACGGTCCCTCTCTGCCCTCTGGGGTGCAGAGCCCTGGGAGGCACTCTTGGGGTAGATGGCAACCATGGTGACTAATGGGTTGGGACACGGAGCCCCAGAGAACAGCTTAAAGGAGTTGGAAGGCCCTGAAGCAGACGAGAGGAGCCTGAGGGGTTGTGCTGCAGACTCACCCAAGGATCAAGTAGAGAAGACCAACCAGTATGGGAACTGCAACAAGAGGGGTTTAGGCTAGACATCAGGAGGAACTGTCTGGGAGGTTAGACTCTAAAGCAGATTGAAGAGGAGCTGGCATAGGAAGGCAGGAAGCACCCTCAAGATGCAGAGGAGAAGCTCTGGTTGAAGACAGAGGGATGGAGGAGACATCTGGTTGACACCCTCTCCTTGAAGAATCAAGATGGCCCTCTCCAGGTTGCCATGGCAGCCAGAAGCCTGTCACTCTTGTGGACAGAGGAGGTGGGGGAGGGAGCAGGTCTGAGAAGGGAATTCTGACCTTGAGGTCAGGAGACTAGGGTGTGGACTGAAAGAAAGGGGGTGTCCTTCTGGGAGAGGGAGCCACAGGAGCAGGTGCTAGCGGTCCCTTCGGGCTGCCTCCCAGCCCCCACCCCACATGACACTCTGTGTTTTTCCAGTTGCCAGTGGTGACGTGACCACCAGTCCCAGCTGGGCGAAGAACAGCCTGTGATTTCACCCTGGGCTGGTTCATTACCTGACGTCCCCATGGCAACCAGCCTGTGACATCATGGGGCCAAAGTCCTCAGGGGGAGCAGGCAGCTTTGGTGGAGGCACCTGAACCCCAACTGAGGTGGGGAGCCAGGCGGGCTGGGGAGGGGGTGGGAGCCAGGAGTCCTCCAAGCCCACCACCGTCTCAACAAATGACCTTGTTCAAGTCATGCCTCTGCCAGGCTTTGGCATCACCACCAGCCTCCTCTGTGCCCGGCTCCCCTCCCCATCAACCTCGCTCCCTGGTCTGTGGCTGGAGAGTTGTAAAAAAGCTTCAGGGGATGGCCAGGGGTCCTAGAAATACCCTAACACCTCTCAAGTTCCTAGGGTCAGCCTATGGCCAGAGCCACCTGTCTGCACCTTGGCGGGCCCTGGCTTGTACAGGACATGCAGAATTTCCAGAACCTCAGGATTGGCAACTTGCAAACTTTTTTGACTGGACCCATAGGAATAATATATTTTGCATCATGACCCAGAATACACACAGAGAAAATTTTTACTCTGTGTGTGTTGTGCACACACATCTGCACAGACTTGTGTTTGCATAAACAGAAGCTTCATAAAGTAATACTTAACCTGACTTGCAGTGGGCTCTGATATTTTCCATTCTATTCCATTCTATTTCATTAAAATAAGACCTAATTAATAAACGGCTGCATGACCCACTGAAATATGCACCCCCAGTTTGAACATTGCCTTTGAAGGGCCTGGACAACATGGCCTTTGTGGAAATGGAGGCCTTGGAGCCCAGAGAGGGGCAGGACTAGCTCAGGGTCACACAGCAGGGACTCAGGAAAAAGAACAAGATGAGCTGAGTGCTATGGTGTGCAGGCGCACGGCTCAGTCCACAGGATCCCGTGCTGCCCCAGGTGCTCTCACCTCCTTAGGCCTGCCTGGGTCATGGGTGGGGTGGTCAATAAGATCTTTCCTTGGCTCCAGTCTCTGCCTCCAGCCTCCTTGACTAGCCCACCTGCTTACCTTTGGGTGGATCCCAGAAACCTACGGTCTCTTCTGCAAACTAAGTCTAATCCAGTTGGGATGAAAACTTGAATCTCAGGCTGGGCGTGGTGGCTCATGCCTGTAATCCCAGCACTTTGGAAGGCCGAGGCAGGCGGATCGCCTGAGGTCAGGTGTTTGAGACCAGCCTGGCCAACATGGTGAAACCCTGTCTCTACTGGAAATATAAAAATGAGCAGGTGCCCATAATCCCAGCTACTCAGGAGGCTGAGGCAGGAGAATCGCTTGAATCTGGGAGGCGGAGGTTAGAGTGAGTCGAGATCACGCCACTGTACTCCAGCCTGGGTGACAGAGCGAGATTCTGTCTCCAAAAAAAAAAGAAAAGAAAACCTTAATCTCACCTCCAACTGAATGCTTACCTTCCCCCTGCCAGCTGCCCCTGAAATGAGGATTTGGGTACAACTGATATGAGGTGAACCTTCCAGAGGAAGCCAGTAGGGAATGGAGCGAGAGGAGGATGGAGGAGGCCAGCCAGGCAGTGGGGTGGTCTCAGGCCTGGCCTCAGCCTGGTCCTGCAGGGTACTCCGGAGGGTAAGTGAAGGGGAATTTTCGGATCCCAGACAAAAGAGCTGGGGTTCTGCACCTGGTAGTCATTGGCTTGGGGCCACTCTGGGTGGGGCCAACAGAAATTTACCTAGGGCAGCCCCTGTAGAAAGAGCCACAGGTGGTGCCTCTTAGAAGCCATGCAGGGCGCCAGGGCAAAAACAGGAGAAAGGAATCCAGGGGAATTGGGGGCAGCACCCACATGGTCCCCTAACCCCAGTGACACAATCTGGCCTAGAGCATTAAGTCCCTCCGCTGGCGGGCAGAGAGTGAGCGCAGGGACCATTGTCTTCCAGGGAGGGAGGATGCCTGCAGCAGGGGAGCCCTGGGAGAAGGGAGCCGGGAGACCTGGAATAGACCTAAGAGAGGGCTAACAGGATTTGCCGGTTGACTGCGTGGCCCCGGGGAGAGTGGGGGAAGGCAGGACCCTGAGAAACTCCCAGGGTTGTAGTTGGTGCAGTGGGGGATGGGGGGAAGGTGGACCTGGAATTGGGAATCCTCTTTTGCCCAGGTGTGCTTGGGGTGCCCCTTGGGCATCCATGTGGAGAGCTGGAAACTCAGTTGGGAGCTCAAGTGAGGAGTCAGGGCTGGAGGTGTGCACATGGGCAGCGGGCAGCGGAAACAGGAAGGTGAGACCTCCTGGGGAGAGAGGGTGGAGAAGGGCCAGGACAGAAGTGTGCCAGCCAACGGGCAGGGGTGAGCCAGGGAGGAGCCAAAGAGGGGACCCAGGACAGCAGCCAGAGAGGCCAGAGGCCAGGATAAGAGCGAGGCTCAAGAGGGCAGGAAGGCTGCACAGCTCCAGCTCCAAGAAGAGGCTGGAGCAGCCCCCATTGGAGTTGGCCCCACGGATTTTCCTGGCAGCTTGGCAAGGGCTGCCTCATGAAAGCCTGCTTGGAATGGGTGGAGGAGAAGTGGAGGACGAGGAAGTAGATGTGGGACACAGCTCTCTGCACGTCCAGCGAGAAGGGAGCAGAGGAACGGCCAAGTCGCTGGAAGGAAACAGTGGTCACAAGCTTCTGAGAAGACAGGAGATGCTTGGGTTGCCAGGATGCTGACGGCCCCACCCAGTGGTAAAGGGGACAGAGGAGTGAGAATGCAGGAGAAGGTCCAGAGCCCAAGACACATCGCAGCATATGAGATCCCGGCTGAATGCTTCAAAGTGGACAGAGTGGAGAGGGCACAGTGACACCGCAGGAGGGAGAGCAGAGCCTCTGGGGGGAGGGCAGGGGCAGGACCCAGCCCTGGGTGGATGGGCCAGAAGGTCTTGGGTGCAGCAGGAACAGCTCTTCCTTTGTTGCAGGAGGGAAAGGCGATGATGTGGGCAAAGGTGCAGGCAGGCTCTGGTGATTTGGGTGGAAAGATCCAGGTGACACCTTTCCAAGGATCCTGGACCCAGTGAGGGAGGGGCAGAAGCCCCCAGCAGTGTGTGGGGTAGGGGAGGGGGTGTGTTTCATGTCTGAGAAGGAAGGATGGGGTGAAGCTGTCAACCTGGCAGGAAACAAAGACAGCAGGAAATGCAGAAACAGAGAAGGATCCGGGCAGCGTCCCACGGGAGGCTGGGGCTACAATCTCGCATGCAGCGGTCACTTTCTCCAGCAACATTCAGCTCCTCAGATCCAGGCACAGGGCAGGAGGGTCAGACCCAAACCGGGGTGAGAGGTAAGGGCGTCTGTGAGAGAGAGCTCAGAGGCCATGCCAGGGTGTCAGCCGGGCCAGGAGCAAAAGAGGACGGGAGGATCTAGTCTGGAAATATGAGGGTAAATGGATTAAAGATCTCCACGAGGCCAAAATCATGCTGGAGTGTGGGTGCTAGAAACTGAGAAAAGGGAGTAAAAAGAAGATGAGGCCAGTAATTCCCGCTGAGGGGCACAGGCAGGAGGGCATCTGGCTGGACCCCTTCCCTGCTGTGGACTTGAGTCTGCTTTCTCTACGATGTTGTTGGATAAAAACAAGGCCATACTCACCTTACGGGGGGGCCTTGAACATGCTTTGTAAGCAAGAGAGGGCTGGGCTTTGCTGAGTTCCTCCTCTTGCTCTTATTTCCAGACCTGTTCACAAGTGCCCACAAGAACTGCCCCATGCCCCAGGGTGCGGACCCCTTGAACCCAGATCTGCCCTCGGGCCGCACTCCCACCGTGGCTCCAGACTGTGTCATTGGCAAGGTAACTGGCTGCTCCTCATCCCTGTGCTACCTGCGCCCCGGTTCCCGGCCTGTCTCCTCCCCGCAGGGAGCAGAATCCATTCCAGTCTCCTTCCTTCCCTGCCAAACCCGCTTCTCCCTGTGGGACCAGGGGCCCTAAGGCCTGGTATTCAGCAGCATGAGGGGCTGGACTGGACTGAGCATCCAGGGACTGGACCAGGCTTGTTTAGAAGACCAACCACCCTGAAGGTCTTCCTGCGCAAATTAACTCTGCCTTGCAGACAACACATGCCGCTACCAGCCCGCTACTCCTGAGCAGCCTCACAAATTTTATATATGTTATGTTATACATATAATTTGTATATAAATATATAATATATAACTTATATATATTATATATAATTTATATGAATATAATTTATATATTATATATATTAAAATTTTATATATGTTTCTCAGTCCAGATGGATTTAGAAGATGTCACTAAGGGTCACAAGGGACCCCAAATTCTGGTGCATAATTTCCGCCCTTGCTCCAGGGTCTGTGGCATGAACCCACTGGATGATATAATTACCTTCTCCCCAGCGGCACACCCCTCCTGCGAAGCACTGCACTCAGCTCTTCTCAGCCTCCGTTATGTTATTTAGGCCTCACCACAACTCATGAGGTGAATGAAATTGTCACCATTTTGCAGAGGAAGAGACGTGTTCGGAGCTGTTAGGAATAGTCTAGGGACACCAGCTGGGAAATGGCAAAGTCAGAGCCCACACCCAAGCCTGCTCTATAAGCGGCACCCGAGGCCTGTCCTCCCAGCACCACTGTTGCCCCCTCCTTCTTCCTCTGCATGCCGGGGGACACCAGAGCATGACCCATGAGAGGGCAGACCCCAACCTCACACAGCACCAGAAGAAGGCTGACCCCCACCCCCACCCAGGGCCCCAGGACTCGGGCCATCTGCTGGCACAGCGTGCCAGGCCCTGCCTGATCCTCTCTCTCCTCTTGTTTTAGGACAAACAGATGGATTTCTGTTGGGATCCTTGGCAGGTCAGTGCACTTGTGTGTCCCCATTCTAGCCGGCCCCAGCTGACACCACGGCCCCTCCATCCTTTGTGCCCAGCCCAGGCACACAGTCCTGCTGGCCCTGGGGCGGGGGGGGGGGGGGCCTGATGAAACAGTGGGTGGGGGTTGTCCCGTGGGAGTTAGTAGGATCTCCCTGGCTTTAGCTGCCCTGTCCCTGCCCACTGGCCAGAGGACCTGGTGAGCTGGGAGACGGGGATGGGTGGTGGTGCTGGAGGGATGTCGGCCGGCAGCCTGGCCCACCCTGCTCACTCCTCCTGCCACTTCCTCCAGAGGTGCTTCCAGACCACCAACGGCTACCTGTCCGACTCCAGATCCCGCCCCGGCAACTACAACGTGGCAGCCCTGGCCACCTCGTCCCTTGTGGGTAGGTTCTGGCCGCAACTCTCCTGCCGGTGGAGAATGCACGGTCCCACCCTAGACCCTGGCTGTGGGAAGGGCATGGCTGAGTTGCAGGTGGGAGGATGGCAGCCCTATTGGATTCTCCATGTTCTAAATGCCAGAGTCCATGCTGGGTTATGCGGGTCACGGGGGGACCAGTGGCTCAGGGTTCTGCTTCCACAGGTTAAACTGCTGGGTTCTCAAGAAGCTCTGAGGGGGTGGGGCAGAGTTTTTCAGATGTCTGTCTGGCATGGTCTCCCTGCCTCTCTGCCAGTCCCATCACCTTAGTTCAGGTTCCCTGGAAGCAGAGCCTGACATGGGCATGACTGTGCAGGTGATTCCCTGGGGAATGGCCCTCAAGAGAAGCCAGCAGGCAGCGGGGGAGGCAGAGGGGCCTTCGGAAGGGGCTCTGCAGGAGTCTAGCCCTGCCCACCTGGTCCCACTGGGAGCTTGGGAGCACAAATAGCACCCCAGAATTGATGACACCCCAAGGCAAGGGGGCTGGACTTTATATTCCCCCATTGCTGACTCACTGGCTGCCCCTGGGGAGGACTAGGTAGCCTCCCGGCCTCTCTAGGTGCCCAGGAGCTCAGGGCGGTTCTCCAGATAAGGGTGTGAGCTGACAGCAGCAGCACCTGAAGCAGCTGGGCATGGGCTCCCAGGCCTGTAGAGCAGGTTTCGGTGGCCACCACAGCATCAGGTGGCCCCAGCACTAAATCCCACCCAGCTCCCCTGAGGCCCCTGGGGCCCTCCCTCCCCACATTGGCCTGTGCCTTTCCTCCATCTCCAGTGCCTTCCTCCACCTCACCTGCCCTTCAAGGGCCACTTGAACCCCTACTTCCTACAAAACACCCTCTCCAATTGCCAACACTCCCCAACTTAGTGGGTGGGAGGGAGAGTCTCCCCTTTCTTCCGTACCCCCATCTTTCCCATTTTCCCCACTCTCTAATTACCTTTGTGGATATTTCCTCCTACTTAAATATTGCCATTCCTCACATTATGGCTTCGGGGACCCGGGTGACTCCCAGATCTATTCTCAGCCTTGGTTAATGGTGATGCTGAACCATTCCTGGCAGCCCCCTCTCCATCTTCCGCATACAACAGCTCTACTCCCAAAGCCCCCGACCCCTCCTCTCTGTCTGCCCAGCCCTTGCCTTGTCTGTTGCTGGGTCCCTGCGGTAACCCCTAATCCTCCAACTGGGTTGCTCTTCCTAAACAGCTGTTCTAACTGGTCACTCTCTTGCTCATTACCCTGCTGGGGCTCCCCATTGCACAGGAACATCTGAGCCCTCCACCTGGTTCTCCCCAACCCTGTTCTGTCCCTGATCAGCTCCCAGCTTCTCCTGCCGCCCAGTCCTAGAGTGGACCCCATGTTTCACCCCAGCTAATCCTGGACTCACGCCAGACACTACCATGCCTTCATCCTCTTCTCATCTTTGAAATGAAACCTCCAGTCTTGCCTCTGTCTGTTCAAACCCAACCCACCTTCAAATTCCAATCCCAGGTCCCCTCTTCCAGGAAGCCTTCCCTGCCTGCTCCACCCACCCAGGTCTCACCTCCAGCAGAGCTGGCAGGCCACAGAGATGCTCTCTCAGAATGTGTTTAATGGATCATGGAGAAAGCTGGGGGCTCATGAGTGGTCCTTGGGTGGCTCTCCTTGGATGGAAGGGTCTGAACTTGGTCAGAAAGGGAGTGAGGGGTGTGGCCGATCTGGGGAAGAAGCATCCAGTGGGCGGGAACATGGACTGGGAGTAGGATGCTGGGAGGAAATGTGGATGCCAGTGGGTGGGGGCATTAAGGGAAGGGGGCCACAGAGCTCGGAGGGCTCAGGGCAGGAGTGAGCAGAAGGCTTTGGAGGGCGTGAGGAGTTAGATGGGTACAGGCCCCTGGGGAGGTGTGGGGGCACTGATGGAGATCATGGTGCACTGAGGGAATGTGGGGTACAGGCCACTGGGTGGGCCTGAGGCATGGGGGCCAGGCCCTGCGCTGAGCCTTGTGTCAGGACAGTCACCCAGATGCCCTCCATGCCCCAGGGGTGGTGCAGAGCATCAAGGACCACATCACAAAGCCCACGGCCATGGCCCGAGGCCGCGTGGCCCACCTCATCGAGTGGAAGGGCTGGAGTGCCCAGCCGGCAGGCTGGGAGCTGTCCCCAGCTGAGGACGAGCATTACTGCTGCCTCCCGGATGAGCTGCGTGAGGCCCGCTTTGCTGCAGGTCAGCGAGGAGGGGGACTGGCCAGGGCTCTGTGGGGGTGAAGCTGGGTCCTTGGGGGCCCAGATCACTGCATGGGCATTGTCTGGGCAGGAAAAAATAATGGCATAGGGTGGGTGAGTATTAAGTGAGCACTCTTGACCACTGGGGTGTGGATTGGCAGCCCAGAGAGGTGGCCACCCTCCCGCCTGTCCTGGAGCAGCTCCATCAGGCACTGAGGCCGTCCCCACCCATGCCCCCCTGAGCTGGATCTCGCTGTTCCCCCAGGGGTCGCCGAGCAGTTTGCCATCACAGAGGCCACACTGAGCGCTTGGTCCTCGCTGGACGAAGAGGAGCTGCACCCCGAGAACAGCCCCCAAGGCATCGTCCAGCTCCAAGGTACAGCCCAGAGGGTCCAGGGGGCGGGGGTGGGCAGAGTGGAGCTGATTCTGGATGGCTGCCCATCACCAAAGGCAGTGTGACCTCGGCCAAGCCCCTTCCTTTTCTCAGCCTAAGTTTCTTCATCTGCAAAATGGGGCAGTGATCCTTGCCTTGCCCATTGCCCGGCAGTGCCAGGAGCAGGAAGGAGAGAGTGAGCACAGTGGGGGCGGGAATCGAGCGCTTACCACACCGAGGGCTGTGCACGAGGCACCTCACAGAATCCTCACAGCAGCCCTAGGGAGTGGGTCTTGTTGTCCCCATTTTACAAATAAGGAAACAGAGGCACTCAGACGTTCAGAAACTTACTCCAAATGACAGCTAGAAGCGTCAGAGCCGGATCTGAAACTTAGCACCAGGCACGAGCAACCACCTTTCTAGAAGCCCAGGTTACTACTGAGGGCTTCAAGGAGCCTTGGCCCTGGGGGAAGCCTGCACTTAGTCCTCCTGCCCCAAGAGGGACGGGGAGGGGACAGAGGCCCAGAGGAGCACTGGTTGTCCCAGTTCTCAGAGAGCACAGGCTGGCTCCAAGCCCACTCTTAACTCCTCCGTTTACTGCCTGGAGGAGAAAGCTGGGGCTCAGAGTTTTGGTGACTTGACCAAGGTCACAAGGCTCGGCCGTCACATAGCTGGATTTGGAGGCAGGTCTTCTGCCCCTTGCCCTTTCTCACACCCCCAGAGAGGGCGAGGAGCTGGATCTGGGACGCCATTCCCCCATCACCCCCTTGCTTTTCCAGATCTGGAGAGCATCTACCTTCAGGACAGCCTTCCCAGCGGCCCCTCACAGGATGACAGCCTTCAGGCCTTCTCCTCGCCCAGCCCCTCCCCTGACAGCTGTCCCTCACCTGAGGAGCCCCCCAGCACCGCTGGCATCCCGCAGCCCCCCAGCCCAGAGCTGCAGCATCGGCGGCGGCTGCCCGGGGCCCAAGGACCCGAGGGTGGGACCCACCCCCCGGGCTCCCTCCCCTCCATGGACAGCGGCTCCCTCTGGGAGGAGGACGAGGTGTTCTATAACTGAGGTGGGGGCTGTGCTGGTCCAGCACCTGCTCTCACCATGACCTCGCCTGGTGGGCAGCCCAGGCATATCTGGACCCCGGGGTCCAGGGCAGGGCATCCCTTGACCCCTCGGGTAGGCACAGGGTAGGTGCGGCAGGGATGGGGCCAGTGCTCATGGTGGCCTCTCTGTGCCTCGGTGGACCTGCCCCAGCAGTGGGAGCCATAACCCCCTCCCCCTTCATTACTTCACTCAGGTGGGCACCTTCCCCTGCAGGGTGTCTGCCCTCAGGGAACTCACGGACTCTCAGAGACACCAGGGCAGCCTGGCCCAGAGGAGCAACAGCCAGGCCCCCAGGAGGACAGCCATGGAGAGAACTGAGACCCACTTACAGTGGGGTCTGGGAACCCTGCCTGTACCTGGGGTTCAGTCCCTCCCAACTCCCTCCTTGTGTCTGCCCCCCAGCAAAGGTGGGGTGACCACTTCTGGTAGCTAAGCACCTGCTCCCCGGCTCTCTTCACCCAGGACATCTGTCTCTCTGGAGTGTCTGTCTGTCTGTCCCTCCCTCTCTGAACCTGCTTCCTCCGTGTCCCCTGCTCCTCACCCCTGGGAGCCCACTCCCCCTCCTTGCGGCTCCCTCCCATCTCACTCAAGGTTCTCTGAGGACATTAAAGTGGTGGATTCACCCTGGATGACCTTGGCCTGGTCTCTGCTGGGGAAGATGTGACCTTGGGCCCCTGGACAGAGTCCGGAGGGAGTCAGGGAAGGTCCCTACTGCCAATGCTCACACAGCTGGTCAACCTGCTCCCACCCAGCCAGAGAGGGCCCATGGAGGATGCCTAAGGCTCTGTGGACTCCCCAAGGAGCCACACTTGGGTCCTGGCTTTATGAGCTGTGGCCCAGCCAAGCAGGAGACTAGGGCTTGAGCAACACAGGGTCCTGCTTATCCATGAGGACAAGCATCATAGACCTGGTGGGAGACCCTCTCTCCCTGGCATCTCCCTGCCAAGAAATGGAGCATGAGGAGGAGCCCAGGGGCCCGAGCCTGCAGTGCCCACGTGACCACGGGAAACTCACTCTGGGCCAGCGCAGGTAAGGAGCTCCAGTCCCAGACCAGCAACCTTGCAGCTGAGATGAGGGATGGACACCAGCTCTGGGAACCAGCTTTATTTTTCTCAGGAGCCTCTCACTGGGAACCAGACAACCCCAGAAGGCATCTGTGCCTGCCCTTGGTGACAGTGTACTCCAATCTCATCATTCATTAATGTGATGGCCAGTCACTGAGCAACTGGCAGATACTGGTTTTCCATCTTCTCACACTCAGCTCTGCCCAAGGTGGGATTTTTGTCTTTCAAGGCAGGAGCCATCGTCCCACCCAGGATGAGCCATCCTCTTCTGGGCTAGGTTAAAGTTGCCTGTTATGCCAAAGAATGGAGCTGGGCTGGAGGGAGGGGCAGGTGGTGATGGGGGAAGAGAAGCAGGGTCTCAGCCCAACCTCAGTACCAGGTCAGCTGGGGTGCCCTGTTTCATCTTGCTGGGCCGGCTCACTTTGGGGCTGGCGGATTTGTCAGGTTGGAAATTGCTTTCTTCATCTAGAACAGAGAAAGGGGGTGGAGGTGCGGGGGGATGTAGAGGAGGTTGTGAGGGGGGCTCCAGCATTTTTGGTTCCCCTAAGGGTGGTTTCTGGGTAAATAGTAGAGCCTGTGCCACCCCATTGCACAGATGGGATCACTGAGGCCGAGAGGGGCAGGCTGGCCACTGGCCAGAAAACAAGGTAGGGGAGCCAGGCCCAGTGGCCAATCTGGGCCAAGAAGAGGGACTCATCAGTATCCTCTGAATCCCCCCAGGTTTGGATGGGAGCATGCTGGTGTCCCCCCCACCCCACCTCCCCACCTCCCCAGTCTTCTCAGGCATAGGTTCCCTGCTTTGCTCTGCCCCCGGGACCCTGGTACCTCCACCCAGGACACGCAGCCCACAGCTCTGCCCCGCGACGTCACAAAGAGGGAATGAAGGTTCAACAGCTCAAAGAGGTTGTGTGCCTGGATGGGGGATGTTAGGAAACACTGGAGGGTAGAAGGTGCCCAGCCCACCCTCTAGCCCACTCCACCACGCCTCTGAGCCAGGAAGAGGGGCGGGGCCTGATGTGTGTGGGAGACAAGAGACCCAGGCCTGCAATGTCCAATGTGGCCACTGGGGGATGCCAGAGTCCATGCAAGGGTCTGGGCGGGGCCGCAGGTAAACAGGACCTAATATCCAGCACCCTCCAGCAGCACAGAGGGGGCGGGGCCATCTCCAGGTCCCCTGTCAGCCTCTGCCCCTCCCCAACCCGTGTGCCAGGCTCTGTCCTGAGTGGTTAAGTCGTTTGTCCAAGATCACACAGGGAGAATGCGGTGGACCTGAAATTGAAGCGCACGTGTGCCTTGGTGCAACTCCACTGTCTTTCTCCACCCAGAGATTTACATTTGCCACTCTCCCACTTCCCTCATCTCTCTGCATCATCCCCACAACCCTGGCAGTGAGGGGCAACAGGGCAGGAGCTTCTTTGCCCAGTCTGCTGATGAGGACACTGGCCCAGGAGGAGCAGGAAGCAGCATAAGACGGGCAGGGCGGGGTTGGGAGGGGAGGCTGGAGCGTGAGCTCCTCATCAGCTCTTCCCCCACCCAGAGGCCTCATGTGTCACACTCCCCAGTTCTCCCCGTTACCTCATGCAGGGAAGTCTCTGGGGACAGCTTCAGGGTCACTGGTTCTGTGGGGCAGCCTGCAGCCAAGATGTCCTGGAGACACTGCTGGGGGTGGGGAAGGGTTACAGGTGCAGGGCTGGCCTCCCCAGGATGCCTCTCTCTGACCACCTCTCCCTCAGGATATCAGCGGGCCCCTCTCCTCCCATTCCTGCTGACCCACCCCCGCCCCATCCCCATGCCCCTCAGGAGTACCCACCTGGTGTCCAGGAGCCCAGGAAGGAGGCTCAGCCTTCAGGGCCTGCACCAGCTGGGCCCTTCGCACTATGCCCACCAGGATCTGGGACTCTGGCAAGTGGAGAGACAGCCAGAGGGAGGCACATTAGGAGGAAACAGGGACTCACATTTACTTAGCACCTACTTAGCCAAGAACTGTTCTGGTGTTCCTATGGGGCTATTGTGACTATTGTCACCCATTATAAAGGACAGGAAACTTTGGCTCAGAGGCACAGAGAGGCTAATTGTCTTGCCCAAGGTCATTCAGGTGTGGTAGCTGAGGATGGCTGAGTGAGGCTGCCAGGGAGCCAGGAGGGACCCTGGCCACCACTGAGATCCCCCACATTGCAAGGCCTCAAGACAGGAGCAAGCTAGGGACGCCAGCACGATGAAGTCTGTGTGTCAGGGCTGGGCTTTCTCCTTCATTTCCCAAGAGGCTTCACATTTGGCGCAGCACAGTGAAGGTGTGAACCCAGGAGGACACTGTGTTCTGAGGTCCTACTGTGTGCTGGGGCCTTGGCAACTTCACTCTGGCCCTGGGGCATCAATGGCATTGTCGGATATTTAGTTTTGAGGGCCCAGCTTGGTGTTTTTGCTTTCTGTTGAGTGGAATAAAAACTTGACACCTAGACATATAAATGTCCCCCTTCCCTTTTAAATGAACACTGAAGGCTATTTCTTGGGTGAGCAGTGGGGTCCCACAGCCTGGGCCTGTGTTGGTTGGAGCACTTTGCTGTGGCTCTGAGGGTAAAAGAGGACTTTGTCTTTGTCTTTGAGGCTAGTTCTTTCTTTGATCCAGGAAGTGAAGGCTCTTGGTGGGGTCATCCGAATGCAAACATTTTCAGATGAGATATTTGGCATATTCCACAGCATAATGCTAACGGTCTTCCAGTTAGTGGGGGAAAGAAGGGCCTAGCATTTGGAGTGAGAACGTCTGGCAATCCTATACTCTCTTGATCCCTACTTTCAAGATGATGAAAATGCAGTACATAGAGCTTAAGTGGTATACTCACAGTTCTTTAGCTCATAAATGGCCTTATCCCTCTTGGGGTGGGCATAGGGGTGACCCATATGGTTGTACAGGTTGCTCACTGCACAAGGTGCCTGCCCAAAGTGCAAGTGGAGACCAAAATCCAGCTGTGGTGTGCTTGCCAGGTGTGCAGCTTGTCTCACTTGCACAGGGGGACACATGGGCTGACAGCAGCCTTGAGTGAGCAGGGTTACCCCCCAACCCCGCCTTATCTTCTAAATGCAGATACTGGACTTGTACCCACAGGAAATGACGCTCTAGTTAAGGTTTCTGCAAGAAGTGAGTTCCATGCCTTTTAACAAGAGCCACCATGCTTTTGTCTCTAAAGAGATGTTTTCCTTGTGGCAACAAGGATTTGGAGGAGGGGACTCATCTGGGGAATGCTTAAAGGGAGGCCTGAAGGGAAGCTTCCGGAAGACCCTGGTGGTGTCCCCATGCTCCTACCCCAGCAGCTGCCCAGGGACTGCCTTACAAGCACCCGGCCGACTCTCTTTAGACATGTCAACCACCCCAAGGGAGGGTGGCCATGATTTCCATTTTACTGATGAGGAAACTGAGGCTCAGGTGATGTGACTTGCCCAAGGTCACACGGTTGGTTGCTAAGTCACAGAGCCTGGATGCAGATCCTGTCTGCCTGACAGGTTCAAGAAGGAGGCAGAGGGCATCCCCTACCCCCGACTTCCTCCTCCCTTCCGGCTGGGCACCTGTGCTCTCCACCAGGGGATACTTGGCCACGTCTGTGGAGGTCACAACCTTGACCACCTCCTCCAGTGGCATGTCCTTGGCCAGTGTGGTGATGCTGTGGTTCATGAAGTGCTCCACCCTCACGCGGTGGGAACTGCAGGCAGAGGGGCTCCCATCAGGCCCCACAGTCAGGGATGTGAGACCCAGGCTGGCAGGGGGATCTGTGGGGAGCTTTGCTTGAACCGGGGACCCACGGCTCTGGAGTGTGGGCAGGGCCGGAGAGGTTCCTGGAATGAGGGACTCCTAGAACCCACGGTGAGAGGAAACCTGGGGACCACATCGCCGATGACCCAGTTGCGAATTCCCAGCCCCCTGGACCCCCGTGTCCCCCAGACCAGCTCCACTTTAGCCTGTTTTACCCAGCAGCCTTCCCTGGAGGATTTAATTTGAGTAAAAAGTATATGCGGCTGGGCACGGTGGCTCACGCCTGTAATCCCAGCACTTTGGGAGGCCAAGCCAGGTGGATCACTTGATGCCAGGAATTCAAGACTAGCCTGGCTGACGTGGTGAAACCCCGTCTCCACTAAAATTACAAAAATAATCTGGGCATGGTGGCACATGCCTGGTCTGAGCTACTTGGGAGGCTGAGGCAGAAGAATTGCTTGAACCTGGGAGGTTGAGGTTGCAGTGACTGAGATTGTGCCACTGCACTCCAGCCTGTGAAACAGAGTGAGATTCCATCTCAAAAAAAAAAAAGTATATGCCTCCCCCAGGGAAAAAAACTTGAAAGTCTGGAAACCACTGGGGTAAGCAGCCCCATTTTCCAGATAGGGAAACGGGTTCAGAGCAAGGCAGCAGCTTGCTTGTGTTTTCAGCGGGGCCTCAGACCCAGGGACTCTCAGAGCCTCTTTGGTCTGCTTTTCTGGTGCCAGAAGCTGCTCTGGTCCTATCTGGTTGAGTGAAGACCTCAAAGCCCATTTCCATTCTCGTTCCACCTCCTGCTCCCAAAGTCCCAGCAAGGACAGCAGGAGTGGGGAGAGGGGAGGAGACCTCTCGGATCTGGTGCTGACTCTCTGTGTCACCTGGAGCAAGACACGGCACCTCTCTGAGCCCCGGTTTCCTCAATCTGTACACGGGGCAATACTCATCCTCCTGCTGTGAAGCCCAGCTGACCCCTAGACAGACACTGAGGCCTCAAGGCCAAGGACTTGCCCAAGGTCACCCGGGGCACTGGGGAGAGTGGAGAACAGAGCACAGCTGTGTGTCAGCCCCCATGTCCGAGGTCAGCTACGGTGGCGTTTCTTTTTCGAGGTGCCCTTCACCCCAGCCCTTCCCAAACACTGTGACCCCCTTCAGTCAGCCTGAGGTGGGCACCACTCACCCGATGTTGCGGCCCAGAATCCGTGGCAGGTATGGCAGCTTCTTGACAATGACGGTGCCATCATAGAAGGAGGGCTGGCAGCTCTGTGCAATGGCGTTGGCTGCCAGCACCGCCATCAGCACGGGCAGTGCATGCACTATCTGGCCGGTCACCTCGAAGGCCAGCAGCGCCGTGGAGATGGTGTGGGTCACAGCCCCTGAGAAGGCTGCAGCCCCTGCAAGGGCAGAGTCAGGCAGGGCAGCTCAGGCCAGGGGCCAGCCTCATGTTAGGGCAAGGCTGGCACGGCTGCGACCAGGGGCTAAGGTGTGATTTGTAAGAGGCCACAGCCTGGGCACTGTGGGAAGTGCCCAGTGCCTGGGCTTGGTGAGAGGAGAGGGATAAGGGAGGCCGCAGGGCTGGGGACAGGAGCCACGAGGGAGTGATGGGCCCCGGGGAATGGTGGGGCTCAGGAGGGACAGACCCCCATGAGGGGTAGGGGGTTCACTGGAGGACTCAGTGACTGCTCCGTGCCCTGGGGAACCACCAGCCAATTCTCCAGGTCCAGCCCAGCCGCACGACATTGCCCACGCAGCAGGCCCCTGACCCACTCACCTGCCAGAGCATACCCCCCTGGCATGATGGGATTGGTGATCCCTCCAGCCACGATGCCCTCAGGGAAGATAAAAGAGAGAGTCTCCCCAAAGAGGCGCCCGATAGCAGCTCCTGGCCACAGACTTAGGGTGAGGGGGAGCCAGGCTGACCCGGCCCCCACAGCCCTCCATCCCTGAGGACCGTCCTCAGTACAACCTGGGGAGGGTGAACCAGGAGCCATGGTCCTGCCCCAAGAACCCCGAAACTCTCAGAACCTCAGGACCCCAGACTCACCATAGACAAAGATGGGCATGAAGTACCCGGCAGGCATGGGGATGGTGGTGGCCAGAATCAGCATCCAGAACTGTGGGAGTGGGGAGCCCAGGGCAGAGGTTAGAGGCTGCTGGGCAAGGCGTGGACAAGGGAGGACAGGACATGGGACAGGGGAGTGTCCTAGAGAGAAAGAGGGTGCCGGCCATGCACCCACTGCCAGAGTCTGGCATTAGGGGAGGGTCCTCACCCTGAGAAATGCCCACTGTATGCCCTGGCACTGTGCCAGGTACATTCCTTTCTTCCTCCTTAGCCTTCCCAGTAAACACCCCATTTTAAAGATGAGAAGACTGAGGCCCAGAGAGCTGAAGCCACTTGTCCAGGACCATGCAATGGGCAGGGGGCACATCAGGAAATGTGGGTGGAAGGCCTGGGCTCCATGCCACCAGCTGCGATGAGGTACCCCCCACCACCACCAGAGCTGGTCCCAGCTCTGTGCACACCTGGGGACCAGGGGGCCCACCTTCATAACCAGGAAGAAGGCAAGGGTCCCAAAGATGGTGAACCGCGGGTGGTACCATTCCCACCACAGGTGCTGGGGGTCGAGCTCCTCGGGCCAGGGTGGGCTGGAGTTCTGGGTCATCAGCGCCCAGGAGTGGTTGTCGAACAGCGAGTCCAGATGCTGCTTCATGGACAGCTGTGGCGGGGCAGGTGGGAACTGGACATGAGGGGCCCCCAGCGGCAGACCCCAGCCTCCCCCGCACCGCCTGACCCCGCCTGGAATCCTCCTCTGCCACTTCCCAGCGGGGGGCCTTGGGCAGGGCTCTGACCTCCCGAAGCTGTAGTATCATCTATAAAATAATGCTGAGGCATCTCCCTTATGGGGTATTGGGGGGATTAAGTGAGATACACGCAAAGGAGGCAACAAATAGGGCTTCCCCACTCCTGCCACCCCACTCAAGGCCCCTTACCCGAGAAGCTAGGAAGCGGCCGGCGCTGGGTGGGTAGGTGATGGAGGCGAGAACCAAGGTGGCCAGAGCGGAGTACACAGGCTTGCTGTGGGGGATGGGTGGGCTCTAGGGCTGGCCCTCCCTTTCCCACATCCCAAGGAGAGGGAAGCAGGGCCTAGCAAGGCAAGGACTGGGGAGGAAGAGCAGGAATGGGGGACATGGACTGGGCCAGCTCCAGGGGACAGAACCTGTGGGGTCAGCCCCACACTCCTGGGTATTTTTAGGGGTAGAGGCTGATAGGAGAATTGGGGCACAGGCAGGCTGGGAGGGAGGACAGAGTGGGGCCAGGCTAGGGCAGGGCTCATGCACCTGGGGCAGGAGGGCTTGGCCAATGCCATGGGCACACATGGTTTAAAGGGAGAGAGGGACCAACAGGGGGTTAAAGGTCAGTGAGGGGGTTGGGGTTCACTGAGGGGGTATAGACTCCAGGAGATATGGGGGTTAAATGGGGAGGTTTGAGGCCAGTAAGGTAGTCGGGCAGTGACTGTGGGGACTTGTAGGTGGTGTTAGGGGCTCCACATGTGGGGCATGGGCTAGGATGGGCTTTAGGGGCTCAGGTGGCGGGTAGAGCTTTCTACATAAGGTTGGGAGTACGGTGAGGGGGGAGCTCGCTGAGAGGTCCCCAGCCCTTAGCCCGGAGCCTACCTGGTGGCCAGCAGTTTGGAGCTGAACCTATTGTTCCTGATGAAGCCAAAGAAGATTCGCTGACAGAAGAGGTAAGCGCTGCCCAGGATGCCACAGAGACCCCTGGGGAGCATGGAGACATGAGCCCAGAGCCCGACCCCAGTACCAGGGGCCGCAGTCCAGGCCTTGGGGGGAATGCCTTTTGGACTCTCAGGGGCCCAAGGCACCCACTCACCCCAGCGCCACAAAAAAGAAGATCTCAGGCAGGTCGAAGGGAACGTCCACCCGGAAACTGGTCTTGTAGAGGGAGGTGATGGTCTCTGGGGAAGGAGGGCAGTGGGGAGCCAAGATGGCGCTCCCACCCGACCCAAACTCAAGTCCCAGACTAACAGCCCAGGGTGGAGGGGGTGCCAGGTCCTGACTCGGAATCTGTGTCCTGGCATTCCAGGCCCCCACAACCAGGCTCCTGCCTCCCTGCCCAGCCTCATCCCTTCTACCCTCAGGGCCCCTGCCCTTCTTGCTCAACACAGGTCAGCCCCCTCCATCCTCCCAGAAGGAGGTGGGAACAAGGAAGAGGAAAAAGAGGGAGAGAGAGGGAAAGGAAGAGCAAGGGGTGTACACAGGGGAGAAGGGAGGGCCCCCTCGCCCCGGCCCCCAGGCAGGGCCAGGGTCAGGCAGCCCAGGGGGCTCACCCTGCTCGCTGTTGAAGACCGCCAGGAGCCGGAACATGAAGGCCCCGCAGGTGGCCGCAAAGAAGCCCCTCCAGTAATCCCAGACAGAGAAGTGGGAAGACATGACCTCGATGCTGAACAGGACGCCTGGGGGCGACACTGATCTCAGGTGGGCCCTCCACCCCCACCCACCTGTGACTGTAGGACCCCCTCCCCATGTCACCTCCTCCCTGACCCATCTGTCCTGCTCTCCTGCAGCCCGGACAGGGACAGACAGGAGGGGAGGGCAGGGCATGCGCCCTGGGCGGGGAGGAGCCCGCTGCCCAGAGACCCGTCCAGCCTGGAATGCGGGTGTGCGCCCTCTCGCTATCGGGTGGGGACGGTTGCGATCTCCATTTTGTAGAGGAGGAAGCCGGGCTCAGAGAGGCCAACGGGCCAGGGTCATACGTGGATTTCAAACCCAAGTCTGTATAATGTTACACTGAAGCCTCTTAGCACCGCCAATCAAGTCACCCGCCCCCCCTCCCCCCGGTGGGGGGCGGTGGCTGTGCCCAAGGCGGGGCTGAAGTGAGAACTAGAATGAGCCCCACCCCCTCCTCCAGGCTCTCAGCTGGGCCGAAGGAGCCCAGGGTGTGAGGGGAGGAGCTTGAGGGACCCAGGGGGCGGGGCATGAAGGGGTCTCACCGCTGAAGGGAGCTGCAAAGACTGTGGCCACGCCCACTGCCGCCGCTGCCACCAGCATTTCGTTTTGCTTGCTCTTGTTCTGGGGGATCCGAGTCCAGGGCTCAGAGTCAGCCCCCTCCCTCCCCACTCCCATTTCTCCAAGGAAGCCCCCGAGTCCCTAACCTCAGGCTCCCCGATGGTCGTGGTGCGCACACGGCCCAGGTAGGCAGCCATCATCACAGACAGGTGCACGAAAGGGCCCTGCAGAGAGAAGGGTGGGCCCAGGGCCCAGGTGAGGGCAGCAGAGACGGTCTCACCCAGAGTCAGCACGGCTTCCCCCCAACACCCCCTCCTCCATCTCCCAAGCCCCCACGGCCGTCCTCAGATGGCTTTTGTCACACTCCGGGGACCTGGCCTGCCTCTTCCCCCAAGACTGAGTTCCTGGAAGGCAGGGACCAGCCCAAGTCCCCTCTGACGCAGCTTTCGTGGGGTGATGGGGGTGAGACTGGGGTGGCTGGGGTGGGTAGGGTGGTTGGGATGCCCTCACCCCTGCCCATACCACTTTCCCGAGGAAGAGGGTGCTGCCACAGGCCAGGGTGCAGGAGAGGCCCACCACTTTGGCCCCAAAGTTCTTGATATCCAGGTAGTCCTCCAAGACCACACCCGCCAACATGGTCTTCACCTCCGGGATTCCAGAACCTTGGCGGGGGTGGGCAGGGCCAGGAGGGGGACAATCTCTAGGTTAAAAATCTCAACACTCTACCTGTGTGATGTTTTCACATTACGATCTCGCCAGATCAGCAGAACCCTCTGAAGTTAGGATTATTTTCCTTTGGGGACAAGATCTTGCTCTGTTGGCCAGGCTGGAGTACAGTGGTAGGATCATAGCTTACAGCAGCCTCAGTTGCCAGGGCTCAAGTTATCCTCCTGCGTCAGCCTCCTGAATAGCTGGGACTATAGGTGGAGACCACTTCGCCCACCTTATTTTTCTAAAGAGATGGAGTCTAGCTATGTTGCCCGGGCTGCTCTAGAACTCCTGACCTCAAACGATCTGTCCACTTCCGCCTCCCAAAGTGCTGGGATTATAGGTATGAGCCAGTGTGCCCAGCTGGGTTAGGATTCCTTTGTTTGTTTGTTTGTTTGTTTGTTTGTTTGTTTCAGACAGGGGTCTCACTCTATCCCCCAGACTGGAGTACAGTGGTGCAAACACTGCTCAGTGCAGGATCAAATTCCCCAGGTCAAGCAGTCCTCCCGCCTCAGCCTCCTGAGTAGCTCGGACCACGGGCACATGCAATCATGCCCAGCTGATTTTTTTCTATTTGTTGTAGAGACAGGGTCTCCCTGTGTTGCCCAGGCTGGTCTCAAACTCTAGGCACAAGTGATCCTCCTGCCTCAGCCTCCTAAAGTGCTGGGATTACAGGCATGAGTCACTGCACCCAGCCTAGGGTAAGGTCCTTAAACTCATTTAGCAGATTTGGACACCGAGCATCACAGAGGGAATGTGAGTTGTTCACGTTCCTCCCGCCAGGCCTGGCAGAAGGCTGTGGCAGGATAGGGGAAGCCCGGATGAAATCTCAGGCCACCACTGAGTGAGCTTTGAGCTCCCCTCTGCTGGCCTGGAGCAGGAGGCAGGGCTGAGCGGCCTGGGGGAGCTGTGCCTCCTCCACTGGCCCCTCCCTGGCACTGGCCACTGGAACAGGCTTCGCAGAAGATCCTCCCACCAGGCCTCCCATCAAGTCCCAGCGGAGCCCCTGGAAAGCAGGTAGGGCCAGCAGTGACCCAAAAGTCAAGATCTGGCCTTCTTGCTGTGTCCCTTTGGGCAAGCCACATGACTCTTCCTGGGCCTTTGTCTGTGAAATGAGGCTGCCCCTTCCCGACTCCCCCCTGGGATCTGAGAAGGTTTTGGCCAGTGGGGACTGGCGTAGCGACTGTGGACTCACCTCCAGAGGAGGGTGTGATGCTCTGAGAGAAGCCTGAAGAGAAAGAGACGAGGGCCACAGGGTACACAGTCCAGGAGAGATACCGGAGCAGGTGGCTGTCCCCAATCTCCCTGTACAGCCACTGGTGCGCTGGGGACAGCCGGGTATCAGGGAGGCACCCACAGCCTCTGCAGCCCTCGGGGCCAGACGCTGTGGTGCCCACTTACTGACCAGGAAATGGAGTCACGAAGAGGGGAGGACCAGGCCACACAGTGAGGTGCAGACCCCCAAGAAGAGGCAGGAGTACGACCCTGGGTCCATATCCCAGGTTTACCACTGCCTAGCTGAGTGACCTTGGGCAAGCCACTCAGCCTCTCTGAGCCTCAGTTTCCCCATCTGCCAAGTGGGCTCGTGATGGGCTCTTCCTCACAGGCTCATTGAAGACTAAAGACGTTAAAGACTAAAGGGCCACTGAGAACTACATGACACAGGTGTGAAGCACCAAACACCGTAACACCATAGTAGGTGCTGCTTCTGGCAGCTGAGGGTCTCCAGAGAAAGTGTCTTAGACCCTTCCTGCCCACACCCCCTCTTCCAGGGAGGCCTCAGGGTGGAGGCAGGCTGCTGAGGGATGGGGTGGGATGGGGAGGAAGCACCAAGCTTAGTGTTATAGGGAAGTGCCCCCACTCTGCCCCAGGGCATGGAGGAGGGAAGGAGAAGAAACAGGGTGGC
Organism: Homo sapiens; assembly: GCF_000001405.40. Classification (NCBI taxonomy): domain Eukaryota; kingdom Metazoa; phylum Chordata; class Mammalia; order Primates; family Hominidae; genus Homo; species Homo sapiens. The sequence continues at coordinate 16,045,952 of NC_000001.11, read as the reverse complement.
TGGAAGAGGAGGCAGAGAGCTCAGAGGAGGAAGAGCTCTTGGGAACATTCAGGCCTCTCTCCCTTGTGCAAATGAGATGACTGAGGCCCAGAGAGGGGCAGGAGCCTGCCCAGGATCACAGAGCAAGTCAGGAGTAAAGCCAGGACCAGATCCCCACCCAGAGCACCCCCCCCAACCTCCGCTGCACCTGGCGACATCCACCTGGCATCCCCAGAGAGAGCTCAGAATCCCTTGGCCCAGAGCAGCACCTGCCATGGAGGGGTTACCTCGGACCACACTCTCAACAGCCAAGTCCATGGCACAGCTGACCAGGGCCATGAGCACCCCGAGGGTCATCAGGAAGTACCAGTCCTCGCCCAGGCGGAAGAGCTTCTGCTTCAGCCACTCCAGGCCACCTGGGGCAGGGCATGGGGTCACGGCACAGGGTGGGGCAGGAGGCACAGACAGTCCCATCCTTGGAGGCCTGCTGGGCTTCAGGCAGAGAGGCTGGGGCAGGGGGATGGAGCTTGGTGGTATACTCTGGGGTAGTCCCGAGGGGGCCCTGCCTCACATAAGTGGCCGGGCAGGATTTGTGGGAGGTGACAGTGGTGACACAGTGGGTGCCAGGACTGCTGCCCCTACCAGAAAGCCGTTGACCTGCCGACCCTCCGCATCCCTGCCTGTACTGGGAGGTTCCTGGGGGACAGGGAGTATGGAGGGGGCTGGCAGCTACAGCTTTCACCTGCATCCCCGCAGAGTCCATAGCTTAGAGAGCACCAGGATCTAGCAGACTCCTGCGTGTCCCAGGACCTGTGGCGCCAGGTATCCTCTGGGTCCCCAGCAATGCTCCTGGCCCACTGGCTGCTAGCCCAGCCTGGGAGCTGGCCCTCACTGGCTGTGGGCACCAGCCCCTGGGGTTGCAGTCAGCCTCCTTCTGTGGTCCCTACTTGCTCTGCCCCGTAGCTGAGGGGACAGTCAGGTCTCAAAGTGAACAAAGCACATGGGGCTCCAAGGAAAGGTGCCAAGTGTAGGCTGCCCCAGCCCCTTGCTGTGGCCCCAGCTGTCCCAGCAGCTAACCCCCACGTCCCCTCATTGGCACAGGTAGGTGAGGGAGAGGCCTGGGTGGAAGATGGGCACAGTGACCAGGCCTTGGGCTGTATCTCCCGAAAGGCAGAGGGCAGATGCCCGGCCCATCTGACCCACAGACAGCTGGACAGACAGACCCCTTCCCTCCCTGCCACCCAGGAGACTTTGGGCAGTCATGTCCTGGACAAATGCCAGGAGGAGGGTGGTTCCTGGGCAGGGAGGTGGGGTGGGAGCTGGGCAGGAATGATGTCCTGAGTGGTCCTCCAGGGGGAAGGGAAGAGGACCTGGCTCTCACCTCGGATGCCTCGGCGGATGCGGGGACAGGGGCCCCACAGCTCCTGCAGAGTCACAGGGTTCCCTGAGGAGCCTTCACGCAGCCCCACAAACTCCTCCATCAGGCCCCTGGAGAAGCGGATAGAGGGAGGGACCGCGGTGAGCTGCTGCACGTCCTCGCACTGCCTCTAGGCCCTTCCAGTGCTCTCCCCACCCATGAAGAGGAAAGATTGTGCGTGTGTGTGTGTGTGTGTGTGTATGTGAAGTTATCACACTAGGTCTGTGTGTGCCTTCATCCCTGAGTTTCCGTCACTGAGGGTGTGTGCCTGTGTGTGTCATTGTGTGGGATGGGGGTGGGATTCCTAGGTGTCCCCCTGTGTCCAGCAGCAGACTGGGCACAGGCCGGAGCCCAAGCCCTGCTCAGAGCCCCTTCCCCTTCGGTGGCAGCCGCTCCCACCCTCCTGGGTCACTTGGCGCTTCCACTGCTGGGAGCAGTCTCTGCCCAGGGCTGTGACACTCTCACTGCAGAGTCCCATGGATGGCTCTGACTCTCCCTGTCCACCTATGAGCACCCCTGACCCCAGCTCAGGCCACAGAGGCAGCAAAACCCCAGGCCCAGAAGAAGATCCCACCAGGGCCAAAGTGAGGTGCTGGCTCCTGCCCTTACCACCCCCCCCCCCCCGCCCTGCCTGTCTGGCCCTGGCAGGCCCCAGCATCTTGCAGCGACCCCTCACCTGTCAGTCCTCCTGCTGTGGCTGAGCTGGCCCTCCTCTCACAGAGCCTCCAGCTCCCCTGCACCTGGACAGGTGTGTGTTCCAACAATCAACATCCTCCCCCCTTTCCCGCCTGGGCCCAGGGTTTATGGCGAACACTTAGAATGTCCTTGAAAACCGATCAGAACTGCCCAGGCCGGAGCAGAGCAGAGCAGAGCTGCCAACAGGGAGGGGAACAGGAGCCTCCCCACCCACCATAGCTGCACAGAGGGTGGTGCCCAGCTGTACTCAGGCTCCTGGGTGCTGCTGGACGGGGGCTGGGAAGGGGGAGCTCACGCACACAGCAGGACAGAGAGGGGTCATCTGCCAAGGCTGAGGCTCAGGGTCCAGGGGTCTCAGAGCTGGACATGGAAGGTTTGGAAAAGCACAGAGGGAGAGGGGAGGAGGCTGGGCAGAGAAGGAGAAAGCAGGCCGGCAAAGGTGAGTGGGGCCAGCATGACCACAGCCTCCCTGTGTGCCAGGTAGAGAGTCAGCCTTCCCCTAGATTAATTACCCTGAGTGCCCACGGAAATCCCACGAGGCAGGCAGCGTGATCCCGTTGTAGAGAAATGGTGTCTCAGGGAGGTGGGGCTGCCCGTCTAAGATCACGGAGGCCGAGGCAGCGCCAGGATTCCCAGCCCAGGTTTGCCTGGCTCCAAAGCCCGCAGGCTGTGCCACACGGTCCCATCCTGATGACCCATCTTGTCCAGGGCTGGCGAGGAGGCCGACACCTGGGGCAAGGCAGTGAATTGGGGTCAGGAACTCAGACTTGATCCTGTGTCCAGACCCTCCAGGCTCAGGAAATGCCTCTCAAAGCACACGTCCAAGGGCCAGCGGCTCTGGTGGGGACTTCTGGGTAATTCCACAGAGTTTGTCCCACCCCAACAGAGGATGGCAGCACAGGTGTGAGGGGACATGGCGAGGAACAAGCACGTGCCGTGTGCCTGCAACGTGTCAGAAGCGTCACATCCGCAGCTCAAGTCCTCCTCCCCACACCCTGTGAATGGGGAGAGCCTCGCCATTTTGTAGATGGTCAGAGAGGTGAGTCACTCATCCAAGGTCACACAGCAGAGGCTGAACCCAGCCCCACACTGTGCAGCTCTTCCCCTGCCCAAAGCTCCTCCAGCTCCTGAGGCTGAACCAGGGCAATGGTTTGGGCACAGAACAGAAGAGTTGTGTCTGATGCCACTTTGGGGCAAGATGTTGGGGGCAATTGCCTCCAGTCCTACCCAGACAAAGCCACTCTCTGAATAACATGATGGCCCTTGGATGATTGTTAAAATCTGGGACCCTGGGCCACCCTTTGCCCCTAGATGCCAGGCAAGTCAAATCAAAATTGAAGGTGTGTGTTGTGGGAGGTGGGATGGGGGTTGCCGCTCTGCATGAACCCGAGCCCACCTTCATCTTGGCCACCCTGACCTGTTGACTCTGCACAGCACCAGAACTGGCTGCCCTGTCAACATCCGGATCCCCAGTGTCTGGTCTGGGGCAGCTGCTGGCTACTGTCCCACAGCCGGCACTGCATGTCCACATCCACCCTCACCCCCCAGCCCTGTGTGCCCCAGGAGGCTGAGAAGAGGGCAGCCAGGGGGCGCAGGACCCAATGCAGGTCCCTCCCAAACCCACTGCCTCCACATCAGCCCTAATTTCTCCCCTTCCATATTAGTCGCCTGGCAGCAGTAGCGGGGGCTCAGTAGAGAGACAGCAGGGGAGAACCCAGGGCGGCTCTGTGACCCTAACACCATCACCATCCGGAGCCTCTGTTTTCCTCCTCTGTCAAATGAGCTGAGCCTGAGACCTGGGTCTCTGTCTCATGACAGTGGGGGTCGGGTGCCCAGGACCTGCACAGCCCCCTCGCCTCAGAGCAGCTGAGGACGGGATGGGGGACAGGGCACGCTGAAAGAGACAGGGCAGGTATGGGTGGGAGCGGGGCGGTACAGAGAACCCACATTCAGAGGTCACTGAGTCCCCACACTACTTTGCATCCTGGCAGGTGACATGAAGCAGGGTCCCCTGCCCTGCTTTTATTCCAATGGTTACACCCCCACTGCCAGGTGCCTAGGAGGGGAGGGAGGCTCTGGTTATTCCTGGCTTCCCAGAGGAACTGTGGGGACAGCTGGGGAGCTAGCAGACCCCCCATCTCCCACCCCTTCCCAAGACAGAGGCCTTACCAGCTCACCCCCACAGCCCCTTCCCATGCCTTACCTGGTCCCACTGTCTTCAGTGAGAGGGGAAGGGAGTTTGAAGAGTGAGGAGTGCTGGGGGTTCCTTAGGAACACCAGGCTCCCAGAGTCTGAGGGTGGCTCCAGAAACCCCAAAGGTTCTAGGCAGTCTCTGGCTGGGCCCAGCTCCAGGTGGAGGGGATCTGAGTGTTTCCTCAGTGACCAGGTCCCTTCCCCTTCACTTGGCCACTCCATGCCGGGTGCCTTGGGGTGCCAGCCTAGGTGTACTGGCCTGTGGGCTGAGGACCCACCAAGCACGGGACAGAGGTCGGGGAGGAAGAGACGCCTGCTAAGGTCATCCCGAGAGGCTGGGGCTGACACAGACTTCTGCACATCCAATGAGAAGGGAGCAGAGGAACGCTGGAGGGAAACAGTGGTCATGACAAGGATCTGAAAAGACAGGAGATGCGGAGCCAGGCACAGTGCCTGTAATCCCAGCGCTTTGGGAGGCCCAGGCCAGCAGATCACCTGAGGCCAGGAGCTCGAGACCAGCCTGGCCAACTTGGCGAAGCCCTGTCTCTACCATAAATACAAAAATTAGCTGGGTAAGGTGGCGCACACCTGTAATCCCAGCTACTTGGGAGACTGAGGCAGGAGAATCGCTTGAACCCGGGAGGCAGAGGTTGCAGTGAGCTGAGATCGTGCCACTGTACTCCAGCCTGGGTGTGATTCTGTCTCAAAAAAAGAACAAAACAAAAAGATAAAAAAAAAAAAAGAAGATGCTTGGGCTGCTGGGGTGCTGACGGCCCGACCCAGTGGTAAGGGGACAGAGGGGAGACACTGCAGGACAAAGTCCCGAGCCCAAGAGACATGGCAGTACGTGCGATGCTGGCGGGATGCTTCCGGGCTGATGGAGCAGAGATGGCACGGTCATGCCGCAGCAGAGAGAGCAAGGCCCCCCGGGGGAGGGCAGGGATGGGAGCCAGTCCGGGATGGACGGGCGAGAAGGTCTTAAGTGCAGCAGGAAAAGCTCTTTGTTGGAGAAGGAGGTGATGTGAGCAAAGGCTCAGGCAGGGTGGTGATTTGGGGTGGAAAGAATTGAAAAAAGAAAAAAAGAATTCTCAGTCTAGATAGATTTGGAAGATGTCACTCAGGGTCACTAGAGGCCCCAAATTCTGGTGCATAATTTCCGCCCTTGCTCCAGGGTCTGTGGCATGAACCCACTGGATGATATAATTACCTTCTCTCCAGTGGCACACCCCTCCTGCTAAGCACTGCACTCAGCTCTTCTCAGCCTCCGTTATGTTATTTAGTCCTCACCACAACTCGTGAGGTGAATGACATTGTCGCCATTTTGCAGAGGAAGAGACGTGTTCGGAGCTGTTAGGAATAGTCTAGGGACACCAGCTGGGAAATGGCAAAGTCAGAGCCCACACCCAAGCCTGCTCTATAAGCGGCACCTGCTGCCTCTCCTCCCAGCACCACTGTTGCCCCCACCTTCTTCCTCTGCATGCCGGGGGACACCAGAGCATGACCCATGAGAGGGCAGACCCCGACCTCACGGAGCACCAGAAGGCTGACCCCCACCCTCACCCAGGGCCCCAGGACTCGGGCCATCTGCCGGCACAGCGTGCCAGGCCCTGCCTGATCCTCTCTCTCCTCTTGTTTTAGGACAAACAGATGGATTTCTGTTGGGATCCTTGGCAGGTCAGTGCACTTGTGTGTCCCCATTCTAGCCGGCCCCAGCTGACACCACCACCCCTCTCTCCCCTGTGCCCAGCTCAGGCACACAGTCCCACTAGCCCTAAGACCAGAATCTGATGAAACAGTGGGTGGGGGTTGTCCCGTGGGAGTTAGTAGGATCTCCCTGGCTTTAGCTGCCCTGTCCCTGCCCACTGGCCAGAGGACTTGGTGAGCTGGGAGACGGGGATGGGTGGTGGTGCTGGAGGGATGTCGGCCGGAAGCCTGGCCCACCCTGCTCAATCCTCCTGCCACTTCCTCCAGAGGTGCTTCCAGACCACCAACGGCCACCTGTCCGACTCCAGGTCCTGCCCCGGCAACTACAACGTGGCAGCCCTGGCCACCTCGTTCCTTGTGGGTAGGTTCTGGCCACAACTCTCCTGCCGGTGGAGAATGCACGGTCCCACCCTAGACCCTGGCTGTGGGAAGGGCATGGCTGAGTTGCAGGTGGGAGGATGGCAGCCCTGTTGGATTCTCCATGTTCTAAATGCCAGAGTCCATGCTGGGTTATGCGGGTCACGGGGGGACCAGTGGCTCAGGGTTCTGCTTCCACAGGTTAAACTGCTGGGTTCTCAAGAAGCTCTGAGGGGGTGGGGCAGAGTTTTTCAGATGTCTGTCTGGCATGGTCTCCCTGCCTCTCTGCCAGTCCCATCACCTTAGTTCAGGTTCCCTGGAAGCAGAGCCTGACATGGGCATGACTGTGCAGGTGATTCCCTGGGGAATGGCCCTCAAGAGAAGCCAGCAGGCAGCGGGGGAGGCAGAGGGGCCTTCGGAAGGGGCTCTGCAGGAGTCTAGCTTCACCAAGCTGGTCCCACCACAGCTTGGGAGCATGAATAGTACCCCAGAATTATGGCACACTATGGTGACAGGCTGGACTTTTTAAATTTTATTTTATTTTATTTGTTTATTTCTGAGAGATGGTGTCACTCTGTCACCCAGGCTGGAGTGCAGTGGCACGATCTCGGCTCATCGCAACCTCCGCCTCCCGGGATCAAGCAATTCTCCTGCCTCAGCTGCCCAAGTAGCTGGGATTACAGGTGTGTGCCACTACACCCAGCTAATTTTTGTATTCTTAGTAGAGACAGGGTTTTACCATGTTGACCAGACTGGTCTTGAACTCCTGACCTCAGGTGATCTGCCTGCTTCAGGCTCCCAAAGGGCTGGGATTATAGGCCTGAGCCACAGTGCCCGGCCAGGGGCTGGACTTTATACTCCCCCATTGCTGACTCACTGGCTGCCCCGGGGGAGGAATTTGCAGCCTCCTGGGCATCTCTGGGTGAGGCGGCTCCCATTGGCTCAGGGCGGTTCTGCAGATATGGATATAGGTGTGAGCTCACAGTAGCAGCACCTGAAGCAGATGGGGATGGGCTCGTAGCACAGTACAGGAGGTGCTGGTGATCACCACAGCATCAGGTGGCCCCCCACGGCATCAGGTGGCCCCAGGACGGCCTTCACCTGTCTGTGCATACCCAGCTCTGCTCCATGCCCTGCAGGCTCCACTTCACTACAGCCCACCCAGCTCCCCCGGGACCCCTGGGGCCCTCCCTCCCCACATTGGCCTGTGCCTTTCTTCCACCCACAGCACCTTCCTCCGCTGCACCTACCTTTCAAGGGCCACTTGAACACCCACCTCCTCCAAAACACCTTCTTAGATACCCAACACCCCCCGCTTTAGTGGTTGGGAGCGAGATTCTCCCCTTTCTTCCACACACCCATCTTTCCCATTTTCCCAGCTCTCTAATTTCCTTTGTGGATACCTCGTCTTTCTTCTCATTCTGTCACCCAGGCTGGAGTACAGTGGTGCGATCTTGGCTCACTGCAACCTTCGCCTCCCGGGATCAAGCGATTCTCCTGCCTCAGCCTCCTAAGCAGCTGGGATTACAGGCCACCATGCCCAGCTAGTGTGTGTGTGTGTGTGTGTGTGTGTGTGTGTGTGTGTGTGTGTGTGTGTGTGTGTGTGTGTGTGTGTTTAATAGAGACAGGATGACAGGATTTCACCACGTTGGCCAGGCTGGTCTCAAACTCCTGACCTCAAGTGATCTTCCTGCCTTGGCTTCCCAAAGTGCTGGGATTACAGGCGTGAGTTACCACACCCAGACTTGTCTTTCTTAAATATCGCCATTCCTCACATCATGGCTTCGGAGACTAGGGTGACTCCCAGATCTGTGTTGGCAGACTTGGCTAATGACAATCCTGAACCATTGCTGACAGCCCCTCCATCTTCCACATCCAACTCCTCTCCTCCCAAAGCCCCCGACCTCTCCTCTCTGTCTGCCCAGCCCTTGCCTTGTCTGTTGCTGGGTCCCTGCAGTAACCCCAAATCTTCCAATTGGGGCACTCTTCCTAAACAGCTGTGCCAATTGGTCACTCTCTTGCTCATTACCCTGCTGGGGCTCCCCACTGCGCAAGGAGAACATCTGAGCCCCCCACCTGGTTCTCTCCAACCATGCTCTGGCCCTGATCTGCTCCCAGCTTCTCCTGTCTCCCAGTCCTAGTGTGGACCCCATGTCTCATCCCAGCTAATCCTGGACTCATGCCAGATTCTTCCATGCCTTCATCCTCTTCTCATCTTTGAAATGAAACCTCCAGTCTTGCCTCTATCTGTCCAAACCCAACCCACCTTCAAATTCCAATCCCAGGTCCCCTCTTCCAGAAGCCTTCCCTGCCTGCTCCACCCACCCAGATCTCACCTCCAGCAGAGCTGGCACAGCCACAGAGATGCTCTCTCAGAATGTGTTTAATGGATCATGGAGAAAGCTGGGGGCTCATGAGTGGTCCTTGGGTGGCTCTCCTTGGATGGAAGGGTCTGAACTTGGTCAGAAAGGGAGTGAGGGGTGTGGCCGATCTGGGGAAGAAGCACCCAGTGGGCGGGAACATGGACTGGGAGTAGGATGCTGGGAGGAAATGCGGATGCCAGTGGGTGGGGGCATTGAGGGGAGGGGGCCACAGAGCTCAGAGGGCTCAGGGCAGGAGTGAGCAGGAGGCTTTGGAAGGTGTGAGGAGTTAGATGGGTACAGGCCCCTGGGGAGGTGTGGGGCACTGATGGAGATCATGGTGCACTGAGGGAATGTGGGGTACAGGCCACTGGGTGGGCCTGAGGCATGGGGGCCAGGCCCTGCGCTGAGCCTTGTGTCAGGACAGTCACCCAGATGCCCTCCATGCCCCAGGGGTGGTGCAGAGCATCAAGGACCACATCACAAAGCCCACGGCCATGGCCCGAGGCCGCGTGGCCCACCTCATCGAGTGGAAGGGCTGGAGTGCCCAGCGGGCAGGCTGGGAGCTGTCCCCAGCTGAGGACGAGCATTACTGCTGCCTCCGGATAAGCTCAGTGAGGCCCGCTTTGCTGCAGGTCAGCGAGGAGGGGGACTGGCCAGGGCTCTGTGGGGGTGAAGCTGGGTCCTTGGGGGGCCCAGGTCACTGCATGGGCATTGTCTGGGCAGGAAAAAATAATGGCATAGGGTGGGTGGGTATTAAGTGAGCACTCTTGACCACTGGGGTGTGGATTGGCAGCCCAGAGAGGTGGCCACCCTCCCGCCTGTCCTGGAGCAGCTCCATCAGGCACTGAGGCCGTCCCCACCCATGCCCCCCTGAGCTGGATCTCGCTGTTCCCCCAGGGGTCGCCGAGCAGTTTGCCATCACAGAGGCCACACTGAGCGCTTGGTCCTCGCTGGACGAAGAGGAGCTGCACCCCGAGAACAGCCCCCAGGGCATCGTCCAGCTCCAAGGTACAGCCCAGGGGGTCCGGGGGGAGGGGGCAGAGTGGAGGTGACGCTAGATGCCTGTCCATCACCAAATGCAGTGTGACCTCGGCCAAGCCCCTTCCTTTTCTCAGCCCGAGTTTCTTCATCTGCAAAATGGGGCAGTGATCCTTGCCTTGCCCATTGCCCGGCAGTGGCAGGAGCAGGAAGGAGAGAGTGAGCACAGTGGGGGCGGGAATCGAGCGCTTACCACACCGAGGGCTGTGCACGAGCACCTCACAGAATCCTCACAGCAGCCCTAGGGAGTGGGTCCTGTTGTCCCCATTTTACAAATAAGGAAACAGAGGCACTCAGACGTTCAGAAACTTACTCCAAATGACAGCTAGAAGCGTCAGAGCCGGATCTGAAACTTAGCACCAGGCACGAGCAACCACCTTTCTAGAAGCCCAGGTTACTACTGAGGGCTTCAAGGAGCCTTGGCCCTGGGGGAAGCCTGCACTTAGTCCTCCTGCCCCAAGAGGGACGGGGAGGGGACAGAGGCCCAGAGCAGCACTGGCTGTCCCAGTTCTCAGAGAGCACAGGCTGGCTCCAAGCCCACTCTTAACTCCTCCGTTTACTGCCTGGAGGAGGAACCTGGGACTCAGAGAGTTTTGGTGACTTGACCAAGGTCACAAGGCTCGGCAGTCACACAGCTGGATTTGGAGGCAGGTCTTCTGCCCCTTGCCCTTTCTCACACCCCCAGAGAGGGAGGGCGAGGAGCTGGATCCGGGACGCCATTCCCCCATCACCCCCTTGCTTTTCCAGATCTGGAGAGCATCTACCTTCAGGACAGCCTTCCCAGCGGCCCCTCACAGGATGACAGCCTTCAGGCCTTCTCCTCGCTCAGCCCCTCCCCTGACAGCTGTCCCTCACCTGAGGAGCCCCCCAGCACCGCTGGCATCCCGCAGCCCCCCAGCCCAGAGCTGCAGCATCGGCGGCGGCTGCCCGGGGCCCAAGGACCCGAGGGTGGAACCCACCCCCTGGGCTCCCTCCCCTCCATGGACAGCGGCTCCCTCTGGGAGGAGGACGAGGTGTTCTATAACTGAGGTGGGGGCTGTGCTGGTCCAGCACCTGCTCTCACCATGACCTCGCCTGGTGGGCAGCCCAGGCATATCTGGACCCCGGGGTCCAGGGGAGGGCATCTCTTGACCCTTCGGGTAGGCACAGGGTAGGTGCGGCAGGGATGGGGCCAGTGCTCATGGTGGCCTCTCTGTGCCTCGGTGGACCTGCCCCAGCAGTGGGAGCCATAACCCCCTCCCCCTTCATTACTTCACTCAGGTGGGCACCTTCCCCTGCAGGGTGTCTGCCCTCAGGGAACTCAAGGACTCTCAGAGACACCAGGGCAGCCTGGCCCAGAGGAGCAACAGCCAGGCCCCCAGGAGGACAGCCATGGAGAGAATTGAGACCCACTTACAGTGGGGTCTGGGAACCCTGCCTTTACCTGGGGTTCAGTCCCTCCCCACTCTCTCTGTGTATCTGCCCCCCAGCAAAGGTGGGGTGACCACTTCTGGTAGCTAAGCACCTGCTCCCCGGCTCTCTTCACCCAGGACATCTGTCTCTCTGGAGTGTCTGTCTGTCTGTCCCTCCCTCTCTGAACCTGCTTCCTCCGTGTCCCCTGCTCCTCACCCCTGGGAGCCCACTCCCCCTCCTTGCAGCTCCCTCCCATCTCACTCAAGTTTCTTTGAGGACATTAAAGTGGTGGATTCACCCTGGATGACCTTGGCCTGGTCTCTGCTGGGGAAGATGTGACCTTGGGCCCCTGGACAGAGTCCGGAGGGAGTCAGGGGGGATCCTTAACCCCAACACATACACAGCCGGTCAACCTGGGCCACCCAGGCATAGAAGGCTCATGGAGGATGCCCAGGGCTCTGTGGACTCCAGAAGGAGCCACACTTCGGTCCTGGCTTTATGAGCTGTGGCCCAGCCAAGCAGGAGACTAGGGTTTGAGTGACACAGTATCCCACTTATTCATGAGGACAAGCATCATAGACCTGGTGGGAGAACCTCTCTCCCTATCATCTCCCTGCCAAGAAATGGAGCATGAGGAGGAGCCCAGGGGCCCGAGCCTGCAGTGCCCACGTGACCACGGGAAACTCACTCTGGGCCAGCGCAGGTAAGGAGCTCCAGTCCCAGACCAGCAACCTTGCAGCTGAGATGAGGGATGGACAGCAGCTCTGGGAACCAGCTTTATTTTTCTCAGGAGCCTCTCACTGGGAACCAGACAACCCCAGAGGGCATCTTTGCCTGCCCTTGGTGACAGTGTACTCCAATCTCGTCATTCATTAATGTGATGGCCAGTCACTGAGCACCTGGCAGATACTGGTTTTCCATCTTCTCACACTCAGCTCTGCCCAAGGTGGGATTTTTGTCTTTCAAGGCAGGAGCCATCGTCCCACCCAGGATGAGCCATCCTCTTCTGGGCTAGGTTAGAGTTGCCTGTTATGCCAAAGAATGGAGCTGGGCTGGAGGGAGGGGCAGGTGGTGATGGGGGAAGAGAAGCAGGGTCTCAGCCCAACCTCAGTACCAGGTCAGCTGGGGTGCCCTGTTTCATCTTGCTGGGCCGGCTCACTTTGGAGCTGGCGGATTTGTCAGGTTGGAAATTGCTTTCTTCATCTAGAACAGAGAAAGGGGGTGGAGGTGGGGGGGGATGTAGAGGAGGTTGTGAGGGGGGCTCCAGCATTTTTAGTCCCCTAAGGTTCATTTCCAGGCTGAATAGTAGAGCCTGTGCCACCCCATTGCACAGATGGGATCACTGAGGCCGAGAAGGGCAGGCTGGCCACTGGCCAGAAAACAAGGTAGGGGAGCCAGGCCCAGTGGCCAATCTGGGCCAGAAAGAGGGACTCATAAGTATCCTCTGAATCCCCCCAGGTTTGGATGGGAGCATGCTGGTGTCCCCCCACCTCCCCATCTCCCCAGCCTTCTCAGGCATGGGTCCCCTGCTTTGCTCTGCCCCCGGGACCCTGGTACCTCCACCCAGGACACGCAGCCCACAGCTCTGCCCCGCGATGTCACGAAGAGGGACTGAAGGTTCAACAGCTTAAAGAGGTTTTGTGCCTGGATGGGGGATTGTTAGGAAACACTGGAGGGTAGATGGCGCCCAGCCCACCCTCTGGCCCACTCTGCCACGCCTCTGAGCCAGGAAGAGGGGCGGGGCCTGATATGTGTGGGAGGCAACAGACCCAGGCCTGCAATGTCCAGTGTGGGCCACTGGGGGATGCCAGAGGCCACTCAAGGGTCTGGGCGGGGCTGCAAGTGGACAGGACCCAACATCCAGCACCCTCCAGCAGCACAGAGGGGGCGGGGCCATCTCCAGGTCCCCTGTCAGCCTCCGCCCTTGCCCCATCCTTGTGTCAGGCTCTGTCTCAACTGGCTACATAATTTGTCCAAGATCACACAGGCAAAATGGGGTGGACCTGAAATTGAAACGCACGTGTGCCTTGGTGCAACTCCACTGTCTTTCTCCACCCAGAGACTTCCATTTGCCAAGCCCCCCAATTCCCTCATCTCTCTGCATCATCCCCGCAACCCTGGCAGTGAGGGGCGACGGCAGGAGCTGCCCTGTCCAGGCCCAGGAGGAGCAGGAAGCAGGATAAGATGGGCGGGGCGGGGTTGGGACGGGAGGCTGGAGCCTGAGCTCCTCATCAGCTCTTGCCCTGCCCCGGGGGCTGCGTGTGTCACACTCCCCAATACTTGTTACCTGGTGCAAGGTGGTCTCTGAGAATAGCGTCAGGGTCACTGGTTCCGTGGGGCAGCCCCTGGCCAAGATGTCCTGGAGACACTGCTGGGAGTGGGGAAGAGTTATGGGTGCAGGGCCGGCCTCCCCAGGATGCCTCTCTCAGACCACCTCTCCCTCAGGAGATCAGCGGGTCCCTCCCCTCCCATCCCTGCTGACCCACCCCCGCCCCATCCCCACGCCCCTCAGGAGTAACCACCTGGTGTCCTGGAGCCCTGGAAGGAGGCTCAGCCTGGAGGGCCTGCACCAGCTGGGCCCTCTGCACGATGCCTACCAGGATCTGGGACTCTGGCAAGTAGAGAGGGAGAGGGAGGGAGGTGCATTATGAAGAAACAGGCCTGAGGGCCAAGCTTCCGGAAGACCTTGGTGGTGTCCCCATGCTCCTACCCCAGCAGCTGCCCAGGGACTGCCTTACAAGCACCCAGCCGACTCTCTTTAGACATGTCAACCACCCCAAGGGAGGGTAGCCATGATTTCCATTTTGCTGATGAGGAAACTGAGGCTCAGGTGAAGTGACTTGCTCAAGGTCACACGGTTGGTTGCTAAGTCACAGAGCCTGGATGCAGATCCTGTCTGCCTGACAGGTTCAAGAAGGAGGCAGAGGGCATCCCCTACCCCCGACTTCCTCCTCCCTTCCAGCTGGGCACCTGTGCTCTCCACCAGGGGATACTCGGTCACGTCTGTGGAGGTCACAACCTTGACCACCTCCTCCAGCGGCGTGTCCTTGGCCAGTGTGGTGATGCTGTGGTTCATGAAGTGCTCCACCCTCACATGGTGGGAGCTGCAGGCAGAGGGGCTCCCATCAGGTCCCGGAGTCGGGGATGTCAGACCCAGGCCAGCAAGGGGATCTGAGGGGAGCTTTGCTTGAACCAGGGACCCACGGCTCTGGAGTGTGAGCAGGGCTGGAGAGGTTCCTGGAATGAGGGACTCCTAGAACCCACAGTGGGAGGAAACCTGGGGACCACATTACTGATGGCCCAGTTCCAAATCCCCAACCCCCTGGTCCCCCATGTCCCCCAGACCAGCTTCACTTGGGTCTTGTCCCACCTTGGACAGAGCTGAGTGTGAGATGACGGAAAACCAGTATCTGCCAGGTGGTCAGTGACTGGCCATCCATTAATGAATAATGAGATTGGAGTACAGACCCAGCAGCCTTCCCTGGATAATTCCATTTGATTATAAAAGTGTATGTCACCCCCAAGGAAAAACTTGGAAGGTTGAAAATCACTGGTATAAACAGCCCCATTTTCCCGATGGGGAAACAGGTTCAGAGCAAGGCAGCAGCTTGTTTGTGTTTGGAGCGGGGCCTCCGATTCGGACTCTCAGAGCCTCTTTGGTCTGCTTTTCTGGCGCCAGAAGCTGCTCTGGTCCTATCTGGTTGAGTGAGGACTTCAAAGCCCATTTCCATTCTCGTTCCACCTCCTGCTCCCAAAGTCCCAGCAAGGACAGCAGGAGTGGGGAGAGGGGAGGAGACCTCTCGGATCTGGTGCTGACTCTCTGTGTCACCTGGAGCAAGACACGGCACCTCTCTGAGCTCTGGTTTCCTCAATCTGTACACGGGGCAATACTCATCCTCCTGCTGTGAAGCCCAGCTGACCCCTAGACAGACACTGAGGCCTCAAGGCCAAGGACTTGCCCAAGGTCACCCAGGGCACTGGGGAGAGTGGAGATGAGAGCACAGCTGTGTGTCAGCCCCTCCCAGCCCCCATGTCGGAGGTCAGCTGCGGTGGTGTTTCTTTTTGGAGGTGCCCTCCACCCCCAGCCAAGCCCAAACACTGTGACCCCCTTCAGTCAGCCTGAGGTGGGCACCACTCACCCGATGTTGCGGCCCAGAATCCGTGGCAGGTATGGCAGCTTCTTGACAATGATGGTGCCATCATAGAAGGAGGGCTGGCAGCTCTGTGCAATGGCGTTGGCTGCCAGCACCGCCATCAGCACGGGCAGTGCATGCACTATCTGGCCGGTCAGCTCAAAGGCCAGCAGCGCCGTGGAGATGGTGTGGGTCACAGCCCCTGAGAAGGCTGCAGCCCCTGCCGGGGCAGAGCCACACAGGTCGGCTCAGGCCAGGAGGCAGGGGCCAGCCTGATGTGAGGGAATAACTAGCCTGGCTGCTGCCGGGGGCTAGGGTGGGAATTGTAAGAGGCCACAGCCTGGGCACTGTGGGAAGTGCCCCAAGGCCTGGGCTTGGTGAGAGGAGAGGGATAAGGGAGGCCGCAGGGCTGGGGACAGGAGCCACGAGGAAGTGATGGGCCCCGGGGAATGGTGGGGCTCAGGAGGGACAGACCCCCATGAGGGGTAGGGGGTTCACTGGAGGACTCAGTGACTGCTCCGTGCCCTGGGGAACCACCAGCCAATTCTCCAGGTCCAGCCCAGCCCCACGACATTGCCCACCCAGCAGGGCCGTGACCCACTCACCTGCCAGAGCATACCCCCCGGGCATGATGGGATTGGTAACCCCTCCAGTCACAATGCCCTCAGGGAAGGCGACGGCAAGAGCCTCTCCCAAGAGGCGCCCGATGGCAGCTCCTGGCCACAGACTTAGGGTGAGGGGGAGCCAGGCTGACCCGGCCCCCACAGCCCTCCATCCCTGAGGACCATCCTTAGTACCACCCGGGAAGAGGGTGAACCAGGATGCATGGCCCTGCCCCAAGAACCCCAAAACTCTCAGAACCTCAGGACCCCAGACTCACCAAGGATAAAGATGGGCATGAAGTACCCGGCAGGCATGGGGATGGTGGTGGCCAGAATCAGCATCCAGAACTGCAGGAAGGGGGAGCCCAGGGCAGAGGTTAGAGGCCGCTGGGCAAGGTGTGGACAAGAGAAGACAGGACAGGGGACAGGGGAGTGTCCTAGATAGAAAGAGGGTGCCAGCCATGCACCCACTGCCAGAGTCTGGCATTAGGGGAGGGTCCTCACCCTGAGAAATGCCCACTGTATGCCTGGCACTGTGCCAGGTACATTCCTTTCTTCCTTCTCTGCCTTCCCAGTAACCACCCCATTTTAAAGATGGGAAGACTGAGGTCCAGAGACCTGAAGCCACTTATCCAGGACCATGCAGTGGGCAGGGGGCACAGAAGGAAGTGTGGGTGAGAGGCCTGGGCTCCATGCCACCAGGTGCAGGGAGGCACCCCCGCCCCTCCCCACCAGAGCTGGTCCTGGCTCTGTGCACACCTGGGGGTCAGGGGGCCCACCTTCATAACCAGGAAGAAGGCAAGGGTCCCAAAGATGGTGAACCGCGGGTGGTACCATTCCCACCAAAGGTGCTGGGGGTCGAGCTCCTCGGGCCAGGGTGGGCTGGAGTTCTGGGTCATCAGCGCCCAGGAGTGGTTGTCGAACAGCGAGTCCAGATGCTGCTTCATGGACAGCTGTGGCGGGGCAGGTGGGAACTGGACATGAGGGGCCCCCCCCAGCGGCAGACCCCAGCCTCCCCCGCACCGCCTGACCCCGCCTGGAATCCTCCCCTGCCACTTCCCAGCGGGGGGCCTTGGGCAGGGCTCTGACCTCCCAGAGCCATGGTCTCCTTATCTGCAGAATGATGCCCAGGTGTCACCCTGGTGGGGTGCTGAGGGTATTACGTGAGACACATGCAAAGGGGAAAACAAATGGGGGTTCCCACTCCTGCCACCCCCGCTCAGGACCCCTTACCCGAGAAGCTAGGAAGTGGCCCACACCAGGCGGGTAGGTGATGGAGGCGAGAAGCAAGGTGGCCAGAGCGGAGTACACAGGCTTGCTGTGGGGGGTGGGTGAGCTCTAGGGCTGGCCCTCCCTTTCCTACATCCCGAGGAGAGGGAAGTAGGACCTGGTCCAGGCAGCAGCAGAGCTCCCCACCTGGGGGCTGATACCGAGGCAAGGACTGGTGAGGAGGAAGGGCGGGAGCAGGGAACATGGCCCCCTCCAGCGGGTAGAACCCGTGGGGTGAGCCCCTCAACTGGGTATGACTGAGGGCAGAGGAATCACGCAGGAGATTGAGAGGAGAATTGGGGCAGAGGCAGGCTAGGAGGGAGGAGACAGTGGGCCGGGCCGGGGCGGGCCATGTGCATCTCCGGGGCAGGAGGGCTGGCCAATGCCAAGGCCAACGCCAGGGGCCACACAAGGTTTGAAGGGGCACAGGGTTTGAGGCTCAGTGAGGGGGTGGGGTTTCGCTGAGAGATTGTAGAATGAAGGAGGGATGGGGGTTCAATGTGGGGTTCGTAGCCCAGTAAGGAAGGGGGGACAGTGACTGTGGGGACTTGGAGAGGGTTGTTAGATGCTCCACGGGCTAGGGAGGGATTTAGGGGCTCAGTGGGAGGATGGGGGTGGGGCTTTCTACATAAGGTCTGGAGTCCACAAGGGACTCACTGAGATGTCCCCAGCCCCTAGCCCAGAGCCTACCTAGTAGCCAGCAGTTTGGAGCTGTACCGATTGGTCTTGATGAAGCTGAGGAAGGTTCGCTGACAGAAGAGGTAAGCACAGCTCAGGACGCCGCAGATGCCACTGCGGGGTGAAGGGAGGTAAGACCAGAGCCTGACCCCAGTACCAGGGGCCGCAGTCCAGGCCTTGGGGGGAATGCCTTTTGGACTCTCAGGGGCCCAAGGCACCCACTCACCCCAGCGCCACAAAAAAGAAGATCTCAGGCAGGTCGAAGGGAACGTCCACCCGGAAACTGGTCTTGTAGAGGGAGGTGATGGTCTCTGGGGAAGGAGGGCAGTGGGGAGCCAAGATGGCGCTCCCACCCGACCCAAACTCAAGTCCCAGACTAACAGCCCAGGGTGGAGGGGGTGCCAGGTCCTGACTCGGAATCTGTGTCCTGGCATTCCAGGCCCCCACAACCAGGCTCTTGCCTCCCTGCCCAGCCTCATCCCTTCTACCCTCAGGGCCCCTTGCCCCTCAACACAGGTCAGGGGCTCAACACAGGTCAGCCCCTTCCATCCTCCCTGAAGGAGGTGGGAACACGGAGGAGGGAAAAGAGGGAGAGAGAGGGAAGGGAAGAGCAAGAGATGTACACAGAGGAGAAGGGAGGTCTCCCTCGCCCCGGCCCCCAGGCAGGGCCAGGGTCAGGCAGCCCAGGGGGCTCACCCTGCTCGCTGTTGAAGACTGCCAGGAGCCGGAATATGAAGGCCCCGCAGGTGGCCGCAAAGAAGCCCCTCCAGTAATCCCGGACAGAGAAGTGGGAAGACATGACCTCGATGCTGAACAGGACGCCTGGGGGCGACACTGATGTCAGGTGGGCCCCCACCCCCACCCACCTGTGGCTGTAGGGCCCCCTCCCCCATCTCGCCTCCTCCCTGAGCCATCTGTCCTGCTGTCCTACAGCCCGGACAGGGACAGACAGAAGGGGAGGGCAGGGCTTGCGCCCTGGGCGGGGAGGACCCCGCTGCCCAGGGATCCATCCAGCCTGGAATGCAGGTGTGCGCCCTCTCCCTATCGGGTGGGAACGGTTTGATCCCCATTTTACAGAGGAGGAAGCTGCGCTCAGAGAGGCCAAGGGGCCAGTGGATTTCAAACCCAAGTCTGTGTAATGTTATCCTGAAGCCTCTCAGCACCGCCCAACCACGCCCCCAACCACCCGCCCCGCCCCGCCGCCCCCGGGGGGTGGCTATACCCAAAGCGGGGCTGAAGTGAGAACAAGAATGAGCCCCATCCCCTCCTCCAGGCTCTCAGCTGGGCCGAGGGAGCCCAGGGTGTGAGGGGAGGAGCTTGAGGGACCCAGGGGGCGGGGCATGAGGGGGGTCTCACCGCTGAAGGGAGCTGCAAAGACTGTGGCCACGCCCACTGCCGCCGCTGCCACCAGCATTTCGTTTTGCTTGCTCTTGTTCTGGGGGATCCGAGTCCAGGGCTCAGAGTCAGCCCCCTCCCTCCCCACTCCCATTTCTCCAAGGAAGCCCCCGAGTCCCTAACCTCAGGCTCCCCGATGGTCGTGGTGCGCACACGGCCCAGGTAGGCAGCGATCATTACAGACAGGTGCACGAAAGGGCCCTGCAGAGGGAAGGGTGGGCCCAGGTGAGGGCAGCAGAGACAGTCTCACCCCGAGGCAGCACGGCTTCCCCACCACACCCCCTCCTCCATCTCCCCAACCCCCAGGGCTGTCCTCAGGTAGCTTTTGTCACACTGGGGACCTGGCCTGGCTCTTCCCCTAAGACTGAGCTCCCTGAAGGCAGGCACTGGCCTGAGTCTGCTCTGACCCAGCTTTGGTGGGGTATGGGGGAGAGCTGGGGCAGGGTAGGGTGGGCGGGGTGGCTGGGGTGCCCTCACACCTGACCATACCACTTTGCCCAGGAACAGGGTGCTGCCGGTGGCCAGGGTGCAGGAGAGGCCCACCACCTTGGCCCCAAAGTTCTTGATATCCAGGTAGTCCTCCAAGATCACACCCGCCAACATGGTCTTCAGCTCCGGGATTCCAGAACCTTAGCCAGACAGGACAGGAACAAGCAGGGGACAATCTCTAGATTAAAACTCTCTGCCAGGCGCAGTGGCTCACGCCTGTAATCCCAGCACTTTGGGAGGCCGAGGCAGGCGGATCGCGAGGTCAGGAGTTCGAGACCAGCCTTGCCAACATGGTGAAACCCCATCTCTACTAAAGATACAAAAAATTAGCCGGGCATGGTGGCGGGTGCCTGCAGTCCCAGCTACTTGGGAGGCTGAGGCAGGAGAATTGCTTGAACCTGGGAGGCAGAGGTTGCAGTGAGCCAAGATTGTGCCATTGCACTCCACCTTGGGCAACAAGAGTGAAACTCCATCTCAAAAACAAACGAACAAACAAACAAAAAAAACTCTCATAACTCTACCCGCACGGTGTTTTCACATTATGATTTTTTTTTTTCCTTTGAGACAGGGTATCACCCTATTGTCCAGGCTGGAATGCAGTGGTTCGATCTCGGCTCATTATAACCCCGACTTCCTCAGGCTCAAAAGTGATCCTCCCACCTCAGCCTTCCAAGTAGCTGGGACTACAGGCAGGCACCACCACACCTGGCTAACTTTTTGTTGTGGTGGTTGTTTTTTATTTTTTGTAGAGATGGGGTTTCACCATGTTGTCCAAGCTGCTCTTGAACACCTGGGATCAAGTGATCCACCCACCTCCCAAAGTGCTGGGATTATAGACTGAGTCACTGCACCTAGTCCTATTATGATCACGCAGAACCCTCAGAGGTTAGGATGCATAAACTCATTTTGCAGATTTGGATGCTAGAGTCAGAGAGGAATGCGAGTTGTCCACGTTCCTCCCACTGGGACTGGCAGATGGCTGTGTCAGGATGGGGGAGCTCTGAACAGAACCTCAGGCCACCACTGAGTGAGCCTGGAGCTCCCCTCTGCTGGCCTGGAGCTGGAGGAAGGGCTGAGTGGCCTGAGGGAGCGGCACCTCCTCCATGGGCCCCTTCCTGGCACCAGCACAGGCCCCACAGGGCAATCTCCTTCCAAGGAGCCCTTGGAAAGCGAGTAGGGCCAGCAGTGACCCAAGAGTCAAGATCTGGCCTTCTTGCTGTGTGCCTTCAGGCAAGCCACATAACTCTTCTGGGCTTGAGAAATGAGGCTGCAGCTTCCCGATTCCCCCCATCAGAAGCCCCCTGGGATCTGAGAAGGTTTTGGCACTGGGGACTGGCATGGCGACCGTGGACTCACCTCCAGAGGAGGGCGTGATGCTCTGGGAGAAGCCTGAGGAGAAAGAGACGAGGGCCACAGGGTACACAGTCCAGGAAAGATACCGGAGCAGGTGGCTGTCCCCAATCTCCCTGTACAGCCACTGGTGTGCTGGGGACAGCCGCGTATCAGGGAGGCACCCACAGCCTCTGCAGCCCTCAGGGCCAGACACTGTGGTGCCCACTTACTGACCAGGAAATGGAGTCACGAAGAGGGGAGGACCAGGCCACAGAGTGAGGTGCAGACCCCCAAGAAAAGGCAGGAGTACGACCCTGGGTCCATATCCCAGGTTTACCACTGCCTAGCTGAGTGACCTTGGGCAAGCCACTCAGCCTCTCTGAGCCTCAGTTTCCCCATCTGCCAAGTGGGCTAGTGATTGGCTCTTCCTCACAGGCTCATTGAAGACTAAAGACATTAAAGACTAAAGGGCCACTGAGAACTACATGACACAGGTGTGAAGCACCAAACACCGTAACACCATAGTAGGTGCTGCTTCTGGCAGCTGAGGGTCTCCAGAGAAAGTGTCTTAGACCCTTCCTGCCCACACCCCCTCTTCCAGGGAGGCCTCAGGGTGGAGGCAGGCTGCTGAGGGAGCAGGGGGAAGACTCCAAGTTTGGTGATCTAGGCAAGTGTCCCCACTCCTGCCCCAAGGCACGGAGGAGGGAAGGAGAAGGAACGGGGTGGCTGGAAGAGGAGCCAGAGAGCTCAGAGGAGGAAGGGCTCTTGGGAATATTCAGGTCTCTCTTCCTTGTGCGGCTGAGGAGACTGAGGCCCAGAGAGGGGCAGGAGCCTGCCCAGGATCACAGAGCAAATCAGGAGTAGAGCCAGAGCCCTCCCCGCACCCAGGTCCGTCCCTGCACCGCTGCACTTGGTGGCCCATCTGGTATCCCCAGAGCGTGCCTAGAATCCCTTGGCCCAGAGCAGCACCTGCCAGGGAAGAGTTACCTCGGACCACACACCCGATGGCAAAGTTCATGGCATAGCTGACCAGGGCCATGAGCACCCCGAGGGTCATCAGGAAGTACCAGTCTTCTCCCAGGCGGAACACCTTCTGCTTTAGCCACTCCAGGCCACCTGGGGCAGGGTATCGGAGTCCCAGCTTATGTTGGGGCAAGGGGCACAGACAGCCCCTTCCCTGGAGGTCTGCTTGGCTCCAGGCAGGGAGGACCCTGGTAGTTGAGTCTGGGGTAGTCCTGAGGGGGCCCCGCCTGAGTCAGAGAGGAATGCAAGTTGTCCACGTTCCTCGCACTGGGACTGGCAGATGGCTGTGTCAGGATGGAGGAGCCCTGAACAGAACCTCAGGCCACCACTGAGTGAGCCTGGAGCTACCCTCTGCTGGCTTGCCTCACACTGGGGGCTGGGCAGGATTTGTGGCAGGTGACAGTGGTGGCACAGTGGATGCCAGGACTGCTGCCCCTGCCAGAAGGCCTTTGACCTGTCCACTCTCCCCACCCGTGCCTGTACTGGGAGGTTCCTGGGGGACAGGGAGTGTGAAGGGGGCTGGCAGCTATAGCTTTCACCTGTATCCCTGCAGGATCCATAGCTTAGAGAGCACCAGGGTCTAGCAGACTTCTGCGTGTCCCAGGGCCTGTGGCGCCAGGTATCCTCTGGGTCCCCAGCAATGCCCCTGGCCCGCTGGCTGCAGCCCAGCCTGGGAGCTGGCCCTCACTGGCTGTGGGCACCAGCCACTGGCACTGCACTTAGTCTCCTTCTGTGGTCCCTACTTGCTCTGCCCCGTAGCTGAGGGGACAGTCAGGTCTCAAAGTGAACAAGGCACATGGGGCTCCAAGGAAGGGTGCCAAGTGCAGGCTGCCCCAGCCCCTTGCTGTGCCCCCAGCTGTCCCAGCAGCTAACCCCCACGTCCCCTCATTGGCACAGGTAGGTGAGGGAGAGGCCTGGGTGGAAGATAGGCACAGTGACCAGGCCTTGGGCTGTATCTCCTGAAAGGCAGAGGGCAGATGCCTGGCCCATCTGACCCACAGACAGCTGGACAGACAGACCCCTTCCCTCCCTGCCACCCAGGAGACTTTGGGCAGTCATGTCCTGGACAAATGACAGGAGGGTGGTTCCTGGGCAGAGAGGTGGGGTGGGAGCCAGGCAGGAATGATGTCCTGAGTGGTCCCCCGCGGGTAGGGAAGAGGACCTGGCTCTCACCTTGGATGGCTCGGCGGATGTGGGGACAGGGGCCCCACAGCTCCTGCAGAGTCACAGGGTCCCCTGAGAAGCCCTCACGCAGCCCCACCAACTCCTCCATCAGGCCCCTGGAGAAGCAGATGGAGGGAAGGACCCGGGTGAGCTGCTGCACGTCCTCGCGCTGCCTCTGGGCCCTTCCAGTGCTCTCCCCACCCAAATGAAGAGGAAGGATTGTGCGTGTGTGTGTGTGTTATCACACTAGGTCTGTGTGTGCCCTCATCCCTGAGGTTCCGTCACTGAGGGTGTGTGCCTGTGTGTGTCATTTTGTGGGATGAGGGTGGGATTCCTAGGTGTCCCCCTGTGTCCAGCAGCAGACTGTGGACACCGCTCCCACCCTCCTGGGTCGCTTGGTGCTTCCACTACTGGGAGCAGTCTCTGCCCAGGGCTGTGACTCTCTCACTGCAGAGTCCCATGGATGGCTCCGACTCTCCCTGCCAATCTCGGAGCACCCTCCTTTCTCCCCGACAGCTCAGGTCACAGAGGCAGGAAAACCCCAGGACCAGAAGGCCTCTGCAAAGCCAAAGTGAGGTGCTGGCTACTGCCCCTACCATCCCCTATGCCCTGCCTGCCTGGCCCTTCCAGGTTCATACTCCAGTCCACGCCCAGAGACCCCTCACCTGTCAGTCCTCCTGCTGCGGCTGAACTGGCCCTCCTCTCACAGAGCCTCCTTTGCTCCCAGCTCCAGTGCACCTGGACAGGTATATGCTCTACCAATCATCACTCTCTCCCTGCCACCCCCCTTCCCCGCCGGCCGGGGTTTACCATGGAGATTAAAAACGTCCTTGACAAACCAACCAGAACTGTGGAGGCCAGAGCTGTGCAGGGCAGAACTGCCAAGAGAGAAGGGGAGCAGGAGCCTCCCCACCCATCACAGCTGCACAGAGGGTGGTGCCCAGCTGTACTCAGGCTCCTGGGTGCTGCTGGACGAGGGCTGGGAAGGGGGAGCTCATGCACACAGCAGGACAGAGAGGGGTCATCTGCCAAGGCTGAGACTCAGGGTCCAGGGGTCTCAGAGCTGGACATGGAAGGTTTGAAAAAGCACAGAGGGAGAGGGGAGGAGGCTGGGAAGGGAAGGAGAAGGCAGGGGGGCAATGGTGAGTGGGGCCAGCATGACCACAGCCTCCCTGTGTGTCAGGTAGAGAGTCAGCCTTCTCCCAGATTAATTACCCTGAGTGCCCACGGAAATCCCACGAGGCAGGCAGCGTGATCCCGTTGTAGAGAAATGGTGTCTCAGGGAGCTGGGGCTGCCTGTCTAAGATCACGGAGGCCGAGGCAGAGCCAGGATTCCCAGCCCAGGTTTGCCTGGCTCCAAAGCCCGCAGGCTGTGCCACACGGTCCCATCCTGATGACCCATCTTGTCCAGGGCTGGCGAGGAGGCCGACACCTGGGGCAAGGCAGTGAATTGGGGTCAGGAACTCGGACTTGATCCTGTGTCCAGACCCTCCAGGCTCAGGAAATGCTTCTCAAAGCACACGTCCAAGGGCCAGCGGCTCTGGTGGGGACTTCTGGGTAATTCCACAGAGTTTGTCCCACCCCAACAGAGGATGGCAGCACAGGTGTGAGGGGACATGGCGAGGAACAAGCACCTGCCGTGTGCCTGCGACGTGTCAGGAGCGTCACATCTGCAGCTCAAGTCCTCCTTCCCACACCCTGTGAATGGGGAGAGCCTCGCCATTTTGTAGATGGTCAGAGAGGTGAGTCACTCATCCAAGGTCACACAGCAGAGGCTGAACCCAGCCCCACACTGTGCAGCTCTTCCCCTGCCCAAAGCTCCTCCAGCTCCTGAGGCTGAACCAGGGCAATGGTTTGGGCACAGAACAGAAGAGTTGTGTCTGATGCCACTTTTGGGCAAGAGGTTGGGGACAATTGCCTCCACTCCCACCCAGACAAAGCCACCCTCTGAAGCTTATGATAGCCCTTGGATGATTGTTAAAATCTGGGACCCTGGGCCACCCTTTGCCCCTAGATGCCAGGCAAGTCAAATCAAAATCAAAGATGTGTGTTGTGGGAGGTGGGATGGGAGTTGCCGCTCTGTATGGACTCGAGCCCACCTTCACCTTGGCCACCCCGACCTGTTGACTCTGCACAGCACCAGAACTGGCTGCCCTGTCAACATCCCGATTTCCAGTGTCTGGTCTGGGGCAGCTGCTGGCTACTGTCCCACAGCCAGCACTGCACGTCCACATCTACCCTCACCCCCCAGCCCTGTGTGCACCAGGAGGCTGAGAAGAGGGCAGCCAGGGTGGCTCAGCAGGATGACCGGTTTGAAGCCAGCACAGCTCTGCTGACCCTAACTCTTTCATCAACTAGAGCCTCAGTTTCCTCTTCTGTATGATGAGGTGAGCCTGGAAGCAGGGGCCTGTCTCTGCCTTATTCATCTCTGAGTCCTTCAGAGCCTAGAACAGTGCCCAGCACCTATTTATAGCAAGGTTTCAATGAATACCTACTGAGTGATGAGGGCTTCATCACTGGCCTATGAGCTGGCTGTGTGGGGAGCTGATGGGAAGAGATGTGAGGTCCCTTCCCCAGATCCCAAATCAAAATCCTGGGGTCCAAGGAAAGGGTCTGTGTTTGTGAAAAGCTCTCCTGGGTGACTGGGATTCAAAGGACTGCATCATCTTTGTAGCTCCTTCTGTCTCTGTGATCTGAAGGTAGAGGCAGGGGAATGTCCTTGATGACCTTTTGAGGTCCCTCTGGGTCAGTGAAGCCAGAGGATCCAGTATTTGTGTGGGTGATGCCTCGGGAAGGGGGAAAAAGGGGAGGAGGAATGGTGGGCGGGGGTGGGTAACGGGATCTGACATCCAGGGGCAGTGACTCAGGCCCTCAGCACCATGACAGTGTGTCTGCATTTAGCCACCGGCTCCTGTTTCCCTGGCGAGCGGCAGGCTCTGGGCCCCCCACCCCGCCCCACCCTCTCTCCATCTCACCTCAGTGCTGGTGGCTTCCCAGCTGCCCTAGAAACCCCTCAGCCAGGCTGGGTGTCACAGGCCCCGACACGGGCAGGAAACTCTGCCAGAGGCAACAGGCCCTGTTGCTCCAGGCAACAGCCTGGCCCGCCGCTGTGCCCTGTGCCCTGCTCTGCTTCCACTCCACATACCACCAGCACCGCTAATACCCCTGTAGAAGGAGCTCTCCAGGATGAAGCTCCAGACTGGGTTGTAGGGGGCTCAGACAAAAGAGAAACTGCCCGTCTTCAAGAACCTTCAATCTAATGGGGAGACAGGTGAACCCTCGCCCCCGTGGGAACTGCCAGTTGGATAGGGAAGAAGGGACACAGCAGAGAGTCACAGCACACAGGAAGACTATGTCACACTGCCAGGTGCTGTGGGAGGACAAAGACAGTCAGTGCTGGGGGCATCTGGACTGGGTGTGGGCCCATGTGAGCAGGAGCAGTCAGAGAGGCCTCCCTGGGGGAGGAGGCATTGGAGCTGATCTGGGACGGAAGGGACGGATTTGGAGAGGACAGCAGAGGCCCTTAACTGCAACCTGGGCAGAGCAGAGGGCCTGGCCGCCTCTCAGAATGGCCTCCACCCTGGCCCAGGGCAAGGTCAGTCCCAGCTTTGCTGAGCAAGCAGGTGGGTAGGGAGGGGCTTCTCTGGCTCTTCCGGGCCAGCCTGTCTCCATAGGCACATGTTCAAACCACCTCGGCCTCTGAAGGGCTTTGGGTCCAACACATCTAGGTTCGAATCCCAGCTCTGCCACTTACGCAACTGCGAGCCCCGCCCTTTCCAAGAGGCTTCGCTTCCCCGTCCGTAACATGGGAAGAGCCCCTCCACCCTCCCAGCTGTGTGGGGATCAAACGGGGCCGTGCTGGACAGCTTGCAGCCAGGAGCCCATGCCCAGAAGGCATTCTAGAACTCAGGGCTAGAATAATTGTCTTCCGGAATTCTCTTTTACCTCTGACTGAAATCCCACCTAAGGCGCTCGCAGGCATCACCTCTGACACAGAGATGGAGCAGACAGTTGCCGGGAACACAACCTTCTAGACCTTTAAGGAGAAAGCTGCCAACTTTGTCCTCTTGGGGCTGCTGAATGTTCTGAGAGTCAGAGGGAGTGCAGGCACAGAATCCAGGTCCCCATGGGGGCTGGCAGGGGACAGCTGCACATTTTACACCCCCTGGCAGGGCTCAACCTTTCCTTAGAGATGGGCTGTGAAGGTTGTCTGCCTTGAGGGAAGGAGCTCCTGACGTCACAGAGCGGTGGTGCTTCCACCTACCCTGTCCCCAAGGAGCCTGCACACTGATGGAGGAGGTACAGCCGTGGAGGAGAACCAGAGTCTGGAGGGGAGGCACAGTCCTCAGGAGCCCCCAGGCTGACGGGGGAAACAAAACACACAATAAACCCCAAACTTGCAAGGTTCTGGGGCAGGCACCGAGGTCCGAGTGGCAAGGAGACAGGATCCAGCCCTGTGCAGTGGTGAGGAGGCCCCTGGGGCTGCTGTGATCAGCCTGGAATGTCAGGCTGTGAGCTCAGCCCTCTCGGCCTGCGTGTCGGGCTGTCAGCAGGGCCGGCGCACGGGAGAAGATTTCCAGCCCCCTCTGGGCCATGGAGAGGCCTAAATTTAGCTAGTAGACAAGGGGCTGGCCCCAAGCCCAGGGACAGTCGGCCTTATAAAGCGGCCGCAGTCGGAGCCTGGCACGCTCGCCCAGAGGCCTGCGCCCACACCCTCTCCTGTCCAGCCCTCGCCCGCCTGGGCAGGGCCCGGCGCCGTCCGTGGATGAGCCACAGAACCTCTTCCACCTTCCGAGCGGAGAGAAGTTTCCATTCCTCTTCCTCTTCCTCCTCCTCTTCCACCTCCTCCTCGGCCTCCCGTGCTCTCCCGGCCCAGGACCCGCCCATGGAGAAGGCCCTGAGCATGTTTTCCGATGACTTTGGCAGCTTCATGCGGCCCCACTCGGAGCCCCTGGCCTTCCCAGGCAAGTGATCCGGGCCCTGAGGGGAGGGGAGGTGCACAGGGAGGGGACGTCTGCTCCAGGGCGCCACCGAAGGCGCTGTGGCTGCCGGTCGGCCTGGAACAGGTGCTGCACAGCCTGCAGCCATGTGTGGCCACCAAGACAGATGTGGCCACAGGGACAGATGTGGCCATGAAAACAGGTGGGCCTCTAAGGAACAGTTGTGGCCCTGGGGGTTGGACATGGTTCCATGGCCACCCATGCTCTGTAACCACAGCCAATCCCAGCTGGAGCCCTGGAGGGCTGGATGGGTGAGCGGTGGGGGGCAGCCCCCAGGCTCCAGGCCTGGGGTGGGGTTGTTACAGACCTAGCCTCATATACACACACACTGTGCTGGGTGAGGCCCCACCCCCACCCCAGAAAAGGTGGGCTGTAGGAATGAGGAGGAGCTTAGGGAGAAACAGCTAGGGGGGAGGTAGGGCCTGGGGGAGCCGCCCCTTGCCCCAAGAGAAGGAGCCAGAACCCCCGGATCTGCATGCAAGGCCTGCTCCATGCCTCGCTCACAGCAGCCCATCCCACAGCCCGCCCCGGTGGGGCAGGCAACATCAAGACCCTAGGAGACGCCTATGAGTTTGCGGTGGACGTGAGAGACTTCTCACCTGAAGACATCATTGTCACCACCTCCAACAACCACATCGAGGTGCGGGCTGAGAAGGTGAGCCCCCCACCCCCTACTCACCGCATCCCAAATTCTGCTCCTGCCTCCAATGTCTCCTACTCCCCCTTACCATCCTGGGACCCCAGACCCTGGCCAGTGTCCCTTCCCCACCCAAACTCCCCCAGGGCTAACTGAAGGCCTTGTCCCTGCAACCCATGGCCATGGGGCCCCCTCACTGCCTCTCTTTGCACCGAGGTTCCCAGATCCTTTCTTCCAGGGCCTGAGCAGCTGAGGGAGCCTCCGAGGAATGGGAGAGGGATGGAGGGATGTGGGCAGAGGGAGCCTGAGGGGGTGGGGCTTGAGGGTGGGAGATGACAGGTGTGAGATGGTGATGGCAGAGTGAGGACAGCTCCTCTGGTAGCTATAGGGGGGCGGATGCGGGTAGGTGGGGAACTCACCTGGGCAGTGGGGGGAGGGGTTTCTCCATGTGACCCACCTCAAGCCCTCTTCCCTCCCACAGCTGGAGACCCATCCCCCATCTTGGGACCCCTAAATTAGGCCCGAGGCTGGGCAGGGGCCCTGCAGTTTCGGGTCACACACACTCCAAACCACACACAGCGCCCGCCCACAGGTCTCAGGGTCACTGGGTCTCTAGCGTGTCTGAGTCCGAACTTCTAGGAGGCACTGGGGCCTCCACCCTGGAGAGGGTATGGCCAGGCCTGAACAGGGGCGTTGCCCAGGGACAGCCACGGCTGCCAGGAGAGAGGAGAGGACCTGACCCAAGCCTCCTCCTAAGCCCCCAAGGACTGGCTTCTTCCCCTCCACATTCAAGGGTGGATTTCTGGGCGTCCCTGCCAGGGATGCCATGGACTGGGGGCACCAAAACCCACAGGCAGCATGTGCCAGCCCTGCCACCCCCAACAGTGACTCAGCCGCCCCAAACTCCCCTGGACACTATGTGCTGGCTGAGTTGCGGGGGAGGGGCCGGCGCTCAGCCCTGGCGGGCAGATGCCCAATGTGCCCGGGGATCCAGGAAGGCACGGCTCTCCTCTGTCACCTCCACGTTCCCCAGGAGCCCCAGATTCGGAGCCACTGCCACGGAGCCTCCTCTCTCTCCAAGCCCCACCTCTTCCCCATGTCCCTGGCCTGTTCCTTGGAGCTACTGGAGCTCTGCGAAGCACCCCTGCGCTGTCCCTGCAGAGCCTTTGGCCTGTGGCCATCACCACCCTGGGCAGCCCCTCGGCACCTGAGGGCAGAGCCCCTCGGCATGTGGGGTCTGGCTGGGGTTAGAATGGGGAGAAGAGGGCTCTGGCTTGTCACAAGCAGGACAGGGGTCGGGGCAGCCTGCCTGACGGGTCACCCCTTCCCCAGCTGGCGGCTGACGGCACTGTCATGAACACCTTCGCTCACAAGTGCCAGCTGCCGGAGGACGTGGACCCGACGTCGGTGACCTCGGCTCTGCGGGAGGACGGCAGCCTCACTATCCGGGCACGGCGTCACCCGCATACAGAACACGTCCAGCAGACCTTCCGGACGGAGATCAAAATCTGAGTGCCTCTCCCTTCCCTTTCCCTGTCCCCCCGCCCCACGCCTGCCAGCAAAGCCTCGCTAACCCCATTACAACAGCTCCAGGACATCTCAGCCCAGGTTCTAGCCCCCACGCACCCCAGACCCCAGGTGGACCATCCTCCCAAACTAGGGCCCTCCACTCTATCCAGGGCAGGCCAGGGACTCCCTGGCCTGACACATGATGCCCAGATTTCAGATTTGGCCTCCGTCACTTAATCCAGAGTACAGGGGCTGGGGTCAGGGAAGGAAGATCTAAAGAACCCACTGTGGGTCAGGGGAATGGGACCAGCAGGACATATGGGCAAGCTCTGCAGGACAGACAGACAGACAAACCCTCTGATCTATGAAGTCTCTGCAGGGCAAGGGGACCAGGGACCTGGAACCCTCTTGGCCAAGGGGAGTGGGAGGGACAGAGGGAAGGTCACAGGCAAGGGTGCCTATCTAAGTGGAACTAATTGCCCGAGGGCTCAGCAAGGCCAAGAGGAGACAGCCGTGACGGTAAACTTCCCCTCTACCAGCCTCCAAGCCCCACGCCAGCGAGCAGGCTGCCTGCCCACCCCGTGCCCCCAGCCAGCTGGCTGTGCCAGGGCAGAGCCATGCCACATCTGTATATAGATGGGGTTTTTCCAATACAGCTGGTTCGTGATAAACTGCATGAAACTCCTGCCGTCCTGCGCCTGCTGGGGCCTCCAGGCAAGGCCAAGTGGGGTTGGGGGTGGGGCTGGTCCTTCTCCCTCCCACAGGCCTGTGTTCTTGGGGCTGCTCCCATGCAGACAGGATCACCTAACAGAGATGGAAGCCAGGGCATGGATGGGGCTTTGGGTCCTCGAGGTTGGACCCCAGCTTCTTGCCACCTTCCCCTCCGGGCAGTCAGCTCTCCATCCATCCCCCTCTTTAATCTATGAATCTATAGGCTCGGTGTGTGTAACACACACACCCCTATCGTTGTCCTTCAAATACTCAGCATTACCATTGGTTGAGGCCAAATTCAGAGCTTTCTCAAATCAGATTTACAATCTCCATTTTCATTAACGGGGAAACATCCCCGAGCCACTGAGTGCTGTGCTTTGTCACTGAAGGTTAGATCTGAACCCAGGGTGTCAACTGCTGCTCTCAACTCCCCACCTCTGGGCACTGAGGAGTATTTCCCCTCATTCTACCTCTCTAAGGCTATGCAACCCTCCCCACGTCTTCCAGCTGGGGGATGGGGGGGAGTCATAGGAAAAGCCCCCATCTCCCATCTGGGATAGGGACCTTCCATCAGCCTTAACCCTGGGAAATGCCTGCTGCCCCCAATGACTCTTGGTTTCGTCTCCCACATACAGAAGCAGGGTGGAGGGGAAGGGTGGGTCTCAGTTAGCAGGGGTCCCCAGGGCAAGTCAGCCTCCTCCCTCCATGCCTCTCTGGTCAGTGTGCCTTAGGGTGGCCTCTCACTCCCACCACTCTGGGCCCCTTGGGGGAGGACTGGGGAGGGGGCCGTGGGAGAGCCCTGACGCTGGAACCTGTATACACAATAAAGGACAGTCTCACAGACTTCTGGAGGCCGCCTGCCTGGAGTTCTCAAACTTAGGGCAGGGCTGGAAACCCTGAGAGAAACAGACACACCTTCTTTGAGATTTGGGGATGGGGGTTGTAGCTCAAGTTAAAGCTGAAGACCTCACAAAATGTGGGCGTTCCTCGGCCTCCTCCGTGGGCTCCCCAGACCCCCCTGGGCAGGAACCCCAGGATTGTTTCTGGAAAACCCTTGCAACACCTTCTCGTCCAACTGCCTGCCCTTCCCTTTTTATTATTTCTTTCCTTCCAGAGATATTTACTGTCCTGCTATGTGGCGGGCACTGTTTCAGTCCCAGGCGCAGGGACGCAAAGGTGGGCAGGCTGCACCGGGTCGCCTGCCCTCTTGAAGCCCTTCTTGTACCTAATGGGGATTCTGCGGCCCAGAGAGTCTGAGTGACTGGCCCAGGGTCACACAGCCCCAGAGGCAAAGCCAGCTGGAACTTGGGGGCGGGGGTGTCCGGGTTGGTTCAGGGAGCCTGGGGAGGGGAGCTCTCCGGAGGGGTCCCCCACCCCTCACACCCCCAGGCTTGCTCCCCAGTGCAGCTCCACCGGCTGCGGTCAGGAGGAGGGGAGGGGATCAGAGGGGGCGCGGTATTTCCAGCCTCCATGACTCACTGATTCCACTGGGCTATTTGCAGCCCCGACACTCATTGGCGCGAGGTTGGGGGAGGAGCCAGCCTGGCTCCCCCTCCCACGCCCCCCACCCGGGGTCAGGCTCACCTTGGCGTACGGATCTCAGCGAGCCCTCCCTCGGCCGGCCGGTGCTGGGAAAGGGGGCAGCTTCCCAAGTGGTCAGTGGGGCCGAAAACCACCCCCAGCCCCCAGCAGCCCCCTCCCCAGACAGCAGTTTGCGAGGATGAGGACTGCTCAGGGGACCAAGCGGCCGCTGGGCCGCTGGGGCACGTCGGGTCTGAAGGAGCCCTTGGCCGCCAGCCCGGCCAAGGTGACCCTGCGGTAGGGGAGGGCGGGTCGGCCGCGGGGCTTTCGCCGGCTCCGCCCCCTGGGCGCCCAGACTGGCCGCGGCGCTTTGTCTCCCAGCGCCCCCAACCCCCTTCCAGGCTAAATATAGGCCTGGCTGCAGGCCCTGCGCCCCGCCCCCACCCGGAAGAGTAATTATAGCCGCCCCATTCATTGAGCAACTAGTGTGTGCCAGGCGCGCCGCTGATTCCCACAAGAGTCCTGCAAAGCAGGTACTATGATTAACGGTGTGCCTAGAAGGACACGGAGGATCAGCGAGGTCAGGCAACTGGCCCAAGGTCACCCAGCCTGGAAGTGGCACGGTTGGGATGTGAATCCTTGCTATGGCTCTGGAAGGCCATCTGCTGGGTCAACCTGGATCAGTCGCCACCACCAATGGGCTGAGGCAGCTTCCCTCCTCCCACCCTGGCAGCCCCCACAGGGAAAGGGGGCTCTCGCGTCTTGTAGCTTTGGGGGTGGGCCTGGGCAGCAGGTAGGGGAAATTGAAAAGACGCAGCTCTCTGGGGCTGGAGACCTGTGAGAAAGTCCAGGTCAGGTAGTACCAGAGACTGGGAGGGGCAGAGAGGACCTAGAAGGTTTCCTCACTTTGAAGGCCTAGCAGAGGCCAAAGGCCTCCTCCTCCAGGAAGCCCTCCAGAGCCAGAGCACAAAGAGCCCAGGCAGATGTTCAGAGCCCCTTCCCAAACCCTGTCTTCAAAGTCAGATGGAAGTAGCGCATGCTCAGGAGCCTGAGGTGAGAGGATCTCTTGAGCCCAAGGTTTAGAGACCAGCCTGGGCAACATGGCAAGAACCCGTCTCTACACAAAATACGAAAATTAGCTGGTATGGTGACGTGCACCTGTGGTCCCAGCTAGTCGGGAGGCTGAAGTGGGAGGATGGCTGGAGTCCAGGAGATGGAGGCTTCAGCGAGCCGTGATCGCACCACCGCACTCTATCTTGGGTGACACAGTGAGACCCTGACTCAAATAAAATAAAAAATGACCGGGTGTGGTGGCTCACTCCTGCATTCCCAGCACTTTGGGAGGCTGAAGAGGGTGGATTGCCTGAGCTCAATAAATACAAAGTATTTATTTGAAATCAGCCTGGACAACATGGCAAAACTGCATCTCCACAAAAAATGCAAAAATTAACAGGGTATGGTAGCACATGCCTGTAGTTCCAGCTACTTGGGGGTTGAGGCTGGAGGACTTGCTTGAGCACTGGTGGTTGAGGCTGCAGTGAGCCATGTTTGAGCCACTACACTTCAGCCTGGG
The DNA here is from genome assembly GCF_000001405.40 of Homo sapiens. Taxonomy (NCBI): domain Eukaryota; kingdom Metazoa; phylum Chordata; class Mammalia; order Primates; family Hominidae; genus Homo; species Homo sapiens. The sequence goes on along the minus strand of NC_000001.11, from coordinate 16,011,777 downwards.
CAATAGAGTGAGAACCTGTCTCAAAAAAAAAAGAAAAAGAAAAAAAAAGTGACCTTTTGTATTTGACATCTTTCACCTCGCATAATGTTTTCGAGATTCATCTATATTGTAGCATGGACCAATAATCTTTTCCTTTTTAAGGCTGAAACATATTCTGTTGCATGGCTAGGTCACAATTTGCTTACCTTTTCATCAGTTGATGGATGCTTGGGTTTGGTTCCACCCTTTGGTTTTGGTGACTAGTGCTGCTCTGTGCACTCGTGCAGATTTTCTTTTTTTTCTTTTTGAGACAGAGTTTCACTCTTGTCACCCAGGCTGGAGTGCAATGGCGCGATCTCGGCTCACTACAACCTCCGTCTCCTGGGTTCAAGCGATTCTCCTGCCTTAGCCTCCTGAGTAGATGGGATTACAGGCGTGCACCACCATGCCTGGCTAATTTTATATTTTTAGTAGAGACGGGGTTTCACCATGTTGGCCAGGCTGGTCTGGAACTCCTGACCTCAGGTGATCCACCCACCTTGGCCTCCCAAAGTGCTGGGATTACACCGGCCACTGCACGCCTGGCCATTTGTGCAGATTTTCACATGGACGAATGTTTTCACTTCTCTTGAGTATATATCTAGGAGCAGAATTGCTGGGTCCTCTGAAAGCTCCATGTTTGTTTGAGGAACTGCCAGACTGTTTCCCAAAGTGGCTGTACCATTTTACATTCTCACTGATGATTTTACTTAATTCATGGTTAATGAAGGAACCAGTAAGATGTCACAAGCAGTTCAAAGAAGGAGGCAAAGAACAGATGATATCTGTAGGTCAGGGAATATTGAAATGAATGTGCACAGAGGTAACACTGGCTTCTTCCACAGTTGGGAAGGAGAGTCCACTGGACTTGAACAGGACAGGACAGAATCTGCTTGTCTGTAGACAAGAAGTATGTTGCATTCCTACGGGCTACTTACAATAGACAGAGTTGTAAAATAGCTCAAAGGCAAAGAAAAATGCTCACCCCCTTGAGAATCAGACGATGCGTAGATGGTATTGGATATGTTTTGTGATCTTTTTTGCATATTCCAAGTTTTTCACACCTCTGTCACCTTGGGCCTAAAGGAAATAATGTATACAGTGGTCCATTTCCAAAACAAAGTGGCTTGAATAGGTTTGAGTCCGCAAACTACAGAAGAACAGAATATACTAGGCCCCTGCTTTGATAGCCGGCGCCTGCTTGTCGGGGCCCGCTTAGTTGCCCTCACCCAAACCAAAAAAGTTGAGTCTAGAATGAAAGTTCACTAGCCTGCAAAATAGCTCGCTTTGTCTATTCTTATCAGCTTGCCTGACTACCTAGGTCATAAGTCAGATACTTAAGAAAACCCTAAGCTGGCTATGATTGCAATGTATTGTGGGCTGCAACAAAATGCAACAAGAAAATCCTAAAGAAAACACCTAAAAGCTCCTACCCAACAACCAATAGGCGACATCCAGGAAGATTGTGATCCTACAGTACTCAGCCTATGAGGAACCAGGGGAGGGACCTGCGCACTAGGGGATAAATTGCTTGTTGTAACTGTGCTGGGTGTGCCTGCCCACCAGACACCCGATCTCGTAAGACCATCATTAAAAGTCTCTCTTCCACTGTTCTATGTGCCTCTGAGCCCATTCTTTGGGTTTGGACAGGTAAGTTGGTTTCTCACAGGCCTGATGACCTGGTCTCACACCTCACCTTCCCAGAGCAACTTCATCACCAACCTATATACCAATGCAGCCCCATTGCCAGCCTCAACCTCTGACCAGAGCTCCAATGGGGAATGGGTCACCACCTGCCCACATCCCCTCCGGCATGTCCCACAGTCCCTCACACGACATCCGCCTCCTGAACCTGTCATCTCCCCATGTCCCCACTGGCTACTCCGCCTGTGTGCTCCATCTCAGCGAGGGCCCTACCACCCATTCAGTCTCCGGACACTCCCCACATGCTGCCGGGTGCCAGGCTGGATCATTCTTCACTCACTTATTGAACCGCTGTGACCAGTGTGTTCACAGCACAGTATGGGGCTGCAAGCGCAGTGCGCAGTCACATTGCCTGAGGTTTGGATTTGGGCTCTACCGGTTTCCAGTTAGTGACCTTGGGCAAAGTATTCGACCTTTCTGTGCCTCAGTTTCCTCTGTAAAATGGCAAGAGAAATCATGCCGACCTCACATGACTGGGGTCAGGTGAACTGATGGGGTGTGGGGTGTATATTCAATTGCCCCGTAATGACGACAGCTATAGTAACTGACGACATCAATAGTAATGATGACAGCTCCCTTTACGGAGCAAGTATAAGTGGTATAAGTGCCTGGTTCCTCTGAATCCTCACCAAGACCCCCCAGGGTTCAATTCTGAAATGTCACTTTGCTGGGTGCCTGGCATAAAGTAAACATTCATTATTCTGGATGAAAGGAGTATTGGTTAGAATGAGTCTGGCTTCTGAAAAACAGACCCACTGGTTGGCTGGCCCCAAGGCTTTAGTCCCAGACCCAGCAGGTCCACACCTTCCCTGTCCAGGCCTGGACCCAGTGTCCTCTAGTCTGATGAGAGGGCGACACCTGCTGGTGAAAAGCCGGATGTGCAGCCACAGGTCTCCTTTCTCCTTGAGGGTCTCAAACTCCCTCTGCAGCCTTGTCCTTGGGGCCTTCAGGAGAGTAGAATGGGCATATGTCGACCAGATTGTACTGCGTCCTCCTCTCTAGTCCAAACCATTGCTCTCCTTTCTCAGGATTAAGACTCAGCCTCCGGTGCCTCCTCCCTGCAGTCAGAAGGCCCGGAGGGATCCTTTCCAAAGGTACGTCTGGCCATGACGCTGTCTGCTCACAATTTCCAGTGCTGCCATCTGGGAATAAGATCTAAGATCTAAAGGTCTTGTTGCAGCCTGCCAGGCCTCACCTGATGCAGCTTCTGCCACTTTTCTTTTCTTTTTACTTTTTTGGTTTTTTTTTGAGACAGTCTTGCTCTTGCTCTGTCACCCAGGCCGGAGTGCAGTGGCGAGATCTCGGCTCACTGCAACCTCTGCCTTCTAGGTTCAAGCAATTCTCTCACCTCAGCTTCCCAAGTAGCTGGGATTATAGGTGCCCACCACCACGCCCAGCTAATTTTTATATTTTTAGTAGAGACGGGTTTTCGCCAAGTTGGCCAGGCTGGTCTCGAACTCCTGACCTCAGGTGATCTCCCCCCGCCTCCCCCTCCTTGGCCTCCCAAAGTGCTGGGATTACAGGCATGAGCCACCGCGCCTGGCCTCCTGCCACCTTTCTGATCTGTTTGTTTTGTGTGTGTGCATTGCCTGTCTCCCCCAACTAGAGGATAAACTATTTTGTGGCTGGGCCTCATTGTCTTATTCATTGCTCCATCTCATGGTTTAGCCCAAAGCCTGGCATTCAGTGGATGCCCAATAAATACTTGGTGAATAAATGAATGAATGACAATTACCCTAGCCAGACTGAACGACTGGTCCTTCTGCCCAGAGCACTCCCCACTTGCTCCCCCACCCCACCCTTTTGTATAGCTTAGTCACCGGTCAGATCTCATTTTCGGCATCACTTCCTGCAGGAAGTCCTCCCTGATCTCCTCTCTCTAGAGTGGGCTGGTTGTCCTCCAGCATCATTCTGTGTTGCCCTTACTGTTGCACTTCTCAGAAGCTATGGCAATTGTGTGCTTTCTTTCTGGCCTCCCCCACCTGGCTGTGAGCTCCTTGAGGACAGGGTTACATTTATCCTCTGTGTGTCCCCTCTGCCTAGAAGAGACGCTACCAGGATGAGAGGGTATATACCTTACAGTTACAAGCAAGAATATGGGCACCAGACTTGCCTGAGTTCTAATCTCAATGGTACCAGTCTATGGAACTTTGAGTCCATTCTTCAACCTCTCTGTGCCTCAGCTCTCTAATCTATAAAATGGTCACAAATACAGTGCCCATGTTGTTTCTCTGACACAGAGTAAATGGTCAATTACATGTTAAATGTTAGCAGCTAGTATTTGTAGGAACCTAGTAAAATAGTCATTGAATAAATTAATGACCAGATACGGTGGCTCACACCTATAATCCAAGCACTTAGGGAAGCTGAAGCGGGAGGATAGCTTGAGGCCAGGAGTTCAAGACCAGCCTGGGCAGCACAGTGAGACCTCTTCTCTACTAAAAGAAGTCAAGCTGGGCGTAGTGGTGCACCTATAGTCTCAGCTACTCGGGAGGCTGAGGCAGGAGGATCACTTGAGCCCAGGAGTTTGAGGCTGCAGTGAGCTGTGATTGTTCCACTGCACTCCAGCCTGGGTGATAGAGTGAGACTCTGTCTCTAAAATAAATACAGAAAAACCCAGTGATTTTTATCTGGGAGCTTTGAGACTGACTTCCTTAAATAGGTTGCTTTAGGGTTTCTCACAGTGCTGTGCATGCCTTAGACTCACAGACACCTTCACACCCACACCAGTAACTCCACCTCCTGCTCAGGGAACACGATTGCCCTGAGGGGTGAACCTCCTCCCCCCACCTTTTTTTTTTTTTTTTGCTATCCCTAGAGGGCAGCATGAGCCTGGTATGCAGTAGATGCTCAATAAATAACATGTCTTGTTTTCATTCGTTCAAACATGATACTCTATTTTTGAGTACCTCCCTCCCTTTTGAGAAGCCAGATCCCCTTATTTCCCATCTCAGATCCCCAGGTCCCACCTGGGCTGCCTTATGGGATGGAGTCTCCTGGAGCCAACTTCCCTGAGCCTCCCAGCCCCAACTGGCATGGCCCTCGAGTCTCCCCACGTGGTATCCCCTGCCTTTGCAGTGACCTACACACTCGCCTCTGAGCCAAGATGGCAGCAAGAAACCCGTTGCCCCTCCCCGTCATGCTGGGGCATTCTGACCACTGCTCTGGCCTGCCCTGGGGTAAGATGACAGCAGGTGGCCCTGGGGAGGGTGGATTTTCTCAGGGCTGGCCCCTTCTCATCTTTTAGATCACACTTTGTTGCCTGCGCAGAGAGGCCCTTACCAAGCACTGCATCAGGAAAGGTCTTCACCCCAATCACTCTCCCTCTAGCATCCTGTTTCAGTTCCTGCAGAGCATTCATCGCTGTTCAAAATCATCTTCTTTATTTATTGGGTTACTTTATTTATTCAGGGTGGGTTCCCTCCACCCCAAAAATACCAGCTCCAGGAAAACCATGGTATCTCCCCAGCACTTTGCAGGGCCTGGCATGTGGAAGATGTACCAGTAATATTTGCTGTATGAATGAATGAGTCTCTTCATGTGCAGGTGACTTATCCTGCCTCTGCCACTCGACGGATGTTTCAGATGCCCCTTAGCGGATCTAATGATGTTTCCTTGGCTCAAGCACAAAAGACTCCTGCTTAGCTGGGGAAGCAGGGCCAGGCCCTGGGAATTGCAGCCTCTGGGCATCAGAGCCCGGCCCTTCCAGCTAATCGGCCTGCCCACAGACACAAGAGGAGAGGGCTTTCAGTGAGTCCTTGACTGTTCCCCAAGTTGAAGACCTCACAGGCGCAGCCTTCACGGGTTTCCCCTTAGCCTCGGGAACCTCCTGGGGGCAGAGCGGGCTGACTGGGAAGGAAGCTGAGGCCACAGACCCTCTGCAGAGCGGCAGGGTGGCCCTGGCCTGGGCAAGGCATCCCCCACCCATGGGGGTCACCCGAGTCAGATGGGGCCAGTTTTCCCCACAGAACACGATGTAGGTCTTCATTGGTGGGGTGACAAGCCCTCGATTGGGACTGGGGGCTTGGGGTGGTGATGCGGTTGCTGCCAGGGAGAGCTGCTTCCCGTGGGTGCAGTCAATAACAAAAGTCAGGTGAGCCGTGGGGACGGTCTTCTGATGGCCAGCCAGCTTCCCACCTAGAAGAGAGGAAAAGACCAAAAGTTAGCACAAGCAGGGGACTTTTCTTTTCCCCTGAGACAGGGTCTCACTCTGTCGCCCAGGCTGGAGGTCATGGCTCACTGCAGCCTCAGCCTCAGGGGGCTCAACCAATCCTCCCATCTCAGCCCCCTAAGTAGCTGGGACTACAGGCTCATGCCACCATGCCTGGTGAATTTTAAAATTTTTTGTAGAGATGAGGTTTCCCTATGTTGCCCAGGCTGGTCTCAAACTCCTGGACTCAAGAAATCCTTCTGCCTCAGCCCAATCAGTACTGGAATTGCAGGCGTGAGCCACTGCACCCGACTGGGACATGGTTTCCTGAATTCATTTGTTTATTCATTCGATAGGGTTCAACTGGATTGGTTGATACACCAACAGAGGAGGACAGTCAGGGTTTAAGTGTATGGACTTCAGCATCAGAGAGACCTGAGTTCAAGTCTCCACTTACCATCCATCCATCTGCCTTCCAGGAACACAGAGTCCAACATGTCAGTGCCTCCCAACTTTGCTGTTCCCATGAGCTGCCTGGGGAGCTTGTTAAAATGCAGAGTCTGGTGCAGTGGGGCTGGGGTGGGGCCTGAGACTCGCGTTTCTAACAAGTCCCCAGGGGATGCCAATTCTGCTGGTCCATGGACCATATTATGAAAAGCACAGTCCTCAACCCCAGAGAGGAAAGCCCTGGCCATCTTTCCAGGTGAGGAAACTGAGGCTCAGCCTGCACAAGTGTTGGTGGGTCTCAGGGAGCATCTTGCTACTCTCCCCCTCCCCAGATAATCTTGTCCACAGCCTCAGAGAATCCCATCAGTACCTGGTGGCATTTGCCCTGGCAATCCCCCCGCTCAGAGCCCAGCACAGGGTAGAGGGATGGACAAACCAGCCAATAGACTTATCAATGAAGCAGGTGTCTGAGCAATTGTATCTGAATCCAAAGCCTGTGCTCTTAAAAAGGTAACTTTTTGAGTTACCCAAATAACATACACATCCATTCTCTTAGCTACGTGCTGTGAAACACGACGTGGGCTCAGAAGGAAGCTTATGTTCTAGTAGGTTGGCTAGCACAGGAAATAAAACGAGCCCGCCCTTGGCTGGAGAATCCCAGCAACCCAAGGGAGGTAGCATGTTTGCCATCAGACCCCCACCCACCCCCAGCTGGTCTTGCTTTTTTTTTTTTTTTTTTTTTTTTGAGATGGAGTCTCACACTGTTGCTCAGGCTGGAGTGCAGTGGTGCGATCTCAGCTCACTGCAACCTCCGCCTCCTGGGTTCAAGCGATTCTCCTGCCTCAACCTCCTGAGTAGCTGGGATTATAGGCACCCGCCACCACACCCAGCTAATTTTTTGTATTTTTAGCAGATATGGGGTTTCACTATGTTGGCCAAGCTGGTCTCGAACTCCTGACCTCATGATCTGCCCGCTTCGGCCTCCCAAAGTGCTGGGATTACAGGCATGAGGCACCGCACCTGGCCCCCAGCTGGTGTTTCTGTGGGGCTGGGGTCCCTTTGCCGCCTCTTACCGGAGCTGGTCTCCAGGCCTGTCTCACGGATGGTGCCTTTGAGGTTGGCTCTCCAGTCCCTGGGGTCTTCTGACGGGGCCATGCGGCTACTTCGGCGCCTGCCTAGCTCTGGCAGGAGAGGAGCTGTCCTAGGCCACTCTTCCAGGATGTGGCTCCCCCACTGCGGGACCAGACCTTTTATACTGACCGGATCCGGATTCTCTGAGTGCATTCCACCAGGAGCCAAAGGAACTGGCCCAGAGCAGTCAGGGGATCGCTTTGATCAACAGGGTTATGTCAACAGGATTATTGTTGGCTCAATGGGAGGCAGGCCTCCTACCAAACAGACCAAACAGACACTATTTCTACCAAGCGCAGCTGCTTCCTGATTTAGGGTAGGCCTCTGGAACCTTCTCATCCAGCCTCAGTTTCCCAAACCTCAGTCATTATCCAGTGGTTCCACCAGTTTGGCTTTTTCCCCTGTCTAGGAACTATACGTAATGCTACTTAATTCACATGTCCTTGAAGTCAGCCAACTGTTTTTACTGAAAAAGAAGTGCACTTGGCCGGGCGCGGTGGCTCATGCCTGTAATCCCAGCACTTTGGGATGCCAAGACGGGTGGATCACAAGGTCAGAAGATCAAGACCATCCTGGCTAACACGGTGAAACCCCGTCTCTACTAAAAATACAAAAAATTAGCCGGGCGAGGTGGCGGGCACCTGTACTCCCAGCTACTCCGGAGGTTGAGGCAGGAGAATGGCGTGAACACGGGAGGTGGAGCTTGCAGTGAGCCGAGTTTGCGCCACTGCACTCCAGCCTGAGTGACAGAACGAGATTCCATCTCAAAAGAAAAAAGAAAAAAAAAGAAAGAAAGAAAGAGAGAGAGAGAAGTGCACTTTATTTATTTATTTGTTTATTTATTTTGAGACTGAGTTTCGCTCTTCTTGCCCAGGCTGGAGTGCAATGGCACAATCTCAGCTCACTGAAACCTCCACCTCCCAGGTTCAAGTGATTCTCCTGCCTCAACCTCCCGAGTAGCTGGGATTACAGGCATGCACCACCACACCCGGCTAATTTTGTATTTTTAATAGACACAGGGTTTCTCCGTGTTGGTCAGGCTGGTCTCGAACTCCTGACCTCAGGTGATCTGCTTGCCTTGGCCTCCCAAAGTGCTGGGATTACAGGTGTGAGCCACTGCGCCTGGCCAGAAGTGCACTTTATTTTAATTTTATTATTATTATTATATTTTGAGATGGAGTCTTGCTCTGTTGCCCAGGCTGAAGCGCAGTGGTGTGATCTCAGCTCACTGCAACCTCTGCCTCCTGGGTTCCAGTGATTCTCCTGTGTAAACCACCTAAGTAGCTGGAACTACAGGCGTGTGCCACCACACCTGGCTAATTTTTGTATTTTTTTTTTTTTTTTTTTTTTTTTAGTAGAGATAAGGTTTCATCATGTTGGCCAGGCTGGTCTCAAACTCCTGACCTCAAGTGATCTGCTTGCCTCACCCTCTCAAAGTACTGGGATTACAGGTGTGAGCCTCCGCACCTAACCTATTTTATTTTATATCTGCTACTGGCCCAGATGAAAGAAATGCACTTTAAAAGGAAATTTGGTATTGCTATATTAAATAGAAACAGTATCACTTCCAGAAATAAGAGGTACCTATGCCTGGTAGCCAAGTTGGCCGCCAAAGATGTCCACGCCTTAATCCCCAAAGCCTGTGAATATATTACCTTATTTGGCAAAAGGGACTTTGCAGATGTGATTAAGAGTTTGAATTTTGAGAAAAGGAAATTATTCTGGATTACGTGGGTGAGCTCAATCTAATCACATGAGTCCTTAAAATCGGAGAACCTCGCCGGGCGTGGTGGCTCACGCCTGTAATCCTAGCACTTTGGGAGGCCGAGGAGGGTGGATCACCTGAGGTCAGGAGTTCGAGACCAGCCTGGCCAACATGGCAAAACCCCGTCTCTACTAAAAATACAAAAATTAGCTGGGCGTGGCGGCACACGCCTGTAATCCCAGCTACTCAGGAGGCTGAGGAAGGAGAATCGCTTGAACCTGGGAGGTGGATGTTGCAATGAGCCAAGATTGCACCCCTGCACTCCAGCCTGTGTGATGGGAGCGAGACTCCATCTCAAAAAAAAAAAAAAAAATCGGAGAACCTTTTCTGGCTGGATTAGAGAGATGTGATAACGGAAGAAGGCCAGAGAGATATGAAGTGAGGACTCAACCCTCCCTTGCTGGCTTTGGAGGCGGAGGACGGGGTCCTGAGCCAAGGTATGCCAGTAGCCTCTAGAAGCTGCGAAAGGCAAAGAAAGGGATCCTTCCCTGGAAATTCCAAGAAGAAACCTTCCTGCCAACACCTTGATTTTAACGCAGTGAGACCCACGTTGAACTTCTGACCTATAGAGAAAAAATTTGTGTTGCTTTAAACTCCTAAATTCTGATAATTTATTTAGTATCAATAAAATACTAATACACTATGCAAATAACAAAGAAAATTTTAAAAATTAAATTTTAGCTAAATTTTGTTGCCTGTGTTACATGACTTAAAAAGTAACTGGGTTATTTATATCTTACTACAATGTCTTGCTTCCTTCAGGGTCTCACTGTTGCCCAGGCTGGAGTACAGTGGCACAGTCATGGCTCATTGCAGCCTCGACCTCCCGGCCTCATGCAATCCTCCCACCTCAGCCTCCTGATTAGCTGGGACTACAGGCTCATGCCACCTCACCTGGTTAATTTTTTAAAAAACCTTTTGTAGAGATGGAGGGTCTCACTGTGCTGCCCAGGCTGGTCTCGAACTCTTGGCTTCAAGCAATCCTCCCATCTCGGCCTCTCAAAGTGCTGAGATTATAGGTGTGAGCCACCATGCCTGGCCTACAGTTTTTTTTTTTCTTTGAGACGGAGTTTTGCTCTTGTCGCTCAGGCTGGAGTGCAATGGTGCAATCTCGGCTCACTCCAACCTGCAACCTCCGATTCCCAGGTTCAAGCGATTCTCCTGACTCAGCCTCCCGAGTAGCTGGGATTACAGGTGCCTGCCACCACGCCCAGCTAATTTTTGTATGTTTAGTAGAGATGGAGTTTCACCATGCCGGCCAGGCTGGTCTCCAACTCCTGACTTCAGGAGATACTCCTGCCTTGACCTCCCAAAGTGCTGGAATTACAGGCGTAAGCCGCTGAGCCTGGCCCCACAATTTTTTTAAAGAAGTAACTGGACACGCGTGATAGCAGGCACCTCTGATACCATAGGACAAGAAGGGTACTTTATGTCTGTGGTCTCCTACCCCAAAATTCCTAACGCCAGTCTAAATATGAGAAAAACATTGGATAAATCCAAACTGAGGAACATTCCATAAAATACATGTACAATCCCCAAACTCTCAAGATCATGAAAAACAATGGGAGACAAAAACTGTCACAGACCAGAAGAGACTAAACAGACATGAAAACTTGCTACAGTGGAGGTATCCTGAATTGCATCTTGAAAAGGGCACTGCAGAAATACTGGTGAAATCTGAATAAAGCCTGGAGTTTAGACGCTAATAATGTACTGATGTTGCTTTCTTAGTTTCGACAAACATTCTATGGTCATGTAACGTGTTGACAATAGGGGAAATTGGATGTGGTGTATACAGCTCTGTACAACCGTTGCAGCTTTTCAATACATTGGAAATTGTTCTAAAATTTACAAATTATTATTGGCCAGGCACGGTAGTTCACGCCTGTAATCCCAGCACTTTGGGAGGCCGAGGCAGGTGGGTCACTTGAGCCCAGGAGTTCTAGGTGAGCCTGGGCAACATGGTGAAACTCCATCTCTACTAAACATACAAAAATTAGCCAGGCTTGGTGGTGCGTGCCACAGTGCACAGCGCACAGCCATAGCTCACTGGAGCCTCAAACTCCTGAGCTCAAGCCATCCTCCTGCCTCAGCCTCCCAAGTAGCTAGGAATACAGGTTCATGCAACTATGTCCAGCTAATTTTAAAAGTTTTTGTAGAGATAGGGTCTCACTATGTTGCCCCGGCTTAAAAATTATTATTATTATTATTATTTTTTGAGATGGAGTCACACTCTCTCACCCAGGCTGGAGTGCAGTGGCGCAATCTCGGCTCACTGCAACCTCTGCCTCCTGGGTTCAAGCGATTCTCCTGCCTCAGCCTCCTCAGTAGCTGGGATTATGGGCGCACGCCACTACGCCTGACTAATTTTTGTTTATTTTTAGTAGAGACAGGGTTTCACCATGTTGGTCAGGCTGGTCTCGAACTCCTGACCTTGTGCTTAGTCTGCCTTTGCCTCCCAAAGTGCTGGGATTACAGGCATGAGCCATCGCACCCAGTCAAAAATTATTTTTTAAACTGCACATAGTGGCTCATGCCTGCAGTCCCAGCACATTGGGAGGCCGAGGCAGGAGGAGCACTTGAAGTCAGAAGTTCCTTGCCAGCCTGGGCAACATGGCAAGACCCAGTCTTCACAAAGACTGAGTGGCTTGGCCCTGGTGCAGTCACATAGGTCCCTGCTAGCTGAGCTGAAATTAAAACCCATTCAGGGCAGGGCGCAGTGGCTCATACCTGTAATCCCAACACTTTGGGAGGCCAAGCCAGGTGGATCACCTGAGGTCAGGAGTTCGAGACCAGCCTGACCAACATGGAGAAACCCCGTCTCTACTAAAAATACAAAATTAGCCGGGTGTGGTGGCACATGCCTGTAATCCCAGCTACTCGGGAGGCTGAGGCAGGAGAATCACTTGAACCCGGGAGGCACAGGTTGCAGTGAGCCAAGATCGCACAATTGCACTCCAGCCTGGGCAACAAGAGCAAAACTCTGTTCAAAAATAAATAAATAAATAAATAAAACCCATTCAGTCTGACTCCTGCGTGGCTCATCGGGCCTGTGGACTGGACTCTCCTTTTCCCTCCACACCCCCATCTGAGCAAATTCAGTCCACGAGCAAATCATGCAGGTGGCACCTTCACAATGATCCTGAGGTGACACTTCTCACCACCTGCCTTCTCCCACCTAGTTTGAGCACCCTTCATCACTTACCTGGACTAACCAACTGGTCCCCCTCTTCTCCCCAAAGGTGTGATGTGGCCTATTAACGCCCGAGCCACAGCTGAACCCTTCTCTGCCCAGGACCCTCTGCTGGCTCCCCAGCTGCTCTGAGTAATAGCTAGAGCTTTGCAGCAGCCGCAGGCCTTTGAAGCTGGGACTTCTCTCCCTGAACTGCCTGCTGCTCTCCCCTGCTCACACCAGGCTGGATGCAAACTTCTTCTCTGGGTCTCAAGCGTACCGATCACGCTCCTGCCTCAGGGCCTTTGCACGAGCCATTCCCGCTGCCCGGAATGCTCTCTGGCCAGATAGCTGCTTGGCTGACCCATCACCTCCTACAAACCTTGCTCAGACCTTGCCTTGAACTCTTGGCTTCAAGTGATCCTCCCGTCTCGACCTCTCAAAGTGCTGAGATTATAGGTATGAGCCACTGTGCCTGGCCCACATTTTTTTTTCTTTTTTCTTTGAGACAGAGTTTTGCTCTTGTCGCTCTTGTCTCTTGGCCATGCATCTAGAGGGCGTCCAGCACAGAGTATGTGCTCAATACACAGGTGAAGAAGGACAATCCACGAGACAGCTGTCCCTCTCCCAGGACCCTGGGAAATGCTGGGGATGGGGAAGATGTTCAGATGTCAAGAGGAATAGGGTCTAGTGTCTGGGCTCTCATTTGAGTGCTCTTCCTGTTCACAGGAGTGGATGGGCTGCACAGTTGGAGCAAAACCGAGATGAGTTTTAAGGGCCACTGAGCATCTTCCCCACTGGCAGTCTTTCCCAGTGTCCTGGGAGATGCACAGCTGTTTCCTGTGTTGTCCTGGATCCCTAGAAGATGGGCCAGGCTTGGAGGTAGAAGGAGAGCTCAGAGGGGAGGGGGCAGAGAAGGGACTGCCCAGATGTGACACATCTGGAGTCTTCAAATCTGCACCAGGACAGATGAGTAGAGCTGCATTTTTCCACCCTGCTCATGTTGGCCTTTTGTGAACTTTGTTTCTGCCCTGTCTGCATTGCCCTTAGGTATTCACTGCAACTAGTTATCACTGGAATAAAAATGGCCATAGGCATTCTGCCCTTCCTTCACCTCTCTCTTCTCCATCCCTTCCTTCTTCCTTCTTCACCTGTGTATTGAGCACATACTCTGTGCTGGACGCCCTCTAGACGCATGGCCAGGGTTGTCCTCATTGATGAGGCAAGATCTGAGCAAGGTTTGTAGGAGGTGATGGGTCAGCCAAGCAGATATCTGGGCAGGGAGCATTCCGGGCAGTGGGAATGGCTTGTGCAAAGGCCCTGAGGCAGGAGCATGATTGATATGCTTCAGGCCCAGAGGGGAGGTCTGCATCTGACCTGGTGTGAGCAGGGAAGAGCGGCAGGCAGCTCAGGAAGAGAAGTCCCAGGTTCAATGACCTGAGGGCATTGCAAGGCTTTAGTTCTCACTCAGAGGAGCTGGGGAGCCATTGTGCAGTGCAAGAGCCAAACTGAATGGGTTCCAATTTCAGCTCAGCTAGCAGGGAGCTATGTGACTGCACCAGGGCTGAGCCAACCCACCTGTGCATGAGTGACAGCACCTCACGGGTTCCAGAGCTCGCATGTCCATGGTCCAGCTTAGTGCGTGGCACGCCAAGAATACTTGAGAAATGGCAGCTAAGGACTGTCGCCTCAGGAGGGTCTCTTCTCATTTCCAAAGCTGTCTTCTGCTTGATGAAATGCACACAGACACTGGGCAAGTATGTGTTGAGCTTCTAATCTCTCCCAGACACCGGAGACTCAGCCATAGACTGGCCGAGTTCCCTGCCCTTGTGCTGCACTCCCCTTGAGGAGACAGATGATGGGGACATGTAAGGAGCTAAGACATCCTGAGCTGGGAAGGAGGGAAGCAGGGGCTAAGGGATGGAGGCAGCTGGTGGGGGCAGGTGGGGGTGGCAGGGATGCCTGGAGCCTGGGACTGGGGCCGGACTCTGCACTGCTCTGCTTGAGGACCTAGCTGGGCTCTGACTCATGAGGGCAGACAGTGGCCAGGGTGAGGCTGGCGCAGTGCAGCCCCTTCCCCACTGCTGAAGACGCTGCCTTTGTGGGGTGGTAGCACAGGCTTTGGGGAGTTGAGAGCCATCCTCATCCTAGAGGTGGTTGTTTCTGGAAGCAAAAATCCAGGGTTTATGCTCCTGGGACAGGGGAACCTTGGGGCCTCGCGTCCTCCCCATAACCTTCGCATTGGGCAGCAAAGGCATCTTCCTGTTGAGTCTGAGGGAGAGAGAAGTGGTGTCACTCGCGGTGTCAGCTTTCATCTCACAGTGGCCCTGTGAGGTAAGGACCATGATCAACCCAGTTTACAGATGAGGACACTGAGGCTCAGAGAAGTTACATGGTTTGTCCAAAGTGACACACTAAGTGGCTGAATGGGATTGAATCCAGGTCTCTCTGAGACAGCCCAAGCTGTTGATGGAACCCTCTGGCTCACGGATGAGCAGGTAAAGTGAACAAACACTTTAGAATGCTTATCTGGGGGTGGGGGTGCAGGGAATTGAGCCTTCTATGGGGCCCGGAAGATTTACAGTTGTCCCTCGGTGTGTGTAGGGGAATCAGTTTCACCACCTTCCACAAATACCAAAATCCACAGATGTTCAAGTCCTGATATAAAATGGTGCAGTATTTGCATATAGCCTAAGTACATCTTCCCGTAGACTTTAAATCATCTCTAGATTACTTATGCAATCACATGTCAGATAATGATATTTCAGTCCATGCCAGAATGCACATAGGATGGTGGTCCCATAAGATTATAATGGAACTGCCCTATACAGGTGCACCATCTCTAAAAATTGATATCTCAAAAGAGATGGGGTCTTTTTATATTGCCCAGACTAGTCTAGAAGTCCTGGGCTCAAGTGATCCTCCCAGCATGGCCTCCCAAAGTGCTGGGATTGTAGGTATGAACCACCATACTTGGCCAGGTGTACCATTTTTTATCATTTATACTGTATTTTTATGATCCTTTTCTGTGTTTAAATACACAAATAGCCACCATTGTTTTTGTTTGTTTGCTTGTTTGTTTGAGACAGAGTTTCACTCTTGTTGCCCAGGTTGGAGTGCAATGATGCGATCTCAGCTCACTGCAATCTCCGCCTCCCAGGTTCAAGCGATTCTCCTGCCTCAGCCTCCTGAGTATTTGGGATTACAGGTGCCCGTCACCATGCCCAGCAGATATCTGGGCAGCCATTTTTTGTATTTTTAGTAGAGACGGGGTTTCACCGCGTTGGCCAGGCTGGTCTCAATCTCTTAACCTCAGGTGATCCAGCCGCCTCGGCCTCCCAAAGTGCTGGGATTACAGGCATGAGCCACCATGCCCGGCCCACAAATAGCCGCCATTATGTTACCATTGCCTATAGTACTTAGTACAGTAACATGTTGCAGAGGTTTGGAACCCAGCAGCAACCAGCTCTACTATTCAGCCCAGGTGTGTGTTTGGCTGTAGCCTCTGGAGGAAGCTAAGGAGAAGTGACCTAAAGGCAGAGGGTGAGTCTGAGGTGGGATCCCAGGACAGGTACAAGAAGTTAGGCAAAAGAGGATGAAATCTGAAAAAATTTCACTATGTTAATATAATTACTGCGTTAATAACTTTAGATAATAGTTAACATTATTATTTAGTTAACAGGATTGCACCCAAGATAAATTAATTTTTTTAAAGAGATAAATTCTCATTCTGTCACCTAGGCTGGAGTGCAGTGGTGCGATCATAGCTCACTGCTTCCTGGAACTCTTGGGCTCGAGCAATCCTCCTGCCTCAGCCTCCTGATTAGGTGGGACTATAGGCACACGCCATCATGCCTGGCTATTTTTTTTTACTTTTCTCTAGAGGCAAGGCCTACCTGTGTTGCGCAGGCTGGTCTCAAACTCCTGGGCTCAAGTGAACCTGCCTCAACCTCTCAAATTGCTGGGATTACAGGTGTGAGCCACTACAGCCAGCCCACATTTCTTAGTTTGGACAAATGTGCCATGGTAATGCAAAATGTCATTACTAGGGGCAGCTGGGTATAAGGTGTAGAGTACACTACAGTGTCTTTTCAATTTTTCTGTGTATCTAGAATCATTTCAAAAGTAAACATTTATTTTAAAACGTGAAAGTGTTTATCCTTCCATGAGTGTAAAGTACAAAAGACAGGCTCATGGTGTCAACGGAAGTCAGGACACTGGTTGTGGGGCCGGGGGCGCTGGAGGGGCTGGCCATGGTTGGCTTTGTGATCTGGGGGCTGGTGTGTTCCATCTGTGAATGTCTTTCGAGCTGCACACTTACCAGGGATGTAAGTCATGTCTTAATACATTTTCTTAAGTTTAACACCAAATAAAATGAGAATGAAAAGCTTGTTTGGGTTGTGGGGATTCGGTTGTTTATCCAGTCATGAGCCCTGGCCTAGATGCTTCTAGAAGCCTGGAGGGAACTGAGAACATTCCAAGTAGAGGTGGCAGAGCCAAGGCCCTGAGGTGGGAACACACTGCTGCATGTCTCTAGCTGTGAATGGGGTCCCCTAGTCGGAAGCAGTGCTGTGTGCCCTGCAGGGCCAGCAGGTCCATGTCCACATTATGGGTCAGTGCAGTGAAAGCCAATCTCAGCCCCCTCCGCAGTGTGACCAGCCTGCCAGCAGGTGGCCAGCTGGTCCATCCCAGGGACTGGGTGCAAGTCTCTTGTCAATAGAGAGGGCGCTCAGCCATGGTGTCAGCCTAGTGAGCCTTGGTAAGGGCCCGTGCAGGATGCTGAACCTCTTCCGTCCCCATGACCGTCTCAAGACCACTTGCTCGGTGGGCGCATCCAGCAGGCGTGGTGGCCGGGAAAGAAGCAGGCTGCATCCATAGGGCGTGCCATTTTGCTCGACTCAGGACCCAGAGCATCCTCCGTAGTAATTCTCTTCGGTGGGAGCACTGGGAACTTGAGCCACAGATACCTTCCAAGTCTGAGCTGCTGAGGCGAGGGCTGCAGGGCGCCCTGCTGTCAGGAAAGCCTGCACCAGCAGCTGGAAGGCACGTGGTGGGGGCGCCTGCTGTGGCTCCAGCAGTGGCTGCGAGGCTTCGGGATCTCACCCAGCTTCTGCGAGGTGAATTGTGACAGTGCAGAGCTCCGCAGTGCCAGGGTCCCCTGCATGGTCATGCTCACTGCAGCTGGGAGCCCACCACACCCCTGGTGCCCCTCACTTCCCAGGGCTGGGGTCTAGTCCAGACCCCTCTTGGCTTGGGAATTGTGCCTTGGGAGGGGGACACTGTCCCACAGGTTGGGACAGAGGCCCCAGGCATGCTGCTGGCTGGCCGGGGCTGCGGGGATGCCATGCTCACCTTTCTCTCTCGTGGCCTTGATGGGACTGGCTTCCCCATTGAACGGGATTTTCCGAGGTGTCTGGGGCTGTGGTGCAGCTTGCGGGGTGCCACCCTGACCCCTTCCAGACTTGCCAGTCACTGACCACCGAGCGGGCCAGACACAGGTGCCACGCTGCAGTCGGGGTATCTCCCGACCTCCCTTTTAGTCCTGATGGGCCTGGGCAGGGCCTGGTTTCGGGGTCCCCATGGGCTTCCTGGGCTAGGCTGTCCCATGGTCCTGGGGCTGTCCAGGACACATTTGGAAGGGACTTGGACCCAGCAGCTCTGTTCAAAATCATAACGGGGGGCAACGAGGGCCCCCCACATCCAGGTTCATAGGGATGGAGCCGTGGCATGGAGTTCCACTGGAGGAACCTCCAGGAAACCTGAGGTTCCCCCTGAGCCAGGGCCAGGCTGGGCACACCCTCAGTCCCCGGTGCCCCCAGAGAATGGCCTGCTGCCCTAGGTTCCATGGAAGCCCCCTCGTGCCACTGGGCCTTGGCCTCACAGATAGTCCCATCAGGACAGGGTATGAAAGGACGAGGCACCCATGGAGGGGAAGCTGACCAAACGGGCCACCCATGGCGGGGAAGCTGGCCAAATGGGCCACTGGAACCGAGTTGTTGGGCCAGGAGGGGCCTGCCTGTCCCCCTGCCAGAGGGTCTTCCTGCCAGGTGAAGCCAGCCCAGGCCTGGGTGCCAAGGACCCTTGCTCAGGTTTGGCTGAAAGAAACAGACGTGGTCAGCATCTCCAGTGAGCCCACGCAGTCCTTTCTTGGCCGGGCTCCACCTGCCTGGGTCTCTGGAGTCCTCAGGGTCTCTGTGTAGCCCCTGTGGTCTGACACTGAGGACACACCTGCAGGCTGCTGATCGCAGACGGAGGGGTCTGTGCCTCCTGTGGTGGGAAGCTGTCGGGGTGCAGCAGGTGGCTCCTGGGACTGCCCTCCCCCAGAGTTCAGGCTGGCTGGGGGCTTCCTGCCCCATGCCGTCATCCCAGGACTGTTGAGCCTGGGATACAGCCTCCAGTCAGAACTCAGGTGGGAGGGGCCTTGGCTGTCACCCAGTCCCCTCGCCACCTCACATGGAGACCTGTTTCCACGGTGGGTGAGAGAGCCCAGATACAGAGCCCCCTCTGCCCTCCTGGGCTGCCCAGTCCATGCCAGGACTGACCGTTCCCACACCTGGCTGAACTCTTGGCTCTGGCTCTGGGCCAGGGGTCCCCCCTGTGCCCACCCACTAAACGCCCTGGTCGGGGATCAGGGACATAGATTCCCTTGTCTCTCTGGCTCAAGGCTTGTTGTCCTGGCACCCTTGGAGGGGTGTTCAGGAGTGAGGAGCCTCTGCTGCTCTCTGAGGCTGTCAGTGCTCGCAGGGAGGGGTGGGGAGTCCCATAGATGGATCTGGTTCCTCCAATGACCCTGAGGGCCCTTTGAAGGGGAGAGTGGGACATGGTGGAAAGTGGGAGGGGGCTTGTTGGAGAGTCTTGCGCACATCCCCCTCCTGCTTGCACAGCACGTCCGGTACACACAAACTGACCACCTGCCCTGAGGACCTGGGGGCCTATTGTACTTTCTTAGAGTCCGGAGGAAGAGGAGGAAGAAAAGGCGAAGAGGAAGGCCCAAGTAGTAGTGTTGGAGGTCCTGGGCACTCCCCAACTACTGACTGCCCCAGGGGGTGACTCGGGAGGGTACCTGGTGCTGCAGGCCACCTGGGGGTGGCAGGTCCCCAGGCTTCCTTGTTTCCTCATAGAGGCCCAAGGGTGTCTGAGAACTGCATCATCATCCAGGGCCCAGGTATGGGAAAACTGGTCCTGAAAACATGCCCACGGCCACACCTGGATATCTTCACGAGGTGCTCTAGGGACAGGGTAGGCATCAGGCTAGGAGTGTTCCCTGGGAGGGGTCAGAGCCCATACCCCGTTACTACCTCAGCATCTCCCACTGGGGAGTGCCGGATCCCTTTGTGGCCACCCCAGGGGTCCAGATGTGCACAGGAGGCTGTGGCTAGGGGGCAGCCTGAGCAGGGAAGTGCTCACCACACTCCTGACTTTCATCTGGGTCATGTAGGGGATGGGCTCCCACAGGAGGGGGTATGTCACTGTTCCCTGCCCAGCCTACCCAGCCAGACCTCCCTCTGGGCCAGAGAAGAGGATCATGGGGACAGTGTGAGGAAGCTGCCACCGGGCCAGTCAGGGTCTGACCCCTGTGCTCCCCAGTCCCCATTGGGCACACGTGGACTTACTCCTCTGAACCTTAAAGGCAGTGCGTGCCATTGGCGTCAACACCTGTTCCCCTTCTAGCAAATACACGTCCCAAAGGCTCAGGGTGAGCCCGAGAGAGATCTGTGGGGACAGCAGGTGTGGGAGGACCTGGCCCTTCCAGGCTGGGGGCTGGTGGCTCGAGCCGGGCCCACTGGGGCTTCAGTCCCCCAGTCACTGACCCTTCCCATGAGGGTCATCAGACCCCTTCAGGAGGCTGGGTCAGACAAGGTCTTGCAGCTCCTCATGGGGGAGCACTCATTTCAGTGGGGATGTGGCTTCTGGAGAGAGGGGCTTCCCCAGGACTTGAGGCTTCCTTGAGCCCTCCCAAGTGGGTCCTGGCCCAGTCTGCCCATGAGGCTGGGCCTGAGTCCCAGCCTCTGCCGTGGGATGACCCCTCTTGGGCAGAGGGCTTTGCTTGTGTGTCCTGCAGATATCTGCCTGTGCCTCCTATGTGCTGGGGGTGAACCGGACCCCTGGGCGAAGAGCAGGGCCCTGTAGGGCAAGGAGGGTCCCTGAGCCAGGGTCTCCCTGTGCCTCCTTACCCCATTGATCAAGCTCCAAAGCAACCAACCTAATGAGGAACCCTGAATGCATAGCCCTTCCTTGTCCTGATGGGAGGAACAGAGGTGCTCAGGTCCCTCTGGGCTGCCCTAAAAACCTCCCTCTTCCAGGGCCCTCTGAAGACCCTTCCCCAAGTGCAGAACACTGGGCGGTGTCCAGGGCTCCTTACACCTTCCCCTCCCTGCACTCCTGGTGGACACACTGTCCTTAGCCCTGCTCTGTGGGAACTGGCCCCAGTCCCTGTGCCTCTGTCTCCTCCAGGGCAGGAAAGGAAACCCAACTCCAAATCCATGGAGAACCCCACGTCCCAGGTCAGGCCCTGGCTAGAACTCACCCTCTCACCAGCCCCATGAGGGTCTGGCAGCCCCTGGCTCCTCCGGCCCCACAGGATGCAGGGCCACTGGGGAAGAGCTGGGGGGACCATAAACTCACTGCGTGCCTCATGGTCTTGGGGTATGGCCTGGGTGCCACATGCTCCTGGTGGTCTTGGAGGCCCTGGACCCTTGCGCTATTTGGGCTGTGGAATCCTGAGAAGCCCCCAGCCCATCATGAAATCAGCCTGCTCCCAAGATGTGGGACCATCAGCTGGAAGAGCTGGACAGCTGCAGAGGCCCCTGAACCCTGAGGTCTCCCACCCTCTCATCTGGGGACCCCACCATGCGGCCTTGGCCCTGGGGAGGAGGGGTGGGAATATCCCCTGGAGCCTGGCTGGAGGTGCTCCTGGAGGCCTCCTGGGCCAGGGTGCTGGGAGGGCAAGCCTGACTTTGAGGCCACGACAGAGGGCGGGTGCTGGGCTTCATGGTGGTCTCCTAGAAGTGGGGTCGGGCCAGGGGACACGGGATGGGGAGATGTTGCCATCAGGGCTTTTTCGGCCCATCTGTGGGTACCAAGGGCAGCTGGAGGGCAGGACCCTCAGGGAGGGGAGAGTCAACTGTACAGCATTCAGAGCCAGAGGGCGTTGCTCCAGGACACAGAGGGTGGCCACGGGGATGATGAGATGCCCTCTGCTGATGGGGGTGAGAGGCATCTGACTCAGGATCTGGGGGTCCCGGTTCAGCCCCAGGACCCTCAACAGAGACATCCTAAAGGCTCCAAACAAGCTGGCAACACAAGGAAGGTGCCTTCACGGAAAGTTGAGATCACCTGCCCAGGGTGGCCGTCCCCGGGTCTGGCTGCATGAGGCCCTGGGGGCAGCTGTCCACCCACCCTGCAGGGAGTGCCTCTCACCAGCCAGCATCTGGGCCAGTGCCCAGAATATGTCCTCCTCAGGCAGATAAAGGAGGAACAAGGCGGCGACGTGGCTCAGGTCCCTGCAGTAGTCTACCTCCTGAGAGAGCCAGAGTTATGGTGGAAAGACATCACCTGGGAGGGCTGAGGTCACCTGGGACGATTCATGTCATCGGAGAGGGCAGAGGTGACTGGGGAAACTTCCTTTGAAGAAGAGGCTTCCTCAGGATGCAAATTCATTTTGTGACAAGAGCCATGTCCATCAGGCATTTCAGCAATTTGTCCAAAATGTCTCCTGAGAGCACTTGTCCTGTGTGCGACACTGCCAAGCTTTGGAGCCCAGTGGATGCCCTTAGTTCCTGGATCCACAGAGACTTATGGAGCCTGTGCCTGGGGCTTTCTAGAGGTGGAGGCGGTGGGGTAGGGGGAAGGGCGGGAGAGGAGGCCTTGCATGGCATAGTGCAGGGCAGGAAGCCAGCCAGGGACCCGTTTGCAGTGACTGCTCCCATCCCCATGCTGACCTCCAAACCCACCCCTACCCCACCCTGGCGCAGGGTCGGGCCTGGGAAGGTGTCCTCTGCTTTGGCCTCAGCAGATCACAAGGAGGAAGCCAGCAGCCCGGTGGGTGCACCACTCGAGCCAATGGTGACCTACAACTTCTACTTCATGGAGCGTGGGGCACCCGCCCAGGAAAGCCCAGGCACACCCCACACCCCTGACCTTGAGGGCACAGGGAGGTGGGGGACCAAGGTCCTGCAGCCCTGTGCATGTGTCCTGAAAGGTGGTCTAGGAGTCCTGTGTGCACCTGTCCAGGGGGGCCCAGAAGCCTGAACAGTGGCAGGGAGGGAGAAAAGGAGGGAGAGAGAAGTGGAGAAGAAGGAGAGAGAAAGAGAGATGGGAAGAAGGGAGTGAGATCGAGAGAGAGGAAGAGAGATGGGGACAGAGACAGAGGAGGCTGAGAGGACGAGGGAGAGAGAGACACAAAAGGCAAAGAGAGAGACAGGGAGAGAGAGGTTCATGAGTAGGAGTTCGGGTCACTCTTGATGCCAGTTCCCAATGCAAACTTAGGTTGCTATCACCTAACCACACATGCAATAAAGTCTTCTGCCTGCTGCTTATAGCCCCCAAGAACCCCTTCTCCTGGAGAATAAAATCTTTTTTTTTTTTTTTTTTTTGAGACAGAGTCTCGCTCTGTTGCCCAGGGTGGAGTGCAGTGGTGAGATCTTGGCTCACTGAAAGCTCCGCCTCCCAGGCTCAAGCGATTCTCCTGCCTCAGCCTCCCGAGTAGCTGGGATTACAGGCGCCTGCCACCGCGCCCAGCTAGTTTTTGTATTTTTAGTAGAGAGAGGTTTCATCATGTTGGCCAGGCTGGTCTCGAACTCCTGGCCTCAGGTGATCCACCCACCTCGGCCTCCCAAAGTGCTGGGATTAGGAGTGAGCTACCATGCCCGGATGAATAAAACCTTTGACGGCTGCCCTTCCTCACTGGATTTTGGTTGTGTCTTCTGATAAACCATGATGATGTCTCTTTGTAGGAATGGTATCGATAAAGAGCCAGATTTGAGAAGGAGTGTAACATGAGGCTTTCCAAACCATTCTCAGCTAAAAGTTTTTAAATTAAAGTTTTAAACTCTTTAGTAGTTGGATCACTGGCATCATCGGTGCTGATGCTAGCTCCCTTTCCTTTCTTTGATTCATTGTTTGAATCTTTTGAGGATCAAACAAGCGTGAAGTTGAACTGAATAGCGCCTTCGCTCTTGATAGTCACATTCTCAGTAACTGGATTATACCTATAATAAAGGAGATAGATCAGAACCACACTCCTTTAGCTGGGGTACCCAAGCCCTGGGAAAACAGGTACGTACAGAATGTGTGGATCGTTGGGATAAATGTGGCGCATCTTCCTAAAGAGATGAAATTTTAATGTTGAGTAATTTATTATTTTTTAATACATTGATTAACAAAGAACAGACATGGATATACTACAAAATATGAACAGTTTTTTTTTTAATATTTTTTTCTTTTTGAGATGGAGTCTCTCCCCATTGCCCAGGCTGGAGTGCAGTGGTGTGATCTCAGCTCACTGCAACCTCCGCCTCCTGGATTTGAGTGATTCTCCTGCCTCAGCCTCCCGAGTACCTGGGATTACAGGCGCCCACCACCACACCTGGCTAATTATTGTATTTTTAATAGAGATGGGGTTTTTACCATGTTGGCCAGGCTGGTCTTGAACTCCCAACCTCAAGTGGTCCACCCGCCTCAGCCTCCCAAAGTGCTGGGATTATATGCGTGAGCCACTGTGCTCGGCCTGGGTTTTTAAGATTAAGTATATGACTTCAAGACAAAGTTAGTTCTTGTAGTGGATACTCACATGTCTCCTGGAATTTGAATTCACTTGTCTTCCATCAGGGTATATGGGTGGCAGGGTGCGGTGGCTCACTCCTGTAAACCCAGTACTTTGGGAGGCGGAGATGGGCGGATCACTTGAGGTCAGGAGTTTGAGACCAGCCTGGCCAACATGGCAAAACCCTGTCTCTGCTAAAAATACAAAAATTAGCCTGGTGTAGTGGCAGATGCCTGTATATATTAATGCTTATTACAATATTTTTAATAGCAAAAAAAGAAAGCAACTAAAGTGTTTATCAGTAGGGAATTTATAAAATTGTGATAGTCATAAGCTAATATTCTATTCAGCTATTAAAAGGAATGATGTAGATTTCTATTTGCTAATATGGAAAGATTGCTTGATACTTTATAAACTACAAAAAGCAGGGTGAACATCAGAATGTATAGTATGATTTATCTGGCAAAGTGAAAGAAATAATAGATAAACTTGTATATGTAAAAACATATTTCCTGGCTGGGCGCGGTGGTTCACGCCTGTAATCCTAGCACTTTGGGAGGCCGAGGTGGGCGGATCACCTGAGGTCAGGAGTTCCAGACCAGCCTGACCAACATGGAGAAACCCCGACTCTACTAAAAATACAAAACGTTAGCTGGGCTGTGGCAGTGCATGCCTGTGGTCTCAGCTACTCAGGAGGCTGAGGCACAAGAATTGCTTGAACCCAGGGGGCAGAGGTGGCAGTGAGCCGAGATTGCGCCACTGCACTCCAGCCTGGGTGGCAGAGTGAGACCCTGTTTCAAAAACAAAACAAAATCAAAACCTTTATATGAATGTTCATTGGAGCATTTTTAATAACAGCAAAAGTGAAAAGAACCCAAATGTTCATCAGCTGAAAAATCAACTGTGGTGTATTCATACATTAGAATATATTTGACAATAAAAAAATGCTGAAGTACTGACGCATGCCACAGCGTGAATGAACCTTGAAAATCAAGTGGCCGGGAGCAGTGCCTCACACCTGGAATCCCAGCACTTTGGGAGGCCGAGGCTGGTGGATCACTTAAGGTTAGGAGTTCGAGTCCAGCCCAGTCAACATGGTGAACTCCATCTCTACTAAAAATACAAAAATTAGCCGGGTGTGATGGCGTGCACCTGTAATCCCAGCTACTCGGGAGGCTGAGGTAGGAGAATTGCTTGAACACAGGATGGGGAGGTTGCAGTGAGCTGAGATCGTGCCAGTGGCACTCCTGCCTGGGGGATAGAGTGAGACCCTGTCTCAAAAGAGAAGGGAAGGGAAGAGAGGGGAGGGGAGGGGAGGGGAAGGGAAGGGAGGGGAGAGGAGTCGAGTCACAAAAGACCACATGTTGTATGATTCCATTTATAGGAAGTTCCTAGAATAGGCAAATTCATAGAGATAAAGCAGATCAGTGGTTGTCAGGAGCTGAGAGGGGAGGAAGGAATGGGAAGTGTCTGTTAATGGGCATGGAGATGCTTCTGGGGGTAATGAAACTGTTCTGAAATTAGTGGTGATGGTTGCACAACTCTGAATATACCAAAAACCACTGATCTGTACACTCTATAAGAATTAATTGTATGTATGTGAATTATATCTCAATAAAGTTGTTGTATTTTAAGAAAGGAAATAAGCTGTATCCTGCCTTTCCTCAATGAACTATGTTTTCAGGTAACCAGGTAACCCTGATTGATGTGGGGAAATTCCTGTTTACAGAAGAATTCCAGCTCATAGATGTGGAAAGAACGATAGAAATGCATTATTTTACAACCCCTAATGAAATCAATGACTCAGAGATCTTCAAAAGAAAAACCCATTGCTTGGAAGGTTGATGGGGAAATTCCCAAAGGGAAAGTCAGATTGCTGCCACGCAGACCCACCAAGGGGGCCCATGATGTGACTTCCCGGAAGCACTCAGCAAAACCTGTGAAATGCTTCTACCAAAAAAAGTTGGATCTGGGCCGGACCTGATGGCTCATGCCTAGAATCCCAGCATTTTAGGAGGCCAAAGTTCAAGGACTGCTTGAGCCCAGGAGTTCGTGCTCAGCCTGGGCAACATAGCAAGACATGTCTCTATAAAAAAAATAATTAAAAAATTAGCCAGGCACGGTGGTGCATACCTGTAGTTCCAACTACCTGGGAGGCTGAGGCAGGAGGATTGCTTGAGCCCAGGAGTTTGAGGCTGCAGTGAGCCATGATCACACCACCACACTCCAGCCTGGGTGACAGAATGGGATCCTGCCTCTAAAAAATAATAATAACAATAATAAATTTTAAAAAATTAGACCCAGGCCTGGGTGTGGTGGTTCATGCCCATAATCCCAGCACTTTGGGAGGCCAAGGCAGATGGATCACTTGAGGTCAGAAGTTCAAGACTAGCCTGGCCAACATGGTGAAGCCCCACCTCTACTAAAAATACAAAAATTAGTCGGGCGTGGTAGCGCGTGCCTGTAATCCAGCTACTCAGGAGGCTGGGGCATGAGAATCGCTTGCACTTGGGAGGCGCAGGTTGCAGTGAGAGAAGATTGCACCACTGCACTCCAGCCTGGGTGACAGAGTGAGACTCTGTCTCAAATAAATAATAAAAAGTTAGACCTGAATCTACTCAGGCCTTGAGGGCTTATTTACAGGAAACAGGGAGACAGAGAAGCTAGTTAAATGACAGTATAAAGAAGCAAACAGAATTCCAGAATGTGGGAATTCTGTGGGACAACAGTCCCTATTTCTGCATCAAGGCAACAAGAGGGAACAAACAAAAAACAAGGAAAGGAATGACTTTGGAATAAAAGTGACTCAAAAGACAATTTTAAAAACACCACCACACAATTGTGACTGTGGTTGGGAGGACTTTGTATGGATCCTGATTTGAACAAAGCAATCATAAAAAGACACTTGGAGACAATTAGCAAAATTTGATTATGGCTGAATATTAAATTATTCCAAAGAATAATTCTTCTTATTGTTAGGCCTGATCAGGGCATTGTGGAATTTTTTTTACAGTTGCACACTGAGGTATCATCATCATGCACGGTGGAATGACAGGATCTGGGATTTGCTTTAAAGTACTTCTTCAGGCTGGGCGCAATGGCTCACGCCTGTAATCCCAGCACTTTGGAAGGCTGAAGCGGGCAGATCACCTGAGGTCAAGAGTTTGAGACCAGCCTGGCCAACATGGCAAAACACTGTCTCTACTAAAAATACAAAAACTAGCCAGGCATGGTGGCACATGCCTGTGGTCCCAGGTACTCAGGAGGCTGAGGCAGGAGAATCACTTGAACGTGGGAGGTGGAGATTGCAGTGAGCCGAGATCACACCACTGCACTCCAGCCTGGGCAACAGAGTGAGACTCCATCTCAAAAAAAAAAAAAAAAGGAAGAAAGAAAGGAAGAATATATTAAGAATGTGTAGCAAAACTTAACTATTGAATCTGGATGATGGAAATAGAGAAAATGTCTTATTACTTTCACTTTTGTGTAATTTATAACATTTTCAAAATGGATGGGAACTAAAAAGTATATGCCAAGGATTTCTGGGAAGAGTTAAGAAAATCATTTCATGACAAGTAAACAGAGGAAGAAAAGCAATATTTATGAATTAGTACGCTGCCGTGTTATATAATTTGTGATTTTTAAGATTTGTGCAATCAAGTTGGTAAATTAAATTGTATAAACAGCCATTCGTCTATCAACAGCTCTTCAAGTTTAAGTCTACAAGGTTTATCTACACTTCTTCAAGTTTATGTCTACAGGGTGGCCAACTGCTTAAAAAGTTATCCTTATAGGGAAAATGCAGGGTTGCCCACATGTGAATAGTAACTGAGCTTTGAGGGGGCGTTAGAGTAGAAAGTGGATGAGGTTTAGGCTGGAGACTCTGGAGATGGTGAGGGGTGCTGTGTGTCACTTTGGCGACTGACTGAGGGTGGGGTGGGGCAAGAATATTGGAGGGGAGAAGCTTGGGGTTGAGGGACCTGGTTAGTCATATAATTGAATCAGTGGCACCTAATGAGAAACCAGGCAAGTTGTAATCATTCACTCACTCAATCAACACATGTATACTTAACTCCTGTCCTGTCTCAGCCATCAAGTGCAAATTCTTGGATTCCTCTTCTGTAATATTCTAAGCAGTTTCTGGCATCTCCACTCAACTTCGTTTTATAAAGGCCACTGTTGATCCAGAGTTTAATCAACCAGTTGACTTGTTAGAACCATTTCCAGCTGGAACTTTAAAACCCCAAATCTCTGTAACATATTATGTTGATAAATTCAGCCAAATGTTATATTCTTTCCTTTCTGAGGTAGCACCCATATTCCCTAGGCTTCAGCTCACTTACTTAGCTAAGGCTTGTTTGTTTGTTTGATTGTTTTATTTTGTTGTAGAAGCCATATCCTCCTTGGTCAGACTCTGTGCCTGTCTCCTGGCTCATCCTGGAATCTGGCTTTCATTATAGATCTGGAAACAAACAATGGGCAGTGGAGTGTTCACGAGAATTAGATTCCTCTTGCAAAATAACTTCCCCGGGTGAGGTCATTACACACTCCCCAGAGAAAGCAGAATCAGCCTGGTCAGATGGAAGGAGGGGCTGCTTCTATCAGCAAAGGAATCTCACTGGACTTTGGATATGGGTAGTCAGGGAACACAAAATCATCTGCATCCACCCAAACATCCCTATTTCAGTTCCTGAGAGCCACTTTTTCCTGTTCCATGCACCTGGTCAGGCTGTGAATACAGCATACATAACAATTACATTACAAATCAGCAACCCATGGGATGAACTCTCTTCAATTTTTGGCTACATAAGCCCCATGGCTATAAGAGATGATACATCTATTGCAGTAGTCAGGAATGACCCCAGGTTATCTGACCCTGCCTTGAGCCAAGAATTTAAACCCCAAATCTTTTCTTATTTGAAGCTCTATGGTGCAATTATAAACAGCCATGACCTTGTTTGCCAGCAGATATCAGCCAAAAGCAGCAGGACTATGGCTACAGCCTCACTTCCTTCTTCCAAATCCCACTAACTGGCAGAACCCATCCATATGTGGGATTCTAATTGCAGCTGAGTCTGGGAAATACATTTTTTTTTTTGAGATGGAGTTTCACTCTTGTTACCCAGGCTGTAGTGCAATGGCACAATCTTGGCTCACTGCAACCTCCGCCTCCCGGGTTCAAGCGATTCTCCTGCCTCAGCCTCCTGAGTAGCTAGGATTACAGGCATGCGCCACCACACTCAGCTAATTTTTAATTTTTAGTAGAGACAGTGTTTCTCCATGTTGGTCAGGCTGGTCTCAAACTCCCGACCTCAGGTGATCCACCTGCCTCGGCCTCCCAAAGTGCTGGGATTACAGGCGTGAGCCACCACGCCAGGCGGAAATACATTTTTAGCGTTTTAGATTCTGGAAAGAATGGATGCTGAGTCCTGATTGATCACATCTAACACAGATAGACCCGGGGATAGATTTGTATGCTTAATATTGGGAAGACAAGAAGGTTCCTAACAGATCTGCTATTATTCTCCCTGTAAAAGAAGAGGTGAAATACAAGTGTTGGTAAGGATGTGGAAAAATTGGAACCTTTGTGTACTGTTGGTGGAATGCAAAATGGTGCAGCCACTATGAAGAACGGTATATGGGGATTCCTCAAAAAATTAAAAATAGAACCACCATAGGATCCAGAAATCCCACTTCTGGGTCTTTATCTAAAGAATTGAAATCAGGACCTTGGAGAGATATTCGTGCTCCACTGTTCATTGTAGCATTTATTCACAATAGCCAAAATGTGGAAACAACCCAACCAAGGGTCCACTGACAGACAAATGGTTAAACCAAATACGGTATATACATAAGATAGAATATTATTCAGCCTTTAAAAAAGAAATTCTGCAAAATTTGACAACAGTGATAAACCTTAAGGACATTGTGCTATGTGAAATAAGCCAGTACAGAAGGACAAATCCAGCATGATTCCACTGTAAACTAAAAATAAAATCCCAAGTCCCCCACCGACTGAACGGACCTCCTTTTGGCTAAGGGGACCCCAGAAAAACCTTAGAGACTGAGTTCCCAGCTACAACAGGGTGGGAGGTTAGACACGTGATATGATTTGGTTGTGTCCCCACCCAAATCTCATCTTGAATTGTAGTTTCCATAAACCCCACGTGTTGTGGGAGGGACCCGGTGGGAGGTGATTGAATCATGGGGGTGATTACCCCCATGCTGCTGTTCTCAGGATAGTGAGTGAGAGTAAGTTCTCAGGATATCTGATGTTTTGTTTTGTTTTTGTTTTTGTTTTAGACGGAGACTCACTATTTTTACTAGAGATGGAGTTTCAGTATGTTGGCCTGGAACTCCTGACCTCAAGTGATCCACCTGCTTTGGCCTCCCAAATTTCTGGGATTACAGGCATGAACCACAACTCCCAGCCTTTCTGATGGTTTTATAAGGGGCTTTTCCTCCTTTTGCTCATTCTCCTTCTTGCTGCTGCCATGTGAAGAAGGATGTGTTTGCTTCCCCTTCCACCATGATTGGAAGTTGCCTGAGGCCTCCCCAGTCATGCTGAATTGTGAGTCAACTAAACCTCTTTCCTTTACACATTACCCAGTCTTGGGTATGCCTTTATTAGCAGCGTGAGAACAGACTAAAACAACACACCTTGATATACTTATTACTTTTATCTATCTATCTATCTATTTATTTATTTATTTATTTATTTATTTATTTATTTATTTATTTTGAGACAGCATCTTGCTCTGTCGCCCAGGCTGAAGTGCAGTGCCGCAATCTTGGCTCACTGCAACCTCCACCTCCCGGGTTCAAGAGATTCTCCTGCCTCAGCCTCCCGAGTAGCTGGGATTACAGACACACACCACCACGCCCAGCTAATTTTTGTATTTTTAGTAGAGACAGAGTTTCACCATGTTGGCCAGGCTGATCTCGAACTCCTGACCTCAAGCGATCCATCCGCCTCAGCCTCCCAAAGTGCTGGGATTACATGTGTGAGCCACCATGCCCGGCCCTATTTGTATTTTAGACATAACAACTGATGAGCATTAAAGTTAAAATAGAGACAATAAGACTGACAGAACAGACTGTGGCAATAACATCCCAAATTATAGACAGGACCTAAGGCTGTGCCACGCAAGGGTTCAGCCGTGCACTCCTACCTTAAAAAATAAACTATGTTCAATTGCCACAAGGTTTTTCTTTTTCTCTAGCAGCTAAACGACTACTTGCCTCGAGATAAACAGTATTAAGACAATTACGACTCATTCAGCTCACAGAGGCCAACTGGAACTCCTGTTCCACCAGCCGTAACTACAGCTTTGGACAAAGAAGGTGATTTCGATAACTTTCTCCAGCTAAGAAGACCACCAACCAGGGACTGGTCCTGGACAGTTTACAGAGGCTGTGCACTTGAATGCTTTTGTGCCCTGAAAAGACCTTTTGACATATAGGGCCTAATTGTAATACATTTATTTAAAATTTTTTTTAGAGACAGGGTCTTGGTTTGTCACCCAGGCTGGAATGCAGTGGCACAATCATAGCTCACTGCAGCCCCGAACTCCTGGGCTGAAGTGATCCTCCTGCCTCAGCCTCCCAAGTAGCTGGGATTACAGGTATGCATTACTATACCCAGCTAAGCTTTTATTTTTAGTAGAGATGAGGGGGAGTCTCATTATGTTGCCCAGGCTTGTCTCCAATTCCCAGTCTCAAGCGATCCTCCTGCCTTGGCCTCCCAAAGTGCTGGGATTACAGGCATGAGCCACCACACCTGGCCTGTAATACATTTAAATGTTAAGTCCAAACATTAGTTCAACCTAAAGTAAACATGGGTCATATATTACCACCTATGTAACAAACCTGCACCTCCTGCACATGTACCTTTGAACTTAAAATAAAAGTTGAAGAGAAAGAACAAATTCTTAAGAGGACAGCTCTCATATTAAGTTTTCTTACTATGATTTAAAAAAAATTTTTTTAAGAAATGGGGAAGTATGGAACCAAAAAGGGGCCTGCATATCCAAAGCAAAACTAAGCAAAAAGAACAAATCTGGGAGCATCACATTACCCAACTTCAAACTATACTACAAGGCTATAGTCCCCAAAACAGCACGGTACTGGAATAAAATAGGTACATAGACCAAACGAACAGAATAGAGAACCCAGAAATAAAGCCAAATACTTATATCCAATGGATCTTCAACAAAGCAAACAAAAATATAAAGGGGGGAGGGGCACCCTATTCAGTAAATGGTACTGGGATAATTGGCAAGCCACACGTAGAAGAATGAAACTGTATCCTCATCTCTCACCTTATACAAATATCAACTCAAGATAGATCAAAGACTGAAATCTAAGACCTGAAACCACAAAAATTCTAGAAGACAACATTGGAAAAACTCTTCTGGACATTGGCTTAGGCGAAGACTTTATGACTAAGAACCCAAAAGCAAATGCAACAAAAATGAATATAAATAAATGGGACCTAATTAAACTAAAAAGTTTCTGCACAGCAAAATAAATAATCAGCAGAGTAAACAGACAACCCACAGAGTGGGAGAAAATTTTCACAAACTATGCATCCAACAAAGAACTAATACCCAGAATCTACAAGGAACTCAAACAAATCAGCAAGAAAAAAGCAAATAATCCTATTAAAAAGTCACATGCTAAGGACATGAACAGACAATTCTTATTTTTTTTTTTTTGAGACAGAGTCTCACACTGTCGCCCAGGCTGGAGTGCAGTGGCACAATCTTAGCTCACTGCAGCCTCAGGATCAAGCAATTCTCCCTGCCTCAGCCTCTTGAGTAGCTTGGTACTACAGGTGCCCACCACGATGCTGGCTATTTTTTTTATTTTTATTTTTTTGATTTTTTAGTAGAGACGAGGTTTCGCCATGTTGACCAGGCTGGTCTCGAACTCCTGACCTCAGGCTATCTGCCCACTTCGGCCTCCCAAAGTGCTGGGATTACAGGCGTGAGCCACCGCGCCCGGCCCGACAGTTCTTAAAAGAAGATACACAAATGGCCAACAAACGTGAAAAAATGCTCAATATCACTAATCATCAGGCAAATGCAAATCAAAACCATAATGCCATACCTACTCCTGCATGAATGGCCACAATCAAAAATGAAAAAATGATAGATGTTGACATGGTTGTGGTGAAAAGGGAACACTTTTGCACTGCTGGTGGGAATGTAAACTAGCACAACCACTATGGAAAACAATATGGATGTTCCTTAAAGAACTAAAAGTAAATCTGCCATTAGATCCAGCAATCCCACTAGCGGGTATCTACAGAGAGGAAAATAAGTCATTATATGAAAAATACACTTCCACACGCATGTTTGTAGCAGCACAGTTCACAATTGCAAACATATAGAACCATCTCAAATGCCCATCAATGCACGAGTGGATAAAGAAAATGTGGTATATATATATAACATGGAATACTACTCAGCCATAAAAAGGAATGAAATAATGGCATTTGCAGCAACATGGATGGAGCTAGAGACCATTATTCTAAATGAAGTAACTCAGGAATGGAAAACCAAATATCATATGCTCTCACTTTTAGGTGGGAGCTAAGCTATGAGGACGCAAAGGCATAAGAATGACACAATGGACTTTGGGAACTCAGGGGGAAAGGTGGGAGGGGTGAGGGATAAAAGACTACACTTTGGGTTGGCTGGGCGCAGTGGCTCACGCCTGCAATCCCAGCACTTTGGGAGGCCGAGGCGGGCGGATCACGAGGTCAGGACATCCAGACCATCCTGGCTAACACGGTGAAACCCCGTCTCTACTAAAAATACAAAAAATTAGCCGGGCATGGTGGCGGGCGCCTGTAGTCCCAGCTACTCGGGAGGCTGAGTCAGGAGAATGGCGTGAACCTGGGAGGCGGAACTTGCAGTGAGCCCAGATGGCGCCACTGCACTCCAGCCTGGGCAACAGAGCAAGACTCCATCTCAAAAAAAAAAAAAAAAAAAAAAAAAGACTACACCTTGGGTAGAATGTACACTGTTCAGGTCATGGGTCCCCCAAAATCACAGAAATCATCACTAAAGAACTTATCCATGTAACCAAACACCATGTGTTCCCCAAAAACTACTGAAATAAAAATTAAAAATATAGTTAAAAAGAACGGGTGAAGTTAGCCAGTTGTGGGTGCACATGCCTGTAGTCTCAGCTACTGGGGAGGTTGAAATGGGATGCTTAAGCCTAGGGGTTTCAGTCCAGCCGGGCAACATAGCGAGACCCCATCTAAAAAAAAAAAAAAGAAAGAAAAGAAAGACGGCCGGGCACGGCGGCTCACGCCTGTAATCCCAGCACTTTGGGAGGCTGAGGCAGGTGGATCACGAGGTCAGAAGATCGAGACCATCCTGGCTAACATGGTGAAACCCCGTCTCTACTAAAAATACAAAAAATTAGCCAGGTGTTGTGGCGGGCGCCTGTAGTCCCAGCTACTCTGGAGGCTGAGACAGGAGAATGGCGTGAACCCGGGAGGCGGAGCTTGCAGTGAACCGAGACAGCGCCACTGCACTCCAGCCTGGAAGACAGAGTGAGACTCTGTCTCCAAAAAAAAAAAAAAAACCTAAAGACAAGAAGGGGTGAAGTCAACTGCTGGGCTTTTTTGTTTCTCTAGCCATTGTGAAGACAGGAGTGAGTTGCCAGATTGGCATATGTTGCATCCCACTGAAGGCTAGTGGACATGAATCTCTAGGGAACAGTCTCCCCACTGCATACTTTCTTCAGCTGTGCTTGGCTGTTTGGGAGCTAACAAAGAGAAAAGGTGCATTTGGATTCACACAGCGTTGGTATTCTTACCAAATCCATGTGACAAAAAGGCAAGGGGGCAAAAGAGCTTACAGTAGTGGCAAGAGTGTTGTTAAAATTATAGATTATGGAAAATATGCAGGCCTAGAAGTAAACAAAGGAGAAAGCCCTCAGACTGTGAGAAAGTGGAGAAGTCAGTGGCCTAGAGCTACCAAAAAGGTAGAAGAGGGGCCACGGAGGGGCCATGCAAGTCTGCAGACACTTTTGTTTTCAGACACCTTTATTCACGTCCAAGACAATCAGGGAAGGGGATAATGTTCGGTTTAGAAGGTAGAAAAACACAACTGGGATCTGCAGCTTTGAAGCCACAAGTAGATTCATATCTCCGGTCCACCACTTACAAGATATGTGACCATGGACATTGATTTACACTTTTTGAGTCTGTTTTCCCTTTTTTAAAATTAGGAGAATAATACTATCTTATAATTGGTGTGAGGATTTAAAGAGATAATGCATGTAAAGCGCTTAACACAGTGCCTGGCACACAGTAAGAGCTGAACACATGATGTTACTGTTATATTTGGAAGAGAAACCAAGGCAGGGGTACAATGAGGACAACTCTGAGCGCCGAAGTACTGTAAGGTGGAACTTTTGGATAGCTAGGCGCATGCGTCTGTCTATGGGCGCTCTCCTAGCGAGGACGCTGCGCATGCGCCGGAAGTTGCAGCCGGGAAGCCTGCGAGGTCGGTTCCGCCCGACTCTAACATGGCGGCGCCCTTTGTCTGCTCTGGAGTGCCGTCCCCGGCCTTCTCGCGGCCGTGATGCACCTCCCTCTGCGGTGGGGTCCGGGACATGGCAGGTGAGTGTCAACAATCGCCCGGGGCCGGGGAAGTCCCGGGAGCCGGGGCGGAGGCGGCGGAGGATGGGGCGCGGTGGGACGCCGGTGACGGTTGTGTGGGGGAGGGGAGGGAAGTGGAATGGGACGCCAACCGGGGCTGAGGGGACACCGCTGGGCGGGAGATTGTGGGGTGGCGGGGCGGGGGGCGTCGCCGGGCGTGCTGGCGGGGAGTGGGCGGCCAGGCGACCGCCCGGGCGAGGGGGCGCGTGTCACCTCCCGGGCTGGATGACACCCCAGCTGGTAGCATCTCCGCCCCCGCCGCACGGCTGTCACCGCCCCTTGACCCCGCGCGCTGTCGAGGGTGGGCGTTCTGCGGCCGCGAGGGAGCGCAGTGCCGGGGCAGCTCCTGTCGGCCGGCCGGGGCGGGAGGGAGCGGGGCTGCCCGGGCCTAGGAGGAGCTGACAGAGGAGGCCGACGCTGTCCCTGTATAAAAGCATTTCATTCATTCATTCGTACTGCGGACGGTGGTTCAGCACCTGATAGATGGTGAAGCTAGAGCGAGTGATGCGGGCGGACTCGATCCTCCAGGATCCTCGATCCTGGAGTTAGGAGTGTGAACCGTGGAGCCCAGCAGCGGGGTTTGAATCCCCATTCCCTGCTGTGACCTTAGGCACTTTTGGCTTTTTCTCTCTGCCTGGGTTTATTCATCCTTTAAGCAGAGATGATAATAAAATCAGCCTCCTAAGATTGTAATAAAGGGGAAATGAGGCTCCTAGAACACTTATGGGTACAAAGTAAATGCTGTGTGTTTGTTGCTGTTATTAATTGTATCACCATTGTCACCCAGAGCTCAGAGACCCATGTGGGAGACATACAGGTAAATCAGCAATTCTGATACTGCTGCGAGGGCAGAAAGCCCTCCTTCCTCTGAAGCACGGAGTAGAGACACATCACTCAGCCTAGGGGGAATCCCGGGAGGCTTCTGTCCCCCAGAAAGCTAAGATCTAAGGGAAGCTCAGCGGAGTGAGGCAGGAAAACGGGTATTCCCAGTTAAGGGTGTAGTTTGTGAGAAAACTCATCTTCGTAGAGAGAGGAGAGAGAGATCAGGCTAAATAAAGAAGCAGACTGGGCCGGGCTCGTTGTCTCACGCTTGTAATCTCAGCACTTTGGGAGGCCCAGGCGGGCAGATCACTTGAGGTCAGGAGTTCGAGA
Source organism: Homo sapiens (assembly GCF_000001405.40). Taxonomy (NCBI): domain Eukaryota; kingdom Metazoa; phylum Chordata; class Mammalia; order Primates; family Hominidae; genus Homo; species Homo sapiens. The sequence continues at coordinate 15,974,791 of NC_000001.11, read as the reverse complement.
CCAGCCTGGCCAATATGGTGAAACCCCCGTCTCTACTAAAAATACAAAAATTAGCCGGTCGTGCTTGCGCGCGCCTGTAGTCCCAGCTGCTCAGGAGGCTGAGGTATGAGAATCGCTCGAACGCAGGAGGCGGAGGTTGCAGTGAGCCGAAACGGCGCCACTGCACTCCAGCCTGGGCGACAGAGCGAGATTCCGTCTCAAAAAAGAAAAAAAAAAAAAGCAGCAGCAAGCTGTGGTCTGGTCTTAGGGGACGTTGTAAACCTAGTTAAGGACTTTAAACTTTAGGTTAATGGGAAGCCATTTAAGAATCAGATCTGTGGCCAGGTGCGGTGGCTTACTCTGTAATTCTAGCACTTTGGGAGGCCAACGTGGGATGATCATTTGAGCCCAGGAGTTTGAGACAAGCCTGGGCAACATGGCAAGACCCCATCTTTATTAAAAGAAAAAAAAAAAAAAAGGAAAAAAAAAATAGCCGGGCATGGTGGAGTACACCTCTGGTGGTCCCAGCTTCTTGGAAGGCTGAGGTGGGAGGATTCTTTTATTTCCAGCCTGAAATAAAAGAATCAGGTTTTTTTTGTTTTTGTTTTTGTTTTTTTTTTTTGAGACTACGTCTTGCTCTGTCACCCAGGCTGGAGTGCAGTGGCAGCATAATCATAGTTCACTGCAGCCTTGATCTGAACTCAAGTGATCCTTCTGCCTCAGCCTCCCAACTAGCTGGGACTACAGGCGTGCACCATAACACCTGGCTAATTTTTTAAATTTTTAGTAGAGATGGGGTCTCACTATGTTGCCCAGACTGGTCTCGAACTCTTGGCCTCAAATGATCCTCCCGCCTCAGCCTCCCAAAGTACTGGGATTATAGGCATGTGCAACCATGCCTGGCCACGAATCAGATTTGTGGATTAGGAAGATCACTCTGGCTAAGTGAAGAATGTATCAAAGGGAGTGGGCCTGTAGGCCAATTAAGAGCCTGCTAGAATAATCCAAGTGAGAAATAAAGGTGTGAGTTAAAGGCAGAGAGTGAGGAGAGATGGTTTTAGCGATAGAATTGACACAATTTGGTGATTAGTTTGATGAGAGTTAGGGGCAGGGAGGAGTCAGGATCACCCCAGTTTTTGACTGATGGGTGTTGGATGCTGCTCCATGTGATAGGGAGCAGTACGGGGAGCAGATCTGGGGGAGGGCAGATATGTTTAGTTTTGAACATGTTGGAGTTGGATGCCTGTAAAACATTCAAGTGCACCTGTTCAGCTAGTAGTTATCACCATCAAAGGTCACTGAAGTCATGGGAGGGGATGAGCTCACCTAGGGTAGGGTATGCAATGAGAAACAAAGTGTCCAGGATATCCCAGAGCAGTGCCAATGCTGCAGTAATGCTTGGATACAAACCTTGTCGTTTTTCCTTCTTAACATTGTGTCCTGTCTCTTATTGAGCTGGAGTTCTTGAGAGCAGGGCCTGAGGCTGAGTCTGTGCATCTTTGTGTCCCAGTGTCAGCATGCTATCTGGCACAGAGCAGGCCATTTATTCAGCACTTCCTTGGGCCAGGCTCTGTGCTAAGCACTCTGTATTTGTCTATGTTTGATGGATGCATGAAAAGGCAGCTCTGAGGGAGCAGGTACCCTTTAGGTTCTCATCAGATTTTCCACTTGTGTGTCATTGATTCAGGTAATGAGCCGGACGAGGGGAGCCAAGCTGGAGTTTACACAGGCAAACTGTCAGAAAAGAGTAGCCTGGGCTGTCTGGAAATCTGAGGTATGTCTGTAATACTCAAGGATGAAACAAATCAGATCAGTTTGTCCTTTTTCTCTAGGTTCAACATGATTCAAATGATTCTTTCCTGATAGCCTTTTCTTCAAAATTATATAGTAATGACAAAATCCCAGTTACAGTTTGGTTGGGAAATTGTTGATCTTACTATTATTGTTTTACCTGCAGAGAGAGGCCAGAGTGGATGATCACTGGGCAATGCTCACGCCTTTAGTTAGGTGAAATCTACAGTGGTGGAAACAGAAGTTTATTCCTTGCTCCTTAACATTCTGGAAGTACACAGTCCAGAGCTGGTAGCACAGCTTGCTGTGTTCTGTGAGATCATCTGGGAGCAGGATTCCTTTGATAATGTGGCTTTTCTTGCTCAAACTTAGGCTTCCATCTCATGGTCCAAGCTGGCTGCTGTAGCTCCTGCCATCATGTATGATCTCCCTAGGGCAAAAAGGGACACAGAGCAGCGAGCACACACTCATTCCTTTTAAAGTTCTAATGTTTAAGGTGGGATTTTTGTGCAACATGGTTCCCAAACATAAGCCAGTTCCTGCATCTGGTGCACAGCTAAAGAACAGATTGTGACTGTTTCAGTGCTGGAGAAAAAGCTGGCTGAGAGAACCTGCTCTGTCCTCAGTCTGTCTGGATTACTCTCTTGGGGGTGTGATCCCAGCCTGAGGGGAGGTCCACTGAGTCCCCAAGGCAGGCTGCTCTGGCTTTGGGTAGGTTTACAGGGCTTGGGCCCAGGGAGGCCAGGCTTGTTTATCCATTCATTGTTTCTGTGCCCAACATGTGTCAGGCATTGTGCTGGGTGCTAGGGATGCTGGCACAAGTAAGACTGAATCCCGGGAGCAGGTGCTCCCAGCCATGTGTATCCTCACAATGCAATGCAGGAAATACCTTGGAGGGCTGGTGGAGGGTGTGCGCACACAGGGAGGATGCACTGGCGCTGGAAGGCTTTCCTGAGGGGGTGAAGATGTTGCAAACCGCGCATTTTGGACTGATCACTGTAAAATTCCCCTTGGACAGGTAGAGGCAGCTAGGACTCTGGGGTCAGGTGTGAATCTGCCCTCCCGTTGAGTGGCTCTGTGTCCTGACAGTCAGTTCCTTCTGAAACTGTGTCCCAAAGAGTTAAAAAAAAAAAAAGTAATGACTATTAATTTTCCTAATCACAAGATTGTCTTCTGACACATCAGACAGCAAGCCTTTTACTCAGTTTCATTGCTGAGCCTCAGTTTCCTCATCTGTAAAATAGGGATGACAGAATTGTTTGGAGAATTACATGAGGACAGGCAGGTAATTCACAGAATTGTCTGGAGAATTACATGAGGTCAGGCAGGTAATTCACAGGGTTTGCTGCATAGTGCAGCACTCCCCAACCTTTTCGTTTTTTTTTTTCTGTCAGCAAAATATATATTTTATATATATAGTGTATATATATAGTGTGTGTGTATATATATATAGTGTGTGTGTATATATATAGTGTGTGTGTATATATATAGTGTGTGTGTATATATATAGTGTGTGTGTATATATATATAGTGTGTGTATATATATAGTGTGTGTGTATATATAGTGTGTGTGTATATATATAGTGTGTGTGTATATATATATAGTGTGTGTGTATATATATAGTGTGTATATATATATAGTGTGTGTATATATATATATTGTGTGTGTATGTACATATATATATATACATACACACATACAGAGAGAGAGAGAGATTTCCCCCACCCACCCACCTACCTACCCAAAACATGTGTCTTAGTGTTTGATTTTTTTTTTTCATACACACAGAATAGGGAATTTCAGAATTTTTACATACATTTTAGCAAACAAGTTTTGATCTATTGGCTTCTTGGTGCAGTAATGGTGCCAAAGGCTCATACTATTACAAGGAAGTTGTGAACACTGATTTCTCAGGAGGTGAGGCCAGCCCCACATGAACTTCTCTTGCATCCCTCTGGTCCACCATGATACATAACTACTTAGACTTTTTTTTTCCCTCTATTGAATCATTAGATATTAAAAATGGAACAACAGAGTCACAAAGGGCCACATGCTTTTCAGTAGAAAGCATTCTCCTTCTCTAGGTTGCTATCACAGTGCAGACCTGACTGCCTGAATATGCTCAGGAGATTTAGTCAGTATTGTCTGTATTTGGTTATGGAAAAGGCTCTCCTGGCTGGGCGCGGTGGCTTACGCCTGTAATCCCAGCACTTTGGGAGGCTGAGGTGGGTGGATCACGAGGTCAGGAGATCGAGACCATCCTGGCTAACATGGTGAAACTCCGTCTCTACTAAAAATACAAAAATTAGCTGGGCGCAGTGGCAGGCGCCTGTAATCCCAGCTACTCAGGAGTCTGAGGCAAGAGAATCACTTGAACCTGGGAAGCGGAGGTTGCAGTGAGCCGAGATCACGCCACTGCACTCCAGCCTGGGTGACAGAACGAGACTCCATCTCAAGAGAAAAAAAAAAAATTAGCTGGGTGTGGTGGTGGGTGCCTGTAGTCCCAGCTACTCGGGAGGCTGAGGCAGGAGAACCCGGGAGGCGGAGGTTGCAGTGAGCTGAGATCACGCCACTGCATTCTAGCTTAGGTGACAGAGTGAGACTCTGTCTCAAAAATAAAACAAAAAGGCTCTTCCTTTTTTTTTTTTTTCTTCTTTAAGTCCAAAGTGCATAGTGAGAGCAAATCAAAACTTTTTTTATTTTTCCTTCTCAGCATCAGTTTCATGTGAGCATCTTCCCATGAGGGCTGCTCAGATGTCTCGCCTTTGTCCTCCTCACCCTTCAAAAATAAGTGAGAGTCAAGCAATTTAGACATTTATCAGCTTGGCAAATAAACTTGGCAGCAAATAGAAGTCCTACTATTGTAAAGAAATTGATAAGACAAAAGGTACATATGATGACCCAACTACTGTGGTGTTGGGTAATTTATAAGGTTGACCTCTGACTTCATTGATGTAAAATCCTATTGGAAATATGACGGCAGCCATACAGAAAAGCATCATCCCAGTGAATGCTATCCATCGAACATATTTTGTAGCTTCTCTTCCCCAGTGGGAAGCCACCAGCAAACCACATGTGACAATCAATGGGAGGGCAGATTCACACCTGACTCCAGAGTCCTAGCTGCCTCCGTCTGTCTAAGGGGAATTTTACAGTCAATGAAATGATTCCCATGATGATAAAAAACAGCATGGTGACCCACTCCAGGGGAAGCTGGGGAGGGATGCACATCCCCTCTCGTCCACGCATTGTTTGACACTGTCCCATGAGGCCCACAGTGAGTGCTCCCACAGACTCCCTGGTGTTGAGCCAGTCTGGGTTGGTGATGCTGGCGATGGCGAAGATATTGGCAGTCAGAAAGAGACATCCTGAGATAATGGTCAATTTATCATCTCCCTGCCCTGCTCCCCCCACCCTCCGAGGCCCAGGCAGGCAGCGGCCTCACACTTCCCACCCCATGAGCGGCCTCTGGGACCTGGAGTCCCCACACTACTGCCTCGTGCCCCCTCGGCCCCCGTGCACCTAGGACCACCAGCCGTGGCATGGCCCGCAGCCCCCAACCTTTTTGGCACCAGGGACCGGTTTTGTAGGAGACAATTTTATCACAGAAAGGGGGCTGAGGGGTGGGGGGTGGGAGGTGGTTTCAGGTTGACTTAAACACCTTACATTTATTATGTACTTTATTTCTATTACTATTACATTGTAATATATAATGAAATAATTGTACAACTCACCATCATGTAGAGTCAGTGGGAGTCCTGAGCTGCTTTTCCTGCAACTAGACGATCCCATCTGGGGTTGATGGAAGACAGTGACAGATCATCAGGCATTAGATTTTCATGAGAAGCTCACAACCTAGATCCTTCACATGTGCAGCTCACAATAGGGATTGAGCTCCTGTGAGTATCTAATGCTGCTGCTGATCTGACAGGAAGCGGAGCTTAGGTGGTAATGGCAAGTGATGGGGAGCGGCTGTAAATACAGGTTGAAGCTTCGCTCACTTGCGTGCTCACTCGCCCGCCACTCACCTGCCATGTAGCCCACTTCCTAACAGGCCACGGACCAGCAGTGGTTTGTGGCCCAGGGGTTGGGAACCCCTGGTATAGTGGACATTTATGAAATGTTACTTACCTCCTGCTGCAAGGTACAGGCTGGTTGGAAGCTGGAGGCCAGTCAGGTTTGAAGTTGAGGAAGGCCCAAACCTGTGGGGACGCCAGGTTGCCATCCTGCCCTGTGGCAGGGGCTATCCAGGTTGTGCATGGACAGTCAAGGACTACTCTGTGCCCCTTCTGTTTTCTGGGAGAGTTCCCCCAAGCTTTCTAATTAAAGTCATCAAACCTTGGCTACTCAGAGACCATATCCTGAGAGATCTGGTAAGGGGTGTTTTGAGGATTCTCTCTGCCTGTTTAATTCCTTCAAGTTCAGATGCTTCTGGGAAGCCTTTTCTGAGCCATTCCCAGTTCCCCCAACCCAAGTGAGTTTGGAGCCCCTCCCCTGCGACTTCTTAGCATCCTGTTTTTGATCTCTATTAACACATTTTCACCTCAATTATGATCCGAGGCTTCCTTGCCTGCCTTCCCATGAGACCGCCAGCATCTTGGATGCAGGACAGGGTCTTATTTATCCTGGTACTGCCACTGTGTAGCTTGTTTCCTGGCACACAGCTGGCGCTCAGCAAGTGTCGGATGAGTGGATGATCAGCCTTGATTGGCTGAGGAGGAACTGGCATTTGGGGCTGGAGAAAACTCCATGTAATTGAGGGCTGAGCATGCTTCTTGTTTATTGGGCATTTGGCTGTCATATGGGAAATAGACATGGTGAACTCTGACCTTAACTGTGAGAGTTTTGGTCAGAAGATGGTTTCTCTGTCTTTTTGTCTTGTTCCAGTATAGCAGGGTTTCTCAACCTTGACACTTCTGACATTTGGGGCCAGATAAGTCTTTGTTGTGGGGGGTGGGTTTCTGTAGCGTCTCTGGCCTCTCCCCATAGATGCCAGTGGTAACTCTTCTCCAGTGGTGACACCCCAGAATGTCTCCAGATATTGCCAAATATCTCCTGGCACAAAATCACCCCCAGTTAAGAAACCCCTGCAGTATAGGGTAGCAGTTAGGAACACAAACTCCTAAGCCAGGCGTATGTGGGCTTATGTTTGCTTCTTATAATTACTAGCTGTATGCCCTTGGGCAAAGTACTTGACCTTTCTAACCCTCAGTTTCCTCAGTTGTAAAATGTGGATAATAGTTACCTTGAATATAACTTTATTGGGTGGAATTATTAATAAGGTCATGCATGTAAAGTGCTTAGTCGAGTCCCTGGCTCCATAATTACTGTTATTTGATAGAAGACTCTTGAGGGTCAAAAAAGAAAATATGCAGAGTTTAGGAAGAAAACAACATTTACTATGGGAATGCATGCACAAGGTAGAAAAATCAGAAGGTTCTCAAGCGTGTACCTGTGGAAAGTAAGTTACCCCCCTCTCCTCCCAGGAAACTTTTTTTTTTTTTGGTAGAGACAGAATCTCGCCGTGTTGCCCAGGCTGGTCCCAAACTCCTGGGCGCAAGCAATCCATCTATCTCAGCCTTCCAAAGTGCTGGTATTATAGGCTTGAACCACCAAACCCAGCCTCATATAACACTTTTTTTTTTTAATTAGGGCCTTGCTCTGTGGCCAAGGCTAGAGAGCAGTGGAGCTGTCATAGCTCACTGCAGCCTCGACCTCCCTGGCTCAAGCGATCTTCCTGACTCAGCCCCCCAAGTAGCTGGGACTACTAGCACACACCACCACACCTAGCTAATTTTTCTGTTTTTTGTGGAGATAGGGTTTCGCCACGTTGCCCAGGCTGGTCTTGAACTCCTGGGCTCAAGTGATCCACCTACCTGCGCCATCCCAAAGGACTGGGATTACAGGTGCGAGCAGGGGTGGTGTCCTGTGGGGTGACCCATTGTTGGGTTTGACATCACAGTAGGGAGGGACCTCAACTTTAATGAAAACAAAAAACTCCAAATACATTTTATGTACAAAACATATTGTCCTGGAGATCATAATCTACTTCTTTTGCTGGCCACGGCTTTTTTTTTTGTTTTTTAATTAATTAATTAATTAATTTAATTTTTGAGACAGGGTCTCGCTCTTTCGCCCAGGTTGGAGTGCAGTGCTGGGATTATAGCTCACTGCAGCCTCGACCTCCAGGGCTCAAGCGATCCTCCCACCTCAGCCTCCCGTGGCCACAATTTTTAAATGGTTGAAATAATAGAGGTCAGAGAGTAAGTACTGTGGCTCATTGAACCTTGCTGCGTGTGTGTGGAATGCCAGCACAGAGAATCCTTATGGACATCAATAGTTTGACAGTCCCAGGGTGATTAAGGTTGACCTCAGTAATGCAGTCAGCACAGATACGTGTAGAAAACTGGGGCTTAGGCTCTTGGATTCAAACGTGCTTGTTATGAATTGAAGAGAGATGGTTCGTAGGGCTGGGCTTCAAAGGAAGGAAGCAAAGGGCATGGTTAGAACTGAGAGTTGTTCACTCATATCTAAACAGCAGTGTGGACAGAGGCTCAGAGGTGGGAATTCCCGCTGCGAGTGGAGAGCGGGCCAGAAAGCAGGCTTAGTGGGTTCATTGTAACATCAAAAATCTACTCAGCTTCTGGTCTTGAAAGGTCTGGCAGTAGAATCTGTTCTCCCCACCCCAGCCGCACCACTTCCTATACTGGAACTTATTAACCTAAGCAGTCACTTTCCTGTCCCGAGTGGCAGGCTCCACTCGAATTTCGCCAGCCTGCCCCATGGGAAGCTGTATCACCAGAGCTCAGAGAGCAAAGCACTTCTCATTTCTGTAGTCTCGGGGCCATGTGGGCCCCTCAGGGATTTTCCCCCGTTACTGTGACTCAGTCAGCAGCCCAAATTAATGCTTGGCAAATGATTTAAAGTAAGAAAGAACTTGTTTAATTTTGTAAATCGTTTTTGTTAAATGTTGACTCCATACAAAAGAATGTGTTCAGTGTAAAGAATAAGGATACAAGAAACATCTTCCATGTACCCATTACCCAGTTTCCAAAAAGAACTTACTGTTACCTTTGGAGTCCCCTGTGTCCCCTCCCTGATCTCACCCGGCCCAAGTCATCCCTGAGTTTTGCTTTTATCACTCTTGCTTTTCTTTATAGTTTTACCATGTGTTTGTATTGCTAAACAATGTACCGTTTAATTCTGCAGGTTTTTGAACTTAATATAATCATATTGTTTTCTTCAGTGCCTTGACATTAATCCACGTTGCATAGAGTGGTATTTCATTTTCACAGATGAATAATGTTCCATTGTATGAGAATTTATTTATCCTTTCTATTACTGGTGGACATTTGGGTTGTTTCCAGTATTTTGCTGAGACAAACAGTGCCACTGTTCACATTCCCGGGACATGTATGCACAGCCTCTCCAGGGACTGCAGCTGGGAGTGGAGTCACAGGGTATGTGCGTCTTCAACTTAACAAATAATGCCAAGTTGTTGCCAAAACTGTTTCCCCAGTTTACCCTTCAACAATTCCGTTTGCCTCATATCCTCTCAACAATGGTATTTTCAGACTTCAACATTTTTACTAATCTGGTGGGCGTACAATGACATCTCATGTGGTTTTGATTTGCATTTTCCTGGTTCTGAGTTGGGCATCTTTTCGTTGCTTACTGATCATTCAGATTTCATCTTCTCGGAAACAACAGATTGTCTTGCTCATTTTTCTATTGGGTGGTTTGTAGACATTTTGTTAGTTTTTTGTTTTTTATTTCTTATTTTGGATACTAATTCTTTGTCAGTTATATGTGTTATAACTACCTACTTCCAGTTTGTGGCTTGTCTTTTCACTGTAGGATATTGTTTTTTGTTTTTGATGAGCAGAAATTCTTTTTTTTTTTTTTTTGATACGGAGTCTCACTCTGTTGCCCCGGCTGGAGTGCAGTGGCGCGATCTCAGCTCACTGCAAACTCCGCCTCCCAGGTTCAAGCGATTCTCCTGCCTCAGCCTCCTGAGTAGCTGGGATTACAGATGCGTGCCACCACGCCTGGCTAATTTTTTTTTATTTTTAGTAGACGGGGTTTCAGCATCTTGGCCAGGCTGGTCTTGAACTCCTGACCTCATGATCCACCCATCTCGGCCTCCCAAAGTGCTGGGATTATAGGCGTGAGCCACCGTGCCCGGCCTGTTCTCTGTTTAAATACCACACTGACTTGTAAAATACATCATTTTAGAAAACTGGTGAACTGGTGTCTAGTAAATCCTTGGCCCATTGCTCTTCCATTTTCATTTTATTTTTTTCTGAGACAGGGTCTCGCTCTGTCACCCAGGCTGTAGTGCAGTGGTGTGATCTTGGCTCACTACAGCCTTGACCTCCCAGGCTTAAGCTATCCTTCCGCCTCAGCCTCCCAAGTAGCTGAGACTAGAGGCACACGCCACCACGCTCAGCTATTTTTGTCTTTTTTGTAGAGACAGGGTTTCACCATGTAGCCCAAGCTAGTCTTGAATTCCTGGGCTCAAGCAATCCTCCCACCTCAGCCTCCCAACGTGTTGGGATTACAGGCGTGAGCCATCTTGCCTGGCCCCATTGTCATGTTAGATTACATTTGTCAAATGCCATAAAAATTGTTGGTATGTTTTATTAGAATTTGCATTGAGTTTATAATATATAAATTTGGGTAGAGCTGACATTTTTATGATGTTGAGTCATCTGATCCATAAATGTGGTATAGCTTTCAATTTACATAACTTATCAAAGTCTAAATTTAGTCAGTGTCTTTATACCTTACTCTCAAACAGTGAGGACCTGAGAACACTTTAATTGCTATCACTTTCTCTTCCACTTTTATTCTGTGGGTGTGCATTTTAGTTCTTTTTAAACCTTTTTTTTTTTTTCTCTCTAGAGACAGGGTCTCGCTGTTGTCCAGGCTGGAGTGCCGTGGCACAATCGCAGCTTACTGCAGCCTGGACCTTCTAGGATTATGCAATCCTCCTGCCTCAGCTTCTCGAGTAGCTGGGATCACAGGCACTCGCCACCACACCCTGCTAATTTTTACTTTTTACTTTTTTTTTTTTGGTAAAGACAGGGTCTCTTTTGGTAAAGACAGGCTGGTCTTGAACTCCTGGGCTCAAGCACTCCTCCTGCTTTGGCCTCCCAAAGTGCTAGGATTAGAGGTGTGAGCCACTGTGCCAGTCCTTTTACAACTTTTATGAGCATCATTAGTTCAGCATTTGTTTAGGTTTGCTCACTTATATATATACTACTTTCATTGTTCTTCCTTCCTTCTTGCATTTAATACTTTTCTTTCTGGGATCACTTTCATCTGCCTGAAATATGTGTTTCATAAGGTGTAAATTTGGGCTGTAGTCCTTTTGGGGGACTGCTAATCATTATACATTCTCAGGGAAGATTTTTCCCTCCTCTGTTCAGCACCAAGATTTGATATAGGCAGTTTCTGTATTGTCTTCTTTCCACCAAGGTTCAGTGAGACCTCCCTCTGGGGATGGGGTGGAGGGTGGGGCTCAAGCTTGCCCAGTTCTGCAAATGTCTTTTCTTGAAACCTGGTTTCAAAGCTCCACTTGCTCTCTGGATTTCAACCCTTGTTTAGATGTGTTTTGACCTCTCAGTATTACTTACTGACCTATCAGTTCTTTGATACATTTTATTTTATTTTTAACTCCTCTTACTATCATTCCCAATCTTTAATGCATTTTAAAAGATGTCTTATCATTTTTAGTCAGCATTTGTGGCTGTTTGCGGTGGGAGAATTGGCCAGGGCACCTTTGCCAGAAATGGAGTTGTTTCATAGTTTTCATTTTGCAGTTCATCTGGCAGCAGCAAACTGTGAATATATTAATGCTTAGTAATGTTCACTTCTGGATTGTGTGAGTCTTTTAAAATTAATTAATTTATATATTCTTTAGAGATGGGTTCTCACTATCTTGCCCAGGGTAGTCTCAAACTCTGGGGCTCAAGCAATCTGCCTGCCTTGGCCTCCCACAGTGTTGGGATTACAAGTGTGAGCCACTGTGCCCAGCCTTGGATTTGCTTTATTTTTTTATTTTTTTTAGAAACAGGGTCTCGCTGTTGCTCAGGCTGGAGTGCAGTGGTTACTCATAGGTGCAATCAAAGCTCACTACAGCCTTGAACTCCCGGCCTCAAGTGATCCTCCTGCTTCAGCCTTTCGAGTAGCTGGGACTACAGTCATGTGCCACCGTAGCCAACCACTGCTGGGTTTTATACGATGTTTTATCGCACTCATTAGTATAAGGAAGAGAGATTGTTATGTGCCTGTGATGACAGAGAATTTGTCCATTTGGTACAGGCTCAGGATCTGTTGAACCCGGTATTCTGTTTGTCCACAGAAGTTTTGTCCTTTTCTATAGCGGAAAGGGCACAGTTTTTAGAGTGTGATGGATTTGGCCTTGAATGTGGGCAGGGCTGTGCAACCTAGGTCAGCAACAACTTCTTAAACTGTGATTTGCTCATCTGCTCAATGGGGGTGACTGTATTAGTCCCCCCTCCCAGGATCATTGTGAGCACTGGTGAGGCGGCATGAAACACTGTGCGTGCGGCACCACAGCAGCTCTGGCCCTGACTCCCTTCATGGCTGCTGTGGGTTATGGTCTATTTGCAAGGGAAGCAACCAGCCCGTGAGTTTCTCTTGCCAGTAACCTCCTCTGGAGTCTCAGCAGATGGAGCTGTTAGTAGCAAGGCTGAGTTTCCTCTCTGCACAGGGCACAGTTCCACCCACAGTCCCTTATCAGGAATCACAATTTTTATTTCATTTTATTTTATTTTTTATTTTATTCAAGATAAGGTCTCGCACTGTCACCCGAGCTGGAGCAGCAGTGCCACAATCTCAGCTCACTGCAGCCTCAACCTCCCAGGCTCAAGTGATCCTTCCACCTCAGCCTCCCGAGTGGCTGGGACCATAGACACCTGCCACCACACCCGGCTAAATTATTTTGGATTTTTTGTAGAGACGGGATCTCACCATGTTGCCCAGGCTGGTCTCCAACTCCTGAACTTAGGCAATCCTCCTGCCTCAGTCTCCCAAAGTGCTGAGATTACAGGCACGCGCCACCTCTCCCGGTTTACTGATAAAGCATATATATTAACATCGTAAAATATACTTCTCCACTGGGACCCCCACCCCATGTCGTCACCCCATGTCGTCACTAGCTGTGCCTCCGTCTCCATCCCATTCCCCCCACCTCCCTGGTCTTACTAGGACCAGGAGCCAGGTCACACTTGGGGGTGGTCTCCAGGTTTCTCTCAGAAGTTTGCACTTCAAAGCGGCTGGCGGGTGGGAGCAGCTTTGCTGATTGATCGCTGCCGCAGGTGGTAGGGATTTGAGGGGCTGGAGGTCAGCAGCGCTGTTTGTTGAAGGGCGAGCCCTGGGCCCCTGAGCCTCTCCTAATCCTCACTGGGCTGCTTCTAAAAACTCTGCTGTAGGACAGCACTTCCGCATCCGTTTTTAAAACTCACTGGAAACTGAGACATTGAGTCTTGACCACTGATTATCCAGGCCCAACTTACAGCTTCAGGATCCCCAAAATATTACTCTAAAATATTCTTACTCGTTTAGTTTTTTCCCAGTGAAGTTTTACAGAATCTTAGCTTAATCCTATTTGGAATAGGAAATATAAAATCTGATGTTGGCTTCTGCCATATGTATTTCATAGTTGGTGTTTATATCCTATACAGTTAATGTTCATAGTTGGAAATCTTAAAGATAATACTGTAGGGAAAGTTTTAAATGGAAAAAAGTCTGCTAACTGCTAGGTAAATGCCTCATTTTAATTGTCACACTGTATCTGTTATACTTCGAATGCATGGCAGCCTCATTAATGAAATCATTCATTCATTTATTCAACATTTCTTAAATCTTTTTTCTTTTTTTGAGACGGGGTCTCACTCTGTTGCCCAGGCTGGAGTGCAGTGGTGCAATCACTGCTCACTGCAGCGTTGACCTTGTGGGCTTAAGTGATCCTCCCGCCTCTGCCTCCCAAGTAGCTGGGACCACAGGCATGCACCAGCACGCCTGGCTAATTTTTGTATTTTTTTCTGGAGATGGGGTCTCACCATGTTGCCCAGGCTGGAGCATGTATTACATCTTAACACTACAAGGGACCTTGGCAGTTACCTAATCCTAATGAGGATACAAACCCAGAAAAAGTCAGTCACACTTGAAGAGCCTGTGCACACATGGAAGTCCAGCTACATCCATTTCCAGTTCTTACTTAACCTGCTTTTTTCTTTTGGCTTGAATTCTTGATCTTCAAGAGCATCATGGGCCATCCGGCCCTTCCTTTGTGATTGTTCTTCTTCCTCAGTGAGAGCCTCTTTGCTCCTGCAGTCCTTGTGTCCTTTGTAGAAAGAAGGTGGCGGTTACCATCAAGTATTAAGCATTTATGCCTTTGATTCTGATTCCTGTCGAGTGGAGTAAGCACTGCAGTGTGGGGGGCCTTTTCCTGGTCTTTTTTCAGGTTGAAACTTGATGGGTGCCCTGATTACTGATGAGATTTTTACATCCGTTTTCAGAAGATAGGATAAGGATGACAGCATTGGGCTCTCTTCTTTCTATATAGTTTTTTTCTTTTTTAAAAAATTAAGAACAAGTTCAAGCCAAATGTTTTCTATAATTTATCAGCCTTGCTGGCTTGGGTTTATATGTAATGATAGAATGATGATGGCCAGCAGTAGCTTTATGAAGAAGAAACTTTTGTCATCATCTCCATTTTACAGAAGAGGAATTGAGGTGCAGAGATTGTGCCTGCAGAGATTGTGCAGAGTTAAGTGCCTGCCTGAGGCACTTAACTAGCTTCGGCTGGATTTGGAGGTAGGAGTGTTTTAACTGGGTCCTGGGAGCAGCAAGCCCCCCACAGTTGCGTGTTGAATTGCGTGTGCATGTGTCCCTGGGAGAAGGACTTCAGTGTCGTCGCAGTGTCAGGGGGCTTCCTCTGTTTGAGCACGAGGACACCAGCTGTGGTGCTCGGGGCGTCCCCTCAAGGAATTTCTGCTCATATTGTTTTCCTGAGTGATACATTGATTCTCTGTGCACATTACCACAATTTTCCATTTCCCTCATGAGAAATTTTTTCCTTTGAGAAGTTTTCAGTCACTAGGTCTTGTAGAAAATGTCTTAAAGATTTTATGATAGATAGAAATAAAGGACTTAGGTCTCTGACTTTGCAGGCATTTATTTTCTTTCTTTCTTTTCTGTCTTTTTTATTTTTATTTTTTGACAGAGTTTTGCTCTGTTGCCTATGCTGGAGTGCAGTGGTGTGATCATAGCTTGCTGCAGCCTCAAAACTCCTGGGCTTAAGTGATCCTCCCACCTCAGCCTCCCAGATAGCTGGGACCTCCCTCCCTCCCTTCCTCTCCTCCCTCTCCTCCCTCCTTCCCTCTGTCTACTCTCTCCCTCTCCTCCTTCTCTTCCCTGTTGCTTCCTCCTTTCCTCCCTCCCTCTCCTCCCTCCCTTCCTCCCTCCCTCCCTCCCTCCCTCTCCTCCCTCTTCCTTCCCTTCCCTCCTCTTTTTCTCTCCATTGTTCTTTAGCTTTCTCAGTTTTAATTTTTTAATAGATAGTGTTTACAAGTGGTGAAACAGCACAGAAAGGATATATAGTGAAAAGTTGAGCTCCTTCCCCACTTCCCCTGCTCCCCTGAGGGGCTTCTCTTTACCAGTTTTGTGTATACCCTACAGAAATGTGGACGTTGTCTTTTAAAAATAAGTAAAATGTGTACATTCTTAGCCTGGGCTCATAGTTTTGGACAAATGGCATGGCCCACCTTCCACTGGGAAGGGTCAGGTACTAAATTTTAAGAGACTTTGAGCTACTCCAAGAAGAGGTGCTTAAAACTTTTAGAGGATTTAATAGTATTTAGTGGGAAGGCCACTGGTTCAGGCTGCCAGAAAGAATCATGTAAGTGTGTGTTGGATTCTTGGCACCAGCTAAACCCTTCTAGGGCCACCTGGGGGTGACATCATCCCATTTTTCCTATCCCAAGGGTCCAGCCCAGTGGGACTTCATCTCCCCCTTTCAAGTCCCAGTGTGACTCCTGACTGCCAAGGTTGTCACTGAGGCCTGGTGTGGTGGTCCCAGCCCAAGTGCCTAGCCCCAGCCTGGCCCTCCAGCTGTGTTTCCCATCACTTTGTCCCCTCCCTCCTGTGTGCTGGGGCATGATCCCCCTTCTCCACCTGGCCCCTCAGCCATCATTGCTTATGCTGTCCCCTGCCCAAAGGTCTTTCTTGCCTTCGTCTGTCTTTAGGTGTGGTCACGTCGTCCCAGGCTGGCGCTTCGGCAGCCCCCATTCAGCACTCATCACACTGTCCTTCTGCCCCAGTGAAGGTCAAGGGGCTGGGGCTCAGACCCAGCCTTATCCCAGGGCCCCTGGCACTTTGCAGTGGACTTTGAAGTAAACCTCCACTCCACCATCCCCTCAGCCCACCAGTTATGGAGATTGGACCCCCGAATCCCTCTATATTGAAATTGAGTTCCCAGGCCTTCTGCCCTGAGTTGCTCCATAACAAAGGCCTGACGGTGGAAGGCTGCAGCCAGAGAGAAGCAACACCTGTGTGTTTTTTTTTTTTTTTTTTTGGTCGTATTGGACCAGGCTGTGGCTCTGTTAGCTTCCGTCAGCCGCCTTCCCAAGGCTTTGGCCAGCTGCTGTCCTGTTTGACAGGGGCCCTGTGCTCCCCTGGTGCAGGGAGGTCACTTGGGATCATCTGGTTTGTTTTTGTTTTATTAGTTCATCATTTCCCTTTTGTTTTAACTGTGTTTCAGTCACAGAGCTGTGTTAGAGAAGTAATATCTAGTTCTACTTTTGCCAATATTTGGGCAACACTTCCTATCTGCTAGTTGTCTCATTGCACACTCGTATTTATGGTGGTTTTCCTATTTTACAGGTGAGCAATCTAAAACTCAGAGATGCTTGCCTGAGGTCACTGTGTTAAGTTTGGAGCTGGGATTCTGAGTCCATTGGTTTCTTCTCTTGTTTATCCAATACCTGCTTCCATGGATATCTTGTTCCACCTTGTGGCTTTAATTACCGTCTCTACAAGCAGACATCTCAGCTGTAATTGGCCAGAACAGAACTCTGATTCCCCCCACGGAGTCTCCTCCTGCCACTCCTCCTCCTCTCAGGAAGCGGCACCGCCACTGGGCCAGTGTCTCCGGGCACAGATCTTAGTGTCATCCTTGACTCCTTTCCTTCTGTCACAACGCACATCTGCTTGATCAGCTAATGGTGTTGGCTCTGCCAAAACATATTCCTAATATAACCTCTTCTCGCCTGTTTTCTACCTCCTTGGTGAGGCCACTGCTGTCTCTTCTCTACTGTAGTAGCCTAACTGGGGCCCCTACTAAGCCTCCTTGCGGTCTGTCTTTGCACTGCAGTCAGAGGGGCCTTTTAGGAACCTCACTCTTCTGCTCTTTTCTGTCACTCTTCGTCACTCCCAAGGCATCCCAGTGCACTTAGAAGAAATCCAAAGTCCGCTGTGTCCCTGAGACCCTGGGCGAGCTCAGCCCCTGCTGCTGTCATTCTCATGCACACCTGCTCCTCTCCAGATACACCGGCCCCTGTGCCACACACCTCCTCCTCTCCACACACACCGGCCCCTGTGCCACACACCTCCTCCTCTCCACACACACCGGCCCCTGTGCCAAAGTCATGCCCGCCTCAGGGTTTTTGCATCTGCTCTTCTCATGTCTGTGATGGTCCCTGGGCATACAGTGGCCTAGCTCCCTCTTAAACCTCATTCAGGTCTTTGCTTAAATGCCACCTCCTCTGAGGTCCCCCTTGCCTCCTTTATTTTTACTTTTTTTTTTTTTTTTTGAGATGGAGTCTCTCACTGTCACCCAGGCTGGAGTGCAGTGGCACGATCTTGGCTCACTGCAACCTCTGCCTCCCAGGTTCAAGCATTCTCCTGCCTCAGCCTCTTGAGTAGCTGGGATTACAGGCACCCACCACCATGCCCGGCTAATTTTTTATATTTTTAGTAGAGATGGGGTTTCACTATGTCGGCCAGGCTGGTCTTGAACTCCTGACCTCGTGATCCACCCGCCTCAGCGTCCCAAAGTGCTGGGATTACAGGCGTGAGCCACTGTGCCCGGCCGCCTCCTTTCTTAAATAGTAAATAGCCCCTGCCTCTCGATCTGCTCAGCTTGCTTTAGTTTCTCCACAGCACTTGGTAGCTGCCATTGTTTATTATACCCATTTATTACCTGTCTTCCCCACTCAGTTTGAAGTTCTAACATAGTACCTAGGACAAACACAAGGTAGACTCTCATTAGACATTTGTGAAATTCATTAGTCCTCTCTCTCTATGTATCTGTTTCCTAATTTATAGGCTGAGCACCCCTAAAGGGCAATGCAATAATTATGAGTAGATGAGCAGCTGTATCACCCCACTGATTTTCTCTATATTGGGGAAATTTCTCATCCATGTACATAGAATTGTTGCTTAAATGCCTTTGTGATTAATGGAATGGACATTCACTTTTTCATAGTGGCTTTTTTCTATTATTTTATCAGTTAACAAGCACCAGAAGTACAACTGTCATTTCATAAGGGTCTAGGAAATACTTTGACATTGTGTTAGTCATTCTCAAAAAAGCCAGGGATCTCTGCTCTCAACAGGCCTGTTCCCTACTTGATCTGTAACCACTTGAAAGCAGGGTTCTGGGTAATGTGCTATAAACAGCTGTAAGGAAGAAATAAGAAGTAGCCCCACCTTGCAGTGAGTTTATTAAACTGGTAGGAGAGAGGAGGTGACACACTGTGTCATTTAAGGTGGTGTCAGTGCCATTGCTTGACACTTGGGAAGTATTTGTGGCTGATGGGTGTGTGTGCCTTGGGGAATGATCAGGTACTGCCCAAGTCCCAGATGTCGTGATTTTGTCTTTTTGGCAGGAAGGCCCCTTAATTTACCCTGTGTTGAGCTTTACAAGTCCCTGGTATGCGTACTAGCACAGTGGATTCTAAGCTGGCCTGGGCTGCTGGAATCCTGGACAGCTCTTTTTCAGGGCCTGCCAGCCTTCCCTTTTGTGCATAGTCCTAGAGCAGTGGGGTCCATCAGGGATCAGGCAGAGGGGTGTCTGCCCCCTCAAAAGTGTGGCTAAACTTTAGTTGTGGATGTTGATAGGGTCTCCCTCTGTCACCTAGGCTGGAGTGCAGTGGTGCAGTCATAGCTCACGCCCAGCTAATATTCTAATTTTTATTTTGTAGACATGGGGTCTCACTATGTTGCCCAGGCTGGTCTCAAGTTTCTG
Source organism: Homo sapiens (assembly GCF_000001405.40). NCBI lineage: Eukaryota > Metazoa > Chordata > Mammalia > Primates > Hominidae > Homo > Homo sapiens. Next base: position 15,955,742 of record NC_000001.11, on the reverse strand, counting down.
GCCTCTTTAAAGTGATCCTCCAGCCTTGGCCTCCCAAAGTACTAGGATTACAGGTGTGAGCCATTGCACTTGGCCTAAATCTGAAAGATAGCGGTAGTTGTATAGTTTGAAAAGCAAAGTCAGCATCATAACTGCATTTTATATTTAGACATTTTTAAGATTTAAAAAAATCTGTTTTTTTATAATACAAACTTCCGAAAATACTGCTGAACCTTGGCTGGTGGGACTGTGTAGAGATAGCAGTGATTCTTATGCTGGGAATGGGTACTCTCCAGTGGAAATATCAGAATCAGGTTGTCGGGAGGAGCCAAGATTTATATGTTTATCTAAAGGAGAAAGTGATTTTAAAAGTTTGAGAAATCCAATCTTAATACAAGAAGAGTGTTTGCTGGGTGAGGAGGAAAGTGCCAGCAGGGTTGGTTTTGTTCATTTTTGCTTCTCTGCCATGTCTTGCACTCAAAGGGATATGTTGTCAAACTGGGGTGGTTGGTGGGGTTGGGCAGGTAGGTTTCATGCTCACAAGCCTGGCCTGGTGTGAACTTCCATTTCCTTGGAAGTTTTCATTTGTTTGTTTGTTTGTTTGTTTTTGGAGACAGAGTCTCACTCTGTGGCCCAGGCTGGAGTGCAGTGGTGTGATCTTGGCTCACTGTTACCTCCGCCTCCCGGGTTCAAGTGATTCTCCTGCCTCAGCCTCCCGAGTAGCCGGGACTACAGGTGCGCACCACCACACCCAGCTAATTTTTGTATTTTTAGTAGAAATGGGCTTTGCCATGTTGGCCAGGCTGGCCTCAAACTCCTGACCTCAAGTGATCCGCCAGCCTCGGCCTCCCAAAGTGCTGGGATTATAGGCGTGAGCCACCGCACCTGGCCAGAAGTTTTTTATTTGTTTTTTTGAGATAGGGTCTTGCTCCATTGCCCAGGCTGGAGTGCAGTGGCACAATCACAGCTAACTGCAGCCTCGACCTCCTGGCTTAATCTGTCCTCCTGTCTCAGCCTCCCGAGTGGCTGGAACCACAGGTGTGTGCCACCACACTCAGGTAATTTTAAAATTTCTTTTGTAGAGACAGGGTTTCACCATGTTGCCTAGGCTTGTCTCAGACCTCCCACAGTCCTGCCTCGGCCTCCTAAAGTGCTGGGATTACAGGTGTGAGCCACCGTGCCTGGCTCCTTTGGAAGTTTATGTTGATCCACCTGTATTTCTAGAAAATCAAGAATGCTGAGCAACTGGAAGCCAAATGGTGATCCTTCTCACCTGCCCTTAGGTTCCTCAAGCACCTGGACACAAGATGGCTCATGTCAAGGCTCAGAGCTGGGAGCAGCTTGTTCTGGGAGCCGGGGACTGTTGTTTGTAAAGATCAGTGTCTCCCTATGGTAGGCCAGTTGCTTCCTGGCTTAATGGCTTCCCTTTGTGGCAGTTTGGAAACCCTGCAGGTAGTTTAGTGCATACTAATAACCTGGGTAACATTTCATGTTTGACAGGTGCCCATTTGACTCTGACATGGAGCTGTGCTCTCTGGGGCCACTTAGCACTCTGGGCATGCACTCCAGCCTTTGTCTGGGAGCACTCTTGGGGTTTAACAGAACAGTTGTTCAATATAAAGTGCCTCCTGGCAGAGACAATAGCTCTAGATGTCTCTCCACTCAGTGCCCCTCCCATCACTTCCTCCCTGTCTTCATGCTAATTGTGCTCTGGAATTCTTCCAGATTGCATTTAGGAGTGATGGGTTATGATTACACCTCTTAACAAGGTCAAGTACCCCATGTGCCCAGTGCAAAGGGGTATATAGAAACCATCTGATAAAGACTTTGGCCTAAAAAAATGAAACTATCATCTGCATCTCTGCTTCCTGGCAACAGTAGTTTGTTGCATGCTCACGATATGCCAGGCTCTGTACAGGGTCTTGACCTATGTTACTTAATTTAATCCTGTCACAAAGGAAGTCATACCATTAGCCCTGTTGGCCATTGGAGAAGCTTTGCTGGAGATCACCTGCGGGTGGCTGGTGGAACCCAGATCCAGGTCCTGCTTGGCCTGTCCCGGGAGGCTCTGCTGCTTCCATGGGGCTCAGCCGCCACTGGAATCCCTGCGTCGTGGAGGCAGCAGTATGGAACTTGGCACCAGAGTGGATTTCACGGCCCAAACAGAAACCTGGCTTACTCAGCAGTCTGTGGTGCTTTGGGACTGCAAGACAGATGCAATGGGTTGTGCTTTCTGGGGCCAGCCCTTCCAAATCCCACCCGCAGGAGCCTTGGCGGCTCTCTTAGCTCCTCTGACCCTCGCTGCCACGCTGGGCCTCAAGGCAGCCCTGGTGAGCATGGCCGGGAGTGTGGTTGGGAGCAACCCAGCCTTGGCCAGCACACTCTGTGCCATGACTGGATCAAGTCTGGCAACTGAACCTCACTTTTTTCTTATTAAAATTTTTGAAAAATGGCTGGGTGCAGTAGCACACGCCTGTAATCCCAGCACTTTAGAAGGCCAAGGTAGGCAGATTGCTTGAGCCCAGGAGTTTGAGACCAGCCTGGGCAACATGGTGAAATCCTGCTTCTACAAAAAAAAAAAAATACATTTTTTTAAATAATTGGAATGTTTTCATGTAAATGTATATGAAATATACACATTTAGTTTAAGTAATAAATCCAGGGGACTCCAAGTAAAGAAAGAGAACTCTTCTAGGATCTCAGAAGTCCCCTGCTTACCCTCCCCCATCCAGAGAGAACCGTCATCCTGAACCTTTGGCTGAATCACTTCCTTTTCTTCCTGGTTTTACCGTCCGTCTCAGTTATCTCCTGCTGCACAGCACAGCACCCCAAAACCCAGTGGCATAAGTCATCGGTGAGTCAGTCTTTCTTAGTTGGATGGGTGGACAGGCAGTCGCTTGCTCCCCGAGGTGTTGGTTGAGGCCGTGCGTGCAGCAGCGCACAGCTGGGCTGGGAGGTCCAGGAAAGTGTGTCCCTCGCCACAGAGCATTGGTGCTGTCAGTGGCCTCTCTGCTCTTCTCCATGTGCCCTCTCCCCAGAGCCCCTCCATGTGTCTCCCACTCACACGGGAGCTTGGACTTTCCTCCAGCTCGGTGACTGGATTCCCAGGAGCCACAGCAGAATCTTCCAGGCTTCTTTAGGTTTAGGTCTGGAATTGGCACAGTCCCAGCATCCTGATGTCAGAGTCGTCTCTGGGCCATCCAGATTCCGACAGGAGGGAAACAGACACCGTCTCTCCATGGGAGGCGTGGTGGGCCCTGGCAGGGGAGGAATGGCTGGCCATCCTGAGAGGGGCTCTGCATCATCCGCGTCCGTTCCGCCGTGTCGGTTCTGCCGCGTCTGTTCCGCTGTGTCAGTGTGCCTGTCCGGACTCACACTGCAGGTGTCCTCAGTGCCTCACTTTTTTGTTCCCCAGTGAATTCCTCGTGAGGGAGCCCAGGGCTCTGTGTCCACCTAAGCTTTTGGTCATCAGGACAGCATCCCAGCTCTGACACCTGAGGTGAGGGAGAAAAACTGAGTGACTAGAGGTGTTGGGAAAAGGTGCCCGATTGCAGCTAAGACTTTGTGAGTGGGGGTCAGGTCAGTCTGCATCTAAAATGAGGACTCTGGGCTGCTGGGCTCTGTGGTCTCGTTCTGTTGGCATTTTCTATGGTTCTAAGGTTTTAGGATCTTCCTTAGAAGTTGCTTTAACTAGTGCACATATTTATCGCCCATCACGCAAGGTGAAGACAAGACCACAGACCTTGACACTTGTGCTTGAGCGATGGGCACCGTATTCCAAGGGTGGGGTGGGGCAGGCTGCCTGGTGGGAACAGTATTTCTTCACCCTGTGTTCCCGCACATCTGGGGGCGATGGGGAGCAGCTGGCTGTTGATCTGATTACTGTGGTTAACGTCTCCCCAGACAGCACCTCCTAGCACGTACTTAGGAGGGGATATGTTCCTAGGACCTGCACACCCCTTCGCTCCCAAACCCTTTTCCTATGTCCCTCCAAGCCTGGCCGTCCTGCTGGGTTCCTGTCGCTGAGGAATAGATAAGAGGGGAACTAGGATACAGGCTGGTGATCCCTCCAGAGCAGTTCACGTGGGTTGGAGGTGGGGGACTGCCTAGTTCTAGCTCAGCCCCTCAGAGGGAAGGACCCAGCCGGCCATGCCTCCGTCTCGCCACGGGCCTTGAGAGAGGGGCTGTTAAAGCTTCCCGGCTGGGGAACAGCCTGGGGGACCCTGAGCTCCACTTGCCCTGTGAGGGTGGGGCTTCGGTTGTAAAGTCCACAGTGACACAGTTCTGCGGGTAACACCATTTAGCACTTAGTCCGCCCCCTCCTGGCCCCCTCGAGCTGCTCTTGCACCCCTGGGAGGCCAGTCCCAGATTGTACTGGTAAGCGCATTTCAGCTGCTGCTGATCTCTCTGTGGGTACAGGGCCCCTCCCTCCCTCCCTCTCTCCCTTCCTTCCTTCCTTCTTCTCTCTCCTTTCCTTCCCTTACTTTGCCCATCTTCACTTCTTCCTCCCCCCTTCTTATCATTTCTCCTGTTTTCTTCCCTTTTGGTGCGTTTCTCTGCTGGGGCAGCCTCAGAGGATTATAGACGCCTCTGTTTCTCCTCCTAACACCCGTGTGTGGGAGGAGCCCACTTCTGGGCGGGCATCTTGCATTGGAAAAGTGCAGTCAGCACGGTGGAAAATGTTGCTCATGGGCACACAGCTGCTCTCTTGGCGGGTGGTGGTATGTGGGGGGCTGGGCCACCACCCACCCTGTCCTTGGGGCCTTTACTATTTTATTATCTAGCGAATGTGTCTTATCTAATCTATCTAGCTTACCCATCCATCCATCCATCCAGTCCCAGGACAGCTGTATGGCTGGGCGGGGCTGCGCTTGCCAGGAAGCCCCAGGGCACATGGCCACAGGGAGGCTCATCCCAGCCTTGGGCCCACACAAGGGGATTGATCCTGTCCCTCCCCTTGGCTAGGAGTCTCCTCACATGTCTCTTCCCGGCAAGTCAGATGGTTTTCCTGCTAGAGGGTTCTTTGTACCTCTGGGGGTTCAGCTGATGCTCCCCAGGTTGTTTTAGCACCTGGGTGGCTCAAGTTTCGGGTTGGCTCCTGGGGAAGGTGAGGAAGCCAGGCACACAGCCTGGAGAGAAGGGTTGGGCCTCACTTGCAAGTTCCAGATGGGCTGCTTCTGAAGCCAGTTGAGGATTTTGCCCTGTGTGGGCCCTGGTATTCCCCTCTTCTGCACTTGGGGCTCCTGGGTATGTAGGGGGTGACTAGCAATTGAGGCCCAGGGCTTGCCACCCACACACCTGTGTGCTCACGTGACCTTTTCCACAGCCAGGAGAAGACAGCTCTAGGGTTGCCGTGGCCTGGGCCCACCTCGCCCCTGCCTTTGGTTCCTTCTGCACCCACCTTGCCCTTTGTGCCCTTCAGGTCTTGATCCACAAGCTGGACATTGGTGCCTCCCCATGTCCAGTGCATAGGAGCAGCGCAGCCACGATTCTCCCTTGCGTTCCTTCAGGTCACAGATAGGAACCTGCTGCTTCCAGGGACTGAGGACAGGAGAGAAAGGCCTCTGTGCTTTGCTCCAGGTGGCCGTGTGCTGCTGCCAGCCACTTGGTGCACTTGGTGCGGGGCCAGCTGCCCCAGGGCCTTACCTCCTGATTTCGGGGCTGGCCCTGGCTCTCCAGTGCTTACACTTAGGGCTCTAGCCACAGCCATTTAGGAATGTCATTGAGAGAGCCAAAGCCTGCGCGGGGATGTGTAGGGGGAGGGAACAGCTGTTTCTGGGCCTCTGGCAGCAGCAGCAACGCTGAACTTGTGGCTCGGAGGCTGGTGCGCTGTGGCTCATGCCTGTTGCCACTGCCATGCTCCCCGTTATTTGTTGCGTCACTTCCCCCCGCTCAGCAGATACCCCCACTTGTGAAAAGTTTCCAGACATCACGTGGTGGGAGGCCTTGGCGCCCTTCAAGGCCGACCTGTGCTGGTGTGAGGGGCGTGGCTTCCTCCGGACTCATCACAGCCCGACAGCCATGCATGGCCACAGCAGCTTCAGAGCTGCGGCAGTGATTCACCCCCCAAGATGCTGATGTCACAGGGGAGTGCCTGAGCCGGGGCAGAGCTGCCGAAACTGGGGGCGGAGAGCCCCAAAGTGTCCCTCTCACCTGCCCAGAAGCCGGGGAGCCAGCCCCGTGCAGACTCAGGCCTCAGAGAAGAGGAGGAGTAGGCAGAGAACTCACTACCCCTTAGCAGATCCTGGGCCAGGGCGTGACAGCCGTGCCCAGTTGAATCTGTCTAATGTGGCCCCAGACAGTGGGTGTTGATTTTTCTCTTCAAACATTCTGAAATGGGTTCTTTCTAGAAAAGAGGGCCCGCTTATTTTCCCTAGACAATTGCTGATGTTGACGCCCACTCTGGGTGGTGTTGGGGCGGGAGGGAGAGCTGTTTTAGATAGTTACTTAGTCACGGCTTGTGCGGTTCAAGACTGCTCGGCACTGGGCCATGGAATTTTCCTGAGCATTTTCACTTGTGGGATTTCCAGGCATTAAGTGAGGCCCTTGACAGAGAAGTTGTGGCCAGGTCAGCAGCTCTTGGGGTCAGGATCAAAGTTGTTTCTCCTGGGATGGCCACCAGGACACAGGTTTCTGGAGTCAGAAGACTCCGCAACTCTAGGTAGTTCCCATGAATCAGAAAGAGAGGGAGAGCTAGGCTTTGTCGGGGGATGGGGTACGTGCAGAGCCTGAGAGGGGCCGAGTTCTGCAACACTGGCTGATGAAACACCGTCTTGTCTTCACCTGTCCATGAGAGAATGAGAAAATAGGAAAGTTTTCTTAAAGACCAACATGTCCAATTGAAACATCTGTCCTTTATTCTGAGATTGTCATGCATTCTTTTTGTAACAAATGTTAAAGTGACCATGTCGTTTCATTTTTGAAATGATGACACATTTCAGTGTTCTGTATTTGTTCCCTTTTTTGGCTTTTTCATGTTATTATCAGGCTGAATACGGAGGCGGCTGCCTCGTGTTGGTGCCCCAGTGCTTTTTGGTTTGGGCCACTTTTCCTGGACAGTAAACCCAGGAATACAGGAGCCACCAGTTGGTTGAGTTTGGCTTGCAGGGGGTATCTGGACTGAACTGCCCTTTTGTGGCAGAAATGCCCTCACTTGTTTTAATTCTGTCTTCTCCATGGTGCTCGCCTGGGACTTTAGGAGTGACTGTTGAGCGTGTCTGACGTCCTTTCTCCGTGCTAACCCCAACGCCCTTTGGCTTTCTTCAGCCATGGACTTTCCCCAGCACAGCCAGCATGTCTTGGAACAGCTGAACCAGCAGCGGCAGCTGGGGCTTCTCTGTGACTGCACCTTTGTGGTGGACGGTGTTCACTTTAAGGCTCATAAAGCAGTGCTGGCGGCCTGCAGCGAGTACTTCAAGATGCTCTTCGTGGACCAGAAGGACGTGGTGCACCTGGACATCAGTAACGCGGCAGGTACCCCGTCAGGGCTGGGGCTGAGCTTGCTGATAGCCAGAAGCTATGGCCGGCCCTGTGCCATGCTAGGCCCTCCAGGGGCAGCACCTGCAGGCTGTGGGATGCAACAGGCCTCCCGCACAGGCTTCAGGCCATGAGCAATTCAGTACTAAGTTCCTCCCACCTTTTGGGGGCCTGTTTTGATTGGTAGTGGAGTGGTAAGGGGAGAACGGGCAGGAAGGGCTCATGATGAGCTCTAGGCCGCAGTGAACACAGGAAAGGCCTCATTGGGAGGGGCAGAGAGTAGGCAGGCTCTATGCCCTCTGGCCCCTTTCCGTGGCAGAGTCAGTCCTGAAGCATCTACCCCAGTGCTAACTAGAAGCGTGGGGAGAGGTGATGGGGAAGGCCTAGGGGCTGGGAGCAGTGTCAGGAAGACCTTGGGGTTGTGGAAGGAACTGGTCCTGGATTCAGACTCCCAACCCAGACTGACGTGACATGCCATGAGAAGGTATTATTCTCCCATTTTATAGATGTGGAAACTGAGACCCAAAGAGGTCAGTGACTGGCCTGGAGGTCAGTCAGATAGAGAGTTGGTAGCAGAGCCCTGATGAAAGTCAGGTTGGAGTGTCCTCCACTGGTGAAGTGTAGCGGCCAAATAAGAGGGTGTGGAGGGCAGGTGTTCACAACATCCGTCCTCAATGCAGGGTGGGCATTCACACCTCTGTCCTCATCCAGGGCAGGCATTCACACTCTGTCCTCCCTGCAGGATGGGCATTTATACCCCCGTCCTCTGTGCAGGGTGCATATTCACACCTCCTTTTCTCCATGCATGGGCGGCATTCACAGCCCATCCTCCTCCATGCAGGGCGGACAGTTGCACCTTCTGTTCCCTGTGCAGTGTGGGCATTCACACCTCCTGTCCTCTGTGCAGGGTGGGCGTTCACACCTTTTGTTCTCTGTGCAGGGCAGGCATTCAGACCCTCAGCGAGCACTTCTTTTCAAGGGCTGTTGGTAGTGCTGAGATCCCCCAGGTTACCTGCCTCCTCTCCACAGAGGAGATGGGGCGATGCAGGCTTGCCACTCAGCTGTTCCTAAATCCCTGCGTCCTGCTGCTGAGTGGAGTGGTGGGGCAGGCTGCCGGTGCCGGATCTTGAGGTGGGTCTGTGACAGCTGTCCTGTCCTTGGTAGGCCTGGGGCAGGTGCTGGAGTTTATGTACACGGCCAAGCTGAGCCTGAGCCCTGAGAACGTGGATGATGTGCTGGCCGTGGCCACTTTCCTCCAAATGCAGGACATCATCACGGCCTGCCATGCCCTCAAGTCACTTGCTGAGCCGGCTACCAGCCCTGGGGGAAATGCGGAGGCCTTGGCCACAGAAGGTAGGTTATTGGCAGCTGCTCCCAAGCAGATGGCCAGAGACCTTGGCTTTTGATGTGGGCTCTGCCTCTGACTTTCTGGGTCTCAGTTTCCTCATCTGGCCCTGCCTCGGTTGTGGGTGCTGGCAAGGGTTAGCCTCAGGTCTGAGGGTGGCCTCTCTGCCTGCCTTTCCCCTACAGAGCACCCGGGAGCCGTGCCTGGTTCAGTGCCTTTGCACACGGGCAGGCTCCTAAACCCTCCTGCGGGTCTGTTCTCCTGAGCCCCTCCTTCCACTTCCCTTAGCTGCTAAGATAAAAGCCCTCAGATGCCCACTATGGGCCAGGTGCCTTGCTGTAGACTTCCAGAGGCTGCGTTCCTCCCTTTCCTAGTGCTGACCTCTGATCAGCTCCCTTAGTGCACACATGGGGTCTGCATGTCCCACACAAGCAGGAACCATCACTGTTGTATTCCCAGTGCCCAGCCATCAGCCTGGCATGGAGTGGGTGCCCTGTGAATAATTTGGTGAATGAACAAATCAGCAAACCACTACTTAGAGGTACCCTAGGGAGGACGAGGAAGACCTAGCAAGTTCTGGGCCACCTCACACCTCCAGATGGCGGGCACTTGATGGGAAACGGCAGGTCTGCCCTGTTCCATCTCCAGGAGGGGACAAGAGAGCCAAAGAGGAGAAGGTGGCCACCAGCACGCTGAGCAGGCTGGAGCAGGCAGGACGCAGCACACCCATAGGCCCCAGCAGGGACCTCAAGGAGGAGCGCGGCGGTCAGGCCCAGAGTGCGGCCAGCGGTGAGTCAGATGCCAAGGACCCAGCCGGCTGTCCTGTCACCTCCCAGCAGCCTGGGCACAGGGTAGTGAGGGCTGCCTTGGGGCAGGTAGCACGGGCACCTGCACCTCTTGAGCCTGTGTTACCCAGAATGACCTATTGTGTGTTCCAGGGGGTCTGTTTCAACCAGAGCAGACACAACAGCCTTGGCTAGGGGTGTGCTGGGGCCTCCCCTCCTGGGTCACACGCAGCCACCACCAGCGCGCTGGTCCAGGAGAGGTATCCGACCCCTGGGCAGAGGGTAGCAATCCAGCCTCCGGTGCTTCCCCCACCCAGGTGCAGAGCAGACAGAGAAAGCCGATGCGCCCCGGGAGCCGCCGCCTGTGGAGCTCAAGCCAGACCCCACGAGTGGCATGGCTGCTGCAGAAGCTGAGGCCGCTTTGTCCGAGAGCTCGGAGCAAGGTAGCCCCGCCCAGCCAGGACCAGGCCCTACCTGGTGCATCCTCCCAGGGCCCTGCCTCCACTGCGCACTGGGGCCTCCCTCTCCTCCTGCCTCCAGCTAGTCCCACCTGGAGTCACCATGCACTTCAGCTTTGGGACACCTTGGTCTTCGCATGTTCTTGAGTCTCGAGGTCGTTCCTTGGTTGACCATGCTAGCCGTGTGTCTGTGAGCACAGGCACGTCCTTCAAAGCCCTGGAGCTTCTGCTGCTTCCCGGCTTTCAGCACCGTGCAGGGGTGCCTTGCCACCCACGGCAACCCTCCAGTGCCTGCTGGCCGACAGCGCCCACCCCAGCTGGCTAAGCCCCCTACCTGCATCCCGCAAGCAGCAAATACCCAGTTCACAGGCCCCCCCGGGGGCTTTCCTTGGCCAGTGCTGGGGCCATTTACTGTCCCTTCCACATGTTGCCGGCGCCCCTCACGTGCGCTCAGGCAGAGAGGGCTGCCGCCTCCATGCTTGCCCTTTTCTCCGCAGAAATGGAGGTGGAGCCCGCCCGGAAAGGGGAAGAGGAGCAAAAGGAGCAAGAGGAGCAAGAGGAGGAGGGCGCAGGGCCAGCTGAGGTCAAGGAGGAGGGTTCCCAGCTGGAGAACGGAGAGGCCCCCGAGGAGAACGAGAATGAGGAGTCAGCGGGCACAGACTCGGGGCAGGAGCTCGGCTCCGAGGCCCGGGGCCTGCGCTCAGGCACCTACGGCGACCGCACGGAGTCCAAGGCCTACGGCTCCGTCATCCACAAGTGCGAGGTGAGGGAGACTATGGCCAGCCCTCCCAGCCAGCGTCCCTCCCCTCCGGCCTCCCACCGGCTGCTCCTCACACCCCGCTTCCCCGCTGCACCCACAGGACTGTGGGAAGGAGTTCACGCACACGGGGAACTTCAAGCGGCACATCCGCATCCACACGGGGGAGAAGCCCTTCTCGTGCCGGGAGTGCAGCAAGGCCTTTTCCGACCCGGCCGCGTGCAAGGCCCATGAGAAGACGCACAGGTACTGCCCCAAGCCGGCCTCCTACCCCGGCCCCTGCCAGGCCCGGCCTTTCACGCCCCAGCGAGCCCTGCCTCCTGTCGCCTTCTGGCCCTGCAGCCCTCTGAAGCCCTACGGCTGCGAGGAGTGCGGGAAGAGCTACCGCCTCATCAGCCTGCTGAACCTGCACAAGAAGCGGCACTCGGGCGAGGCGCGCTACCGCTGCGAGGACTGCGGCAAGCTCTTCACCACCTCGGGCAACCTCAAGCGCCACCAGCTGGTGCACAGCGGCGAGAAGCCCTACCAGTGCGACTACTGCGGCCGCTCCTTCTCCGACCCCACTTCCAAGATGCGCCACCTGGAGACCCACGACACGGACAAGGAGCACAAGTGCCCACACTGCGACAAGAAGTTCAACCAGGTGTGCGGACCCCTCCCGGAACCAGCGCCTGGCAGCCGCCGGTGGCCGCAGCCGCATGCATGCCACGTGGTGGGGCGGGCGGGGAGCACAGCCCCGGCCTCCAGGAGCTCATCAGCTTGTTCACCCAGGAAACAGGCGCAGCGAGAGCCACTTCCGCGGGGGAGCTCCCGGTTGCTCTGCGGAGGGCAGGCCGACTCAGGGCGGGGTTTGGTCCTGAAAAAATGGGGTGGGGCGGCTTACCTCTCACCGCTGGGACCTGGGACCTCTCCTGACCCAGGAGAGATAGAGCCCTTCACGGACCCTGGCAAGCCTGAGAGTCAATTGTTCCTTTGTGGGAGGGGCAGGTGAGGGGGCCCGGGGCCGAGCTCTGTGGGGTGGCCCCCCTGACCCCTCCCTGGGCACAGGTAGGGAACCTGAAGGCCCACCTGAAGATCCACATCGCTGACGGGCCCCTCAAGTGCCGAGAGTGTGGGAAGCAGTTCACCACCTCAGGTAGGGCCAGGGCTGCCCTGGCTGCCCTCACACCCCTGCTCCTCGGCCACCGGTGGTGCCCCACGCCAGGTTCGCCCTCGGTCTCGCCACAGGGAACCTGAAGCGGCACCTTCGGATCCACAGCGGGGAGAAGCCCTACGTGTGCATCCACTGCCAGCGACAGTTTGCAGACCCCGGCGCTCTGCAGCGGCACGTCCGCATTCACACAGGTGGGTGGTGAGCGGCCATGCCCAGGACTGGGAGGGCACGGAGAGGAGCAGGCACCAACACCTTCTGCCCGGTCCCCAGGTGAGAAGCCATGCCAGTGTGTGATGTGCGGTAAGGCCTTCACCCAGGCCAGCTCCCTCATCGCCCACGTGCGCCAGCACACCGGGGAGAAGCCCTACGTCTGCGAGCGCTGCGGCAAGAGGTCCTGCCCCCTCCCCCACACCCACTGGCCAGACACCCCACAGTGAGGGGGCTCAGAAGACAAACTGGGGGCTTGGCTGGGGACTGAGCTGACTGCTGCCCACGCCCCAGGCTCTGGTCCTAGGGGTCCTTTTCAGTCTAGAGGGTGAGGCAGGAGGCCCAGGTTGGGGCAGTTCCATGCGAGTCCCTTCCTGTGGCCCCACAGATTCGTCCAGTCCAGCCAGTTGGCCAATCATATTCGCCACCACGACAACATCCGCCCACACAAGTGCAGCGTGTGCAGCAAGGCCTTCGTGAACGTGGGGGACCTGTCCAAGCACATCATCATTCACACTGGTGAGCTGTGGCCCCTACCATGCCTGTTCCTTCCCAGGCCCTGCTGCCAGGTGGGGAGCAGGGGGAAGGAAGGGACCCCCCAGACCCCAGCCTCGGGTGCTAGCTCTTGCTGCAGGTGGCCTTGAAGGCAGTTCTGTTCAAATGAGGACCCCATTTTCCTAGAGCTTCCAGAGGTGCCAGTGTCACCAGAGGCACCCGTGCAGCCACCCCAGAGCACCTCCTGCTGTAAAAGACAGGGTTGCTGGGCAAACGAGTCATTGAGGGCCTCCCACCCCATCCCTGCGGCCCCTTCCCACAAAGGCAAGAGAGAACCTTGCTCCCCCAGGAGAGAAGCCTTACCTGTGTGATAAGTGTGGGCGTGGCTTCAACCGGGTAGACAACCTGCGCTCCCACGTGAAGACCGTGCACCAGGGCAAGGCAGGCATCAAGATCCTGGAGCCCGAGGAGGGCAGTGAGGTCAGCGTGGTCACTGTGGATGACATGGTCACGCTGGCTACCGAGGCACTGGCAGCGACAGCCGTCACTCAGCTCACAGGTGCGGGCTGTGGGCAGCAGAGGGAAGTCACAGGCAGCTTGCTGCCAGGGTGGCGATGATGGGGCAGTGCCCGTGCCTTCACCTTAGGCCCTGCGACTCTGCCCGCAGTGGTGCCGGTGGGAGCTGCAGTGACAGCCGATGAGACGGAAGTCCTGAAGGCCGAGATCAGCAAAGCTGTGAAGCAAGTGCAGGAAGAAGGTGAGGGGGGCCACCCGGGTGTGAATGTGGGCAGAGCCCGGGGTCCTTCCCACTCTGACTGCTGCCCCACCTCCACAGACCCCAACACTCACATCCTCTACGCCTGTGACTCCTGTGGGGACAAGTTTCTGGATGCCAACAGCCTGGCTCAGCATGTGCGAATCCACACAGCCCAGGCACTGGTCATGTTCCAGACAGACGCGGACTTCTATCAGCAGTATGGGCCAGGTGGCACGTGGCCTGCCGGGCAGGTGCTGCAGGCTGGGGAGCTGGTCTTCCGCCCTCGCGACGGGGCTGAGGGCCAGCCCGCACTGGCAGAGACCTCCCCTACAGCTCCTGAATGTCCCCCGCCTGCCGAGTGAGCTGGCGGCCCTTCTGACTGTTTATTTAAGGATGGATGGCACCCTGGAACCGGGAAGGGTGGCCTGTTCCCTAGAGAGAATAAATTGGATTATTTTCTAATGCTGCCTATAGGTCCCTGTGGGGTGGGTGGGGAGCTGGCAGCTACAACTGATGCCACAGAAAGGCTGTACCACCCAGGAACCAGCCTTCCTGGGAAGGTCAGCCCGTCCCTCTTGCTGAATGCGACTAGAATCAGAGCCAGGCTGGCTGCTTTGCCCCAAGTTGAGGAGTGGGCAGTACACTCAGGCTGGAGAGACCTCGGCACCACGTGCCCCATGCCCTCATCCCATCTTGTTTGGAGGCTTCTCACCTGTTCATCTTTAGGGCCTGGCCTCCCCTCGCCCCACAGCTATGACCCTGCTCCCCCTCGGCCCAGGTTGGGGAGAGGTTGGGAAGTTGGGGAAGGGACCAGCAGGGGCGGCCACCAACTGCTTACCAGGGTACAGGCAACCCAGAGCGAGCCTGGCTCACAGGCCACTGCTGCCAGGCCTGGCTCAGGGGTCCTTCCAGCCAGAGTGGCAAGGTAGGCCAAGGAGAGTGCCAGGCCCAGGCCACTGCCCTGGCTCTGATGGGCCTAAGGGAGCAGATGGAAGCCACACTTGCTTCAGGGTTACCTGGCCCGAGGACTAAGGCCAAGCCGGTGCCATCATCTTTTGGGAAGGTTCAAAAGATGGCATCTCTGCCACCAGGCTGGGGGCCCAGAGGGACAGGAAGGAGCAGCCAGGGGCTTTGATGGGGAGGTAGGGAGCTGGTGGAACAGCTTTCTCACTCCTGTCAGCAAGGAGTCAGGAGGTACCATCTCGTCCCCCCACAGTGGCCCCGGCATCTATGGCCCACCGTTCAGAGGGGGATGCTATCTTCTCACACCAGGACAGGCCCATTTGTAGGAGCCCATTGGTATTCCAAGTGAGACCACCAACTTTATAGTCCCCATGTCCCTGTCCCAACTCCACAGCTTCTAGAGAATCCAGCTGCAGGGGAAGCCTGTCCCCAACTCCCATTCTCCTGTCTGGAGGCAGAGACGGGATCAAATGAGCCCCCAGGGGCCCCAGGAGGCCACTGCCTCTGCAGGAGTCAGCCTGCTTCACACTGGGAGAAGGGAAGAGGGGGCAAGAGAGAGACAAGAAACCAAAGCTTGCTAAAATGTTTCTGAGATGGCATGGGGTGTGGTTATATTCTGTATCAAAATTGGAAGTGCCTTCCTTCCACATTACCTAAGAACCAGTTAGGACTCTGAAGACACCACAAGAGTGAGAAATGGTTAAGTTCAGTGTCCGTGACAAAAATCTCCTTTGTACAAGATAAAATTATCCTTGGGGAGGAGGACTGACTGACTAGGAGGCAGAAGGGAAACAGTTCCCATGTACAGACTTGGCATGGGGATCAAAAGCGGGATGAGGGCTGACTGTTCCCATAAGCCAAGGACCCATGGTTCGTCCTCCCACCCAAGTGACAATCACACTCACACTTGGTGTGTTTTATATTTTTTAATAAAGTTTGTAATCCAATGGACACACAAAACAAAACTGCGCTGAGAAAAACAGTTTCATAAATTAATAAGTGTTAGGAAGTTGGGGGAAGAGATCAAGGTAATAGGAAGAGGGGTTAGCCAGTCTTTTTGTACAGGTGCCGTGTGACACTTCCACATCGCGGGAGCAGGACCCGTGCTGTACCGAAGCGCACTTATACAAATGAGTGGGCAATACAAAGTCTGAATATGAAAATAAGATTTCCTCTGAAAACACATTTTTGGCACAGATTAAAAAAAACGTATGTCGGGGGATTTGATTTTTTAAGTCAGTATTATATATATTTATATATATTATATATTTATATATACACACATCCCAAGTTCTGCATATCCCACCAAGAGAAAACCTTTCTGTTTGCTCTTCAACTGTAAACTGTACATCCCGGTGAATCAAAGACGGTGGCAGCAGGAGAATTAAGGTGACGCATCCAAATGAGCAAGGGAGATGGGGGTGGACAAAAAAAACCAATGAAATGTTCCTTGACCCCAAGGTCTCAGCAGAAGTTTGAAGTCCTTCCTGCGTTAAGAGTCTGCAATGTGTGTCTACACACACCAAGACATCCAGAGTGTCACAGCCTGTCTTCACTGGGCAAAAGTCCAAGTCACTAATTTAGTGCAAAGGCAGTTCTGTTTTCTTGTTTCTTAAAAACAAACAAACAAAAAATTTTCATTCCACTGCCCTGTTCCTTTTCTCCAAAAAGAGGAAAGAGAAACCCAGCCCCGGTGTCTGCGAGTCCATGGGTTGGTGATGTGTCCTTGGGCTAAAGCATTATGTAAACATACAAGGTAGCAGCACCACTCCTAGAGGAAGTCTGGCCGACTGAGCCGGGCGGCAGGACAGCAAACGGCTGGCCGTCTGGCAGTGGAGTCTGTCCCCTTCGGCAGCTTCTTCCTCTGCTTGGCTGGGTTGTCCTTTGTTTTTACTGCAGAGCCCTGGGAAGATTCACTGAGGTGATAACCACTCAGTGGCTCACACGGAGGCAATGACAATCATGAGGTGGGGAGAGATGTTGGAGATGCTGGCAAGGAGGTCAGGGGCCAGGCGGGACAGGTGACTCTCAGAGAACTCACAGGGCGGGAAGATCTGCAGCACGTAGGCAGGCTGGAGACAGGATAGAGAGCAAAGTGGGACCGTCTGTCTTCACCCCCACAACTCCACTTCCATTGGGGAGCCCTGAAGAGGCCCAATGCTAAGAGCCAGGCCAAATCAGTCCCCAACCAGCAAATGTGCCAGGACTATGTCTACTGGAAGACCTAGCAGGTGTCAGAAAACTATAAACAGGAACCCCCTGGGGCCCTATCTTTAAACTCATGGAAAACCTGTGTTCTCAGCGGTTCCCTGGGTTCTCTTCAGGATGGGTGATGGCGCCCCGCCCCATGTGCTCTACTGACTTCTGTCCAAAATGCCCCTTTGCCCACCTCTGGGGCCAGATCTAGTGGGCACCAGATGAGTAGGCCCACCTACCCTGATCAGCCCCACCTGTGGGTGTACATGTGAAGGAAGGACACAGGACAACCGACCTGATTGGAGCCAGGGTTGGGAACGTTGATGATCCCTGCCGCCTGCTTGGCCTGCAGGTAAGTGATGAAGGCAGCCTTGAGGGACTCGGTCTGGCTCACAACATCCTCTTGGTCACGGCCACAGGGCAGAGCCAGCAGCAGACAGTAATCTGTCTCCACCTGAGGCAGAGGCCAGCTGCCAGTGAGCAGGGGCCTCCTAGTCAAACAGCAGCCCACATCCAACCCACAGTATCAGGTCCACAAAAACCCCCACCTCTGAGATGACTTTAAAGGCTACCCTGATATTTGAATGAAAAAAAAAAAAAAAAAAAGCTTTTTTTCAACCTGAGAAAGCTGATTTAAAAAATAATAATTTTTAAAAACTGTAAAGCCTTGTTTCTGGGTCTAGAGGTACTTTACATCCCCCCACCAAGTAGAAGCATAGTGGACCCTTCATTGCTCACTTCAAGAATACCGTTACTGGCCAGGCACAGTGGCTCAGGCCTGTAATCCCAGCACTTTGGGAGGCCAAGGCAGCCAGATCACTTGAGGTCAGGAGTTCAAGGCTGGCCTGGCCAACATGGTGAAACCCCATCTCTACTAAAAATACAAAAAATTAGCTGGGCATGGTGGTGCCATGGTGGTGCGTGCCTATAATCCCAGCTACTCAGGAGGCTGAGGCAAGAGAATGGCTTGAACCCGGGAGGCAGAGGCTATAATGAACAGAGATCGCACCGCTGCACTCCAGCCCAGGCGACAGAGACTGTTTCAACAACAACAAGAATACAGTTAATGCTTCCATGACAGGCCAGGGAGATGGGCTGGCAGGGACTACCTACGTCTTCCTCCCTGTAGGTGGGGCAGTTGCTCACCTGGGCCTGAGAGTCTTACCGTCATCCTTCGGGCAACCCCTTCCAGCTGCGTTGCCTCCAGCCGCATCCTCTGGGCGATCCTTAGTGGGGGCCCTCCTTCAGAAAGGGGCAGGGACCGATGGGCCAGGACGTTGTTGCCAGAGACGAAGTGGAGCTGCACAGCAGCTGTGTCATTCTTGAGGGCCAGCAGGCCCTGCCACACGATGGGGTACTTCTGCTCACAGGGAAACAAACAGGAAGTGAGCTCATGGCCCCTCGCTGAGCCATGCTGGACACAGCCAGAGGCTGTAGCTTGTGGGTCTGTTAACTAGGGAATCTTAGGACATTTGACATGGCATAAAACTTGGGGGCCAGGAAGGGCAGCCCCTGCTCATGCTTACCTTCAGAAGTTGAACCATATCCACGGGTCTCTGGGAAGTCAGGTGTGGAGAGGAATCTTGTTTGGGGGCTGGCTGGAATTCAGTGTGTGGCAGAACCAGTCCTGGTGGGGTGCTGGGGCCAGAGGTTGTTGGGACAAACAACGGCTGTTTTGGGGCAGTCTGAGTGGGAAGAGAGACTGGAAGGTCAGGCTTCATGGAGACAGACACAGGGGAGGGGAAGGAAGTCGGGCCTGTTTCTGCTTGTGCCCTCTGAACCTGGGTGTGAGGCTCAGGTGGCCTGTTTGCAGGTCCAGCTGGGAGGCGAGGCTGCTCTACTCCCGTCTGGGTCCCCTTTGCCTCCTGGGACACTTGAGGCATCTTGCTGCTTGGTGGCTGGCCGGGCTGACCGAGCTGGGAGGGCGGGCAGGGTGGTGCAGGCTGGGCAGGCTGTGTGGACTGCACAGGCTGAGGAGGCTGCAGGGGCTCACCTTCAGGAGGAGGGCCCTGGTGTAGGGAAGGAAGGCAAAGGGACAGAGTCAGTCTGTTGTGCACAAGCCCCTGAGACCAACAAATGACCCAAAGGGCCACAGGGAAAGGATAAGATGTGGCATCTCCCGTTAAGTCAGGCCCACAGAAGGAGCCTGAATCAACGGAGCTGCTTTCGGGGTTCCAGGTAAGGAGAGATCCCCTATTACCTGCCTCCTGCTGATGCTACCCAGCAAGAGCTCCCTCCCCATATGCAGAACTCCCCATGATGTGATCTAATACTTTCATCTCAGAACTAAGAAAGCTCTTTAAACTCATGAAAAGATCAACATCTTTAGGGACTAGCTGACCAGTTCACTTGTACTCAACCACTATCTTTACCAAAAGGCGGATTTCTTTTTCTTTAAGTAGGGACAGAGTTTCACCATGTTGGCCAAGCTGGTCTTGAACTCCTGACCTCAAGTGATCTGCCAGCCCTGGCCTCCCAAAGTGTTGGGATTACAGGCGTGAGCCACTATGCCCGGCTTTTTTTTTTTTTGAGACTGGGTCTCGCTCTGTCACTGGAGCCTAGTGGCACGACCTTGGTTCAATGCAACCTCTGCCTCCAGGGCTCAAGCAATTTTCCCACCTCAGCCTCCCAGGTAGCTGAAACCACAGGTGTGTGCCACCACACCTGGCTAATTTTTGTAATTTTTTTTTTTTGTACGAGATGGGGTTTTGCCATGTTGCCCAGGCTGGTCTCGAACTCCCGGGCTTAAGCAGTCCTCCCATCTGGGCCTCCCACAGTGCTGGGATTACAGGCATAAGCCACCACACCTGGCCCCTGATTTCTTTCACACATCTTGGCTTAAAAGCCTGCTGAGCCCCACAAGCACATGCCCAACAGACAGTGGGGAGATACCTGGCTGGCTCACCTGAGCAGCTGTCTTGGTCCGGGAAGGCAGGCCAACAGAGGAAGCGGCGGGAAACTGAGTGTGTGTGAGCTGGGCCGGGGGGTGGTAGGTGCGGATGTCGCCGTACCGGTACTCTTGAAACAGCTCCCCGCTGGAGTGCACAATCTGCACCCCATGGGTCACCACCACAGGAGGGGTCAGAGGCAGCCCCTGGAGTTGGTTACTGGGGGTAACTGTGAGGATACGGGCCTCACCATGAGGGGCAGGAGCAGGGGCAGGAAGGGGGACAGGGACAGGGACGGGGGCAGGGGTGGGGGTGGGGGCAGCTTTGGCATCTGGTGTCTTGGCAGCTTCCTTCCCTGGCTGCTGAGGGGCCTTGCTGGCTGGTGGCACCTTCACCACCCCATCCGCGGCCCTGGGCTGCTCGCTGACTGCCGTCACATGTGGATGCACCATGATCCTCACATCCCGTGGCACAGTATAGGGGTGCAGTCGGTACTCAGACTGCATGACTAGTACCTCTGACTGCACAGGGGCTGTGGCTCGAGCGACAGGAAGGTGATAATGCACTTCCTCCTCGGGAGGGTGCTGGGAGGCCAGTGCAGGCACACCAGCTGGGGCTGGCTGCGGGGTGCTGGCACGCTGTGGGGCCCTGACCTCTATTTGCTGGGGCTGCAGCGGAGCCCGAGGAGAGTGAAGCGCTTCTGGCCGGATGCTGTAGGTGATACTGGGCAGCGTGGGAGTGTTCATTCTCACCTCGCCCTGGGAGAGGTGGCTCAGGGACACAGTCTGGGTGATGCTGTGGGGTGGCATGATGACAGACTGCTCTGGGTGGATGCTGGAGATGAACTGGGGCACTGGGATGCCTGCAGCCAGCATGACTGTGGCGTTGGTGGAGAGCGCCGTAGATGCAGTACTGCTGGGGTGGCTTGCCCTTGGGAATGAGGATGGCCCGGGTCCACTTGGTCGAGGAGAATGAGCATCTAGCTTTGCAGCTGCCAAATGGGAGACAGTTCGATCTGCTGGGATGCTGGGCCCCGAGGGGACATGGTTGACTTCTGTAGGCAGTTTGCTGGGCAGAGCAGGAGGGTGGTGGGGCGTGAGCGTGGACCCCAGGTTGGCCGGCTGAAGGACCTTGGTCTCGATTTTAAGGGTGACGGGGTCAGCAAGCTTCTTGTTTGTGGTGACAATGCTTGGGGTGAGGACCAGCTGGTTGTGAACCAGCACAGGGGGTGTGTTGATCCCCTGGGTGAGAACCTTCACTGTGCCTCCCTGGGTGACAGGCGTGGACACCGAGAGGTGAATGGGCTCGGGCTTCTCCAAGGATGGCCTATCGGCCTTCACAGACGAAATCACAGGAGAGGCATTATATGTCTGGGCGGTCAGTACCAACGTGGAATGGGTGGCCACGTTCGCATAGCCTGCAGGAGCTTGAGGGCCTTTGGATGGAGGCTGCGATGCTGTGACAGAATCAGGTTTGACCTGGGACTTGGACACTGACTGCTGAAATTCAATGTCCATTGCACTGGCCGGGGGGATCTGGCTGATCTTGGCGCTGATCCGCTGTGGGCCTTCGGTCTTCTGCCCTGAGTAACTCAGGAGCACAACCCCTTCAGAAGTGTTCACACGCAGCCCCGCCCCTGAGCCCGCGTCTGCCGGACGATCGTCGATCACAGGCATGGACCCTGGGTGGAACCGACTGTTTTCATTAGCACTCGCTCTCTGTTTGCACTTTGTTGACGGCGCAATCACTGCCCCTGCCATTGTCACCGTGCCTGTTGTGGCCGTTACACCACCAGATGCAGCAGTAACCGCACCCGCTGTGACGGTCACTGCACTTGCTGTGGCATTCACTGCACTCGCAGCGGCATTGACTGTGCCTGGGGCGGCATTCACTGTGCCCACCGTGGCGTTCACTGGAGTGGTGAGAACATTCACTGGCCCCGTAAGAACATTCACAGGCCCTTTCAGGACGTTCACGGGCCCAGCAGGGGTGCTCACCAAACTTTTCAGTGTGGTCACTGAGCCCTTCACGGGGCCTTTCAGGGCATTCACCGGGACCAGGGAGACGTTCACCAGGCCAGTGAGTGCGCTCACCAGACCAGTGAGGGTTTGAGGAGCTGGTTTTGCCAAGGTTATCTTCTGTGAATTTTCCAGGTCAATGCTGACAGGCATCCGGCTAATAACAGAGGTAATTTTGGGAGCAATGACTGGAGCCACCTTTTCCTTGTCAGCAGCTACCAGCACCTCCGAGGCTTGTATCTCAGAGTTGTTTGTCACTGGAGGTGCTGTTTTTTCTTCTAAAGGCTTTTTAGAGTCAACTGGCGGGGGCGGGGCCTCATGTAGGCAAGGGGCAGCACTGACAGGCTCTGCAATGGCTGTGGTGACACTTGTGGAAGTGACACTTGTGGCAGACACATACTTGGGGTCCATGAGAATCTTCCTCAGGGTGCTGGAGCTGGTGTCAACATCAGAGGCCTTTGTGTCTGGGGGAAGAGCTGGAGATGGAGTAGACTGAGCCCGTGGCTCCTCCTGCCTTGTGATCCACTCTGTCACCTTAGTAGGGGGGCTCTGGTGTGGGATCCCCCCAGAGGCGACAGGAGGTGAGAGCTTTGCTGCAGTTACAGAAGGCAGTGTGGGTATGGGGATGCTTGGATCGCTGGGTGGGGTCACCGGGTCACTTTCAATGATGGAATGCACCCTGAACCTGGCTTGAGGCTCCTCATCCACCGGTGCTGGCTGGGGAGGTGGGGGAAGGTCTGGGGGCACAGATGCTTTGGTTGGAGTCCTTTCCTCAACACTGATTTCTTGGGACGAATTCTCTGTGGAGGGAATCTTGCTTAGGTCAGAAGTACATGACTGAGGAGGAGTGGAATGGGGTTTCTCACTCTGCTTTTCTTCCTGTGGGGCTTCGGGGTGCTGTACTGTTGTCCCCTCATTTGCAGCAGGACTCTCACCTTGAGCTTGGTTGGATTCAGGGACATGGCTCTCTACAGGAGCCACCACTTTCTTGTTTGTGTTTCGCTTGCGGCGTGATCGGGTTGTTTTCTGGCGCCCTTTGTCTTTCCGAACAAGAGTGACTTCCACTTCTTTAGACCCTTTGGCTTCTGGCACTGAGTGTGAGGTTTCACTGCTATTTCCTCTGGCTTCCTTGGTATCTGTTGGGCCGGCTGAGGGGTCAGGAGCATTGACTGGAGGCCTAGAAGATTCTGTAGCAGCCTCAGTTTCCAGGATGCCAGATACAGCCTCATCTGTCTCCATTCCTTCCTCAGAAGGCTGCAGCGCCTGTGCACCTGCGGGGGGTTGCAGATCTGTCTGGGATTCTCCAGGATAAGGTGGAGGTGCTGGGAAGTTTTCTGGCTCCCCAGAAATGTCATTGATGATGGAGCCGATGGCCGCAGCCAGCTCTGTTTCACTTGCTTGGTGTGCAGGCTTGTCCCTGTCCTCTGGGGCAAGGCCCTCTGGTGCATCTGCCTTATAGGCAGCAGAGGCAGAGGCCTCAGCGAGCTTTGCGATGTGTTCCACGGCCTGCTCCAGCTCCATCTGCTTGGCTAACTGGGTGGCTTCTGGGGACGGCCCAGAGGCAGACACGTCTTCTTTCTCTGGTTCCTTGTCTGGATCAACTGGATCACTTTTCAACTGGGATGATAAACCATCCTCCTTTTGGGGACTCTCACTTTTCTCAGGGGAGACTGCCACCACCCCAGATTCCCTCTCCCCTGCCTGTGCTGCAGCCCCCCTGGGACTGACAGCAGCATCCACATTTTTCAGACTTGCAGATTTGTCCACTGCTAACCTGGAGTTTCGAGATCTTCCTCTCTTTGATTTGGAGTTTTTTTCAGGGGCCGGTTTTTTCTCTACAACTTCAACAGGGGCGGTTTCAGGGGGGTTTTTGTCTGTGCCAGCATCTTTTCTGTCACGTTTCTGTTCACTCCCTGCCTCCTCCTCAGCAGCCTTGGGTTCCATGGAGCTCTCTTTCACGCCTATTTGGGGGCCCACCTCAGTGGTGGCCTCAGGACGTGTAGCATCCACCTTCGGTTCATTTTTTCCCTTTTTCCCTTGGGGTCCACCACCAGCTGCAGTTTTCTGGGACCTTGGCGACCGCCATCCCTCAGGTGGCTTGAGTGTTTCTGCAGGTTCCTTGGCCTCGTTCTCCTCCTCTTCATCGGCTCGCCGGCGTGTCTTTGGAGGCCTTCCCCTCCGAGGGGTGGTGGGAACCGCTGCAGCCTCCTGAAGCTCTCGCTCCAATCTCTTTCTGGTCACTCTTGGTTGCTCAACGGGCTCTTTGACAGGAGAGCGGTTTTCATGGTCACCCATGGTTGCATAGACGCTCCTTACATTCCGGCGCCTTGTTCGGCTGAGAGGCAAACTTGGTTCGGGATGTTCAAGGTCTGCAGCAGAGTTTTTAGAAGCAGTCCTTGTAATCTTCTCTGCCTCCATCTTCAATTCCAAAAGCTTCTGTGCTTCTCCCCGAGGAGAATTGGACCGCTTGAGTTTTTCCCGGTCTATCCTCTCACTCTTCCTTGTGACGGGCTTCTCCACGATACTCACTGCAGCTGCCTGAACAGGGGTCTTTGAACGCTTGCTTTTGTTTGGCTTTTTATCCTTTGCAGCAACTGGAGGATCAACCTCTAAATCTTCAGAAGCTGGGGGCTGAGACTCAGGAGCAGCTTCGGCTTTCTGGTTTGCATCAGGCTCAGCATCTGCAGTGGCGTCTGGCTTTTCGGCCTTTGGCTCATTGGCTTCCTCAGACTTCTGAGCTGGTTTTGAAAGTGGCTGGGTACTGTCAGGCTCTGGATCTACGTTGCTCTCTGCCTGGGAAAACGAGGCCCCGGGAGTTGGAGGCTTGGCATCCAGATAAGGCGGCTGGTCACCTGATGAACCTTCCTCAACACCCGCAGGCATCATGGCAGCTTCTTTATCGGGGTCTGCTCCTGGGGGCAGGTCTACTTGTTCCAGCTGTTCCACAGGGGCAGGAGCAGGTTCAGATGCAGGCTTTGCTTCTTCTGAGACGGTAGCTGGCTCCACAGTCTTCTCTTCTGTTACCAAAGGCGCCTCTACCGTTTTGTCACCAGTGGTCTTCTCTAGTGCTGATGGGGCTGATTCTAGAGTTACGACTGTGACACTTGGAGGCCCAACGGAAGGTGGAGTTTTCAGTTCTGAATCTTTATTCTCAGGAGCAGATTCTGGGGTCTTGGGATGATTCTCTGTATCTTCCTGTTTCTCAACCTCTTTGGGTTTCTGGTCTTTTTCTTTTTCTTTCTGTTGCATCCGTGTGAGCTCCATAAATCTGCTATGGAACAGAACTACTGGTTCTTGAATGGAATCAGTTGTGCTGTTTGCTCCCTCAGATGTCTGCTTCCCATAGATCCTACCAGAAATGAAGTCAGAATCTTCCTCTTTTCTCTCTAGATGCTGCAATCGCTTGGAATCTTGTTCAAAGATTGAGCTGTGTAAAAAACGAGAAGCAAACAATTCCTGCCTCTCTTGCTCTTCTTCTTTATGGTCCTCTTTCTTATCATCCATTTTCCCTTCTGAATCAGTCCTAATTTTCTTCTTTTTCATGTACCAGGATGGAATAGGTCTTGGAGCAGAGTCAACCTTTTCTTTATCTTTGTTGTTTCGAAAATTTGCAAATCGGGAGTCCCAATCAAGAAAAGACCAATTTTCTTCACGAGATGAAGAGAGGGATTTAGCTCTTTCAAGCAAAGCTTTAGTGTCTGGTGTGATTGTCTTATCCAATGCAAAAGAGTAAAATTTGTTCCTTTCTAAAGAACTAGAGAGTCTTTCATCTCGCTCACGTAGCTTGTCTTCTCTGTCCCTCAATAAAAAAGACAATCGAGAACTTTCATATAATGCAGAGGCTCTGGGTGAGTGGGATTTGTGTTCACCATCTTCGTCAGAATCAGAAGGCACCTCACCAGGTTCCAGATCTCGTACAGACCTTTTTCGAAGGCTATCTCTCTTAATTATGCTGTTTGGGAAACTCACATCAAATCTGCCAGCATCCTGTTTCATCTGAGAGTCCCAACGATTTAGTTCATCTTCAGAATTCAAGACAGATAGTTTTATTTTGGCCATATCTGCCATCTGTTCTCTCCTGCTAGAATCATAAGGATTAAATTTTAAAGACTCTTCCCTGACTGTTATGTTAGAATAGGGGAGGACTTTTTCATCTACTTTAGGAGACCCTTTTACTGACAGTAGCCTAGGGGAGCCTATGGGATCCTCATCTTCATGGAAGGAACCATGTCGGACACTGGGAGAACCACCAGTCCTTTCAGAATCTTCGCTGATTTGGCGTGAACTTCTGTAATTCCGTTCTCGCTTGGTGCAGATATCAAAATCGACATGATCCATCCTTTTCTTTTTGCTAGGAGGAGAGTCATCAGTGACATCTTGAGGGGGTTTGCCTACCTCGTGAACGAGGCTACGTCTTTCATATTCATCTACATCTTTTTTAGGACTGCCAAACTTCTCAGACTTGGCTATTTCCATTTCCATCTGCTGTTTCCTACGACTCTGTTCCATTTGTTTTCGGTAACTCTGCGTGTGATCGATGTCAATGCCAATTTTTTCTTCAGTATTTACTGAATGTGATTTCTCTTGGCCTGATTTACGTTCAGGTGTTTCATCACGAAGACTGCAATAGTTTTTCCTAACGTCTTCTCTCTCTGGTCCTTGATCATCTAATACCTGCAGCTGTTTGAGCTGTGGTTTTGAGGGAATGGGCTTTTTTGATTGGACTTCTTGATTTTCCACAGATTCACCTGCTAGTTCTCCCAGTCTTGCTTGTAGGTCTGAGCTGGGCCTTGAGCCAGACCCAACAGAAATACTGGCAAGCTCCTGACAGTCTTTGGGGCTGGCAACAGTATTAAGTCTGTCCAGTTTGATTTTTTTAGATTCTCTTTTAAGAATTTCTTTCCTCACAGGCTTTCTTTCAGCCTCTCCTTCCCTCAGCAGAATGACCTCTCTAGAGGACACGTCAGGCTGCTTTTTTGAAAGCACGCGAGCATCCTCCATCTCTGGACTGCTTTTCTTGACCTCTGGTTTTTGCTTTTCTGCTTTTAAATTGGAATCTGCAAAGCGCCTTTTCCTGGCTTCCAGCTTCTCCAGATCCACAGCACTTACCCCATCTGCAGGCTGCTCAGGCTTGAGGTGCTTCCTGGCTTTAAGCCTGCCTTCCTTCTCCACCACTTCAACATGGCTTGAAAGCCCCTTTTCCTTTGGTACTTTCATTCTAACTGATTCCAGTTTAGACAAGTCAGATTTTGCAGGCTCCGTCTGAGAGACCTGAAGTTTCTGGTCCAGGGCAGAAGATTTGACAGTGTCATTATCAAGCTTGGCTTTCAACTTTTCCACAGGAGTGTGGTCAATGACCTTTCCCTCTTTCTCTTTCACTCGAGTCAAAACCACGCAAGGCATGAGTTCCAGGCGGTTTTTCGCTATTCCCTCTTTGTCAGCTTTCTCTCTGCTCAGTTTATTACAACTCCTGGGCTTTTCAGGGCTTTGCTCTCGCTCATTTTCTTGGTCCGTTTCTGAAGACTGAGAACTAGGGGAGTGAACCTTTCCTTTGCGTTTCTGCTTGTCAGTTTTGTCCTTTTCCACTTTTTCCTTCCGTATTAAGCGTCTCTCTCTCTCCACTCTCTCCGGATCAAAAGTTCGTTCTTTATCTGTCTTTTCATTTTTTGTATAGCGCTCCAAACGAGACTTGTCCAGTTTCTCATATCTTGGAGGGGAGAGTGAGCTACAGCTTCCACTCCGGTCTGAGGATCGGCTGTAAAGCCTCCTCTCAGAATCACTCGGCAACCTCTCTGCCTGAGAGGGAGACGCTCCAGGACTCTGTGGACGTCGCAAGTGAACAGGACTTTGACTTCGTTCAATCGGCCTCCTCTCATGGTCTCTGTCCCGGTCAGACTCAAATCTTTCACGTTCTCTTTCTCGTTCCCTTTGCCTGTAACTATATTCCCTAATATCTTGTTCATAAGGATCATTCCTGTAATCCCTGTATTCCCGAGGATCATCGTAGTATCGTGATTCATAGTAGTCTCCTTGGTAAGTTTCCCATTCTGAATAAAACTCTCTCCCTCGAGCTGGATAGTCCCGCCTGGAATCCTCAGGATAAGTGCCTGGAGTTCGAACACTCTCATAATATGTACGATCTTGGTTATAGTCGTAGGATGCCCTTCGTTCCTCTCTGCCAAAAAATAACAAAGATATTAGTTCTTTTGTTTCCTCATCACTTATGCATAAAATCATACATATGAAATCAGAAATTCCTGCTTCTAAAAAATCTTTTGACATTATTTAATCATTTGTGAAATGATTAGTTTGTAGTAGCTATCCACTATAGCTTCAAGTAGCTACTAGGCACTTGAAATCTAGCTAAATTGAGATGTGTAAAATACACAGCCAATTTTGTAGACCTAGTTTATAGAAAAACAACAATTTAGACTGATTATATGTTGAAACAACGTTTTAGATATATTAAAGAAAATTTCACTTTGTCTTTTTAATGTGGCTACTAGAAAATTTAAAATTACATATACAGAATTTATATAACTTACATTATGCTTCTATTGGGCAGTGGTGATTCAACCCTTTTTTAATGTTTCTGGTAACTCCGGCGTTGTGACAAAGCAGACACTAGTTACTGGACAATATCCCCACACTCCTACCTAAGTCTCCCACAAAATTACTATTCTATAAAAAGATATTCTTACAACTTGGGAAATAAATCCACTGTTTAGAAAAACAGATAAAAATTTTAACTAAAATTTTGCCATCTATATGACCTGTATGATACTGGTAACACTTCTATCTAATTCACAATTTTTAAAAAATACTGGAACCTGGTTAAACTCTCTGAACTCAGTCTCCTCACTCATAAAATGGCAGCTTTTCCTCATAAAGCTGTTAAAAAGATTAAGATAATATCTGTAAAAACTTTCCTACATAATCCTAGGCAGGTACTTGGCCTCAGTAAATGTTGTCACTTTCCCCCAGGCTGCCAACTAACAAACCAGGGATGACTGCAAGCACCATGAGAGAACTCCTCCAGTTTTAAGGAACTCACCACAGGTTTTCTCCCACAGGGACCTGTCTGGTGCATTCAAAATAGGATTAAATTTACACACAAGAACATATATTATATGAAATTAAATACACCTGTAACAGAGACCAATTACTTCCTTCACTCATTCATTCTCCGCAATGTTTGTTCTCTCATGTAGATACACCTGGCTCATTCTAGGTAACACTGCCATTAGTAGCTCGCTGAAAGAACACTAGAACTTGGCCGGACACGGTGGCTCATGCCTGTAATCCCAGCACTTTGGGAGGCCAAGGCAGGCGGATCACGAGGTTAGGAGATCAAGACCATCCTGGCTAACATGGTGAAACCCCATCTCTACTAAAAATAGAAAAAATTAGGCGGGCATGGTGGCAGGCGCCTGTAGTCCCAGGTACTCGGGAGGCTGAGGAAGGAGAATGGCATGAACCTGGGAGGCGGAGCTTGCAGTGAGTCAAGATTGTGCCGCTGCACTCCAGCTTGGGCGACACAGCGAGACTCCATCTCAAAAAAAAAAAAAAAAGAACACTAGAACTTAAGCCCCATAAAGGCACAGGCTTTGTCTTCTTGGCCAAAATTTCTCTAGCTCTTACAACAGCACTTGGCTCATAGCACTCAACTATTTGTTGAAAGAATGAACTTTAGAAAAATATATCAAAGCTGCTACTAAATGATGTTCCAACTCCTTTGAACAGCAAACGAAGCATCTAGACTGAACATTCCAACACTGGAAGCATCGATAACACATTATTTTATAAATATACATATTTATAAATATGTATATTTTGTAAATATATTTATAAATGTGTGTGTGTGTGTGTGTGTGTGTGTGTATGTATATATCTGAGCTGGAGTGCAGTGGCACAATCTCGGCTCACTGCTCTCCACCTCTGGGGTTCAAGCGATTCTCCTACCTCACCACCACCACAAGTAGCTGGGAATACAGGCATGCGCCACCACGCTTGGCCAATTTTTTTGTATTTTTAGTAGAGACAGGTTTCACTGTGTTGGCCAGGCCGAACTCAAACTCCTGACCTCTGGTGATCTGCCCGCCTCAGTCTCTCAAAGTTCTGGGATTACAGGCATGAGCCACTGTGCCTGGCCTATTATATGTACTTATATTGAACTTCCTCAGTTCAAAGAAAATATTTTATTGTGTATCTATGATATTTGGTTTAATTGGATTCAAGATGATCCTTCCATAGCTCCATGGAAATCAGATTCCTTGTCTAAATAGTGACGAGGCAGCTCATAAATAACTGTTACTAGGCATGGAATTAGGCTAATTTAACTCATTACCACCATAAATACATACTTTGAGGATGTATTTTCCACATGAAGGTGAACACATTATATACCTTCTAATATTATAAAGTGAGTAAGACACCTAGAATGGTCATTAGTTTACTGCCCATATTAATGGTAGGCTTGAGTCATATTTAAAAACACAGTATCAAGGTATCTTTTTAATTAAGCAAACTAAAACTATATCTAAAAATACGAGCTGGGCATGGTAGCTTAGGCTTGTAATCCTAGCACTTTGGGAGGCCTGCTTGAGGCCAGGAGTTCAAGACTGGCAGGATCAACACAGCAAGACCCCATCTCTACAAAAAAAAAAAAAAATTTAATAAAAATTTATTAAGTAGTAATATTAAAAAAAGTTTTGGAAGGCAGAAATATATGTATAAGCATTCATGCTGGAGCACTGTTCAGCTTAACAAATACTTATTTTGCTGGGCCCCATGACAACAAAAGAAATAAGCAGTTCTGCCCTCAAAGAATTCAACAATTTAAGCAGGGACAACACAACTGGCACTTGGACCATGTACGGGGACTCTGAGGAACTGCAGAAAGTCAGGTTCGGAGAGAACTCTGTTCACAAAACCACAGAGTATCCAAAGTGCCATAAGTAGATGTCATCTGAATCACAATGTGACCCTGTAAATTCATCTCGAGAACCACTCCGGTAAAGGGTAAGCTCAATGCACTAGCAGGTAGGAACCCTAGGTTTATCCCCAGCCCAGCCCCTTAGTGGCCTGTGATCTTATTAGCAAAAGTTCCTTCCATAAAAAGGGTTACCTGACAGAGTATTAGAGGGATCAAATGAAATACTATTGGAAAATGGGAAAGCCCTGTGCAAATAGAGTTGTCATTTGCATTCCTGAGCTTATCATTAGCATTAAAGCATTTTTTTTCATTCATGCATCAACTATTCAGTGAGATAACTTCCATTCTATGGAAGAGGCAAAGATCCTCAAGGTCTACTGCAAGGAATGCATTCCATAAGCACTGCCAACTGAAACCACATGGGGCAAACCTGGGTCACAGTGAAGTCCCACACCCTCCTGCGTCCTCATGAGGAGATAACTGCCATTTGAGAGGGATAAATAACCATGAGAAAAAACACAGAACAAACCCAAAGCCAGTTAGTTCATCACTAAAACAAACAATGACTTTTGGCCAAGCGTGGTGGCTCACATCTGTAATCCCAGCACTTTGGGAGGCCGAGGCAGGCGGATCACCTGAGGTCAGGAATTTGAGACCAGCCTGACCAACATGGAGAAACCCTGTCTCCACTAAAAATGCAAAATTAGCCAGGCCTGGTGGTGCGTGCCTGTAATTCCAGCTACTCTGGAGCCCGAGGCAGGAGAATCGCTTGAACCCAGGAGGCAGAGGTTGCGGTAAGCCAAGATTGCACCATTGCACTCCAGCCTGGGCAACGAAAGGGAAACTCTGTCTCAAAAAACAAAAAAAAAATAGATTTTAAGTAGTAATATACAAAAAGTAACACCCACATTACATTATTCAACCCTCACACAAAACTGCTGTTTTAAAATATTTAATGTACACAGAGGATTTTAATGGATTTTGTATGTTTTAGGTGCAAGTAGGCCTCCGGGACACTTTCCACTCACATATAGATAAGAATTCCTTGTAAGCATTTACTGTATTAACAATGACTTCAAACTGCTACTTGGGAAGCCAGGATAGAGAATTTTTTTCTCTCTTGACATGAGACACACACATTCTCCTGCATGTGGCCACATAATTTTACGCTCACTTTCACTCTCTTACACTCACACAACTGAGAAAACAGTCTATCGAGCCTGACTTTCTAGCTAAAGGAGTATTGATCTTTGAAGCTTTGTGATTTGGATTCTGATCTGGTGAGAAACCATCAAAACCTGACAAGTTTGAGCTTTTGAGAATTTGGCCGTAGGGAGCATTTTTCATTTAAAAACACCAGGTAGGCCGGGTGCGGTGGCTCACGCCTGTAATCCCAGCACTTTGAGAGGCCAAGGCGGGCGGATCACGAGGTCAGGAGTTCAAGACCAGCCTGACCAATATGGTGAAACCCCGTCTCTACTAAAAATACAAAAATTAGCCGGGCATGGTGGCATGCGCCTGTAGTCCCAGCTACTCGGGAGGCTGAGGCAGGAGAATCGCTTGAACCAGCAAGGCAGAGGTTGCAGTAAGCCAATATCGCATCACTGCACTCTAGCCTAGACCACAGAGCAAGACTTCATCTCAAAAAAAAAAAAAAGCACAAAGTATTCAACGACTGTTGTACAATATTCCACTAAGAAATTAATATATATTAATACTTGCTATCATTTAAACAAAAATGAATTGGCAAGAAGAGGCAGTAGAAAGGGAATGCATTCAACAGGGCTTGTGGCAGCACAACCCTGACTTGGCTCATCTTGCCATGGAGCCCTTTTCATACTTTGAACTCAAGTGTCTAAAGGCGTTTTTCACACAAACCTTTTGTCTAACACATATAGGGGTGGAGACCTAGTGGGAACATTCCAGGAAACTTAATCAGAGGTATGTCTGGAAAAACAGCTTGATAATATGGACCAAATTTCCATTTTCAAAAGTAATCAGCTATTGAAGAATCTGGTGGCATTATCTTAAGATGTTTTACTATATTTCGGTCTGTTCAGCAGAAAAAATATTAAATACTACATAACCATGACTGAAAGTATTAACAAGAGGAAATCAGGTTTGCCCTGCACATTGCCAAAGTTGCCAGTTTACATATGCTTTGGCTTATTGATTCACTTTGACTATTTAAGAGATTCAACTTTAAAATAAAGCTCTTGATATTCTTTTGGAAGTTTTTATTTATTTATTTATTTTTTAAGTTAAATGTATGAGCACATACAACCTGGTTGTTGTCATTACTAAATATGTAGCCATTTAAAAGTTTATAATGCACTCTAACATATATTAATACATTTACTTTAAGAAGTAACTGTAAGCAAGATGATTTGTATTTATGATTAATGGTACATAAAGCAGACCAGGTGTGGTGGCTCACACCTGTAATCCCAGCGCTTTGGGAGGCCAAAGCGGGCAGAATGCTTGAGCCCAGGAGTTCAAGACCAGCCTAGACAACATGGAGAAAACCCATCTTTACAAAAATTACTCCAGCGTGGTGGCAAGTGTCTGTAGTCCCAGCTAATCAAGAAGATGATGTGTGAGGATCACTTGAGCCTATAAGGCAGAGACTGCAGTGAGCCATGATCATGCCACTGCACTCCAGTCTGGGTGACAGAGTGAGACCCTGTCTCAAAAAAAAAAGTACATAAAGTTATCACCTGGCAAAACAGTAACTCTTTCAAGTTCTAGGAGCATTCAGTGAGAAATCCAGACAGGTTGCTCCAAACCCATAGGAATTACCTGGAAACTAGATTCAAAAAAATAAACCTGTGTTTCCATATGAAGTGATAAAAGAGAAGCATTCTCTATTCTAGAAGATGAAAGTAGGGGTAAAGAGTGAAAAATAAAATTTAATGCCATCTTAAGTTTCTGTATTAAAACTATTAAAACTCAAGCTACACTGGTAAGTTTAAAATACATACCTTCTTTCGGCTAACATTTCATAAAAGTCTCTGATGTCTTGACCAGATTTCTCCATGCAGTGATAAAAAGCCAGCTGACTTTCCCGATTTGCAAAATCCACCTTTAAAAAAAAAAAGAGGTGTTTGATGCAAGTTTCAAATTTTAATGATGGAAAAATGTTATCAGATTTGTAAATTCTTCACAACATAGCCCTTCTGAGAAAATTTCAGGAAACAGCAATGTATCTCAAGTAAAACAGTCCTCATCACTGAAACTATATTAACCTGAAATCTCTCAAATTCTGTATAAACCGTGATAAAAGAATGAAATTTATAAAGTTTCAAACCCAATTGTGAAGGAGTGAAAAAAGCAAAATGGAAAACTGAAATGGCAATTAAGTAATCAGATCAACTAAATCCAGCAATCTCTGTTGCCAAAACTACAGTTAGAATATAAAACAAAATATGGATGAACATTTTAAACTTTATTCACAGCTGGGCCTCAAAGTTACTAAAGCATATGATGCTCATCAGCTATCAAATAGCTTATCATCTTATTTTTAAAATACTTTTTTCAACCTAACAATCATAGTTATTTCATAGTTAAGTGCATAAATTCCTTCAAACTACCATGAATACAAGTTTTTAAAAACATACACTGGACATAAAGTTATGCTTTAAGTGGCTACCCACTCTTCAGGAGAGTAGGAAAGGAAAGAAAGACATATCATTCAGGATGCTGGACTGATACTATGAGGCCCTGGGTGTCAGATACCCATAACTGTGGTCAAGCCTGCGATGAGAGTGTCTGTGTGAGCATCAGCACCCGAACACTGAGAAGCACACTTCTTTGAATGAGAAGATTTTTAGGGAAGGATCTGTGGCTAATGGTTTAAAGATGCTGTGCCCACAAGTAGCTGAGCATAAAATTGTAATATTCCCCTTAAACACTAATGATACAGCATACGTGTCTTGTAAACCACTCCCCTGGCTGGCAGCCTACAAAATGCTAGTTATTAACGGGGTGATTTCTTTTTTTTGGAGATGGAGTCTTACTCTGTCACCCAGGCTGGAGTGCAACGGCATGATCTCAGCACACTGCAACCTCCGCCTCCTGGGTTCAAGCAATTCTCCTGCCTCAGCCTCCCAAGTAGCTGGGATTAACAGGCACGCGCCACCAAGCCCGGCTAATTTTTCTTGTATTTTTAGTAGAGACGTGGTTTCACCATGTTCATCAGGCTGGTCTCGAACTCCTGACCTCAGGTGATCCACCTGCCTTGGCCTCCCAAAGTGCTGGGATTACAGGCGTGAGCCACCACGCCCAGCCCAAGAGGGTGAGATTTGAATAGGACTTTGTTTTGCTTCTGTTTAAAGTCATTCTGCACACCTTAATTTTATTCCCACCGATTTTCCTCCCTTTGGTCTCTTTTACAGCTGCTTGTGCATATTCAATTTCATTGTAGAGAACCAGGGCCATGCCTTTTAAGCGGTCAAACACCACCTGTAAAACAAACAAACAAAAAACAAGTAAGAGCCTCATCCACTGGACTTAGTGTCAGTCCCAACAAAATCCTAAGCCACAAGGACACGGATGAGAAAAAATATATTTTTATATATTTTATTCTATTAAAAAAAAAAGTGTGATGCACACTGTAGTGAACACAATAAAATGAAAATGTGCAGGGACTGTTTAGAATCATAGACATTATGGCTTGAGATATTATGCCTTTATTTTGTTCTTCTGTATTTTACTTTGTTTTCCATGTTTACTGACCACTATATTGTATTTCAGTAAAGTATTCGTCTTGTTTTGGCTCAAAACAAAAAAGCAAAACCAACAACAGCAAAAAACACCCTTGAAAGGAAGGAAAAATTAAGAACAACAAAGAATTTCTGTGAACTTTGGCTACAAGTAGCATAACTGTCTTAAGGCTGTGGATTTTTTTATACAGGCAATCTTTAAGATGTGTATTTCTCTAAACAACAAAAGCTACATTTAAAGTATTGTCTGCCAGGCGCAGTGCCTGTAATCTCAGCACTTTAGGAGGCCGAGGCAGGTGGATCACTTGAGGTCAGGAGTTTGAGACCAGCCTGGCCAACATGGCAAAACCCCATCTGTACTAAAAATACAAAACTAGCCAGGCGTGGTGGCACACACCTGTAATCCCAGCTATTCAAGAGGCTGAGGCTAGAGAATCGCTTGAACCTGGGAGGCGGAGGTTGCAGTGAGCTGAGATCCCGCCGCTGCACTCCAGCCTGGGTGACAGAGTGAGACTCTGTCTCAATTAAAAATAAATAAATAAATTTAAAAAAAAAAAAGCATTGTCAAGGGTATACAATATACCTACCACAGAGTAAACATAGTTTTAAGGAACCAAAGCTTTACCTTCACACACTGAATTGGGTCTGGAGACCCTTTTCCTGTTGCTTATGGATGTATTACATAAAAATCATTGGTTAGATGAATATTCTGTTGTGTGAACTTCCCCTCATTTAAAAAAGTCTAATTACATATTTAGTGTAAATGTGAATAACTATATAGTCAGACTATCTAATTTTAATGTAAGATAAAATTATAAAAATCCCTAAGCAACATTTCTATTTCATTCTATTTATACTATGAGAATAGTTTCAAAATTAATCACCTTGGCTAGTTCAAAATAGTTTCTTCAAAATACTCATAACTTAAGGCAACAGATGCAAATGCCCTTATTGACCAAATCTTAGCAAACATAATTTTAATGTGCTCGTTATTAAAGAAATAGGCAATGCTAGCCAACTGAGACTGAAAGGAGAGAATACCAAGACGAGTGAGTCAGAAGTCTGAACCACATACCAAAACCTCCCGCCTACCTTTACCACAGGCCCATATCGGCAGAAATGTCGTGTTAAATACTGATCTGACACATTCGAAGAAAGCCCATCTAGCCACACGCAGTTTGTAGGCATGCTCTTTCCAAAACCCAGCTGAATATAAAAGGCAAAATTTCTATTAGTAAAGTTCACAATTACTATTCAACTACAACAGAATTCTCAGAAAACTGGTTTTCTATAGTAATCTTATCAAATCAACATCTCAAGTGGGAAACATCTGGTTAAAATTAAATAGGAATATACAAAAAAAATCCTGCCTGGCTAATCGAATATTAATCAGATTACAGTATATAATAGGATAGGAATGCAAAGAAGTATATCACTTTTATGGTTATCTGTCTTAGTAGGATCTTAAATAATAAGGCATATGCAAAAAAAAAACCCTTCAAGTCTTAAAAAACAAAGCAAATCATAACAGCACAATA
The DNA here is from genome assembly GCF_000001405.40 of Homo sapiens. NCBI lineage: Eukaryota > Metazoa > Chordata > Mammalia > Primates > Hominidae > Homo > Homo sapiens. Next base: position 15,919,071 of record NC_000001.11, on the reverse strand, counting down.
ATTTATGCAAATTCATTTACCTTGAGGCGATTATTTCCAAGATATTCCCCATCCATCTTCTTAATAGCTTTACAAACGCTAGCAATATCACAGTATTGCAGAAACGCATACTGAGGAACTCCATTTACTTTCTTAATGTCAATATCCTGAAAAAACCAATGAATACAACTTAGCAATATGCCCAAGAAAATAAATTAGAATGAACCAAGTCCATATAGGGTATTTATTTCTCAAAAAAGTCATGTTCTCAATCATCATTTACTTAGTTAAAAAAACTGTACACCTTAATACAATGGTAAGTTACTAGTTTGCTATAAAACATATAGCATTTATTGTCACAAACCATGAAATCCTTCTCATGTGAAGCTCTCTGCAGAGGAGCAACAGCATTGCAATTCAAAATTCAAAATTTAAAATCCATACTAACAGCATTAAGAGAAACTTAACGATAATAAAGAAAAGGCAGGCTATTTAATGAAATCCTAAGAAATAATTCCCTTCTGCAATATCTAAAATCGTTATTAGGGGCCAGGCCATTTAAAATATGATATCTGGCTGCGCACCGTGGCTCACGCCTGTAATCCTAGCACTTTGGGAGGTGGAGGCGGGCGGATCACTTGAGGTCAGGAGTTCGACACCAGCCTGGCCAACACGGTGAAAACCTGTCTCTACTAAAAATACAAAAATTAGCCAGGCATGGCGGCACATGCCTGTAATCCTAGTTATTCTGAAGGCTGAGGCAAGAGAATCGCTTGAACCCGGGAGGCAGAGGTTGCGGTAAGCCAAGATCGCGCCATTGCGCAGGTGACAAAAGTGAAACTCCGTCTTAAAAATAAATAAATAAAATAAAATATGATATCTGAGAAGATTAATAAATCTTTGTTCTTTAACCTTTAAAATTAAAAGATCAATAAATAAATAAATAAATAACAGATAACTGTCTAAAGACAAAAGAAGCTGGAGCCCAGATAGGTTACTGAATTCCATACCACCCATCTAGGTAGGCAGTAGAACTGCAATTAGAGTATATGCTACTCCCACAAAACCAAAATAATTTGACAAATCAAAATAATTGAAAATGAGGTCATCCATTTCTCCATCAGCAAGGAAGGACATTGGGGTGGGGCTGTCATACCTATCAAGGACAATAACTAACTACCAGGGCTTCCAGTGCTTTGATGAAACCTCAGATGTGTGACTTTCTGGCCAAGAATCTGTAATATCATATTGCTGGAGCATTAATTGGGGGTTGTGGTTCTCTATAAGTTTGCTGTGGCTGAACCAAGAAAGAAGGCATGTGCAGATTTCTACAGAAGTTACGATTCTATGAAAGATTTTGAGGAGATGAGAAAGGCTGATATCTTACAAAATGTTATCTCCCAGCCTGGGCATGGTGGCTCACACATGTAATCCCACCACTTTAGGAGGCCACGGCAGGTAGATCACCTGAGGTCAGGAGTTTAAGACCAGCCTGGCCAACACGGTGAAACCCCGCCTCTACTAAAAAATACAAAATTAGCTGGGCATGGTGGCGGGCGCCTGTAATCCCAGCTACTCAGGAGACTGAGGCAGGAGAATCGCTTGAACCCAGGAGGCGGAGGCTGCAGTGAGCCAAGATCGCACCACTGCACTCCAGCCTGGGTGACAAGAGTGAAACTCTGTCTAAAAAAATAATAATAGTATATCCCAAGATTACAAAGCTGTGACCAAAATATTTTCATTTTTAAACTGACTCTAATTTTAAGTCATAAAGGAACAGAAAACTTCTTGTACCCCTTAATCTAACAATGACTTGCATAATATAAAAAGTGATTCAAATTAAGACTTCCTAATAGAATTAAACTGCTAGCAGACGACATCCATATTCTAGTAATCCCCAAGGTATTTCTGATGTGCACTGTGATCACAAAACAATCATACACTAATTTGCTGCTTCTATTTTTGGAGACAGGGTCTCACTCTGTCACCCACGCTGGAGTACAGTGGCGTGATCTCGGCTCACCGCAGCCTCTGCTTCCTGGGCTCAAGTGGTTCTCCAGCCTCAGCCGCCTGAGTAGCTGGGACTACTGGAGCAAGCCACCAACGCCCAGCTAATTTTTGTATTTTTATAGAGACAGGGTTTCACCATGTTGCCCAGGCTGGGCTTAAACTTCTGAGCTCAAAGTGATCTGCCCACCTCACCCTCCCAAAGTGCTGAGATTATAGGTGTGAGCCACCATGCTCAGCCTGCTGCTTCATTTTTACAAACATTTTTCTCTTCCAGATTTTCCTTTCAATCCACAGGACTAGAGATGGCATTAAAACAGAACCCAATGAACAAAGAAAGATAAAAATGGGTAAGAGCCAGCCTGGGCAACATGGCAAAACACCACCTCTACAAAAAACACAAGAGTTAGCTGGGCGTGGTGGGACATGTCTGCAGTCCCAGCTACTCAGGAGACTGAGAGATGGGAGGATCACTTGAGCCCAGGAGGTTGAGGCTGCAGTGAGTCGTGATCATGACACTGCACTCCAGGCTCGGAGACAGAGTGATACTCTGTCTCAAAAAAAAAAAAAAAAAAGAGGTAAGAAAATATATATGTGTAAACAAAGGACATATATTACATTTTTACACACGTATATAGAACCATACCCAATGGGATTCTCTGGATTATCTTTTAGCAAGAGCTAAAAGCACACAACAATGTTCATTCATTACACCATTAAATATCACCTTTCCAAATATAATCTGTACTATGCTTTATGTGTTATGACAAAGACCTAAAATTGTTTACATAGTAAAAGCAACATACCACAATTTCTCCAAAGCGCTGGAAGATGTTGCGAAGGTCATGGTAAGTAGTGGTTTTTTCAAGGTTGCCAATAAAGAGAGTTCTTGTTGCTTTGGGGTGAAATTCATCTATCCTTTCATCCAAGGGGCGAAATTCATTTTCACTTTCTGTTTCTGTAAGTGGAATGGGGGCCGAGTAAAAAGAGAAGACAGTATTTTAATGCATATTTATATATCATGGAAAAATCTACATTTAAAAAACAAAATGTCTGAAATAATGGGCTTGAATACTCACATAAACTGAAATATCATAAACACCTTCAGAAATAGCCACCCCTTATTAACTCTAAAGCAAAAAAGGAATACAAAGGCTAAATAAACGTTTCAAAAAAAAATTAAGGCTAAAGTAACACTTTGTTTAACCTTTAAAATTAAAAATAAACTGATTTAAATCTGCTAAATTAGCTGGGAAGGGTGGCTCATGCCTGTAATTCCAGCACTTTAAGATGTCAAGGTGGGAGGATCGCTGGAGCCCCAGAGTTTGAGACTAGCCTGGGCAACATGTTGAAACCCCATCTCTACCAAAAAAAATACAAAAAATTAGCCAAGTATGGTGGCGCACGCCTGTATTCTCAGCTATTTGGGAAGCGGAGGTGGGAGAATAGCATGAGAATGGGAAGTTGAGGCTGCAGTGAACTGTGATCACGCCACTGCACTCCAGGCTGGGTGATGGCAGTGAGAGAACCTGTCTCAAAAATAAAATAGAAAAAATAAAATAGATAGATATCTTTGCTAAGGTGATCTGTTGTTTTTGGGACAGAGTCTCGCTCTGCCACCCAGACTGGAGTGTACTGGCAGGATCATGGCTCACTGGAGCCTCAACCTCCCAGGCTCAAGCAATCCTCCAACCTCAGCCTCCTAAGTAGCTGGGACCACCAGTGCATGCCACCATGCCTAGCTAGTTTTTCCACCCCCCCAGCCTGTTGCCCAGGCTGGTCTCTGGGCTCAAGCAATCCTCCTGCCTCAGCCTCCCAAAGTGCTGGGATGACAGGCGTGAGCCACTGCACTTGGCCTGATTTGTTTTAAAAATAATCACTGACACAGAAATAGATTTTAAACCCCAGCAAAAATGGTAATTAATTATTTGAGCCTAATCCTAGTTTCCAAAATTACGTAGCAGGCTCTCAATTTGGCGTATAAAACTATACTCTGAAATAGACATAAAAACTCAGCTGAAAATAGTCCACCTTCATTGTTTAATTTCATTTACTTTTCAACATTTTATAAGATATTTAGCATTTCGCCCCTCTCATACTAACACAATAAATCAACTGTCTAAATACGGAAATTTTAGATATAAGAGTAACTATGAAAACAGATTAAAGCAATATGTTTTAAATTATCTTTTGATATTGCATGGTCCCCAGTGACAAACAGAAATGATTGTTACGGCTTCTTCTTCTTCTTTTTTTTCTTTGAGATGGAGTTTCACTCTTGTCACCCAGGCTGGAGTGCAGCGGAGCAATCTCGGCTCACTGCAACCTCTGCCTCCTGGGTTCAAGCAATTCTCCTGCCTCAGCCTCCCAAGTGGCTGGGATTACAGGTGCCCGCCATCATGCCTGGCCAAATTTTTGTATTTTTAGTAGAGACGGGGTTTCGCCATGTTGGGCAGGCTACTCTCGAACTCCTGACCTCAGGTGATCCGCCCGCCTCAACCTCCCAAAGTGCTGAGATTACAGGTGTGAGCCACGACGTCCAGCCTCTATTTTTTATGGTCAAAAGCAATGGCTTAATTTCTAATTTATCATAGCCTTTCTCTGAAGCTCCATTTATAAACTTGGTCTAGGGCAGGAACGCTCAAGGTTTTGTTGATAACAATTATAGGAAACTACTGTGTGTTCTTTTTTCTTAATGTAAAACAAAGCCATCCAAAAAATTAATATTTAATCAACTTTACTGAAATGAAGCATTTAGAGCCAGCCATTGAACATTACTGATAATGTCAACAACACTGGTATTTTTAAAAACTCAATTTCAGGGACCTTGAGTTAAGTCAGAATACATCTCACTTCTGAGTCCAGACTGATGGCTCCAATGGTAGCTCAACTAATGTTACCCCTTTCGATCAATCAGACTATGATGTACTTTCACATGAAACTCAGGTGGACTCAGAAACTACCCAGGACTCATAATAGCTGTCTCCATATATTCTGCATATCTCAAAGGAACATATCTCATTTTAAGCTCAATTTGGTCTTAATTTAAATGTGCACAGACATTTAATAATATTTCAAAAAATTCAGATAGAATATTGAGGTTTGTGCTCCGAAAGGCAGAAACACAAGAAGAAAGCATGATTTGCAACTATTAAAATCTGTAACGGCTTCATTCCCACCAAATGGCCTGCCTGGTGCATTTTCTTTCTTTCTTTTTTTCTCCCCCTTGGAGACAGGGTCTTGCTCTGTTGCCCAGGCTGGAGTGCAGTGGTGGGATCATAGCTTACTGCAGCCTCAAACTCCTGGGCTTAAGCAATCCTCCCACCTCAGCCTGGCTACCTGGCTGATTTTTTATTTTTTGTAGAGATGGGGTCTCCCTTTGTTGCCCAGGCACATCTCAAACTCCTGGGCTCAAGCGATCCTCCTGCCTCAGCCTCCCAAACTGTTTACAGGCATGAGCTTGGTCAGGCATGGTGGCTCATGCCTATAATCCTAGCACTTTGGGAGGCCAAGGCAGGAGGATCGCTTGAGCCCAGGAGGTCGAGGTTTTGGTGAGCCATGATTATGACACTACACTCTAGCCTGGGTGGCAACAGAGTGAGACCCTGTCTCCAATCAATCAATCAATCAATCAAGGTGTGAGCCACCACGCTCAGCAGTAAATTTTCAAGATCGGAAATTCAGTTAGCAAAAAAAAAAGTTTTCCACGTGTAGTCCACTTAACCTTCACAACCAGTCAAAGTCTTAATGCCTACACACCTTTGGGAAAAAACTTCTTGAACTTGTAATTTCATGTTTAGGGGATTGTAATGCAATGTATGGGAAAAGAAATCTTAGAAGCCACCAATGGGTCTATATGCAAAGTTAGGTTTCTTGGATTTGGATCTTTGAAAATAATCCTTGACCTAAGCAATCAGCTCAATACATTTCAATATAACATTAATGATTTAACCATCTGAGAGCATAATTCCAACCTAGTCTCCATACTCAAAATTCAACTGCTTTCACATATCCCATTTAACTGGTTTTAATGTTGTCCTATCTGGGAAAAGTAGTTAGCTTTTCTATACTTGAACCAACCAAACTTCTCAAAATTTTCACTGGCAAGTAGGTAAAGCCTATTTCCTAGGTGCTAAATAACTAGGTTAAAAGCTTTTTACAGTAAAAATCTCAAGCTAGCCCTACCATCTAGAGATAAAAGTTACATACTGAATGCCCCTGGATGAGATCCTCCTTACTTAATAATTATAATTGGCTCTAGAAACATATATGACATTCTAAATGTTTCTCAAGCCGTTCTGACCTGTTCCAAATGTGTTAAATTTTAAAGAACTCCTGGAGTTGCTCTTAGCTTAGTAAAATTTAGGGCAATCCATCTCAAACTTGATGGAAGAAGGACTGTGAAGGCTTAACCTATTATCCTTTGAAAAGATAATATTCCTTTGAATTGTTATGTTTCATTGTAACATCACAGAGTGACCATTTTGCAGTGGTCACCCTAACAATTCCGTGCCAGTTTTACCATACAAATAACATATTTGTGCATCCTCACCAGGGGAACTACATTTTTTTCTTTTTAATTATCTAATAAATGAATATTACAAGAATATTCATATTTATCCTATAACAGGCCATGTTTACCCTATAAATTCCACTTAAAGTCTTAAAGTTCAAGTGTCTCAGCTTCATAAAGTGACTATAAATTTTTAATGTTTCTATTGATTCCTTTACAAATTTATTCACAAGTTCTGTTAAATCAGGGGTTCCCAAACTTAAGTGTATAAACTCTGAATCAGTAAGCTGGGGCAGGGTTAAAGAGCCTGCATTTTTAAACAAGTACTGCAGGCGGTCCTGAAACAGGAGAAATGCCAATGCAAGCCACGTGTGAGAAGATTTCCTGCCTTATAACAGGTTCCACAGGTAGGTTCAAGATAATAAATGTTCCCTGGAAATTCTCAGTGGGTTGCACCCATAAGGCTTATTCCTGTTACTCTGTCTTCAAGGTCATGCAAGCTGGAAAAACAGACCCAACTTGTATTGGACATAATAGAAATAAAACTGGTCTAACAAGTCCCCCACATCAATATTAAGTAATTTGTTTCTTTTTTCTTTTTATTTATTTATTGAGATGCAGTCTTGCTCTGTTGCCCAGGCTGGAGTGCAGTGGTGCAATCTCAGCTCACTACAACCTTGACCTCCCGGGTTCACACGATTCTCCCGCCTCAGCCTCCCAAGTAGCTGGGATTACAGGCGTGCGCCACCACGCCCAGCTAATTTTTGTATTTCTAGTAGAAACAGGGTTTCACCATGTTGGCCAGGCTGGTCTTGAACTCCTGACCTCAGATGATCCACCCACCTCAGCCTCCCAAAGTGCTGGGATTACAGGCATGAGCCACTGCGCCCAACCAGAAGTAGTTTCCTTTCCAATTCAAGGTAATTCTGTTGTCACACTCCTAGGAGCTACCTCCTAGTTTTGATAAATTCAATCCTTTTGGGAAGGCTGGACTCAATAAGGGTCTACACAGTTCTGCCTTTCAGACTCTTAACAGTCAGCAAGGCTCCATTACAGCAACAGAAAAATCTATCCTCCCTAACCAAAACAATGTTTTTTATTAAGTTGAACAATAAATAGAACCATCTTTTAAAACAGAAGACAATGGAAATATGTCAATAAATAAAGCCAGAATAGTGTCCTCATTCAGGATCATATGCTGCCCTCTCATACACTGCAACACAAACAGTGTGTGTGATGAGTAACTCAAACTCAGCTTGCTTGTGTCTTACCTGGACCTATCCATGCTGTTACTTCAATCTGCATGCCAAAGAAAAGTTTTCCTTTTGATGCAGTCAAGGCTTTTTCTTGGTCCTCTTGCTGCCGAAAGAATACCAGACCATACCTCTCTTCTGAAGTTCCATGTATCTGCACTGAAGTTACTTTTCCAAATTTCTTAAATTCATGGAAAAGGCCATCTTTAAGGCTTGTATCTAAATTCCCAAAAAAAACCAAGTTATTAATTCTTCTAATTTAATTATAACTAAATAAGCAACCTACTAAATCTTTAGCCTGATTTTCTCATTTTTTTGTTCATGTCAGACAGGTAATATACTAATGTCATAACAAGGTCTGAGGGAGGCACACCTCACACAGCATGAAAACCCAATCATCATGCTTATGAACCACAAAAGGATCTAGCTTGAGATTTGACTTAAATTTTATTGTCATTAAAACATTACTTTTTCAAACAAAAAAGCTCTAAAAACACGGTTTCGAGATTATTGTACAATTCTGAAAATAAACTGTTAGATGATAGTATTGGTTATTTTGTTAGGTAAGAATGATACTGTGGTTATCCAGAAAAATGCCCTTATATATTATAGATATATACATAAATATACGTGTGTAAATAGGTATGAAATAAAACAACATCAAGGATTCACCTTAAAGGTAAAAAAAAAAACAAAAAACAGTAGGAAAGCAGGAAGACAGGAAACAGATAAAGCAAAAATGCAAAATGATGATTTCTGAATCTTGGATATTATATAAGGGGAGTTCATTTTGCTATTCCTTCTACTTTGGGGTAGGTTTCATAATAAAACTTTTACATGTCTGTTTATAAAGTGTTAAAGACTTGAAATGGAAAGGCATCGTCTATCTTTCCAAGGATCATCTCAATGATAAAATTGTGTGAGAAGTGTCATGTAGCATGCTAAACAATTTTAGTATCCTTTACAGATGAATCATACCATCTGGGGGTCTTGTGTTAATTTGCTTTATTAGAAATATAAAAGGTGTATAGAAAGGCAAGCCAATTTTACTCCCTTGTCCATTTCTAAATTACCAAGTACTCTAAATCAAAAGCTCATCAACATTAGTATCTCAATAACTCTATTCACAAACCTGATACATAAGTTTTTAGGCTATTTTAGTAAATAATTTTTTTTTTTTTTTTTTTTTTTTTTTAGAGACAGAGTCTCGCTCTGTCGCCCAGGCTGGAGTGCAGTGGCCTGACCTCAGCTCACTGCAAACTCCGCCTCCTGGGTTCACGCCATTCTCCTGCCTCAGCCTCCCGAGTAGCTGGGACTACAGACGCCCGCCACCACGCCCAGCTAATTTTTGTATTTTTAGTAGAGACGGGGTTTCACCATGTTAGCCAGGATGGTCTCGATCTCCTGACCTCGTGATCCGCCCGCCTCGGCCTCCCAAAGTGCTGGGATTACAGGCATGAGCCACCGCGCCTGGCCCCTATTTTAGTAAATAATTTAAGCAATCACTGAAATACACTTAGCTAAAAAATACTTAATTTGGTCTTTGTTGGCATGACTATCTACTAATAGTTTTAACTTGTTTACATGCTCAACATGACCAATGTAGGAGTAACAGTATATTACGGTCAGCTGTCAATTAAAAATATTACCAGTAGAGACCACAGAATAGCTTAAGCAGACTTTTCCATTATTCATGGCTTTCCTCATTTAAAACGTTAATATTTCGAAATGGGTTTTCCATTATAATTTTATGCCCAAAGTTATTTCAATGTAATGCAGTATCATACCTCATTCCTCAGTAGTAGCACAGAGGAAAGGACATTCACACAAAATTTTACCTGTAGAGCGTACTGGAAGATTCTGGACCTTGATGCCAAAACTTTTACGGGGCTCATCTTTTTCCAGAGATGAAAGCAACTGGGAAGTGGGTGCAGGGACTGCTGCAGACTGAACTGATCGAGCTGGAGAATCATCACTTGAACTACTGCTGGAATCACTGCTGCAAAAAGGCAACAACAACAAACTTTAGTGAAAAGACAAACAGAAAATGAGCAGCATTAGAAAACTTCTTAAAATAACTAATAGGTCTAAATTTTCAGACTGGAATTTCTGGAGGCCCTGCATTCTACACATCTATCTCGTACTCTACCTTCAGAGGTGGCAGAAGACAATAAATATGCAGGAGCACAAAAGTATAATCTTCATTTACCACCACATACCACCAATGCAAGTGTTGCATTCTATTAATAACTTGAACTTTTTTTTTTCAAATGAAGTAAGACTAGTGAATTCAATTCACTTAGTGTAATAATAATAATAGTGCGTATATGGGTTTGGGATTCAGAGGTCTAGATTCAAATCTTGGATCAGACATATAGCACATGTCCGTGGACAAATCACTTAACACCTTTGAAATGGGTTTCCTATCATAATTTTATGCCTAAAGTTACCACATGGAACACAGGACTATCAGCCAACATAATGAAACTAAATGAAAATAGTATTTCTAAAATTGCATCATACCCAATTTCCCCCAATATCAAGTGTGTAAAATGAAAATAATTATAATAGTACCTATATCACAGGGTTAAGAATTAAATAAAACAGATGGGGCTCAGTGGCTCACGCCTGTAATGCCAGCACTTTAGGAGGCCAAGGCGGGTGAGGTCAAGAAACTGAGATCATCCTGGCCAACATGGTGAAAACCCGTCTCTACTAAAAATATAAAAATTAGCTGGGTGTGGTGGCGTGCGCCTGCAGTCCCAGCCACTCGGGAGGCTGAGGCAGGAGAATGGCGTGAACCTGGGAGGCAGACGTTGCAGTGAGCCAAGATCGCATCACTGCACTCCCGCCTGGGTGACAGAGCAAGACTCCATCTTAGAAAAAAAAAAAGAATTAAAGAAACGCAAAAGTTTAGAGAGTTTGGAATATGACAGGTATCCAATAAATAAAACAGGGCCGGGTGTGGTGGCTCACACCTATAATCCCAGCACTTTGGGAGGCAGAAGTGGCAGGATCGCTCGAAGCCAGGAGTTTGAGACCAGCCTGGGTAACAGAGTCAGGCCTTGTCTTTAAAACAAACAAAACAAACAAATAAATAAATAAATGAAGCAGCACTGCTCAGTTACTGTTAGTAGTAGTAGTAGTAGCACTACTACCTCATGGGTAATTTTTAGGAAAACAATACCCAAAATAATTTTCCAGGTAGGTGCAATTTTTAAATTACTGAAGGACTAATGAATAAATATTATGTAAGTTACTAGATCATGTTACTTTAGGCTTTCTTCACTGTGATAACATGGAAAGGTGAGAGTTAATGAAACTAATCTCTTCAGTTTAATAAAATCCTCAAACAGAAAGAGAGTCAACTGAAGGACAAGAAGGAAATGCTACTTACACAGTCAAATTAAGAAAAAAATACATTTAAATAAGTTTATTATGCCTTACTTCTCTATGCAAGTTCATAGAAAAAAACTTTATTATGCCTAAGAACTATGTGAGAAACATAAAATTCTCTTTTCAGTACTGGACATGCAAGACTTTTGTGGCTTGCTTTTATGGCATTCTCAAATAGGTTAATAAAAAGTTATTTACAGATTTTGCTATCTTTCTGAAATTTTGCTTCATATTCTCCCCCATGTTATAGAGGCCTCACTTTTCAAGCAAATCATTTTGAGTGGTGAATCCATCTTAAGCACACTAGCTACAGGAAAAGACCCAGGGTAGTTTCTGTCTTTGCACTAGAACTACAGCTCTCATATTCAGGACAATCACTAATCCATTCAGACAAATGAGTCCAAGTTTAGGTTGAAAAAAATTTGCTACAGACCTTTTTTTTTCTTTTGAGACACAGTCTCGCTCTGTTGTCCAGGCTGGAGTGCAGTGGTGCGATCGTGGCTCACTGCAACCTCCACCTCTTGGGTTCAAGTGATTCTCGTGCCTCCCGAGTAGCTGGGATTACAGGCACGCACCACCATGCCCAGCTATTTTTTATATTTTTAGTGGAGACAGGGTTTCACCATGTTGCCCAGGTTGGTCTCAAACTCCTGACCTCAAGTGATCCGCCCACCTCAGCCTCCCAATGTGCTGGGAATACAGGCATGAGCCAACACATCCAGCCGCTACAGCATTTTTTTAAAACTAAATAAGTTCTATGTTTTCTTATAGAAAACTAAAGATGTTTCTAGAAAACTAATAATTTACACACCATTTTTAGCTCTCACATGTTAAAGCAATAGATGAAAACTTGACTGGGTGCAGTGGCTTAGTTCCTGTAATCCCACTACTTTGAGGCAGGAGGACTGCTTGAGGCCAGGAGTTCAAAACCAGCCTGGTCAACATAGCAACACCCCATCCCCTACAAAAGAAAAATTAAAAAATTAGCTGGGCATGGTGGCACGTACCTGTAATCCCAGCTACTGGGGAGGCTGAGGCAGAGGATCACGAGCCTAGGAGTTTGAGGTTGCAGTGAGCCATGGTCATACCACTACACTCCAGCCTAGGCAACAGAGAGAGACTCTGTCTCAAAAAAAAAAAAAAAAAAAAAGATGAAAACATGCCGAGTGCAGTGGCTCACGACCGTAATCCCAGCACTCTGGGAGGCCAAGGCAGGTGAATCACTTGCGGCCAGGAGTTCGAGGCTAGCCTGGCCAACATGGTGAAACCTCATCTCTACTAGAAATACAAAAATTAGCCAGGCTTGGTGGCACATGACGTGCCTGTAATCCAAGCTACTCTGGAAGCTGAGGCATGAGAATCACTTGAACCAGGGAGGCAGAAGCTGCATTAAACTCTGATCACACCACTGCACTCCAGCCTGGACAACAGAGCGAGACTGTCTCAAAAAAAAAAAAAAAAAAAAAAAAAGGAAAGAAAGAAAAGAAAAAGAAAGCTTAATAAGGTTATCAGCACTTTCTGATAGTGGTTTGAAATGTAGGAAAATAAACCTCTGTCAGTGCAAACTACTAAGGATAAAGGCCTTGAGATAAAATCATAAGCTGTCATTGCTAGGCCCCTTATCAATGAATTAGGTTTAGCTTTCCCATCTATAAGAAGAAAAAATGTTTGCTGATCATCCAGCAAAAGCAGTGTTACAAGTATTAAGTAAATACTATCCTGAATACGATATTGTCATTGACATTAGGGTTTAATGAAATCAATCTTCTGTTTTTAGCACAGAAGGAAAAAGATACTTGTTATACATGTTAAATACTCCAAGTAATATTAATACAAGATTATTCACAAGGCCACCAGATGACAGTATAGAATATGTTATGTGACTTATCAACTTAGTCAATGGCAATAATCATAAAGTAAACATTAAGGAAAATATTTTAATTACAATACTACCAATATTATATACACCAAATTTCCTTAGCAACAGTGGTTACAGAAGTAAACAATCACGAGCAAAAGCAAAATTTACGGCTATTGAAATCATTAACAAGGGCCGAGCACGGTAGCTCATGCCTGTAATCCCAGCACTTTGGGAGGCTGAGGCAGGCAGATCACGAGGTCAAGAGATCAAGACCATCCTGGCCAACATGGTGAAACCCGGTCTCTACTAAAAATACAAAAAAATTGGCTGGGCATGGTGGCGTGCGTCTGTAGTCCCAGCTACTCGGGAGGCTGAGGCAGGAGAACTGCTTGAACCCGGGAGGTGGAGGTTGCAGTGAGCCAAGATTGCACTACTCCACTCCAGCCTGGGGACAGAGCAAGACTCCATCTCAAAAAAAGAAAAAAGAAATCATTAATAAGGCAACAAAAAGTTCTACACAAGTTTGTATTATAAAAATGAAGGCCAGGCATGGTAGCTAACACCTGTAATCCCAGCACTTTGGGAGGCCAAGGCAGATGGATCACCTGAGGTCAGGAGTTTGAGACCAGCCTGGCCAACATGGTGAAACCCCATCTCTGCTAAAAATACAAAAGTTAGCTGGGCGTGGCAGCTCATGCCTGTAATCCCAGCTACTCAGGAGGCTGAGGCAGGAGAATCGCTTGAACCCGGGAGGCGGAGGTTGCAGTGAGCCGAGATCATGCCATTGCACTCCAGCCTGGGCAACAACAGCAAAACTCCATCTTGAAAAATAAATAAAATAAAATAAAAATAAAAATAAAAATAAAAATGGAGATGGCTGGACGCAGTGGCTCACACCTGTAAGCCCAGCACTTTGGGAGGCTGAAGCAGGTAGATTACCTGAGGTCAGGAGTCTGAGACCAGCCTGGCCAACATGGTGAAATACCATCTGTACTAAAAATAGAAAATTAGCCAGGTGTGGTGGTGTGTGTGTGTAATCCCAGCTACTCCGGAGGCTGAAGCAGGAGAATCACTTGAACCCAAGAGGCAGAGGTCGCAGTGAGCCAAGGTTGCGCCATTGCACTCCAGCCTGGGCAATAAGGGCGAAACTCCGTCTCAAAAAAAAAAAAAAGAGAGAGACAAAGATAATCAATCAATGGTGATAATGCCTTTAAAATAAAGTATAAAAATAATGGCAGAAATCAGATTTATTGTAAACATTTAAACAGATTTATTATAAACATTATCACAGGCCATTATTATAAACATTATTACAGGCACGGTGGCTCATGCCTGTAATCCCAGCACTTTGGGAGGCCGAGTCAGGTGAATCACCTGAGCTCAGAAGTTTGAGACCTCAAAAAAAAAAAAAAAATTATCACACTCTTTTTGGGTGAATCCCCTGCTACCACACCAATTCTGAAACAAGATATAGAATTTAACTTTCAGAATCATCTGCTGAATAATGTGAAGTGGCAACTAGAAGGGGAGACTGGTTTTAAAATTAATTATGAAACAATAAAAATGGTACAAGTTTTTAGTTCACTTTTTTTTTTTTTTTTTTTTTTTTTGAGATGGAGTTTCGCTCTTATTGCCCAGGCTGGAGTGCTGCTCACTGCAACCTCCACCTTCCAGGTTCAAGTGATTCTCCTGCCTCAGCCTCCCAAGTAGTTTGTTGGCCGCCAGGCCCAGGTGATTTTGTATTTTTAGTAGAGACAGGGTTTCACCATGTTGGTGAGGCTGGTCTCGAACTCCTGACCTCAAGTAATCCACCCGCCTTGGCCTCCCAAAGTGCTGGGATTACAGGCATAAGCCACCGCGCTCGGCCTCGAGTTCACATTGTGATATGCTAACCTAAACTACAATGTACCATGGATTTCAAGATCTTGAATCAAAATGAGGGCATGAATGTAGGCCCCTAAATACTTTCAGTCTTACTAAATTGACAGAAGGCCCAAATGCCTGGAATTCTTGTCCATTTTAATTTTTAAAAATTTTTTATGTTCTCAATTTTGTTAGAGCTAAAGAATCACAACAGTTCATCAAAATGCATGATATAGTATTCAGTTGTTTCTTAAAAGCCAAAAATAGTTCATCAGAAGCTAATCTAAGTTGTCTTAAAGAAGTAGTAATAATGGTATATTGACTAATTGTTTTAAGAAAGTGGAATTTACCCAAGCACAACAATATTACATGTTCAATATCAATTAAAAGTATCATTCTAAATAAAGAATTGGAAGCCGGGCACAGTGCATAGTCCCAGCTACTCTGGAGGCTGAGGCAGGAGGATCCCTTGAGCTCAGGAGTTTGAGACCAGCATGCACATGACATGGCAAGACCCCAGTCTTTTCATAAACAACAACAATTTGAGGCCAGGCACAATACTTTGGGAGGCCAAGGCAGGCAGATCACTTGAGCCCAGGAGTTTGAGACCAGCCTGCGCAACAGGACAAAACCCCATCTCTACAAAAAATTAGGCATGGTGGCATGCGCCTGTGGTCCCAGCTCCCTAGGAGTCTAAGGTGGGAGGATTATCTAAGCCCAGGAGGTTGAGGCGTAGTGAGGTGTGATGGTGCCACTGCACTCCAGCCTGGGCTGGAACACAATTTAAAAGAAACCTAGTTCCACTTTTCCTAACCACATTTCCAAAGACAATTAAGGACAAATTATTTCTTATAATTTGTAATTAAGATTATTGAAAAAATGAAGAACCAGATCTGACCAGTATTTCCTTATGAAGAAATATAAGAGTAGGCAACTGGTTACATAACAATTCTTAATAAACGAACAGAATATAGGATGCTAGGATTCTCATAAACCAAATAATGATATCATGCCATCAACTAATCCTATTCCTGCAGCCATTTTACAAACAGAACTACATGAGCATTTGACTCTTACCACTGAAAATGCCAAGGCACTGAGTATGCTATTTATAAGATGACTCAGGGATATATTTGTTAACGTACAAGAGTGACATCCAGTTACTGACTTCTGTATCCCTCTATTATTTGTAAACATTCACTTACGGCAAATATGCATCTATACTGGTTTTTTTTTTAAAGCTGGAAGACTAAAAGACATTTAACCAAATTAAGTTGAGAAACAAAACTCTGGCATAAACCAATATTTTCAGAAAGGAGCGATTAGGGCAATTAGAAAACACTGCAACTAACATAGTTAGAGGGCCCATTTGTCATAACCAGGTATCTCCCTAACCATCAGGTAGCTAATAATTTTTCTCTCCATATAATCAATATATAATTTGGGGTCAAAAGAAAAGATTTTCAATCAGGTTTGGGTGCCCACTGGTCCTTATCTAATTTCTATTAGAATAATCATCTATTTTATTTTAACTTTTATTTATTTTATTTTTTGTAGAGACGGGGTCTTACTTTGTTGCCCAGGCTGATCTCCAATTCCTGGGCTCAAACGACCTTCCCACCTCGGCCTCCAAAAGTGCAGATTATAGGCGTGAGCCACCATTCCTGGCCCATAATCTCTTAAACAGAATGCATCACCACAGCAAGTAATAATACTTCCACATCTCATTTTTTTTATAAGTCCAAATTGTATCTTTCTAGTGCAGCAGTTATCTAAGTGTAAGAGGACCTGTGAGGACCCAAAATCCTTTTAGGAGATCTGTGAGACCTTCCCTATTTCAACTGTGTATCTGTGTGAGGCCAAATTTTCTTCATATACTTCACCCAAAAAACCTTATAATCACAGTTTGAATACAGAATTGGTTATGAGAATCTAACTATCTTACTAAACCAGACGTTTAAAAGATTTTCAGGCCGGGCACAGTGGCTCACGCCTGTAATCCCAGCACTTTGGGAGGCTGAGGCAGGAAGATCACTTGAGGTCAGGAGTTTGAGATCAGCCTGGCCAACATGGCGAAACCCTAACTCTGCTAAAAATACAAATATTAGCGGGGCGTGGTGGCACATGCCTGTAGTCCCAGCTACTTGGGAGGCTAAGGCATGAGAATCGTTTGAACCTGGGAAGTGGAGGTTGCAGCGAGCCGAAATCATGCCACTGCATTCTAGCCTGGGTGACAGAGTAAGACTGTCTCAAAAAAAAAAAAAAAAAAAACTAAATAAATAAGTAAAAAATAAAAGGTTTTCAAAAAATAAAACGTCATTCTCACTAAAATAAAAATTTTAAAGTTTAAATTTCAATACGGCAAATGTCAATAGATACTGTCCACAATAAATGAAAGCCCAATAATTTTAAAATGTAAAGTCAAGCCTAGAAAGTTTTAAAAACAGTTCAGCAGTCTGATGTGACACCATTACCATTTTCAACTCCACCACTTCTGATGTAATCTGAATTTAAGCCTCTTTTGTTGGTGTTTTTTTTTTTTTTTTTTTTGAGATGGAGTCTCACTTTGTCACCCAGGCTGGAGTGCAGTGGCGTGATCTCGGCTCACTGCAACTTCCGATCCCCAGGTTCAAATGATCCCCCCAACTCAGCCTTCTGGGTAGCTGGGACCACAGACCACACGTATGAACCACCACGCCCAGCTATTTTTTTTGTTTGCATTTTTAGTAGAGACAGGGTCTTGCCATGTTGTCTAGGGTGGTCTCGAACTTCTGAGCTCAAGCAATCTGCTGACCTCGGCCTCCTGGCTCATTACAGGCATGAGCCACCACGCCCAGCCTATTTTTTTTTTATTTTTATTTTTTATTTTTTTATTTTTTTTTACCAGACAGAGTCTCTACTCTTTCGCTCAGGCTGGAGTACAGCGGCGCAATCTTGGCTCACTGAAACCCCTGCCTCCCAGGTTCTAGCAATTCTGCTGCCTCAGCCGCCCCTACACCTTTTTTTTTTTTAAGGGACGAGGTATTACTATGTTGCCCAGGCTGGCCTCAAACTCCTGGGCTCAAACGTCCTCCCGTCTCAGTCACCCTAGAAGAAGCTGGAACTACATGCATACACCACCACACCTGACTCAAGCCTCTATTTTTTTTTTACTCCAAAAAATAACAAGGAAATAATCAACTGAGTGACCTGCCAAGACACTTCATTTTGCCTCTCTTAACTTGAATTTCCCTAGCGGTTAGCAGACCTCATGATCTTTCAAGGACCCTACTAGTTTTAGCAGGGTTCTACAACATTTTTGTTGTCACAGTGGGGGTGGGGTGGGGTAGGGTTACTGGCATCTACCAAGTACCCTACAGTGCACAGGAAAGTCCCAACAAAGAGTTCTCTGGTCTCAAATGTGAATAGTGCCAAGACTGAGAAACCCTGGCCTGTATTATTTCTTGGACTGCTTTCCCATCTTTTGAAAAACCAACATGCTAATTTCAAGCTGCAATCCAAACGCAGGATCCTTAACATTGATTATTCTTCCTCATTACTAATGTATCATTTCATAAAAATCTTTGAATTGTAAGAAAAAAATGTAAACTTCTGAAAATCAAACTTCCTCAAGAAGAAGCTGAGATCTAAAACACTCTGGTGTCACTTGATTTTGGACAACCTGATAAAAAGGTAAAGTATAAACAACTTTTTTACAATATTAACTTCACCATTCAAAACCAAGGTCACTACTTTATAGACAAAACCATTTTATAATTTTTAAACAAGTAGTAAGTAAAATATATACAATATTGCTTACTCATACTCTAGTGTAAGGTTTACATCAATGAAAACGATTCCATTCATATTGAAATGGTTTTTACCGCAACAGCTTTCCTTACCGTCAACCTAGGGCCTGAAGGTGGTAGTTTAATATCACAATTAGATTTTTCCTCACCAAAGTACAATGCTCAGAAGAAATTAGAAAAAGGTCTATTTTACACAATAAGGTTAATAGGGTATTTTGCTTTATAATTTTAAGACATTTTTAATTTCGTTTAAAAAGCACACTACAGGCCAGTGGTGGTGGCTCATGCCTGTAATCCCAGCACTTTGGTAGGCCGAGGACGGTGGACCGCCTGAGGTCAGGAGTTCAAGACCACCCTGACCAATATGCTGAAACCCAGTCTCTACTAACAATACAAAAATTAGCCAGGCATGGTGGCATGCAGCTGTAGTCCCAGCTACTCAGGAGGCTGAGGCAGGAGAACTGCTTGAACCTGGGAGGCAGAGGTTGCAGTGAGCCGAGATAGCGCCATTACACTCCAGCCTGGGTGACAGTGACACTCTCTCTCAAAAATAAATAAATAAATAAAATAAAAAAATAAAACAACAACCATAGAAACCACACTACAACTCAACAACAAAAAGCAACCTGATTCAAAACTGGTCAAAGACTTCAAAGACATTTCTCCAAAGATATATAAATGGCAAATAAGCACAAGAAAAAATGCGCAACATCTAATAATTAGGGAAACGCAAATCATAACCATGTGAAACTGGGCTCATACTTGTAGTTGACACTACTTGGGAGCCTGAGGCAGAAGGACAGCATGAGCCCAGGAGTTCGAGTTCAGCATAAACAACACAGGATCTTAAAAAAAAAAAAAAAAAAAAAAAAAACTCTGCCACATGATACATCACTTCACACCCACTAGGATGGCTATTATTAAAAACAAACTGCCGAGCGCAGTGGCTCACGCCTGTAATCCTAGCACTTTGGAAGGGCGAGGCAGGCAGATCACTTGAGCTCAGGAGTTCAAGACCAGCCTGGCCAACATGGCGAAACCCCGTCTCTACAAAAAATTACCAAAAACGATTAGCCAGGCATGGTGGTATGTGCCTGTAGTCCCAGCTACTTGGCGGGGGTGCTGAGTCAGGAAGATGGCTTGAACCTGGGAAGTCAAGGTTGCAGTGGGCCAAAATCGCACCACTACACTGCAGCCTAGATGACAAAGTGAGATCCTGTCTCAAAAAAACAAGCAAACAAAATAACAAATGCAAGGATGTGAAGAAATTGGAACCCTTGTGCATTACTGACGGGAAAGTAAAATGGTACAGCCATGGGGTTCCCCAAACGCTAACTTACCACTGAACCAGCGATTCCACTATGGTTATATACCCAAGAGAAATGAAGACGGGAACTCAACTAGATATTTGTACACTCACATTCATAGCATGTTCAACACCCAAAAGGTGGAAGCAACCCAAGTGTCTATCGACAGATGAGTGAGTCAACAAAATATGGTATACACACAAAATAGAATATTATTCAGCCTTTTAAAGAAAGGAAATTTTGGCTGGGTGCAGTGGCTCACGCCTGTAACCCCAGCACTTTGGGAAGCCAAGGTGGACGGATCACCTGAGATCAGGAATTCAAGACCAGCGTGGCCAACATGGTGAAACCCCATCTCTACTAAAAACACAAAAAAATTAGCCAGGCGGTAGTTGCACATGCCTGTAATCCCAGCTACTCGGGAGGCTGAGGCAGGAGAATCGCTTGAGCCTGGGAGGTGGAGGTTGCAGTGAGCCAAGACTGAGACACTGCACTCTAGCCTGGGCAACAGAGTGAGACTCTGTCTCAAACAAAAAAAAAAAAAAAGAAAAAAAGAAAAAAAAAATTTTGACAAATGCTACATCATGAATGAACCTTGAAGATATTATGCTAAATGAAATAAACCAGCCATACCCAAAAAAGATTGTATGATTCCATTTATAGGAGGTACCTGGAGTAGTCAACTTCATAAAGGCAGAAAGTAGAATGGTGGTTGCCAGGGGCTGGGGGAAAGGGAGAATTGGGAGTTATTATTTAATGGGTATAGAGTTTCAGTTGAGGAAGATGAAAAAGTTCTGGAGATAGATGGTGGTGATGGTTGCAAAATAATGTCAATGTATTTAAGTGCCACTGAACTGAACACTTAAAAGTCGTTAAAATGGTAAATTTTATTTTACACACACACACACACACACACACACACACACACACAAAGATAAATTAAGAAGTAAAATACAAAGTTAGTGGTCACTCTCCTTTGTTCCTTAGAAAAAGATAAGCGATTCCAAACCAGTCAAAGTAAGCTACCTGCTGCTTTTTGCCCACAATGCTCTGCTCAATCAAGGGGTCTCACAGCCTGTCTTTCCCAGGTAAACTTCCTCAGAGATGACATCAGGGCAATGAGTCAGACCTAACTGGTGACTGTGCAACTATTACAAAAGAAACGGGGAAAGCATTGCAGGACTCAACTGTATAAATCATCAATGAAGCCCTTTAGAGCCAAAGTTATTGAAAAGCGATCTAAACTCTTTAAATTTAGGATAGTATTAAGAAAATGCTGTGTTGATACATTAAAAAGCAAAAATGCGGCCAGGTGCAGTGGCTCAAGCCTGTAATCCCAGCACTTTGGGAGGCCGAGGCAGGTGGATCACCTAAGGTCAGGAGTTTGAGACCATCCTGACCAATATGGTGAAACTCCATCTCTACTAAAAAATACAAAAATTAGGCCAGGCGTGGTGGCCCACGCCTGTAATCCCAGCACTTTGAGAGGCCGAGGCGGGGGGATCACCTGAGGTTGGAAGTTTGAAGACCAGCCTGACCAACTTGGAGAAACTCCGCCTCTACTAAAAATACAATATTAGCTGGGTGTGGTGGCTGGTGCCTATAATCCCAGCTACTCAGGATTACAAGCAGGAGAATCGCTTGAACCCAGAAGGCGGAGGTTGCGGTTAGCCGAGACTACGCCACTGCACTCCACCCTGGGCAACAAGAGCGAAACTCCGTCTCAAAAAAAAAAAAAAGAAAGAAAAATTAGCCAGGCATGATGGCGTACGCCTGTAGTCCCAGCTACTCGGGTGGCTGAGACAGGAGAATCGCTTGAACCCAGAAGTGGAGGTTGCAGTGAGCCGAGATTGAACCACTGCACTCCAGCCTGGGCGACAAAGCGAGACTCCATCTCCAAAAAACAAAGTTTTTATTATGTAACCAATATTTTAATTTCAACTTTGTTTGGTCTATCAGATTTCTCCGGTCATCAGAAACTACAAAGATTTCTAACGGGAAAAGAGCTGATATGATAATGATTAACTGAATTAGTAGAGTGAAACTGACAAAGGAAGAAAGCTTTCTCTTACTAGACAAAGCTGGAGGTGGAAAGAGAACCATAACCAACCACCAACACTAATGTTTCTTTTCTTTCACGACAAGGTCTCGCTCTGTCATCCAGGCTGGAGTGCAGAGGTGCACTCATGGCTCACTGCAGCCTCAACCTCCTGGGCTCAAGCAATCCTCCCACCTCAGCCTCCTAAGTAGCTAGGACAACAGGCATGCGCCACCACACCAGGCTAACACTTAAAATTACTTGTAGAGACAGGATCTCACTATGTTGCCCAAGCTAGTAATTTTTCCTCTGATTACAATGACCCTTTATTGCTGATATAAACAACTAATAACACTTCCTAAAGATTACTTAGTACAAAATCTGGACCTCAGAAATTAACTTCTTAAAGCTCTCCTACTATCCATCTAGACTTCACCTCTGAATATTTATAAACATCAAACAAATCTAAACCTTAGGCAGGTACTGGCTCCACTTAAGTAATAAATTAATCAATAGGTAAGATTTAGGCTTAACTAGATTTAGTGTTGATGGTCACTAAAGTGATGGTAAAGGCTGGGCATAGTGGCTCAATCCTGTAACCCCAGCACTTTGGGAGGCCGAGGAGGGTGGATAACCTGAGGTCAGGAGTTTGAGACCAGCCTGACCAATATAGTGAAACCACGTCTCTACAAATAATACAAAAATTTGCCAAGAGTGGTGGCACACGCCTGCAGTCCCAGCTACGTGGGAGGCTGAGACAGGAGAATTGCTTGAATCTGGGAGGCGGAGATTGCAGTGAGCCAAGATCCCGCCACTGCACTCCAGCCTGGGTGACAGAGTGAGACTGTCTCAAAAAAAAAAAAAAAAAAAAAAAAAAAAGTGATGGTAAAATCAAACACAATAATTAATCAGTTTTATTATTCCTCATCTATTCTCAAGTCCAATAGTTTACATAAATGAGAGGAAAAAAATCATTAAAATACTGCATTTTATAAAAGTGCCTTATTTTGGCAGAAAATGCTGTTTAAAATTGTGTTTAAATATGCTTTATGTGGTTAGCATGCTCACAAAAGATTAAGTATAGGCCGGGCATGGTGGCTCACGCCTGTAATCCCAGCACTTTGGGAGGCCGAGACAGGTGGATCACCTGAGGTCAGGAGTTCAAGACTAGCCTGGCCAACATGGAGAAACCCCAACTCTAATAAAAATATAAAAAAAAATTAGCTGGGCACAGTGGCGCATGCCTGTAGTCCCAGCTACTCAGGAGACTGAGTGGGAGAATCGCTTGAACCTGGGAGGCAGAGGTTGCAGTGAGCCGAGATCATGCCACTGCACTCCACCCTGGGCAACAGAGTGATATTCTGTCTCCAAAAAAAAAAAAAAAAAAAGGTTAAGTATAAGTAATTATTTGGGATCCAATTACAGCAGTAGTTAATGTTTTAAAGTTTACTACTATCTTTTGGTAGAGTTAAGCAAAAGGATTATGTTGATCAACAGGGTATCTGGTAGATAATTAAAGCTTACCCAAAAAGAATAAAGGAATATTATTCACCTTTATAAAGGAATGAAATTATGATACATGTGACAAGACAGATGAGCCTTGAAAATATTATGCTAAGTGAAATAAGCCAGACACAAAAGGACAAATGCTGTGTGGTTCCACATATATGGGTACCTAGAGCTGTCAAGAATTCATGAGGACAGAAAGCAGAACAGTAGTCAGCAGAGGCTAAGAGAGGGAGGAATGGGAGTTATTGTTTAATGATAATGGATAGTGGTGATGGTCACACAATATTAATGTACTTAATGGCACAGAACTATACACTTAAAAATGGTTAAAATGAGGCCAGGAATGGGTGGTTCACACCTGTAATCCCAGCACTTTGGGAGGCCGAGGCGGGCGGATCACCTGAGGTCGGGAGCTCGAGATCAGCCTGACCAACATGGAGAAACCCTGTCTCTACTAAAAATACAAAATTAGCCAGGCGTGGTGGCACATACCTATATTCCCAGCTACTCAGGAGGCTGAGACAGGAGAATTGCTTGAACCCGGGAGGCAGAGTTTGCGGTGAGCCAAGATCGCGCCACTGCACTCCAGCCTGGGCAACAAGAGCGAAACTCTGTCTCAATAAAAATAAAAATAAAAAGGTAAATATTATGCTGTGTATATTTTACTACAATTTAAAAAAACTTTTTTGAAGACTTATAAGCTTTGGCATTAAAAATACAATATGGGCCGGGCGCGGTGGCTCACGCTTGTAATCCAGCATTTGGGAGGCCAAGGCAGGCAGATCAGGAGGTCAGATCGAGCCCAACCTGGCCAACATGGTGAAACCCCGTCTCTACTAAAAATACAAAAATTAGCTGGTGTGGTGGCGCGTGTCTGTAATCCCAGCTATTCTGGAGGCTGAGGCACGAGAATCATTTGAACCCAGGAGGCGGAGGTTGCAGTGAGCCAGGGTCACATCACTGCACTCCAGCCTGGCGAAAGAGCGAGACTCCGTCTCAAAAAAAAAAAAAAAAAAAAAAACAACCATAATATGGTAGTTTTAGGATCTACTGTCCTAATAACAGTAGCAAAAATGGAAAGAGGCTACGTTTTTGTTAATCTATTATTAAGAATCATGTGACTTCTTTTTGGGTGGGCTTTACTGGACCCTTCACACTCAGAAAACCTTGTACTCAAGTAACTCAAAGCAAAAAGCATCAAACATGCATGCTCCCTGAAAGCAGTAAGCAGATGTAACATGTCTGCCTAAGAACAAGAAATCCTTCCAACGTGGCAGCAGTCTTTATTTAAGAGACAAAAAAGATGAGAAAATTTAAACTGTCAAATACAATGGGATTTTCTCATTCCCTTAGTCACACGGTATATAGAATCTGATATTTCTTGTATGA
Organism: Homo sapiens; assembly: GCF_000001405.40. Classification (NCBI taxonomy): domain Eukaryota; kingdom Metazoa; phylum Chordata; class Mammalia; order Primates; family Hominidae; genus Homo; species Homo sapiens. Next base: position 15,894,168 of record NC_000001.11, on the reverse strand, counting down.
AAAAACTAAAATGTTTCAGAAGGCACAGGCCAAGAAAGCACACAGATCAAGTGAGTGTGTGTGTGTTTTAATTCCAAGTGGTCACATACAACTGATGTAGCCTTACCAAACCCATAAGCAAATTTGAAGTTTGAGGTTTTTGCCTTTTCTGTCGCCCAGGCTGGAGTGCAGTAGTGCAATCTTGGCTCATTGCAACCTCCATTTCCTGGGTTCAAGTGATTCTTAAGCTTCAGCCACAAGTAGCTAGGATTACAGGCACACGCCACCACACCCGGCTAATTTTTGTATTTTTAGTAGAGACAGGGTTTTGCCATGTTGACCAAGGCTGATCTCAAACTCCTGGCCTCAAGTGATCCTCAAGCCTTAGCCTCCCCCAAAGTGCTGGGATTACGGCGGGAGCCACTGCAATTGGCTTGCTTTTTTTTGTTTTTTTTTAAGAGACAGGGTCTCGCTCTGTTGCCCAGGCTTGAGTGTACTGGCCTTTTTTCAATTTAACTTTGATACTAATGACATCTCCTCTCTATCCAGAATGAAAAAGAAGTTTGCTCTTTCCTGCTTCTGAACTCTCCATTAGGGCAGTTGCAGGGACAAGGAGTTAGAAAGGCACCTAACTCCCTACCAGAAAGCCTAAGCCATCCGCTATTTGGTATACTTTTTTGTTTATTTATAAATGACTACGAATTACTCAGTAAGAAACCTCAGGCTAAAATTCTTCTGCTTAAATATAATTACTTCTCTGCAGTTTCTTCCAGTGACAGATACAAAGCTACAGTCCAAGATGGCTCCACACACCATGACACAGCATATTCAGGAAGCTAATCTGCCCCTCCCTACCACCATCGAAAATAACATATAAAGAATCACAGAACTCCTCCAGTTTGGGTTATACAAATGATGCCTAGAAGCAACACAGATGTGTATTATTTCTGTCTTCTAATTCCAACAACTGAATTCCAGTCTATTAGCACCAGTATGTAAACAGACATATTTTAAACCTCTATCAAAAGTACTAGCCATCACTTAAAAATGATCATCAGATGAAAGTGTTTTTGTTGTTGTTGTTGTTGTTTGAGACAGAGTTTCACTCTTGTTGCCCAGGCTGGAGTGCAATGGCGCAATCTCAGCTCACTGCAACCTCCACCTCCTGGGTTCAAACGATTCTCCTGCCTCAGCCTCCTGATTAGCTGGGATTACAGGTGCATGCCACCACGCCCAGCTAATTTTGTATTTTTAATAGAGATGGGGTTTTGCCATGCTGACCAGCCTGGTCTTGAACTCCTGACCTCAGGTGATCTGCCTGCCTCAGCCTCCTAAAGTGCTGGGATTACAGACGTGAGCCACCGTGCCCCGCCCAAAGTTGTTTTTTAAATTTTAAAAATAAATTTACTCTGGTTATTTGATTTTCTCCTTGGGAAATTAATTTATTTAGGGGCTTTGATATTAACATATTTCTAAGCCTGGAACCTGGACTTTGAAATAAATATTTCGGTTGAGCCATTCCCTCAGCCACCCTGGAAACAGGCATTTTAGCCTGACCAACACTTGAAGTGTTGAAGATGGAATCTGGAAGTAGTTCAGTTTATATTTTAGGCATAACAGTCCCAAGAGGCTTTTCTATTAACCCATCATTTCCAAGAGAATAGAAGGGTTTAGGGAATTTAAAAAAAGAAAAATAACAAACTCTATTTGTCTTTAAACAAAATGAAAAGCACTAAATTGATACACAAATTATTTTGTGACATTACAGCTTAATAGAGCTTGCTTCTAGAAGAGCACTGTCCAGTAGAAATATAAGCCACAAAATTTTAATTTTCAAATAGTCATATTTTAAAAAGTAAAACGAAGAGCTGGGAGCAGTGGCTCACGCCTGTAATCCCAGCACTCTGAGAGGCAGAGGTGGGCGGATCACGAGGTCAGGAGATCGAGACCACCCTGGCTAACAAGGTGAAACCCCATCTCTACTAAAAATACAAAAAGAAAATTAGCCAGGCATGGTGGAAGGTGCCTATAGTCCCAGCTACTCGGGAGGCTGAGGCAGGAGAATGACGTGAACCGGGGAGGCGGAGCTTACAGTGAGCCAAGATTACGCCACTGCACTCCAGCCTGGGCGACAGAGCGAGACTCCATCTCCAAAAAAAAAAAAAAAAAAAAAAAAAGTAAAAAGAAACAGATGTAATTAATGTAGTAATATGCTTTATTTAACCTAATATATTCAAAATATCATTTGAACATGTAGCCAACATAAATAAGTTTTTTTTTTTTAAAAAAACCAGGTCTCCAGAACTTGATGTGTATATTTTTAAACAGTTCTACTGAGATATATGTGAATTTATTAACATGACACCATGACATTAGTTTTTCTTAATGGTTTTTATATTAGCCCAGGTACAGCGGCTCATGCATGTAATCCCAGTGCTTTGGGAGTCCAAGGCAGGAGGATCACTTGAGGTCATGAGACCTAGACCAGCCTGGGCAACATAGCGAGACCCTATCGCTTAAAAACAAAAAACAAAAAACAAGGCCGGGCGCGGTGGCTCAAGCCTGTAATCCCAGCACTTTGGGAGGCTGAGGTGGGCAGATCACGAGGTCAGGAGATCAAGACCATCCTGGCTAACATGGTGAAACCCCATCTCTACCAAAAATACAAAAATTAGCCGGGCGTGGTGGCGGGTGCCTGTAGTCCCAGCTACTCGGGAGGCTGAGGCAGGAGAATGGCGTGAACCCAGGAGGCGGACCTTGCACTGAGCCGAGATGGTGCCATTACACTCCAGCCTGGGCGACAGAGCCAGACTCCATCTCAAAAAAAAAAAAAAAAATTTAGCTAAGTGTGGTGGCATGTCTATAGTCTCGGCTACTTAGGAGGCTGAGGTGAGGGGATCCCTTGAGCCCAGGAGTTCAAGGTTGCAGTGAGCCATGATTGCACCACCACTCCAGCCAGGGTGACAGAGCAAGACTGCCTCTAAAAAAAAATTTTTTTCATAGCAATTATTTCCAAATGTGCTAAACCTCTAAGTGTTAGCTCCTGTAAACGGAATTTCTTTGTTAAAACCCACACACATATATTTCTGGGCTACGCTTAAGCATTACAAAGGCCTACCATTTTCTCCTGAAGGATGATATGCTGGTTTATTAGGGAGGTTTTTGTTTCTAGCTAGGATATCCAGTACTGCAGCCACTAGTCACATGTGGCTATTGAGCACTTGAAATGTGGCTATTCAGTGCACCAGTACTGATCAATGCTATAACACGGATGAACTGCAAAAACATATTAAGTGAAAGAAACCAGTCACAAAAGACCGCAATATGGTATGATTTTCCTTCTATTAAATGGCCAGAATAGGCTATAGAGATAGATTAGCAGTTGCCTTGGGCTGGGGGAGAAAAAGAATGGAGAGCAACTGCTAACGGGTATGAGGTTTCTTTTCGGGGTCATGAAAATGCACTAGTTTCATTATGGTGATGGTTGCAAAATGCTGTAAATGTATTAAAAAGCATTAACTGTCCACTTAAATGGGTGAATTTTACAGTGGAAGTTGCAGTGAGCAGAGATTGCACTCCAGCCTGGGAAGCAGAGCAAGACCCAGTCTTAAAAAAAAAAAAAAAAAAAAAACCTGAGTCAAAATCTAAAAATATCAACCAGGCCGGGCACGGTGGCTCATGCCTATAATCCCAGCACTTTGGGAGGTCGGGGTGGGCGGATCATAAGGTCAAGAGTTCGAGACCAGCCTGGCCAACATGGTGAAACTCAGTCTCTACTAAGAATACAAAAATTAGCTGGGTGTGGTGGTGCGTGCCTGTAATCCCAGCTACTCGGGAGGCTGAGGCAGGAAAATCGCTTGAACCCGGGAGGCAGAGGTTGCAGTGAGCCTAGATCACATGAAAAATAAAAATAAAAATGTCAACCTGATGTTATTGAACTGTATATAATGTGTTCCCACCTATTTGTAAGAAAATGTTTTACTGCCCTCATCTTAGCATATATTTCTAATCTACATCTCTCTTCCATACCAAATGAAAGTTTTTAGAGGATGAGTGAAATTCTTAGAAACGAACTCTGCAAAGACATTTTTAAAGCTATTTCACTTACTGTTTTGTCTACCTGGACATAGGAAGTTTATTTATAGTACAAAGTGGATTTGGAAAGATGTTCTATAGGCCGGGTGCGGTGGCTCATGCCTGTAATCCCAGCACTTTGGGAGGCCGAGGCGGGTGGATCACCTGAGGTTGGGAGTTCGAGACCAGCCTGGCCAGCATGGTGAAACCCCAACTCTACTGAAAAATACAGAAATTAGCTGGGCATGGTGGCAGGCACGTGTAATCCCAGCTACTTGGGAAACTGAGGCAGAAGAATCACTTGAACCCGGGAGATGGAGATTGTAGTGAGCCAAGATGGCGCCATTGCTCTTCAGCCTGGGCAACAGAGTGAGACTCCATCTCAAATAATGGGGAAAAAAAAAAGGTGTTCTATAGAGATATCATAATTTCTAGCACCAGTAAACTCCAGTAGCATATAACTTAATGAATAACTAATAAGTAAGTAAATGACCAGAGAGTGCTCTTTCCATTTTCTCACACAGGAATGGACAGCAAGACTACCCTTTGAAGCCAATTCAGTTTGTACTCTAAGACACAGATTGATAGAGGGGTGCTTGTATAAAGAATAAAACCTCAGCTAATTCTGAACTCCAGGAAATGCTAATGTTGGCCAGGCACGGTGGCTCATGCCTGTAATCCCAGCACTTTGGGAGGTTGAGGTGGGCAGATCACTGGAGGTCAGGAGTTTGACACCGGTCTGACCAACATGGTGAAACCCCATCTCTACTAAAAATACTAAAATTAGTTGGGCGTGGTGGCACATGCCTGCAATCCCAGCTACTCAGGAGGCTGAGGCAGGAGAACTGCTTGAACCTGGGAGGCGGAGGTTGCAGCAAGGCGAAATCAAGCCATTGCACTCCAGCCTGCGTGATAAAAGCAAAAAACCCCGTCTCAAAAAAAAAAAAAAAAGAAAAGAAAAGAAAGAAAGAAAATGCTAATGTTTATTTTAAAATGAGAATTCCTACATTTTCCTTAATTTCTGGACACGCATGATTCCTTGTTTGGGGCAAGGTAAATTTGTGCCTTGGCTTCTAAGAATGACCATAGAGAACTTCCAAGTACAAACACCCCAAAAGAGATATAAGGAAAGAACAAGATCACCTAAACTGCAATGAGTAAAGTTTTACCATAAGTAAAAATGATTGGCCGGGCGCAGTGGTTCATGCCTGTAATCCCAGCACTTTGGGAGGCCGAGGCAGGTGGATCACCTAAGGTCAGGAGTTCAAGACCAGCCAACCAACATGGCAAAACCCTGTCTCTACTAAAAATACAAAATTAGCTGGGCATGGTGGCGCATGTCTGTAATCCAGCTATTCCGAAGACTGAGGCAGGAGAATCACTTGAACCCAGAAGGTGGAGGTCGCGGTGAGCCGAGATCGCGCCATTGTACTCCAGCCTGGGCAGCAAGAGCAAAACACTGTCTCAAAAAAAAAAAGAGTTTACATACTTTGGCTGGGTGTGGTAGCTCATGCCTATAATCCCAGCACTTTGGGAGGCAAAGCTGGGCGGATCACCTGAGGTCAGGAGTTCGAGACCAGCCTGACCAATATGGCGAAACCCTGTCTCTACTAAAAATACAAAAATTAGCCAGGCGTGGTGACGTGTGCCTGTAATCCCAGCTACTAGGGAGGCTAAGGCAGGAGAACCACTTGAACCTGGGAGGTGGAGGCTGCAGTGAACCGAGATCATGCTACTGCACTTCCGCCTGGGCAACAGAGCAAGACTCTTGCCTCAAAAAAAATAATAAAATTAAAAAAAAAAAAGAGTTTACATAGTTTGCTTCCAAGTCAAACAAATACAATTTGACATGGCAGTTTTTATTTTTAAATTTGTTGTTTTCAGGAGGCTGAGACAAGAGAATCGCTTGAACCCAGGAGGTGGAGGTTGCAGTGAGCTGAGACAGCACCACTGCACTCCAGCCTGGGTGACAGAGTGAGACCCCGTCTCAAAAAAAAAGACAAATAAATAAAATAAAATAAAATTTGTTATTTAAAACTTTAATCTGCGTAATTACTTGTTATTATTTTTAATTTTGGGGTTTTTATTGAGACGGAGTGTCCCTCGGTCACCCAAGCTGGAGTGCAGTGGTGCAATCTTGGCTCACTGCAACCTCTGCCTCCAGGGCTCAAGCGATTCTCCTGCCTCCGCCTCCCGAGCAGCTGGGATTATAGGCGTCCACCATACCACCATGCCCAGTTAATTTTTGTATTTTTTTCGTAGAGACTGGTTTCACCATGTTGGCCAGGTTGGTCTCGAACTCCTGACCTCAAGTGATCCACCCGCCTCAGCCTCCCAAACTGCTGGGATTACAGGTGTGAGCCACCGTACCTGAAGGACTTGTTTTTTTTTTTTTAAGAGATGAGGTCTTGCTATGTCTCAAACACCAGGCCTCCCACATCAACTTCCAGAGAAGCTACAGGAACATACCATCAGACCAGGCTTGACTTTCTGATTTTTAGCAACATTAAAAATTTTTTTCGGCCAGGCACAGTGGCTCACGCCTGTAATCCCAGCACTTTGGGAGGCTGAGGCAGGCAGATCATGAGGTCAGGAGATCAAGACCAGAAGATCGAGACCATCCTGGCTAACATGGTGAAACCCAGTCTCTACTAAAAATACAAAAAATTAGCTGGGCGTGGTGGCGGGCGCTTGTGGTCCCAAGCTACTCGGGAGACTGAGGCAGGACAATGGCGTGAACCCGGGAGGCGGAGCTTGCAGTGAGCTGAGATCGTGCCACTGCACTCCAGCCTGGGTGACAGAGCAAGACTCCGTCTCAAAAAAAAAAAAAAAAAAAAAATTCAGGCCAGGCACAGCTCACACCTGTAATCCCAGCACTTTGGGAGGCAAAGGCAAGCGGATAGCTTGAGCCTAGGAGTTCAAGACCAGCCTGGACAACACAGTGAGACTCCATCTCTACAAAAAATACAAAAATTAGCCCAGCGTGGTGGTGTGTGGCTGTAATCCCAGCTACTTGGGAGGCTCAGGTGCAATGATAGCTTGAGCCCAGGAAGTCAAGGCTGCAAATGTGCAAATTACCACTGCACTCCAGCCTGGGCGACAGAGCAAGAACCTATCTCAAAAATCAACCAATCAATCATCCAGAGTAAATTAAAACCCACAAGACATCATGTCATGTCACAACTTTGCCACCAAAACCTATTTTAATTCCTTCCACCTAAGAAACCAAAATAAAAAACCTCAGTACAACCTAATTGGTAAGAATGAGAAGGGGTGAGAGGGACAGTTCTTTATTTCAAATGGACTAACCTAACTAAAAGCAACGCTCCTGGGGACTTTGGTAATAAACTCCTTGTCACCAAATGCTGACCATGTTGTGATGTGGCCAAGCACTGGCAGTGCAGAAGCAGTTTTACAGAAGCCGTAGCTTCTAAAAGGTAGAAGACTAAAAGTTACCATTAAAGCAAGGGTTAATAACAGAAAGATGTATTAAAAATAGAGTTTGTACCAGCTTGCAGTCGGGCGTTCACCCTGGCTAGATCTGAAATCCTCCTCTCCAGGAACACTAAGGCACAGCCGTCCTGCCCCTCCCACCGCCTGGCCCAGTCACCACGCAGCAGCCGGGTCCCTGCGCCCCGCCCCTGGACTGAGGGCTGTGGAGAAACTCTGGCAAAACAAGGAAGCCTCCGGGAGGTGGCAAGCAGCCAACTCAAACTGGATGGTTCCAGTTTAGGCTGGTTCGAGTCACAAACAACAGTTCCTATTTTCCCCCACAATATTCAGACGCAGGGGCTGCCCAGATGAGCGCTTCTCATCTGCTTCCAGAGCTAAGGCTACCTGGTTCTCATTCCTCTGCAGTCGAGCATCCTAACTAAAAGCAAGGTTCCCACTTCAGCAATATGGGTCAGCCCAGTACTTGTTTCCAAAATGGAATGCCTATTCTGTACAAGACCCTGCAGCTGACAACACCTACACATCTAAAACAAAAACAAAAAAACAAAACTTTACTAAAATGCTGTATTTGACCAAAAAAGGAAATCCAGAAAGGAAACAGACCTATTTACAGGTATCCATTATGAGAGCTATGCCTACCAGAACAATTAAGTAAGTACTCTTCCATTTCCATATTTAGCACAAAAAAGGCTTGGTTGGCTAATATGACCCCCTAAAACAGAAGGTTGTGTGTTGCTTATTGCACAATAACAAACGATGCAAGCAATACAGGAGCCAAAAAAAATAATGTGTTTCCAAACTGTGGGCTCTTCAGTGACCTCTGCAGTTTGTCTGCCACTGATGGGAAAAAAAGGGTTTTTTTGGTGTATTTCTTGTCCAAAGCACACACTGCTGAACATTTATTCCATGCTGCTAAACAGTACCAAAATAGCATTAAGCAGGGAACAAGCAAATGCTTATTCTTTTGTAAAGTATTTAAGAGAGCCGCTCAAAATGAGGCACGACCTAATGTTTCTCAAGTATTACAGACACTAATATGCCTGCTGTTCTTTTTCTTCCCTAACCCTTCCAAGTAGGTAACTTTTTAAAGAATTTAGATACACATATTTTAAGGAAAGAGCATACTTAATCATACACAGTCAATAAAACCATTAATTGGCTCTTACAGGAGTCCATCACAAAGAATAATTATAAACGTCAAGATAGAAACTCCACGTACACTTCCTCTTGTATGCTTAAAAAGAAACTTCATGTAACAGTTGGAAAGGTCCAAAGCAATGAATATGTTTTAATCATAACACTAATTTTCAGCAAGAAATTCTCCCTTTTGAAACCTCTAGACGATCTAAAAAAGTAATAACGAAGCAGAACAAACTAATTAAAATCAAAGAATGGGCTGGGCGTGGTGGCTCATGCCTGGGCAACAGAGCGAGACTCCATCTCAAAAAAAAAATAAAGAATCACAAAGCTACAAAACAAAATTATATCTACCACTGAATCCAGAAATTATTTGCCTATTCATTATTATAGGTAACTTTGGATAATAAATCAGACAAATTTGTTTCTATGATCATCACCGAAAAATGATCACTAATTATTAATTTGTTTAATACTTTAAAACACTGACTTTTAGGCCAGGCTCAGTGGCTCATGCCTGAAATCCCAGCACTTTGGGAGGCGGAGGCAGGTGGATCACTTGAGGCCAGGAATTTGAAACTAGCCTGGGTGGTCAACATGGCGAAAACCCATCTTTATTAAAAAATACAAAAATTAGCTGGTGGCACAACCTGTAATCCACCTACTAGGGAGGCTAAGGCAGGAGAATCGCTTGAACCTGGGAGGCAGAGGTTGCAGTCAGTTTAGATTGCACCACTGCACTCTAGCCCGGTGACGAAGTAAGACTCTGCCTTTAAAAAAAAAAAAGAAAGAAAAAGAAAAACAAAAGGAAAAGGAAAAGGAAAGGAATTGACTTTTACTTCATATATATTTTAAAACTGCTGCTATGTCTGGCAGTTCCCAGCACATGCCACGTATCATAAGAAACTGTACAGCCAGGTAATAAAATTAGCATTCCTTCTCCCAATTGACACCTGAATGCACATACCTGTTTTTAAAAAAAGAGAGAGAGAAATGGAAGGTACATTGTCACTTTGATACATACAATGCCACCATTCTTAATGGTTTTCCTCACCTTTATAGCCTCATCCACATTCTTTCACAAGACTACAAAAATGACAGCATTTTTGAAAAATTTTCTACTTGAACTTGGAAGAAAATAATTTCTCCTAACTAAAATAAGTTAACTGCAAAATCTCCTCAAGAAAAGACAAAAGGATATGTGAGTAAAATTCCCCCTCTAGGAAAGAAACTATAATATCTAAATTGTTCATGATTTGCAGATTTGGTCTTTACAGAAAAAAAATGCTTCTTATTAGACTGCAGACTTTCATGCTTTTTTAAGTTAAAAGGGTCATATTCCTTTTTATTACCTTATATCTGTTGTTAAAATCCAGAATTCATTAAATATTCTAATTACTGTTAACCCATAAAACAAGCCGAGCGCTGTGGCTCATGCCTGTAATCCCAGCACTTTGGGAGGCCAAAGCGGGCAGATCACAAGGTCAGGAGATCGAGACCATCCTGGCTAACATGATGAAACCCCCATCTCTACTAAAAATACAAAAAATTATCCGGGCGGGGTGGCGGGCGCCTGTAGGCCCAGCTACTCGGGAGGCTGAGGCAAGAAAATGGCGTGAACCCAGGAGGCGGAGCTTGCAGTGAGTCGAGATCACACCACTGCACTCCAGCCTGGGCGACAGAACAAGACTCTGTCTCAAAAAAAAAAAAAAAAAAAAGAATCTTAAATTGTCTAACATTAGGAAAAAAAGTAATAGGGTTATAGATAACTTTTGATATACTTTACTCAGCATATGTAATTAAAAAAAAATATACAGACAGGTTGTGCAAAGAATACCATCAGTAATAAGAAATACTTTCATTTCCCTTTCAATTAAAAAGTAAATTGTTTTAGGCCGGGCACAGTGGCTCACACATGTAATCCATTTAGCCAAAAAATTAGCCAGATGTGGTGGCGCATGCCTATAGTCCCAGCTACTCAGGAGGCTGAGGCGTGAGAGTTGCTCCACCCGGGAGGTGGAGGTTGCAGTGAGGCGAGATCACACCACTGCACTCTAGCCTGGGCAACAACACAAGACTCTGTCTCAAAAAAAAAGAAAAAAAGTACATCGTTCTAATGCAAAGCTAACACACTGGAGAAGAGAGAGACATAAGACTTTCCATATCTTAACATGGCAGAAGAGCTGAAAAGTTTGGTTACTTGAAGTTCTTCTATATGCTTTCCTTGTTACTTTAAGCAAACACCACAAAGGGTTTCACATGTCTGCTTCCCCGCCCAGGAACTGTGTGTGTGTCTTTCTTTCCCCCATTCCTGTTCCCAAGCTTCTCCCTTATATCTTCTAGCTTATGACAATGCAAAGTAAATTTTAATAATGTAACAACTATATAATGAAAATGTGAGAAATACATTTTTTAAAAATCAGCTCATTCTAATTTTTAAAATCTATTTAAGAAGAAAGCTTGCTCTAAAATTCCAATCTCTGGTGGGTGCAGTGACCCTGTCACCCATTGCCTCCTTTCCCCTCTCTCTTCTGGGAAGAAGGGGGTTTCCTGCTGAGGAGGGAAGGGAAACTTCATCCTAGCCCCATGACTCAGACTTGGTTGGACCCTGGGGGAACCAAGAGCCCCAGGGGGGCTGTGGCCTGTGATGCTGCCAAGCAGAGCCATGAGGGCCTACCAACCTACTCTTCTGCCATCACTCTGAAACTTGAGCATTACCCAACACCTGCCAGCCCTCTAGGCTGTGCCTTTCATCCTAGTACAGGTGTGTCCCATTGTATATGCCCAGTTTGCGTCAGCTGTCCACACCATCTAGTTAGTACCTGTGCATTCCTCGGCTCATGGCAAATAAGAATTTTCTTTTTTTGAAATGGAGTCTTGTTCTGTTGCCCAGGCTGGAGTGCAGTGGTACGATCTTGGCTCACTGCAACCTCCATCTCCCAGGTTCAAGCGATTCTCGCACCTCAGCCACCATAGTAGCTGGGATTACAGGCGCCCACCACTACACCTGGCTAATTTTTGTATTTTTAGTAGAGATGGGGTTTCACCATCTTGGCCAGGCTGATCTTGAATTCCTGACCTCATGATCTACCCGCCTCAACCTCCCAACGTGCTGGGATTACAGGTGTGAGCCACTGCACCTGGCCTAAAGGAAATTCTTACAACTTGATTGGGGGGGCGGGAATCCAATAATAGGGAACTATAGAAATAAAGTATGTTCAACTTCAATCAAGGGATTTTAAAATAAATGCTTCTGTGGAATTTACGCATTTAAAATGTTCTGTTGAAAGGAAATGTGGCTCAATAAACGGCCATGACAGAGAAACAAAAAGACGTCGAGCAGTACATAGCAGCACATGGAGCCATGAAGGCCCAGTTCTCACCAGTAAAATACTGTAAATGGTTTTGCAGAAACAATAGATGTGTTATTTATAAGGACTTCACAACTAGACTGCCATTAATCCCATGTTTACTCATCTGAAATACCCCACTAGCAATCTCTTCATCAAAAGTGTAACTATTAATAAGGATGGAGGGTGATTAATTTCCCCATCAGTCATGGAGACAGAAGACAAACTTGTTTCCATAGGTAAAACCAAGCTATATTTTGTCCACTATACGAGTGCTAACTTTAAACATCTTTAAAGGACTTTCAGGAATGTCACAGTTTCACAAGTTGTAAAGATCACAAGAAATAACTTATTTCTTCCAAAAGGAAAACTGAACATTCTGAATTTCATAACATCTCAAAATATTACACTTTGAATTCAATATAATTAAAGAGGAAAAGAGAACATCTGATAAAAGGGAATAATGTAAACTGAACACCAGAGGATTATTTCTGTACACTTGCTTCAATCACAATTTAAATGACAAAAACTTTTAGCTATCTACATCAATTTTGCTTTATCCTTCATGTTAACTAAGAACTGTATCTAAGTATTTCAACTACTTATTGGACATGTATTCTGAGAAAGGCAATATACTAGGTTCTGTGATATGCATTCAGGCCACTCAGTCTTGTTCTTTCATATCACCAGAAAGTTCATTCTGCTTTTTACACATCAGGATAATCTGATTCTTAATACAATGTCTCTCCCACCTGTTCCAAATTTTCCTTCTCTGAGGTACCAAGAGTAGGAAAAACAGAGATTATGGATAAGTCACCAGTTGCCTTTCTAAAGCAGAGATCTCAACAAGCTATCTCCTTTCTTAAATCTTTTAATGGCCCTCTCTGCATACAGAATAAAACCCAAAAGTTGGGCGTGATGGCTCACACCTGTAATCCTAGCACTTGGGAGGCAGAGGAGGGAAGATCGCTTGAAGCCAGGAGCTCAAGACCAGCCTGGACAACAAAGTGAGACTTTGTCTCTACGAAAAATTTAAAAATTAGCAAGGTGTAAGTGATGTGCACCTATAATCCCAGCTACTCAGGAGACTGAAACAGGAGGATGGTTTGAGCCCAGGAGCTATGACCACTGCACTCCAGCAGCCTGGGCAACAGAGCAGGATTCTGTCTCTTCAAAATAAAAAAAAAATCATTACCACAGTTAAATCATTCTAAATTATCTGCTATGCTCAAAACATCCTTCCACCTCAGGTTGTTCCTTCTGCCCACAGTGTTCCCTGTCTAGCCTAAACCTCCTCTCTTCTTGTTGAAGTCCTGCATATCCTTCATAGCCTAACCAAATGCTACCTATCAGGTCTTCCCAGCAGTCAAAAGATTTATCTCACTGTTCTTTTTATGTATAGATACAAAAGCTATCATTGGCCGGGCACAGTGGCTCATGCCTGTAATCCCAGCACTCTGGGAGGCTGAGGTGGGTGGATCACTTGAGGTCAGGAGTTCGAGACCAGCCTAGCCAATGTAGTGAAACCCCTGTCTCTACTAAAAAATACAAAAATTAGCCGGGCATGGTGGCAGTGCCTGTAATCCCAGCTCCTCAGGAGGCTGAGTCAAGAGAATCGCTTGAACCCGAGAGGCAGAGGTTGCAGTGAGCCAAGATTGCGCCACCGCACTCCAGCCTGGGCGAGAGTGAGACCCTGTCTCAAAAAAAAAAAAAAAAAAAAAAGCTATAATTACATAAAATTTGTCACATCAGTGAAACTAGAAGGAATCAATAAGTTAATGAATGAGGTTCAAGTAACTCACTAAAAGCAACATGTAAATATAGGGTTGAAATCTGTTAGCTCTAGAAAATATGACTATATATGAAATGAAACCAATAACCTAAGTAAATGCTCTATAACCTCTCAGAAGGGAAAAAAAAATAGTGATTTATAAAAAGGAAGAATCTACACAGACATAAGACAGTGGTAACAGAGCAAGAATCTCTCAGTGATTCTTCCCCAAGCCCACGGTAAGAAGGTGCCTTCAACCAGCAGATTTCAGTATGCCTTACTTCCTTGTCAGGTATGGTCCTACAGTGCAAATCAGAGGGAAAAAAACATACAAGAGCCCAAATCTGGCCTTTTAGGTGGAAATTCCAATTTTTTAAACACTGGCAATAATTTAAATTTAAAACACTATACAAGGTGAATTAAATTTGTCTGCTGGGCCAGGCGCGGTGGCTCACGCCTGTAATCCCAGCACTTTGGGAGGTCGAGGCGGGCGGATGGCGAGGTCAGGAGATCAAGACCATCCTGGCTAACACGGTGAAACCCCATCTCTACTAAAAATACAAAAAATTAGCTGGGCGTGGTAGCGGGAGCCTGTAGTCCCAGCTACTCGAGAGGCTGAGGCAGAAGAATGGCGTGAACCCGGGAGGTGGAGCTTGCAGTGAGCCGAGATCGTGCCACTGCATTCCAGCCTGGGTGACAGAGCGAGACTCCGCCTCAAAAAAAAAAAAATTTGTCTGCTGGTCAGATGTCACCCTCCAGACTTCTAGGTTGTAGCCTTTGGTATATAAATGAATACATCTAGCTACCCTAACTTGATAAAATAATCATCAAAAATCCTCTTTCTCACTAACTTTTTTATTGTAATTTACTCCCCAGGCAGATTTTCTAAGTGCATCCTACCCTTCTAGCAGTTATCTTTCTGAGTGCAAACATTTAGAAGCATACAGCTGCTTTTTATTTTTTTTTAATTACATGAGCAGGGACTAAGCTCCATCAAATTCATCAGATCACCTCTAGGTTCAAGCTTCTGAGCCTACAGTTCTGAGGGCGGATCCATTATACTCCCATCAAAGTATAATGCTACTCTGAAGGCATCATTCTCCTCTAGCTATCTCAGCTCACTGCAACCTCCACCTCCTGGGCTCAAGCTATTCTTCTGCCTCAGCCTCCTGAGTAGCTGGAATTACAAGCACCCACCACCACCTCCAGATAATTTTTGTATTTTTAGTAGAGACAGGGTTTCACCATTGACCAGGCTGGTCTCGAACTCCTGACCGACCTCAAGTGATCTACCCACCTCAGCCTCATAGTGTGCTGGAATTACAGGTGTGAGCCACTTTGCCCAGCCTCAGCACTTTTTCTTTTTTTTCTTTTCTTTTCTTTTTTTTTTTTTTTTTTTTGAGACAGAGTCTCATCATCTGTCACCCAGGCTGGAGTGCAGTGGCTTGCTCACTGCAACCTCCACCTCCCGAATTCAAGCAATTCTCCTGTCTCAGCCTCCTGAGTAACTGCGATTACAGGCATGTGCCACCATGCCTGGCTAATTTTTGTATTTTTAGTAGAGACAGGGTTTCACCATGTTGGCCAGGCTGGTCTCGAACTCCTTGCCTCAGGTGATCCACCTGCCTCAGCCTCCCAAAGTGCTGGGATTACAGGCGTGAGTGAGCCACACGCCCAGTGCCTCAACACCTTTTCAATAAGTTTTGATCCAGTGGAATGCAGATGCAGCTTTTTAATGAGGTAGGTTTATGGAAAATGACTAAAACTTGAGCATTTTAGACAATTCTATGCAGAAAAAAAAGTGGAACAAGATTTTATAATTAGTTTATAGGGTTCAAATGAATTTCATCAATCATTTATCTAGACAGCACACCAAATAAAATCAAAAGAAGTTAAGAGTTTTCATCCATGTCACACGGCTTGAAAGCTGGGCATAGAACGTAACTTTCATGACTTTCTAAACTAGGTGCTTGTTTCATTTTAATATGCAAATCTTCCAGAATGTTTGAATTATATCTAGATAGGCAGAGGGATAAACAAAATGTTTTCATGTATTATTTTGAATAAGAAAATTCAGGAAGCCTAAAAACAGACATTCAACTACATGACCATTTGCTTAAATTAATTTTAAGCAGGCAAAAGAAAAGTAATCTGAGCCTTTTAATCAGGTCAAAGAATTTGACTGTAAATTTTAAATATATACCACCTAAATTGAAAAGCAGGACATGTGGGATTAACAAATTGAATAGCAGCATTTTTTTTAACATATACTAGGTATCAAAGTAAGCATTTTACATTAAGTGTTCATTTTAATTTTCACAATAACTTTATTAAGGTCCTTATTAAAAATGAGAAAGCTTGGCCAGGCGCAGTAGCTCACACTGGTAATCCCAACACTCTGGGAGGCCAAGGCAGGTGAATCACCTGAGGTCAGGAGTTAGAGACCAGCCTGGCCAACACGGTAAAACCCCGTTTCTACTAAAAATACAAAAATTGGCCTGGCATGGTGATGGGTGCCTGTAATCTCAGCTACATGGGAAGCTGAGGCAGAAGACTCACTTGAACCCAGGAGGTGGAGGGTGCTGTGAGCCAAGATCACGCCATTGCACTCCAGCCTAGGTGACAAGAGCGAGACTCCATCTCAAAAAAAAAAAAAAAAAAAAAAAGGGAAAGCTGAGACCTGAAGAACATAAATAACTTATCCTAGATTACTTAAAGGATAATCTATACCACATACCCAGATCTGTGATTTCAAAATCCATATAACTAGGTTTGAAGCTAAGTTTCTTATTAAGATTACCCTCAACTTACTATTTTCGCTTTTCAAATAAAACTTTTTGGCTGGGCACTCTGGCTCATGCCTGTAATCCCAGCAATTTGGGAGGATGAGGTGGGCAAATCACTTGAGGTCAGGAGTTCAAGAACAGCCTGGCCAACATGGCAAAACCTCATCTTTACTAAATACAAAATTAGCCAGGCGTGGTTGCGCACGTTTGTAATCCCAGCTACTTGGGAGGCTGAGGCAGGAGGACTGCTGGAACCCAGAAGGCAGAGGTTGCCGTGAGCCAAGGCTACACCACTGCACTCCAGCCTTGGTGACACAGTGAGACTGTCTTTAAAATATATATATATATTTGTAGAAAGAAATTCTCAACTAGTGAGATCAGTTTACAGAACAGTAAAGTTACAACCTGCATTCAAAGGAAGCTTTTCTACTTGAGTTTATAAATTGGCTACCACCCTGATGTTAAAATTAGCTAAAATTTGTTCATAAGTTGATCTAGTCATTGATAATAAATGTGTCAACAATATTATATTTCACCAATACATATTTAACCAAACAGCTTTTACAAATCTTCAATCAAAATAATAGAAATAAATTGGTATTATACACCTACAAAATTAAAAATGTTAAAGAGATACCATATTTTCAGTGTCACAAGATTTGCCTTGCACAGCTAGAGTCACCACCTCCCTTCCACTTTGATCATTTAATTTTAATACTGTGCATCTGGAGGATGAAACAGAACTTTGCAAATCATCACTTAACTTCGAGTACTTAGAACAGTTAATTCAATGGCCACATGCCAGTTTCTTTACTGATTACATACATATATGATCCAAGATTACTTTAAAAAATAATACTATGCTGAAACCATTCCCACTGATTGTTGAGAATTTGTTTAAAGCTAGCTCATCTGTTATAACAAAAGGCTGTTAACCTACCTGTCACTGCTGGTACTACTGCTGCTGCTGATTGAATCACTACTGGAGGATCTACTTCTAGAGCCGCTGCCGCTAGGGGACCTTGTGGGTCTAGATGCTTGGCTAGCCAGTCTCTGAGGAGACTGATTTCTAGACTGGGATGAATGTGGTGACCGACTCCTGCTGTGCTGGTAATTCCGCTCTGGCCTTCTGCCTCGTACCTCCCGGGTAATATCATCCCTGTAGATATCCCTGTGTACCACACTGGGCAGTGTAAACTGCTCGCGAGCCCTAGGTTCATATCGGGGGTCATGAGCATCAAAGCGATTTGGACTTCGACTCCGAGAAGCGTAATAGAGCCCATGTTGTAAAGTCCGCTCTCGAGGATCTCTATAGTAATCCTGATCGTAATGTCTTGTCCGATCAAATCCTCCCGTCCCCCGTTCATGGTGTCCATAGGCACTATGTTCATAAGCACGCTCCCTGTTATCTGAAGCCCTGCATTTAGGAGGGGGAAAAATATTTAATCAGAAAGGAGCAAGCAAAACTAAAAGCAAGTCATGCAAACATTCACTTCAGCATTGTCTTTGTCTTTGCAACTGGTCATTTTCTAAACAGCATTAACCTACTTAATAAGCAAACGCTAACAAGCTTAACATTTTACTTGACTCCAAAAATTATTTTCACAGCTGAGCAATCATTGTTTTCATTGTATATTGGGCTTTCATGACTAGTGTTCTGCAGCTCACTTGCTTACTTTATTAGAGATTTTCTGACTTGCATACATAAATATACAATCTCCTTTTCATGTTAACGGAACAAGAGACTATTTTAATAATATGAAAGTTTTTACACTTTCATCTGATTAAAGTATATACCAAATTTTATTTACTCACAAATTTCTTTTAGGCCACATTTCCATGCTATGTTTTAACTTAGACATGAAAGCCCTGCTGCAGCGCATGTCTCAACAATAGGAAGGACTTTCAAGAAGTCCAGAAAAAATTTTCTAAGTTTAACTTTTTTTCATTAAGTTTTGACTGCTTGGATAGTTATAAAAAATTACTGGACTACATAAACTAGACTACATAGACTGCACAGCGGTACCCAATTACATTTAATAATAAAAATAGAATCTCAAAAAAAAACCACTTCAAGTATCAAAATATTGGGTTACCACATGCTACTCTATGTGAATTTAAATAAAAATAAAAATTATTTACTCCTGTGCTATCAAATTCCAAATGACTTTAAAAATGCCTATTCCATGATTCAATTTCTTAATGTATAAACTCAATGGTTGTAGGAAATATGTTCTTTTGGCTTTTAGCTATACTCAAATTGCCTGTGATGAAATTAGGTAACATTAGGAACTATAAGATATTCTAAGGTCGCTATTAGCAAAATAGCTTAACTTAAACAATCATTTAGTAGGATGTGAATACCTGTCAACCTAAAAAGTACAAAACACGTTGCATGTACGATTACACACATGCAATTATGTGTTAATATTAAAAACTAGTTATAATCCTATAAAGAAATCGTAAGTTCTCTACTTTTGTAGAGAACTAGAACTCAGCTCCTGAGTTCCTAAAAGACCATTTCACTGGAGTTTCTCTTCAACCCATCTCTGGATCTATCTTCTATCAAAAGGGATTAAGGAATCATGAAACATAAAGAATTAGAATCTCTCCAATGAAGAATATCTGGCAAAATCTTATAACAATTAATACCAGATCCCCAGTACATGCTTAGATTCCAGGTCTCTCCACTAATATTCTTTTCACCCATCATTTCACTTAGTAGCAACCCCACCTTCCTAGGCTTAGTTTAGCTTTTTTTGCTGCTATTGTGAAAAACAACTGGCATGATAAACATTCTATATCTTTCCTACTTAAATGTATTAAATGAGTTTCTCTTTTATTTACTACAGTTCTGAGATTTTTATATTTCAATGTCTAACAAATAAGAGGGTTTCCTTTGAGACTTAAAATGCCATAAATAATTACTTTAGCACCCTATCAAATGTTAATCAGTGAAAGCCATTATTAATGATTTAACAGAAGCAACAGGCAAAAAAGTTCTAGGACGATTACTGCTACAGCTGCTATTTTATAAATATGCAAAGTTCTTATCCATTAAGAAGATACAGAAGGCAGGCACAAGAGCTAGCAGAGCTGAAATCTAATGGCTATTCTCTGATTCACTATTAGTACTAAATACTTCTAGAGTTAGTGGGGAAAAAAAGAGAGTTTGACTTGGGTTAGGAGAGGGGCTAATATACACAGGTCAGGACATACCAACCTTTTCCAAGTGTGGAAACACGACCTATAATCCCAATTAAATCTAGGGAGAGAATTGTGAACATAACTTCCCCAATTTTGGCCCCTCTTATGGGGGTAATCCACCTTCTTAATGGGCAAGGGTGTCAAATGATATTTAGATGAACCACAAGAAAAAAAAAATCTTAGTGACCAGACAAAATAATTCCACTGGAAGCAAGTAGTCCCAGACAAACTGTAACTCTCAAACCCCCAGACTTCTTTCTTGAGATAGCAGACAATTAGAAATTTATCCACATTCATAAATATTTCCAGCCCTAAGTATGAATCAGGTAGCTGGCAGAAGAGGAAATATCCTCTACAATTCCAACGAATGAGGAAGGCACAGTTGCTCGCCAATAGTTCACTTTTGTAGCCATCCAGCCCAGTCAATTTTGATTGCTGTATCCACAACTGATCATCACCATGTGTTCAAAGCTAAAGTACCTTTGATTGGACAGCAACTTGCTTAAGAAATGATATAGTAATCCTCTTTCCCTGGGCTAGTGGAATCTTGACAGCAAGACATCCCATATATCCCAGCAATTAGAAAAGAATGGCTATATTCCAGGATTTAGGAAACATCCATCATTTTAATTTTTCCCCATTCCATCAAAGAGTGTAATTCCAACAATACAGAAATTGTGTAGATCCAAAATGGAAAAATCAGGCATTGCCTTCTCTCTTCTTCATCCAAGTACACATTTCCATGTTAAAGTATTGTTTGTAGAATCCAAGTGGTTGAATCATTATGGTCTGCCAGATTTTTTGTTACAATCCAATTTGTTTGTACACTTTATGTAGTGAAAATGGAGAGGCAGATATCAACTTCTAAAAGAATCTGTAGGCTCTAATATTCCAGAAATATTCCATATAGTATGAACACAAAAGCCAAATAGCTCCATCAGGTAGAAGGGATATATCCAAGGAAGGACTTAACATTATCCAAGAGAAGGAATAAGTAATTCTAGAAGACAGGTAACTCCAAAAATGAAGCTTCCATAGGAAATCTTCCATCACATTATATCTCAGGAACAGATATCCAATCAGCTGCAGGAAATATCCTCTACGATTCCATAAGATACCAGCCATTGGGATATAAATCACTTCCGTTTCCAACCCAAAATAGGAAACATTGAGAATGCCCAAAACTTTAAATCCATCTGGGGCCCCTAAATATGAGTTTCTGTTTCTCACCATATCAAATACAAAATACCTGCCTACAGAAACCTTGGAACTTACCCATCAAGTCTCCGCTCATAACGTCCTTCTCGTGCATGAAGTGACGGTGGGGGACCATAAGCAGGCCCTCCACCACCTCCTCTGAACCCAGAAACCTCTCTACTACGAGATGCTATGGAAACTGTATCATCCAATCCCCGAGCAGCACTCGGGATGGTGCCTGGTTCATTATAATCCGTGCGTAGGTCTCTGTCACCCATTTTGTTGACCGAGTTGTGAGCTTTCTGTGCACTTTTGATGTCCACAAAATCCACAAAGGCAGCCACTCCTCCTTCAGATCCCCTCTTGGGAAGAATTTTGACACTTTCCACGCGGCCATATCTGGAAAAAATAAAGTCAACGTTATTGCTGCATATCAATAATTTTCCAAAATGAGTTTTTAGATTTTTTTTGGACAATTTGCGTTATGTATGTAGGAGGGACGACCTGCAAAATGACTTTTTAAATGGCTCTCTTTTACACTTAACGTTTTTCTCTCTGGGGAAAATATCTGTATCGCATTATTACATTACTCTCATTTCTTTTTTTTTTTTTTTTGAGATGGAGTCTCGCTCTGTTGCCCAGGCTGGAGTGCAGTGGCACAATCTCAGCTCACTGCAAGCTCCACCTCTGGGGTTCACGCCATTCTCCTGCCTCAGCCTCCCGAGTAGCTGGGACTACAGGCACCTGCCACAACGACAGGCTAATTTTTTGTATTTTTGTATTTTTAGTAGAGACGGGGTTTCACCGTGTTAGCCAGGATGGTCTCGATCTCCTGACCTCGTGATCCGCCCGCCTTAGCCTCCCAAAGTGCTGGGATTACAGGCATGAGCCACCGCGCCCGGCCCATTCCTTAAATATAATATTTACAAAACTCCCCTTCACCTTTCTAGAACCCTTAGCTGAAATGCACTTTTTTTTTTTTTTTTTTTTTTGAGACAGAGTCTCACTCTGTCACCCAGACTGGAGTGCACTTACTGTAACCTCCAACTCCCAGGTTCAAGTGATTCTCGTGTCTCAGCCTCCCAAGAAGCCGGGATTACAGGCATATGCCACCACACCCAACTAATGTTTTTTGTATTTTTAGTAGAGATGGGGTTTCGCCATGTTGCCCAGGCTGGTCTTGCACTCCTGACCTCAGGTGATCTGCCTGCCTTGGCTTCCCAAAGTGCTGGGATTACAGGTATGAGCCACAGCACCCGGCCTTGAAATACACTTCTCAGAAGTTTTTACAAATATTTATAGTCTAAAAACGACTACTGAACCTAAGATAGAATCAAAGTAATTTAAAAATCTGTAAAACTTATATTAAAATAAAAACTATACATAGCTATTTTACAGATTTCATTTTAACTTAATTCATTAAGTGACAATCGTACTGGAAAACTGAAGTACTCAAACACTCCTTACTTAAAGGCAAAAGTAAATCCAAATATTTTTGTGTCCATTTGCAAGTGACAGTCTAATTTTTTTAATGTAATTTTTTTGCTACTTAATTTTCTTTCTCCAGGGAGTTAAAACTGTTAAACTTTATAATATAGGTACAATTAAAATTATTTATACAGGCTGGGTGCAGTGGCTCACACCTGTAATCCCAGCACTTTGGGAGGCCCAGGCAGGTGGATCACCTCTACTAAAAATCCAAAAAAATTAGCTGGGCATGGTAGTACACATCTGTAATCCCAGCTACTTGGGAGGCTAAGGCATGAGAATTGCTTGAGCTCAGGAGGTGGAGATTGCAGTGTGCCAAGATCGTGCCACTGCACTCCAGCCTGGGTGACAGAGCGAGACTCAGTCTCAAAAAAGAAAATAGAAAATACATGAGAAAAGTGACTAGGGTTCTAATCCCGATTAGGTTATTAACTATATGGTTTTAAAAGGCACTGTTGAGGCCAGGCGTGGTGGCTCAAGCCTGAAATCCCAGCACTTTGGGAGGCTGAGGCAGGCAGACCATGAGGTCAGGATTTTGAGACCCAGCCTGACCAACATGGTGAAACCCCACCTCTACTAAAAATACAAAAATTAGCAAGGTGTGGTGGCACACGCCTATAATCCCAGCTACTCAGGAGGCTGAGGCAGGAGAATCACTTGAACCCAGGAGGCGGTGAGGACGCAGTGGGCCGAGATCCACCCTGGGCAACAGAGTCAGACTCCATCTCAAAAAAGAAAAAAAGGCATTGTTCTAGGAGCTTAACACATCCTGGGAACAAAACATAGATCCCTAGCCTCATGACATTTATTTACAATTTTCAGTTCGTTGGTATGTGAAAAGAAGACCCCTCCCATTCTAAAATTGTTTTCATCAACTGCATAAGAAACTCACTCCATAACTTCCAAAGCATCAATTACACAAAGCTTTAAAATCCTTAGTATGCTAAAATCCAAGGAATTCTCTCAATACTCCTTTCTAGAAGTGACTACATTCAACCTTTATTGGCTAGGCTATCAATAGGAATGCAATGATTAATTTTAATCTTAGCTTTTGCAACTGACCTAATAAGCAATAGGAAAGAACTGCCACACACTTCATTCTCACACAAGTCATGCTACTATAGAAAACAATTCTCTCTGAGTCATTCTTGAAGCAAGACAACAGAACACCAATGAAAATAACACATTCAAATTTTGCATCTAATCCCTCTTTGCCCAGTTAATTTCTAGAGCTAAAAAATCACATCTGAGTCGTTTTATGATCATTAACATTACTGTTCTATTTCCAGGGAATGAGATCCCATCTTTACTAGCTCTCAAAGTTTTGAAATCCTGCTATGGGAGAAAAAGTTATTATAGAATTGTAAATGAGGACGAGTGTCAAGCCTTTTGAAGATGCAGGCAAATTACATAGCCACCCACCCAACTAAAACCCAATATATAACTTCCAAAAGATCACATTTTTATCAAACTACCCATGGCTTTGTGTACTGCCTACTTTTCCACCTTTCCATCCCATCATCACCACAGCTGTGCCTTATTCAAAAGCAAATGATCGGCTGGGCATGGTGGCTCACACCTGTAATCGCAGCACTTTGGGAGGCCGAGGCAGGTGGATCACCTGAGGTCATGTGTTCAAGACCCAGCCTGACCAACATGGTGAAACCCCGTCTCTACTAAAAATACAAAAATTAGCCAGGCATGGTGGTGCCCGCCTGTAATCCCAGCTACTCAGGAGGCTAAAGCGGGAGAATCGCTTGAACCCAGAAGGCAGTGAGGTTGCAGTGAGACAAGACCACGCCACTGCACTCCAGCCTGGGCAACAGAGTGAGACTCTGTCCCAAAAAAAAAAAATCAATAACTATAGACAGACAAAAAGCAAAGAGCAAATAAACACACCATAAGGGATAAGAAAAAGTCATGAGAGATGAATATATTCAAGTTTGGCTAGGCTACCTGTAACAGTAGAGACAACACGCCACGTGGTGGCACACACCTGTAATCCCAGTAATTTGGGAGGTTGAGGCAGGAGCATCAGTGAAAATGGCCATGAGTGAGTCATGGCCATGCCACTCACCTCCAGCCTGGGCAATAGAGCAAGACCCTGTCTCATAAATAAATAAATAAATAAATAAATAAATAAATACAGTAGAGACAATAAATGTTTGTGCTGGTTTTTTACATTATAAAAAGATTAAAATCATTCCTCTTTTGAACTCAGTTAAATCATAAATGTATCCATTACAACCACCAAATTATGGGCACTAATGTAGTAACATTAATACTTATATTACCTTTTTTGTAACAAAATTTTATAAATGAATTACTAATTTATAATTCAACCCACGTGAGTTTATATTTAGACCAAAAGGGCCGGGCACGGTGGCTCACACCTGTAATCCCAGCACTTTGGGAGGGCCAAGGCAGGCAGATGACCAGGTCAGGAGATGGAGACCATCCTGGCCAACATGGTAAAACCTCATCTCTACTAAAACGCAAAAAATTAGCCGAGTGTGGTGGTGCCCGCCTGCAGTCCCAGCCACTCAGGAGGCTGAGGCAGGGGAATCGCTTGAACCTGGGAGGCAGAGACTACAGTGAGCCGAGATCGCGCCACTGCACTCCAGCCTAGGCAACAAGAGCCAAAACTCCATCTCGAAAATAAATTAATAAATAATTAATTTAATAAAAGCTGTTACTTGTCATCAACATAACTGAAGTAGATATTAAGACTACTCCATTCACAATTACTGATATCCCCATATTTCAACACACTAAATGTAGCATGTAACTTGAAATCATATACTCAGATTACAAGACTCCTACAATTTGAACATAACCAAGTAAGACAGTAAAATTTGTAATATGTCATATACCTCATGTCAGTTAAAATAAATTAAAACCAAAGTAAAACTTAACAAATATCCAGCAAGTCAATGATAAATCTAAATAGCTAAATGACAATGACAAATTAAAACAGTTAATAGTTTAATTCTGGCTGGGCACGGTGGCTCACGCCTGTAATCCCAGCACTTTGGGAGGCCAAGGCAGGCGGATCACGAGGTCAGGAGATCGAGACCATCCTGGCTAACATGGTGAAACCCCATCTCTACTAAAAATACAAAAAATTAGCTGGGCATGGTGGCGGGCACCTGTAGTCCCAGCTACTTGGGAGGCTGAGGCAGGAGAATGGCGTGAACCCGGGAGGCGGAGCTTGCAGTGAGCCAAGATCGCACCACTGCACTCCAGCCTGGGCAACAGAGCAAGACTCCATCTCAAAAAAAAAAAAAAGTTTTATTCTATCTAAAGACATATCAAAAATATACATAAACCTATGGAATAGGAGAAAATAATTACAGATTATATCTCTGATAGGGAACTCCTAAAACTCAATGAAAAGCACAATCCAATTTTCTAAAATGAGACTGGACACAGTGGCTCAAGTCTGTAATCCCAAAGCTTTGGGAGGCCAGGTGGGAGGATCACTTGAAACCATGAGTTCCAGACCCACCTACACAACACAGCAAGACCTCATCTCTATAAATATATATGTATATAAATAAATAAATATATATAATTTTTTTTTTAATTAGCTGGGGCCGGATGCAGTGGCTCACTCCTGAATCCCAACGCTTTGGGAGACCAAGGGAGGTGGATCATTTTAGCCTGGGAGTTTGAGACCAGCCTGGGCAACGTGGCAAAATCCCAACTCTACAAAATACACAAAAATTAGCTAAGTGTGGTGGCACATGCCTGTAGTCCCAGCTACTCAGGAGGCTGAAGCAGGAGGATTGCTTGATCCCAGGAGGCGGAAGTTGCGGTGGGCTGAGATCACGCCATTGCACACCAGCCTGGGTGGCAGAGCACATATACGGATACAGAGAGAGATACATAAATGGCCAATAAACACATGAAAAGATGGTAAATTTAGTCATCATTAGTCATTAGGGAAATCAAAATCAAAATCACAATTATATACCATTTCATACCCACTAGGGCAGCTAAAAAAAAAAAAAAGGCAATGACAACTAATAATGAGGATGAAGAGAAATCTGAACCCTCATACATTGCTGGTGAGATAGCCACCCAGCCTGGGTGAAAGAGCAAGACCCTGCCTCAAAAAACAACAACAAATATACAGATATTTTCATAGCAGCATTTTTCATAACAGCCAAAAATGAGAAACAATCTAAATGGCCATCAACTGATGAATGGATAAAAAACGTGGCATGAGCCAGGCGTGGTGGCTCAGGCCTATAACCCCAGCACTGTAGGAAGCCAAGGTGGGCAGATTGCTTGAGCTCAGGAATTGGAGACCAGCCTGCGCAACATGGTGAAACCCTGTCTCTTAAAAATAAAAATAAAAGGGGGGAGGGCATGCCCATTCAATGGAATATTGTTCAGCAACAAAAAAGAATGATGTTCTGATATATTCTAAAATATGGATGAACCTTGAGAACATGCATAATGAAAGAAGCCAGTCACATACTGTATGATTCCATAATACACAAAAGGTCCAAAATAGGCAAATCCATGCAAACAGAAAGTAAATTAGAGATTGCCAGGGGCTGAAGACAAAGGAGAATGGAGAATGACTGCTAATGGATGTGGGTTTCATTCTGGGGTGATGAAACTATTCTACAATTAGATAGTGATAATGGTTGCGCAACTCTGTGAATATATTAAAAACAGCTGAATTGTATACTTTAAATGGGTAAATTTTATGGTTTATGAGTTACAGCTTAATAAAACTGTTATCTTTCAAAAATACAAAAAATACCTGTCCCTGTCCTTCAACACAAAAGATTTTATATCTCCTTTAGTCACAAGTTTCTATGTTATCTCACTATAAATCAACTGTATGCCACATCCTACTATAAATAGGCAACCATGGAAGGCATTTTTCTATTTCAAGCACGCCTAACTAGGAACGTTATATATGATGAGGTGCTGATGATAGTCAAAATCTGCTAGCTTCATTTCATGGTAATACAGAACTCTTTCAAGAAATTTATTATGAAATGATTTTATATATATAATGGATATATGAGCTGTTCTTAAATAACTAATGTATTCCAGCCGGGCGCGGTGGCTCACGCCTGTAATCCCACCACTTTGGGAGGCCCAGGCAGGCAGATCACGAGGTCAGTAGATCGAGACTATCCTGGCTAACATAGTGAAACCCCGTCTCTACTAAAAATACAAAAAATTAGTCAGGTGTGGTGGCAGGCGCCTGTAGTCCCAGCTACTTGGGAGGCTGAGGCAGGAGAATGGCGTGAACCCGGGAGGCAGAGCTTGCAGTGAGCCAAGATCGCACCACTGCACTCCAGCCTGGGAAACAGAGTGAGACTGTGTCTCAAAAAACAAAACAAAACAAAACAAAAAAACTAATGTATTCCTCCTTTAATCACTCTTTTCAGTAACAAATATTTAGTAACAAATAATTACTAAAGATGGCAAAAGATACGGAGAATCCCTAAAGCCAGCAAAAGAAAGTTAACTACAAAGCCCTAATTTCATTTTTAGAAAAAGCTCATACCCTGAAGTATTTCTCTACTAGGAGGGATGGGAGGAGGGAAGGAAAAAGAGGTGAGCAAGATTTTTCATAGTTTGAAGATATGTATTAGCTTATGCCAAAAATAATAATAATAATTGAGCTGTCATATAATTTTGGAACTGGCATGATATAAAATCCCTAAACCATAAAGGAAAAGACTACATAAATCAAACCACATAAAAATTACAACTCCTGAATCACTTGAACTCAGGAGGCTGAGGCTGCAGTGAGCTGAGATCATGCCACTGCACTACAGTTTGGGCAAGAGTGAGATTCCATCTCCAAAAAAAAAAAAAAATTACAACTCCTATATAGCAAGATATAAAGTCAAAAGACAAATGGAGAAAAAAAATACTTGCAACACTTGAGAAATAAATGATTTCCTAACTATACAGAGTTATTAGAAATCAAGGGAAAGAGACGCCCCAACAAAAAACAGGCAAATGTGGCTGGGTGCGGTGGCTCACACCTGTAATCCCAGCACTTTGGGAGGACAAAATGGGTGGATCACCTGAGGTGAGGAGTTTGAGACCAGCCTGGGGGCAATACGGTGAAACCCCGTCTCTACTAAAATACAAAAAAATTAGCCGGATGTGGCGGTGCGTGCCTGTAGTCCCAGCTACTCAGGAGGTTGAGGCAGGAGAATCGTTTGAACCCAGGAGGTGGAGGCTGCAGTGAGCTGAGATCCAGACACTGCACTCCAGCCTGGCAACAGAGTGAGACACCGTCTCAGAAAAAAAAAAAAAAAAAAACAGGCATATACCTGCATAGGAAGATTTTCTAAAACACACTCACAAATGGTAATTAAAACAAACACACTCGCCAGGCGTGGTGGCTCACACCTGTAATCCTAGCACTCTGGGAGGCCGAGGCCGGCAGATCACCTGAGGTCAGGAGTTTGAGACCAGTCTGGGAGCAAGACGGTGAAATCCCGTCTCTACTAAAATACAAAATTTAGCCAGGCATGGCAGCGTGCGCCTGTAGTCCCAGCTACTCGGGAGGCTGAGGCAAGAGAATTGCTTGAACCCAGGAGGCGGAGGTTGCGGTAAGCTGAGATCTCACCACTGCACTCCAGCCCGGGCGACAGAGTGAGACTCCATCTCAAAAAAAAATTAAAATTAAGATTAAAAACACACTCAAAGCTGCTCAATTTCACTCAAAATCTTAAAAATGGGCAGGAATGATGGCTAACATCTATAATCCCACCACTTTGGGAAGCCAAGGCGCGAGGACGATTTGAGGTCAGGACATCAAGACCAACCTGGGGAACAAAGCAAGACCCCTCCCCACCTCCCCACCCTACCCCCTTCTCTACTAAAAATAAAAACATTAGCCAGGTGTGTTGGCACTTAGTAGTAGTCCTAGCTACTCAAGAGGTTAAGATGGGAGTTTGAGTCCTAGCTACTCGGTAGGCTGAGACGGGAGCTTGAGCCCTAGCTACTCGGTAGGCTGAGACGGGAGCTCGAGCCCAGTAGTTCCAGGCTGCAGTGGGCATGATCACACCACTGAACTCCAGACTGGGTGACAGAGCGAGACCTTGTCTCAAAAAAAAAAAAAAAAAAAAACCCACAAACCTAAGTTCACACACCTAGAAATTCCATTCACAAAAATTTATCATACATGTATAACTGCACTTGTCTGCAAGAGTACAAAATTGCTTACTACAACACTGCTTACAATATTAAAAAAAAAAAAAAAAAAACCGGCCGGCACAGAGGCTCACGCCTATAATCCCAACACTTTGGGAAGCCAAGGCAGGCAGATCACTTGAGGTCAGGAGTTTGAGAACAGCCTTGCCAACATGGCAAAACCACCACCTTTACTAAAAGTACAAAACTTAGCCAGGCGTGGTGGCAAGCGCCTGTAGTCCCAGCTGCTTGGGAGGCTGAGACACGAGAATCACTTGAACCCAAGAAGAGGAGGTTGCAGTGAGCCAAGATCGAGCCACTGCACTCCAGCCTGGGCAACAGAGTGAGACATTGTTTCAAAAAAAAAAAAAAAAAAAGCAACCACTATTCTACTTGCTGTCTTTATGGAGTTGACTACCGTAGCTAGGTACCTCATATATGTATATCATACAGTCCACTTTTCCTTCTTTTGTTAACTGGCTTATTTCACTTACATAGTGTCTTCAAATGTTGTAGCATGTGTCAAAACTTCCTTTCTAAGGCTGAATACTCCACTGTATGAATTCTGTTTATTACACATCTGATAAGTGCATTCTGTTTATCTATTCATTGGTCATCGACATTAGAGATGCATTCACCTTTTGGCTATTGTGAATAGTATTGCTGAAAACATAATAGATTAGTTTTTTTGTTTGTTTTGTTCTAAGACAAGGGTTTGCTCTGTTGCCCAGGCTGGAGTGCAGTGGTGCAATCATGGCTCACTGCAGCCTCAACCTCCCAGGCTCAAGCAATCCTCCTATCTCAGCCTCCTAAGCAGCTGGGACTACAGGCAGGCACCACCACACCCAGCTGATGTTTTTGTTTTCCATAGAGATGAGGTCTCAACATGTTGCCTAGGCTGGTCTCCAATTCCTGGACTCAAGCAGTCCTCTAGTCTCGGTCTCCCAAAGTGCTGGGATTACAGGTATGAGCCACTGCACCCAGCCAGATTACTTTTTTATATTAGAAACTATTTATTGGTTCTAAGTAGAAAGGCTTTAAGAAAATGTTAAGACCAAGAATAAGCTTAATTCAACCAATAAAACTATACCCCTATCTGTTTACTGAATCCAGGGTGAGTGCCTAGATTCCTGAACATAGAAAACTTGATAATTACAACTCCTGGGAAAAGGCATCTGTTTCCAGTAAAGCTCTGAATGCAGACATTCTTCAGAACTATTGCAGGCTTCATTACTCCAGTAAGGAAAAAAATTATATGTGTCTGTGTGT
Source organism: Homo sapiens (assembly GCF_000001405.40). NCBI lineage: Eukaryota > Metazoa > Chordata > Mammalia > Primates > Hominidae > Homo > Homo sapiens. The sequence continues at coordinate 15,863,275 of NC_000001.11, read as the reverse complement.
GTGTGCATGTGCAGTTTTGTTTTGTTTTTCTGAGACAGCGTCACTGTCACCCAGGCTGGAGTCCAATGGCACAATCTTGGCTCACTGCAGCCTCAACCTCCCAGGTTCAAGTGATCTGCCCGCCTAAGCCTTCCAAGTAGCTGGACTATAGGTACATACCACCATGCCCAACTACCTTTTATTACCCACTGAGAATGGGAAAAGTGCTGGGATTCGGCCGGGAGCGGTGGCTCACACCTGTAATCCTACCACTTTGGGAGGCTGAGGTAGGCAGACCACAAGGTCAGGAGATCGAAGCCATCCTGGCTAACACAGTGAAACCCCATCTCTACTAAAAATACAAAAAGTTAGCCAGGAATGGTGGTGGGCACCTGTAGTCCCAGCTACTCAGGAGGCTGAGGCAGGAGAATGGCGTGAACCTGGGAGGCGGAGCTTACAGTAAGCTGAGATTGCATCACTGCACTCTAGCCTGGGCGACAGAGCGAGACTCCGTCTCAAAAAAAAAAAAAGCAGAAAGTGCTGGGATTACAGGCATGAGCTACCCGCACTTCACCGAAAAAAAATTATTTATGCACATACATACTCACATTATATTTTACTCCAATCTAATGAAAAATTATTTATTAAGTAAAATTAACTTTTAACAAAGGGACAGTGTTCAACTGACAAACCTCTCAAAAGATTGTCAAATTATGAGGAGAAAAATTCCAAAGTTTCTGTAATCTTTAGATTCTACTGGTTAGAGCAAATAAAAAGCCTGAATATTTTAGACAATCTTGGAAAAAATTCACAGTGTGCTTCCTCCCCAGAGAACAAGACAGGAGTTTATACTGCAAGAATCAAAAAGTAAAGTGCAGGAATATAAATAATCACGATGACCATTAAGCTAACATTCGGACACTATTCTCACAATAATTAATGAGTAGCTTTCATAAATGTATCTGATTTACATAGTACTTTTCTAGGAAGAACTGAAGTATAATTGTAAATAGAACTGCTAATAACCAAAATAAAACATTTATTAAAGTAATGACAGTAAACAAAGCACTTAGATTAAGAAAAAAGGTGCAAGGCAAGCTGATCCAAACACGAAGGCTACAAAACACAAAGCTGAAGTTAGCAGAAGCCAAGAGACTAAATCATAAATTAGCAAAAATCCACATCAAGAGTCCCTCAAAAGGCCAAGAATGGTGGCTAACTCCCGCAATTTTTGTTTTTTGTTTTTTTATTTTTTGAGACGGAGTCTCACTCTGTCACCCAGGCTGGAGTAAAGTGGCGCAATCTCAGCTCACTGCAACCTCGGCCTCCCAGGTTCAAGCGATTCTCCTGCCTCAGCCTCCTGAGTAGCTGTGATTACAGGCATGTGCTACCACGCCCAGCTAATTTTTTCATATTTTTAGTAGAGACGGGGTTTCACCATATTGACCAGGCTGGTCTCAAACTCCTGACCTTGTGATCCACCCGCTTCAGTTTCCCAAAGTGCTGGGATTACAGGAGTGAGCCACCGCACCCGGCCCAGTCCTGTTATTTCAGCATTCTGGGAGGCCAAGGTGAGAGGATGTTTAAAGCAAGGAGTTTTGAGACCAGCCTGGAAACACAGCAAGACCCTGTCACTACTCCCCCCACAAAAAAAAGAGAGTCCTTGCTGGGAATGGAAAGGACTCTAAAAAGGTGCTTACTAATACTGTTATTTACAGTACAACTGCTGAGAAGGAAATCAGCTTCTATCCTTAGGACTTACTTTTCAGTAAAATAATAATTTTTTAAAACTATGGGAAATATACAAATATTTCTAATATTTCACTTAACTAGTGACTTTTATCCTTACTCCATAAAAAAGTATCTGGGCCAGGCACGCTGGCTCACACCTGTAATCCCAGCATTTTGGGAAGCCGAGGTAGGTGGATCATGAGGTCAGGAGTTCGAGACGAGCCTGGCCAACATACTGAAACCCCGTTACTACTAAAAATACAAAAATTAGCCAGGTGTGGTGGCATGTGCCTATAGTCCTAGGTACTTGGGAGGCTGAGGCGGGAGAATCGCTTGAACCCGGGAGGTGGAATGCAGTGAGCCGAGACCACACCATCTGCACTCCAGCCTAGGTGACAGAGTGAGATTCCGTCTCAAAAAAAAAAAAAAAAGTCACTCAGCCTGACCAATGTGATGAAACCCCATCTCTACCAAAAAGCAATTTTTTAAAAAAATTAGCTGGACATGGTGGCACGCAACTGTAGTCCAAGCTACTTGGGAGGCTGAGGTGGCAGAATCAATTGAACCCAGGAGGCAGAGATTGCAGTGAGCCAAGACCGTGCCACTGCTCTCCAGCCTGGGCCACAGAGTAAGACTGTCTCAGAAACAAAACAAAACAAAACAAAAGTCCGGGCACAGTGGCTCACTCCTGTAATCCTGGCACTTTGGGAGGCCGAGGCAGGCGGATGACAAGGTCAGGTTATCGAGACCATCCTGGCCAACATGGTGAAACCCCGTCTCTACTAAAATACAAAAAATTAGCCAGGCATCGTGGCATGTGCCTGTAGTCCAGCTACTCAGGAGGCTGAGGCAGGGGAATCGCTTGAATCCGGGAGGTGGAGGTTGCAATGAGCCAAGATTGTGCCACTGCACTCCAGCCTGGAGACAGAGCAAGACTCCATCTCAAAAAAAAAAAAGTCACTAATAGCCAGACTCACACACCTGTAATGGTCACACCTGTAATCCCAGCACTTCGGGAGGCTGAGGCGGGAGGATATCCTGAGACCAGGAGTTTGAGACCATCCTGGGCAATACAGTGGGACCTTATCTACACACACACACACACACACACACACACACACACTACAGTGGGACCTTAGCTACACATACACACACACACACACACACACACACACACACACACACACCTCTGAAGCTACTTGGGAGGCTGAGATGAGAGGGTCACTTGATGAGCCTGGGAGGTTGAGGCTGCAGTGAGCTGGGATTATACCACTCCCCTCCAACCTGGGTAACAGAACAAGGCTGTCTCAAAAAGAAAAACAGTCACTGAAGTCTATGCCTTAAGATGTTAACTACGCCAGGCACGGTGGCTCACGCCTGTAATCCCAGCACTTTGGGAGGCCGAGGCGGGCGGATCACGAGGTCAGGAGATCGAGACCATCCTGGCTAACACAGTGAAACCCCGTCTCTACTAAAAATACAAAAAATTAGCCGGGTGTGGTGGCGGGCGCCTGTAATCCCAGCTACTCAGGAGGCTGAGGCAGGCGAATGGCATGAACCCGGGAGGTGGAGCTTGCAGTGAGCTGAGATCGCACCACTGCACTCCAGCCTGGGTGACAGAGCAAGACTCCGTCTCAAAAAAAAAAAAAAAAAAAAAAAAGATGTTAACTGATCATTCTTTATACTTATTAAATACCTGAGCCTCTCCAGTCAACATTTTAATCTTCTGAATTATAGCATCTCTAGAACTAAAAGCTTTCTCCAGAAATAAGAAGTCTTTTTAGGAAAAGTCCTCTCGAAAATCATTTTTAAAACAAATTTCAAATCAATCCAATATACAGGAAATAAAATGCTACAACTCTTTGAGACACAAAGCTGTGATGAAAGTTCCTTTTCAGGCCGGGCACAGTGGCTCAAGCCTGTAATCCCAGCACTTTGGGAGGCCGAGGCGGGCGGATCACAAGGTCAGGAGATAGAGACCATCCTGGCTAACACGGTGAAACCCTGTCTCTACTAAAAATACAAAAAATTAGCCGGGCGTGGTGGCGGGGGCTGTGGCGGGCACCTGTGGTCCCAGCTACTCGGGAGGCTGAGGCAGGAGAATGGTGTGAACCCAGGAGGCGGAGCTTGCAGTGAGCCGAGATCCCGCCACTGCACTCCAGCCTGGGCGACAGAGCAAGACTCCCTCTCAAAAAAAAAAAAAAAAAGAAAAGAAAAAGAAAACAGAAAAAGAAAATGAACTATAAATAGAGTGCAGTGGCACATACCTGTAATCCTACATACTTGGCAGGTTGAGGCGGAAATATTGCTTGAAGCCAAAAGTTGGAGGCTGCAGTGAGCTATGATCTCACCTGTGTATAGCCACTGCACTGCAGCCTGGGCAACATAGTCAGACCCCATCTCTTAATTAAAAAAAAAAAAAAAACTAAAAAAGAAAACCGACTGCAATATAATTTAAAACTATTTCAAACTTTAAAAATACTAATTAAGGAGAGATATGTTTGACTGAAGAACATAGCTGGTTAGCAGAAGGATTCATTTCAAAGTAACTGATACACCAATGTCACATATAATAGCTATACACTATTTCAAAACATTAAGTTTTTTGTTTGTTTGTTTTTTGAGACAGGGTTTTTCTCTATTGCCCAGGGTAGAGTGCGGCAGCGCAGTATCGGCTCACTGCTGCCTCTGCCTCATGGGCCCAAGTGATCCTCCCACCTCAGCCTCCTGAACAGCTGGGACTACTGGTGTGCGCCATCGTGCCCGGGTTTTTTTTGTTTGTTTGTTTTTGTTTTTACAGCCTGGGTTTTACCATGTTGCCCAGACTGGTCTGGAACTCCTGAACTCAGGTGATCCACCTGCCTCAGCCTTCCAAAGTGCTGGAATACAGGCAAGAGCCACTGCACCTGGCCAAGCTCTTTTAAAATCCAACTGATCATCCAAATATAGTCATGCATCACTTAAGAACAGGGATACATTCTGAGAAATGCATCTTTACGTGATTTCATCATTGTGAAAACAACAGGGCGTACTTATGCAAACCTCAATGGTAGAGCCTACTATACACCTAGGCTATGCATTGGGTGGTAGTGTTGTATCAATTCTGATTTCCTAACTAGGAGGACTACACGGTGGCAATACAGGAAAGTGTCCTTGTTTCAGGGAGGTACACACTAGAGAATTTAGAGTGGAAGGACATCATGCCATAAAGACAACAGAGGGTAATGGAGCAAATGTGACAAAATGTTAACTGGTGAATTTGGGAAAAGGGGATGTGGGAGGTGTAGTCTGATCCTGAACTTTTTTTTTTTTTGCTGGGCCCAGTGACTCATGCCTGTAATCCCAGCACTTTGGTAGGACAAGGCAGGAGGATCACTTGAGCCCAGGAGTTCAAGACCAGCCTAGGCAACATAGTGAGACCTTGTTTCTCTTTCTTTTTGAGACGGAGTCTTGCTCTGTCACCAGGCTGGAGTACAGTGGCACGATCTCGGCTCACTGCAACCTCCAACTACAAGGTTCAAGTGATTCTCCTGCTTCAGCTTCCCAAGTAGCTGGGATTACAGGCATGTGCCACCACACCCAGCTAATTTTTGTATTTTTAATAGACACAGGATTTCACTATGTTGGCCAGGATGGTCTCGATCTCCTGACCTCATGATCCACCCACCTCGGCCTCCCAAAGTGCTGGGATTACAGGTGTGAGCCACTGGACCTTGTCTCTAAAACAAATTTTTTTAATTAGCTGGACATTATGGCTCATGCCTATAGTCCCAGATACTGAGAAGGCTAAGGTGGGAGGATACCTCAAGCCCAGGAGGTCGAGGCTGCAGTGAACCATAATTATGCCATTACACTCCAACCTGGGTAGAAAAAAAACAATTTTTTTATGAAAATAAATAAATAAATAGGGGCCGGGCACGGTGGCTCACGCCTGTAATACCAGCACTTTGGGAGGCTGAGGCAGGCAGATCACTTGAGGTCAGGAGTTCAAGACCAGCCTGGCCAACATGGTGAAACCTTGTCTCTACTAAAAATACAAAAACTAGCTGGGCGTGGTAGCACACGCCTGTAATCCCAGCTACTCAGGAGGCTGAAGCACAAGAATAGCTTGAACCCGGGAGGCAGAGGTTGCAGTGAGCTGAGATCACGCCACTGCACTCCAGCCTGGGCAACAGAACGAGACTCCGTCTCAAAAAAAAAAGGCTGGGTGCAGTGGCTCACACCTGTAATCCCAGCACTTTGAGAGGCCGAGGCAGACAGATCACTTGAGCCCAGGAGTTCGAGACCAGCCTGGGCAACAGAGTGAGACCTTGTCTCTACAGAAAATACAAAAATTAGCCGAGTATGGTGGTGTGCGCCTGTAGTCCTAGCTACTTGGAAAGCTAAGATGGGAGGATCTCTTGAGCCCGGGAGGTTGAAGGGACACAGTAAGCAGTGATCACACCACTGCACTCCAGCATGGGTGACAAAGTGAGATCCTGTCTCAAGAAAAAAAAAAATACAGGAAGGAGAAAAGCAGATAGGCCATAACTGATGGTTGTTGGAGATGAACGAGAGGAACTTGGGATTCACTGACTATTGTGTCCACTTTTGTGTATGTTCAAAATTCCTGAGATAGAATTTTTAAGATATATAACACAAATTGATCATATAGTAATATATATGCTTCTTTACTAACACACCAAATAAAAGTATCTAGGCCAGGCGCAGTGGCTTATGACTGTAATCCCAGCACATTGTAAAGTCGAGGTGGGCGGATCACCTAAGATCAGGAGTTCAAGACCAGCCTAGCCAACATGGTGAAACCCCGTCTCTATTAAAAACACAAAAATTAGCTGGGCATGGTGGTGGGCGCCTGTAATTCCAGTTACTCGAGAAACTGAGGCAGGAGAATTGCTGGAACCTGGGAGGCAGAGGTTGCAGTGAGCCGAGATCATGCCATTGCACTCCAGCCTGGGTGACACAGCAAGACTCTGTCTCAAAAAAAAAAAAAAAAAAAAGTATCTGGCAGCAGATCTAACAGCCACTGTAATTTCCAAGTTGTGATGACAATAATGAAGTATTTGCAAAAACTGTAATATAAAATATGAAAATATATATGATTTGTATTGGTGACGAAAATCACAACTACTATTAGTTTTCTCTATATTATAGTTGAAGGAAATATTAGATCCCAGTAAGAAGTTACTAAAAATAAAGAGGTATTTTCCCACCCAAGTTTAGTACTTCCTCCTGAATTCTGATCGATGAGGTCTTCATTAAAGATTCTAACATCTGGCCGGGCACGGTGGCTCACACCTGTAATCCCAGCACTTTGGGAGGCCGAGGCGGGCGGATCCTGAGGTCAGGAGATCGAGACCATGCTGGCTAACATGGTGAAACCCCGTCTCTACTAAAAATACAAAAAAATTAGCCGGGTGTGGTGGCAGGTGCCTGTAATCCCAGCTATTTGGGAGGCTGACGCAGAATGGTGTGAACCCAGGAGGTGGAGCTTGCAGTGAGCCGAGATCACACCACTGCACTCCAGCCTGGGCAAGAGAGAGAAACTCCGTCTCAAAAAAAAAAAAAAAAAAAAGTTCTAGCATCCTTTTCACACAATAAAGTAATAAATTACTCTTTTATCTTTTAATCCAAGGACACTTTTAAATAATCTTGAATGCAAATGAGCCTTCACTGCAAACAGCATAATTTTTTTTTTTTCTCGAGACAGAGTCTTGCTCTGTCACCCAGGCTGGAGTGCAATGGCATGATCTTGGCTCACTGCACCCTCCACCTCCTGGGTTCAAGCGATTCTCCTGCCTCAGCCTCCCGAGTAGCTGGGATTATAGGTGCTTGCCACCATGCCAGGCTAATTTTTTGTATTTTTAGTAGAGATAGGGTTTCACCATGTTGGCCAGGCTCGTCTCAAACTCCTGACCTCATGATCCGCCCGCCCGCCTCAGCCTCCCAAAGTGCTGGGATTACAGGCATGAGCCACCGCACCCAGCTGCAAACAGTGTAATTTAAAAAAATTACTGGTTCAGACAAAATACTTCTACCTACCAATTTGATTGGTAAAAGACAAATCGCTATATGTTAAATATAGTTTTGTAAACTGCAAAATGTTTTTTGAGTACATAAGCCCCAGTTTTTAAATCAAAGGAAAAATAAATGATGTGTAAAAAAAAAATCACTTTTAGTCAATTTTAAGAATCAAAGAAACTATAAATGTATTATATGTAAAAGTACATACGTTATGTGTAACATAATGGGAATATAACAATCAAAGTCAATACAATGTATAATTAAAAGAATCTTCATATCATTTGGCAATGTTCCCTAGTGACCCAAACAGCATCTAATACAAAGACAGGCACATGCAACCCTTGCATTTAAGGCTGGACTAAAAATCTAGCACCAGGTACACAGGATAAGAAATAGTGTTTCTCATTTGAATTTTCCCACAAATCTTCCTTAATTCTAAGGATTGGAGCAGTTCCTTAAACTATATAATACAAATCTTTAAATATGCTAGAGTTCATTTCATTTCTATACTCAAAATGAAATCATAAGTAATTAAATCCAAGAATTCACTAAATTTAAGTTAGGATTTTATAGAGCCATTCCACTATGGTTTTTTTAGATGCTTGTAATCTTCAACTTGGCAGACAGGAATACATGTAGGGAGAACAATCTGAATATTGAGATACTTTAAAATTATATCCAAAAAATCTTTTCACTCACTGCAAAGCATATTTCCACACACTAAAAACCAGCTAGATATCACATAAAAATTACATGGTTTTGGCCGGTCGCGGTGGCTCACACCTATAATCCCAGCACTTTGGGAGGCCGAGGTGGGCAGATCACCTGAGGTTAAGAGTTCGAGACCAGCCTCAACACAGAGAAACCCCGTCTCTACTAAAAACACAAAATTAGCTGGGTGTGGTGGTGCATGCCTGTAATCCCAGCTACTTGGGAGGCTGAGGCAGAATTGCTTGAACCTGGGAGGCAGAGGTCGCGGTGAGCCGAGATAGCACCATTGCACTCCAGCCTGGGCAACAGGAGCGAAACTCCGTCTCAAAAACAAACAAAAAAAAACTACATGCTTTCTAATAAAATGATTAACATTCTAATTGGTTTCCACAGAGGAGTACACTATTTTCATTCAAAATATGTGTAGCTGTAAGGCAAGTAAAAATAATAAGTTTAAAGAAAAATTTAAACCAAATAGTAAAGAAGATTGTTAATTTAACTACAGATAAATGTACTTTATTTAGTCTCCTTGTTCAGCAGGCTAATATATGTGTTTCAAGGGGCTGAACAGCACTTATTTCAAATCATCTAATAACACAATTCAGGAGCCCAATTTAATGAATATATACACTCAAGGTATTTTCAGACTACATTATTTACTCTAAATACTGTGGATGGTTAACTACAGCTCAAACTAACACTAAAAATGTTTTAAAAATAAAAGCAAGCAGGCCGGGCATGGTGGCTGGCGCCTGTAATCCCAGCACTTTGGGAGGCAGAGGCAGGCAGATCACTCGAGGTCAGGAGTTCAAGACCAGCCTGGCCAACATGGTGAAACCCCAACTCTAATAAAAATACAAAAATTAGGCCAGGCGCAGTGCCTCATGCTTGTAATCCCAGCACTTTGGGAGGCCGAGGCGCACAAATCACGAGATCAGGAGTGAGACCAGCCTGGCCGACATAGTGAAACCCCGTCTCTACTAAAAATACAAAAATTAGCCTGGTGTGGTGGCAAGTGCCTGTAATCCCAGCTACTCGGGAGGCTAAAGCGGGAGAATCACTTGAACCGGGAAGGCAGAGGTTGCAGTGAGCTGAGACCATGCCACTGCACTCCAGCCCAGCCTGGGTGACAGAGTGAGACTCCGTCTCAAAAAAAAAAAAATACAAAAATTAGCCAGACATGGTGGTGTGCGCCTATAATCCCAGCTATTCAGGAGGCTGAGGCAGGAGAATCGCTTGAACCCAGGAGGAGGAGGTTGCAGTGAGCTGAGATCAAGCCACTGCACTCCAGCCTGGGTGACAGAGCAAGACTCTACCTCAAAAAATAAAAATAAAAATAAAAATAGGCCAGCACAGTGGCTCACACCTGTAATCCCAGCACTTTGGGAGGCTAAGGCAGGTGGGTCGCCTGAGGTCAGGAGTTCAAGACCAGCCTGGCCAACACAGTGACACCCTGTCTCTACTAAAAATACAAAAATTAGCCAGGCATGGTGGCACGGGCCTGTAGTCCCAGCTACTCAGGAGGCTATGGCACAAGAAGTGCTTGAACCCAGGAGGAGGTTGCAGTGAGCCAGGATCCTGCCACTGCACTCTAGCCTGGGTGACAGAGTGAGACTCCATCTCAAAAAAATGAATAAAAATAAAAATAAAAAAATAATGAAAATAAAAATAAAAGCAAAGGCTGGGCAAGCTGGCTCATGCCTATAATCCCAGCACTCTGGGAGGCCAAGGTGGGAGGATCACTTGAGCCCAGGAGTTCAAGACCAGGGCTGGGCAACATAGGGAGACCTTCCATCCCTATAAAAAATTAGTCGAGTGTGGTGGCACATACCTGTGGTTCTAGCTACTTTGCAGGCTGAGGTGGGAGGATCACTTGAGCTTGGGAGGTCAAGGCTGCATTGAGCCGTGATCCATCTTGGGTGACTCTGTCTCAATCAATCAGTCAGTCGATTAATAAAAGCAAAGAAATATATAGTCTCCAATTGGATATGCTGGTTTTCATGGAATATTTTCAATTTTTTAAAAATTTCAGTAAAATTTCAAACTAGGGGGAAAGGGAAACTTGAAAGACTATTTGGAAAAACCTCCTACATAAATTTTCCCAAAGGATTAGTGTTTACAGGATTTAAAATGTCCCATAAATCAAGCCTGAAACCTCTTCATAAGTATACCACACAATACAATCCCAGCAATCACGAGTCTGCAACAAAGGTAGTTAGAAAAAGGTGCCCTCCACACAAGCGAAACACTATCATTCTTCCTGGCAGTGAGCCCTATATTTTCCTCCAATCTGCCAGGGGCGTTCCTTTTGGGAAATAAAACCCATTTTATTATTTTTTATTATTTTGTATAATTATTCTGTATAATTTTTCTGTATTATTCTGTATTGCTTTATAATTATTCTGTGTAATTTTTAATGTTTTAAGATAACTCTGAATTTTTTGTTTTATTTTTAAAATGTGCAAAAGCCTATCATGCAAATAGATATTGGAAATCAGAATATTCAAAACCAGAGGTGGTTTCATAGACGGGATGGGGGTGGTATGGGTGGTATGGCCATAGACAAGAAGTGGTTTCATAGAAACCTTCTGGTCTCAAATGAAGAAGCGACGTAACAATGATACAGGCTACAGTGAGTCAAATTTGTTTAAGTCTAAAAATATCCCTAGTAGTCAGGAAAAGGAAATTCAATATTTTATATTGTGTCCCAGAGGTAAAGATATCTGAATATACATAAAATGTAATAGCTATTCCATCTATTTAACTCAGGAAAACCACTGTGATCAAACATTTTAAATCAGCAAAAACAAATTACATTTTTAAATGGGTCTCATTCTTTTTTTTTCCCCAGACGGAGTCTTGCTCTGTCCCCCAGGCTAGAGTGCAGTGGCACGATCTCAGCTCACTGAAACCTCCGCCTCCCAGGTTCAAGCAATTCCCCTGCCTCAGCCTCCCAAGTAGCTGGATCTACAGATGCACACCACCACACCTGGCTAATTTTTTGTATTTTAGTAGAGACGGGGTTTTACCATGTTCACCAAGCTGGTCTTGAACTCTTGACTTCGTGACCCGCCCGCCTCGGCCTCCCAAAGTGCTGGGATTATAAGCGTGAGCCACCGCACCCAGCCTCTTTAACAATATTTTTACACGAGGGGCTACCTCAGTTTACCTCCGCATAATCTTTAACCTAGTCTCTAAAACTGGAGATGGATGGGAAGAACTAAATTCGCAACTTACTTAAAATCTGAAAAGATAAAGATGTTAAATATTTTAAGGGTTTTATTCATTTGCTCATTCTAATTCAAGGAGTCGCCTTTGCAGACACCTCTCTCCCTCTCATAACTAAAAGACAGGAACCAATTGTATAACTCCTCCCTTCCCCCTTCAACCCAGCTAACATACAAAGGAAAGGACTTTCTCTATTGTGTCCCTGTAATGAATCTTTGTTAACTAAAACCCGATTCAGAAATAGTTCTCATTTAATTTTTTTAAATCCGCAAACTGAAAACTGTAAAAATAACAACAGATTTATTATTATTGCAAGAAAAGAAAAGCCAATTTTTGTAAATGTTCTGATTATGTTTTAAGGATTTGGTCTTTCTTTGGCACTGGGGAGGAAAAAGCCAAATCGCCATCCACCCCTCAATCTACTGTCCATTTAAAAACAAACAAACAAACAAAACTAATCAGAATGTAAATTTAAAAATAAATATAAAAATTTTTAAAGAACTGACTGACCTCTTTTTTCTGTTAAAATGTCTCTAAGCTGTCCCCAAAGCTGTCTGGTTTAATCTTTTTGTAAAATGCAAACACTTACTACAAAAGCCTAATCACTGTTAAGAGAACATTCATCTTGAAAACGTTTTATATAATGTATTCCCAGTGTACACCTCTTAATCCTGTAAAACAGTTATTAATGTAATCAGCTAGGGAAAAGGATAAGAGTAGGCACTTAAAGTTCAGTTTTAATATAGGTATTGCATGGTTTTTCTCATTCTGATTTGTACAAGACACCAGAAGTGAATACCATTTCATTTTCTTGCAGAGCCATCGTTCTGGTACAACTACCTTTTTATTCCTTTCACTTAAATTATTCAGATTTCACTTTTACTCCTAGTAGCAATCACACATTTTACAAAATATATCCCACAATAGGGATAAAAGGCCTTGAGTTCCTCCAAACAAGGTCCACTTAGCTCCACAGCTGGATCAGCAGGAACATTTCTTGTACATGCAGAAAGATAAACAAGAAACCAGAAATAGACATTACCTGGATTTTGGGGGGTGAGGGGAGGAAGTGTGGCAACTGGGAATTCCAGGGTCAGGGGTGGAGATTTTTCTCTGTATACCTTTCACATGCTTTGAACCCATAAAAATGTACTGTCTATTTAAACAACTAAATAGATTTGTTTAAAAATGAAAAAAAAAAACCTTTAAAATAAAAGAATTTCAGGGACACATGATCTGCTTAGTTTTAAAATAACCTGCTTTTATCAGTAGCATCTGCTTTTACTCTGCAATAGGTAAGATACTCCTTTGAATGCAGTCGTGAGCAAACTGCCAGCTAAGCCGTTTTTAATACAGTAATGTTCCTCCAGACTGCCGCTTTCCAAGGCAGCTCGAATCCTCCGCCCCCTCCTCCCTCTGTGCATTCTGAGATCGGCTCTGCTGATTCCCACATAAAGTGGGTCCTGGCCGCCATTTTAGAAAGTCATTCACACAAGCCAGACCGCAGCACCGTCCACTAAGAACCCTTCCAAAGCTGCCTGGGACGATTTCCTCTTTCTTCTCTCTGCCCCCTCATCTTGCAGAGGGGCCAAACTCCCAGCCATAAGCATGCAATGTCTCTGGAATCTGCATAATGAGAAATGACACGTCTAGGCACATAACACTGAGGAGCGAGCGAATGCTGCAATGCACGTGCTTGTACATCGGTGCATACGAATTTCCCAGGCAGAGACCTACAGAGAAAGTCCACAGGGGATTAAAGTGAGCACATCTAAGTGGTTTTTCCACTCCAATAATGTACACCTAAATGATTTTTCCATCAAAACACTGACGATACTCGAGGAGAAGCCAGGAGGTGGGGGGCGGGTAAGGGGTGGAGCAGCGCCAGGAAGAGAAAGTTCCCATCTGCTTCCCAATCCAGCCCGTGGTCTCCCCTTCATCCTAGGGCACAGAGGTGAATTTTTGCTCCCTGCCTCCCCCCGCCCCCGCCTGGTTTCTCAGGCACGACGTAGTAAACACCGGGAGAGTCCCTGGAAGCGCGCACCTCCCCCCGGCCTGCCGAGGACAGCTCAAGCAGGTTATGAATGGCCCCACGATTCCCGGCTCCTTTTCACACGCGGACACGCGCAGACGCGCGCTCCAGCGGCGAGGGTTTAATGCCCCAGTAACAGCAACCACCAACACAATCAATGATCCTCCATTTAAAAGACAGGAGCTCCGCCGCCGCTGCTTCCATTTCCTTATCCAAGCGGCTCAAAGCGAGCGACGCAATCTATTTTTCCCATGGTGACTCATTAATGAGGACGCTCCATAATTTCCTTCACTCACTACATAGTAAGGGAAATTAAAAGCCAAACTTAAAACCTTCCAGGGTCTTAAATATCGGAATAAACTGTCATTTTCGAGGACAACCACAGATTTGCTATGGTCCCTCTGAATCTGCACCAAGTCCAAGCCAATCGTCATTTTAATAAGTGTTTTATGCGGAGGCCTATCTGTTACGGTACACAGGCATTTCACAAAGAAAACGCACTACACGCTACTCAATAAGATGTATCAACGACAACATTTATTCTTATAATTCACAAAAATATTCAGGGGAGGTTTTTTTTTTAAGCTACATCTTCTCATCGTAAAAGGTTTGGAATGTTTTACCGTTTGATTCGGGAATTCAGGGGTGGGGGGCACCAGGGTCTTAGGGCGGCCTGGGAGTGCGACCCGAGGCTACGGGCGCCGGGGCTAGCAACCTCCTGTCAGACGCGGTCTCCTCCGCCGGGGACGAGGAAGCCCAAACGGGCGCACCAACTTATTTCACACCACTCTCCACCCAGCCCCGCAAAAACGAGAAACGTTTGCCATTCCCAGTGAGTTTCAAGGCTGCAAATCCTCCGGAGAGGTCCTAGATGGTCTCTCCGGGTCCGCGACGCGACCACAGTACCTACTGCGACTTCTGTTTTCGCACCGCCTTTCCCTTCGCACGGAACCCTCCCGAAGTCAGACATTGCCGAGCGCCCGCAGAGCAGCTTGGAGTGGCGGCGCCGGACCCGGCTGTCGGGCGGGCTCGGGTCCCGGCTGCTCCGGGCCGGGCACTGCGCGCAAGGACGCGACCCCGCCGCCCAGCGCATCTCCCACCGACTCCCGGGCTGACGCGAGGGCAGCCCCGGGGCGCCGGCTGCGTGGAGGCCGAGCCTCGGTCACCTCCCTCGTCACGGACGCGGCCGCCGGGGCCCCGCGGGCTCTTCGAAGGCGGCGCGGCTTGGCCGCCCGCACCGCCGACACCCGAGGCCCAACGCCGCGACGCGGGCCGAGCGGCTGACGAGGTCCCACAGCGCCCGTGGGTCCGGGCCGGAGTCCTCCTCACCAGCTCCGCGCTCCGGGAGGGGCCGGCAACGGGCCGGGGCGGGAAGCGGCGCCCGAGGAGCGAGCGCGGCCGCGGGCCTCGTGTCACTCACCGTTTGAAATGCTCGATGATCTTCTCTTCCCGCACGTTCTCGGGTAAGTTGCCCACCCAGAGATGCCTGGTTTCCCGGACCATGCTGGGCGGCGTGCCGGCGACCGCCGCTGCTGGCTCCCCCTCGCCGGCTTCGTACGAGACCGTCAGCGCCGGGAGGCGGGTGCCGGGGCGGCGGCGGCGGCGGCTGCGGCGGTGGCGTCGGCAGCGGCGGCGGCTCCTCCGGCTCCCCCCCGTGCAGAGACCATCCCTCTCCCCCAGGTTCTGACTCTCGGGCCTCGCAGCTCAGCTCTGCCGCCACCACACACCCGAAGCCGACCCTCGCGCTCCGGCAGCGCATGCGCCCGGGCAGGGGCGGGCGGGGGAGCGGGAGGAGGGGCGAGCGGGACACGGGCGGCAGCGACTACGACGGAGCTGGCGCTGTGGCAGCCGGACGCTTCCCACTGGCGCGCGCGGCCCGACTCCCGCCGCCGCACTGCCTCCCCCTCGCCGCGGGCGCGCGCGCGTCCTCCCGCCTGCCAAGGCGGAGAAGCTGAGTTCCTCCCAGCCGGCGCGCAGGCGCGCGGACCGGGCGACGAAGTGAGGGACTACAGGCGGGGAAGGAACGCTCGCGCGCTCGGCCCCGGTGCGCAGGCGCGCAGCTGCTAGTGGAGTCCCGCTGCTTGGCGGGCTCTCGGTCGGGTTCCCGCGCCGGGCAAGGGGCGGCTGAGGAAGCAGGAGCGGTCTTTAGCCCCTCCAGCGGCAACCCCAGGCCCCGGCCTGGTGGAAGATATGAAGAGAAATGCAATTGGTTTCCACAGGGCTACGGGTCAAAGCGGCTGCCAAGGCCTGTCCCCTAGAAGTCAGGACCCCTTCGTCCTCCGCTCACCTGGCGGCCAGCTCCTGGCGTTTCCGGACACTTAGATTCCTGCCTGCTTGGGAAAGCGATCAGAAAAAGGTTGCCCTTCTCACCGCTCTGCTGAACAGCGACGGCTTCAGAAACGCATCCCATCCAAGAGTCACTGGCTTGTAACATGAAGCAACTTTTTTTTTTTTAATACGGGGTCTCGCTCTGTTGCCCAGGCTGCTGGAGTGCAGTGGCACGGTCTCGGCTCACTGCAATCTCCGCCTCCCAGACTCAAGCGATTCTCCTGCCTCAGCCTCCCAAGTAGCTGGGATTACAAGCACCCGCAACCACACCTGGCTAATTTTTGTATTTTTATTAGAGACAGGGTTTCACCATGTAGGCCAGGCTGGTCTTGAACTCCTGACCTCAGGTGATCCGCCCGCCTCGGCCTCCTAAAGTACTGGGAGTACAGGCGGGAGTCACTGCACCTGGCCTAAGCAACTTTTTTATATAGAATCTTGCGAAACCGTTTGCAAGATACCCTTGCTGATCGCTGTGGTATAGAAGGAATAAAACGGAAATGAGACAGGAATCCAATATTGTTCCCCTCAGACCATAATTTAATATTTAAACAGAGAAAGGAATTAGACCTCTGGCCTTTCCAGGCCTAAGAGCTTTTGAAACCTACAGTTGAACTTTCTTTTTTTTTTTTTTTCCTTTGAGACGGAGTTTTGCTTTTGTTGCCCAGGCTGGAGTGCAATGGTGTGTTCTCGGCTTACTGCAACCTCTGTCTCCTGGGTTCAAGCGATTCTCCTGCTTCAGCCTCCTGAGTAGCTGGGATTACAGGCATGCGCCACCATGCCCGGCTAATTTTTGTATTTTTAGTAGAGACAGTTTCTCTGTGTTGGTCAAGCTGGCCTCGAACTCACAACCTCAGGTAATCCACCCGCCTCAAGCCTCCCAAAGTGCTGGGATTACAGGCTTGAGCCACCACGCCCAGCCTCTTTTTTTTTTTTTTTCCTGAGACCAAGTTTCACTCTTGTTAGCCAAGCTGGGGCACAATGGCGCTGTCTCAGCTCACTGCAACCTCCGCCTCCCAGGTTCAAGCGATTCTCCTGCGTCAGCCTTCCGAGTAGCTGGAATTACAGGCGCGCACCACCACACCAGGCTAGTTTTTTGTATTCTTAGTAAAGACGGGGTTTCACCATGTTGGCCAGGCTGGTCTTGAACTCCTGACCTCAGGTGATCTGCCCACCTTGGCCTCCCAAAGTGCTGGGATTACAGGCGTGAGCCACCATGCCCGGCCAGTTGAACTTTTATATAAAGGCCAATTTACAGAAATTCAAGGAAAACCCATAAAATTAAGGTAACTATATCGAGAGAAAAATAAAATTATTTATAATAAAAATACACAGAAATACCAGAGGTGTGCTGCTTCAGGTGCAAGCCAGATTTTTTTTTTTTTTTTTTTTTTTTTTTTGGAGACGCAGTCTCACTCTGTCACCAGGCTGGAGTGAAGTGGTACCATCTCTGCTTACTGCATCCTCCGTCTCCCGGGTTCAAGCAATTCTCCTGCCTCAGCCTCCCAAGTAGCTGGGACTACAGGCGCAAACCACCACGCCCAGGTAATTTTTTTACGTTTAGTAGAGGCGGGGTTTCACCATGCTATCCAGGATGGTTTCGATCTCTTGACCTGGTGATCTGCCCACCTCAGCCTTCCAAAGTGCTGGTATTACAGGCATGAACCACCAGCCCAGCCAATTTTAAATACTTGGCCTCATCGATTATCTCCTTAAATACAAACTAACTTACAAACGACACTATTTGAATTCGAAAATATTGTCACCAAAACCAATGGCACTAATATCTCAGGTCACCTATGCATAACTAAATTGTTTCTTTGTAGTCTCAGCTACTGGAGAGGCTAAGGCAGAAGCATCATCTGAGTCCAGGAGTTCCAAGCTGTAGTGCACTATGATTGTGCCTTGAAAAGCCCCAGCACTCCAGCCTCAGCAACATAGGAGAAACCCCTCTCTTAAAAAAAGAAAAAAAAAAGTAAAATTGGCTATTTACATCTGGCCATTTCTCTGTCACAATTATCACATAAGGAAAGTCAAGCTAACACCCTACTAACGAAACTCATGAACTATTCAGTACTGTGAACGTGGCTGCAGTTAGTCAACTGTTGAACTGATATGCATTTTTCTATGAAGCATGAATTTGAATACAAGCACCCAAGTTTGAAGCAAATTTTAAAATCTGATGTAAAATCTGATAGACTGAATTAGCTGAAACCTCTTGGGAAAGACCAGTGTCACCATGAAGAACAGTGTCACCTCAATTGTATTAAAAGGTGCAACTGACAAGAGGATTCAGAAAAGTGTCTCGCAATTAGAGAAATAAAAGGCATGTCTCGCCTTGAATGGAGGCTTCTGTTAAAATCATGATTTTAAAAAAAAAAAAAAAAGAGCCGGGTGCGGTGGCTCACGCCTATAATCCCAGCACTTTGGGAGGCTGAGATGGACGGATCACCTAAGGCCAGGGGATCAAGACCAGCCTGGCCAACGTGGTGAAACCTGGCCTCTACTAAAAATACAAAAATTAGCCTGGCGTGGTGGTGCTCACCTGTAATCCCAGCTACTCGAGAGGCTGAGGCAGGAGAATCACTTGAACCCGGGAGGCAGAGGTTACAGTGAGCCGAGATCGTGCCACTGCACTCCAGCCTGAGCGACAGAGTGAGACTCAGTCTCAAAAAAAAAAAAAAAAAAAAAAAACCATTTTCACCATTATAGCCAGGTCCTGTAGTCAAATCAGGATATAGTGATTGCATGTCAAGTATGAAGTTTCTTGCTTTTTTTTTTTTTTGGTTGACTGTTTCTATTGCAAAAGCTCTTAATAACAAAACTGATAAGTACATGCCCTTTGCTCAGCCCCAAATCAAGTTTTTGATTTTCTCAGTGCTTTTCATTTTTGCTGACAATGCATCAAAAAACACCAGAAAAGCTTTTCTCCATTTGTATTCCTGTTACAAAGCTTTACAGGGGCAGAACTTCTTTAAAGCATGTATCTTTGTTATGTTTTCAATAGAAAGGCAACCCACTCTGTTATTCTCTGATGTTTTTTTATTTAACAATAATTGATGCTCACTGAAAAAGATCAAAAAGTAGGTTGTGATTTATCTATGATAAACGGATGGTGAAGTGAATTTCCTCATTTGATTACTAAAGATAATTCAGAAAGCTGACATTAAAGCAGAGCCATTTGCAAAGTGGAATTAAAATAGATTTGTTTTTAATCAGGTTTTATTTTCACACTGTGAGGAGCTGCTGTATTTAGCATGCTAGACATGCTCAAAGAGTTCAGTCATGCGTAATGAAAGCTCAGATGGAAAAAGCGTCTGAGCCTCCAACTCAGGCTTTGAATGCTAACCCAGCCAGTAGAGTAGTAAAATAATATCTCCATTTAAACAGGACAGGATAGTTATCAGATTTTAACAAGAATTTGGTTACAAGTCAGGTCCCAAGCTATTAAAATTAAGCTGTTTCAGGAGAAAACATGCACTTAAAATATAAGCATTTTGGCCGGGCCTGGTGGCTCACGCCTGTAATCCCAGCACTCTGGGAGGCCGATCATAAGGTCAGGAGATCAAGACCATCCTGGCTAACACAGTGAAAACCCATCTCTACTAAAAATACAAAAAATTAGCCGGGCATGGTGGTATGCACCTGTAGTCTCAGCTACTCGGGAGGCTGAGGCAGGAGAATCGCTTGAACCCGGGAAGCAGAGGTTGCAGTGAGCCCAGATCACGCCACTGCACTCCAGCCTGGGCAACAGAGCGAGACTCTGTCTCAAAAAAAAAAAAAAGAAAAAAATATATATATATGCATTTCTTCTTTTTTTATTTTGAGACAGTCTTGCTCTGTTGCCCAGGCTGGAGTGCAGTGGCGTGATCTGGGGTCACTACAACCTCCACCTTCCAGGTTCAAGAGATTCTTGTGCTTCAGCCTCCTGAGTAGCTGGGACTACAGGTGCCTGCTACCACGCCCGGCTAATTTTTGTGTTTTTAGTAGAGATGGGTTTTCACCATGTTGGCCAGGCTGATCTCGAAACACTGACCTCAAGTGATCCACCTGCCTAGGCCTTCCAAAGTGCTGGGATTACAAGTGTGAGCCACTGCGCCCAGCCCAAAATATAAAAATAAAATAAAATATATATAAAATATAAAAAAAATTCTTCTTTTTTTCTTTTGAGATGGAGTCTTGCTCTGTCGCCCAGGCTGGAGTACAATGGTGCCACCTCAGCTCACTGCAACCTCCACCTCCCAGGTCCACACGATCCTCCCACCTCAGACTCCCTAGTAGCTAGGACTAAGGTGCACACCACCACACCCAGCTAATTTTTGTATTTTTAGTAGACACAGGATTTCACCATGTTGGCCAGGCTGGTCTGGAACTCCTGACCACAGGAGATCCACCTGCGTATTTCTTCTTAAAGGCATCATATAAAATATATAAAAGGCATCATATAAAATCATATAACTGGCCAGGCACAGTGACTCATGTCTGTAATCCTAGCACTTTGGGAGGCCGAGGCGGGTGGATCACAAGGTCAGGAGTTCAAGACCAGCTTGGTCAAGATGGTGAAACCCCATCTCTACTAAACATACAAAAAAATTAGCCAGGTGTGGTGGCGGGCGCTTAGAATCCCAGCTACTCGGGAGACTGAGACAGACAATTGCTTGAACCCAGGAGGCAGAGGTTGCAGTGAGCCAAGATCGTGCCAGTGCATTCCAGCCTGGACGACAGTGAGACTGCATCTCAAAAAATAAGTAAATAAAATAAAATAAAATAATATAATATTAACTAGCTATAAAATGAACAAAGCCCCAACCACATGAGAATTTGACAATACCAACAAACTCGTACTATTAGAACCAAATTTTTTCCCCAAAATAACAGAAAATAAAACGCAACACCACTGTAATATTATTAAAGGGTGTTTGATCTCGGCAGTGAGCCAAGATCGCGCCATTGCACTCCAGCCTGGGCAACGAGCGAAACTCCATCTCTAAATAAATAAATAAATAAATAAATTATCAGAACTCCAAAGAATTGAAAATATTAGCTAGCTAGTCCTCTAGTTCTTTTTTTTTTTTTTTTTTTTTTTTTTGAGACAGGGTCTCCCTCTGTCGCCCAGGCTGGAGTATAGTGGTGCAATCTTAGCTCACTGCAACCTCTGCCTCCCAGGCTCAAGCCATCCTCCCACCTAGTAGCAGAGTCTACAGGCGCACACCACCAGGCCCAGTTAATTGTTTTTGGTATTTTTTTGTAGAGGCGTCTCCATATTGCCCAGGCTGGTCTTGAACTCCCGAACTCAAGGGATCTGCCAGCCTTGGCCTCCCAAAGTGCTGGGGTTATAGGTGTGAGCCACTGCACCCAGCGCAGATCCATTCTTTAAGCAAGCTAATACTTTATAACAGAGCCAGGCACGGTTGGCTCACGCCTGTAACCCCAGCACTCTGGGAGGCCCAGACAGGTGGATCACCTGAGGTCAGGAGTTCCAGACTAGCCTGGCCAATATAGTGAAACCCCGTCTCTACTAAAAATACAAAAATTAGCTGGGCATGGTGGCATGCACCTGTAATCCCAGCTACTCAGGAGTCTTAGGCAGGAGAATCACTTGAACCTGGGAGGAAGAAGTTGCAGTGAGCCTGGGCAACAGAGTGGACTCCGATAAAAAAAAAAAACACTTCATATGGTACTTTACTGTTCAACCCTCTAAGAAAGCTAAATAATTTATTCCGTGTTATTTTTAGTTTTTCAGAAATGAATATACTGGCTGATATATTTTTAAATCAGTTCTTAAGTTTCTACCATTGTTTATTTCTGGAAAGTTGCTAAAAGTAACATTTTTCCCCCTGTGAGGAAATACTGGCAATATACTTAATACTAAGAATTACTAATGCAGTTTACCAATATTTGTGTAATTGAGTGGAAAATAGACTGGAAAGATATTTGCAAATGTTAATCATGGTTAATGCCTATGTGGTAGAATTTGAATTTTTTAAAAAAATTTTATTCCTGGCTGGGAGCAATGGCGCATGCCTGTAATCACAGTACTTTGGGAGGCTGAGGCCAGTGGATCACCTGAGGTCAGGAGTTCGAGACCAGCCTGGCCAACATGGTGAAACCCCGTCTCTACTAAAAATACAAAAATTAGGGCCGGGCGCGGTGGCTCACGCCTGTAATCCCAACACTTTGGGAGGCCAAGGTGGATAGAACACAAGGTCAAGAGTTTGAGACCAGCCTGGCCAATATGGGGAAACCCCGTCTCTAATAAGAATACAAAAATTAAGGCCGGGCACAGTGATTCACACCTGTAATCCCAGCTACTCGGGCGGCTGAGGCAGGAGAACTGCTTGAACCCAGGAGGCAGAGGTGGCAGTGAGCCAAGATCACACCACTGCACTGCAGCCTGGGCAACAGAGCAAGACTCTGTCTCTAAAAAAAAAAAAAAATTATCTGGGCAGGGTGGCGTGTACCTCTAATCCCAGCTACTTGGGAGGCTTAGGCAGGAGAATCGCTTGAACCCGGGAGGCAGAGGTTGCAGTGAGCTGAGATCATGCCACTGCACTCCAGCCTGGGTGACAGAGCAAGACTCCATCTCGAAAAAAAAAAAGAATACAAGTGCCTGGCACGGTGGCTCACACCTGTAATCCCAGCACTTTGGGAGGCCGAGACGAGCGGATCATGAGGTCAGGAGACAGAGACCATCCTGGCTAACACGGTGAAACCCCGTCTCTACTAAAAATACAAAAAATTAGCCGGGCTTGGTGGCGAGTTCCTGTAGTCTCAGCTACTCAGGAGGGTGAGGCAGGAGAATTGCTTGAACCTGGGAGGTGGAGGTTGCCATGAGCCGAGATCGCGCCACTGCACTCCAGCCTGGGCAACAGAGTAAGACTCCATCTCAAACAAAAAAAAAAATTAGCCGGGCATGGTGGTGGCCACCTGTGATCACAGCTACTTGGGAGGCTAAGGCAGGAGAATCACTTGAACCCGGCAGGCAGAGGTTGCAGTGAGCCGAGATCAAGCTACTGCACTCCAGCCTGGGCAAAAGAGTAAGACTCCATCAAAAAAAAAATTATTCCTCTATATTTTCTAAGTTTTTCTTTGGTTAACAGGTATTACTTTTATTTTATTATTCTTTGAGATCGGGTTGCTCTGTTTCCCAGGCTGGAGTGCAGTGGTGTGATCACCTTACTGCAGCCTCAACCTCCTGGGCTTAAGCAATCCTCCAGCCTTAGCCTCCTGAGTAGCTGGGACCACAGGCCCATGCCACCACACCCGGCTTTTTTTTTTTTGAGACCAGGTCTCACTCTGTCACCCAGGCTGGAGTACAGTGGTGCAATCTTGGCTCACTGCAATCTCCGCCTCCTGGGTTCAAGGGATTCTCCTGCCTCAGCCTCCTAAGTAGCTGGGACTACAGGCGCACACCACCACACCCAGCTAATTTTTGTATTTTTAGTAGAGACGGGGTTTCGCCATGTTGGCCAGGATGGTCTCAATCTCCTGACCTTGTGATCCTCCCGCCTCGGCCTCCCAAAGTGCTGGGATTACAGGCGTGAGCCACTGGGTGCGGCCCCCTAAGTTTTTGTCTTTTTTAAAAGAGATGGTGTCTGACCATATTGCCCAGGCTGGTCTGAAACTCCTGGTCTCAAGCAATCCTCCAGACTCAGCCTCCCAAAGTGCTGGGATTATAGAAGTGAGCCACCAAGCCCTGTCAGGTATTGCTTTTATAATCTGAAATTAAAAAGTTATAATAAAATGACTTGGGCCGCTCTCGGTGGCCCACACCTGTAATCCTAGCACTTTGGGAGGCGAAGGCAGGTGGATCACCTGAGGTAGGGAGTTCAAGACCAGCCTGACCAACATGGAGAAACTCCATCTCTACTAAAAATATAAAATTAGCCAGGCCTAGTGGTGCATGCCTATAATCCCAGCTACTCAGTAGGCTGAGGCAGGAGAATCGCTTGAACTTCGGAGGCAGAGATTGCAGTGAGCCAAAATTGCACCATTGTACTCTAGCCTAGGCAAGAAGAGCAAAACTGCGTCTCAAAACAATAAAAAATAAAATAAATGACTTTTGGAAGTCAGCATCTGGGTCACTTTAGCTAAGGGTTCCCCTGAAATGTTGATAGTTAACTGCATTAAATTACATATATATTAACAAATCCCACATGAACAAAATGTTATTACTCTCTATGTTAACTCAGATATTTTATTTAACTTTTTTTTTCTTTTTGAGAGAGTGTCATTCTTTCACTCCTGCTAGAGTGCAGGGGTAGGATCATAGCTCACTGCAACCTCAAACTCCTGGGCTCAAGGGATCCTCCCCCTCCAACCACCGGACTACAGGCGAATGCCATGGTGCCAGGCCCTCACTCAACCTTTTAAGACCCTACTGGTAATCTCCATTATTAAAAAGCTTAACTGTTTCACCATAAGTGATAATCACATTAGCCAAAACACCCAGGCCTAGGAGATTGTAACTTCTGTAACATCAAGACACAAGCAGAACGTAAATAACGCAAATCAAAACTTCTTTTTTCTTTTTTTGACGGAGTCTCCCCCCCGTCGCCCTGTCTGGCGTACAGCGTCGCGATCTCGGCTCCCTGCAACCTCCCCCTCCTGGGTTCAACCAATTCTCGTGCCTCAGCCTCCCGAGTAGCTGGGATTACAGGCACCGGCCACCACGCCTGGCTAAATTTTGTATTTTTAGCAGAGACGGGTTTTCACCGTGTTGGCCAGGCTGGTCTCAAACTCCTGACCTCAAGTGATCCCCTGCCTCAGCCTCCCAAAGTGCTGGGATTACAGGCGTGAGCCACCAAAACCGGCCAAGACTTCTGATTAATTCAGAGAAGGCTATCAAACTGCATTTGATGAAATCTCAAAAACAATACCAAATAAATTGTGTTTAGTAGCTTTTACATATGGATGGAAATTTTCAGCAGATTTGTTTGAAGCTCTTCTGCTGCTCCTCTCAGACACCTAGCTGTAGTTTGAAGTAAATAATTCAAACAGGCCTGGACCAGTGGGTCACACCTGTAACCCCAACACTTTGGGAGGCTGAGGTGGGAGGATCACTTGAGCCCAGGAGTTCCAGACCAGCTTGGACAACAAGGCAAGACCCTTGTCTCTACAAAAAATTTAAAAATTAGCCGGGTGTGGCGGTGCGCCTGCAGGTGGGCGAATCCATTGAGCCCAGGAGGTCGAGGCTACAGTGAGTTCTGTTCGTGCCACTGTACTCCAGCCTAGACGACACAGAGAGACTCTGTCTCTAAATAAATAAATAAATAAATCCATCTCCAGGATCCTATTAGACAGCACAAAAGAACTTTGATATGCCTATTTCAAATTATAAAACATACACGCCACAAATTTTCTTCCTCTTATTTAGTAGTCAGTGGTATCATTACCGTAGGAACGCCGATTTTAAAGACTCTATTAAGCATAAATTATGTTAAGACAGAATCTATAACAAATTCTACGAATTCAAGAGACAGTTAACCTGGTCATTTCCAAGCCTCAAATTACAGCCTTGTCAGAATTCTATTGCTTGCTGGTACTTCAACACCCTCTAGATAAGTTTCATATACTGAGTTCCTAGGAGGACTCTGACACCAACTCACAGTTCCCACCGGGCAATGAGCTCGCCCTTTGTTAGGGGCCACGGAGCGGCTCCGCCCAGCGCGCTGCCCCGGCCCGACCCCGGGCTGGCGCGGTCAGTGGTGCACGCGCACCCGCCCCAAGTCAGCACCTTCCGAGAGCCATAGGGTCGTCGCGCGGCTCACCCCGCGATTGCGGCGTCCACGCTGGCCTCTAAGAGCCCCCGATGTGCTTTCTTCTCGAAAAAGCTCCCTTTTTAAAGCCTTGCACCTACAGGGACTCGGGGGTGCGTCACAAGACAATACGTCTAGGGAGGCGGCTAGGCGGGAGGCAATTCGTCTAGGGAGACCGCGCAGGCGGGAGGCAGAGGCAAGCCGCCCGGGTTCCCCGAATTTTGCACGCGGGGGAAGTTCATTACACAAGAGGGTTTTTTTTCGTTTTGGTTTGGCTTTTTGTATTTTGAAGAACCCATAACCCTGGTAATAATTTCCACCACACCCCTAAAGGACAAGAATGAGGGGAGGCACTGAACGAAGAGGAAGTGCGGTCCACTATGGTTACCACCGCCCAGCTCAATTCGGCAGAGGGAGAAGCAGCTGCGGCCTAGGCCCTCTGCACCCACGCACCGAGGCCGAGGCCAGGGCCCGCCCCGCCGGCCTGAGTGGAGGACTGTGGCGGGCACTAGGAGCCCCACCCCGTTCCAATGAAAATGACACCTTTTAAAACCATTTTGATTTTTTTTTTTTTTTTAAAGGCCGGGCGTGGCGGCTCACACCTGTAATCTCAGCACTTTGGAAGGCCCTGGCGGAAGGATCTCTTGACGTCAGGACTTCCAAAACAGTTGGGCAACACAGCAAGACCCCGTTCCCAGGCTGGGGGCAAAGCCGGGCTCGGTGGCTCACGCCTGTAATTCCAGCACTTTGGGAGGCCGAGGTGGGCGGATCACCTGAGCTCAGGAGTTCGAGACCAGCCTGACCAACATGGTGAAACCCATCTCTACTAAACATACAAAAATTACCCGAGCGTATTGGCGGGCGCCTGTAGTCCCAGCTACATGGGAGGCTGAGGCAGGAGAATCGCTTGAACCCGGGAGGCGAAGGTTGCAGTGAGCCGAGACTGCGCCACTGCACTACAGCCTGGATGACAAGAGACTCCCGTCTCAAAAAAAAAAAAAAAAAGACACCTTTCTTTGGGCTTAGTGAGCAAACATTCTACGCAGTGCCTAATATAAGCCGGCCCAGGCACCACCCAAGCCTTCGGCCAGGACTGTTTTCCCGTTTCGAGAAGGCTCCATCACACTCCACACGGGATCCAGTCAACAGCCGTTCCAAACATGGCGCGGGAAGGGGTGGAAGACAAGCCAGCGCGACGCCGTCCAGCCTCATCCCCGGGGCACAAAGGGGAGACTAATCTCCAGGAAACTCGGGGTACAGAATCGATAACCCCACAAGAAACTAGTTTCCGCGAGTGGGCCTTAAGGAAAAAGTAGGTCGGGCACAAGCGAGCTGTTCAGACGCACTTCACAGCAAAGACTCGCGGACAACACAGCGAGACGAAAACGGCCCCGTGCGCAGGCGCGCGGAAACACGACTAGCGCGCTTCGGGACGACCCCTCCCCCTTCCCTCAAAGGCCAAGGAAGTGGCTCCGACGCGCTTGCGCGAGGACGGAATGTTGAGGGGAGGGGGAATTCTTTCCCTTCATTGTCAGAGAGAACCGCCCCCGCACGGCGAGCGCGCGCGCGCTCACGCACCACTCTCACACTCCGGCGCGCCAAAGGCTTTCCGCTTGGCGTCTCGCGCATGCGCGGAGGGGGAAGCAGTGGCGAAATTGGATGCTTTTTGCTGAGTTTCTCAGAGAAGTTTCTGGAAAGATGGAGCCAAAGGGACGCTGGGGGGTGGGGAGCGCCAGGAAGCAAGCGTTTGAAAGAAAGCGAAAAAACCCAAGCGCACCGCGACACCTCCAACCTTCAAGCCACGGCCCAAGCAGAGCCCAAGGCCACTGAGACCCTCACGCCAGAGAAAAAGCACAGGGACCGCGGCAGCCGCTCCTCCCTCTGCCACTGCTCAGCCCCCGAGACTCCCCAGCACGGGGAGAGGGCAGGGGGTAGCCATGAGAAACCTAGAGCGCTCACTGGACTTTTGCGAGGTGGAAGGAAAGCCGAAACCCGCCCTTTGGAGCCGCCTGTGCGCACGGGCCCCGTCGAGTGGGCTCAGTACGTTAGGACTCAGCGTGGCCGCCAAAGCATTGGTTGGGGGCGTCTTTCACTAATTTTTCCTAGGTTTTCTCTTCTATCGGGCTCTGTGGTCCTTTCACCACCCATCTTCACTTTGGTGGCCTGACGCTAACGCTGCGAGTTGGGGAAACCGTAGTAACCCCGGGCCTGAGGGGCGTCCCGGGCGGCGGTGCTCCGTTTCTTCCAGCGGTTGCCCCTTTAAGAAAAAGCCCCCCGGAGAGGGGCCCGTGTGGCTGAGTAAAGGTGGCGTGCGCCCGCACAAAGGCGCCGCGTTGTTGGCGGGCTCCGGACCCTGTTGCCCCTGGGCGGGGCGGCGTGGGAAGACCGGGGCGCCTGGGCGGGGAGAACGACGTTGGCGCTAGCGGGGCAGGGCAGGGGGAGGGAGTCACGGGATTTAGCAGGTGCTTCTCCGCGACCGAGCGACTGCCATTTTGTGGTGCGGCCGCCGCCATTTCGCGCGGCCGAGGGGCGGGGTGTGGGCGGAGCGGCGGGCGCGCCCGGGCTGTCCCTCGGGGCGGCGGGCTAACGCGGCCGCTTTGTTCTTCGCTTCTCGGCTCGAGGCCCCAGTCTCGACCGCCGACCGCCTCGGAACCGGGCTGCATCCGAGCTGCCACGCGGCGTGTGAACCTTGAAGCGCGGCCGGGGAATCCGCAAGGCGCCGACTCTCTTCCTCCTTGCAAGCCCTTCGAAAGTGAGATTTCTCACCCCACCCTTGCAGGGTGGAGAGAACACGTTTCAAAAAGGGGATGCCTAGAACTCAGCCGTGGGAAGTGCCTGTCTAAAGCCTTGTGCTGGTGCCAGTAGCAAACCCGTGCGCGTGCTCGGCTTTGAGCGATCATGGAGCTCTGCAAATAGCTCAACTGCAGAGCGTGCCCCTTAGAGCTCCTGTGCTGCTGGGAGGCCTCATAAAGGTGCCAAAACCAGGTGTCCCCAGCGGTTGGCCTCTTTAAAAAGAAAAAAAAAAAAAGGCGGAGTGGGATGTCCTTGACGTGCTGAAAGACGGAGTAGAATGAGACGTTGGTTTTCATTGGCTGGCCATTAAGCACGCACTGCGCAACTGTTTTCCAGATACGGGTTTATAGCCCATTATTTATATCGGAGCCATAAACTTGAACAATAGATTGGAATATCTTATTTTTGCCTGTTGAGAATATCTCCCATTTAACTTCTTTTGAAAGTTCAGATGAGTATATAAATAATACATTGACCCAGTAGAATCTATTGTGTGCGTTCCAGCGTCATTTCAAAGAGCTATTGTTTTTCTGATTTCAAAAGAAATATTTAAATGTGAGTCTTTGTGTTTTAATGTTAACCTTGTGGTTCGAAATCAACAAAGCCAGGAAATTCAAGAGAACTGCTGCTAAATTTGTCTTCTTCCTTTGCTTTCGTACAAGGTTTTTTTGTTTAATTTTTTTTAAGTTTTTCTTCACAGCGTGAGTACATAGAAGAGCCAGCCCTTTATATTCTTACTATGTATAATTATAGGGAGTTATTTCAGTAACAGGAGGTAAAGCTCATAATGATAGGATGAAAAGGTAAAAGAACATCTGTTGAAGGAATCGATCAGGATTTGATGGCTTCCAGATGAAAGAAATATCTGAGAAGAGGCTTTTGGATTCCAAATAATTTAGTTTCATTATGACCAAAAGCACTGCATAGAGCTTTAAATTTTTATACCGTATCTTTTGACATCAACTATCCTTTTTTTTTTTTTTTTTTTAAGACAAGGTCTCTGTTTTTTGCAGTAACGAAATCACAGCTCACTGCAGCCTCGACCTCCCTGGACTCAGGTTATCCTCCCACCTCAGCCTCCTGAATAGCTGAGAATAGGCGCGAATCACCACGCTGGGCTTTTTTTTTTTTTTTTTTTTTTTTTTTTGAAGGAGGCTCGCTCTGTCACCCAGGCTTGAGTGCAGTGGATCTTGGCTCACTGCAACTTCCGCCTCGGGGAGTAGCTGGGACTACAGGCACGCCTCAGCACGCCCGGCGAATTTTTGTATTTTTAGTAGAGATGGGGTTTCACCATGTTGGCCAGCATGGTCTCCATCTCCTGACCAAGTGATCCGTCCGCCTCGACCTCCCAAAGTGCTGGGATTTCAGGCATAAGCCACCGTGCCTGGCGCTGGGCTAAGTTAACCTTTTGTAGTGACGGTTTCACCATGTTGCCCCGGCTGGTCTTGAGCGTCTAGGCTCAAGAGATCCTCTCAAAGTGTTGAGCTTACAGGCGTGAGTCACCGCGCCTGGCCTATCCTTCCTTTTGGCGGTGAGAGCTTACAGAATTTTTTTTTAAATGCTGTGTTTTTTTTCTTTTTTGTCTGCACAATGAAAATGAAATAGTGTAAAACTATTAGTTTTAGTGGAAATTTGGAATCTGTTACAGTAGCCTGATAACTCAGGTAAATTATTATGGCTCTAATTAGCTGGGCAGTTTAGATTCGAAGAATGATTGCCCAGCACTTGAACAGACTAGAAGGGTCTGTTTAAACACTCCTAATTCCTGGGGTTCATTTTTATTTATAAAACACATACTTTGGGCCAGGCGCAGTGGCTCACGCCTGTAATCCCAGCCCTTTGGGAAGCCAAGGCGGGCGGATCACGAGGTCAGGAGATCGAGCCCATCCTGGCTAACACGGTGAAACCCTGTCTCTACTAAAAAAAAAAATACAAAAATTAGCCGGGCTTGGGGGCGGGCGCCTGTAGTCCCAGCTACTCGGGAGGCTGAGGCAGGAGAATGGCATGAACCCCGGGAGGCGGTGCTTGCAGTGAGCCGAGATCGTGCCACTGCACTCCAGCCTGGGCGACAGAGCCCAAAACAGATGCTTTATACCTTTAACCATTACATTTAACACAGAAAGCACATACTTTTATTGTACAAAAAATGGCGTTGATTTGTATTTTCTTAAAGAGTGGGTGGTGGCTGGGCGCGGTGGCTCACGACTGTAATCCCAGCACTTTGGGAGGCCGAGGCAGGCGGATCACCTGAGGTCAGGAGTTGGAGACCAGCCTCAACATGGAGAAACCCGTCTCTACTAAAAATAGAAAATTAGCCAGGCGTGGTGGTGCATGCCTGTAATCCCAGCTACTCCGGAGCCTGAGGCAGGAGAATTTCTTGACCCTGGGAGGCAGAGGTTGCGGTAAGCCGAGGTCGCGCCATTGTACTCCAGTCTGGGCAAGAAGAGCGAAACTCTTGTCTCAAAAAAAAAAAAAAAAAAAAGAGTGGGTGGTGTTTGCACAGTTAACATCTCCCTTATGACCAATGGCGTACATTTGCAAAACAGTTAAACAGAAATCCAGAGCTAACCTCCTCCCCCATCCTCATATCGACCTTAAGACTTTTTCCAGCTTCCTAAACCGAAAAAACCCAAACACTGTTGGAACTAGTGAACTTTAAATATGCAGAGAACCATGTTCAAATAAACAGATTTTGAATCACCACAATTTCATGATCTGCCCTAGAGGTGAAAAGGCCTTTGTTTATGTAGTCCTGTATCTCATTTGTGTTTGTCAAGCTAGACCAGACTAGTGAATTCCAGAATTGCCAATTCATTGTTCATGTAGTTTTTCTTTCTTACTCTAAAACTGAGGTGTCTGAATTAATTTGTACCACATTTGTGTTCCCTAAAAGAGGGTAGATGTTAACCAAAACTTTGATTACACCCAGATTCTTAAGACAGTCAAGGCAGTATAGAAATGGTGTGGGCTGGGCTGGGTGCAGTGGCTCAACGCCTGTAATCCCAGCACTTTGGGAGGCCGAGGCAGGCAGATCTCGAGGTCAGAGATCGAGACCATCCTGGCTAACACGGTGAAACCCCGTCTCTACTAAAAATTAAAAAAAAAAATTAGCCGGGTGTGGTGGTGGGCGCCTGTAGTCCCAGCTACTCGGGAGGCTAAGGCAGGAGAATGGCGTGAACCTGGGAGCCGGAGCTTGCAGTGAGCCGAGATCGTGCCACTGCACTCCAGCCTGGGCGACAGAGCGAGACTCTGTCTCAAAAAAAAAAAAAAAAAAAAAAGTAAATGGTGTGGACTAGGCCCCTTTTGCCCATGCCTTTGGATTTGTTCTTTTTTTTTTTTTTTTTAATCCATTGTTCAAGGAAAGAACAGCTTCTCAAGGCAAATTCTGGAATAGAAGAGAATTTAAAACAGCAATAACTTTTTCCTAGTAAAGATAAATGAGGTTCTTTAGAGACTTTAGTAATATGGGAAGTCCTTCAAAATATTTTTGGCTGCAGTTAGCACTCCCACACGGTGTAATAATTTTTTCTCCTTTGAGGCAAAACGTTCAGAGAGTTGGTTATAAAATGCTTCCCTGTACTTCAGAAGTATTGGAGTTCAAGGAACAAATCCTTGCAGCAACAGTATACTTAGAAAAATAGAAACATGGCCAGGCACGCTGGCACATGCCTGTAATCCCGGCACTTTGGGAGGCCGAGGCGGGCAGATCACGAAGTCAGGAAATCCAGACCAGTCTGACCAACATGGTGAAACCCCGTCTCTACTAAAAAACATAAAAATTAGTCAGGCGTGCTGGCACGCGCCTATAGTCCCGGAGGCTGAGGCAGGAGAATCGCTTGAACCAGGGAGGGCGGAGATTGCAGTGAACCAAGATGATGCCACTGCACTCCAGCCTGGGCGACAGAGCGAGACGCCGTCTCAAAAGAAGAAGAAAAATAGAAACACATCTATAAAAGTAAACAAAGCCCCTGAGACATCCAACATTTGTTTGTCCTGCCAGAGTACAAAATGGTCATCCCCAAAGCAAAATTCTATCCTGACAAGTGTGCAGATTATATGAAACCTGTAGATTTATCATGTTGGCATCATGGTATAGTGGCCTAGTTAGACAATATATCAAAAAGACTCTGAAAACTCAGGATTTTAATTTACTTGTTTAACAATTTTTGAGCATCAAACAATGTGCCAGAGCCTGTCACCGGTGTTTAGGTACATCACTGAATAAAAACAAAGCAAAGATCCCTGTTCTCATGGAGCTTACCCCTGGTGGAGGAGAAGGGAGACAGACAATAAGGAAATTAAATAATAAAAGTGGCAAGTGCTATAGTGAAAATACAGTGAAGGATAATAGAGATGAAGCAAGTCTTGCAATTTTAAATGAGGTGGTTAGGATAGGCCTCAAGAAGGAGATGGTTTTACTTTTATTTGTACTTTTTTAGAGAAAGGGTCTCGCCGTCACCCAGACTGAAATGCAGTGGTGTAATGCTAGTTCACTGCAGCCTCTAACTCTTTGGCTCAAGTTATCTTCCCGCTTCATCTCCCCAAAGTGCTAGGATTACAGGTGTGTGACATGGCGCCCCAACAAAGAGATAATTTATGAATGAAGATTTGCAGGAGCTAAGGGAGCAAATCGTGGATATCTAGGGAAGAGACTGCAAAGGGAATCGTAAATGAAAACACCTTCAGGGAGGAGCAAGCATGACTGGCACATATGAAATAGAGGAAGGAAATCAGTGTGGTTGAAATAGGATGGTCATAGCTGGGCGTGGTGGCTCATGCCTGTAATCCCAGCACTTTGGGAGGCAGAGGTGAGAAGATTGCTTGAGGCTAGGAGTTCCAGGTCAACCTGTGCAACATAGCGAGACTGGTCTCTACAGCATGTTACAATTACCTGGGCGTGGTGTTGTGCGCCTTTAGTCCCAGCTACTTGGGATGCTGAGGCAGGAGGATTGCTTGTGCCTGGGAGTTTGAGGTTACAGTGAGCTATGATTGCACCACTGCACTCCCACCTGGGAACATGGTGAAACCTCGTCTCTACAAAAAATATAAAAGTTATCCAGGCATGGTGGCGTGCACCTGTGGTCCCAACTACTTGGGTGGGAGAATTGCCTGAGCCTGGGAAGTGAGTCGAGGCTGCAGTGAGCCTTGATTGAGCCACTGCACTCCAGCCTGGGTGACAGTGAGACCCTGTCTCAAAAAAAATAGAATGGTCAAGACGGGGGTATAGGATGAATGTCAAAGAGTCAGAGGAGTGTGTGGGGCAGATCTGTAGAACCTGGTAAACTGTAATAGGTTTTTATGGCTTTTAATGATATGACAGGTTTTAGAAGGATTGCCCAAAGTATTGAAAATAAGAGGCCCTGGGCCCTGTAATACCAACACTTTGAGAGGCCGAGGTGGGCGGATCACGAGGTCAGGAGATCGAGACCCTCCTGGCTAACAGGGTGAAACCCCGTCTCTACTAAAAATACAAAAACAAAATTAGCCGGGCGTGGTGGAGGGGGCCTGTAGTCCCAGCTACTCCGGAGGCTGAGGTGGGAGAATGGGTGAACCCTGGAGGCAGAGCTTGCGATGAGCCGAGATTGCGCCATTGCACTCCAGCCTGGGCAACAGAGCGAAAGTCCGTCTCAAAAAAAAAAAAAAAAAAAAAAGAGGCCCAGGGTAGAAGCAGGAGCCAAATGAATCGGCCATATCAGTAATCCAAGTGAAGGGGAGGGTGGCTTTAATGACCAAAATATATCCTGGAGATACATATAGAGAGAGAGAGA
Organism: Homo sapiens; assembly: GCF_000001405.40. NCBI lineage: Eukaryota > Metazoa > Chordata > Mammalia > Primates > Hominidae > Homo > Homo sapiens. The sequence goes on along the minus strand of NC_000001.11, from coordinate 15,828,926 downwards.
GATTTTTTTTTTTCAGATGGAGTCTTGCTCTGTCACCCAGGCTGGAGTGCAGTGGCATGATCTCGGCTCACTGCAGCCTCTGCCTCCTGGGTTCCAGCGATTCTCCTGCTTCAGCCTCCTGGGTAACTAGGATTACAGGCACATGCCACCACACCTGGCTAATTTTTGTGTTTTTTGTTTTGTTTTGTTTTTTAACTTTAAAATCCCTCAAAAACTGTTTATTATACAGGTGAATTTTGATAGTCATGATGGGCTTATCGGTAGGATTTCTGGTAGCGAGCATGGGCACCAGGGCCTCCAAACTTTTTGGACTCCCGGCAACGAGGATCAGCTACCAGCAGGGTCTGGTCATACTGGATGAGGATGTCTTTGATCTCCTTCTTGGAAGCCTCATCCACATATTTCTGGTAGTAGGCCACCAGGGCTTTGGAGATGGACTGATGGATAGCATAAATCTGGGCCACGTGACCACCACCCTTCATACGGACACAGATGTCCACACCAGCAAACCGCTCCTTGCCGAGAAGCAGAACTGGCTCCAGCAGCTTGTATTGTAGCATGCGCAGCTCAATCATCTCCAGGGGCCACCCGTTCACCTTGATGAGACCATTGCCGCGTTTGCAGTGCGCCACAGCTGTGGCTGTCTTCTTGCGTCCGAAGACCTGCACCGACTGCAGCGGGCCCTTGGTCGGCATGGCTGCGGGCGTGGACTAGAGTGAGTGTGTTTTTTTGTTTGTTTTGTTTTGTTTTTTTGTTTGAGACGGAGTCACACTCTGTCGCCCAGGCTGGAGTGCAGTGGTGCGATCTCGGCTCACTGCAACCTCCGCCTCCCAGGTTCAAGCTATTCTGCCCCAGACTCCCAAGTAGCTGGGATTACAGGCATCTACCACCACGCCTAGCTAATTTTTGTATTTTTAGTAGAGACGGGGTTTCACCATATTGGCCAGGCTGGTCTCGAACTCCTGACCTCACGTGATCTGCCTGTCTCAGCCTCCCAAAGTACAGGGATTACAGGCATGAGCCACCGCGCCTGGCCGTTTTTTTTGTTTGTTTGTTTGTTTGAAACAGGGTCTCACTCTGTCGCCGAGACTGGAGTGCAGTAGTGCAATCTCGGCTCACTGCAACCTCCGCCTTCCAGGTGCCTCAGCCTCCTGAGTAGCTGGGACAACAGGTGTGTGCTACTACTGCCTGGCTAATTTTTTTTTTTTTGAGATGGCGTGTCACTCTTGTCGCCCAGTGTGGGCGACATCATGGCTCACTGCAACCTCCACCTCCCGGGTTCAAGCGATTCTCCTGTCTCAGCCTCCCAAGTAGCTGTGATTACAGGCATGTGCCGCCACGCCTGGCTAATTTTTTGTATTTTTTAGTAGAGATGGGGTTTCACCGTGTTGGTCAAGCAGGTCTCAAATTCCTGACCTCCCAAAGTGCTGGGATTACAGGTGTGAGCCACCGGGCCCTGGATATATTTTAACAGTAAATCCAAGCAGACTTTCTGGTAGGTTGAACCTGGGATTGATAAAAAGAGGAGGCAAGGATGAGCCAAAACATTTTTTGACCTGGGCAACTAAAAGAGTTGTAATGAAGGAGGACTGGATAGAGCAGTTCTGCAGGGGAAGAGCAGAAGTTCAGTTTGGGCATGTTCAATTTGAGGTGTTTATTAGATATCAAAGGGAGACGCTGGTGGGCTATTGGATATATGGGTCTTGATTTAGGAGGAAGTTCTGGAGATGTATATTTTTATATATGCCCTTTTTGTATATTATGTATATTTGTGTGTGAGAGAGTTATCCTATATATAGCTAGCATTTAAAAGCCTCAAACCGGATGAGATCACTAACATAAATATAGAAGGAAATAGGATAAAGGAAGCCCTGAAGCACTCCACTGTTAAAAGGTCTGAGAAGAAGGTTTGCAAAGCAGGATGAGAAGGAACAACCAGTTAGGTCGGAGGATAACCAGGAAAGGGTGGTGTCCAGGAAGTCAAGAAAGTGGAGCAGGTGGCCTGGCAGGGTGGCTCACACCTGTAATCCCAGCACTGTGGGAAGCCGAGGCAGGCATATCACTTGAGGTCAGGAGTTCGAGACCAGCTGGCCAATGTGATGAAACCCTAACTCTACTAAAAAAACACAAAAATTGGCCAGGTGTGATGGCTCATGCCTGTAATCCCGGCACTTTTGGAGGCTCAGGCGGGCAGATCACCTGAGGCTGGGAGTTCGAGACCAGCCTGACCAACATGGAGAAACCCCTCTCTACTGAAAATACAAAATTAGCTGGTTGTGGTGGCGCATGCCTGTAATCCCAGCTACTTGGGAGGCTGAGGCAGGAGAATCGCTTGAACCTGGAAGGCAGAGGTTGCGGTGAGCTGAGATTGTGCCATTGCACTCCAGCCTGTGCAACAAGAGTGAAACTCCATCTCAAAAAAAAAAAAAAAAAAATTAGCTCGGCTTGGGCAGGGCTCGGTGGCTAACGCCTGTAATCCCAGCACTTTGGGAGGCCGAGGCGGGCAGATCACGAGGTCAAGAGTTCGAGACCAGCCTGACTAACATAGTGAAACCCCGTCTCTAGTAAAAATACAAAAATTAGCCGGGAATGGTGACGCACAGGAATGCTGGCTCGACAGGCTGAAGCAGGAGAATTGCTTGAACCCGGGAGGCGGAGGTTGCAGTGAGCCGAGATCGCACCACTTCACTCCAGCCTGGATGACAGAGTAAGACTCGGTCTCAAAAAAAAAAAAAAAAAAAAGTGAAGGGAATGGTCAACTATGAAATGCTGCTGAGAGATTAAGCTGAGGCATGAAAATTGAGTGTTGTATGAATAAGTGGAAGTCATGGGTGACCTTGACACAAGCTGTCTGGGTGGAGTAGGAGGCAAAAGCTTGATTGGAATGGATTGAAGAAAAAAAAAAAAAAAACAGTAAGTATGACCTTTGGAAAAGTCTGACAGTGAGGCTTAGAGGGGAAGATGCCAGAGACTGTGATGTTGGAAAGTACCTTCTGTTTTAGGAAGTTCCTGGGTCAGTGCAGCAAGAGGGAACTCAAAACCTTAGGGCTTCTGGAGGAATTGTTACACTCCCAGGATGTGGTCTCCTTCTACCCTCATATCTGCTCCATGATAACATGAATAATAAATTATTTCTTGGCTGGGAGAACTCCAGCTCAAAAGATCCTGCTGCCTCTGTCTCCCAAAGTACTAGGATTACAGGCGTGAGCCACTGTGCCCGGCTGTATTTTTCTTTACTTTTTTTTTTTTTTTTTGAGACAGAGTCACGCTCTGTCACCCAGGCTGGAGTGCAGTGGCCTGATCTCTGCTCACTGCAACCTCTGCCTCCCAGGTTCAAGTGGTTCCCCTGCCTCAGCCTCCTGAGTAGCTGGGATTACAGGCATGTGCCACCACACCCGCTTAATTGTTGTATTTTTAGTAGAGACGGGGTTTCACCATGTTGTCCAGGCTGGTCTCGAATTCCTGACCTCATGACCCACCTGCCTTGGCCTTCCAAAGTGCTGGGATTACAGGCGTGAGCCACCGCACCCAGCCATAATTTTCTTTTTAAAAGACTTTCTTCCCCCATATTGGACCCTGCTCTAGTTCTACCACATCCCAGTGAACAACAGTGAAATAAAAAGATTGTCTACGTGCTTAATTTGAAAACGTGGGTTGGGCACGGTGGCTCACACCTGTAATCCCAGCACTTTGGGAGGCCGAGATGGGTGGATTGCCTGAGGTCAGGAGTTCAAGACCAGCTTGGCCAACCCGGTGAAACCCCATCTCTAATAAAATACAAATATTAAGGTTGGTCGCGGTGGCTCATGCCTGTAATCCTAGCACTTTGGGAGGCTGAGGCAGGCAGATCACCTGAGGTCTGGAATTCAAGACTAGCCTGACCAACATGGAGAAACCCCGTCTCTACTAAAAATACAAAATTAGCTGGGCGTGGTAGCTCATGCCTGTAATCCCAGCTACTCGTGGGGCTAAGGCAGGAGAATCACTTGAACCCAGGAGGTGGAGGTTGCAGTGAGCTGAAATCGTGCCACTGCACTCCAGCCTGGGTGACAGAGTGAGACTCCGTCTCAAAAAAAAAAGAAAAAAAGGAAAACAGATATATCACTTTGGGGTCAAGCTCCACCTTCAGAATTTCATAAATTTTTTTTTTTTGAGACGGAGTCTTCCTCTGTCACCCAGGCTGGAGTGCAGTGGTGCAATCTCGGCTTATTATAGCTGCAGCCTCCCAGGTTCAAGCAATCTTCTGCCTCAGCCTCCCAAGTAGCTGGGATTACAGGCATGCGCCACCACAGGCGGCTAATTTTTTTTTTTTTTTTTTGAGACACAGTCTAGCTCTGTCACCAGGCTGGAGTGCAGTGGCGTGATCTCGGCCCACTGCCACCTCCACCTCCCAGGTTCAAGCGATTCTCCTGCCTCAGTCTTCTGAGTAGCTGGGATTACCAGCACGTGCCACTGCGCCCAAGTAATTTTTGTATTTTTAGTAGAGACAGGGTTTCACCATGTCGGCCAAGATGGTCTCTATCTCCTGACCTCGTGATCCGCCCACCTCAGCCTCCAAAGTGCTGGGATTATAGGCGTGAGCCACCGCGTCCAGCCTCATTTTTGTGTTTTTTAGTAGAGAAGGGGTTTTGCCATGTTGGCCAGGCTGGTCTCGAGCTTCTGACCTCCAGTGATCTGCCTGCCTCGGGCTTCCAAAGTGCTGGAATTAGAGGCATGAGCCACCCAACCCAGCTCACCTTCAGAATTCTATGTACTGATAAATATAATCAAAAGTCAAGTCCAGGCTCGGTGGCTTACCCCTGTAATCCCAGCACTTTGGGAGGCCAAGGCAGGTGGATAACCTGAGGTCAGGAGTTCAGGGCCAGCCTGGCCAACATAGTGAAACCCCATCTCTACTAAAAACACAAAAAATTTCCTGGGTATGGTGGCACGCCCCTGTAATCCCAGCTGCTCCGGAGGCTAAGGCAGGAGAATTGCTTGAACCCAGGAGGCAGAGGTTGCAATGAACAGAGACCACACCATTGCACTCCAGCTTGGAAAACAAAAGTGAAACTCCCACTCAAAAAAAAAAAAAAAAAAAAAAACAAGTCAAAATGTGTATTTTCTTTTTTTAATCATCCGGCTCAGCCTCCTGAGTAGCTGGGACTACAGGTGATGCCACTACACCCGGCTAATATTTTGTATTTTTGATAGAGATGGGGCTTCTCCATGTTGCCCAGGCTGGTCTCCAACTTCTGAGATCAGATGATCCACTCACCTGGGCCTCCCAAAGTGCTAGGATTACAGGCGTGAGTCACTGTGCTTGGCCAATTTGTATTTTCAATGTATTACTTTATCATTCTTTATTGGAACATGTGATTAAATACAGATATAAAGTATCATGTATATTTTATCCTGCAACATTTATGCCTAATAGCTATTGAAGCTTTTTTTTTTTTTTTTTTTTTTGAGATGGAGTTTCACTCTTGTTGACCAGGCAGGAGTGCAATGGCACGATCTCTGCTAACTGAAACCTCCACCTCCAGGATTCAAGCAATTCTCCTGCCTCAGCTTCCTGAATAGCTGGGATTACAGGCATGCGCCATCACGCTGGGCTAATTTTGTATTTTTAGTAGAGATGGGGTTTCTCCATGTTGGTCAGGCTGGTCTCGAACTCCTGACCTCAGGTGATCCCCCTGCCTCAGCCTCCCAAAGTGTAGGGATTACAGATGTGAGCCACCGTGCCCAGCCAACAATTTTTTTTTTTTTTTTTTTTTTGAGATGGAGTCTTGTCACTCTGTCGCCCAGGCCGGAGGGTGATGGTGTGATCTTGGCTCACTGCAGCCTCAACCTCTAGGGTTCAAGCCATTCTCCTGCCTCAGCCTCCCAAGTAGCTTGGACTATAAGCATGTGCCACCACACCCAGCTAATTTTTGTATTTTTGGTAGAGGTGGGGTTTCACCATGTTGGCCAGGCTGGTCTGGAACTCCTGACCTCAGGTGATCTGCCCGCCTTGGCCTCCTAAAGTGCTGGAATTACTGGCGTGAGCCACTGCGCCCAGCCCACAATTTTTTATTTTTTGATATTTGTCACTTTGGATGAAGCCTAGCAGTAGTATATGGTTAAGTGTACATTTTCTAATTATTTATGAAATGTTGCTCTCCAGCTTATGTAGAATAAGGTCTTCACCTGTTTTTCCTTTGTCCTAGCACACACTATACTTCTGTCATTTACATTGATTTATACTGGTAGTGATTGAGGGATTGGATTCAATTTTGGGGCATTGGGAGGCAGATGTTGCAGTGAGCTAAGATCACACCACTGCACTCCAGCCTGGGGGACAGGGAGAAATTGGGGGTGGTTGAGGAAAGCTGTCTTCTGAAATGGAATATCAGGATTTCGAGGGATTCTGAGATATCCCTTGAATTACCTACTTCGTGGGACCTTTCTCACTCCTCCTAAGAATCACTGATGTGGAACTTAAAATACAGCTGAGGAAAAATCATTTCTTTTCTTTTTTTTTTTTTGAGACGGAGTCTCGCTCTGTCGCCCAGGTCACAGAGTGCAGTGGTGTGATCTCGGCTCACTGCAAGCTCCGCCTCCCGGGTCCACGCCATTCTCCTGCCTCAGCCTCCGGAGTAGCTGGGATTACAGGCGCCCGCCACTAGGCCCGGCTAATTTTTTTGTATTTTTAGTAGAGACGGGGTTTCACCGTGTTACCCAGGATAGTCTCGATCTCCTGACCTCGTGATCCACCCGCCTCGGCCTTCCAAAGTGCTGGGATTACAGGCGTGAGCCACCACGCCCGGCCCGGAAAAGATCATTTCTTTAACAAACTAGTTTAGATGTATTTCTGATGGTATTAATGCATTAGTTACATGTAGAGTATATGTCATGAAAATTCTACTTCCTGGAGAGTATTAAATTTTAAGAAAGTTTTGGCCGGGCGCGGTGGCTCACGCCTGTAATCCCAGCACTTTGGGAGGCCGAGGTGGGCAGATCACGAGGTCAGGAGATTGAGACCATTCTGTGAATGGTGAAACCCCGTCTCTACTAAAAATACAAAAAATTAGCTGGGCGTGGTGGCGGGCCCCTGTAGTCCCAGCTACTCGGGAGGCTGAGGAGGGAGAATGGCGTGAACCCGGGAGGCGGAGCTTGCAGTGAGCCGAGATCGCACCACTGCACTCCAGCCTGGGCGCCAGAGCGAGACTCTGTCTCAGAAAAAAGAAAAAGAAAAAGAAAGTTAGTTTTGGGGTTTTTTTGAGATGGAGTCTCGCTCTGTCGCTCAGTCTGGAGTGCAGTGGCACAATCTCAGCTCACTTCAACCTCTGCTTCCTAGTTTCTTTCTTTTTTTTTTTTTTGAGATGGAGTCTCCCTCTGTCACCAAGCTGGAGTGCAGTGGCACGATCTTGGTCCACTGCAACCTCCGCCTCCCAAGTTCAAGCGATTCTCCTGCCTCAGCCTCCTAAGTAGCTGGGACTACAAGTGCACACCACTACGCCCAGCTAATTTTTGTATTTTTAGTAGAGACGGGTTTCACCATGTTGTCCAGGATGGTCTCGATCTCTTGACCTCATGATCCACCTGCCTCGGCCTCCCAAAGTGCTGGGATTACAGGCATGAGCCACCGTGTCCCGTGCCTCCTGCTTTCAAGTGACTCTCCTGCCTCAGTCTCCCGAGTAGCTGGGACTACAGGCACATGCCAGGATGCCTGGCTAATTTTTGTATTTTTAGTAGAGACAGGGTTTCGCCATGTTGGCCCGGCTGGTCTCGAACTCCTGGCCTCAAGTGATCTGCCCACCTCATCCTCCCAAAGTGCTGGAATTATAGGCGTGAGTCACTGTGTCTGGCCTTAAGAAAGATTTCTCTCTCCTTTCAAAAGAAGATAAACAAGTAAGTACAGTATCCATTATATTGGGGACATTGAAACCCTGTGTACAAATATGCTGGATGTTTTCAGTTTTTTTTTTTTTTTTTTTTGAGACAGGGTCTTGCTCTGTCACCCAGCAGTGATGTGATCATGGCTCACTGCAGCTTTTAACTCCTGGGTACAAGGGATCCTCCCCTCTCTGCCTCAGCCTCCCAGGTGTCTGTGAATACAAGAGCATGCCACCACCCCCGGCTAATTTTAAAATTTTTTGTAGAGACAGGGTCTCACTGTGTTGCCCAGTCTGGGAGTAGGGAATGGATGTGGGTTGGAGAGTGGAAAGAATTGACAGGATGACCTGAGCCCTGAAGTAGGAGGGAAGGGCTGCATAAGCAAAGGAACTGGCTTTCGATAGTTCAGCTAGTAGAGGACTGGAGGATGGAATGTATGGGGGCAGATGCTGGCAAGCAAATGTGGTTGAGCAAGTCCATGCCAGAAATGCCACAAATTTACCAAGAGACAGAGTCAAGATAATTATCTATGCTGGCTGGGCACCATGGTTCACGCCTGTAATCCCAACACTTTGGGAGGCCAAAGCAGGTGGATCACCTGAGGTCAGGAGTTCAAGACCAGCCTGGCCAACATGGTGAAACCCCATCTCTACCAAAAAAAAAAAAAAAATACAAAAATTAGCTGGGCGTGGTGGCGCATGCCTGTAGTCTCAGCTACTCAGGAGGCTGAGGAAGGAGAATTGCTTGAACCTGGGAGGTGGAGGTCGCAGTAAGCCGAGATCACGCCATTGCAGTCCAGCCTTGGCGACAGAGCGAGACTCCGTCTCAAAAAAAAAAAAAAAATCTATGCTTCATTTTTCCAAATTAAGATAGAAAAAATGATAGAATACACCAGTCAAAATGATTGGATTCACCTTCTGTGTTCTTGGGCAAGTTACATAAACATTTTTGTAGGGTCTTGGTGTGTTTTCTTTTTGTCTGAATGGTCATCTTCTAGACTAGTGCCTGGCAAACAGTAGTTGCTCGACAAATATTCATTGAGTTAATTTTAGAAATTTATTAAATCTATTAAGTATATATAACACATCTACCCCACAGGATTGTTTTGAACATTCAATCAAATCAGATAATAGATGTAAACGTGCTTTATAATCTGAGAAATACTATTTAAACTGTTTATGTTAATATGAGGATAAAGTCCACTGAGTTTTTTTACTTCTTTTTTTTTTTTTTGTGACAGAGTCTCGCACTGTCGCCAGCGCTGGAGTGCAGTGGCGTGATCTCAGCTCACTGCAACCTCCACCTCCCGGATTCAAACGATTCTTCTGCCTCAGCCTCCCAAGTAGCTGGGATTACAGATGCCCCCCACCACGCCCAGCTAATTTTTTGTATTTTTAGTAGAGATGGGGTTTCACTATCTTGGCCAGGCTGGTCTCAAACTCCTGACCTCGTGATCTGCTCGCCTCGGCCTCCCAAAGTGCTGGGATTACAGGCATGAGCCACCACGCCCGGCTTTTTTTACTTCTTTTCTTTTTTTTGTTTTTGAGACAGAGTCTCGCTCTGTCGCCCAGGCTGGAGTGCAGTGGCACAATCTTGGCTCACTGCAAGCTCCGCCTCCCGGGTTCACACCATTCTCCTGCCTCAGCCTCCCGAGTAGCTGGGACTACAGGCGCCCACCACCATGCCCAGCTAATGTTTTGTATTTTTAGTAGAGATGGGGTTTCACCGTGTTAGCCATGATGGTCTCAATCTCCTGACCTTGTGATCCACATGCCTCGGCCTCCCAAAGTGCTGGGATTACAGGCGTGAGCCACCATGCCCGGCTTTTTTATTTCTTAAATGGATTTTTTTAAAAGCATAGAGGAATACACCAAGACTCTAATGATTCTGTCAACTGCTTTGAAATTCATGGATGGAGTATAATAATATTTTACAAAATAGTTTTGCCCTATAAAACCATATAGTATTACAGAACTGTCTGTGTTGTTTTTTTGTTTGTTTGTTTTTTGAGATAAAGTCTCACTCTGTCACCCAAGCTGGAGCACAGTGACACAATCTCGGCTCACTGCAACCTCCACCTCCTGGGTTCAAGTGATTCTCCTGCCTCACCCTCCTGAGTAGCTGGGATTACAGGTGTGCGCCACCACGCCCGGCTCATTTTTTTTGTATTTTTAGTAGAGACAGGGTTTAACCATTTTGGCCAGGCTGGTCTTAAACTCCTGACCTCAAATGATCCTCCCCTCTCGGCCTCCCAAAGTGCTGGGATTACAGGCGTGAGCCACTGCACCTGGCCCTATAGAACTGTTAAAAGCATAAAAAGGCCAGGATCAGTGGCTCATGCCTGTCACCCCAGCACTTTGGGAGGCCAAAGTGGGGGGATCGCTTGAGGCCAGGAGTTCAAAAAAGACAGCATACAAAGCTGTGAAGTCAATTAGCTTTATGTCATAAATTAAATCCCGAATTACATTTATAATGCTGGGCACGTGAGTGTTATATTACATCTTTTTATTTTTATCTTTTTTTTTTTAGACAGGATCTCACTCTCTCACCCAGGCTGGAGTACAGTGGCATGATCATAGCTCATTGCAACCTCTTCACCTCCTGAGCTCAAGCCATCTTCCCCCCTCAGCCTCCCACGTAGCTGGGACTAGAGGCACACACCACGCTGCCCTGCTAGTTTTTGTATTTTTTGTAGAGATGGGGTTTTGCCCTGTTGCCCAGGCTGGTCTTAAACTACTGGGCTCAAGCAATCCACCTGCCCTGGCATCCCAAAGTGCTGAGGTCAGAGCCACTGCACCCACCTAGCCGTCTTTTTTCTTTTCTTTCTTCTTGGTAGCTTATAATTTCCAAAGCAAATGCAGCATTAGAGTTGTAACTTTTCTGTGTAACATAATTAAGTTGTTTTTTTTTGAGATGGAGTCTCGCTCTGTTGCCCAGGCTGGAGTGCAGTGGCATGATCTCAGCTCACTACAACCTCCACCTCCCGGGTTCAAGCTATTCTCCCACCTCAGCCCCTTGAGTAGCTGGGACTACAGGCACACGCCACCACGCCTGGCTAATTTTTTTTGTATTTTTAGTAGAGACGGGTTTCACTATGTTGGCCAAGCTGGCTTGAACCCCTGACCTCTGGTGATCTACTCACCTCAGCCTGCCAAAGTCCTGGGGCTACAGGTGTGAGCCACTGTGCCTGGCCAGAATTAACTTTTAAATGTATGGATATTTCTGCTACGGATTTCTTAATTCCTTCCTAACTAATCATACCCCAAGTAAACTGAACTATTCATTTTCATGATAAGTCTGTATGGTCTTCCTGAATATTATAGGAGTGATCTGAACCAAAGTTCTAGCTGATAAAAATTTTGTAAAAATCTAATTCAGTGCATTTCCATTGTCTCATGCATTCCAGGGACTAAAGTAAGTAATATTCTTGATTGCTGAAGTTTGAAGGCAGTTTCCTGTCTGCTGAGGTTTTATTTCTAGAAGCCCTTATCATTGGTCCTGATAGAATATCTGCAAGGAGAAATGAATCAACTCACGCCATCATTTTCACATTTATCATTACCACTGGAGATTAAGATATTACATAATTAGCCAAGGTCATATAAAAGGATTCATTGGAACAATTTAGGATTAAATTTAGGAATTATACATTAGGAACTCATTGGGATTCCCATATGTTTAAGTGTTGCAATATGGGGATGTTTAATTACGCTACTAGCCTAGTTCCTGCTATTAACCCAGCACCAGGCCTTTCAAGATTATTTAGAAAAAATGCTCAGGCCAGGCGTGGTGGCTCACGCTTATAATCCCAGCACTTTGGGAGGCAGAGGCAGGCGGATCACCTGAGGTCATAAGTTCAAGACCAGCCTGGCCAACATGGTGAACCCCCGTCTCTACTAAATATATTTTTTAAAAGATTAGCTGGGTGTGGTGGCGGTCGCCTGTAATCCCAGCTACTTGGGAGCCTGAGGCAGGAGAATCGCTTGAACCCGGGAGGCAGAGGTTGCAGTGAGCCGGGATCACATCATTGCACTCCAGCCTGGGCAACAAGAGCGAAACTTCATCTCAAAAAAAAGAAAAAAAAAAAGCTCAGTTCTCAGAAAATCTTAGAAGCCAAGTTCAGACTAAGGAAAGATATTTGCTGAGTAATGTGACTTGGTCCCCTTCCTTGTAAAGCCAGAAGTACCATATGTGTTTTTCTAAATAGCCCCACCAGATTTGTCTAGACATGACTGTGCCTCACGAAATTAACCATTCTGCCTCCGGGGATTTATGCATTCTCAGTGATGTTTCTCTCCATCATCTGATGTGATAGTCTGTACAAGTTTCCTATGGCCCAGTTCTGGGTCATGTTGAAGGATCGTGCCACATAATCTTAACTACTTTTTCCCCCACTGCCTTGTTCAACAACAATGGTAACACCCACAAAATATATTTGCCCTCACAGCAACACCAGTCCATCTTGCACCTGCACAGGACACTTTTTAATCTGAAGGATCTCAAAGCCCTTTGCATACATTAATTGTACTTCATAAATACCTCATTGCTTGCAAGCCCTACTAGCCCCATTTTATTACTGGACATCCCAGAATAAAGAGATGGAACCTCTAGTCTACTCAGAAAAGGACAAACCTGGGTCACGAGTCTACTTAAAACTGTCCCTTGGGCTCTCTGAGATCTAATTTTCTCCCTCTTCATGTTCCCCCAGTGCTCAGGAAACACTTAAAAGTATCTCTGGGGGCCGGGCATGGTGGCTTACAGCTGTAATCCCAGCACTTTTGGGAGGCCGAGGCAGGCAGATCACGAGGTCAGGAGATTGAGATCATCCTGGCCAACATGGTGAAACTCGTCCCTACTAAAATACAAAAAATTAGCCAGGCGTGGTGGCGTGTGCCTGTAGTTCCAGCTACTTGGGAGGCTGAGGCAGGAGAATTGCTTGAACCTGGGAGGCGGAGGTTGGTTGAAGTGAGCAGAGATCGAGCCACTGCACTCCAGCCTGGCAACAGAGCGAGACTCTGTCTCAAAAAAAAAAAAAAAAAAAAGTTTCTCTGGGTGGTTCTCTCAAATGCCTGTCTTGCCTTTGCCACTGATGTGGCCTCAGTGCTTTCCAGTCTAGCTAAATGTGGGGATTGTTTGTGCTTGAATTCACCTTTGTTGACAATTTGTCAAAAAAAAAAAAAAAAGGAAAACCTCTTACATTTACACTGGTGTGAATGCATATATATCATCATCAGAAGCAGTTGAGACACTTTCTAATGCATTTTTCTTTTTTTCGTTAGGACAGGACGATATATTCACTCTATTTTTGGGTCTCAGATAAGAGATTGTATTTTGGAGTCATCTTAACGAGTGCTGCCCTCTCGAGGTCACAGCTGCATCTGTGTGCAGCTGCTAGAACCTAGGTTAGACAAGAGTGAGAATGAGCAGAGATGAGGCATATAAAAGGACCAAGTAGCCATTGTCATGAGAAGCTGAGAAACCTTTGTTTAGCTGCTTTTATATGGTAATGAAGTGAAAAGAGCACCAATAGGGAGCCAGAGTTATTTCTGCCATTGACTCTGTGTATGATCTTAGGCCACTCATTTTCTCTGTGCCTCAAATTTCCCATCAATAGAAGGGGAGCTACTGGTCCAGCCCAGGGGCCAGCAAGCTTTTTTATTTTATTTTTTATTATTTATTTATTTTGAGATGGAGTCTCGCATGTTGCCCAGACTGGAGTGCAATGCAGACATAAAATATATATATATAAACAAATGAGAAAAAGTTTTATTCCCACTTTGGGAGGCCGAGGCCAGTGGCTCACCTGAGGTCAGGAGTTCAAGACCAGCCTAACTAACATGGTGAAACCCTGTCTCTACTAAAAATACAAAAATTAGCCGGGCATGGGGGCACACACCTCTAATCCCAGCTGCTCGGAAGGCTGAGGCAGCAGAATCGCTTGAACCTGGGAGGTGGAGGTTGCGGTGAGCCGAGATCGTGCCACTGCACTCCAGCCTGGGCAACAGAGTGAGACTCTGTCTTAAAAAAAAAAAAAAAAAAAAAAAAAAAAAAAGGTCAGGCGCGGTGGCTCATGCCTGTGATCTCAGCACTTTGGGAGGCTGAGGTGGGCGGATCGCGAGGTCAGGAGTTTGAGACCAGTCTGGCCAACATAGTGAAACCCCATCTGTACTAAAAAAACAAAAAATTAGCTGGATGTGGTGATGTGCACCTGTAATCTCAGCTACTCAGGAGGCTGAGGCAGGAGAATCACATGAACCTGGGAGGTGGAGGTTGCAGTAAGCTGAGATCGCACCATTGCACTCCAGCCCAGGTGACAGTGTGAGACTCTATCTCAAAAAAAAAAAAGACCGGACGCAGTGGCTCACGCCTGTAACCCCAACACTTTGGGAGGCCGAGGTGGGTGGATCACAAGGTCAGGAGTTCAAGATCAGCCTGGCCAAGATAGTGAAACCCCATCTCTACTAAAAATACAAAAATTAGCCGGGCCTGGTGGCAGGCGCCTGTAATCCCAGCTACTCAGGAGGCTGAGGCAGGAGAATCACTTGACCCGGGAGGCGGAGGTAGCAGTGAGCCAAGATTGCACCACTGCACTCCAGTCTGGGAAACAGAGCAAGACTCTGTCTCCCAAAAATAAAAAATAAAAAATTATTCCAATAAAACTTTTTTTGTGTGGACACAGATTTTTGAATTTCATACAATTTTACTTGTCATAATCAAATTATTCACAATAATCACAACATTATTTTGATTTTTTTTTTTGAGACCACATCACTCTGTTGCCCAGGCTAGAGTGTAGTGGCATGATCTCGGCTCACTGCAACCTCTGCCTCCTGGGTTCAAGCAATTCTCCTGCCTCAGCCTCCTGAATAACTGGGATTACAGGCGCACGCCACTATACCTGGGTAATTTTTTTTTTTTTTTTTTGAGACAGAGTCTCGCTCTGTCACCCAGGCTGGAGTGCAGTGGTGCGATCTGGGCTCACTGCAAGCTCCGCCTCCTGGGTTCACGCCATTCTCCTGCCTCAGCCTCCCAAGTAGCTGGGACTACAGACGCCCACCAACACGCCCGGCTGATTTTTTGTATTTTTAGTAGAGACGGGGTTTCACTGTGTTAGCCAGGATGGTCTTGATCTCCTGACCTCGTGATCCACCCGCCTCAGCCTCCCAAAGTGCTGGGATTACAGGCATGTGCCACCGCGCCTGGCCACACCTGGGTAATTTTTGTATTTTTGGTAGAGACGAGGTTTCACCATGTTGGTCAGGCTGGTCTTGAACTCCTGACCTCAGGTGATCCGCCCACTTTGAACTTCCAAAGTGTTGGGATTACAGACATGAGCCACTGCGCCGGTCATTTTTTTTTTTTAGCCTTTTAAAAGATATAAAAGCCATTCTTAGTTCCCAGGCCATCAGTAAAATAGGCAGTATGCTAGATTTGGCCCAAGCCCAAAGCTTCTGACTTCTGGACTGAATAGTTTCAGGCAGTACTTCCGATATAACTTTTTTTTTTTTGAGACAGCGTCTCGCTCTGTTGCCCAGGCTGGCGTGCAGTGGCACAATCTCAGCTCACTGCAACCTCTGCCTCCCATTTCAAGCGATTCTCCTGCTTCGGCCTCCCGAGTAGCTGGGACTACAGGTGCGGTCACCACGCCCGCCTAATTTTTTGTATTTTTAGTAGAGACGGGATTTCACCATGTTAACCAGGATGGTCTTGATCTCCTGACTTCGTGATCCACCCGCCTCACTCTCCCAAAGTGCTGGGATTACTGGTGTGAGCCACTGCGCCCGGCCTACTTAGAATATAATCTTATGCAATTTTATTTTAATTTATTTATTTCTGGAGACAAGATTTTGCTCTGTCACCCAGGCTGGAGTGCAGTGACACCACCATAGCTCATTGCAGCCTTGAACTCCTGGCCTCAACCTATCCTCCTACCTCATCCTCCCGAGGAGGTGCGCCCACTCCATGCCTGGCTAATTTTTTTTTTTTTTTTTTTTTGTGGAGATGGAGTCTCAGGCCAGGTGCGGTGGATCATGCCTGTAAAAAATACAAAAATTAGCTGGCAGGAGTATCACTTGAACCCAAGAGCAAGAGGTTGCAGTGAGCCAAGAATGTGCCACTGGTTGCAGTGAGCCAAAAATGTGCCACTGCACTCCAGCCTGAGCGACAGAGCAAGACCCTATCTCAAAAAAAAAAAAAAAAAAAAAAATTAGCTAGCTGTGGTGGTATAGTCCCGGCTACTTGAATGGCTGAGTTGGGAGCATCACTTGAGCCCAGGAGGCAAAGTTTGCAGTGAGCTGAGATTGTGCCACTGCACTCCAGCCTGGGTGACAGAGCAAGATGCTGCCTCAAAAAAAAAAAAAAGAAAAGAAAATAGGACAAGTTGGGCATAGATTTTGAGTGGAATAGAGTTAAGGCACAAACAGACTTTTTTCTACCTTTTTTTTTTTTTTTTTTTAGTAAGAGATAGGTTCTCGATCTGTTGCCCAGTGTAGCGTGTCACCCAGGCTGGAGTGCAGTGGCACCATCATAGCTCATTGCAGCCTCGAACTGCACTCCAGCTTGGGCAACAGAGTGAGACTCTGTCTGTAAATAAATAAATAAAGGGAAGAGCAGTCGATTGGGGATGAGGAAACTGGGTCTTAGCCTAGCTGGTTGCTTACTATATGGCTTGAGTAAGTCATTTCACTTCTGTTTCCACAGGTGCAATATGAAGATGAAAACTATCCTGCACACCTCACAAAACTAAGGTGTATGTGTGTGAGTGGGAGCATAATGTGAGACGCCTTTGTCTTCTAAGCCACCTCTAGGCTCACACTGACTAGCAAGCTTTGCTTGTCCCTTTCAGTTGCAATGTTGCTGTCACTGTCACCCTATAATCTCTTTAATTGGCAGTTGCAGACCAAGGGCCCACCCTTCCTTTAATGACAGCTGGCTGAAGCCTTCCAACTTTAGTTGTCCCAAGTCACACTGGCTGACTTATAAAGCCATATCTGTGGCCGGGCGTGGTGGCTCATGCCTGTAATCCCAGCACTTTGGGAGGCTGAGCCAGGCAGATCACCTGAGGTCAGGAGTTCGAGACTAGCCTGACCAACATGGTGAAACCCCATCTCTACTAAAAAAAATACAAAAATTAGTCGGGCATGGTGGTGCGTGCCTGTAATCCCAGCTACTCGGGAGGCTGAGGCAGGAGAATCGCTTGAACCCGGGAAGTGGAGGTTGCAGTGAGCCGAGATTGCGCCACTGCACTCCAGCCTGGGCAACAGAGCGAGACTCTGTCTCAAAAAAAAAAAAAGCCGTATCTGTTCTCTAGTCAGCTCCAAGGAAGTGCCTAGATGGGAGAAACCCACACATCTCATCTAGTAGAAAAATAGTCACTGTTCCTCGCAATGGTTATTCAAATACACAATGCTTACGCTCGCCTCAGGACTTTATCTATGCTGTTTCCTCTGCCCATAAGGTCCATGCTCAAATTCTGCACACGGAAGGCTCCTTCATATCACTTGCAACTAGTTTCACGTGTCCCTCCCCTCCATTCTTTCCCTTGCCTTATTTTTCTTACTTCTATCTGCATTCTCTTGTTTACCTGTTTTTGTCTGCATCTCCCACTGGGATAAAAGCTCCAGAATATCTGGCAGTAGGCACTCAGTACAATGAATCTCCCCAGCCTCCCCACTCTCAGCTTAGTCACCTCCCAATAGCATCCCTTTTCCAGCCAGACCACACTGGCTTGCCCTGATGAGTGTTCATGCCTTAGGTACAGCCAGAGTTTCATCTGGATACCCTATGACTATTTCTATCACTATATGACATTTTTTTTTTTTTTTTTGAGATGGAGTCTCGCTCTGTCACCCAGGCTGGAGTGCAGTGGCACGATCTCGGCTCACTGCAAGCTCCGCCTCCCAGGTTCACGCCATTCTTCTGCCTCAGCCTCCAGAGTACCTGGCACTACAGGCACCCGCTACCACACTCGGCTAATTTTTTGTATTTTTAGTGGAGATGGGGTTTCACCGTGTTAGCCAGGATGGTCTCGATCTCCTGACCTCGTGATCTGCCTGCCTCAGCCTCCCAAAGTGCTGGGATTACAGGCATGAGCCACCGGGCCCGGCCTGTTCAGGTTTTATCTTCCCCACTAGATGATACACTTTGAGAGGAACTCTTTTGTATAGAATTTTGGAGTTCGAAGAGATTTTAGTGTTTATCTCATCCAAACTTCTCACCTAATGTCTGAATCCCCTTTATGAATCTCTGATAACTTTTTTTTTCTTTTGAAATAGGGTCTTGCTATGTCACCCAGGCTGGAGTGCAGTGACTCACTCTTGGCTCACTGCAACCTCTGCTTCCCCTACTCAAGCGATCCTCTCACCTCAGCCTCCCGAGCAGCTGAGACTACAGGTGCATGCCACCACACCCAGCTAATTTTTGTATTTTTCATAGAGACAGGGTTTCACCGTGTTGCCCAAGCTGGTCTCAAATTCCCGCGCTCAAGTGATCCACCTGCCTCAGCCTCCCAGAGTGCTGGGATTACAAGTGTTAGCCACCACACCCAGCCTCTGACAACTTCTGATTTCATCTTTTGAAGACCTCTCATTCTGGGGCTCTCCTTACCTAAAGAATAGAGGCTCAGTGCAGGAATAGAGGATGCTGAATGCAATGTTGTTGAATTCATGCTACTTCTCCCTTAAAACTGAGTCAGCCCTTGGCTGGGTGTAGGTTGCAGAAGAGGGAGAACACAGAGAACTGAACAACTTTTTGGCTAAAAATGTTGGGGAATGTTTCCAACGAACTTGTGTCCACTGCCACTTATGCCTTGTGATTTAGCTCTTGCCCATTGTTATTTAGGGCAACCAAATTACAAAACTTAAATCTCTCTTTTTTCCTCCTCTTAGGAAAGGCTATGAAGAACATTTGGCAGGAGCATTGCAGCTAACAAAGCCCTTTCCAATACTTCAGCTTGTTAGAACTCTTTGATGCAGGCAGTGTTATCCTCACATTAGGGAGGAAACTGAGATTTAAACTAAGTCATTAAGGTTGGCAAAGCTAGCATTCAAACCCAGGTCATTTAGCTTCAAAAAGCCTAGTGCCGTGTTTTCACTAAACAGTCACGTGTCTAAAAACCAAGCCAGGTGCAGTGGCTCATGACTATGATCCCAGCACTTTGAGAGGCTGAAATAGGAGGTTCACTTGATCCCAGGAGTTTGAGACCAGCCTGGACAACATAGTGAGATCCCCGTTGCTAAAAATATTTTCTTTTAATTAGCGAGGTGTGGTGGTATGTACCTCTAGTCCCAGCTACTCGGGAGACCGAGGTGGGAGGATCACTTGAGCCATGATTGTGCCACTGCACTCCAGCCTGTGTGACACAGCAAGACCTTGTCTCAAAAAAAAAAAAATTAAATTAAAAAAACCCTCTGTTGTGCAAAGGCCGATTTTGGCCCTGGAGAAAGAATCAGGGTCAGTCAGGTGCGGTGGCTCACGCCTATAATCCCAGCACTTTGGGAGGCCGAGGCGGGTGGATCACTTGAGGTCAGGAATTCCAGACCAGCCTGGACAACATGGCAAAACCCCGTCTTTACTAAAAATACAAAAATTAGCCGGGCATGGTGGTGCATGCCTGTAATTCCAGCTACTCGGGAGGCTAAGGTAGGAGAATCACTTGAATCCGGGAGGCAGAGGTTGCAGTGAGCGGAGATCGTGCCACTGCACTCCAGCCTGGGCAACAGAGTGAGACTCTGTCTCAAAAACAAAACAAAACAAAAACAGAAAGAATCAGAGTCAACAAATCAGTATGGATGCAGATTCCTCAGATGCCAGGAATCCCAGGATAAATGGCAGGGGTGAACCAAATACTTCCCATTCTTCCCTCACCACCCTCCTCCATCCAATAAAGAAGTAAATAAATTCCTCAAGTCCCCTCTGCCCCAGTGCATGGAATGTTTACCTGTGGACTAGGACTGGTCTACATGCCAAACAGGCCTTGCCTCCTGGGCGGCATGTTTGCAGGGGATCCTTGCTGATGATGTTGGCCTCCTCCTGCACCCTCCCACTCCATGGCTGTCTCACCTGAGAGAGCTTTCTTCCTTTTGCATTAAGTGTGAGTCCTGATAAATTCAAAAAAGCCTCCAGGTGACATCATTTTAACACCAGTTAACAATCACAAATCTGGGTGAATGAGCCTCAGAGTTTTTCTTGACAGTAGTGTGCGTGCGTGTGTGTGTGCGTGTTTTCCATGGAAAAATAAAATGTATTACACAAACTATCAGTATTAATTACAGAAAGGTGGCCAGGTGCAGTGCCTCACGCCTGTAATCCTGGCACTTTGGGAGGCCAAGGCGGGCAGATTGCCTGAGCTCAGGAGTTTGAGACCAGCCTGGTCAAACATGGTGAAACCCTGTATCTACTAAAAATACAAAACATTAGCTGGGCGTGGTGGCGCATGCCTGTAGTCTCAGGTACTCGGAAGGGTGAGGCACAAGAATCGCTTGAGTCTGGAAGGTGGAGGTTGCAGTGAGCCGAGAACACGCCACTAAACTCCAGCCGGGGTGACAGAGCAAGACTCTGTCTCAAAAAACAAACAAACAATTAATTACAGAAAGGTAAGCCTGGCCAATAGGTCAGGAAAAGCAGCCCCACTGCAGATCCACACCACTACGGAAACTTGAGGCACCACACACATGACTTTGCTGACTGGGGGCAAAGGATGAACTAGTGAGCAAACTTGGGAGGCTGAGACAGGAGGATCGCTTGAACCTGGGAGGTAGAGGTTGCAGTGAGCCAAGATCGCACCACTGCTCTCCAGCCAGGTGACAGAGCGAGACTCCAGCTCAAAAAAAAAAAAAAAGTCAAGATATTAAATATGAAAGCAACACTTTATTTTTTATTTTATTTTATTTTAAGACAGGGTCTCTCTCTGTCACCCAGACTGGAGTACAGTGACATGATCTCTGCTCACTGTGATCTCTGCCTCCCAGGCTCAAACTATCCTCCCACATCAGCCTCCCAAATAGCTGGGACTACAGGGGCCCACCACCACACCTGACTAATTTTTGTATTTTTGGTAGAGATGCGGTTTCACCATGTTGCCCAGCCTGATCTTGAACTTCTGGATTCAAGTGATCCGCCCTCCTCGGCCTCCCAAAGTGCTGGGACTACAGGCTTGAGCCACCTCGCCCAGCTGAAAGTGACACTTTAATACTTTCAGGAAATTATAGGAGATGATTGTTAAGAGCTCAGGATAAAGAGAAGTTTCTGGCCGGGAACGGTGGCTCACACCTGTAATCCCAGCACTTTCAGTGGCGGAGCACCTGTGGCCAAGAGTTTGAGACCAGCCTGGCCAACATGGTGAAACCCCATCTCTACTAAAAATACAAAAATTGAGGTGCCGCTGTTGCTGCTCGTGTTAAATCTAGAACCGTAGCCAGACATGGGACTGGAGGACGAGCAAAAGATGCTTACCGAATCCGGAGATCCTGAGGAGGAGGAAGAGGAAGAGGAGGAATTAGTGGATCCCCTAACAACAGTGAGAGAGCAATGCGAGCAGTTGGAGAAATGTGTAAAGGCCCGGGAGCGGCTAGAGCTCTATGATGAGCATGTATCCTCTCGATCACATACAGAAGAGGATTGCACGGAGGAGCTCTTTGACTTCTTGCATGCAAAGGACCATTGCGTGGCCCACAAACTCTTTAACAACTTGAAATAAATGTGTGGACTTAATTCACCCCAGCCTTCATCATCTGGGCATCAGAATATTTCCTTATGGTTTCGGATGTACCATTTGTTTCTTATTTGTGTAACTGTAAGTTCACATGAACCTCGTGGGTTTTGGCTTAGGCTGGTAGCTTCTATGTAATTCGCAGTGATTCCATCTAAATAAAAGTTCTGTGATCTGCAAAAAAAAAAAAAAATTAGCCGGGTGTGGTGGTACATGCCTGTAATCACAGCTACGTGGGAGGCTGAGGCAGGAGAATCCCTTGACGCCAGGAGGTGGAGGTTGCAGTGAGCTGAGATTATGCCACTGCACTCCAGTCTGGGTGACATAGCAATACTCTGTCTCAAAAAAAATTTTTTTTTTCTTTTTTTAAACAATTTACTTATTCATTTTTAATTTTTTCTGAGATGAAGTCTTGCTATGTTGCCCAGGCTGGTCTCAAACTCCTGGGCTCAGATGATCCGCCTGCCTTAGCCTCTCAAAGTGTTGGGATTATGGGTACGAGCCACAAACAGACAAGAGAAGTTTCTTTTTTTTTTTATGAGATGGAGTCTCACTCTGTCACCCAGGCTGGAGTGCAGTGGCGTCTCCTCGGCTCACTGCAACCTCTGCCTGCTGCGTTCAAGTGATTCTCCTGCCTCAGCCTCCCGAGTAGCCGAGACTACAGGCGCCCGCCACCTTGCCCTGCTAATTTTTGTATTTTTAGTAAAGACGGGGTTTCACCATGTTGGCCAGGCTGGTCTCCAACTCCTGACCTCAGGTGACCCGCCTGCCTCAACCTCCCAAATGCTGGGATTACAGGCATGAACCACCTCGCCCAACCGAAGAGAAGTTTCTTAAGATAAAAGGAAATGCAGGCCGGGCTTGATGGCTCATGCCTGTAATCCCAGCACTTTGGGAGTCTAAGGCAGGAGGATCACCTGAGCAACATGAAACCCTGTCTCTACCAAAAATACAAAAAATTAGCTGGGTGCGGTGGCATGTGCCTGTGATCCCAGCTACCCAGGAGGGTGAGGTGGGAGGATCGATTGAGCAGAAATCTCGCTACTGCACTCCAACCTGGGTGACAGAATGAGACCCCGCCTCAATAAATAAATAAATAAATAAAGACCATAAAGGAAAAAAATTGATACATTACCTCCATCAAAATAAATCAAAAGCCATCTTAAAACAGAATCTCAGGCTGGGCACGGTGGCTCATGCCTGTAATCTCAGCACTTTGGGAGTCCGAGGCGGGCAGATCACGAGGTCAGGAGATCGAGACCATCCTGGCTAACACGGTGAAACCCCGTCTCTACTAAAAATACAAAAAATTAGCCGGGTGTGGTGGTGGGTGCCTGTAGTCCCAGCTACTCGGGAGGTTGAGGCAAGAGAATGGCGTGAACGCAGGAGGCGGAGCTTGCAGTGAGCTGAGATTGTGCCACTGCACTCCAGCCTGGGCAACAGAGAGCAAAAAAAAAAAAAAAAGAAAAGAAAAAAGAGGCTCTCAACTCTGGCCGCAGGAGCATCACCTTAAGGGAGTTTTTTTTTGTTGTTGTTTTTGTTTTTTTTTTTGAGACGGAGTTTCGCTCTTGTTGCCCAGGCTGGAGTGTAATGGTGTGATCTTGGCTCACCAAAACCTCCGCCTCCCAGGTTCAAGTGATTCTCCTGCCTCAGCCTCCCAAGTAGCTGGGACTATAGGCATGCACCACCATGCCCGGCTGATTTTGTATTTTTTTTTTAGTAGAGACGGGGTTTCTCCAGGTAGGTCAGGCTGGTCTCGAACTCTTGACCTCAGGTGATCCGCCCACCTCAGCCTCCCAAAGTGCTGGGATTATAGGTGTGAGCTACCACGCCTGTACCCAACTAACTTCTTGTATTTTTTGTAAAGACAGGGTTTCACCATGTTGCCCACGCTGTTCTTAAACTCCTGATCTCAAGCAGTCCACTTATGTTGGCCTCCCAAAGTGCTGGGATTACAGGTGTGAGCCACCACACTGGCATTATGAGCCACCACACTGGCATTATTCTTTAAAAAATATATTATGACCAGGCACTGTGCATAACAAAACAAAGCAAATGCATGTACATACTAAAAAATGGTAGCTGCTGCCACCACACCTGGCCCTTTTTAATTAAGAAAAAAACTTGGCCAGGCGCGGTAGCTCACATCTGCAATTCCAGCACTTTGGGAGGCCGAGGTGAGCGGATCACAAGGTCAGGAGATCGAGACCATCCTGACCAACATGGTGAAACCCCGTCTCTACTAAAAATACAAAAAATTAGCTGGGCGTGGTGGTGTGTGCCTGTAGTCCCAGCTACTCGGGAGGCTGAGGCAGGAAAATCGCTTGAAACCACCGGAAGGCAGAGGTTGCAGTGAGCTGAGATCGCATCACTGCACTCCAGCCTGGGCAACAAGAATGAAACTCCGTCTCAAAAAAAAAAAAAAAGAAAAAACTTTTTCAGTCAGGACCTCACTATGTTCCCCAGGCTGCTGGTCTCGAACTCCTGGCCTCAAACAGTTCTCCCAAAGAACTAATGGTGTGAACCACCACACCTGGCCTCAAACTTTTAAAAAACACAAATGGGGCTGGGTGCGGTGACTCATGCCTGAAATCCCAGCAATTTGGGAGGCCAAGGTGGGCAGATCATTTGAGGTTGGGAGTTTGAGACCAGCCTGGCCAACATGGCAAAACTCCATCTCTACTAAAAATACAAAAATTAGCCAGGTGTGGTGGCACACGCCTGTAATCCTGGCTACTCTGGAGGCTGAGGCAGGAGAATCACTTGAACCTGGGAGGTAGAAGTTGCAGTGAGCCGAGATCACACCACTGCACTCCAGCCTGGGTGACAGAGCAAGACTTCTAAAAAAAAAAAAGCCTGCATACCATTCTGTCACTTGCTTTTTTACTTACTACCTCAAAATGTTGAGGTTCATTCATCCAACAAATATTTAGTTAGCCCTTAAATATGTGCTCAGCAGCTAGGGACCCAGCAGTGCCCTTGCCTTCAAAGGATTTTCATTGCAGTAGAGGGGACACACGATAGACAACAAGCAAGTAGTAATGAAAGACAAGAGGGAGATGACAGGTGACAGACAAGTTAATAGGGCCCAGGCTCAGTGGCTCACGCCTGTTATCCCAACACAATGGGAGGCCGAGGCGGGTGGGTCACCTGAGGTCAGGAGTTCAAGATCAGCCTGGCCAATACCCCATCTCTACTAAAAGTACAAAAATTAGCCAGGCGTAGTGGCGCTTGCCTGTGGTCCCAGCTACTCGGGAGGCTGAGGCAGGAGAATTGATTAGACCCAGGAGGCGGTGAGGTTGCAGTGAGCCGAGATCGAGCCACTGCACTCCAGCCTGGGTGACAGAGTGAGACTTCATCTCAAAAAAAAAAGGAAAAGTTAATAGGAAGGCAGCCTATA
Organism: Homo sapiens; assembly: GCF_000001405.40. Classification (NCBI taxonomy): domain Eukaryota; kingdom Metazoa; phylum Chordata; class Mammalia; order Primates; family Hominidae; genus Homo; species Homo sapiens. The sequence goes on along the minus strand of NC_000001.11, from coordinate 15,803,961 downwards.
TGGTCTGGTGTCGTCTTTTAGCAATTCCGTGAAGTACAATGGAGTTTCCAGGTTTTCTCTGTGACAAAGGGATGCTGCTTTGTCACTTTTTTTTCTTTCGAGGCAGGGTCTTACCCTGTAGCCCAGACTGGAGAGCAGTGATGCGATCACAGCTCACTGCAGCCTCGAACTCTTAGGCTCAGGGGATCCTCCCACCTACTGAGTAGCTGAGACCACAGGTACATGCCACTGTACCTGGCTAATTTTTGTTTTTTGTAGAGACAGAGTCTCACTGATGTTGCCTAGGCTGGTCTGGAACTCCTGGGCTCAAATAATCCTCCCGCCTTGGTCACCCAAAATGTTGGGATTACAGGCGTGAGCCACGGTGCCCAGCTGAGCCTTGATATTTAAATAGTGGTCTGGGGACCAGCAACACTGACATCTGCTGGGAGGTTGTTAGAATTGTAGAATTTCAGGTCCCACCTCAGACCTATTGATTATTTCCATATTAACAAGATTCACAGGTGATTTGTATGCACATTTCAGTTTGAGAAGGACTGGTTTAGAATGGAAGATAAAAAATGGCAGATAAGGCTGGGCACGGTGGCTCATGCCTGTAATCCTAGCACTTTGGGAGGCCAAGGCGGGAGGATCACAAGGTCAGGAGTTCAAGACCAGCCTGGCCAACATGGAGAAACCCCATCTCTACTAAAAAAAAAGAAAAAAAGAAAAAATTAGCCGGGCGCAGTGGTGGAAGCGTGTAATCCCAGCTACTTGGGAGGCTGAGGCAGGAAAATTGCTGGAACCCAGGAGGCAGAGGTTGCAGTGAGCCGAGATCGTGCCAATGCACTCCAACCTAGGCAACAAGAGCAAGACTCCGTCTCAAAAAAAAAAAAAGACAGATAAGGTGTTAAATACCTTCAGTTCAATTAGGGATTGATGAGAGATGGTGTGACCTAAAACATTGTTCTGGGTTGAATTTGGCCTTGTTGCCTGGACTGTCAATATTGTGGTGTTTATCCTCTTAGGGAAGAGAACTCCAAAGACCAGGTCATCTCCTTAATTTGCTTCTCTCACCAGGTGTGGGAATCCAGATTGCCCCAAAATCTTGAGCTGTTAAGGCTGGGAAGAGCCTGAGATGCCATCAGTTCAGCTCAATCCCTAGCTGCTGCCCTGCTCACTTCTGCCAACCCCCGTCTCACAGGCGAGGCTCTGGGAAGGGCAGTGGTTTGCTCAAACCACAAATCAGCCCAGGGCTGGCCACAGTCCTGGGTCCCAGCCAGTAGTTATCTTTTCTCTAAGTTTTGGTCCATTATTTTTCTATCTCATGGATTTATCCTAACTTTTTAGAAAAATGAATTTTAAAAACATATATGGGTTCATATTAGAAAAGTATCATTGTAGCAGGATGAGCCTCAGACAAGAACCCCTCAGAAACCGAGTTGTAGAAGGAAAGGGCTTTATTCAGCTGGGAGCATCGGTGGATTCACGTCTCCAAAAGCCGAGCTCCCCGAGTGAGCAATTCCTGTCCCTTTTAAGGGCTTACAACTCTAAGGCGGTCCGCGTGAGAGGGTCGTGATCGATTGAGTAAGCAGAGGGTACGTGACTGGGGGCTGCATGCACTGGTAATCAGAACGGAAAGGAAGAGGACAGGGATTTTCACGACGCTTTTCCATACAATGTCTGAAATCTATAGATAACAGAAGAGTTAGGTCGGGGTTGATTTTTAACTCCAGGCCCAGGGTGCAGTGCTGGGCTATCTGCCTGTGGATTCCATTTCTGCCTTTTAGTTTTTACTACTTCTTTCTTTGGATTCAGAAATTGGGCATAAGACAATATGAGGGGTGGTCTCCTCCCTTATCATGTGCTTACTGTAAAAAAATCAGAGTTGGGCACAGTGGCTCACACCTGTAATCCCAGCACTTTGGGAGGCTGAGGCGGGAGAATCACTTGAGCCCAGGAGTGCAAGACCAGCCTGAGCAACACAGTGAGTCCCTATCTCTACAGAAAAAAAAAGAAAAATCAAAAGTTATCCAGGCAAGATGGTGTGCGCCTATGGTCCAGCCTACTCAAGAGGCTGAGGCTGGAGGATGGCTTGAGCCCAGAAGGTCAAGGCTGCAGTGAGCCATGATCGCACCATTGCACTCCAGCCTGTGTGACAGAACGAGACCCTGTCTCAAAAAAAAGAAAGCTTTAAAAGGGTGAATTTTGTATGTGTGATTCATATCTCAGTAAAGCTGTTATTAAAAAAAATAAATAAATAAAAGCAGGCCGCCGGGCATAGTGGCTCACACCTGTAATCCCAGCACTTTGGGAGGCTGAGGTGGGCAGATTACCTGAGGTCAGGAGTTTGAGACCAACCTGGCCAACATGATGAAGCCCCGTATTTACTAAAAATACAAAAATTAGTGGGAATAGTGGTGGGTGCCTGTAATCACAGCTACTCAGGAGGCTGAGGCAGGAGAATCGCTTGAACCTGGGAGGCAGAAGTTGCAGTGGGCCAAGATTGCCCCACTGCACTCCAGCCTGGGCAATAGAGTGAGACTCCATCTCAGAAAAAAAAAAAAAAAAGCTAGAGAGAAGAAAGTAAAATATCCTTTGAGTCACCCAACCCCAGACTGCAAGTAGCCACTCATTCATTCCACAAATACTCTCTGAGGGCCTGTTCTATGCAGGCTATGTGCCAAGGGTTTACACCCTAGGAGCAGTGCCACCCCAGTATCTGTCCCCCGTGACCAGTGACTGCCCCTCCTCTATAATATCTATTGACTGACCTCTCTGACCTCACCTCATTTCTTTCCTCCAGTGCCCCGGCTCCAGCAGTCCATGGATCCTGCCCCCTTTGCATGTCCCTCAGCCTGCCTGCCCTCCGTGTCCTTCCTGCCCAGCCTACAATTCATGGTCAGGCCCCACCCCCACCCCCTCCTGCGGTCCTGACAAAACCCCAACACTGGTCAGTCCCACTGCTCCACCTCCACCGCATCTCACCTGCACTTGCGCAGCTCAATGTCACACCACCTTGCCAGCTGCTTCCCTTTCAACTCATGACACAAAACCCAAGAGGGCCCTTAGTGGATGTCAGGATCAGTCACTGTCCCCATGACCCTTGCACCCCTCTTTTCTCCTCTCTATAAAATAAGGGTGATAATATTTCTGTCTCCCGGGGCTGTTGGCAGCATCAGTAGTAGGTCCTTGCTCGGGGGCAGCTACTGGGGTTAGTTCCTCTGGTGCTCAGTCCAAGAGTTCCCTGGTGTCTTGGTGTCCGCGGAGTCCCACCCTGCGGTCATTTATTTTGTTCCGCTGGTTGGGCAGGCCTGGGCTCTCTGCCAGATCTGATCATCCTCCCAGAGACAGGAGGGAACGGAATGTGGCACCAGGCAGTAAGACGCATGGCTGAGCTCAGCAGGAGAGGGAAGCTTCCAACTTCCTGCAGCGAATGTCCTAGGTGATAGGTCAAGTCTGACCCCGCCAGTGAGGCCAACATGGAAACTTACTAGGGCCTCGAAAAGGTGTGTGTGGGAGTTCAGAGAGGAGTGGAGACAGCCGGCCTCCCAATCTGGACCCACAGGGCAGGGCAGGGAGAGGAGATGGCCCCGCCTCCAGGAATCCAGGCTGCACCTCCCTCCAGGGAACTCAGATCAAAGCCAGGAGGAAGGAGGAGTGTGAACTTTGCACCCAGTGACTCACTGCATCCCCCTAGGGCAAGTGCTCTCACCCGTGCAGAATCCTGCCCTCCTTGCCACTGACGGGACCATCCGCACTGGGTCAGCCTATGAGCAACACTGACCTGATTCACCTGCACGCCTTCATTCCCCCACCTTCATCCTCCTCCTCGCAGAGGTGATCAGATGTTTGCAGGTGCCTGCCTGTGTTTACAAGTAGGTCTTGGAAGATAAGAGAGGCGGTGGGAGGGGTGGGAAAGCCCTGTTCTGGCAGTCAGGACACCCAGGGCTTGGCCACTAACCAGCTGTGTGAGCTCGGCCGGTCTCACACCCTCTCTGGGCCCGGCCACCACCTCTGTGGTTATGGGCAGTTGGACTCTATGGCAAGTTCATCTGCCCTACCGGCTTGGGGTTCTACCGGCTTGGGGTTCTACTGGCTTGGGGTTCTTCCTTCTCACCGTTGCCCCCCTGGGAAAAAGCCCCAATCCTGGCACAGAGTCTAGGAAGCCTTGCTGCTTTGGTTCCTGCCTGAGTCTGGCCCTCATCCTGCACTTCCCACATGCTCAGCCACATTCAGCTGTGCCCAGCTCAGAGAGCAAGCGCCTGGATAGCTCTTGTTCCAGAGCCTCGCCTGGCTGACCCCTGCACACCCTTTAGGCCCAGCTCTGACATCACTTTCTCCATGGCCTGCCCTCCTGGACTCCTGGCTGTGCCTCCCCAGCACGGACTGTTCTCTTTTCTCCTTTTTCCATTAAACTGAGCTCTGTGCCAAGGGCAGTGACTGGCAGATGGGAGGGGTCAATGAGTATTTTATTAAAGAGTGAGTGAATGAATGAACAAATGAATGAATGAAGCGGGATCTCTAGGCACACTGGAGTGGAGCCACTGTTTGCTTTCTGCCCGTGGGACTTGATTTGAAGCCATCTCAGGGTGGGCCATTGGGAGTTCTACCTTGCCAAGGAGGGGTTGCTGGTCAGAGGGGTGCTGGAAGCGGGGGGGTTGCTGGGGGAAAGGGTGCAGATTTGCAAGGGAGGTTCTGGCTGAGCTCCCTGCATGCCACAGCCCGTCTGAGCAGTCTTGGGAAACCCCAAGCTGCCAGGCCCATGACTCACAGGCCCCAGAGAGCATTCTTAACCCTCCCTGACCCCCCATGTGCCTTCTGATTGGGCCCTCAGGGTGACCCCTCATGGGTTTCTCTCCTGCTTCAGCCAGCCCCTCCCTGTGGTCTGAAGTTTGGGATCCTGCTAACTGTAAAGGACCAGTTCAGGATTCCTGGGTCGTATTGTGTTTTTTGTTTGTTTGTTTGTTTTTGAGATGGAGTTTTGCTCTTGTTGCCCAGGCTGGAGTGCAGTGGCATGATCTCAGCTCACTGCAACCTCCACCTCCTGGTTTCAAGCGATTTTCCTGCCTCAGCCTCCCGAGTAGCTGGGATTACAGGCATGAGCCACCATGCCCGGCTAATTTTGTATTTTTAGTAGAGACGGGATTTCTCCATGTTGGTCAGGCTGGTCTCGAACTCCTGACCTCAGGTGATCTGCCCGCCTCGGCCTCCCAAAGTGCTGGGATTACAGGCATGAGCCACCACGGCAGGCCATAATTTTTTTTTTTTTTTTTTTTTTTGGAGACGGAGTTTCGCTTTTGTTGCACAGGCTGTAGTGCAATGGCGCAATCTCGGCTCACTGCAACCTCCGCCTCCTGGGTTCAAGCGATTCTCCTGCCTCAGCCTCCCGACTAGCTGGGATTACAGGCATGTGCCACCACCCCGGCTAATTTTGTATTTTTAGTAGAGATGGGGTTTCTCCACGTTGGTCAGGCTGGTCTTGAACTCCCAACCTCAGGTGATCCGCCTGCCTCGGCCTCCTAAAGTGCTGGGATTACAGGCATGAGCCACCGCTCCTGGCCTAATTTTTTGTATTTTTAGTAGAGATGGGGTTTTACCATGTTGGCCAGGCTGGTCTCAAACTCCAGACCTTAGGTGATCCACCTGCCTCGGCCTCCCAAGGTGCTGGGATTACAGGCGTGAGCCACCGTGCCCGGCCCGTATTGTGTTTTCCTGAGGAATCCTTGCGTGTTTATGGATTCCTCAGGAATCCATAACCCAGAGAGGGTGTGAGACCGGCCGAGCTCACACAGCTGGTTAGTGGCCAAGCCCTGGGTGTCCTGACTGCCAGAACAGGGCTTTCCCACCCCTCCCACTGCCTCTCTTATCTTCCAAGACCTACTTGTAAACACAAGCAGGCACCTGCAAACATCTGATCACCTCTGCGAGGAGGAGGATGAAGGTGGGAAGGAAAAAAATTACCACTCACACTGGGTGAAGGTCACTCTGATCTTCTGAGACCCCTCACCATCCTCTTCCTACTTGGCACTTGTCTCCCACATGCTATAGATATTGGGTCAGGTCCCCCACTCCTCTTCTCTTGCCATCTTCTCAGTCAGTAGGCCCCTCCCCCTTGTCCAGACATGACTACCCTCTCAGCCCGACTTTCCTGTTGGCAGAAGAGTGTGTGATGGCCTCCTCTCACCCCCTTGTTCTTACGTCATCAGTGAGAGGCAGGGCATCCAGGAGCTCAGGCTCAAAGACTTTCCCCTTTATCCCGTTAGTTTGTTAGATAAGAAACTTTTGATTTCAAAATAACTTTAGATTTATTGAGGCTGGGCATGGAGGCTCACGCCTGTAATCCCAGCATTTTGGGAGGCCGAGGTGGGCAGATCACGAGGTCAGGAGATCGAGACCATCCTGACCAACATGGTGAAACCCAGTCTCTACTAAAATACAAAAAATTAGCCAGGCGTGGTGGTGTGTGCCTGTAGTCCCAGCTACTTGGGAGGCTGAGGCAGGGGAATTGCTTGAACCTGGGAGGCAGAGGTTGCAGTGAGCCAAGATCGCTCTACTGCACTCCAGCCTGGTGACAGAGCAAGACTCCGTCTTAAAAAAAAAAAAAAAAAACAGCCGGGTGCGGTGGCTCACGCCTGTAATCCCAGCACTTTGGGAGGCCGAGGCAGGCAGTTCACGAGGTCAGGAGATCGAGACCTTCCTGGCTAACACGGTGAAACCTCATCTCTTCTAAAAATACAAAACATTAGCCGGGCGTCGTGGCGGGCACCTGTAGTCCCAGCTACTCAGGAGGCTGAGGCAGGAGAATGGCGTGAACCCGGGAGTCAGAGCTTGCAGTGAGCCAAGATCGCGCCACTGCACTCCAACCTGGGTGACAGAGCGAGACACTGTCTCAGAAAAAAAAAAAAAAAAATCTCACGCAACTATGGCACATTTGTCCAAACTAGGAAACTGACATTGGTACAACATGACTCACCAAACTCCAGACTTTACTGGGATTTCACCAGATTTTCCACTAATGTCCTTTCTTCCTTTCCAGAATCCATCCCAGGAAACCACATGACATTTGGTCATCTGCCATTGCATTCCTTTACGTGTATGATCAAGGTAATAATTCTCTTTGTTTTGTAGGTGAGGAAAAAAGCAATTCAGTGGCCAAGGGATTGCCCTGTCTCATCTAGGAGGCTAAGGCAGTGGAATAAAGGGTTTAGGACTTGGCTAAATATAGAGCTGGAATCTATGTGGTGTGACCTTGAGCCTTCGTCTCCCTGTGTGAACGATGGGATCATAGATCATTCCTTCCTTCCAGGCAGCAGTGGGAACTAAATGAGATAATACATATGGGCATATGCATGCCCACGAAATGGTAGCTGCTGCTGTTGTTATTACTGTCAGTATCCTCATCAAGGAGTCTCGATCCCAGGCAGGCTGCCTAACTCCTGAAACCTAGCTTCCTGTTCAGCGTAGTCAATCATCCCACCTCTCCAGCCTCACCCCAGACAAGACAGACAAGAGCTCAGGAAATAAATGTCAGTTTTTGACACCCTTCCTCACCCTCAAAACTTAAAGACATTGTGTCTCAAGGTCAAATAGCTGGCTAGGAGCTTAACCAGAGAGAGAGTCTAGTTTTTTTTTTGTTTTTTGTTTTTTGTTTTTTTTTGTAGAGATGGGGTCTCACTCTATTGCCCAGGCTGAAATAGAACTCCTGGGCTCAAGTGATCCTCCTGCCTCGGCTCCCAAATTGCTGGGATTATAGACATGAGCCACTTCACCCAGCCCGAGAATCTAGGTCTTGCTAAGACCTTATCCCATCCACTGGGCAGAACCCCTCCCTCCTGTCTTCCTCCTCCCCTCCCCTCCCTTCCCATTCAGAGACCACTCTGGGGAACAGAGGCCACCGGCCAGCTGCTCTTAATTCCACCTCATGGGATGCCCTGCAAGGGACCCCACCACCTCCTCTGGCCTAAAGGAGCTGTCATAAACACCTGATGAAGGAAGCGTTGCAAGGTCATTTTCATTTTCAAAAGAAGGTAAAATCATGACTCCCACACAGATAGAAAATGAATAGGTATTAGCCATTTTATTTAACTCATAAGGGAGCCAGGTGATGTTATAACCAGCTCAAAAGGGCAGCTAAGGGCCGGGCACAGTGGCTCACGCCTGTAATCCCAGCACTTTGGGAGGCCGAGGCAGGTGGATTGCCTGAGGTCAGGAGTTCAAGACCAGTCTGGCCAACATGGTGAAACCCCGTCTCTACTAAAAATACAAAAATTAGCTGGGCATCATGGCATATGCCTGTAATCCCAGCTACTTGGGAGGCTGAGGCAGGAGAATCGCTTAAACCCAGGAGGCGGAGCTTGCAGTGAGCTGAGATCATGCCACTGTGCTCTGCTCCAGTCTGGGTGACAGAGCGAGACTCTGTCTCAAAAAAAAAAGGGGGGACAGCTAAGAACAGTCACATTCATAGGTCAGGAATATTGAAATGAATGTGCAAATGAAAACTGGTTTTTCAACAAGAAAGCGAGGGAGAACCTCTACTAGACAGGGCAATATATCATTTACCTATAATTTACAGAGCTGTAAAGTCGCTCAAAGACAATAAAAGGCTAGAATCTGATAACCAGGAAGGGTGTGCTGGGTGTAGATAGTGCATTATTTTCCACTGAATCACATACATTTTTTTCTGCAGAAGGAAGGTTATGAGCAGGGTACACTCCAGAGTCTCTCTAATCTGATGCTCACTCTCTGAGAATTAGTATGAGTCATACAGGATACAAGGACCTTTCTGGATGGATTGGGAAAATTATATGTCACTTACAAGCAAGAGGCCTGCAGTCTAAACTCCCCCTCTTAAGATGCAGGTCTTGGCCTGGCGTGGTGGATCACACATGTAATTCTAGCACTTTGGGAGGCCAAAGCAGGAGGATCACTTGAGCTCAGAAGTTCAAGAGCAGCCTGGGCAACATAGAGAGACCTCATCTCTAAAAAAAAAAAAAAAAAAAAAAAAGATGCAGGTCTTAGCTGGGCACGGTGGCTCACTCCTGTAATCCCAGCACTTGGGAGGCCGAGGCAGGAGGATTGCTTGAGGCCAAGAGTTCCAAATCAGCCTAAGCAGCATGGTAAAACCCCATCTTTACAAAAAATTTAAAAAATTAGTCAGGTGTGGTGGTGCATGCTTGGGGTCCCAGCTACTTGGGAGGCTGAGGTAGGAGGACTGCTTGAGCCCAGGACATCATCAAAGCTGCAGTGAGCTGTATTTGCACCACTGTACTCCAGCCTGGGCAACAGAGTGAGACTGTGTCTCAAAAAAAAAAAAGATGCAGAGATGCAGAGCTCCAGACATTAAAGGTTTTTTCAGTTGGACATTGGCACCTGTGTTACACGATGGGTTCTGAAACATTCTAGAATATGGATTTCTGAAGTGGGTCTGTAGTGGAGGACTATAGAATTTTCACTGGACCTGCTTTGATCCTGTCTCTGCTGTGCGGCCTTGTGCAGTTATACCAGCTCTCTGATGTGCAGCTTCCTCCTCTTTGGCAATGTCAAAATTGCTACTTCATAGATTATTTTGTTACATAAACTGTACATTAAAGTGAGGAGAACATTTTTTGGAAAATGTTCTCAGTCCCTGCAATTCTTCCTCATCAGCTCAGCCTCCTCCCCTCTCCCCATCCCCCCATTCAATTCCCGGTTCCCACCATTTGTCTCTCTAGCAGGGTAGGGAGGGGCTTGGGTTGCCCTGGAGGGGCTGGCCTGTGGCCTGTGCTGGGTGAAGTTCACACCTGGGTGTGCCCTCGGGAAAGGGGCCTCTGGGGACAGGGTGACCATCAGAAAGGCTCAGGGCTCCCAGTGCACCATGCTGTCCTTTGTCCCAGCTCTGATTCTGTGCTTACTGTGCCCAGGTTCCCAGGTATGGAATTGCAGGGTAGCAGCATGGGGACTTCCAGGTGGGCCCCTCCTAGCAGGTGGGGGTTTGAGCCAATGAAGAATTCAGTCTGCTGACACAGGTCTCCCTCCAAAAGGGCGTGTCTCTAGGACAGAGGCAGCAATTCCACAGCCATATCACTCACTTTCTAGTTTTTTGTTTTGTTTTGTTTTGGAGAGAGGGTCTCGCTCTGTGGCCCAGGCTGGAGGGCAGTGGCGTGGTGCGATCTCAGCTTACTTCAACCTCTGCATCCCAGGCTCAGGTGAATCTCCCAACTCAGTTTCCCAAGTAGCTGGGACCACAGGTGCTCACCACCACGCCCGCCTAATTTTTCTTTTTTTCTTTTTTTTTTTTTTTGAGACGGAGTTTCGCTCTCGTTGCCCAGGCTGGAGTGCAATGGCGTGATCTCGGCTCACCACAACCTCCGCCTCCCAGGTTCAAGCAATTCTCCTGCCTCAGCCTCCCGAGTAGCTGGGATTACAGGCATGCACCATCACGCCCAGCTAATTTTGTATTTTTATAGTAGAGACGGGGTTTCTCCATGTTGAGGCTGGTCATGAACTCCTGACATCAGGTGATCCACCCGCCTCGGCCTCCCAAAGTGCTGGGATTACAGGCATGAGCCACTGCGCCTGGCCCTGCCTAATTTTTCTATTTTTAGTAGAGATGGAGTTTCTCCACATTGCCCAGGCTGGACACTCTTTCTTTTTCTTTTTTTTCCACCAGTTGTCAAGTGATCCTTTATTGAAATATTTTCCTTTCTGCTTCTTAACTGGCTGGGCATTCCACAGCACCACTGTTGATGTCATCTATGATGTCATGAGGGTAGCGGCCATCAACATTACAGCCCACAGACTGGGCAGTCCCCAGGATCTCTTTAATGGTTCCAGAGAGTTCCCTGGCTAAAGATCGGTGCCACGTGTGTCAAGCAATGTTGACGATCTCATCAAAAGTGATATTCCCACTGTGTTTAATGTTTTTCTGTTTCTTTCTGTCTCTTAGTGGTTCCCTGAGGGCTTTGATGATCAGGGCAGAGGCAGAAGGCACCACCTCAATCTGGGCCTGTCTGTTCTGAATGGTCAGTTTCACTGTAATCCTCAGGCCCTTCCGGTAACCCGTTGCCTTGGCAATGTTATCACCAACCTTTTTTGGAGACAGACCCAGGGGGCCGATCTTGGGGGCCAGCGCAGAAGCAGCGACTTCACCTCCAGTGCACCTCAGGTATACAACTTTGATCTCTCTGGGGTCAAACTTCACGGCATGGTGGAGGTGGCTGGTGTGGGATGAACCCGGATTCGGGACAACCGAAGAAAGTTGCACCTTGGTCTCCTTCTCTTTTTTTTTTTTTTTTTTTTTTTTTTTTTTTTTTTTTTTGAGACAGAGTCTTTCTCTGAGAGAGAGTCTAGCTCTATCGCCCAGGCTGGAGTGCAGTGGCATGATCTTGGCTCACTGCAACCTCCGCCTTCCGGGTTCAAGCGATTCTCCTGTCTCAGTCTCCTGAATAGCTGGGACTACAGGCACACGCCACCATGCCCGGCTAATTTTTGTATTTTTAGTAGAGACGAGGGTCTCACCATATTGGTCAGGCTGATCTCGAACTCCTGACCTCAGGTGATCCACCGGCCTCTGCCTCCCAAAGTGCTGGGATTACAGGCGTGAGCCACCGTGCCTGGCCCAGGCTGGACACTTTCTAGTTTTGCAATCTGTTCTCTCCTCTCAGCCTCACTGCCACCCTGCGTGGTGCGTGGGCCGGAATGACCCTTCCCCTCTTGCAGTTTGGAGAAGTTGAGGACCCGTGTGAACCCTGAAATCATTCATGCCCGGGCTCCCCGTTCGCCAGCCCATGCTGCCCTCTAGTGGTTGTGTGCGCACCTGCCTTTAGGGAGTCCAGGACAGCCGGGACAACCAGCTCATCTGCAGACAGCAGTGGCCAGCCTTCCCAGGCTGCGCAGGGGACCCTAGGCAGGGACCGTCCCCCTCAGGACCCTTCCAGCACTGCATGCCTTCACCAGCTCCTCTTCCTGTCTCGCAGCATCTGGTTTAGATGCATAGATAGATGTATTATATACGTATATTTTAATTGTGCTAAAATACATGTAAAATTTACCATCGCAACTAACTGTACGGTTTCATGGCATTAAGTACCTTCACACTGTTGGGCAACCATCACCACCATACATCTCCAGAACTATTTTTTTTTTTAAGACAAAGTCTTACTGTGTCACCCAGGCTGGAAGCGCAGTGGTGCAATCTTGGCTCACGACAACCTCTGCCTCCTGTGTTCAAGTGATTCTCCCACGTCAGCCTCCCAAGTAGCTGGAACTACAGGTGCCCGCCACTCCACCTGGCTAATATTTTATTTTATTTTATTTTTGAGACAGACTCTCTCTCTGTCGCCCAGGCTGGAGTGCAGTGGCGCGATCTCGGCTCACTGCAAGCTCCGCCTCCTGGGTTCAGACCATTCTCCTGCGTCAGCCTCCCGAGTAGCTGGGACTACAGGCGCCTGCCACCACACCCGGCTAATTTTTTGTATTTTTAGTGGAGACAGGGTTTCACCCTATTAGCCAGGATGGTCTCAATCTCCTGACCTCGTGATCCGCCCGCCTCGGCTTCCCAAAGAGCTGGGATTACAGGCGTGAGCCACCGCGCCCGGCCCCTACCTGGCTAATTTTTGTATTTTTAGAGAGACAAGGTTTCACCATGTTGGCCAGGCTGGTCTCGAACTCTGGCCAGCTTTTTTTTTTTTTTTTTTTTGACAGGGTCTCACTCTGTCACCCAGGCTGGAGTGCGACTTCGACCTCCCAGGCTCAGATGACCCTCTTACCTTAACCCCTAGAGTAGCTGGAACTACAAGCGCATGCCACCATGCCTGGCTAATTTTTTGTAGAGACAGGGTTTTGCCATGTTGCCCAGGCTGGTCTTGAATTCCTGGGCCCCAGCGATTCGCCTGCCTTGACCTCCCAAAGTGCTGGGGTTACAGGCGTGAGCCACTGCGCCCAGCCTCCAGAACGCTATTCTCCTTCCCAAACTGAAACTCTGCCCCCATTAAACACTAAGCTCCTCATTCCTATTTCCCCCCAGTTCCTGGAAACCTCTGTTCTACATTGTCTTTATGAATCTGACTAGATACTCATATAAGTGGAATCATACAGTGTCTGTCCTTTTGTGTCTGCCTATTTCACTGAGCACAATGTTGTCAAGGTGTATTCACATTGTGGCATGTGTCAGAATGCCATCCTTTTTTTTTGTTTGTTTTTTTGAGATGGAGTCTCACTTTGTTGCCCAGGCTGGAGTGCAGTGGCACGATCTCAGCTCATCACAACCTCTGCCTCCTGGGTTCAAATGATTCTTCTTCCTCAGCCTCCCCAGTAGTTGGGACTACAGGTGTGTGCCACTATGCCTGGCTAATTTTTGTATTTTTAGTAGAGACGGGGTTTTACCATGTTGGCCAGGCTGATCTTGAACTCCTGATCTCGTGATCCGCCTGCCTCAGCCTCCCAAAGTGCTGGGATTACAGGTGTGAGCCACCACGTGTGGCCTTTTTTTTTTTTTTTTTAGACGGAGATCTCGCTCTGTCACCCAGGCTGGAGTGTAATGGCACGATCTCGGCTCACTGCAACCTCCGCCTCCTGGGTTCAAGCGATTCTCCTGCCACAGCCTCCTGAGTAGCTGGGATTACAGGCGTGCACTACCACAGCTGGCTAATGGCTAATTTTTGTATTTTTAGTACAGATGGGATTTCACCATTTTGGCCAGGCTGGTCTCGAACTCCTGACCTCAAGTGATCCACCTGCCTCAGCCTCCCAAAGTGCTGGGATTACAGATGTGAGCCACCGCACCCAGGCTGCCATCCTTTTTAAGGTTGAAGAATCTTCCATTGTCTGGAGAGACCACATCTTGTCATCCGTTCTTCTGTTCATGGACACTTGGTTCCTTCCCCCTTTTGGCTATTGTGAGTAATGCTGATATGAACATGGGTGCACAAATATCTCTTTGAATCTAGAGAATATATTTTATCTTTGCCAGTAAGTGTACCCAAAGGGAAGGGAAATCATCTTTGCCTGGGGTGTTCTGATTGTGCCTACATGTGGCAGGCGCCCTCCAAGTGAGAGCAGAGAAAAGGATGAAAAGAGGAATGAAAAGAAGAATGAAGGTTGGTTGGGAGGGTTGGGGTGGGGGAGGTGAATACACACTATTGAGTGCTCCCTAGAAGCATCCCCTTATGGAATGGAATGATTTTTACATGGGCAGCCCGAAAAGCAGAGGCATCTCCTAGAATTTCATCCAGGTAACACCCCTCCAAATACACTCAAACAGAAGCATGCTAGGACATGAGGAATTACAACAAGGCTATATATACACACACACACACACACACACACACACACACACATATGCATATATATACACATATACATACATATATACATATATGGACATGTATATACACACATATACATATATATACGCACACACACATATATATGGTTTTTTTGTTGTTTGTTTATATGGTTTTTTTGTTGTTTTGTTTTGTTTTTTGAGACGGAGTTTTGCTCTTGTTGCCCAGGCTGGAGTGCAATGCCGTGATCTCGGCTAACCACAACCTCCGCCTCCCAGGTTCAAGCGATTCTCCTGCCTCAGCCTCCCGAGTAGCTGGGATTACAGGCATGCGCCACCACACCTGGCTAATTTTGTATTTTTTGTAGAGACAGGGTTTCTCCACATTGGTCAGGCTGGTCTCAAACTCCCAACCTCAGATGATCCGCCCTCCTTGGCCTTCCAAAGTGCTGGGTATATAGGCATGAGCCACCACGTCTGGCCTAAGAAGGTTAAAGTCAAAAGCAACACCACTCAGCAGCTGTCCTGAACACGCATCTCAGGGCCACCCACACAAATGAGAATGTCTCCTGCAGCTGCTGCTGCGTCGCCCCCAATCACAGCTGTAGATATAAAGGGATCGAGTCACTGAACCATACAATCACCCCGCTTTCTGACAGCACACATCCAGAGCAAACCCACACTTCCTTAAATCTTTCTCCAAATCCGATACCAGCACTAACACTGCTTTTGGAGATGCCCTGGCTTCCCCGTGCTGTGTGGCCTCCCTTGCCACAGCAAGCATAATAAACCCAAATTTGTTGACTGCAGGCGTGTTCCTGGTGGTCTGATTGACAGGCATCAACGTGACCATGGAGGGAGTGACGGCTAGAGAATTTCAGGGTTCACAAGATGAAGCCAGTGACTCATGAACTAAGCTGAAATCTCTCAGCCTAATACTTCCCTTTCTCTCACAGCAACTCTCCATGATAGATTAGAACTGTTCCAACTTGGCTGGGCATGGTGACTCACGCCTGTAATCCCAGCTATTTGGGAGGCCAAGGTGGGAGGATTGCTTGAGCCCAGGAGTTTGAGACCAGCCTGAGCAACATAGTGGGACTCCATCTCTATTTATTTATTTATTTATTTTGAGATGGAGTTTTGCTCTTGTTGCCCAGGCTAGAGTGCAATGGCGCGATCTCAGCTCACTGCAACCTCCACCTCCCAAGTACAAGGGATTCTCCTGTCCCAGCCTATCAAGTAGCTCATATTACAGGCATGTGCCACCAGGCCCGGCTAACTTTTTTGTATTTAGTAGAGATGGGGTTTCATCATGTTAGTCAGGCTGGTCACGAACTCCTGACCTCAGGCTATCTACCCGCCTTGGCCTCCCAAAGTGCTGGGATTACAGGCATGTGCCACCGTGCCTGGCCTCTTTTTTTTTTTTTTTTGAGACGGAGTCTCGCTCTGTCACCAGGCTGGAATGCTATGGCGCAATCTCGGCTCACTGCAACCTCCGCCTCTCAGGTTTAAGCAATTCTCTTGCCTCAGCCTCCTGAGTACCTGGGATTACAGGTGCGCACCAACACACCCAGCTAATTTTTTTGTATTTTTAATAGAGTCGGGGTTTCACCATGTTGGCCAGGATGGTCTTGATCTCTTGACCTCGTGATCTGCCTGCCTTGGCCTCCCAAAGTGTTAAAATTACAGGCATGAGCCACCACGCCCGGCCTCTATTTTTATAATACATTTTATATATATATATATATATATATATTTTTTTTTTTTTTTTTTTTTTTTTTTTGAGATGGAGTCTTACTCTATCACCTAGGCTGGAGTGCAGTGGCGCAATCTCAGCTCACTGCAGGCTCTGCCGCCCAGGTTCAACCGATTCTCCTATCTCAGCCTCCCAAGTAGCTGGGATAACAGGCGCCTGCCACATCGCCTGGCTAATTTTTGTATTTTTAGTAGAGATGGGGTTTCACCATGTTGACCAGGCTGGTCTTGAACTCCTGACCTTGTGATCTGCCTGCCTCGGCCTCCCAAAGTGCTGGGATTACAGGTGTGAGCCATCGCGCTCAGCCAATAAATAAAATGTTTTAAACTGCTCCAGATGAGAACATCAAGGCTGAGGGTTACTAACTTGTCCACGCTATTGAGTACAGAGATAGGTCTGAGATCTGGGTGGCCTGTCACCAAGCCAGTGCTCTTTCAGGCCAACTCTTTCTGGGCCTGTGCTCACCAAGTGAGCCCAGGGGTCAGTGTGCAAGCTTGAAAAGGGAGAGCAGCCTAGTTATGTGCAGGGAGCACGCCCTGGGGGTGTTTTTTTTTTATTTTTGAGACAGGGTATCATTCTGTCACCCAGGCTGGAGCGCAGTGACACAATCACGGCTCACTGCAGCCTCGACCTCCTGGGCTCAGGTGATCCTCTTACCTCAGCCTCCCAGGTAGCTGGGACTATAGGTGCACACCACCGTGCCCAGCTCATTTTTCATAGAGACGGGGTTTCGCCATGTTGACACGGCTGGTCTCAAACTCCTGAGCTCAAGCCATCCACCCACCTCGGCCTCCCAAAGTGCTGGCACTGCACCCAGCCTGACTGTTGATTCTTATTTTTTTGAATCAGTCTATCACCCAGGCTGGAGTGCGGTGTTGTGATCTCAGCTCACTGCAACCTCTGCCTCCCAGGTTCGAGATTCTCCTACCTCAGCCTCACGAGTAGCTGGGCCTAGAGGCAAGCACCACCATGCCCAGCTAATTTTTGTATTTTTAGTAGAGGCGGTGTTTCACCATGTTGGCCAGGCTGGTCTGAAACTCCTGGCCTCAAGTGACCCGCCCACCTCAGCTTCCCAAAGTGCTGGGATCACAGGCATGGGCCACCACGCCCGGCATGAGTGTTAATTCTTAAAGCATTTGGCAGCCCTACTGAGGCTCCTGCAGCCAACCCCATCAGTGGTGGCCTGTGTCCAGGAGAAGCACACCCAGTGAGTTGGCCGGCCCCAGTGCTGGGCATGAGGCAGGAAATGAGCCCCTCCATCTGCTGAGCTGAGCCCCAGCACTCTTCGGACACTCCCGCCACAGCGAGCAGATGCCCAGGGCTACTACCAAACGCCAGCGTTTACCTGTGTGAGAGCCTACACACAACATGGAAGAGCTTCTAACACTTATGCATTTATTTTCATGTGTAAGAAGAAAAACGTAACTAGCACGTGAACATGACTGCATGGATACACGGCTCAGCACGAGGCTAAAGTCAGAAGTGAGTGAAAACAAAATAGCATGTTGATTTAAGTGAAATAACAGAACAGGAGGCCTTTGGTTATAACAATTGTGGAGGTGGTCTGTGAATGCAGAAGTTCGGGACTCCCTGCTCTAGGCTCAGGGCAAGACGCTGTGGTCTGGGCCGAAGCCCCTGGGGTTCTACAGAGAAGCCTGCCCAGTGCACGGCCCCTGTGGCATTCTCGTGGGAGCGTGTGAGACCCCAGGGAGGGAAGCACATTCTGTTTAACTTGTCCGTGCCGTACAAAATGTCTTAGAAGTGATAAAGCAACAATGATGATTCTCCTTCAAAGGGAAGAAGAATCTTCCAGGTGTGGTCTTGAGGACGCAGAGGTTACAACACAGGCTGGGCTGCAGGGCCCAAGTAGGACTTGAGGTCATAACCAGAGGACTGAAGGGACACCTGTCCTGGCACCATACTGGAGAAGTGCTTGTTTGTGTTTGGGGGAGAGGGGGTGCATGGCCCAAGTCAAGGCTGAAGGAGGAACGCTTGGCCCCTGCACCCTGTTCCCAGCATATACCAGGCTCTCACCCCATGCCTGCTGACTCAACACAGCACCCGGGAGGTGCCGCCAGAAGGCAGGTCGGGGGATGCTGACATCCCGGGGTGTCTGCGGACCACCCTCTCCTCTTGGGTCTGGGCCCTGGCCCCACTTTGCACCACACATTCCAGGGCGGGGAAGTCCATGGCTGTGCCCCAACTGGGTCCCATTCCTGTACATGTGCGAACCAAGGGGGTGTTTGCTATTATGCTCCCCACTAAATCCAAAGAATGTTGGTTCCCATCATTTCAACCTCAACATTTTCAAAAAGCACTTTTTTTTTTGGAGACAGAGTCTCGCTGTGTCTCCCAGGCTGGAGTGCAGTGGTGCCATCTCAGCTCACTGCAACCTCTGCCTCCCGGGTTCAAGCAATGCTCCTGCCTCAGCCTCCTGAGTAGCTGGGATTACAGGCGCACGCCACCACACCCAGCTAATTTTTGTATTTTTAGTAGAAACGGGGTTTTGCCGTGTTGGCCAGGCTGGTCTCAAACTCCTGACCTCAAGTGATCTGCCTGCCTTGGCCTCCCAAAGTGCTGGGATTACAGGCATGAGCCACCACATCCGGCCTAAAAGGCACTTTTTTTTTTTTGAGACGGAGTTTCCCTCTTGTTGCCCAGGCTGGAATGCAATGGTGCAATCTCACTGCAACCTCTGCCTTCCAGATTGAAGCAATTCTCCTGCCTCAGCTTTCCCCAGTAGCTGGGATTACAGGCACCTGCTACCATGCCTGGCTAATTTTTGTATTTTTAGTAGAGACAGGGTTTCACCATGTTGGCCAGGCTGGTCTTGAACTCCTGACCTCAGGTGATCCACCCACCTTGGCCTCCCAAAGTGCTGGGATTACAAGCGTGAGCCACCATGCCCAGCCTCTAAAAGGCACTTTTTAAGGGACCTTGGAGTTTGTCCTCAAACAGCTCAACCCCACAGGCGAGGCTGGTCCTAGCACCCCTACCAGACAGCTAGTCAGTGAGAGGGGTCCAACCTCCCCCAGCTTTTCCCTGGAAGTGGGGCAGGGTCAGCAGGGAATTCTGGGGGTGAAGCTCATGGTCCAGGAGCCTTCTGGTGCCCAGAGGGTAGAGGAGTGGAAGGCCTGGGGGTGCTCAGCCCCACTGTATCCTGGACAGGCTGGGCCGGCTTGCAGGCTGGTCTCCATGGAGGCTCAGAAGGAAAGTGTGCAAGAGCAGGTTAGGAAGGGAAACCAAGTCAGGGAAGGGCCCCAGCCGGGGCTAGTGGTCTGTTCACTGCCCAGCGGGCACTCTCAGCAGCACCCCGCAGCACTCCGCTTCACATGGCATGGCTTGCAGAAGAGATGGTTGTTCAGGGGGTAGCAGCCTTGGTCCGTGGGCTCGACAGACAGGAGGATCCTGCAGTCCTGGGGAGACAAAGACACATGCTGACCCGCCCTGGGCCTGGGCGCTGCCTGCACAGGGGAGGGACTCACTTGGCATCTGCCGAATAAACCAACTGCATGAGTGGATGCCCTTCCTAAGTGGGAGGAAGGAGGCTGCTCACTGCTGCCCTCCCAACACCCGGGCCAGGTCTCCATAAGGGAAGATGAGACACAGACACACATGGAGGCTTTAATCCACGTGGAGGCGCCGGTGAGGACAGACATTCACCGTCAGGAGAACTAAGGACACCTGGGGAAGTCCCCTGAGGGTTCAGGGAAAGTTGGGGCTAGAAGAGTCTTAATAGCTCCTTTATTATTTTTTAAAATTTGTTTTTATCATTTATTTATTTTGAGACAGTCTTGCTCTGTCGCCCAGGCTGGAGTGCAGTGGCACGATCTTGGCTCACTGCAACCTCTGCTTCCCGGGTTCAAGCGATTCTCCTGCCTCCCAGGTAGCTGGGATTACAGGCGTGTGCCACCACACCCAGCTAATTTTTGTATTTTTAGTAGACAGGGTTTTGCCATGTTGGTCAGGCTGGTCTCGATCTCCTGACCTCAAGTGATCCGCCCACCTTGGCTTCCCATGCTGGGATTACAGGTGTGAGCCAGTGCGCCCGGCTTCAATAACCCCTTTAGAACATAAATTCTGGGCGGGCGCGGTGGTTCACGCCTATAATCCCAGCACTTTGGGAGGCTGAGGCGGGCGGATCACAGGGTCAGGAGATAGAGACCATCCTGGCTAACACGGTGAAACCCCATCTCTACTAAAAATACAAAAAACTAGCCGGGCGTGGTGGCGGGCGCCTGTACTCCCAGCTATGTGGGAGGCTGAGGCAGGAGGCAGGAGAATGGCGTGAACCCGGGAGGCAGAGCTTGCAGTGAGCCGAGATCGTGCCACTACACTCCAGCCCGGGTGACAGAGCGAGACTCCATCTCAAAAAAAAAAAAAAAAAAAAAAAAGAACGTAAGTTCTACGAGACAGGAACCCTGTTTAAGGCCAAGTCCCCATCCCAGCACAGGCCATGGGTATCTGCTGATGAGTGCCTGAATCTAGTCCAGTCCCTTCATTTCACAGGTGGGATACCAAGGTCCAGGGAGGAGTGGGCTCTGCCCCAGGTCACACAGCTGGTTCTGGAGCTGGGACCAGACTGGGTCTCCAGGATCTGGCTCCAGGGGCCTTTCTGTGACTCCACAGCCCACACAGCTTCAACACCAGCACAAACATTAATATTTTCTATTTTTCAAATCACCAAAGGATTTCAGAATGAGGAACACAGGGACTCGGGGCCCAAATTCTACCAACGTCACTGTTCTGCCCCAGAAACCTCACCTGGGCACATGCTAGAGAATAACAGGGGGGACAATTTGCGCGCAGAGACTTGGTTCTGGGCACCCTTTGGAAGCTGCACTGATCCCACAAAAGAGTCCTTATAGGGGGCCAGGCGCAGTGGCTCACGCCTGTAAGCCCAGCACTTTGGGAGGCTGAGGCGGGCGGATCATGAGGTCAGGAGTTTGCGACCAGCCTGGCCAACATGGTGAAACCCCGTCTCTACTAAAAATATAAAAATTAGCCGGGCGTGGTGGTGGGTGCCTGTAATCCCAGCTACTCATGAGGCTGAGACAGAATTGTTTGAACCCGGGAGGAGGTTGCTGAGATCGCGCCACTGCACTCCAGCCTGGGAGACAGGGCAAGACTCCGTCTCAAAAAAAAAAAAAAAAGAGTCCCTATAGGGACTACTTTGGGGTCACAGGTGGCCCTCCTTATGCAGTAGGGACCAGGGTCTGCAATCTGCCTTCCTCCATGGCCAGCTGGGTGAGGCACCCCTGTGTGTCTCCTCCCTACAAGGCCACTTGAGTCTCTCAAGTAGACCATGGGCTATACAACTGCACCATCTGTGCCACCTGTTTGGCACTGTAAGAACACATGCCAGAGGGCCACATGAGACCCCTCCTAAATTAGAACCAATTGGAAGAAACACCTTATCTACCACCAAGTCTCACAACCTCTGCAAGGCAGCTGTGCGGTGGCTGAAACCTCACTGAACCCAGCCCACACAAGCATGGCTGGAACCACTTTTCTGAGACTGTTTGCCTGTTTCCCATCCTTTTTTTTTTTTTTTTTAAGATAGAGTCTCACTCTGTCACCCAGGCTAGAGTGCAGTGGCATTATCATGGCTCACTGCAGCCTCCACCTGTCAGGCTCAAGCAATCCTCCTGCCTCAGCCTCCAGAGTAGCTGGAACTACAGACAGGTACCACCATGCCTGGCTAATTTTTAAACATTTATGGTAAGATGAGGTCTTACTGCGCAGGCTGGCTTCGAACTCCTGGGCTCAAGTGATCCTCCTGCCTCAGCCTCCCAAAGTGCTGGGATCACAGGTGTGAGCCACCACACCCCACCAGTTTCCCCATGTGAAATGGGGACAATAAATCCCATCTCACAAGACTGTCACTAGGATTAAACAAGGTGATGTCAATGAAAGCATTTTATAAATTAAAAAATACTACCTACAGGCCAGGTGCGGTGGCTCACACCTGTAATTCCAGCTCTTTGGGAGGCTGAGGTGGGCGGATCACGAGGTCAGGAGATCAAGACCATCCTGGCTAACACAGTGAAACCCCATCTCTACTAAAAATACAAAAAATTAGCCAGGCGTGGTGGCAGGCGCCTGTGGTCCCAGCTACTCGGGAGGCTGAGGCAGGAGAATGGCGTGAACCCGGGAGGTGCAGCTTGCAGTGAGCCGAGATTGCACCACTGCACTCCAGCCTGGGCGACAGAGCGAGACTCCGTCTCAAAAAAAAAAAAAAAAAACAATACTACCTACATATAAAAGTATTGTTATCCTTCCAACAATAGTCATAAATAATATGGACCCCAAAGCAAGTAGAAATGGTGAGATGTGGGTGTGGGCAGTGCAGGGAAACCCATTTTTCTTCTTAGTTAACAGCACTCAACTCCTTCCAGGCTGCTGCAGTTCAAGAGCCTCATTATTTTTTTTTTTTTTTTTTTGAGACAGAGTCTTGCTCTGTTGCCCAGGCTGGAGGATTAGAGTGCAGTGGCACAATCTCTGCTCACTGCAACCTCTGCCTCCAGGTTCAAGTGATTCTCCTGCCTCAACCTCCCAAGTAGCTGGGACTACAGGTGTGCGCCACCATACCCAGCTAATTTTTTTTGAGACAGAGTCTCACTCTGTCTCCAGGCTGGAGTGCAGTGGTGCAATCTCGGCTCACTGCAACCTCTGCCTCCCGGATTCAAGAAATTCCCCTGACTCACCCTCCCGAGTAGCTGGGACTACAGACACACGCCACCACACCCAGGTAATTTTTGTATTTTTAGTAGAGATGGGGTTTCACCTTGTTGGCCAGGATGGTCTCCATCTCTTGACCGCCTGCCTCAGCCTCCCAAAGTGCTGGGATCACCAGCATGAGCCACCATGCCTGGCCAAGAAGCCTCATCTTCTGACACATAACTGCTGGAGTCCAAATGCCGACTTACTACACCACCTCGGCCAAGTCATCAAGGACTACCGGGGGGGTTTATTCGCTTCCTGGCCAGGCTCAGGAAGGTGCCAGTCACTGCTGGAACTCGTGAGGATGATGTTGGGGATAACAGCACTTAAACTTCCTCACTGGGCTTTCAAAATGCATTATCAGCAGGACTTTGACCTATAACCAACAAAGACAATGTAATTACTCAGCAATTTATCAACTTCTCTACCCAGCTCCTTTGATAACCTCAGTGAAAATAGCCTCTGGGTTCCAGTATCTGTTTAAATAAATGGGAGTGAACAGGTGTGTCGAAATACTCATCGGCTGAGTAAGAGATCTGCTCTGGGGCTCTCCACTTAGGTCCCCGCATAAAAGTTGCCACCTTGTCACCATCACCGGAGAAGACAGAAGCTTCAGTGACAAGGAGCCAGCTGTAGAAGGGGTGGGAGAGGATTTCTGAGCCTCCTCAGCAGGACTGACTACATAATTTGTACGATCTAGGACAAAATAAAAATGTGGGGCCCCTTGTTCAAAAATTAAGAATTTTGACTGGGTGTGGTGGCTCACGCCACCCAGCACTTTGGGAGGCCAAGGCGGGCAGATCACTTGAGATCAGGAGTTCAACACCAGGCTGGCCAACATGGCGAAACCCCATCTCTACTAAAAATACAAAAAATTACCCGGGCATGGTGGTGTAAGCCTGTCATTCCAGCTACTCAGGAGGCTGAGGCAAGAGAATTGCTTGAACCTGACAGGCAGAGGTTGCAGTGAGCCGAGATAGCGCCACTGTACTCCAGCTTGGGTAACAAAGTGAGACTCAGTCTCTACAAAAAAAAAATTTAAGAATTTCAGGCCGTGCGCAGTGGCTCATGCATGTGATCTCAGCACTTTGGGAGGCCAAGGTGAGAGGATCGCTTGAGCCTAGGAGTTCAAGACCAGCCTGGGCAAATTTTTGTAGAGAAGTCAACTCTACAAAAATTTTAAAAATAAAAAAATTAGCTGGGCGTGGTGGTGCGCACCTGTACTTCCAGCTACTCAGGATGCTAAGGTGAGAGAACTGCTTGAGCCCAAAAGTTCGTTCAAGGCTACAGTGAGCTATGATCACACTACTGCACTCCAGCCTGACTCCAGTCTCTGTCTCTATTAAAAACAAACAAACAAACAAAAATCAAGAATTTAAAGACAGCAATAGCAGAACTTCAAAACTAGCATAGGACCCTTCTGATCACCAAGCCACATGTGATGACTCCTGGGCCCTTCTTCCTGGGACAACTGCACCAGCTTCTAATCAGCTCGCCCATCTCAGCCTGACCCCTCTCTGCAGCCTGAAGTCCAGACTCTCTAGCCTGGCACCATAGTCCTTTCCTTCTCTCTGACCTAATCATTAACCATAACCCCAGCCCTCTACACTCCAGTCACATCTACAAACTTCCACTTCTGGCCGGGTGCAGTGGCTCACACCTGTAATCCCAGCACTTTGGGAGGCTGAGGCAGGTGGATCACTTGAGGTCAGGAGTTCAAGACCAGCCTGGCCAACGTGGTGAAATCTCATCTCTACTAAATACAAAAATTAGTCAGGTGTGGTGGCACATGCCTGTAGTCCCAGCTGCTTGGTAGGCTGAGGCAGGAGAACCGCATGAACCCAGGAGGTGGAGGTTGCAGTGAGCTGAGATCGCACTGGTGCACTCCAGCCTGGGTGACAGAGTGAGACGCCATCTCAAAAAATAAATAAATAAAAATTTAATAAAAACAATTTAAAAGAGACAATTTCTAAGTGAAAAAGTAACATTCAAAAGAGTTGATCTAGGCTGGGTGCAGTGGCTCATGCCTGTAATCCCAGCACTTTGGGAGGCCGAGGCAGGTGGATCACCTGAGGTCAGGAGTTCAAGACCAGCCTGGCCAACATGGAGAAACAACATCTCTACTAAAAATACAAAAATTAGCCGGGCGTGGTGGCACGCACCTGTAATCCCAGCTACTCAGGAGGCTGAGGCAGGGAGAATTGCTTGAACCAGGGAGCTGGAGGTTGCAGTAAGCCAAGATCATGCCACTGCACTCTAACTTGGGAGACAGAGTGAGACTGTCTCAAAAATAAAAAAACGCTGGGCACGGTGGCTCACGCCTGTAATCCCAGCACTCTGGGAAGCTGAGGTGGGCAGATCACCTGAGGTCAGGAGTTTGAGACCAGCCTGACCAACATGGAGAAACCACATCTTTACTAAAAATACAAAACATTAGCTGGGCGTGGTGGTGCATGCCTGTAATCCCAATTACTCGGGAGGCTGAGGCAGGGGAATCGCTTGAACTCGGGAGGTGGAGGTTGCAGTGAGCTGAGATCACGCCATTGCACTCCAGCCTGGGTAACGCGAGTGAAATCCCATCTCAAAAAAAAAAAAGAAAAAGAAGCTTCCACTTCCTCTGATTCTTCAGGCTTGCTCGTGTTACCGTGGATTTTTGTAGCTCTTTTCCCCTTTCTGGACTTCTCCCCTCTATGAATATCTGGCAAACTCCTACTCATCCTGCAAGGCCCAGTCAAGCATTGCCTCCTACATGAGTGCCTTTGATTCTACCATCCTGGTTAGACCATCACTGCCTTCTTTATCCCAAAGCTGATTTATTTTTTATTTTTATTTATTTATTTTTAAGACAGGGTTTCACCATGTTGCCCAGGCTGGTCTCGAACTCGTGAGCTCAAGTAATCCACCCATCTCAGCTTCCCAAAGTGCTGGGATTACAGGTGTGAGGCACTGCACCAGGCCCCCAAAGCTGATTTCTACATTCTCTTGCCCAGCACCTGGAAAAGGCACTGTGGTGTGGATCTGTCCAGCATCCTCTTCTCCCTTCCTCCAGTTGTAACAACCCCTCCTTTTTTATATGGTTCTGCCTCCCTGGCCCCAGTGGTTATCAATCCTAGCACCCCAGCCACAGTGACTGGCCCTGAATGAGCATGTGACCCTAGCTGGGGTGATTAGAGGCCTTCTAGGGACTGTCTGGCTTCCCTGGAGGGGGTGTGCTCTCTCTTTCCCCTAGGGTTTCTAAGCTGGGGAGATGCAAACCTGGGCCACCTATGCCCATGCACTGTGCCCCACCTCCCCACAGAGAAGGCCAGCCCACAGGCAGAGAAAATGAAGCAAACACACAAACAAGGGAGAGCCAAGAGATGGAAAGAGGCTGGGCGTGGTTGCTCATGCCTGTAATCCCAGCACTTTGGGAGGTGGAAGTGGGCGGATCACCTGAGGTCAGGAGTTCCAGACCAGCCTGGCCAACATGGTGAAACCCTGTCTCTACTAAAAATACAAAAATTAGCCAGGTGTGGTGGTGCGCGCCTGTAATCCCAGCTACTCGGGAGGCTGAGGCAGGAGAATTGCTGAACCCTGGAGGTAGAGGTTGCAGTGAGCTGAGATCGCACCACTTCGCTCCAGCCTGGCAACAAGAGTAAGACTGTGTCCAAAAAAAAAAAAAAAAAAAATGGAGAGAGTCCTGATGCCATCGCTCAATACCATCAGTGATCCCAGCACCATGAGCCAACAGATTCCCTTCTCTGGAGAATGCAACTTGAGTCCGGTTTCTTATTAACGCAAAGAGTTGATAATAGACTATGGTTGCATTTCCAGTATCTTTTGTTTCTCCTACTAGACAATGAGCAATTTGAGAGTACAGCCCCCACCCTGACCTGTCCCCATGTCCAAGCAACCCAGCTAAGGGCCTGGCACGCAGCAATGGAATGTTATTAAACCACCTAGGCTCCACTCACCTCACACCTGTAGCAATTTTCATGGAAGTTTCTTCCCATGCATTCGATTTTGAAGGCATCTTTCCCATCCCGAGGGATGATGGGATTTTCACAGATGCTGCAGACGGGGGCGAATTTCCTAGAAGCAAAGGAACCCATGCTTGGGAGGCGTTCATGCCACAACCACAGAAATTAATTAGCTGTCAGAACTCGGGCTGGCTGGTGTTCACCTCCTGAGCAATTTCAGTCCCGTTGCTATGGGACTGCAGAGATGTCTGTTTCTTCTTGGCAGGAGCAGGTGGAGAGACCTGTGTAATGAGACCTGGTTTCCCAGCGTCACTGGAGATTGTCTGAATTGAGAACTGTGTTCAGTGGGGCTGGGACCCATCTCATCTGTCTTTTTTGTTTTTTTTTCAGTACTTCTTTTTTTTTTTTTTTTTTTGAGATGGAGTTTTTTTTGCTCTTGTCACCCAGGCTGGAGTGCAATGATGCAATCTCAGCTCACTGCAACCTCCACCTCCCAGGTTCAAGTGATTCTCCTGCCTCAGCCTCTTGAGTAGCTGGGACTACAGGCAGGCACCACCACGCCCAGCTAATTTTTGCATTTTTAGTAGAGACGGGTTTCACCATGTTGGTCAGGCTGGTCTTGAACTCCTGACCTCGTGATCCGCCCACCTTGGCCTCCCAAAGTGCTGGGATTACAGGCGTGAGCCACTGTGCCCAGCCAGTACTTCTTTCTTTCTTAAGAGGCACATCTGTCTCTCCGCTTGAGTGGTGAGCAACTCATGGGCAGGGATTGAGTCCAGCGGTTATCTGTGTGTCCCCACTGCATCATTCAGCTCCAAGGGCAGACCCCGAGGTCTGGGCTTTCAGAGCAGGGCCCCAAAGTCAGGTCCTTGGGGATGTGCATACTTACCAAGAGCTTCAATACTTACCTGTGGAGAGACTTTGGGTACTTAGCTGCTGTGTGCCTTGGGTGGTAAAACAGAACCCTTAATCGTACCTGCCTGTGACATTATATTTATTTTTCAGTTTTTTGTTTTGTTTTGTTTGGGATGGAGTCTAGCTCTGTTGCCCAGGCTGGAGTGCAGTGGTGCGATCTCGGCTCACTGCAACCTCTGCCTTGGCCTCCCAAAGTGCTGGGATTACAGGCGTGAGCTACCGCGCCCGGCCCCATATGTGTTTTTTATATATGTTTTTGTCTATAGTTCCTGCTGGGCTCATCACTCCCATAGCACTTGTTATAATATTGGGCACTTCAGGCCTTAGAAAACAGAATTTCTCTCTGACCTTTTGCCTGTTCCTTTTTCTCCCCAAGGCAGGAATCTTCTCCCACCTTTCTTGCTGGGAGCTGGCCATAAAGAAATTCTCTGGCCTGCCTTATCTGACTGAGTCATAAGCCCTTCATTCATTCCAGGGAGAATCCTGCCCTCCATCCTGGAGGAAGAAAAGCTGCATAGAGACCAAGATGACTCTGGACAGGCCCTGCTAGGTTTCCCTCTCAGTTTATTAGCTTCCACCATACCCTTTTCCTCCAGCCGAATTTCTACTGGGTGGTCAATCATGCCTATCCAATGACGTCTCCATAGAAGGCCCAAGAGGACAGGGTTCGGGAGCTTTCAGGTGGCTGAACATGTGGGGGTTCCTGGAGGGTGGCACACTTGGGGAGGGAGGGCATGTAAGCTCCTTGCCCCTTCCCCTAGACCTCATCCTAGGCATCTCTTCACGTGTCTGTCTGTATCGCTGTAATATCCTTTTCTTTTTTTTTTTTTTTGAGACAGAGTCTCACTCTGTCACCCAGGCTGGAGTGCAGTGGTGCGATCTCGGCTCACTGCAAACTCCACCTCCTGGGTTCAAGTGATTCTTCTGCCTCAGCCTCCCAAGTAGCTGGGACTACAGGCACACACCACCATGCTCAGCTAATTTTTGTATTTTTTGTAGAGATGGGGTTTTACCGTATTGGCCAGGCTGGCCTCAAACTCCTGACCTCATGATCTGCCCACCTTGGCCTCCAAAAGTGCTGGGATTACAGGTGTGAGCCACTGCCCCCAGCACTGTAATATTCTTTTTTTTTTTTTTTTTTTTTTGAGACGGAGTCTCACACTCTGTTGCCCAGGCTGGAGTGCAGTGGCGTGATCTCGGCTCACTGCAAGCTCTGCCTCCCAGGTTCACGCCATTCTCCTGCCTCAGCCTCCCGAGTAGCTGGGACTACAGGCGCCCGCCACCATGCCTGGCTAATTTTTTTTGTATTTTTAGTAGAGACGGGGTTTCACCATGTTAGCCAGGATGATCTCGATCTCCTGACCTCGTGATCCACCCGCCTCGGCCTCCCAAAGTGCTGGGATTACAGGCGTGAGCCACCGCGCCCAGCCCAGCCCTGTAATATTCTTTATAATAAACCAGTAGACAGGAAACTCTGGCCCAGCACCCAGGACTCAAGCTCAGCTCCTTCACCCTGCTTGGGTCTCGCCCTGTCCCTGCACCCCACCCAGTGCACAAACCCTTCTCGTACCTGTAGAAGTCGTCCAGGCAGTACACCTCGTTCTGGCTGCCCAGGGCAAAGCTCTCATCCCCAATGCACCGGGCGCAGGTCACACACGTGAAGCAGGAGGGGTGGAAGGCCTGGCCCAGGGCCCTGATGATGTGGTCCCGGACCACCTCGCCACACTTGCCGCACCTCTCCAGTGTGTCCTAGGACAGAGGCCACTGCCAGAACCATCCACGACACACCCACCCCAACCCACGAGGGTCGTCTTCTTCTGAGAGGCTGCCCTCAGGGGCCCAGGAACTGGGAAGTACAGGAGAGGCCTGCAGACAACCTGTAACTATCGCCCAAAACCTCCACCATTGCTTATAACAAATTGAGCTTAGCCTTGCATCCTTGGCTTACAGCAAGGAATACTGCCCTGATGCCCTGATGCTATGGCTGCATTTCTTGTTACTGGGATATGTTTATGGCCAGGGTCCACAGAGCTATAGGAGAAACCTCGCTTAAACCTCAGGGTCAGGAAAAGGAATTCTCAGGAGAATTGGGTGCTTTATCATACAGACAAGAAGACTTGAAATTCTTTCCCTTTTCCATTTGGCCACTTGGAAGCTCAGAGCCAAATTCCACATTTCACGTTTAGAAACCATTATAGGGCTTTTTTGTTGTTATTTGGTTCTTGTTTTGTTTTGGGACAGAGTCTCGCTCTGTTACTGAGGCTGGAGTGCAGTGCCCCAATCTCAGCTCACTGCATCCTCTACTTGAGGTTCAAGTGATTCTCATGCCTCAGCCTCCTGAGTAGCTGGGACTACAGGTGTGCGCCACCACGCCCGGCTAATTTTTTGTAGACACGGTGTTTCACCATGTTGGCCAGGCTGGTTTCGAACTCCTGACCTCAAGTGATCAACCCACGTTAGCTTCCCAAAGTGCTGGGATTACAGGCGTGAGCCACCGTGTCTGGCTTCCTCACACATTTTGGGTAGTAACATTCCCTTTGATCTCGTCTCACTTTCTATTTTGATTTTCCTTCTGTTTGGATGTCTTTATTTTACATATCGTAGTATTATTGCAGTCTTTAAAAAATTGTTTTATTGTGGGAAGAACACTTAACATGAGATCTACCTTTTTTTTTTTTTTTTTTTCTGAGACGGAGTTTTGCTCTTGTCAATCAGGCTGAAGTGCAGTGGCGCAATCTTGGCTCACCACAACCTCGTTTCCCGGGTTAAAGCAATTCTCCTGCCTCAGCCTCCCGAGTAGGTGGGATTACAGGCATGCGCCACCACATCCGGCTAATTTTTTGTATTTTTAGTAGAGACGGGGTTTCTCCATGTTGGTCAGGCTGGTCTCGAACTCCTGACCTCAGGTGATCTGCCTGCCTCAGCCTCCCAAAGTGCTGGGATTACAGGCGTGAGCCACCGTGCCCAGGCTTTTTCTTTTTTTTGAGATGGAGTCTTGCTCTGTTGCGCAGGCTGGAGTGCAGTGGTGTGATCTTGACTCACTGCAGCCTCTGCCTCCCGGGTTCAAGTGATTCTCCTGCCTCAGCCTCCCAAGTAGCTGGGATTACAGGCACGCACCATGCCTGGCTAGTTTTTGTATTTTTAGTAGAGACAGGGTTTTTCCATTTTGGTCAGGCTGGTCTCGAACTCCTAACCTCAGGTGATCCACCTGCCTCGGCCTGGCATGAGCCACGGCACCTGGCCAGTTAACATAATTTTATATGATGCTTTAAGAAGAAATGCGCCAGGCAAGGTGGCTTATGCCTGTAATCCCTGGACTTTGGGAGGCTGAGGCAGGCAGATCTCCTGAGGTCAGGAGTTCCAGACAAGCCTGGCCAACATGGTGAAACCCCCGTCTCTACTAAAAATACAAAAAATAGCCGGGCGTGGTGGTGGGCAACTGTAATCCCAGCTACTTGAGAGGCTGAGGCGGGAGAATCACGTGGAATTTTTCAGTGCACGCATGTTATTGTGGTCTATAGGTATATATGCATTCTCTTTAAAAACATATTTTAATAAAAAAATAGCTATATTAAAATAGAGATGGAGTCTTGCTATGTTGCCCAGGCTCGTCTTGAACTTCTGACCTCAAGTAATCCTCCCACCTCAGCCTCCCAAAGTGCTGAGATTGCAGGTGTGAGCCACCGCGCCTGGCTGGTATACATGCATTCATAGAAGCTGCCTCAAATTCCTTCTGGAATGAGGAGCAATGACAAAGAGATTCCCGAGGCAGGGCAGTGGGCTTCCCTCTAGCCTTTCCACCTTTTCTCCTGGACATGCTGTCTCTCCTTCCTGGCTGTGCTCCTGTGCATTTTACCTTGACCTCACCTGGACACGTGTGGGGGCATCTCCCACTCCCCCCTCCCTCTCATGGGCATGGCCCTTCTCTCCCCAGCACACTGCTCAAGTCTTCCTCCTGGCTGCTTCCTGCTTCCAGCTGGACACCCCTCCTCCCCTGGTGTCTCACCCCTGAGGAACACTCCCCCATGATGTTGATGGGGTCACAGGGACACGGCAGGGAGGGCCTGGCTCCTCTCTCTTCCCACAGTGCCTCACTGGTGGTGAGCCTGGGATTGGATTGTTTGGATTCTTCTGGAGAGTCTCAGCTCCAAATACTCTAACCCTTCAAATCAGCCGTTTTCAAACTTCTATATGCATGAGAATCACTTGAGACACTGATTCAAAATGCTGATTTCCAGGTGTTCCTCATTCATAAGCACAAAGAGTGGCCTACACATCCCCAGGGGATGCGGCTGTGGGTGGTCACCACACTCAACATGCCACCACAAACCATCCAAGAGTTAGAAATTCCAGTGTGCTGGCATCCCAGCTGGCTCTCCCAGATTGCACTTGGTACCCGGAAGCAACACAGATTCCCGTGAGATCAAACATTGGAACCCTGTGGCTCTACTCTAGGGGAGATAGTGGCAAGACTGATGGCAGGCTCCAGAGCCAGATGGGTGTGGAGTAGAATCCCAGCTCCTTGGCCATCTCGTGTGACCTCGTGTGGTAGCTAAGAGATGCCCCCAAAGATATCCAGTCCTTATCTCTGGACCCCGAATGTTACCTTGCCCGGCAAAAGAGGCTTTCAGATGGGATGAGCTAAGGATCTTAAGATGGGGGAGATTATCCTGATTATCCAGGTGGGTCCTAAATGCCATCGCGTGTCCCTGTAACTTGACACAGAGGTGACAATAGGGCCGCTGAAGTGGGATGCTACACTGCTGGCTTTGAAGCAGAGGAAGGAGTCAAGGAGAATGCAGCTTCATAAACTGCAAAAGGGGCCAGGTGCGGTGGCTCACACCTGTAATCCCAGCACTTTGTGAGGCCGAGGGGGTGGATTCCTTGAGGTCAGGAGTTTGAGACCAGCCTGGCCAAAGTGGTGAAATCCCATCTCTACTAAAAATACAAAAATTAGTTGGGCATGGTGGCAGGCACCTGTAGTCCCAGCTACTCAGGAGGCTGAGACATGGGAATTGCTTCAACCCGGGAAGCAGAGGTTGCAGTGATCTGAGATTGTACGACTGCACTCCAGCTGGGGTGACAGAATGAGCCTCCATCTTAAAAAAAAAAAAAAACAAAAAAAAACAGGCTGGGCGCAGTGGCTCATGCCTGTAATCCCAGCACTTTGGGAGGTCGAGGTGGGTGGCTCACGAGGTCAGGAGTTCAAGACCAGCCTGGCCAAGATGGTGAAACCCCATCTCTACCAAAAATACAAAAATTAGCCGGGTGTGGTGTCAGGTGCCTGTAATCCCAGCTACTCGGGAGGCTGAGGCAGGAGAATCCCTTGAACCTGGGTGGCCGAGGTTGCAGTGAGCTGACATCGTGCCACTGCACTCCAGCCTGGGCGATAGAGTGAGACTCCGTCCCCCACCGCAAAAAAAAAGAAGAAGAAGAAGAAAAAAAGAAATTGCAAAAGGCAGAGATGTGGGTTCTCCCTCAAGCCTCCAGACAGCACACCACCTTGGTTTTGGCCCAGTGAAGCTGATTTTGGACTTTTGATCTCCCGAACTGGGACAGAATAAACGTGTACTGCTGGAAGCCACGAAGGTTGTGGTGATCTCTTACAGGCAGCCCTAGGAAACCAATCGCCTTCACTGGGCTCCTTCTTTCTGAGCCTCAGTTTCCTCATCTGTGAAAGGGGTCAATAGTGCCTACTTCCCAGGACTGTGTGGGGAATGAAATGGTGCAACATATTCTAAGTGCTCAGCTCACTGCCTGGCACCCAGAGGTCTGCTGCAGGGGTTACCTGGTAGCAGGGTTCGCAGAGGGGTCGCCCATCCTTCTGGTAGAAGCTCTGCCCAGCCAGCTGGCGGCGGCAGGTGCGGCACGTGAAGCACTGGGCATGGTACTGCCTCTTCATGGCCTCCACAGCCAGCTCTCGGGGGGACACGGTCTTGTGGCAGAAGGCACAGATGTCTGGGGTAGGGGAGACACAGGCCATCACCAGCCCAGCCTGTGAGGACTGTACCCAGGCACCACCCAGAACATGCTCAGGATACCCGAGGCTCTGTCTTAAACCCTGCAAATTCCTCAAATGACAAATACAGAGGGTCATGAGGAGCATTAAAAAGGAATCTGAGTCAGGCATGGTGGCTCACACCTGTAATGCCAGCACTTTGGGAGGCCAAGGTGAGCGGATCACTTGAGGACAGGAGTTCAAGACCAGCCTGGCCAACATGGTGAAACCCCATCTCTACTAAAAATACAAAAATTAGCCGGGCATAGTGGCATGCCCCCGTAGTCCCAGCTACTCATGGGGCTGAGGCAGGAGAATCACTTGAACCTAGGAGGCAGAGGTTATAGTGAGCCGAGACTGTGCCATTGCACTCCAGCATGGGTAACAGAGTGAGGCTCTGTTTCAGGAAAAACAATAAAAATTAAAAAAAATAAAGAGCCCGGCGCGGTGGCTCACACCTGTAATCTCAGCACTTTGGGATGCCGAGGTGGGCGGATCACAAGGTCAAGAGATCGAGACCATCTGGCCAACATGGTGAAACCCTGTCTCTACTAAAAATACAAAAATTAGCTGGGCGTGGTAGCGGGCGCCTGTAGTCCCAGTACTCAGGAGACTGAGGCAGGAGACTCGCTTAAACCCAGGAGGTGGAGGTTGCAATGAGCCAAGATCGCGCCACTGCACTCTAGCCTGGTGACAGAGCAAGACTCTGTCTAAAAAAATAAAAATAAAAATAAATAACATAAATAAATAAGGAATTCTGGACAGCAGTTTCAGGACAAAGGGATTGTTGGCTGCCTTGACCTCCCAAAGTGCTGGGATTACAGGCATGAACCACTACACCCAGCCAGGAGCCACTTTGTTTATTTATTTTATTTTATTTTTTTATTTTTTTGAGACGGAAGCTCACTCTGTCACCCAGGCTGGAGAGCAGTGGCGCAATCTCAGCTCACTGCAACCTCCGCCTCCTGGGTTCAAGAGATTCTCCTGCCTCAGCCTCCCGAGTAGCTGGGATTACAGGCACACACCACCACACCCAGCTAACTTTCGTATTTTTAGTAGAGACAGCATTTCACCATGTTGGCCAGGCGGATCTCGAACTCCTGACCTCAGGTGATCCACCTGCCTCAGCCTCCCAAAATGCTGGGATTATAGGCGTGAGCCACCACGCTCAGCCAGGAGCCACTTTATATTCTGATGTGTGACCAGCTCTGAGATGTACGAAGGAAAGAAAGTGAACAGCAGAAGAGCCTAGTTTGCTACTTATGGAAAAATGGGGGGAGGGAGCAGGTGGACACATATTTGTATTTGCTCGTATGTGCATAGTGTCTTTGGCAGGATACATGAGAGCTCAATGACAGAGGACACCCATCTGGAAGGAAACCGGGTGGTAGGGGGATGGGGCAGGTTGCAGGCTTCTCACTGTGTCCCCACTCATGCTGTTTATTTTGCACTGTGTGAGGGCATTAGGTGTTCAGAAAATAAAATAGTGAGAAAAAATTCAAGACATTTTTGCTATCATAGCAAACTGCAGACTAACATTTTAAATAGAATTTAGGTATAAAGGGAAAAAGGCTAAAGCAATACAAATTAAATGGATGCCGAACTACAAAGCCCATCATTGTTAACATGAGCTGGGGTGGGGATGGGAAGAGGGGTCCTCACTCTCTTGGTTTCTACCTGGAAGCCCATGCTGGCCCCATGAGATCACCCCAGTATCCTCTCAGCCCTGTGCACCTACCTGTGGATGCCCCTTTCTCAACAGGTTCTGCCGGGGGAGGTGGCAGCTCTTCCTCCATGGGCCTGAGGGGACCGGGCTGGACTGAAGGTCCCTCCGCTGGGGCCTGTGGGGATGCAGACGGGGAGTCATCCAGTGGGACCCCATGCAGCCCTCCCAGCTCTGTTCCTCATCTGGGTGGTAACAGGTACAATTAGCCGCATTGTACCGAGAAGGAAACCAAGGCCCAGGGAAGCAAGGGACCTGCGTAAGTCTCTCAGCAGGAAGGTCACAGTGGCAGCTGACTGGGGTCCCTCAATCAGCCACTGCTCCTTGTCCTACTTAGAAGGACTCTCCTGCAACCAGGCTTCCCCATGGATGCTGGACTGAAGTGGACTAAGCCCTTGGCCTGTGACGCCCCCCATTTCTACACAGCCTCTGTTAAGGGCCCAGGGTTAAAAAACAGGTTCCTGGCCAGGTGCAGTGGCTCAAACCTGTAATTCCAGCACTTTGGGAGGCCGAGCCATGCGGATCACGTGAGGTAAGTAGTCTGAGACCAGCCTGACCAACATGGTGAAACCCTGTCTCTATAAAAGCACAATAAATTAGCCAGGCATGGTGTGGGTGCCTGTAATCCCAGATACTCAGGAGACTATGGCAGGAGAATCGCTTGAACCTGGGAGGTGGAGGCTACAGTGAGCCAAGATCATGCCATTGCACTCCAGCCTGGGTGACAGAGCGAGACTCCATCTCAAAAACAAACAAACAAACAAAAATCCAGGTTTCCTATGCAGCCTAAGGGATTTAGGTCGGACTCAGGGAAACGTCTTCCTCAGAGCTGAAGGAGGTGTCTGCGGCAGGTGCAGCAGCGAGGCAGTGGCATCCCTCTCCAGGGACCCTGAAACACTTAACCAATTTTTACCTGCCTAAATAGGGACTTCTGAGAGCTTCAAAGAGGGACTGCCCCCGAGCAGAAGAATGCACCAGACAAAGTCCAGGTTTAGAACCCCTGAATGCCCAGAAGGCCCAGACTCCCCGTGCCCCAACCAAGGGGACCAAGGGATTGCTGGGGGTCGGGGGGCAGGCAGTACCTGTGGTGGGGGCGGGGGCGGGGACAGGTGCAGCTGCTCTAAGTCTGCAATGAGTGAGGCCCCCATTGGAGCAGGAGCCTCCTCTTCAGAAGGCAGAAGCACTGGAGGGGGCGGTGGAGGGGGTGGGAGGAGGTCCAGGTCAGGAAGCACGTCCTCACCATCCAGGACAGGAGGAGGGGGTGGGCATCCTGCAATGGGGGAGGAGAGAGGGCTGGTCAGAGCCTCCCAGGTGGACCTGGGAGGGTTTTACTTACCTACATGGCCATACAGAGGGAAGCTGAGGGCCCCGGTCGGGATCACCCCGGCCTGGGTTCCATGTCTAACTCTGCCACTGATTTGCTGTGTGTCCTTAGGCAAGAAACTTAATCTCAGGCCAGGCACGGTGGCTCATGCCTATAATCTCAGCACTTTGGGAGGCCGAGGTAGGCAGTTCGCTTGAACCCAGAAGTTCAAGAGCAGCCTGGGCAACATAGTGAGACCTCAACTCTACTAAAAATTAAAAAAAATGTAGCCAGGCATGGCAGCACAAGCCTGTAGTCCTAGCTACTTGGGAGGCTGACGTGGAAGGATCACTTAAGCCCAAGAGGTTGAGGCTGCAGTGAGCTTAGATCACATTACTGCACTCCAGCCTGGGTGACAGAGCCAGAACCTGTCTCAAAAAAAAAAAAAAAAGCCGGGTGCAGTGGCTCACACCTGTAATCCCAGCACTTTGGGGGACTGAGGCAGGCAGATCACCTGAGGTTGGAAGTTTGAGACCAGCCTGACCAACATGGAGAAACCCCATCTCTACGAAAAACACAAAATTAGCTGGGCGTGGTGGGCATGCCTGTAATCCCAGCTACTTAGGAGGCTGAGGCAGGATATTCACTTGAACCCAGGAGGCGGAGGTTGCAGTGAGCTGAGATTGCGCCACTGCACTCCAGCCCGGGCAACAAAAGCAAAACTCCATCTAAAAAAAAAAAAATTAGGCTGGGCGCGGTGGCTCACGCCTGTAATCCCAGCACTTTGGGAGGCTGAGGCGGGCAGATCACCTGAGGTCAGGAATTTGAGACCAGCCTGGCAACCCTGGTGAAACCCTGTCTCTACTAAAAATACAAAAATCAGCTGGGTGTGATGGTGGGCGCCTGTAATCCTAGCTACTTGGGAGGCTGAGGCAGGAGAACTGCTTGAACCTGGGGAGCAGAGGTTGCAGTGAGCCGAGATCGCACCACTGCACTCCTGCTTGGGTGACAGAGCGAGACTTCGTCTCAAAATATACACACACACACACATACACACACACACACAAATTAGCTGGGCCTGGTGGTGAGAGCTTGTGGTCCCAGCTCCTTGGGAGGCTGAGGTGGGAGGATTGCTTGAGCCAGGGAGGTTGAGGCTACAGTGAGCCGTGATCACACCACTGCACTGCACTGCACTGCAGCTTGGGTGACAGAATAAGACCCTGTCTCGAAAAAAAAAAATGCAAATTCTCAGGCTCCACGGCAGATCTGCTGAATCAGAGATACTTGGGGTGGGAGCCTGCGGCTGTGCTGGAATGGACCCAGTGACTGTGTTGGTACAGGCCCGGGTGATGCTGCTGCTGACTCAGCGGAAGTGAGAGAAAGAGGCTCCGATGAGCTCACGGAGTCAGGAACCAGGTCTTGGAGAGGCAGTAAGAGTGCTGTGGCCTCTCCCAGTGCCTGCCTCCCGGTGCAGGGCCCATAGGCTATGATGGGCGGGCAGGAATTCAAGAGAGAAGCAGGGGGACCCGAGGCCACAGGGCAGGTGGGCAGAAAGGGGGTCCTGGACCCGCTCGAGGATGACTCTGAGAGGACAAGTACTAAGCAGATGGCAGATGGCAGCCTTCGGTGTAGACGGCTTCAAGCAGCTGGCAGCATCCCCAGGGCCCGGGGCCAGCCTTTGTGTCCTGCAGTCAGACCAGGCGCATGACCAAGCTGGTCACCTAAAACTTATCTCACTTCAGGGAGACTGAACCCCAAGATCCCCGTGCTCTGCTTGAGGGTATTAAATTGGCAGACGAAACGGCCAGCCAGCCATGCTGACCAGTGACAGGACAGCCCTTCCCAGGCAAGTTTGATCTTGTTCCCACACTCCCAAGATCCTCTTCCCATAATCCCAATAACCCATGAAAATGTCCCGGAAATTCTGACATCTAGCCTCTATTTCCCGGGCTCCCTTGCCCACCCAGAAGGGGCACATCTTTTTGTTTCCCGTTGATGTGTGAATTTTGTCAGGATGAATAATGAATGAATGAATGACGCTGGAGCCTGCCCTTTCCTCCCCACCTCTGCCTCTGACGTGGTCTTCCCCAAAGTCCCCTCAGCTCTTACCTCCATTGAAGAGCTGCATAGGTGCAGCCGGCACTGTGGCTGCAGCTCTGCCAGGGGTTGTCCAGGGGCTGGGCCTCCCCGCCAAGCCAGCCTCGGGTGTCTTCATGGGGGCAGGAGCCTCCCAGGGGCGGCCACGCCGGGCCTCACAAACTGCCTGCCTCACTTCCTCCGCCACGGCCACATCGCGGCGCGGGGGTGCCAGGGTGATAAAGACAGACGATGCCACCCTCTTCTCAGGCTTTGAGGCCATGGCTTCAGCTCCTGGTGTGGCTAGGGACAGAGTGGGGTACAGCACAGGATTGCCACCCAGACACACAGCCACCCTCCCCCGAGAGGAGAGAGCCTCCCTCCTCCCAAAAAGACAGGCCAGCCACCCTACCATCTCAACAACTCAGTCCAGCACCCAGCCCAGCCAGAGAAGGGGTGGGGGTGTCCTGCTGGGGAAGACAGGACCCACCAGGGAACTTGGCCACAGGGGTGAGACCCAAAAGTCCTGACTGCCCCTCCCCCGAACCTGCACACCTAGGGGAGCAAAGGGCAGCCCTCACCAATGATCACTCTTCCTTGTCTCACACCCGCGAGGAAGGAACAGATGCTTCAGCTCCCAGCCCCAGCAGGGCTGACTTCCGTTCCCAGTCTGGAGTCCCGCCTGCCTGCTGGGCCACACCCCAAGTGACCTCCCTCACCTGGGATCAGATTCTCCTAGAAGGGCTGAAGTCCTGGAGGTTCAGGCCAGCTCTGCTTTGGGAGGGAAAGAGAACAGATCAGGATCTGCCAGGGCGTCAGGGCTAGGCTCCGGCGGCAGAGTGGGCAGGGCACAGTGAGAGCTGCCCTCACCAAGACCGGCTCTGCCCTGAGCATGTTATACTCATTAACTCATAAACACTCACACGTTATGCTCATTAACTCATAAACACTCACAAGGTGGCTGCAGGGCAGGCACTATCATCACCCACCTAACACATCAAGAAATCGAGACTCAGAGAGAAGTCACCTGTCCAGGGTCACACGGTGGTGAGGTGGCACTGGAACCCAGAGCCCATGCTCTTGGCCACTTTGCTCTGCTCTGACCTTTCTCAGCCCTGCACATGAGCCAGCACCCTCCTTGCTTGCTTTCTAGTGCCAGACTCTCTCACTCCACCCAATCTCCAAAACCTGGGTCCTGGTTCAGGCCTGGGCAGTGGGCAGGGGGCAAGGGGAGAGATGGGGAGGCTCCATGGCCTCTGGTCTCACCTCCTAACCCTGATCTTTCTAGAGCATCAATCTCTTTCTCCTTTACTCAAAAACCTTCCATGGGCCGGGCATGGTGGCTCACAGCTGTAATCCCAGCATTTTGGGAGGCCGAGGCAGGTGGATCACTTGAGGCCAGGAGTTTGAGACCACCCTGCCAACATGGTGAAACCCCATCTCTACTAAAAATACAAAAATTAGCCATGCGTGGTGGTGGGCACCTGTAATCCCAGCTACTTGGGAGGGTGAGGCAGGAGAATCGCTTGAACCTGGGAGGCCGAGGTTGTGGTGAGCCAAGATTGCACCACTGCCCTCCAGTCTGGGCAACAGAGCGAGACTCTGTCTTTTTTTATTTATTTTTATTTTTTGAGACGGAATCTTGCTCTGTTGCCCAGGCCGGAGTGCAGTGGCACGATCTTGGCTCACTGCAAGCTCCACTTCCCAGGTTCACGCCATTCTCCTGCCTCAGCCTCCCGAGTAGCTGGGACTACAGGTGCCCGCCACCACGCCCGGCTAATTTTGTTTTTGTATTTTTAGTAGTGATGGGGTTTCACCATGTTAACCAGGATGGTCTTGATCTCCTGACCTCGTGATCCGCCCACCTCAGCCTCCCAAAGTGCTGGGATTACAGGCGTGAGCCATCGCACCCCGGTGAGACTCTGTCCCAGCACTTTGGGAGGCAGAGGCAGGTGGATCACCTGAGGTCTGGAGTTCGAGACCAGCCTGGCCAACATGGTAAAACCCCATCTCTACTAAAAATACAAAAATTAGCTGGGTGTGCTGGCGGGCGCCTGTAATCCCAGCTACTTGGGAGGCTGAGGCAGGAGAATCACTTGAACCCGTGGGAGTGGAGGTTGCAGTGAGGTGAGATGGCACCATTGCACTCTAGCCTGGGCAACAAGAGCGAAACTCTGTCTAAAAAAAAAAAAAGAAAAAAAGTATGGCTCTCCACCACCTCAGGATGAAGTCCAACTGCGGCAGCCTCAGCCTCTTTGAGCCCCTGGACCACTCGCCCTTCCTATGTCCTCTCTCTTGCCTTGCAGTGTTTCTTCTATGGTTTTCCTGTCCTGCCCCCACAGGGTGAATTTCAGCTTTCTCTTAGAGGCCCAGCTCAAACATCACCTCTTCCACAAGGCACCCCCCGATTCCTGGCCCTCTCCAGGGGCAGTTTCCTGCTGCCAAGGGTGGACGAAAGCGATGATAGCCCCAGGGCAGGACAGGCTGGCTCACAAGCTCACTATCAATGCGTCTGACCGGTGTCTGCATTCTTTGTGTGCCTAGAGGATATCAGAGCGCAGGCATCAAAACCCAGATCTGGCCACCCGATGGCTCACGCCTGTAATCACAGCACTTTGGGAGGTAGGCGATCACTTGAGGTCAGGAGTTCAAGACCATCCTGGCCAACATGGTGAAACACTGTCTCTACTAAAAATACAAAAATTTGGCCTGGCGTGGAGGCTTATGCCTGTAATCTTAGCATTTTTGGAGGGCAAGGTGGTTGGATCACGAGGTAAGGAGTTCAAGACCAGCCTGGCCAAGATGGTGAAACCCTGTCTCTACTAAAAATACAAAAATTAGCTGGGCATGGTGGCAGACGCCTGTTATCTCAGCTACTCGGGAGGCTGAGACAGAGAATTGCTTGAACCCGGGAGGCGGAGGTTGCAGTAAGCCGAGATTGCACCACCACACTCCAGCCTGGGCAACAGAGCAAGAGTCTGTCTCAAAAAAAAAAAAAAAAAAAAACAAATTAGCCAGAAATGGTGGCATGCACCTGTAGTCCCCAGCTACTTAGGAGGCTGAGGCAGGAGAATCGCTTGAATCCTGGGAGGCGAGGTTGCAGTGAGCTGAGATTGTGCCACTGCACTCCAGCCGAGGTGACAGAGTGAAACTCTGTCTCGAAAAAAAAAAAAAGAAAAGCATAAATCAGAGAGCATGGTGGCACCCTGATACCCTGATGTCAGGAAAAGGACATTATTTCCCATCTCTCAGGTAGTTCCTGCTGACAGTAGTCCCTGTGGCCAAGGCTGAGGTGGGGCCATGGGTGGGAAAGCTGGGAGTCCAGTGAGCACATCAGTCCTCAGCAGGCACCCAATGCCTGTGCCCAGGGCTAAAAATGTCCCCTTTTCTATCTCGCTCTTCAGGCTTCCCTCCTTATCTCAAAGTGCACTGGCCACTTTGGGTTCACAGCGACTGATGGATGATAATAAAAACAATAACACGTGCTCCTAAATTCCCTTAAGTTGTTTGGCTAAAATACATAGCTCAGTCTGACAATAAAATATCTATTCTGAGGAAGAAACCAATATATTAGGAAAGAGCTTCAAAACTTATTTTAAAGTACTTGTCTTTTGCTTCTGGGTTTGGAAATGATGTCTGGAAGTACGTATGCTTAGGCTGGCTGTCACGGGCTTTAGTTTTACACTTTGTTATAAGTTTAAGAATCTATTTTTGTCAACAATGTTCAGAGTACATGTGAGATTTAAAGAAATACCAAACGACTTGCTGATAAGGCACTTGTTTCGTGCCAGGCCCTGTGCCAGGTACTATATGTGCCTCAAAACCCACCAGCCTCTCAATCTAGCTGCAAGAAATGCCCATCCTGCCCCCACTTTGCAGATGGACCCTGTGAGGTTCCAAGAGGTTAAGTGACTTTCCCAGGCCATCCATGGCACTCGGAATTCTAATGGAACATCATCCAAAAGTGTGTCCCCAGACACGCTTTTCCTTCCTTGGGTGGCACAAAGTCGCCCAAGTTCCCAGGCCTGTTCTCACTCTACAATGGCCCAATCCAGACCAGAAATCTTGTGGTCGGCATGTTCCGGGCTGGTCCCCAGGGGCTGCTGTGGGGCTTCGGGATGGCCCTCTGCCTCCTCCCACCCAGCCCTGACCCTTCCTACACTCCTCCGGGAAGT
This sequence comes from Homo sapiens, assembly GCF_000001405.40. Taxonomy (NCBI): domain Eukaryota; kingdom Metazoa; phylum Chordata; class Mammalia; order Primates; family Hominidae; genus Homo; species Homo sapiens. The sequence continues at coordinate 15,761,091 of NC_000001.11, read as the reverse complement.
CGGATCTGCCTGGCTTCTCGGAAAATGTCCAGCACTGAGGCCAGATGTTCACAGCTGGGCAGCCCCTATACCTCCCAAGCAGTGACTGCAGGGACCTCAGGCCCCAGGGGGTCTAAGCTGGGGAGTTTCAAAGCCCTGTCAATCCCATCGGGAGAGGGAGCCCCGGCTTCCCTCCCGTCCCACTGCCACCGATTCAGCTGGGAGCAGGCTGTGTGTAAGTTCCCTGGGGCCATCTCCCAGTCAGCTGTGCCCAGGGGACCCTCCGCCCCCACTCTTCCTCCCCCAGAGAGCGAATCACAGATCCAGTTAGATAAGTGGAGAAAAGTGGGAACAAAGGGAAGGAAAGTCATTTCCTGTCCAAAGGAAGGAAGGAGGCAGGGATCCAGCCAGCCACCCAGACCAGCTAGAGGCTGCAGCCTTGGGGCAGAGAATGTGCAGCTCAGGGGGGGTCACCCCCACAGTCCTCCTTCCTACTCCTTGTTCCCTACAAAGAAAAAAAAAAACAAAAAAACCTCTGGGGCCACCTCTAAGCTCTGTTCTTTTTTTTTTTTTTTTTTTTTCTGAGACAGAATCTTGCTCTGTGGCCGAGGCTGGAGTGCAGTGGCGCAATCTCAGCTCACTGAAACCTCCACCTCCCAGGTTCAAGCGATTGTCCTGCCTCAGCCTCCTGAGTAGCTGGGACCACAGGCACACGCCACCACCCCTGGCTAATTTTTGTATTTTTGGTAGAGACAGGGTTTCACCATGTTGACCAGGCTGGTCTCAAACTCCTGACCTCAAGTGATCCGCCCTCCTCGGCCTCCCAGAGTGCTGGGATTACAGGCTTGAGCCACTACACCCGGCTTAAGCTTTGTTATTTATTTATTTATTTTGAGACAGAGTCTCATTCTGTGGCCCAGGCTGCGCAGTGGTGCGATCTCGGCTCACTGCAACCTCCGCCTCCTGGGTTCAAGCGATTCTCGTGCCTCAGCCGCCGAATAGCTGGGATTACAGGCGCGCGCCACCACACCCGGCTAATTTTTGTATTTTTAGTAGAGACGGGGTTTCACCACGTTGGCCAGGCTGGTCTCCAACTCCTGACTTCAGGTAATCCGCCCGCCTCGGCCTCCCAAAGTGCTGGGATTACAGGCGTGAGCCACCGCTCCCGGCCAGCTTTGTTCTTTAATGACCGGATAAAGCAGTCTACCTTTGGGTACGGAATTAAATTTAGGCAGAAGTGGCGGGGTGTGCCCCAACCCCTCCCACCCTGCAACTTAGGGGAGGGGTTCCCTCAACCTCTTTCCCACCCCAGGGAAACAGAGGAGGTAGAGAGCTGGGTTCACACGCGGCCCCACTTCTTTCCTGCGGGGTGACCCCGAATAGGTCACAGAAACTCTCTGGCCTCGTTTTTTCATAAAGTGAGAATGAGTGTGTCCCTAGGGCGGCTGAGAGGATATATAAGGAAAGAAGACTCAGGGTCTAGGCCCTTGGAAGGTGCAAAGAGAAGGACAGCTGGTTAGGCAGCAGCTGAGAGGGAGAAGCAGCCCGGGGGCTGGGCTCGGCTGGGGGTGCCTCCAGGACCCGGACAGAACCTACAGCGTCATTAAGAGCAGGAATCTGGGCGCGGCCCCAGCCTCTCCCCGGGGTCCTCAGGCTTGGGTGGGAGGTGAGGGGTAGGGGCCGACGCCAAGATCATCCCAGGGCACACACCTGGGTATCGCCCATCTCCACACCTTCTCAGCCCCCGACGGGCGCGTGAGGCCCAGAGAGGAGCAGCCCCGGGACCCGTCCCTCCCCTTGCCTGACCCTGGCTAGGAAAAGGGGCCTGGAGCGCCCCCGGGCTCCGGAAACGCGGGACCCTCCGCAGGCAGCCGAGCAGGGCGGCCGCCGGGGTCACCGCTGGGCGCCGCCGGAGCTTTAATTCGATCCATGTGCGGGACTCCGGCCTTTTGTGCGGGAGCTTCCGCCCTGCGCGCCGGGTCCCCGGCTCCCGCTCCCGGGCTGGGACTCGGCCCTCCGCCGGCCTCACTGAGCCCTCGCCCCGGACCTGCCGACTCCCCGACTCCGGGGAGAGAGACCAAGAGACTGGGACGCAAAGGGCGTGAGGACCGCACCCCCCACCCGCAGGCCCCTCCAGGGGCGCCGCGCCGGGGGTCCCGGCTGGCGACCGAGCAGGCTCCGGCCGAGCACTGCCGGCGCTGTCACCTGTGTGCACCGGGGACAGGGACGGAGGGACGCGACCCCCACCCACCCGGCCCGCTTACCTGGGCCGCCCGCGCCCCGGCGGCTCCGATCCGACGCCCGAGCCAGCGGAGCCCGGAGCCGCTGGGCCTCCCGTCCCCTCCGCCCGTCCGCCCTCCCCGCCCCCTCGGCTCCCTCCGCCCCGCCGCCCCGCGCCGCTTTACCATAAAAGGTGAGGCTCGGGGGGAGGGGGCGCGGGATTCCCGCCCCGCGGAAGCGGCCCCTACCTGCCCCCCAACCTGCCCGGCCGCGCCCCGCGCCGCCCCTTCCCCCTCCCTTTGTTCCCTGGACGACGCCTCCCCTCCCCCTTGGCACAGGCCAGGGGGTGGGAATGGGGGGGAATGGGGATGGGGGCGATGGGGGAATGGGAGGGATGGGGAGTGGGGGTAGGAGAATGGGGAGTCGGGGTGGGTTTCCTTCCCTCCCCGCTGCCCATCCCCTCGCGTTCTTCATGGACCCCGAGTGGTCCCTGCCGTCCCCCTTCCCTCGCTCTCCTGGGTTGGCAACCCCACCTACCCTGTCCGGCGGAGGTGAGCGCTTACTTTGGCTCTGGGATCCGCCAGGGTCTTGCGTCAAACCGACCAGGGTTCTGCGGCCGTTTACTAAGCGTGAGACCCGGAGCAGTCACGCCACCTCCTGAGCCTCAGTGTCTTCATCTGTAAAGTGGAGGTAGCCACTGCCTACCTCTCCAGGTTGGCCTGAGGATAAAAGGTGACAGTTACAGCCAGGACTGTGATTAATAGTGGTTAATATATGCTGGGTTGGGGGCTTTTTCCGGGAGTGTTCCTGAGGGTGGGGGTCTCGGAGACCCCCAGTGGAGCAGGTCACCTTGTTCTGCTCTCCTGAGCGGTAAGCCCTCTGCAGGTGGGTCCCGGTGTCCCGGGGGACAGGCCGCTCCAGGAGCTCTGGAAGGCAGGGCCCGGCTGGCCCTGTGGCTGAACCCCTCCCTCCACATCCAGTGACCCTCCCCCTCCCAGCTGGAGCAATTAGGACGGGAGCGGGAGGGGAGGCAGAGCCTGGACTCTGGGGCCCGGGATGGGGCCGGGATGGACTGCCTGGGTCCCTGGAGGCCTCAGGGACATTGTGGGGAAAGGAATCTGGGTCTGATTCAGAGGCAGACAGATTGTTCTTTTGATTAAAGCCACAGTGGCTGAGGCTTGAGGAGCGCTGGACCCAGCGCCATCTGCGGGGTGGCCAGACAGGATCTGGCCCGTCCTGCAACCCCTCAGCTACAGTCACCCCTCCAGGGTGGCTCTGGGGCTGTTTCTGAGGGAGGCTGGTTTATGAGGGTCAGAGGAGGCTGCCTCCGCCCTCACCCACTGATCATCGCCCCTCCCATCCCTCTTGTCGCCCCTTTTCCCATTTGATCCTCTCAGCCAAGCTGCAGTAACAGCAGCAGTCCCAGGAGCTGCCATTGATAGGGGCTTTCTAGGTGCTGGTACCCATCCTCATCCCCATCCTAATCCCACAAGAGCCATGAGCACCAGGGCTGATGATTCCTGTTCACGGTCAAGGACACTGAGGCCCCGAGAGGCTCAAGGCCACACTAGGGGCAAATGGCAGAGCCAAATTCAAACCAGAGCCGCTGTGTCCCTGGGCACACAGCTCTGCTAGTCTCAAGAACAGGTACCAGTGCCATCCTTTACAGAATCGGAAGCTGGGGCTTGGAGGTGCTGAGAGTTCTGTGCAGCAGGGCGAGGCTGGGACTCAAGGCTGTCTGAGTCCCTGCTCGGCTCATTCCTGGCTTGGCAGTGATATCCTGCCCCTGCCCCCCAAAACTCCAGCTTTGCAGCACCCTTTGGAGGAGACTTCCCCATACCCTCTGAACGACAGAGACGGGAAGGACTCAAAGGAGGAAGGTGCGATCTGGGGGTTTTCAGGCGCTTTTGGCTGTAGAACCCCTTTGCAAATGCTTAGTGACCCAGAAGTTTATTTAAGAGATAAAAGTGGAGCTGCCTGCCCTCACCTCCATGACAGCCCCTGAACCACCTGTTGCACCCCCAGGTGGGATAGTGAGGCAACGAAGAGTTGATTTGGGGCCTTGTTCAAGGTCACACTGACTTAGTCTAGGACCCAGGCTTCCCACATTTGCTCTGGGACAGTCCAAGGGGAATGAGGGGTTCAACTGCCTCTGCTTACCTGCCTCCAGCACCCCAGGCCACCTGTTCCACCGCCACCACTGCTCCCGGATGGAGGGATTCGTCCTGGCCCGCAGCAGCTCGGGTGTCGATGTCACCGATCGGCAGGTGCCAAACTTCCTGCAACGGAAACCCAGGAAGTGCGCTGGATGAGAACACACGCCCTTTGTCTGCCAGCTCAGAGGCTCTGCTGCCCTCCGCCCTCCCTGCCAGGCTCACAACGGCTTTCTTCTCCCTTAGATGGCTCCAGCAGGCAAGGGGCTCAATCTTCTATTAGGATGGTGGCAGCTGAGACCCTGAGTGGCAGGGAAGGGGTGGAAGAGAGGTTTGAGGGCAAGTCTGCTTGCCGGGGCGGGGGTGGCACCTCCACAGTGGAGAGCTTTGACTGAGCAGACACTGACCGGGCACCTACTGTGTGCAATGCATGAGTCAAGGAGCCGACGGGATCAAATCAGACATGATCAGTCCTTGTCCCCACAGTCCTTACAGGGAGATTGGGTAGAGCAAACCATAAAGCAAATTAACATAACAATAACCAATAGTAAAAGGTGCTATGAAGGAATGGACAAGGGGTCTGAGACAAAAGGGGGTGGGGTGGGTGTGGGGTGTGGGGTGTGGGGGGAAATCCTCTCTGAGGAGGTGAGGGTTAAGCTGAGATGGGGAGGAGCCAGTGTGAGAATAGGGACGAATATTCCCAGGGAAAGGGGGCAGAAGGGAAAACATGGGCTTTAAAGGTCAGAGGTCAGCTTGGCAGACAGCCTCAGAAGCCCCTTGGGCCTCCCAGCTCCTTCCTCCATCCTCCATCTTCCACCCTACCTGCTTGGAGTCAGGTCAGTCCAATGCTTATTTCCTGGGCGCTGCTGTGTGTGGGGCCCTGTGCTAGGCAGGGCGGGGAGAGGAGCAGCATAGAGAAAAGGGAGCTCCCCCATGGTGGCCGGGTCAGATGGGGACACAGATACAGCTGTGAGTAACATCAGTATCTGGGAGTGATTCCAGCTCTGCCACTTGCCAGCCTTGGGCAAATCACTTCTCTCTGGGCCTCAGTTTCCTCTTGCAACCGAGGGGTTGCCAACCCAGGTTTGTCCCTTGTGGCTTCATAGCAAGAATCTGGTGGGGTAAATGTGGGTAAAAATACCTGATGCTCAGTAGGTGTTCAGAGATGAGTTCCTTTGCTCTCCCTACCACATGAAGGATAGAAGTTTTAGTAAGAGGGACAAAGTTCTGAAGGGAAGGGAAGGACGTGACTTTGTCCTGCAAGAGAATCCAAGGAACATCCATGGCTCCTGATAGCCAGCACTACTTTCCCTGATTCTGATAACAGCACTCAGTTTCTGTTTGGGGAACCTCTCTTCCACTCTCAGTGCCTGGTGTATACATGACCCATGTCCAGCCAATCATAGTGGCTGTTAGTTCTAAGATCAGCTCTCTGGGCTTGTTGGCTGGCAGAATACAAGCTTGACACCACTTTTGCCCCCCACTTGGACCACCACAGAGGACAGCAGAGCAAAGAGATAGGAAAGAAAGATAACTGATTTCATCAGCTGCTGGATCCAGCCATACCTGCAATCCTACTACCAGACCTCCAGAGTCAATGCATTTTTTTCCCTTACTTTTTATTTTTTATTCTTTTGAGACAGTCTTGCTCTGTCGCCCAGACTGGAGTACAACTATGGGCTCCCTTACTTTTTCTTTTTTCTTTTCTTTCTTTCTTTCTTTTTTTTTTTTTTTTTTTTTTTTGTTTTTTGAGACAGAGTTTTGCTCTGTCACCCAGGCTGGAGTACAGTGGCACGATCTCGGCTCACTGCAACCTCTGCCTCCCAGGTTCACGCCATTCTCCTGCCTCAGCCTCCCCAGCAGCTGGGACTACAGGCGCACGCCACCATGCCCGGCTAATTTTTTGTATTTTTTTTTTAGTAGAGACGGGGTTTCACTGTGTTAGCCAGGATGGTCTTGATCTCCTGACCTCGTGATCTGCCTGCCTTGGCCTCCCAAAGTGCTGGGATTACAGGCATGAGCCACCGTGCCCGGTCCTTACTTTTTCTTAAACCAGTTAAAATTGTATTTCTGCAGTTATTTGTTGCGCTTTTTTTCCTTGTTCTAAATAAATAGTCAGTCATGAGGCTGGGTGCAGTGGCTCACACCTATAATCACAGCACTTTGGGAGGCCGAGGCGGGCGGATCATTTGAGTTCAGGAATTTGAGACCAGCCTGGCCAACATGGCAAAACCCTGTCTCTACTAAAAATACAAAAATTAGCCGGGCGTGGTGGCAGGTGCCTGTAATCCCGGGTACTCAGCAGGCTAAGGCAGGAGAATTGCTTGAACCTGGGAGGCAGAGGTTGCAGTGAGCTGAGATCGCACCACTGCACTCCAGCCTGGGTGACAAGAGCAAAACTCTGTCTCAAAAAAAAAAAAAAAATAGCTCTGCGTGGTGGCGGGCGCCTGTAATCCCAGCTACTCGGGAGGCTGAGGCAAGAGAATTGCTTGAACCCTGGAGGCAGAGGTTGCAGTGAGCCAAGATCGTGCCACTACACTCCAGCCTAGACAACAGAGCAAGACTCCGCCAAAAAAGAAAAAAGGAAAAAAAGCCAAGTGGGAATCGACCAGGCCACAGCTAGAGCCACATGGTGTCCACTCTCAGGCTCCAATCCTGTGTCCCACTGCCTCACCCAGGCAAAGCCCAGCTTCCCAAGACCTGGCTGTGACAATATTGTCTCCGCGTTAATCCCGCTCTGGTTTAGGGGCCTGAACTGGCTCTGACCAGGCGTGCTGGTTCCCACGGCCAGACCGTCCACTCAGCGAATCAGCACAGGCTCCAGGGTGAGGGGGTGAGAAGTGTGGGAGAGGCCAAGGAGGGGCCTGAGGCTCAGCAGACTGAGGGGGCCCCTCCTCGCCCTAGGCCTTGCTAGTCAGGGCCCTTCTGCCCCTTATTTGGGAGGGTCCTTGAGCTAGCCCCAAACCCTCACTGATCCCAGCCCCCTCCTTGAGCCCCCATCCCACTGGGACCCTCTACTCCCAGCAGCATCTATCCCAGCATCTGCCCTTGCTGATCTATCTCCGCACCCTCAAGCCCTGAGCCTCCTCCTTACTAAAGCACAATGTGGCCTGGAACCTGCCATTGCCCCTGTGGGTCTCGCCCTCTTCTCTCTTAGCCAGAGGTGGGCTTATTGTGAAGTTAATAAAACTTATGCTCATGGCCTCACTTCCATGGCCCCTGTGAAGGCTGGGAGTTGCTGGGAGTTACAGAGTGTTCTAGACAAGGAGAGAAGCTGGTTTCACTCAGGAAGCATGTCCATGAAGAACGCCTAGCAAACTGTCCAGGGAGACATCAGAAGAAGGACCCAAATCTCCAAGTCTCCAGTCATTTGTTGTGCTTTTTCTCTTTGTTCTAAATAGTCACTTTTGGCCAGGAACAGTGGCTCAGGCCTGTAATCCCAGCACTTTGGGAAGCTGAGGCAGGCAGATCACCTGACGTCAGGAGTTCGAGACCAGCCTGGCCAACATGGTGAAACCCCGTCTCTTCTAAAAATACAAAAATTATCCGGTCTTGGTGGTGTGTGCCTGTAATCCCAGGTACTCAGTAGGCTGAGGCAGGAGAATCGCTTGAACTCAGGAGGCGGAGGTTTCAGTGAGCTGAGATCATGCCATTGCACTCCAGCCTGGGCAACACAGTGAGACTCTGTTCTCCCCCCCACCCAAAAAAATAGTCACTTTCATACGAATTCTGTATTATTTTTTCTAAAGGGAGTCCTAAAAATTGGATCTGCCTTGCTCTTTTTATTTTATTTTTTATTATTTTATTTTTTGAGACAGAGTGTTGCTCTGTTGCCCAGGCTGGAGTGCAGTGGCGCCATCTCGGCTCACTGCAAGCTCTGCCTCCCGGGTTCACGCCATTCTCCTGCCTCAGCCTCCTGAGTAGCTGAGACTACAGGTGCCCATCACCATGCCCAGCTAATTTTTTGTATTTTTTTTTTTTTTGAGACATAGTCTTGCTCTGTCGCCCAGGCTGGAGTGCAGTGGCATGATTTCGGTTCACTGCAAGCTCCACCTCCCGGGTTCATGCCATTCTCCTGCCTCAGCCTCCTGAGTAGCTGGGACTACAGGCGCCCACCACCACGCCCAGCTAATTTTTTGTATTTTTAGTAGAGACGGGGTTTCACCGTGTTAGGCAGGATGGTCTCAAACTCCTGACCTCGTGATCCACCTGCCTCGGCCTCCCAAAGTGTAATTTTTTAAATTATTTGTAGAGATGAGGTCTCACTATGTTGCCCAGACTGGCCTCGAACTCCTGGGCTCACGAAATCCTCCTGTCTCAGCCTCCCAAAGTGTTGGGATTACAGGCGTGAGCCACTACACCTGGCCCATATGCCTCACTCTTATTCTTTACAATCCCCTCTTCTCACAGTAGCCAGAACACCTCACTAAAGCAGCATCTAACGCCCTTCTGTGCACAGCCCTCTGTGGCTCCCCGCTGCTCTCTGGGACAATGCCAAGCCCCTCACCCTGGCCCTGTGTGATCCTGCCCCAACCCACCCCCGAGACAGCATCTCCCACCACTGCACCCCTCACCCCTCTGCTGCAGCGGCGCTGACCCTGCCTCAGTCCCTCAGTCCACTCCAGAGCCTTGAAACCCACCTGGGCTTCAATACCACCCCCTTGGCCTGGGAACGCCTGTCTTCTCACCTGGGTTATTCCAAATGCTTCCAAACTATTCTGAAAACAGCCACGAGAGGACTCCTCTCAAGGTGTACGTCAGCTTCCGTCATGTCCTTGTGCAAAACCCTCCGCTGGCTCCCCTCAGGGCAACGCAGTCCATAGCCTCGCCCGGGGCTCCAGGCCCAGCCGCTCCACCCTCTCTACCACCTTCCTTTTTTTTTTTTTTTTTTCTGAGACAGAGTCTGGCTCTGTCACCCAGGCTGGAGTGCAGTGGTGTGATCTGGGCTCACTGCAACCTCCGCCTCCTGTATTCAAGCAATTCTCTGCCTCAGCCTCCTGGGTTCAAGCAATTCTCTGCCTCAGCCTCCTGGGTTCAAGCAATTCACTGCCTCAGCCTCCAGAGTAGCTGGGATTACGGGCACTCGCCACCACGCCTGGCTCATTTTTGTATCTTTAGTAGAGACGGGGTTTCACCATCTTGGCCAGGCTGGTCTTGAATTCCTGACCTCGTGATCCACCCACCTTATCCTCCCAAAGTGCTGGGATTACAGGCGTGTGCCACTGTGCCCTGCTCTACCACCTTCCTAAATGCCCTGGCCTGTTCCTGCCGCAAGGCCCTTGTTGAGCCGTCTTCTTGGCCTGGGAAGTTCTTCCCTCCGCTGTTTGCTTGGTTGCCCCCTCACTCTGTTCAGGTGTCTGCTCCAATGCCCCCTCCTCGCAGGAGCCCTCCGTGGACGGCAGCTTCTGAGATGCCCCCAGGATCCCCACCTCCTGGCCTCCATGCCCTCCCCTCGGGTGGGTGGGACCTGGGGACCTCTCCTCAATGATAGATTGTGGCCAAAACAATAGGATGTCACTTTCAGCACTGAGTCACAAAGCGTGGGCTTGCTTGTCCTCCACCCCTCTCCCTGGTGGGCTCTGAGGAAAGCCAACGGCCGCATTGTAGGGGTGCCTTGCAGGAGCCCGACGTGGCAAGGAAGAAGGGAGGCCCTGGGCCTTACGACGACACCACAGCCTCGCTGACCCTTGGCAGTAGCCCTGAGACACAGGACCCGGCTCAGCAGCACCCAGATCCCTGACCCACAGAAAGAGCAAGACGATCAGTGTCTGTTGTTTTAAACTCTTCAAGTTTGGGGGGTAATTTGTGACGCAGCTGTAGATAACAAATACACCTTCTCTCACTTCTGCCCCCGTCACTCTGTCCCCTGACCCGGCTTTACTTTTCTTTGTTTCTTTGTTAGTTTGTTTTGAGACAGAGTCTCACTCTGTTGCCCGGGCTGGAGTGCAGTGCGACAATCTCGACTCACTACAACCTCCGCCTCCCGGGTTCAAGCGATTCTCCTGCCTCAGCCTCCTGAGTAGCTGGGATTGCAGGCACGCGCCACCACGCCCGGCTAATTTTGTATTTTTCGTAGAGACGGGGTTTCTCCATGTTGGTCAAGCTGGTCTCAAACTCCTGACCTCAGGTGATCTGCCCGCCTCGGCCTCCCAAAGTGCTGGGATTACAGGCGTGAGCCACCGCGCCCAGCCTCCGGCTTTACTTTTCTTTGCAGCATTTTGTGGAAGGGAACCTCCCTTACTCCTCTCAGTGTCCCCAGTGCCAGCCTGATGCCTGGATCCACGCAGGTACTCAGTGATGACACTGAATGAATGAATGGGTGAAGAAATGCAAGTCCTCAGAAAGAAAATGCCAGAGCTCAGAAAAGCCAGAAGTAGGGGGCTCAGGATGGGGAGGCCAGCTAACCCCAATCCCAGCTGCCCCAGGGGTCACTACCCACTTTACGCAGGGCCTGGGGACGCTGGTCCCCCACCTCTTCAGCACGATGTTGCCCTGACCCTAGAACCTTGGTCCTGGTGGTCAGGCCCCAAGGGTCAGGCTCTTCGGGTCCCCTTGGGGAACTGGTCCCAGCCTCATGCTTTGCCCAGACCATACAATTTGGATTGTCCTATGCCTGCTGGACTTCAGGCCTATTTTCTCCATTTGGTGTGGAGATTTGCTAAATGCCTCATTTAGAGTGAGCTCATTTTATGCCCTTGTCAGTCTTTTCATGAAAATATTTCGATAAGAAAAGAATGCTATTCCAGCCCACGTGTCCTGATTTTTGTTTGGAAAACAATCCCTGTGCCCATAAAAAGGAAAGGACTGCTGAGTCCAGTCCCCTCCTGGCCCTGTCCCTAATGGGGCCCAGGCTGTGCCAGGGATCCAGAGGCTAAAGCACATTCCAGCAAAAACACTGGCCCCCGCTTGGAACCCAGAGCCCAGTCTGGGTCCGGCAAGGGGCTGGCCCTGTGCCCACCTAACTGAGCCATTTCCTTCCAGACTGGGGCACATTTCCTGCCCGGAGGGAACAGAGCACATTCCCAGGCGGCATGGACTGGGTCCTGCATTGGGGGAGGGGATTCCGTAGGCATTTTCCCAACCCCAGCGACCACGCCCTGGGATGAGAGGCCTGTCCTGGTGGTAGGGCTAGGAGCACGGTTCAAAGGGTGCTGCTGGAGCTGTCCAAGGGGTGGCCATTCTTCGGGGAATGAGCTGAAACCACCCGGCCCTGCCTTGGGTGCAGCCTGCTCTGTATCCCAGGTGTGCTGAGCGTAGAGCGAGAAGGATCCTTGAGTCACCCCTGCCTGCTCCCAAGCAGCAGTCTTCGGGTGAGTGTGGTGCCTTTGCCGAGAGGGAGGGACCCATCAGAGCCTGGAATCCTCAAGGTGCCCTCTCCAGGCCTCCCCTCCTCCCTAATGCCTCCTTCCTGGCCACCCCCATGCCTCTCAAACCCCCTCCAGAAAGACCACTGGCCGGGAGGCTCCTTTGCCCCGTGGGGCTTCCGCTAGGAAAGGGCCCTGAGTTGCAGCCCTGGATCCCCATGGAACCAAAGGGCCCTGGGGGCTGGAGCTGGGCTCCTTTGCACCGAGGTGGCTGGAACCACATTCCAGAGCCTGTCGGTAATGGACGTGCCATATTTCTCATCTCTGTTAGTTTCCCTGGCCCCAGCTTTTCAACAAGAAGAGGGTAGCAGGGAGCATTCAAAGCACTTGAGCTGTGGGGGCCAGGCCACCTGGATTCAAATCCCAGGTTTGCTACTTAATGCCTGTGCGCCCTTGAGCAAGTCACTTAACTTCTCTGAGCCTCAGTTTCTGACTCTGTAAAAAGGGATAACAGTGCCTGCCTCTTGGCGCTGATGTCAAAATGAAATGAAACGGTGAAAGTACCCAGCACATGGCAGACACCCAGCATGCAGTGGTAATTCTTCTGCCAGGTTCAGAGAGGGGCAGTGGCTTGTCTAAGGTCACACAGAGGGTAGGCAGAGGAGCTGGTACCCAACCCTTTGGCCTTCCTGAGCTGGGCCCTGAACGGGCTGAGATGGGAGGGATGCTCATAGCCTTCAAGAAGTCAGGGTTGGGGCTGGGGACCACAGAGCACCCAGCAGAGGCCTGGTCAGCATTGTGCGTCCTTCAGCTGTTTCCCAGCCTGGGATGGGACAGGACATGGCCACTATCCACCCAAGACTGCAGGTGGGTGCCAGACCAAGTGTCCATCCCCCCCGTCCCCTCACCTCATCAGCCACCTCGGTACTACGGTACTACATGCCCCCCCACCACTCTACCCAGTTCTCTACCCAGAATGGTTTTGCTCAGTCTGCAAGGAGCCACGTCCCCCAGGGGACCCAGCCCAGGCCAGCCTGAGGCACATATCCCAGGACCTGCCAGAAGAGCTGTGTGGCCTCAGAAAAGCCTCTTTCCTGCTCTCTGTGTTTGTGATTATTCTTTGTTGTTGTTGTTTTGTTTCTGAGACAGAGTCTTGCTCTGTCACCCAGGCTGGAGTGCAGTGGCACGAATCTCGGCTCACTGCAACCTCCGCCTCCCAGGTTCAAGCAGTTCTCCTGCCTCAGCCTCCTCAGTAGCTAGGATTACAGGCACCCACCACCATGCCCAGCTAATTTTTGTATTTTTAGTAGAGACAGGGTTTCGCCATCTTGGCCAGGCTGGTCTTGAACTCCTGACCTTAGGTGATCTGCCCACCTTAGCCTCCGAACGTATTGGGATTACAGGCGTGAGCCACCACGCCTGGCCTCTGTGTGTTCGTGATTCTAAGCACAGGTTGAGAAAGACATCGTCTTTATTGTTCATGGAGAAGGGAAGGGAGACCAGTAAAGGGGGAGCCCTCCTGAGGATGCACCCCCACCCCTGCCCAGGAAGGCAGGTCTGAGAGGCTGCATCATTGCCCACCCCAAGAAAAAGAGGGTTCAACCAGGGGTCCCCAGGTGTCCCCTCTCCAGAGGCTCCCATCCCCAAATCCTGCCTTCCCTTCTCGGGGCTCCCAGGGCCTGTGCTGAGCTCTGGGCAGGAGGCCAGCTCTGCCACTCTGCCTCCAGGCATCGCCCTGGGGTCAAGGCCTCGGAGATCAGGCTAGTGGGCTTGAGACAGACTCCAGATCCTCCCTGAGGCAGGTCAAGAGGGGGCCGAACTCTGGGACTGGGGTGCCGAGGGCAGGGGCTGGCTTGGTGTTGACACTGGAGGCCTCTGGGATGGAAAATCCTGAGGAAAAGCGTTGAGAATGACACCACCCATTCACCCATCCCCCTGCGGGCCTTGGGCCTCCAGTGACCCGGGCACTTCCTCCCCCTTGGGCCTCTGGGTTGTTGCTGGAGAGGGCTGTGGACAGGGTGGGGGGTGCTAGTGACCTGGAGGACAGCCCTGGCCTGGTGAAAGAGGGTGGGAGAGGTGATTCCAGCTCCCTCTGCCCCTGACCCCCAAGGGAAGTCACCCTGGCTCTGTCTTTTTTTTTTTTGGAGATGGAGTCTCACTCTGTTGCCCAGACTGGAGTGCAGTGGCAAGATCTTGGCTCACTGCAACCTCTACCTCCTGGGTTCAAGTGATTCTCAGGTCTCAGCCTCCTGAGTATTTGGGATTACAGGTGTGAGAGACCGTGCCCAGCTGGCTCTTCTTAAACTTGAGCCTCTTGAGGCTCCTGGGCTGTTTGAAGCAGGGTTCATTGTCTGGGGGACACATGGGATGGGGGTGCCCACCTGTATCTGGCAGAGGTCAAGCAGGGTGCGGACGCCCACGAGACACCAGAGCTCGCCCAGTAGGGAGACAAGGATGCCCAGCAGGTCCAGCCAGCGACCCACAGTCAGCAGCAGCACGAAGAGGCCGCCCATGCGCACCAGCACCGTCTGCACCTGGCTCTGCAGGCCGGGGTGCTGCCGCTGCTCCTCTGTGGGATGCGGGTGCCTGTCACCGTCCGACCACACACCCCGGACTGGACCTCCCTGCTCCCTGACCCACCCTCCACAGGATGAGCCTTCCCCTCCCGTGCAGCCCTCCTCCCATCACATCCTCCTGGTCCCCATCCCTGCTCCGAGTATCTGCAGGGCACCAGGTGCTCTGCCTCCAGGACTCACTGCCCAGCCCACAGGCCTCCAACTGGTCCAGGCCAGAGCCCCACAGCCTCGCAGCCTCGCAGTGGCAGGAGTCGGTCTGACTCCTTTCTTTTCCGCACACCCGCCTCTAGTCCCTCAGTTAGCCCTGGCAACTCCTTCTGCCAAGCACATTCCCAGCTGAACACCTCTCGCCACTCCCATGGACCCACCTGGGCCCAAACCACCTTCCTCTTTCCAAGAAGCCTCCTTGCCAGGCTCCCGGCTTCTGTTCTTTTTTTTTTTTTTTTTTTGAGACAGTCTTACTCTGTCGCCCAGGCTGGAGTGCAGTGGCATGATCTTGGCTCACCACCACCACACCTGGCTAATTTTTTGTATTTTTAGTAGAGACGGGGTTTCACTATGTTGGCCAGGCTGGTTTTGAACTCCTGACCTCAAGTGATTTGCCTGCCTCAGCCTCCGAAAGTGCTGGGTTTACAGGCATGAGCCAGCATGCTTGGCCCCGTTTTTTTGTTTGTTTGTTTTTTGAGACAGAGTCCAGCTACTTGGGAGGCTGAGGCAGGAGAATTGATTGAACCCAGGAGTTGGAGGTTGCAGTGAGCCGAGATCACTCTAGCCTGGGCGACAGAGCAAGACTCCATCTCAAAACAAAACAACAACAAAAAAAAACCCTGCAGTAAGCCGGGCACAGTGGCTCACGCCTGTAATCCCAGCACTTCGGGAAGCTGAGGCAGGTGGATTGCTTGAGCCCAAGAGTTCAAGACCAGCCTGGGCAACATGGCAAGACCCCTTCTTTTTTTTTTTTTTTTTTGTTTGAGATGGAGTTTCGCCCCTGTTGCCCAGATTGGAGTGCAATGGTGCGATCTTGGCTCACTGCAACCTCCGCCTCCCAGGTTCAAGCAATTCTCCTGCCTCCCAAGTAGCTGGGATTACAGGCCCCTGCCACCACACCTGGCTAATTTTTATATTTCTAGTAGAGACGGGGGTTTCACCACATTGGCCAAGCTGGTCTCAAACTCCTGACCTCAGGTGATCCACCTGCCTTAGCCTCCCAAAGTGCTGGGATTACAGGCGTGAGCCACTATGCCCGGCCAAGACCTCCTTCTCTCTTTCTCTCTCTCTCTCTTTCTCTCTCTCTCTCTTTCTCTCTTTCTCTCTTTCTCTCTCTCTTTCTCTCTTTCTTTCTTTCCAGAATCTCTCTCTGTCGCCCAGGCTGGAGTGCAGTGGTTCGATCCTGGCTCACTGCAACCTCTACCTCCTGGGTTCAAGCGATTCTTGTGCCTCAGCCTCCTGAGTAGCTGGATTACAGGCATGGACCACCACACTGGGCTAATTTTGTATTTTTAGTACAGGCAGGGTTTTACCATGTTGGTTAGGCTGGTCTTGAACTCCTGACCTCACGTGATTTGCCTGTCTCAGCTTCTCAAAGTGCAGGGATTATAGGCATGAGCCACTGTGCCCGGCTGACCCCTTCTCTACAAAAAATAAAATTAGCCTGGCATAGTGGTGTGTGCCTGTAATCCCCACAACTTGGGAGGCTGAGGTGGGAGAATCACTTGAGCCCAGAAGGTCAAGGCTGCGGTGAGCCATGATCGTGCCACTGCACTCTAGCCTGGGCCACCAAGCAAAACCCTATCTCAAAAAACAGAAAAGCAAAACAAAACAAAAACATAAACAAACTTGGACAGCAGCCTCTCATCAGACTTCCCCGCCTGGCTGTTGAGGGCTCTCCAACAGGCCCCTTCGAACCTGGCCAGCCTCACCCCTTCCCTGTGCCCTTGGGGTGACAGCCACACTGGACTCCTGTGGCTTGTTTGGCACGGCCATGCCCTCTCTCCCCTCTGGGCATTGGCACATGCGGTTCTCTCTGTCCAAGATTCTGTTCCCTGCCTCGCTTCTCTTAGGGATCTCCTGCTCATCCTTCAAAGCCCAATCTAAAGACTACAACCTCAGGGTGCCCACTACATGCTGCTTCTCTGCACTGCCCCCGCCACACAGCCTCTGTCCTGACCAGGCTCTCTGGGATGGCAAGAGTGAGGGCTGATGGCTCTCGGCCTCCCCGGAGCCTGACCCAGACAGAGGGATGTGCGTGGATTGAATGGAGCAGGCCCCGCAGCGCTCACCCTGCATGTAGATGACCAGCAGCGTGTAGCAGATGGTGAGCGGTGTCCAGAACCGCATGGCCTCCGAGGTGGTCAGGAAGTCCTGGTTGATGAGGGCCACAGCTGCCAGGTCACCCACGGCAAAGGCTATGGCCAGGGCACGGCCCAGCAGCTGGGGGAGGCCATGTGCATGGGCCAGCAGGCCCAGGCACACCCCACAGTAGCGCTGGCTGCTGTGCAGCTCGTAGAGGCGGCAGACGTGGCGGTGGAGGCGCCGGGCACCCAGGCCCAGCAGCGTGGCCAGCCCGAGGCTCAGCAGCAGGTTCAGCGTGCGGTGAGGGGCGCCCTCCTGCAGGAAGCTCAGGCCACAGGTCAGCCCGCAGCCCAGCGAGTACTGGCACAGCAGGTAGAGCTGCAGCCTCTCGGCGGCACCCTGGGAGCCCTGCGGGGAGTGCCGAAGAGGGGCCGAGATGTGGGGGCTGCCTCACCACAGGTGCTGCCCACCACAGGAAGCCGGAGCCTGAAGGGACCTTGGGGATGGTTCCCGAAGGGGCCACATCGGCTTCAGATGAAGCCCTAGGGGATCATCTCTCTCACCTTAATTTCAATCATATGGGTTTTGTTTTGTTTTTTTTTTTAGACAGAGTCTTGCTCTGTCACCCAGGCTGGAGTACAGTGGCTCGATCTCCGCTCACTGCAACCTCCGCCTCCTGGGTTCAAGCAATTCTCCTGCCTCAGCCTCCCAAGAAGCTGGGATTACAGGCACCCGCCACCATGCCCAGCTAATTTTTTTGTTTGTTTGTTTTTGTTTTTAGAGATGGGGTTTCTCCATGTTGGCCAGGCTGGTCTCGAAATCCTAACCTCAGGTGATCCGCCTGCCTCGGCCTCCCAAAGTGCTGGGATTACAGGCGTGAGCCACCACGCCCAGCCTTCAATCATGTCTTAGTACTTGGGGCCCATCTGTTAGCTGAAGGGTGGTGGTTCAGAGTCTCAGAGACCTGGGTCCAAAGCCTGACTCTATCTGTTGACCATAGACAAGCCACATACTCTCTGAGCCTTAGTTTCCCCATCTGTGAAATGGGGAATCAGAGCAAACCTTTACCCCTGTGGCTGTGAGGATTACGTGATGCACACGGTGCACTCGGCGCAGGGCCTGGCATTTGGGGGGCCGGATCTACAGAAACTGTCGCTCTTGTCTTCTTGGGACTGGGACTGTGTCCACTGTGAGTGTGGCCGCTTCCGCAACCAAACCCAAAGGTGCAACCTGCAGCCTCTGTTCTCAGTCTTACGGAAAATACGGCGAAGAGGCTGGGATGCTGGACCTGGGCCCTGCTGCCCACATTCCGGGGGTGAGCCCGGGCCCTGGGCTGGGGAGTGATCCACCCACTGCCTTCCCGGAGGCCTCACCTTGCCCAGGGACAGCAGCGTGGACACGGCCCGGAGGGAGAACTCGAGCACCACGAGGGCAGCCACCCGGGACCCCACGACCGTCAGAAACAGGGCCAGCCCTGCCAGGTGCACCGTTTCCAGGGAGGCCCACTGGGCCCGAAGCCGCTCCTTTTCGGGTCGCCGCTGCGGGTCACTTTGGGGACAGAATGGGTGTGGGCAGGGGTGCAGAACTGCCACCTTCGACCCCTGGTGGGGGTCCCCGTGCCCCCAGCCACATTCCCTGGGGGGATGAGGTGGGCACTCACTTGGCACAGCCCACGAAGAAGTAAACTTTCAGGAGGCTGTTCAGGACCAAGACTCCAAGGGCCCCGATCAGGCCTGAGGGGGCGGGAGGGAGGCAGCGAGGCAGCGTGCAGGGGTGTTAGGAGGGCAGGCTTCATTGGTAGGGTCAGAGGGGGCGGCCAAGGGGCAGGGGTGTCGGGAGACCAGGTGGGTGGGGTCCACCCTGCACTGCAAAGAGCTGGAAGGGGGCGGGGCCAAGGCAGGAATGGGGCGAGGTGCTCACCTTGCAGGAGGGAGTCAAGGAGGCTAGAGCCCCACTCGAGGGAGGGGAGGCCGGGGAGCCAGGAGGGGAGGGATGGAAGAGAGAACATGGCAGCCCCGGAAGGAGCCCCAGCCTCCGGCCAGGTCTGCGTAAGGACAGACCAACGTCACTGGGCAAAGGTGTCGGTGGAGGGAAGGAGAGAGGCTGGGAGGGGTCAAAGGCCCAGGGGAGGGGAGGGGAGGAGAGCCAGGGGTGTTAACCCTTCGAGGCCCAGAAGGGCAAGGTCCCAGCTCCAGGCACACGGGGTGCCTGGAGCCAGCTGCTGCCCGGGCTCCCCATTTGGGCAGTGTGGGGTGAAGGGACAGGTGTCTCTGGGCTGGTCTCTGGTCTCTGTCCCTGCTAAAGTCTGGCATCCACTTTACTTGAAATCTTCCTTGAGGGAGGACAGGCGCAGTGGCTTACACTTGTAATCCCAGCACTTTGGGAGGCCAAGGTGGGCAGATCACAAGGTCAGGAGTTCGAGACCAGCCTGACCAATATGGTAAAACTCTGTCTCTACTAAAAATACAAAAAATTAGCCGGGCGTGGTGGCAGGCACCTGTAATCCCAGCTACTCGGGAGGCTGAGGCAGGAGAATGGCTTGAACCCAGGAGGCGGAGGTTGCAGTGAGCTGAGATCACACCATTGCACTCCAGCCTGGGCAACAGAGCAACACTCTGTCTAAAAAAAAAAAAAAAAAAAAAAAATAGCAATCTTCCTTGAGGGCTTGAACCACCCAATGCCCCTTCGAAGTCCCAGGCTCCATCTGTCCTGCCCCGCCTTAGGTGTGGGTCCTGTCCTCTTGCAGCCTGAAGTGTGGGCTCTGACCCTTCAGCCCAGGGTCTGAGAGTAGGGACTCTATCCCCCCATAGCCAGAGATCAGCTGTGCCCTCTCAGCCTGAGGTCTGGGGCTCTCTTCCCCCACAGCCAGGAGGTCAGCTCTGCCTGCTTTTTGTAAGGTCTGGTTCCAGCTTCCCAAAGCCTCCGGCTCTGACTCGGTGTGGAATCTCCTGCAGCCCGAGCCTGCCTGAGCCTTCTCCTCCCACAGGCCGGGGCCGCCCTTCCTGATGCTCCTCCCTGGGTCCACTAGGTGGCAGGCCTCACCTGGGTCCAGCAGGGCGGAGCTGAACAGGTGGACCACGGCTCCCATCCTGCTTTCACAAACAGAAAGGGCAGAGGGAGCAGAAGGTGGGGGTCAGGGATGGGGGAGACTGAGATTCACCACAGAGGAGGGTCGTTGAAGTAAACAAAATATAAAACTTTATTGGTTTGGAGTGTGCAGTAGCAGGTGTTCCTGGGAGCGGCCCTTACAGACTTGGGGTGTGGCTGGGAGGGCAGGTGGGGCTGCTCGGCAGCAGTCCTGCCCCTGCCAGGGAGTTGGCATCCATCTCTGCAGTGTGAAGGTCGGTGCGGCGCTGAGAGCACACCCACGGGGAATGGTGCTCAGTCTAGAGAAAGGCCCAGGGTCTGCTGCTGGCCCTGCCACGTCGCTTCCCTTTCCCGGGCCTCAGTCCCGGGAACAATGGGCACCTGGACTGAACAATGGGCACCCGGAGCTTCTTTCAGGCTTGTCAGGATATGTGCAAATGCCCACAGGGCGGGCAGCTGGGAGGCCCTCCGTGAGAGCCCTTAGATGATGTTGGCTGAGGCCAGGCGCGGTGGCTCACGCCTGTAATCCCAGCATTTTGGGAGGCCGAGGCGGGCGGCAAGGTCAGGCATTCAAGACCAGCCTGGCCAACACAGCGAAAGCCTGTCTCTACTAAAAATACAAAATTAGCTGGGCATGGTGGCGCACACCTATAGTCCCAGCAACTCGGGAGGCTGAGGCAGGAGAATCACTTGAACCTGGGAGGTGGAGGTTGTGGTGAGCCGAGATTGCACCACCGCACTCCAGCCTGGGCAACAAAGCGAGACTCCATCTCAAAAAAAAAGATGATGTTGGCTGAACTGCGGCCCCTGCAGAAGTGCATGTTGAAGTCCTACCCCCTAGTAGCTCAGGATGTGACTGTATATGGAGATAGGCTCTTGACAGAGATAATTAAGTTAAAATTGGGCCAAGTGAGGTGGCTCATGCCTGTAATCCCAGCACTTTGGGAGGCCAAGGCCAGTGGATCACTTGAGGTCAGGAGTTCGAGACCAGTCTGGCCAACATGGCAAAACCCCATCTCTACTAAAGATACAAAAATTGGCCGGGTGTGGTGGCACACACCTGTAATCCCAGCTACTCAGGAGGCTGGGGCAGGAGAATTGCTTGAACCTAGGAGGCCAAGGTTGCAGTGAACCGAGATCGTGCCACTGCACTCCAGCTTGGGTGGCAGAGTGAGACTTCATCTCAAAAAAAAAAAAAAAAATTAAAGTGGGGTCATGAGGGTGGGCCCTAAGCCAACATGATTTGTGTCCTTATAAGAGGAGGAGATCAGGACCCAGACGCACATCGAGGGACCACCATGTGCAGACACAGAGAGAAAGCAGCATCTGCAAGCCATGGACAGAGGCCTCAGAAGAAACCAGCCCACTGACACCTTGGTCTCCAGCATCCAGCCTCCAGAACTGTGAGAAAATACATTTCTATTGTCTAAGTCGCCCAGTCTGTGGTTCTTTGCTACAGCTTCTCCAGCAAATAAGGCAGGTGACGACGCCACAGCCTCCTGGTGCACCTCAGCCTTTGCCATGGTACAGTGACCCCTATGGGCAGTCCGGGCCCATGGGCCTGTCACAGTCACGCACTTGTCAAGCGCATAGGTCTAGGGTGAGCAGGGCTAAGCTCCAGTCCTGGCTCTGCCACTTCAAAATTGTGTGGCTGTGGTCAAAGCCCACCACTCTAGGCCTTGGCTTTCTAATGGTAAAAGAAGTAAAAGTGCCTGCCTCGTGCTGCTGTCTGAGGCCTAAGTGAGCCGATGTATGTAAGTTACTGGGCCTATGCCATGTGCACGCCCGCAGCAGTTGCTATAACTGAGCAAGGCTCTGGGATGTGGTGACCCAGTACGCAGTACAGAGAAGGAAGAGAACTGTCTGGAAGACAGAATGGGTGGTAACTTGAAGTGGATGCTCTGGACCTGGGTGGGCCAAGGGGCTGGATGGACCAGAGCTGTCCACACTCTCCCGGGACCTCTGGCAGGGCCTGGGCCCATGGCCCGCCCCGGGACAGCCAGTTGTCCTGGAGCAGGCTCTCACTTCCGGCCAAGTGCCGGCCGTGTCAGGACGTGGGGGTGAGGGCCGTCGTCTAGGTGCCCTTGTGCTGGGCCCGCCCAGCCAGTTTCCGAAGCTCGTCCCAGAAGAGCATGCTGAGGATGGTGTGGGGGCCCAGGCGCAGGTAGGCGGGGCCCAGGCCCTTGTAGAGTGCCAGGGGGCCCTCCTGCCGCCAGATCTTCACCATGCAGTCGGTGAGGCCCCCATAGAGCTGGCCCTGGGGAAAGACATGGGGTGAGTGTTACTACAGGGGCCTTGAGGCCCTGGCTGGCACCACATCTTGGCACACGGGTCAATTTCACCCCCACACACCCTATGGACAGCACCTTTGTATTGGACACACCTGTGAGGCTGCGGCGCCATGGGAAGGCTGTGGGGTCAGGCCTGAATTCCAGTTCTGGCTCCTCCCCTTACCAGCTGGGGGAACTCATGCAAGTCAGTTGATCTGTCTGAGCCTCAGCTTCCTCATCAGGAAGATGAATGTGATTATAAGGATGGAATAAAATCCAGATGTGAAAGTGCTTAGCCTGTGCCTGGGACCCGGGGGCTCAGCAAACAAGCCCAGTTAATGTGTTTGCATACCTGGCCTGTGTCTGCGTGTCTCTGGCTGTGCATGTGTGAGTGTGAGTGTGTGAGAGTGTGTGTGTGTGTGTGTGTGTTGGGGGGGTGCTCCCAGCTCCCCACGGTCTCCCCTAGACCCGCCCCTGCTCACCCTGCCAGCTGTGTCCACCGGCTGATTGTATAGCCGCGTGCTGACCACATCGAAGGGAGTCATGACGACAACCACGGCTATGCTGCTGATCATGCCCCCAGCCAGGGCCACCAGCCAGCTGTCCTCAGGGAGCCACTGTGGGGATGGCACAGGTGCTGATCCCTGCAACAGCTCTCTACCCACCCACGTCGTGCCCTCCCGGCCTCCTACCACACAGGGGCTAAAAGGGCTACAGAAAGGGGAGCAGATGAGGCCCCTCCAGCCATCCCCCAGCCCTGCCACCCTGAGCTCCTTCTCAGCTTTGGGGTTCACTGCTGACCCCACACTCCTGCTGGTACCAAGGGCCGGAGTCACGACTCTGAGGGCAGAGGCAGGGCCCCATCTGTTGCCACCCCCTGGTCTTCCCCGTGTGGAAGGAGGCAGGTGGCCCCCCTCAGTCCGGTGTGTCTCTGTGGATAGGCACAGGTGTCCCCAGCTCCTCACCTGTTGCTTCTGTACCCAGGCCTTGGCAGAGGCGAAGGTGGCCAGCTGGGCAGCTGAGCCCACCATGACTCGGGGCACAGCCCCACCAACGCCCTGCCACAGCCCCAAGAGCCCTTGCTGCCGCCAGATGGTCTCCAAGGCACCCAGGACAGTCTGTGGGGAGAGGGCACGGGGTCACTGGCCACCCCTGCCTAGGCTGGGAGCATGCCCAATCCATGCCCCCAGGGAGCTCTGAGAGTGGCAGGCCTCACCTGGTGATTGTGCTGGTGTCCCACGGCCACTGCGGCCACTGTCTGAGCTTGCAGCTGCGTTTTGATCTATGGGAGCAGAGAGGACACGGGTGTGGGGATGGAGCCTGGGAGAGCCAGGGTGAGCTGTGTGTGTTGAGGGCGCCCTGCCCCCGTGCCCCTGAAACTCACAGCTCCATGGTCCCGAGCCTGAAGCTTAGGGGTCAAGTGAAATAGGGTTGAGGTGCAGCTCTGGGGTTGGCCTGGGTTTTGCGTCTCAGTGTGACTTGGAGCAAGTTACTTAACCTTTTCTGGGCCTCAATTCTGTCACGGTTGGAAAGCTGTTCTGAGGATTAAGTGAGACAATGATCCTCCAGCACCAGCCAAGGGCAAGGCGAGCCTTTGCTCAAGGGGAGCTTTTTTTTTCTTTCTTTCCTTTTTTTTTTTTTGAGGCAGAGTCTTGCTGTGTTGCCCAGGCTGAAGTACAGTGCCATGATCTTGGCTCACTGCAAGCTCTGCCAACTGGGCTCAAGTGATTCTCCTGCCTCAGCCTCCCCGGTAGCTGGGATTACAGGCATGCATCACCACGCCCAGCTAATTTTTGTACTTTTTAGCAGAGACAGGGTTTCACCATGTTGACCATGCTGGTCTCAAACTCCTGACCTCAGGTGATCTGCCCGCCTCGGCCTCCCAAAGTGCTGGGATTACAGGCGTGAGCCACTGCACCCAGCCAAGGGTAGCTTTCTTCAAAACATTTTTTAATTTTTTATTTGTTTTGGGTGGCCCTGAGGCCCCCCTGCAGAGTGCACACGAGGCGGAGGCCCTCAAGGGTAGCTTTTATTCTTATCGTACATGAGGCCATGCGGGAAGAGAAGTAACCAAGCCAGGATTTGAGCCAGCACATCTGACACCCTCTGCCCCCTCCCCTGGCTCAGGACCAGTGGGGCAGGGACCGCAGGGGAGCATGGATCAGAGCAAGGCCCTGGGCCAAGGGGCAGATTCCAGGCTTGGGCTAGGATGTTCCAGGGAGCAGCCCCACCCCGGCTGCCCCACCCCACCCAGGTCCACTGAGCCCTGCCTTTGGAGGCTGCAGGGCCCCTGTGGGAGCTGGGTCATGGGATGGTGGAGGGTGGACGATGGAGACAAGCCACTCACCAGGTAAGCAGGGCTCCCCACGAAGGCTCCCAGTGCCCCCGCCACGGCTCCCGCAACCACGGTGCCACCTGGTTGCTGCGTGAGGCCAGCCTGGCACGCCAGGCTGTAGCAGTAGAAACGAACGCCATTCATGAGGCCTTGGTACAGAAGGCCGGCAGCCAGCCCCTTCTGCAGGCCCCACAGCCCGTCTGCTCGGGCCACAGCAGCGACAGAGGCTATGAAGCCATGGTAGGGCCGTGGGTAGGTGCCCCGGGCCTGCAGCTCCCCCTGCAGCTGCAGCCGCGTCTTCACCACCTCCAGGGGGTTGGTGAAGACACAGGCCAGGCAGCAGGCAGAAGCACCCAGCACCAGGTCCACTGCTGGGGGCACCGTCTCCATGGCCTCCGGGCCAGTGGCCTTCTGTGCCCGGGTCAGGGGCACGGCACAGGCCCTGTGGTGGTGGCGTTTAGGCTGTCTGTAACCTCGCAGGGCTACGGGGCTGGGGTTTGCAGGGGACCGAGGCCATGTCTAGAGGGTAAGGGTCCTGGTCTGACAGGCCTGTGGCTGCCTGGTGTCCCTGGTCTATCTCAGCAGTCCACCTGCTCTGCTCAGCTGTTCCAGCGGTCTGCCGGAGCCTGGGACGCGCCTCCGCCAGCTGCGACCAATCCCAGCTGCCTCTGTGCCCACACCTGCCAGCCGAGGGCGGGCCTGGACCCTGGGATCTGGGGGAAAGGTCACTTGGGACTGGAGGGAGAGCGTGGATAGGGAGAAGGTGCCAACCAGCCCAGGCACCTCCTCCTGGCCTCCCTCTGGCCCTGGGCAAAGGGCTGGCACCCCTGCCTTGCCTCTGGCTTAGCCTGTCCAGCTTTGGCAGAGCCCTAGGCAGGGGGCAAGTGACTGGGAGGTCCCTGGCATGGGGTACACGGCCAACTCCGCCCCTGCCCCACCCTGCCCCTGATATGCCCCTGGTGACTGACTTCCCCTTTCCAGGACTCAAGTCTTCAGTCTGGCTCCCACCGTCTATAGGCCCATGCTCAGCAGGGTCAGAAGTAGAGAAGGGCTCTGGAGCCCTGGGGAGCTGATTGGAATCCCAGGTGTGGCTCTCATGTGTGACCCCTGGGCAAGTCACTTCCTCTCAGAGCTTCAGTTTCTCTCATTTGTAAAATGGAGATACTGACATCCACTCCAGAAGGTTCTGTGGAGGACTGGCGATGAGAAGAGTGTGCCTAGGTCAGTGCTGCACCCGATAAAGGCACCCGCATCGCCTGCTCGCCCCCACCCCCACTGCCTCTGGCTCCTATGCCCCCCTCGCTGCTCCCAGGACTTCAGGGCACCTGGGTGAGTAGGACTTGAGGAGTGACCTTGGCTGGTAAGGACTTGCTGCCAGGCCTGCCCTGGGATGCCCTTTGTGCCCGCTGAGAAGAGAACGCCACCTGGGCCAGCTGTCAGGTGTGTCTGCTCAGGCTGGGGCCGGTACCAACATGCCCACCTTGGCCTCTGCCCCCAGACAGCTCTCTCCTGCCAGGCCACCCTCAGTCACCCAAGGCCCAGTCCAAACTAGAGGCAGAACCACCCAAGTTGGAGTCCCACACCCACCTCCCAGGGCCCACCCCTTCCCTCCCAGGCCCTTGAGGCAGCAATGCTGAGTGGCTTGAGGGCCTCAGGCTCCCGGCCTGGCAGGGTTGTCACCCTCTGGCCAGCCCTGGAGGGGACGGCGCAGCAAGAGGCAGCGAGGACAGCTTGGATTCTCCTGGGTTTGGGCACTCACCCCCGGGGCTGTGGAGGCAGGAGCGTCCTGCCCCGGGGTGGGCTGCAGATGGTGGGCGGCGGTGCAGACGTGCCCTGGGGCTTGAGCTGGTGGCTGCTCCTCCCCTGGCTGCTGCAGCAAACAGGAACAGGACGGAGGGCAAAGGTCGGGCCGAGAAACTCCCAGGGCCTGAGGGTCTGCAGACGGTGAGTCCGCCCGGCAGCGGTGGCTGATCTGGTTCTGCATGTCCCGTGTGTCCCTTGTGTCAGGCACAGGGCAGATGATGGAGGAAGGTTTGCAGAAAAGGGCCCAAGGGATTTGGAGAGCTCCCTTCCCCTACCCTGCTCAAAAAGGGCCAGTGACAAGCCTTGGCAATATAACATGTCTATTTTATTTTAAAAAACAAAACCCAAACCACCTGACCCCTTCCCCAGGAGGCTCTTGACGAAACTCTAGGGAAGGGCCTGGCTCCAGCCAAGCAGGGGACAGTCAGAAGATGTCAACATGGATGCCAGGCTGGTGGGCTCCGCCCTTCTCCAAGCCCCCCATCCACCCCCTTTGCTCCTCGGTGCTACAGGCACTGCCGGGTTGAGGGGACAGGCAGGGCAGGACTGTGGGCATGCAGAGCCTCCTGGCAGCCAGGGAGGGCTGCCCGCCCCCCTGCATCTGGCGAGGCAGGCAGCTGTGTGCGCAGTGATGGAGCTAGGAGGAGGAAACATGCGCAGACACCCCGTGTTCCCGCTTCCCCACGTGGCCAGGAGAGTGTTCAAACACGAACAAGGATGGCTGGGCACTCAGGGCCCCAGCCCCCAACCCAGGAGAGGAAGAGGGGGGTCCCGCCCTCCTGGTTCTTTTGTTCGTCCTTAGATGGATGGTGTTCTCGGTGCCACTCGGCAGAAATTCTGCAGACTGAGGCGGAGGCCCGGGAGGAGGGCGTGCATCCGCAGAGCCCACAGGGCTCGGACCCTCTGCCCCCAGCGACCTCCATTCGCTACCTGTCGGGCAGGATGCCCAGGGGTGCCGGGCACCTGATCTGGATCCCTGGAGTGGAGGGACCCTGTCTTAAGCCACACTCGGTGGTTCTGCCGCCCAGGGCAGGGGTGGACTGTAGGCTCCCGACAGCATGACAACAGCCGTGACAGTGTGCCTGCCGGCTGGCGTGCCTTCCTTTCCTGCCCACCAGGGACGCCAACCAGCTCTGCCTCAGCACCAGGGGTCTCGGGAGGCTCGGCCGCGGCAGAGACTGTCGCTCCGCTGCCAGGCGCTGTGGATGAGGCTCAAGGCATCCTCGAATTTCTTCTTGTTGGAGGCTTCCTGGATCGCCGTGTGGGGGAGGTCCACCTGTGTTGGGGCGTGCAGAGAACAGATGAGGGCCACTGAGGGCCACAGGAGTCTTCAGGGCTTGTGGGCACCAGGCCTGCCTCTGCCTTGGCCACGGAGCCCCTGTCAGGCCCTCCCCATCTCTCCCTGGGAACATCTTCCACGCTGCTAGTTTCTCCCGCTCTTCCAGGGGCTTGAGCTGAGGATGGGGTGGTGCCCCCCGAGCTCCCTCTTTCCTGGGAAGGCCCCAGCTCTCAGGATGGCCCAGCGAGGCAGGCGCTGCACTCTGTTTGGCTCTGCAGGGAGGTGTCTGTCCTGAGCTGTTCTCTGCCTCTAACTAGTCCAGGCTTCCACGGGGCTAGAGCGTAGCATGTGCTCAAAACCCGCTTGTGCAGGGCTCTCA
Organism: Homo sapiens; assembly: GCF_000001405.40. Taxonomy (NCBI): domain Eukaryota; kingdom Metazoa; phylum Chordata; class Mammalia; order Primates; family Hominidae; genus Homo; species Homo sapiens. The sequence goes on along the minus strand of NC_000001.11, from coordinate 15,733,414 downwards.
TGAGCACGCTCCCACACTGGCACTCAGCCTGGAGGGCAAGGAAGAGGGTACTGCCAATATTGTGTCCCCCCATCTGAGCACAGCTGGAGGTCCACCACAATTCGTGCTGTTTGATTGGAACTGAGGTCAGGAATTAAGCTTCTTGGGTTCTGTTTTCAGCTTTGGCCTCAGACTCACTGGGAGTCAGGGTTTTGTCCTTTTGATTCTAAGTTTTTGTGCCTGTCAGGTGTGTCTGCTCAGTCTGGGGCTGGCACCAACATGCCCACCTTGGCCTCTGCCCCCAGACAGCTCTCTCCTGCCAGGCCACCCTCAATCACCCAAGGCCCAGTCCAAACCAGAGGCAGAACCACCGGGGCTGGAGTCCCACACCCACCTCCCAGGGCCCACCCCTTCCCTCCCAGGCCCTTGAGGCAGCAATGCTGAGTGGCTTGAGGGCCTCGGGCTCCCAGCCTGGCAGGCTTGTGCGCAGCAAGAGACGGCAAGGACAGTGAGGACTCTTCTGGGTTTGTTTTAAGAGCAGCAGGCACTCACCCCCGGGGCTGAGGCAGGAGCGCCCTGGTACATGGCTGTGCCCAGGACCCTGGAGGCAGGGCCAAGTCCTGGGAGCAGCAGGGGTTCCTCTCCCCGGGGAGTGGCTCCCACTCCACAGGGTCCCTGGCTAATGGGTTTCCTGGGCAGCTGGGTACCTGATAGATGGTTTTCCACCCAGAGTTCAGTGCAGACAGCAATCGGTCCAGTTCAGAAGTGCAGCTCAGGTAGATGACCCAGGGCGGGAGGAGCTGCTGGCTGTCCTGGGAGAACTCCTAGGGAGAGCCAGGCCCCCGGGTGAGCAGCCAGAGCTTTCCTTCTGCAGGCCTTGCAGCCCCGCCCCCACTCAAAGCTCACCAAGACGCAGTACTCCTTGCCCGGCTCGGTGGAGACGGCGCTGATGTCGCCCAGCTTGGCTGTGCCCAAAGAGCGGAAGAAGCTGGTCTGGCAATCCTCATGGCACGTAAAGAGGCGGTCATCCGTGAGGACCAGGCAGCAGGGTATGCAGGGGCTGGGAGCTACGCCCTGGGGGATGACCTGGCAGCGGGGCAGGGGAGAGGCAGGCTGGGGCCTCCAGGGCTGGTCTGCACCAGAAGTCCACACTCCAGGGGACCAGCCAGCCCTTCTGCTCTCCCTCCAGGGATCTCCCTCCAGGGATCGGGAGCAGAGGCGGGGATGGGGGTGATGCCTCTGAGCTCCAGGGTCCATTCCTGGGCTGCCCCCTGGAGGTCCGTCTTGGCCCTCAGGTTGCTCTGTGACTATGGGTTTAGGGATGGGACCCTGGGGGTCTGGGTGGGTCAGGCAAGCCAGGTGAGCGGTAGGGGCAGGCGAAGCTCACCCCTTTGGACACAGCCTGGCAGAGATGCTGCATCCACTCGGCCATCTCGGCCTCGCTCTCGGCACTTAGCTCCAGGCAGGGCCGGTCGGAGAGAATGACCTGGAAGGCGTGGGGCCGATCCGTGGTGTTGGCTCTCCGGCAGCCACCGCACTGCTCCCCCCTGGGCCAGAGGAGGAGGGTGAAACGGGAGCGAGGAGGCAAGGGCAGCACGGGGCGACAGCCCCCAGGGTTGGTGCGGGGTGTGCGGCACAGGGTCTGCCCCACCGTCTTGGGGGCTGGAGGATACCAGAGGGTTCTCCAGGCCCCTCCAGCTCCCAGGAGAGGTCTGGGAGCCCCACCCACCGCCTTGCTGTGCGATGCCTTTCACCTCCAGGATGCCCAAGATCCTCTAGATACCCAAGCATGGCCAGGAGGGGTTGGGAATCAGCTGTCCCACTGGCCCTCTGAGAATCGGCCGCATTCATTCACGCATGCTTCCTCTTGAGGGCCTGCTGTTCCTCCCAAATACCCGAACGTCCATCTCCCATCAGGCCGGGAGCTTCTGGGGAAGGGCCTGCCTCCCCCATCAGACTGGACCTGTTCTAAGCCAGGAGCTCCTTGCTGCCTCCCTCCTCCCCTCCTGTGGGCTCCTTGCAGCCCTCAGAGCGTGGAAGCCCCAGGCCACCTGTCAGGGCCGCTGGATGGGGTGGGGTTGAGGGCGAGGCTGAACTGCCAACAGGGGCAGCCATCTCAAACCAGGGAAACGGCAGCTCTGGGCCCCAGGATACACCCGCTTCTCCCGGGACACTTACCCCATGTTCACCGAGAGCAGAGGGATGACGTCGGTGCGGTCCGGGTACTGGTAGAGGATCCCGTTGCTGCAGGGGCACAACACAGGGCGAGTGAGGCCTGTCCCAGGAACTGGGGCCAGGCGGAGCCCAGGTCCCAGGGTTCCCCTCCCACGCACATGCTGCGGCCATGAACCTGAGGCAAAGGACACCAGGGGCTGTCATCTACGGAAGGCAGGGTGAAGAAGGGCCTGGGGGCCCAGCAGGGAATGTGGCCACCTCAGCAGACCTGGGGCGCAGCTCAAGGTTCATCGGGGGACCAAGCCTGCATCCTCCCCTGAGGCACTCAGGGATTCCTGGGGCCCCAAAGATGACTGGCTCTACAGAGAAGCTCTAACAGCCTGAGCTAAGTCAACTCCAAGCTCTGGTAGGGAAGGGAGGCGTCCTCTCCTCAGGCTGCTCCCTCAGTGACCTGCTGCGGAGAGATCCCCGCTGGGGACCTGACAGCCCAGCCACCCCAGGGCCCAAGCCCCAGGCCTAGAGCTGCCAGGGCTCCCACCTGAGCACCACGAAGCACGTCTTCCAGTGTTCCTTGCCCAGGTAGGAGGTGCCCGCCTTGTAGTGCAGCATGCCTTCTTTGGTGATGGTGCCCTCGGGGGGTGAGCAGTGGCAGGGCGTGGGGCCCAGGGACTCGTCTGTGGGGTCCTCCCAGTGCACAAGGCCGTAGAAGCGCACGGTGACAGCAGATGCCTGATGCGGGGGCGGGCACGGGGGACAAAGCAAGTAAGGCCTGGGCCAGGCAGGTGGCTGAGCCCGGACTGGTTCTTTTTTTTTCTTTTTGAGATGGAGTCTCGCTCTGTCGCCCAGGCTGGACTGCAGTGGTGTGATCTCCACTCACTGCAACCTCCATCTTCCAGGTTCAAGCAATTCTCCTGCCTCAGCCTCCCAAGTAGCTGGGATTACAGGCGCCCATCACCACGCCTGGCTGAATTTTTGTATTTTTAGTAGAGACGGGGTTTTGCCATGTTGGCGAGGCGGGTCTCGAACTCCTGACCTCAGGTGATCCGCCTGCCTTGGCCTCCCAAAGTGCTGGGATTACAGGCGTGAGCCACTGTGCCCTGCCGAGCGAGGGTGTCTTAACCTTAGGACACACCCCAGGTAGGAAGGTGGACATGACTTTCCTCCCTTCCAGGGTGGGAAAGCCCCGCCCCGCCCCGCCCCGCCCCGCCCCGCCCAGGTAGGCGATTGTGAAATGGCAAAGACATCCACGTGCATCCCTTAACGCTCACGCCAAGGCGGCTGCTGCTCTGCCATCTCAGGGGCTGCACTCAGCTTCCTCCCCAGGTTCTTACCTCACACTTCGATTCTTGGGCCACAAATTTGGCCAGTGCCAGCTTCTCCATGGTGGCATCCGTCAGGATGCTGGGGTAGGGAGGTTCTCGACAGCCTTTGATCATGGCTGACTTCAAAGAAGCCAAAAAGAACCTGCATAGGGAGTGAGGTTTGTGGTTAGAGGCCTGGGAACAGGGCCTCAACTGGACAGGGCTTAGTCTTGAGCGCTGCTGGCCTGGAGGGGTCACAGAAACTTGGGGGAGAGACCTGGCTAGACCCAGTGACCAGGGCGGCAGGTGCGGCAATGACGCAGGTCCAAGGTCATCAAATGACAACTGGAACAGGCCTGATCGTTCTCAATGGCCAAGGGGCCTTGGATTTTGACAGTGAGGGAAGACAGACAAAGAGGGTGGGCAGGACGTCAACGGGTGGGACCTTGAGCCACGACAAGGATGCAGGCGTTCAAGGGCACGCCTGGCCCAGCAGCATGGCTCTCTGCCTGCCTTCCTGTCCAACAACTCATGCTAGCACCCCCAAGAGTCGCCAGGGGCTGAGGTCACCTGGGCTGACCACATGAGTCCTATGATTGTCGTCTACTTGCCTGCCTCTCTGAGCAGATGCAGGTTCCAGAGGGAATACATCTGGTTTCCCCTCCTGGATCTCCCACTTTCCACCTCCACCCCTGACCCCCAGGCCACCCACACCTATGGGCGGCTGCGAACTCTCCAATCCTTCCAGAGGGGCGGGGTTGCCACTCACTCAGCCAGCGCCACATCAGCCGTGTCCAGCAGAAACTGCTTCCTGCGGTTGGTGCACACCAGCTTCACCGTCTGCTGGTCAAGGCCAACCTGCCAGAAACCACACCGTGACATGCACTTGGGGCTTAGCTGCTGCCTGGCGGAGAAGGCAGCTTGGCCAGGCTGAGCGCTTGCTGGGGAGGAAGAAGCACACCCCGGGCCACCACCAAGTAAAGCCCCAGAGGCCAGGGGCTGGCATGAGTGAGGGAGGGACGGTCAGAAGTCTAGCACGGGAAGAGGCAACCTCAAGCTTGGTTCTTACCCCCAGCATCGTGTACAGAAGCCTCTCTGAGAGTTAAGTTGGTGCCCAACCCCGGGAGGGGAGTAAGGGGCCGTGCCTCGCCCTGCAGTTCTATGGGTAAGTGGCTTGAGAAGCCCTGTACCTACAGCAGGCGCACAACTGCGGGGCCTGGACTCACCGACACATAGTCAAGTTCATTGTAAGAAACGGCCTCTTCCACCAGGTATGGCTTCTCTGTGGCCCCTGAGAGAGGAAACCCCAAGGCCTATTATCCCCACAGGCCTCTTTTCCCTCCCCCTGCCCCATTTTCTTAGACACAGCCCCCTCTCTTAGAGGGCCTCTCCTTGCCCTGCAGTAGGAGAATGGCGTGGAGTGCTCACAGAGGGAGCCCCAGGCTCACGTCTCAGGGCTGCTGGCAACACCTTCCTTGGGGTGCCTTTCCATCACTGCATGCCAGGCAGCCGGGAGGCACTCAGAGGGCAAGGGGACTGGGGAAAAGGGGCTGAGAGTCAGCCTCGTCTACAACCCGCTGTCTGCCCGGGGGCGGCGGGCACCTTTCCGGAGCAGGTAGACATAGCAGTCTGTGAGCAGCACGTACAGCAGCTGCAGGTTGCCCTCCATGTGCCCGGTGCTCATCCGGATCATCTGGGGGCCGAAGCAGACAAGGGTCAGGCAGGTGGCTCCTGCCGCTCCAGCGGGGGCGGTGGCCCATCCCGCCTTGCCCTTGCCGTCTCTTGCTCACTCCTGAGTTCCTAGGACTTACTTTGAACAGCTGCTCTTCGTTTTCTCGGAACACGTGGATCATGAGCAGGAGCAGGTGATTGTTGTCTACTCTGTGAGGGCCAAGTCAGGAGGGCGAGATGTCAGGCAGGCAGCGGTGAGAGAGGCCACACCCCACCCCAGAGCCAGGGGGTAGTGCCTCCGCCTCCCACTAGGAGCCAAAGTTAGGGAGGGAGGCTCACACCCCTTCTCACTCAGGCTAGGTCTTCCTAGTGCTTAATTTATCTGGAGGTCAGAGGCACAGTGTCCCCAGCTTCAAGGGCTGGGAGAGTCCCATGCCAGCTGCAGAGTCTTGTTACCTGAACTCCGAGGAATGGACCATCTCCGAAGGGCTCCCCTGTCCCTCATCCACCCCAGAATCCTCAGCGCTACTCAGACACGGGCTGGGCTGGTCTCGCTTGAGCTGGCAGAGAACCTCCTGGGTCCCAGGCTCTGGCTCAGACACAGGCCCCTCCCTGACCAGGGACAGCTGGGCCTCCAGCTCCTGAGCCTCCCTCGTGGTATCCTCTAGGGGCCGAGGCGTCTGTCCCTCTCCTCCTCCTCCCTCTTCTTCTTGGCCAGCAGCCTCAGGGCTACTAGGAACATGCAGCGGTTGGCCAAGCCCTGCAGGGTCATGGTGGCCGCCACCTGATGTAACAGTGCTTGGACTCTCGACGGTAAAGCGGTAGAAGTCCATTGGGGCTGAAAGCCCCTCACTAAAGTCGCAAAGCGGCGGCCTCTCCGGGGCATCCCCGGGAGAGCCGGTCCGAAAGGACTGGTCTGGGGGCTCAGCACGGGAGCACCAGGTGCTGGGGTCCAGCTGCCCGTTGAGCTGGTCGATAACCTTGCTCAGGGGCTGCCCCAAGCGCTCCATGGAGGTGTCCTTCATCTCAGGGATCAGCAGGCCCGGCTCGGAGCGCTCGCTGCTCTCCGTGGTGCTGCTCGGCCCCTCTCCCTCCTCCTGGGGGGAGGCAAGCATAGTGTCTGGCGAGTCCCGCCCAAGGCTTGGGCTGCCGTTGCGGCTGTCACCGTCCCCCTGCTTGGCACATTTCTTCTGGCTGCAGGCGGGGTGGAGTGGACTTGCCTCCTCATCTGATCTGCTCTTTTTCTTCTTGCCAATTTTCTTCTTCTTGGTGACCCTGGGACAGTAACGACGGGGAGAGTGTTAACCCCTGAGTAGTCCAGTGCTGAGGAAAACCAGGCTGGGTCACGGTGGCAATGCTGGCCATGTAGCCTCTGAGGGCACAGCTAGTGCGTCAGTGGTCCTAGGCAGTGCTGGGTGGAGGCACTGGGTCAGAGGACAACAGTGGCTCAGGCCCCGAGGCACCCCCTTTGCTGGCAGGGGCGGGGTGGGGGTAGCATGGGCTGGGCACAGATGGCTGCAGCCAGAGGAACCCCAGAGTGGGTCTACTGAATTCCTCCTAATGGAACAGCTGAGCTAGCTGCACTCTAGGAAAGAAAAACAGGCCATGGCTGGTCAGGCAATGCCCCCTCCACTCAGCCCCCCTTCGGATGTGGATCCCGAGCTGACCTCACTTCCCTCAGGCATCATCATGGAGGAATCACCCAGAAAGCACTCAGCGCTTTCTGGGCTCACGCTCCGGGTCCCACTCTGGTTCCAGGTTGGCTGGAGCGGGCTTAGCTAAGGGACCCCAGGTCTGAGCATGATGCTGCTGTGGACTGGAACCAGCCCATGGGGTGGCCTCCTGGCTCCAGTCACTGGGGAGCAATCCCCCGCCTCAGGCCAGCAAGCCTGGGCAGTCTGACACGCACACAGGGCTTCTCCTCTTAGTCAGTGTGAAGTTTTAAGAGGGGGTCGGGGAGGTCAGGGAGCCGGGGAGGCTCTGGTTGACAGTCCCTGCTGGCCACCCACCATGTCCTTCCTTTCCATGTCCTGCCCATATGACAAAGATACTTTTCTTTCAATGAATCTCAGAAATTGTATCTTAACTTCCAAGAACTCCCTTGGGAAGAAGTACAGCCTGAAGGTGCTTTCTGATCTTAGGCAGACCCAGCAAACGCCCTGGCAGCCTGGACATGGCCCCAGACACCAGCCACGGTCGCTGCCTGTGCCACCTGCTTCCAAGGGCTTGAGCCCTACAATGGAGTGAATGTGTGTGTCCCCTCCAGATTCCTGTGTTGAAATCCTAACTCCCAATGTGATGGTATCAGGGGGTGGGGGGTGATGAGGTCCTGAGGGTGGGATCCTCAGGAATGGGATCAGCACCCTCATAAAAGGGACCCTAGAGAGCTCTCTCTCCACTCCCCGCCACAACACAGCGAGAAGAGGGACATCTGTGAATCCCTCATCAGAGGCTGGCCACACCGGCACCCTGACCTCGGACTGTAGGCTCCAGAGCTGTGAGAAAGAATGTCTGTTGTGGAAGCCGCCTGTCTGCGGTGCTTTGTTCCAGCAGCCGAGCTGACTAGGACAGGCCTCCACTTCCTCTTGCTCAAAGAACCTCCTAGAGGTGGGAAGGGTTTCCAGGAAGGCATGCAACTGCCCTCAGGGGGTGTCCCGGTCTGCCCTGGATGAACAGCTGATGCTGGGAGTGGACAGGTTGGACCCCAGGACCTCAGCTCCTTTCTGGGCCCCTCCCTGCTGACCTGATGACCTCGAGCTCCGTGCAGGCATCCGGCGGGTCCAGGGCCTGGGCCTCCTCCTTCTCCTGAGAGGTGGTGTGCACGGGGGTGGTGTCAGAGGAGGACACAGTCTCTGCCGGCTCCTCGTTGAAGGGGTTCTGGCGCTGGGTGGGGCTCCTGGTGGAGGCCTTGCTGCTGGTCAGGTCGGAGGCTGTGGAGCGGGGACCACTGACCGTGTCTGTGAGGTCTCCATCTGGGAGGACAAGGAAGCAGGAGACACCCTGTCAGGCACCCCCCGGGGTCCCCGACCCCCAGAGCATGCGTTAGCCCAGGAGGGAGGCAGGCTGGCCAGTTCCTCCCAGGGAAACCTGACAGGGGTGGCCCCATTTCGAGTAGAAGCCACAACCTAACAGGACATGGGGTTTTGTACTTTAGGAGCAACTTGGAAGGAACACCATCTCCACCACCCCTGGGGCCTCCGGAGCTCACAACAATTTGGCTGAGTTTGTGTTAAGGGCCCCCGCGGTGAAGCAGCCTCCAGGCTCAAGCTCCAGGCTTAAGTCCCATAGGAATGGTGACTTCGAGGCCTCCATGGGTGGCTGGGAGCCCTAGAGAGGAGCCAGGCTGCACGCCTCTTAGGTTACCCTCAGAGCCTTCCTGCCAGGACGCTACAGGGGTACCCAGCAGCCCCGTTAGCCCCATACCCCACTTGTAGGGCTGAGAGGTGCCCAAAGTCCTCTGAAGGGTCCCTTGCAGAGGTAAAAGGAACACAAAGGGAGAAGAATGGAGGAAGACAGCAGAGAAAGTGAGGGGTGCAGAGTGGGGGCAGAGGCTAGGAGACAGGATGGGAGCCCAAGGGGTGGGAACCATGGGGCAGAGGGAAATGCCCAGAGCACAGAGTAGAGACAAGATGACAGAGCAGGGCAATGAGAGCAAGGTGCGAAGGGGCAAAGACAGGGGTCCGAGAGGCCGCCCCCCAGGCTGCTTCTCCCCAGCACCCCTGACCCTACACACTCCTCGGGGGCAGGACCAGGTGCCCCTGCAAGGGTGGTGCTGAGAACTCCATTTCTTTCTTTTTTTTTTTTTTTGAGACGGAGTCTCTCTCTGTCGCCAGGCTGAAGCGCAGTGGCGCGAGCCCGGCTCACTACAACCTCCAACTCCCGGGTTCAAGTGATTCTCCTGCCTTAGCCTCCCGAGTAGCTAGGATTACAGGCATGCGCCACCATGCCCAGCTAATTTTTGTATTTTTAGTAGAGCTGGGGTTTCACCATGTTGGCCAGGATGGTCTCGATCTCCTGACCTCGTGATCTGCCCGCCTCGGCCTCCCAAAATGCTGGGATTACAGGCGTGAGCCACCGTGCCCGGCCGAGAACTCCATTTCATTCAAGTGTCAGCTCACTGACTGGTCCTTTCTGACTCATACCCTGACACGGCCCCCGAGAGGGGAGCTGGCTTGGACATCCCGCCCCACCCAGCCATCTGCCCCTGGTTACTGGAACAGGGCAGGAGAGGGAGCACGGGCAGGTGAAGCACACAGCCCATACGGCCAGTGGCAGATGGGAGCCACCCAAGCAGAGAGCTGAGGCCCAGCTGGTGAAACTGCCTGGGTGAGGGTCAATGGCAAGGGCCATGGCTGGTCGTGCTCTATTTGCCGGCCAATGCTCATCTTGCTGGCCGCTGTCTGCCCGGAAGAAAAGAGGCAAACATGCACCCCACAGCCCCACTGGGGGCCCAACCAGCTGTCAACTTAGTGCCCTTGGAAGCCACAGGGCAGCTGTCTGCTGATGCAGCACACCGTCCTTTTTTTTTTTTTTTTTTTTTTTTTGAGACAGGGTCTCGCTGTGTCGCTCGGACTGGAGCGCAGTGGCGCAATCACAGCTCACTGTAGCCTCGACCTCCTGGGTTCAAGTGATCCTCCTGCCCTGCCTCAGCCCACAGAGTAGCTGGGACTATAGGCGTGCACCACCAAGCCTGGCTAATTTTTATATTTTTAGTAGAGACGGGGTCCCCCTGTGTTGCCCAGGTTGGTCTCAAACTCCTGGGCTCAGGCGATCCTCCAGCCTCAGCCTCTCAAAGTGCTGGGATTACAGGTGTGAGCCTGGCCCTTTTTTTTTTTTTTTAAGTCTGCTGTCTTTTAATATAAGGACAAAAGAGGAGGCTAAAGGCAATGAGTAGCTCTGCCAGAAAAGACCAGCAACATCGGGGACTTTTTCCAGATTTCCGGGGATCTCAGAGCCTAAGTTCTAAGATACAGAAAACCGCGTCTCTCGGTCCCAAAGCAGGCTCCTGCCAAGCCCATGTGTTCTTGCTCCGGCTCCTGTGATTCTCCTCAGCACACGCAGTTGCACCCAAGAGGAGCCCTGAGAGGTGAGTGGGCAGATCATGAGATGTGGTGGGTGTCAAGGCCCGCATGCCCACCAGCTCTGTAAATAAGCCAAAGACCAGGGGAAGGCCACCCCAGGCTCAGAGTTTGGAGCTGCCCCAAGTCCTGCCTTCCTCCAGGTCCAAGGAGAAGACAGAGCCTCCCCGGGTGAGCTGCCAGAGTGAGCTCAGGAATCCTGCTCCAGGAACTCCAGAAATCTCACCCTGCCCTGAGGCAAGCAGTGCAACTGGGCTGTTAGTTCTCAGGCCGCAGGGAGCTCTGAAAGGCTGTAGAGGAAGGTCAGGCCCTGCTTGTCAAGTGACTGCAGCAGGCGTGTCAGGAGGGGGGTTAGTTGTTAGAATCGGAGGGAAAAAAAAACAATATCCAGCATGTGTGCTGCAAGAAGAGGGGCTAAGAGGGTACATGATGTTATGATGGAATTCTGGAATCCAAGCTAATTTAACTCAAACAGGGGACCCTTCAATGCTACTCTTGGCCAAGTGTCATAGTTTATTTTTCCCAATGCCACATCTTATTTCTCACAGAGTTAAGGTATTTCATACTCACATTATCTGGGAACGGATCACCTGTCACCCATTACTCAGCAATCACGTCTCTAATAATGCGGGGAGAGCCACGTGCCCCTCATCCTCAGGGTGTGGCAGTTCTCACCTCCCCTGTTCAGAGGCCAGGTTCCCTCACCTCCCCTGTTCCAGGCTGGAAGTGGCCCAGAGGGTAGGAGGCTCTTTAATAACAGGGATTTGGACCAGGTGCAGTGGTTCATGCCTGTAATCCCACACTTTGAGAGGATGAGGTGGGGTGGATCACCTGAGGTCAGGAGTTTGAGACCAGCCTGGCCAACATGGTGAAACCCTGTCTCTACTAAAAATACAAAAATTAGCCGGGCGTGGTGGCACACACCTGTAATCCCAGCTACTTGGGAGGCTGAGGCAGGAGAATTGCTTGAACCCGGGAGGTGGAGGTTACAGTAAGCCAAGATCACACCACTGCACTCCAGCCTGAGCAACAGAGCGAGACTCCGTCTCAAAAAGTAAAATAAAATAACATAAAGTAAAATAACAGGGATCTGCTATGGCCTCAGATTTAAGGGGGAAACATTCACCTTATTGGCAACATAGCCTTTGCTTTGAGTAATCGTGGCAACCTGGGAATAGCTTTGTGAATTTATGAAGTGGAATTTCAGGCAGAAAAATGCCCAGGCACTGCTACTGCCCAGCAGACAGGGTGGGAGGGCTGGCAGATTTCCTTTTAATCTGCTTTAAAGCTTCAAAGAGATTCTGTCTGTAGGAAGTTTCAGCTGTACCTGGGCAGTTTCCTGACTTGGACCTCAACCACTCCAAAACACCCAAGAGGAAGCCATTAGGAACAGACTGAAAGAATCAAGCTCTTTCTCTTCGATGCTCATCTGACCCGCAGGAGCTTACAACCCGCATGTTTAAAGGCATGGTTTTCCAGAACAAGTCTTGGTTCACTGGGTCAGGCCCTACACACCCCGAGAGCATCAGCTGGCACTGGAATCAGGAAGGGTGACCCTGTATCCCCCGAAATGCAGCCACTTAGTGACTCCGAAAGGCCACTGAGCAAAGGCAGGAGCCCTGCACTGGGAGAAGGGATTTGCCTATGGCTAGAGGTTGAGTTTTCCCACTGCAGAATTCCATCTATTAGAACACCAAACTTGGCTTTATTATGATTATGGATATTATTATAAATAATAAGGAGCTGATTTGATACATGCAGCAAGCTTGGCATGGAAACATTGCAAAACAGGAAAAGAGGGTAACAGCGGACTCTGGCCCACCTTCCCAGTCTGTGCTGGGTACAGACGGCACTGCTGGAAACACATCTCCAAAATCATAATCTACAAAAACGAGGGACAAAACTGAAGATTAGAAACACAGGCAGTGGAAGGATGACTGGAGGGAGGGGAGGGGAAATGGGGTGGGAGACATGGGGAGAAAATAGGAGAGGAAAACTTCAACTTTCTACATTGTATCCAACAACCTTGGGGAAACTTACTAGGGCCCTGACTGCCTCTCAGCTCAGGCGCTGGCCCAGGAGCCTCCAACCAGCTGGAAAGACCTGTCAGGGTGACCCCTTTCCACATCCAGAAGCTGGTTCTGGCAGAGAGAAGCCTGGCTGCCTGTGCCTAGCTTTGTTTTCTACCTCTTACGTGCCTTCCCTCCATACCCTAGCAGGGCAAGGAGACACTGCCCTGGCAGCTGCAGTTGCACAATCTCCAAATTGCTGAGGGGACACCTCCATCCATGGATCCATCCTTGCCCTGGCTCTTCCGGCAAGGCCCACCCCTCCAACTCCTCTAAGGTGGCCCATGGGCCCAACCTAAGGAGACTGTGCCGCCTTCTTCAGCTTGCACGGTCAGCAATGCAGGTCTTGCTAACAGCAAGTTTGAGAGGGACCTCCCTTCCTGGGACATATAACCCGTGGTACAGCAGAAATAAAGAAAGGGGAAGGTCAAGGTCTCAATGCTGAGGCAATTCTAGGGTGCCCCAGGGCTAAATTGGGGCTGGGATCCCCTTCCCTGGAGGTGAGGTGGTGGGGTGAAGTAAATGAAGGGCTCTGGTCTCCTACAGGAGATAAAGAGGGGAAAATGGCCAGTTTTATCCATGAACACCAGGGCCTAAGGTTTGAAAGAAACCAGGCTGTTCCAGTAAATCATTGGGTCAAGACAACAAAATGACCTGCAGCTTCTTCCTCGGTCCCTGATGCAAAGGGTGCGACCATCCCAAACACATCAGCGAGCGCAGAAGGAACTCAGAGAAATCGGACGGACACACAGGACACAGTGGCAAGGTTTCCCTGCGCTTCAGACCTGCCTGGTTCTCTCTTCTTCTAGGGGTTGCTTAACCTCCTTCTGCAAAGAATGTGGGGTCAGACAAGCTCCCCAGAACAGGCAACACTCAACCCTGCGACAAGGTTTCCAGGTCCCACTGCTAAACCTTCCTTGCTTAGAAAACTGCCACAGGCATGTGACTAGAACCTTCTGGAAAAGGGTCTAACCTTAAAAAATATATATTTTATATATATATATATATATATAATTTCAGCTTTTTGTGCCCAGAATCCACTTTTTAGCCACCACAGGGACTCTGAGGAGATGAAGATCTGGGAAATGGCCAGCCCTGTTTAATTGCAAATTTCAGCCACCAGACCAAAACTAGCCAAGGAAGACATCACCCAGCCAGGCTTAAGCAGTTCAAGTCTGTTTCACAACAGGGGCTTAGCTTTTCTGCCCTGGGGCCACTCACCCTCACTAGATGGGGCAATCGCACTGTCATCCCACTCCAGGTTGGTGGAGGTGACGGAGTTGAAAGAGTTGAGGGACAGACTGTCTGAGCCGTGGACCGAGCTGGGAAGGCGGTCTTCAAAGTCCAGCAGGTACTGAGGTTTGTAGTAGTCGGGCATGTAGGGGGCCAGGTCTAGGTAAGGGGCATCCTGAGGAGAGAGTAGAGGAGGCCCGTTTGGTGGGAGGCCTCGTGCAGCGGCCTTCTGCAGACAGCAGGATCCAGGCCTGGGAGACACAGATGTGCCTCTTTGGGAAATCAATGGCTTAAGGTAGTAAATTCAAAGAAAAGCTGCTAAGAAGAGCAATGTGAATAGTGTTGGCTTTTAAAGCTGTGGACTTCAGGCTGATGGAAGACAGAGCTGTCAGAACTCAGCTACACCCTTTGATGCCCCCGCTATCTCTCTCTCTCTCTATTTATTTATTTTTTTTTTTGAGACAGAGTCTCACTCTGTTGCCCTGGCTGGAGTGCAATGACGTGGCTCGGCTCACTGCAACTTCCACCTCCCGGGTTCGAGCGATTCTCCTGCCTCAGCCTCCCAAGTAGCTGAGATTATAGGCGCCCATCACCACACCCCGCTAACTTTTGTATTTTTTTAGTAGAGACGAGGTTTCGCCATGTTGGCCAGGCTGGTCTCGAACTCCTGACCTCAGGTGATCCACCCACCTCAGCCTCCCAAAGTGCTGGGATTATAGGTGTGAGCCACTGCGCCTGGCCCAAGGAAGGTCATTTGATTAGGACGGGGCAGCTGCATCCATTTTGAGCCCAGTCCAAGAGGTGCCTGGGAGCCTCTTTGGCTCTATGTGGGCCAGCATCCCATTTGTACAGGGTGTGATGGGGAGAGAAACTTGAGAACTTGAAGAGGGTGGCTGAAGGCTCTTCATGGAGCTGATGACACTTTTCAGAACCCCAGAAGCACCAGGCTGAAACTGCCTTGTCCTTCTAACTCTTCACATCCTAAACATGAAGGCCAGTTCTTCTGGGCTAAGATACTCCAGGCAATGTGGCTTTTCTCCAAGTTGGATAGGGAGATAGGAAAAAGTCACCTGAACCAGGAATTCTTGCCATCACTTCTCTTCTCACTCAATTCGATGGACCCTGAAACCTTTCCCTCGCCCAAAAAAACAAGTTTTGCTCAAGCCCAGTCATACTCAACAAGCTCCCTCAACAAGACCTGAGAAATGAAGCCACCGCCCACCCTGCCCCCACCCTGCCCCCTCCTCTGCTTCCCACAAGCAGTGAGAGCCCTGGTGTCTCACCAGATCCAGCTCGAAACGAATGAACTCTAGCCCGGACACCAAGGTCAGGAAGAGCGTCAGGTGATCGTGGCTGCAGACCAGGGCATTCCTGCAAGACATGAGAAGCCACGATGGTGCCTCTGGGTCTGTTTACCAGCCTGGCCTAACCTTACCAACATACCAGCTGTGTTGAAATCTGACACGTGATGTCCTCCACCTTGGACGGCACCCAGCTTGATATAGCTGTTGCCCACCACCCTCTCAGCGATCTCCTACTGGGTTAGCAGCCACACTGCACTGTCCTGCCAGTGTCTTCAGAGATGGACGAGCACAAGGCTTGTCAGGCTCTCAGCAGCTGCTGTACACACTCTGTTCCTGCAGCAACCCCAGCAAAGGCTGAGCCAAAGCATGGGCACTGGTCAGGTCTGAAGCCTGGGAGGAGGACCAGGGAGCAGCAGAGACCCAGACTGTACCCAGGAGCCCAGATGGGACACCGGTGCTCCTGGTGAAGGCTACCCAGCTACTGGCAAGGTTCTAATGGCTCTCTGGCATCACTGATGTGGCACACTGTGCTGTCTGCATGACAAGAGCCTTTGGGAGGTAGCTGAAAGGGAGCTCTGAGGCTAGGGGAGACAGACCGTCCCAGACACTCACTTGACGTAGTACTTATGCAGCAGGCCCAGGTTCTCCTGGAACAACCGCAGGTAGCTCTCCAAGGAGTTCTCGTTGAGGGCCAGGTACAGCCAGGCACGGCCTGCAAACAAAGGCAGGAGTAACCGGCAGGAAGGCCTCTCAGACTGCTGGCTTTTATTTGCCAAGCAAGCGCAGAAAGGAAAGAAAGAGCAGGTAATGGGACCAGGCACTTCAGTGGCCTTTGTGCTTGGTGGGGTACCATAACCCCTGAGTGCTTTATTTTCCTAGTCAGACCTCAGCATGTAGCTGGCCAGGAAATTCTGATAAAGAGGGCAGACTGCACACTTCAGACAGGTCAAGAAACGCCAGGACTCTGCACTGATCCTGTAGGCTAACAGTGATCCCAGCTCAGGGAGAGAAACCAGACTCCATAGCACGTGCTCAGGCTGGGATTCCATAAGAGTCCAGCTCTCGCTGGCAGCTCGCCCTCTTTCTCCCCATCACTGCTGTGCCAAAAAACCATCATATGTGGGGAGAAAAGAGGCCTCATGGAGGGGGCTGGCATTTTATAAATTTATTATTTATTACTATTATTTTATTTTTTGAGACAGAGACTCTGTCACCCAGGCTGGAGTATAGTGGTGTGATCACAGCTCAATACAGCCTTAAATTCCTGGGCTCAAGGGATCCTCCTGCCTTACCCTCCCAAAGTGTTGGAATTACAGGCATGAGCCACTGTGCCCGGCCATTTTCCTAAATCTTTAGAGATGGGGTCTCACTCTTTCTTCCAGGCTGGAGTGCAATGCTGTGGTCATGCCTCACTGCAGCCTCAAACTCCGGGGCTCAAGCCATCCTCCCACCTCAGCCCCTGAGTAGCTGGGACTATAGGTGTGTACCAAGACATCCATGTAATATTTAAATTTTTGTAGAGATGGGGTCTCACTGTGTTGCCCAGGCTGGTCTAAACTCCTGGCCTCAAGCCATCCTCCCTCCTCAGCCTCCCAAAATGCTGGGATTACAGGTGTGAGCCACCATGCCTGGCCTGGTGCTGGCATTTTAACACCCCACTGCTACTGGACACCACCAGGTAATTTGCCTCCCAGGGCTGACCCTGAGGGTAAACCTGGGACAGAGCCCCAAGCTACCCACCGAAGGTGGAGCTGGTCCCTTCCCCAGCGTCTCCTTGTGACTACTCACTGCGCCCCAGGTTGGTGGCCACGTGCTGCAGCACCTCGATCTGCTTGATGGCCTCTCTCCGAGTAAAATGCACCACGAGCACCCAGTAGCCAGAGGAGAGGTCTTGCAGTCTGAGAAAACAGGACAGGAGCTGCTGTGACCTGCATGGGGCCACCCTGGGAAGCTGCAGTCGGCTGGTCCAGCAGTGAGCGCAAGGCAGGAAGTGATGGATCCCCAGCAGGTCTCCCAGGCACCCAGCACACCTTCACACCATCATATCATTTGTGGCAAATCCTCCCTCCATCATTTATGTCTGCCCAGAGATGATTTACTGGGGTAACTACAGAGAGACTGTGGCCCACTTGAGTGGGACAAATCCCTTTCTGCCAAGGGGAGAGAAGAAAGAAAAGGCAGAGAGGCTAAGGGTTTCTCTGTGGAGGCTACTCATGGCCTGGGTTGTGCTCCGTCATCTTTGGAAACTTCCTCCACCTTACCCGTACAGCAGGGCGTGGTCCAGGTGCTCACACAGACGCTGTAGGACCTTGTCATGGTTCCGGATGGCAGGGATCTCATCCTCACATGCAGCAAAATAGCTCTGCAACTGAAAGAAAAAAAAACACCTCCAAATCAGAAATGGATTAAGAGGAAGGCTACAAAAGTTCTGGAATCAAGAAGGTAGCTAAAAAAAATTAGTCAAATGGTGTATCCACAATGACCAGCAGAGACGTCTACCTCAAACCACCCCTGTCCCAGCTGCTGCTCTGGCACTGGAGGTTCCAGCAGGCAACAGCTGTATCTTTACAGCCCAGTCCCCCAGAGGCACCCAGTCAGCAGTCCGCACAGTGACAACTTGAGGCTGGAGGGATCCACTGTCCATGCATAGGTCTCAAGTGGTGGCAAGCTTCAGGCCAGGGCCACAGCATGGCACAACTTCAGGGGCACTATGTACAGTGCTGTCTAGACCAATGCCACACAAACCCAGAGTTGGGGCATTGATACAGAGAGCGCTAGACGTATTTTCCTCCCATTGTCAACAGACCTTTAAACTTTGCTTATGTTATTGTTTTGCCCTATTGAGAAAGTTTTAATTTTTAGGCAGTCAAATCTGTCCATCTTTTCCTTTATAGTTTCCCATTTTTCCCAGTCATATATTAGAAAAGTATCTTTTTTCTTTTCTTTTTGGTTGTTTGTTTTATTGAGACAAAGTCTTGTTCTGTCGCCCAGGCTGGAGGGCAGTGGCATGATCTCGGCTCACTGCAGCCTCCGCCTCCTGGGTTCAAGTGATTCTCCTGCCTCAGCCTCCCGAGTAGCTGGGATTACAGGTGCCCACCACCATGCCCAGCTAATTTTTTATCTTTAGTAGAGACGAGGTTTCGCCATGTTGGCCAGGCTGGTCTCAAGCTCCTGACCTCAGGTGATCCACCCACTTTGGCCTCCCAAAGTGCTGCGATTACAGGCGTGAGCCACTGTGCCCGGCCTGTTTGTTTTGAGACAGGGTCTCACTCTGTCATGCAGGCTGGAGTGCAGTGGTGTGATCACGGCTCGCTGCAGCCTCAATCTCCTGAATTCAAACAATCCTCCTTCATATCACAGTGGCCCCACTTGGAGCTACCCTCTGCATATACTAAGGGCCGATGGACTGGGGCACCTGCCCCACCAGCCTTCTTGCCAGCCTTCTTGACATGGAATACTAGAATTGCCTGCAATGCTGGATATGGATCTAGGTGCATGCAAGGCTCACGTTAAGCCCTACACCAAGAAGGACACCACTGTTCCTGGACTGGGCTGATAAAAGGAGATTTGGACAGTAGGTGAGATGAACTGCAGCACTGTGCAAACCCCACCAGGCTGGTGAGGGCAAGGGCAGCTCCATCAGCCTACTGAAGGACAAGAAAGCCCAGATATTGGACTGAGTTCACTGCAACCGCAGTTACAGAGAGAGGGCCCCTTTCAAGCACAGCTCTAGGAGAAAAGTCTCTCCAAGTTCATGTTAGCCATATCCTGTTCTGCTACTGCCCTTCCAATGGCCAGAAGGGAGTGGAACACAAGACAAGAGCACAGATGCCTGATCCTGATCTCAGGTTTAACCTCTTGGGACAAACGTATTCTCAAGTGTTTTCTGGAAGCAGTGGTAGAGATGGCCACAGCAGGCAAGATACATCAACCACACCAACAAGCATGTGCTCCTGGAGAGAGACCAACAATTCAGCTCCCACAACAAAAATAGCCTCTCTTCTCTGCAGCCCGGAACAAGCCTGGCAGGCCTGTCAGCCAGGACAAACCTCAGTCCTGCAGGGTCTTCCCTTCCCTTCCTCCCAGAGGCAGGCAAATCAGAGCACCAGAAGGAAAGATTTCTAGAGCTGAAAGAAAGAGGAATAAGCCTGCAAAAACTGCATAATCCCTCTCAGCAACAGCTGGAAACATTACTGCACACTTCAGTATTAAGTACGACCACACTGGGGTAGAGCTTTTTTTTTTTTTTTTTTTTTAATTTCAAAATCTGAGTAAATCTGAGATCAGAGAGCCTATAGACAGATGTTACAGCTGGAAGCATCCTTAGAGATCTAGTGCAATGTTCTAATTAAAAAACCAAAACAGGGCCGGGTGTGGTGGCTCACACCTGTAATCCCAGCACTTCGGGAAGCCAAGGCGGGTGGATCACGAGGTCAGGAGTTCAAGACCAGCCTGGCCAAGATGGTGAAACCTCGTTCTCTACTAAAATACAACAACTAGCTGGGTGCGGTGACAGGCACCTGTAATCCCAGCTACTCAGGAGGCTGAGGAAGGAGAATTGCTTGAACTCAGGAAGCAGAGGTTGCAGTGAGCTGAGATTGTGCCACTGCACTCCAGCCTGGGCAGCAGAGTGAGACTCTGTCTCCAAAAAAAAAAAAAAAAACAGGGCTGGGCTGCAGTGGCTCACGCCTGTAATCCCACCGCTTTGGGAGGCCGAGGTGGGCGGATCACGAGGTCAGGAGATCAAGACCATCCTGGCTAACATAGTGAAACCCCGTCTCTACTAAGCAAAATGCAAAAAATTAGCCGGGCGTAGTGGCAGGCGCCTGTAGTCCCAGCTATTCGGGAGGCTGAGGCAGGAGAATGGCAGGAACCCGGGAGGCGGAGCTTGCAGTGAGCTGAGATCACGCCACTGCACTCCAGCCTGGGCAACAGAGCAAGACTCCTTCTCAAAAACAAAAAACAAAAAACAAACAAACAAACAAAAAACAGAATATTATTCATTCTCTTGAATTATAATTCCCACATGGAAAAGAATGTGTATATTTGTGTATTTACAGAGACGAGGTTAAGTCCCTCAATATGGTTTTTAGTTAAGTGACAGGACCCAGGGCTGGAACTCAGACTCTTTTCTCAGCTAAGATACCTTTAAAGAAAAATTATTCTGAAAACATTTGTTCATTGTAAAAATGGAAGCAACACAGAGGTGTGTATAAAGAATAAAGGCCCCCTTGCTCCCATTTACTATTGCCAACAGCTTGGTGTGCACGTATCCCCCCAACTCTTTTCCTGTATACACAGACCTAAGAAAAAAAGAAAAAAAAGAAAGAAAGAAATAAGAAAAAAAGGAATGCCACGAGTGGTGGCTCATGCCTGTAATCTCAACACTTTGGGAGGCCCGAGGCAGGAGGATCGTTTGAGGCCAGGAGTTTGAGACCAGCCTCAGCCACATAGCAAAACGCTGTGTCTACAAAAACAAACAAACAAACAAAAAATTAAAAATTAGCCAGGCGTGGTGGCTCACACCTATAATCCCAGCACTTTGGGAGGCCAAGGCAGGCAAATCAGTTGAGGTCAGGAGTTTCAGACCAGCCTGGCTAACATGGTGAAACCCCGTCTCTACTAAAAATACAAAAATTAGCTGGGTGTGGTGGCACATTCCTGTAATCCCAGCTACTTGGGAGGCTGAGGCAGGAGAATCGCTTGACCCTAGGAGGTGGAGGTTGCAGTGAGCCAAGATTGCACCACTGCACTCCAGCAGGGGCGAAAAATAAAAATAAAAATAAGCTAGCTAGGCATGGTGGCATGCACCTATAGTCTCACCTACTTGGGAGGCTGAGGCAGGGTCAGGGGGAGGTATCCCTTGAGCCCAGGAGTTCAAGGTTGCAGTGAGCTGTAATGGCACCACTGCACTCCAGCCTGGAGCAAGAACTTGTCTCAAAAAAAAAAAAAAAAAGGAAAATAAGATCATGCTATATTCATTCTGAAACTTGTTTTGCCTTTAAGGTATATCCATGTATATTTCCATATCATTATGATGTACCATACTTCAACCATTGTTAAATATGGATATCATATCCAGTTCCTGGACATAGCACATAATATTGCAGTGACCATTGTGCAGTCCTGTGTGGATGCTTCTGTATGGTGAGTGCCTGCAAGGGGAACTGCTGAGCCAACAGACAAACACATTCACAATCTGCCTGGGTCCTGCCACCTGGCCGTCTAGAATGTCTGACTGATTTACACTCCGACCATGCTGGCCAACACTGCATATAATTAGTCTAATTTTTTCCAGTCCATTTGGTGAAAAATAGTACCTGTTTTAAATTGTACTTCTCTGATTAAAAGCGCAGTGGAACATCCATATTAGCCACGTGTTTCTCTTCTTCTAGGAACTAAGTATTCACAGCCTTTGCCCAATCTTCCACTGGCTGCTTGTGTTTTTGTTATTTGTTGCAGCTCTTTTTTTTTTTTTTTTTTTTTGAGACTGAATCTTGCTCTTGTTGCCCAGGCTAGAGTGCAGTGGCGTGATCTCGGCTCACTGCAACCTCTGCCTCCCAGGTTTAAGCGATTCTCCTGCCTCAGCCTCCTGAGTAGCTGGGATTACAGGCACGCGCCACCGTGCCCGGCTAATTTTGTACTTTTAGTAGAGATGGGGTTTCTCCATGTTGGTCAGGCTGGTCTTGAACTCCCAACCTCAGATGATCCACCCGCCTCAGCCTCCCAAAGTGCTGGGATTACAGGCGTGAGCCACCGCGCCCAGCCATGTTACAGCTCTTTAAGGATTTAACCTAATGTGTTGTTATATATTATTTTCCCCCCCGTTATCAATTGACCTTTAAACTTCACTTGTCATTTTTTTGCCCTATTGAGAAATTTTTAATTTTGATGCAGTCAAATCTACCAGTCTTTTCCTTTATAGTTTCCCATTTTTCCCAATGTAAGATTACAGAAGTGCCTTTTTTCTTTTTTCTTTTTTTTTTTTGAGATGGAGCCTCGCTCTGTTGCCCAGGCTGGAGTGCACTGGCACAGTCTCGGCTCACTGTAGCCTGTGTCTCCCAGGTTCAGGTGATTCTCCTGCGTCAGCCTCCCAAGTAGCTGGGATCACAGGCACCTTCGACCACACCTGGCTAATTTTTGTATTTTTTAGTAGAGATGGGGCTTTGCCATGTTGGCCAGGCTGGTCTCGAACTCCTGAGCTCAAGAGATCTGCCCACCTCAGCCTCCCAAAGTGTGGGGATTACAGGCATGAGCCACCACGGTTGGCCACAAAAGTGCCTTTTTTCTTTTATAGTTTTAGGACAATTTGATTTTGGTTTTTAGGTTTAGATCTTTTTTGTTTTTTCACTGCTGGTTTTTGGTCCCCTTATGTTTTTATTTATTTTATTTTATTTTTATTTTTGATAGAGACAGGGTCTCCCTATGTTGCCCAGGCTGCTCTCGAACTCCTGGGCTCAAGGGATCCTCCTGCCTTGGCCTCCCAAAATGCTAGGATTACAGGGGTGAGCCGTCATGCCCGGCCAGGTTCCCTTATGTTTAGATCTTTATATATGTCATGAGGTAAGGATCCAGCTTTATATATGGCATGAGGTAAGGATCCAGTTTCACCGTGTTGGCCAGGCTGGTCTCAAACTCCAGACCTCAGGTGATCTGCTTGCCTTGGCCTCCCAAAGTGTTGGGATTACAGGCATGAGCCACGGCACCCAGCCCTCGTATTTATTAATGTTAATTAATGGTCCAGCTCTTCCTAATCCTCTCACCTCAGCCTGCTGGGTAGCTGGAACTACAAATGCATGCCACTATGCCTGGCTGATCTGTGATGTAATATGCCCCTTTTAAAACTACTTCTTGTTGGCCTATTATATATTCCTGTGCTGGTCCTCCATTTAAAATTTTCACTTTATTCAGCATTTTGGTATGGGCAGAACAAGTCCACCCCAGCCCCCTCAACATTCTTTTTCAAAATTGTTTTGGTAGCTGGGTGCAGTGGCTTACGCCTGTAATCCCAGCACCTTGGGAGGCCAAAGCAGGCGGATCACCTGAGGTCAGGAGTTTGAGACCAGCCTGGCCAACATGGTAAAACTCTGTCTGTACTAAAAAAAATACAAAAATTAGCCGGGCCCCACCATGCCTGTAATCCCAGCTACTCGGGAGGCTGAGGCAGGAGAATTGCTTGAACTCGGGAGTTGGAGGTTGCAGTGAGCCGAGATCATGCCACTGCACTCCAACCTGGGCAGCCGAGTGAGACTCCGTTTCAAATAACAACAATAACAACAACAACAAAACTGTTTTGGCTGTTCTAGTACATTATTTTAATCAAATTTCACTACAATTTTCTTCTGGATTTGTACCAGAATTTTTTTTTTTTTTTTTTGGAGATGGAGTCTCGCTCTGTCGCCCAGGCTGGAGGGCAGTGGCGCGATCTCGGCTCACTGCAAGCTCCGCCTCCCAGGTTTACGCCATTCTCCTGCCTCAGCCTCCCGAGTAGCTGGGACTACAGGCGCCCGCCACCATGCCCAGCTAATTTTTTGTATTTTTTTTAGTGGAGATGGGGTTTCACCACGTTAGCCAGGATGGTCTCGATATCCTGACCTCGTGATCTGCCCATCTCGGCCTCCAAAGTGCTAGGATTACAGGCATGAGCCACCGCGCCCGGCTTGTACTAGAATTATACTGAATCCAGAGATCATTTGGAGGAGGAAATAATATTGCAATATTGAGTCTTCCTATCCAGGAACATGGAGTCTTTTCCCCATTTATTCAGGTCTTCTGTTATATCCTTTGGTAATTTTTATAGCTTTCTTTAGGTATGTCCTGCACATTTATTTCAAGGTGGCTTGCATATCTACACATGGTATTATGAGTTAGGAAGCAATCTGTGCCTTGAAACAATTTCTGCAAAAAGTACAGTACAAAGAGTGTATATGCCACGGTGGTGGAGAGAGAAGGCTCCGTAGGCAGGAAACCCGGGTCCAAAGTGTGGCTCTGCGACTACAGAGGTGGGCACCTTTGGCAAATTACTTAACTCTCTAACCCTCATTTTTTCTCATCTGCAAAATGGGTTATAAAACGACTATTTAGACCTGAGCTGTCCAATACAGTAGTCACTAGCCACATGTGGCTATTTAAAGACTTTGGGAGCTGGGTAGCAAAGCACATAAAGGTAAATAAACAGCAGTGGCACTCTCTTAGCTGTAATGAGGCTGCAGCTGGTAACCACCTCCCTCCCGCTCCAGTATCAGAAGGCTCTGAAAGAACAGGAGTGGAAGGAAAGCAAACATCGAAGAAATGAGGACCCCAGAACAGAATTAATGGGGTGAGTATAACAAATATAACCCAGCCTGGAAGCACAATCCTCATCTTTTATGCCAAATTACTCTTTGGTTGCACTCAATACCTGCTGGTAGAGCTAATACCCACTACAATTAGGGCCATGATTTATTGAGTGCACACTCTGTGCATCAGGACGGTGGCAGAGCTGTTAAGAGTGTGGATTCTGGAGTCGGACAACTTGGTTTGAATGCTGACTCTGCTACTCATTCACTGTGTGACCTTGGGCAAGTTACCTAACCTCTCGAAACTCGTTTTCCTTGTCTGTAAAATGGGCTTAGTAATAGGACCCTCCCTATAGGTTGCCATGAGGGTTCATAATGCTTATACTATGTTTACCAAGTACATGATACATCGTAAACACTTAACAAATGTTAGCAGCTATGATGACGATGACACACTTTTCAAACGTAATTTAATCACCACCGCAGCCCCGTAAGTAGGTCACAGAGCTAGTAAGGGGCAGAGACAGATTTTAAACCCAGGTCTTTTCATCAAACCTGGGTTGGAGGTCCCAGAACGAATAATGTATGTAAAATGTTAGACTCTAGCCAGGCATGGTGGCTCACAAGTATAATTCCAGCTCTTTGGGAGGCCAGTGAAGGAGGATCATTAGAGGCCAGGAGTTTGAGACCAGCCTGGGCAATATAGCAAGACCCCATCTCTATTTTAAAAAACTTTTTTGTAAAGTTAGACTCTATTTAAATCCCCTCCTAATACGTTTTAGGGGAATCCAAGAAAGAAAAATGCCGTTCCGGACCGGGCACAGTGGCTCACGCCTGTAATCCCAGCACTTTGGGAGGCCGAGGCAGGTGGATCACAAGGTCAAGAGATCGAGACCATTCTGGCCAACATGGTGAAACCCCATCTCTACTAAAAATACAAAAATTAGCCGGGCGTGGTGGTGTGCACCTGTAGCCCCAGCTACTCGGGAGGCTGAGGCAGAAGAACTGCTTGAACCAGGGAGGTGGAGGTTGCAATGAGCTGAGATCGTGCCACTGCACTCCAGCCTGGCGACAGAGCGAGACTCCATAAAAAAAAAGAAAAAAGAAAAATGCAGTTCCCTCTCTTTTAAATCATGAGAACTGGCCAGGTGCAGTGGCTCACGCTGGTAATCCCAGCACTTTGGGAGGCCGAGGCAGGTGGATCACTTGAGGTCAGGAGTTCAAGACCAGCCTGGCCAACACAGTGAAACCCCATCTCTACTAAAAATACAAAAATTAGCTGGGAATAGTGGTGGGTGCCTGTAATCTCAGCTACTCGGGAGGCTGAGGCAGGAGAATCACTTGAACCCAGGGGGTGGAGGTCACAGTGACCTGAGATCACGTCACTGCACTCCAGCCTAGGCGACAAGAGCGAGACTCCATCTCAAAAAAATATAAACTATGAGAACTAAAACCCCATGGTAGACATGAGCTCAGAGTCTTCTCCAGTTCTGCTTCTTGGAAGACAGACCAAGGAGAGCAGCCAGGGTGGCTTCTCTACCAACAGCCCTTGCTGGTACAGTCTCTGTCCTTTGGCCCCACACTGGCATCTCCCGAGTGAGGATGTGTCTTGTCAGTTTTAAAAAAAGCTGCAGCTGCTCCAGGAGGGGCTTTCCCCACTTCTGGGAAGAAGTTCATTCTGCTGATCAGACTGCCAAGTGGTTCTGAGTGTTTCCTTTCTGTTCATGTGGATTTTGGGGAAAGGCAGAAAATCTCAGAATTCGTGGGAGTCTAGGGCAGGGTGGCTAGGGGACCACCTCCAAGTTTTGTGTGTAAAGTTTTATTGGAACACAGCCACTCCCATCGGCTCACGTGTCACCTGTGGCTGCTTTTGTGCTATGACGGCAAGTGGAGCAGTGTTTTTAGAAACAGGTCTCACTTTGTTGCCCAGGCTAGAGTGCAGTAATGCTCACTGCAGCCTCAACCTACCGGGCTCAGGTGATCCTCCCAGCTCAGCCTCCCAAATAGCTGAGACTACAGGTATGTACCACCACACCTGGCTAATTTTTTTTTTTTTTGTATTTTTTTTGTAGAGATGGAGTTTTGCTATGTTGTCTAGGCTGGTCTTAAACTCCTGAGCTCAAGTGATCCTCCTGCCTTAGCCTCTCAAATTCTAGGGATTACAGGTATAAGCCATGGTGCCCAGCCCAAAGCCTACACTTTAAGCACTCTTTTTTTTTTTTGAGACGGAGTTTGTCTCAGAGACCGCATGGCCTGTACAGCCTGAACTATTTAGCACCTGGCTCTTTACAGAAGAAGCATGCTGGCCCTCGGTCTGGAGCCTGCAGCAGAGGTGGCAAGGAATGCACACTTGTGATAGGCTCGGCTGAGGAGCTGCCTCTTGCTCAAAGCTCAGTTCAGCAGTGGCCAGAAGGGAAGGCTCAAGCCGTGAAGGGTCACATATTTCAACACACAGTTACTGAGCACCTGCTATGTACATATCAGACACGGTGGCAGAGATAAATTAGTGCAAATGTATAATACGGCATCAGGGAGTAGTAAGTGCTATGAAAAAAATGAAGCAGGGTGTGGAAATCTGTTATAAATACGGAGCCCCCAGAGGGAAAAAAATAAATACAAAAGCCGGGCACAGTGGCTCACGCCTGTAATGCCAGCACTTTGGGAGGCTGAGGCAGGTGGATCACCTGAGGTTAGGAGTTCGAGACCAGCCTGACCAACGTGGTGAAACCCCGTCTCTATTTAAAATACAAAAAATTAGCCAGGCATGGTGGCGCACACCTGTAATCCCAGCTACTCGGGAGGCTGAGGCAGGAGAATCATTTGAACCTGGGAGGCAGAGGTTGCAGTGAGCCGAGATCGTGCCACTGCACTCCAGCCTGGGCAACAAGAGCAAAACTCCAACTCAAAAAATAATAATAAAAACAAACAAACAAATAAGGAGCCAAGAAGATCTCCCTGAGGAAATGGCTATTGTGGCATCCGGGGGGAAAGTATTCCGGTTAGAGGAACAGCAGGGGCAACAGTGAGGAGCCTGGTGTGGCTGGAGCTCAGGGAGTGAGGGGTGAGCAGCATGAGATGAGGTCAAGAAGGCAGCTGAGGGCCGGATCATGCACAGCCACACAGGCCGTGCGAGGGGCTTTGCGTTTCATTACCAGTTTGATGGGAAGCTGTTGGCAGGTGAGAACAGGAAAGTACATAACTCGATGTCACTATTACAAAGCTGCTATAGCTTCTTGCTTGTTTTTTGAGACAGGGTCTTGCTCTGTCACCCAGGCTGGAGTGCAATGGCGCGATCTTGGCTCACTGCAGCCTCTGCCTCAATCGATCCTCCCACTTCAACCTCCCGAGTAGCTGGGACTGCAGGTGTGCGACACCACAGCAGGCTAGTTTTTCTGTTTTGTAGAGATGGGGTCTCATCATGTTGCCCAGATTGGTCTTGAACTCCTGGGTCAAGCAATCCACCCACCTCGGCCTCCCAAAGTGCTGGGATTACAGGCGTGAGCCACCAGATCCGGCCTTGCCATAGTTTCTGTATGGTGAGTAGACAGACTGTGAAAGGCCAGGGTGGAGGCAGAGGCTGGTTAGGAGGCTAGCAGCCCCGACAATGGGAAAATGGGGGCTGGGAGCTGGCTACAGTGTAGAGGACAGGAGAAGGGGTCAGATGCAGGGTCTGAAGGCAGAGCCGCAGAGATTTAGCGATGGATTAAATGTGGGGCATGAGGGAAAAGGAGGAGCCAGCAACAGTTCTGAGGTATGGTCTGAGCAGGTGGACGGCAGCCGTTTCTGGATCAGGTGGAGTTCAGCTCTGGCATAAGTTCAGAACACCTATCCGACATCTATGTGGAGGCCGGGCACAGTGGCTCACGCCTATAATCCCAGCGCTTTGGGAGGCCGAGGTGAGTGGATCGTCTGAGCTCAGGAGTTGGAGACAAGCCTGGGCAACATGGCAAAACCCTACCTCAGCAAAAATACAAAAAATTAGTCGGACATGATGGCACGATACACTTGTAGTCCCAGCTACTCAGGAGGCTGAAGTAGGAGAATCGCTTGAGTCTGGGAGGTAGAGGTTGCAGTGAGCCAAGATTGCACCACTGCACTCCAACTAGGTGATAGAGTGAGACCCCATCTCAAAAAAAAAAAAAAAAAAAAAAAAAAAGATATCTACGTGGAGACATCAAGGACACAGCTGTGGAAATGGATCTGAGGTTCAGGGGCAGGGGGGGTGCCGCCAGCCACTGAAAGCCGTGAGTGTGCAGCAGGAGGAGCGTCTGAGTACTGAGCCGCCAGGGCTGCGTTAGACCAGGGGTCCTCACCCACGCAGCCCAACAATGCCCGGGCCCCTTTCCAGACCAATGACATCAGAAACTCTGGAGTCAGGGCACAAGAAGCAGCACTGTAACACTCCAGGTAATCCTGATGCCTGGCCCGGGCTGAGGATCACTGTCTTAGACCACGAAGGCACAGCCAGCGAGGTGGGCAGAAAACGTGGGCAGTATGTGCTCCAGAAGCCCAGTGAGGAAAGTTTCCCAAGGGCAGGTGTGGTCAGTCGCCAGGGTCATGGCAGCAGGGGCCTAAAAGGGAGGTGCTGGGACCATGAGGAAAGCACATGGGCGCAGGGGCGGGGGCAGCAGCCTGATGGGCACTCATCACGGAGGGCAGGAGCTTGTGTGGATCCCGCATCAGCAAATGAGGCATTTAAACATGACAGTGATGAGGCAGCTGGAACTTGAAACAGCAAATATTTGATGATATTGAGGAAAAGTTATTGTGAATTTTTTGTAATATTGGGTCATGTGAGAAAAGAATCCTCATTTTTTAACAATACGTACTGAAATATTTATGGATGTCTGGAAATCTGTTTCAAAATAATAGAGGGCTGGTGGTATAGACTGTCCGGTGATGATACGAGCTGAACATGGGGCTTCGGTATGCCATTCTGCCTATTTTGGGTCAGAAGAGGGGGTGAGGGAAGTGGAAGAACAGAGAGGAAGAGGAAGAAAGGAAGGGAGGAAGGGAGGGAGGGAGGGACGGAGGGAGTGGAGGAAGAGACAGTAAATACAGAAAATCCCTTTGACCGGTTTTGCCAAAAGAGTGGCAGGAAAAACAGGGTAGAGTAAAGAAATAAAGTCCTTGCCCAGGAAAGACAGGATGGGACCCCTCTGGCCACAAAGGAGAGTCCACAAGCAGGTGGGCCAGTATGCTCCATGGTGGGAGGATGAAAAAGTTGTCATCAGAAGAAAATTCAAAAGTAAGCAAGGTCAGCTGAGAATGAAGAGAGAGATTCAGATTTAAGGTAAATTTTTAAACATGGTGGTTCCCTAAGGTCCACGGACTCTGAGGCCTCTGTCTCAAAGGCATGTTCCCAGACCACGCTCTAGACCTGCTCAGCTGCTCTCCTGTCCCTGCTGCTGATTTTTCGGTTGTGCTCAGGCACCAGGGCCGGGAAAAGCTAGCTCAGCTCATCCCAGACTCTCCCAAAGCCAGGAGCACAGGGCTCCCAGGCGCTCTGGGAAGGCTGGGCGTCACAAGACTGCTTCGGGGAAGTGTGGGTGGTACACTCCAACAAGCCAAGAAATGCCTGACTCAGAGAATTTTAATCAGGGTGAGTCCCACTCTCTGCTCTGAGCTGCCACAGCCCGGCCTTCTCTGTCCCGTCTCTCTCTGATCTTCATACACCCACAAAACAATTTCTAGTACTATGGTTGATACGAAGAAATCCTTCCAGATTGGTCTCTAATAATTAACTCAAAGGTGGCTGTGAAAGACGATAAACAGCCAAATGAACATAAGACAGTTCCAAGTGACGTCCTTCCTTTCTCCCTCGTCAGACAAGGTCAAAAAGAGGCTGCAACCCTGCCCAGCCCAAAAGAGGGGCGATCTGGATTCTAACTCTGCTGTCAACTCGCAAGTTATACTAGGGGAGCAGGGGTCACACTTCCCTATTTACAGAGCAGGATAAAAACGCCTGCTCCAACAACAGGAGAGGCTGGACAGATGGCTGTAAGCGTGCCTGTTTAACTGCCTGGCCACTGTGGGGCTCCACCGCTGTGCCTGCCCCATCCCTGCTCAGCCACCGCAGACACAGACCTAAGGATACCTAAGAAACCTTGCCCGGCCCGGCCTGGCCTGGCAGGTTCGACTCTCCTGTGATGCCCAGGGAGAAGGCCGCCAGGTAACAGCAGCCTCCCTGTGGGCTCCATGGAGACCAAACGTTATTTACACAAGAGTGTTTGGAAGAGCCTCAGCAGGACAGGTCTAGGAGGTGGAAATCCAAAAACAGAATAGACCCCACCTGAGGGCTGGGCGCTGTGGCTCACGCCTGTAATTCCAGCACTTTGGGAGGCTGAGTCAGCGGGAGTATTGCTTGAAGCCAGAAGTTTGAGACCAGCTGGGCAATATAGCAAGACCCTGTTTCTAGCAACTTTTTTTTTTTTTAAAGTTAGCTGGGCGTGGTGGTGCATACCTATAGTCCCAGTTACTCGGAAGGCTAAGGCAGGAGGATTGCTTGAGCCCAGGAGCTGGAGGCTGCAATGTGCCATGATCACACCTCTGTACTCCAGCCTGGGCAACAGAGTGAGACCCTGCCTCGAAAAAAAAAAAAAAAAAAAAGGCTGGGCACGGTGGCTTATGCCTGTAATCCCAGCACTTTGGGAGGTCAAGGTGGAGAGATCACTTGAGGTCAGGAGTTCGAGACCAGCCTAACCAATATGATGAAACCCCATCTCTACTAAAAATACAAAAATTAGCTGGGCGTGGTGGTGCACATGCCTGTAATCCCAGCTACTTGGGAGGCTGAGGCAAAAGAATTGCTTGAACCTGGGAGGCGGAGGTTACAGTGAGCTGAGATTGTGCCACTGCACTCCAGTCTGGGCAACAGAGCAAGGCTACATCTCAAAAAAAGAAAAAAAAAACCCACCTGAAGAATGGGTGGATTACCACCCACCTCACCTCCAATCACCTCTTTAAGGATTACATCCACGATGGCCACAGCTAAATAAGCTCATCTCAACCTCCGAGCCAGACTGCACTGCAGGGGCCCTCTTGGTCCACTGAGTCCTGGAGGCTGCCCCTCACATGGCGATGCTGTAGGTACAAGGTGGGTGAGGACGCGTCCCATGGAAAGTGACATGCCACTGCCCACCTTGCGTCTGGGAATTCTACTCACAGCATGGTCACTGGTTGGGCAAACTGCCCCTCTGGTCTCACAGACATTCCTCCCTTACAAGGCAGATCCCCAGGGGAAAGGTGGAGCTCAAGCTACCTGCTGTCATTTACCTTTGGGCGACCCGTCCGTATCAGTGACAGCTGGAGAAGGGCCATGTGGTTGCAACTACTGAATGTCCCTTCAGGGAGGCCACCATAACGACTACCCCCCCGAGCTTGCATCAGCAGTTTGCTGCAGCTTCAGGCGCAGCCTCTTGTGAATGTAAGGGAAGGGCCAGTGCTCGACATCCATCCCCTCAGAAAGACACAGGGAGCAGAAAATAAACAAACAAGTGAGGCAGGCAGGCTGGGGTCTTTTTTCTTTTCTTTTTTGAGAGGGATTCTCGCTGTGTTCCCCAGGCTGGAGTGCAGTGGCGCAATCTCGGCTCACTGCAAGCTCCGCCTCCCGGGTTCACACCATTCTCCTGCCTCAGCCTCCCAAGCAGCTGGGACTACAGGCGCCCGCCACCACGTCCAGCTAATTTTTTTTGTATTTTTAGTAGAGACTGGGTTTCACCGTGTTAGCCAGGATGGTCACGATCTCCTGACCTCGTGATCCACCTGTCTTGGCCTCCCAAAGTGCTGGGATTACAGGCGTGAGCCACCGTGCCCGGCCAGCTGGGGTATTTTAAGTCTTAGCCAAGCTTCCTAAGACTAATAATACCTTTTTTTTTTCTTTTTTCTTTTTTTGAGATGGAGTTGTGCTCTTGTTGCCCAGGCTGGAATGCAATGGCACGATCTTGGCTCACTGCAACCTCCGCCTCCCAGGTTCAGCCGATTCTCCTGCCTCAGCCTCTCGAGTAGTTGGGATTACAGGCACCTGCCACCATGCCCAGCTAATTTTTTGTATTTTTAGTAGAGATGGGGTTTCACCATATTGGTCAGGCTGGTCTCAAACTCCTGACCTCAGGTGATCCACCTACCTCGGCCTCACCAAGTGCTGGGATTACAGGAGTGAGCCACCGCACCCAGCTAATAACATACCCCCACCCCCTTTTTTTTTTTTTTTTGAGACAGAGTTTCACTCTTGTTGCCCAGGCTGGATTGCAATGGCATGATCTCGGCTCACTGCAACCTCCGCCTCCTGGGTTCGAGCGATTCTCCTGCCTCAGCCTCCTGAGTAGCTGGGATTACAGGCGTCCACCACCAACATGGCTAATTGTTTTGTATTTTTAGTAGAGACAGGTTTTCACCATCTTGGCCAGGATGGTCTTGAACTCCTGACCTCATGACCTACCTGCCTCGGCCTCCCAAAGTGCTGGGGTTACAGGCGTGAGCCACCGCGCCCAGCTAATAACACCCCATTTTCATGTGATCCAAGGAATAAATCACTACTGCCAGCAGCACTTCTGCAGAGACTCTCCTCTGCGATCTAAGACAAGGCTGGGTGCTGGCCAGGGCTGAGGAATTTCATTATCGAAGAGCAGAAGAGCCCTTAGAAACCATTTGGTTAGGAAGCAGAGTTTCCTGGGGCCTCCCATTCAGTAAGAATGTCCTGCCCTGTGCAGAAGGGTGTGTGAAGGGAGTTGGAGTTAAGGAGAGGGAGAGGGAGAAGTTATCAGTGAATGAAACTGACTACTGAATGTAATGAAAATCAGAAAAATAATCACTTAGCCACAACCCTCATTTTATAGGCAGGGAGACCGGAGCCCAGGGAGACAGGGGCACTTCCTGCACACCCTAGCTCTGGCCAGCGTCCTACTACTGTACTGCAGAGTCTTGGCCAGGTGTGCTCACACACAGGGGTAGCTACTTCTGGAGCTCCTTCTGCTTCATCCCACCTGGAGATAAAGCAGTCAGGACATCAGCTGCCACCACCCCAGAAGTGCTCATCCGAGCCTGGGTGACAGAGCGAGACCCTGTCTCTAAAAATAAAATTAAAAAAACAAAACAAAACAAAAAACTGAGCAGGGCAGAGCAGCAGGGGCCATGGGCTATCCCCAGGGCTTCAGCGATGGGGCTCTGCAGGATTTAGGGGACCACATCAGGAATGTCCCAGTTGCTTCCCTCCTAGACAACATGAGATGTCAACAGAGGCTTCAGCTGCTGGGTGCCTGCCGCTTCACCAGCCCCAGGGAACTGCAATGCTTCCGATGTACACTGCTAATTTTATTTTTGTTGTTTTTTTTTTTTGAGATGGGGGCTCACTATGTTGCCCAAGCTGGAGTGCAGTGGCTCATCACAGGCACAATCATAGTGCACTACAGTCTCGAACTCCTGGGCTCAAGCAATCCTTCCACCTCAGCCTTCCATGTAGCTGGGACTATAGGCGCACACCACCATGCCCAGCCTACTCTCCTAGATTAATATATTTATGTAATATAATAATAGAGATGGAGTCTCACTATATTGCCCAGGCCAGTCTTGAACTCCTGGGCTCAAGCGATCCTCCCACCTTATCATCATACCCGGCCCACTCTCCTATTTATTTATTTTAATAATAGAGATGTGGTAAAGACACATGCACACATATGTTTATTGTGGCACTATTCACAATAGCAAATACTTGGAACCAACCCAAATGTCCATCAATGATAGACTGGATTAAGAAAATGTGGCACATATACACCATGGAATACTATGCAGCCATCAAAAAGGATGAGTTCATGTCCTTTGCAGGGATATGGATGCAGCTGGAAACCATCATTCTGAGCAAACTATCACAAGGACAGAAAACCAAACACTGCATGTTCTCCTTCATAGGTGGGAACTGAACAATGAGAACACTTGGACACGGGGCGGGGAACATCACACACTGGGGCCCATCGTGAGGTGGGGGGCAGGGGGAGGCATAGCATTAGGAGAAATACCTAATGTAAATGACGAGTTAATGGGTGCAGCAAACCAACATGGCACATGTACACCTATGTAACAAACCTGCACACCTATGTAACAAACCTGCACATTGTGCACATGTACCCTAGAAATTAAAGTATAAAATAATAATAACAATAATAAAATAATAGAGATGGGGTCTCACTATATTGCCCAGGCTGGTCTCAAACTCCTGGGCTCAAGTGATCCTCCTGCCTTGGCCTCCTAAAATCCTGGGATTACAGGCATGAGCCACTGCGTCAAGCCTACTCCCCTAATTTTAAAATCCTTCACCTGAGGTTCCACTGCACCATAGCCTAGAAAATATTTCATTCTCAATGGCAATCAAATTATAGTGAATTATAGAGCAAGAAAGCCCAGAAATCACCCCCGCATAAGAACCAATCAGAGATCTTGCAATTCAAAAACAATGAGGCTAGTTGCTCTATATGAAAAATGTTGGCCAGGCACAGCGGCTCACACCTATAATCCCAGCACTCTGAGAGGCTGAGGTGGGTGGATCACCTGAGGTCAGGAGTTCAAGACCAGCCTGGCCAACATGGTGAAACCCTGTCTCTGCTAAATATACAAAAAATTAGCCAGGTGTGGTGGTGCGCACCTGTAATCCCAGCTACTTGGGAGGCTGAGACAGGAGAATCACTTGAACCCAGGAGGCAGAGGTTACAGTGAGCCAAGATTGCACTATTGCACTCCAGCCTGGGCATCAGAGCAAGACTATGTCAAAAAAAAAAAAAAAAAAGAAAGAAAGAAAGAAAGAAAAAGAAAGAAAAACAAAAATGCTGTTGGCTGGGAGTGGTGGCTCACACCTATAATCCCAGCATTTTGGGAGCCCAAGGCAGGAAGTTCGCTTGAGCCCAGGAGTTCAAGACCAGCCAGGGCAACATAGCAAGACCCCTGTCCCTACAAAATACTAAAAAATTAGCCAGGCCTGGTGGCACACACCTATAGTCCCAACTACTTGGGATGATGAGGCGGGAGGATTGCTTTAGCCCAGGAGCTTGAGGTTGCAGGGAGTTATGGTTGTGTACTGCAGCCTGGGTGACAGAGCAAGACCCTGTCTCTAAAAATAAAAAATAAAAAATAAAAATAATATTAAAAAGAAAAATGCTGTCCTTCAGCGATGTCTTAGAAGGGCAGTCAATGCCCCTAGCCAGGAAGGGCGTGTGCCCAGACTGGGTGGCAACCTGGGTCTGGTAAAGTCCCCCAACGTGTAGAGCTGTCATAAAGGGTTTATCCACCATGGGACTGCATCGATCTTTAAGCAAGTTTGGTGAAATCAATGCTTCTTAACCATTCATTTGCCACTAAATACAGCAGCTAATTGCACAGGTTTCTTTGCCCACCTCCGAAATTACTGCTCATTAGTCCTTCTGCTGGAGAGTTGGTAGACTCTCTGCTTTACTGGCAGCTCTATTGAAAGATATGCAGGGGGTGACCAGCCTGGGCAACATGGCGAGACCCTGTCTCTACTAAATGTACAAAAAAAAAAAATTAGCTGGGCATGGTGGCATACACCTGTAGTCCCAGCTACTTGGTAGGCAGAGGCTGCAGTAGCTGTGATTGCACCACTGCATCCCAGTCTGGGTGACAGAGTGAGACCCTGTCTCAAGAAAAAGAAAGACATGCAGGGGGAAAGCTGGAAAAAAGCAGGTACTTGAATTATCTGTGCATTTCATTTTTCTGTGGATTTCATTTTTCTGTGCTTTCTTTGTGGTGTAGGAAAAATGACAGCTGAAAGTGACTAGCCTACTTGGGCACAGATCTCTAGCATAATTGACAGAACATGGTTTCCAAAAGCAGCTAAATGCTTCCTCTTCCCGGAAGGGGAGTGTGCAAGCCTCAAGGTACTATGATTACTCTGGCTGAGAACTCAGCACAGGGATTGACTTCTTACGGAGGGACCGAGGACTCCTCTTAAGGTGGGGAGAAAACTGCTAAGAGGTTCTGCCAAGGGGCCCCTCAGCGAACACCAGAGACCTAGAAGCCAGCCAATGGCCTGAAAAACAGAGTGCACACGATTCTACTCCATTCTTCTACTGCTGGGACGGAAGCAGGAGCTGGCAGAGACCCTGAGCTCGGTTTTCTGAGCTCTGCACGCTCAGTGTTGTGTGTGGCACTGGCGGAGGAGAAGGGAGTTTTTCAAAGCCTCATTTTAACCAGGCTTTCAAAGCACAGAAGCTTCAGCTGGCGTGTTCATCTTTCACTTCCCTTTTCCTCTCCTGTGCCTACACCACCACCTCATGAGTGCCTCCCCCACCCAGACAACCCAAGTATGGCCAAGGGAAATGCTCACTCTGTCACTGTCTAAATCACAATGTTAGGCTGGGGGATCCTGGGGGGACCCTTGCTGCCATTCCAAGGCCCGTGCAATACAGTCAGATATTCTACAGGCTGAAAACGTAAATACAAGGCTAGAAAGCATGATGGACCTTCCTGGATTACAAATCCATAATGGATAGTAAAGGACATTAGGGAGGACTTGGGGTGTACACCTATCCCACTGCAATTTGTTTGATGTCTGTCTCCTCTTCCAGAATGTCTGCCCCACGGGGGAAGGAGCTTGGTAGGATTTGCTCACTGTTGATTCCTATGACGAGAAGAGTGCTCAGCACATAATACTCACTCAACAAATATTTGTGCCCAGGCGCGGTGGCTCATGCCTGTAATCCCAACACTTTGGGAGGCCGAGGCGGGCGGATCACCTGAGGTCAGGAGTTCGAGACCAGCCTGACCAATATGATGAAACCCCGTCTCTACTAAAAATACAAAAATTAGCCGGGCGTGGTGGCGGGCGCCTATAATCCCAGCTACTCGGGAGGCTGAGACAGGAGAATTGCTTGAACCCAGGAGACGGAGGTTGCAGTGAGCCAAGATTGTGCCACTGTATTCCAAGCCTGGGCAAGAAGAGCAAAACTCCGTCTCAAAACAAAACAAAACAATAAAAACAAATATTTGTTAGGTGGTTTTATGGAGGACTGGCCCCCAGACTTGACCCATGGGGACGTGTTATCTGTTACTTCAAGACCAACACCATGGAGAAGGAAAAGGGTCAGAGAAATGGGAAAGAGCAAGAGCCAGAAAATGGTTTGAATCCCAGCCCTGCTCCTTGTGAGCTTAATAACCTCTGGCAGTTTACTTCTCTAAACTCCATTCCCTCATGTGTTAAACAGGCATCGGGTGGGTGTGGTGGCTCATGCCTGTAATCCCAGCACTTTGGGAAGCCAAGGTGGAGAATGGCTTGAGCCCAGAAGTTTCAGAGCAGCCTAGGCGACATGGCAAAACTCCATCTCTACAAAAAAAAAAAAAAATATAGAAAAAATTAGTTGGACGTGGTGGTGCACACCTGTAGTACCAGCTATTCAGGAGGGCTGAGGTAGGAGGATTACTTGATCCTGGGAGGTCGAGGCTGCAGTGAGCTGAGATCACACCACTGCACTCCACCCTGGGTGACAGAGCAAGACCCTGTCTCAAAAAACAAACCCCAAGGCCAGGTGCGGTGACTCACACCTGTAATCCCAGCACTTTGGGAGGCTGAGGCGGGCAGATCACCTGAGTTGGAGACCAGCCTGGCCAACATGGTGAAACCCCATCACTACTAAAAATACAAAAATTAGCCAGGCGTGGTGATGGGCATCTGTAATCCCAGCTACTTGGGAGGCTGAGGCAGGAGAATCATTTGAACCTGGGAGGCAGAGGTTGCACTGAGCTAAGATGGCGCCACTGTCCTCCAGCCTGGTGAAAGAGCGAAACTCTGTCCAAAAAAACCCCAAAAAACCCAAAGTGCCCCGACATCATGGGCCACTGACCCAGGAAACACATGTAAACATGCCAACTGTAGGGCCTGGCATGTAACAGGTGCCGAATAAACTAAATGTTAAGGATTCATGTGGTTTTATTACTCCCCTTCCTCTCAACATGTTCAGGACTCTCATGCCTCAGCAGTCTGTGAACACCAAAAACAACTTGGAGCAAAAGTGTGAACAATGAAGGTTGATTACCCTCAAAAATTAAGTTTGGAGATTTTTGTGTATTTCAAGCACGCATCAGTTCCTTCCTTGTACTCGCATAATATTGGGTTTCTCAGAATCTGTTAGTTCCAACTGTTAAATACAGTTATCTGGGGAGGAAGGGAATTATAAGAAACTAATACCTTCTTCCTTATGTATTTGTGCAATGTTTGTAGACACTTATGGCAAAGGAGGAAAAGATAAATTACAAGTACACAGCATGAGGCCAGGTGCGGTGGCTCATGCCTATAAGCCCAGGACTTTGGGAGGCCAAGGCAGGTGGATCACTTGATGTCAGAAGTTCAAGACCAGCCTGGCCAATATGATGAAACCCCGTCTCTACTAAAAATACAAAAACTAGCCCAACATGGTGGTGCCTGCCTGTAATCCCAGCTACTTGGGAGGCTGAGGCAGGAGAATCACTTGAACCCAGGAGGTGAAGGTTGCAGTGAGCAGAAATCACACCACTGCCCTCCAGCCTGGGCAACAGAGTGAGACTCTGTCTCAAAAAACAAAAAAAAAAAACAAAACAAAATACACAGCATGGAGGAGAATATCTGTGTAGAGGGCCACCTGCTTCACTGGCAAGAGGTTAGGAGAAGCTCTCAGGACCCTGGATGGTTTCAATAACGGATAGATCAATGGCCTAAACTTTAATCTCCCGCGGAAAGGACTCTCCCAGAAATCATCCTTATTCACCTGCCTCAAATGGAAGTTCTAGGATGTTTGCACCTGGAATGAGCAACACCAAGGAGGATAGGGCTGGAAAGGAGACTTCACCCAAACCAACCGGCCCTGCTGCCTGGTTTAGACCCTCAAGGAGGAGAGCTCGGGGCCCAGAGTTGCTCATTCTCTATTGCATGGCAGTTCCCAGATCCCAGGCTTAGAAACCTGTTTTTTTGTTTGTTTGTTTGTTTTTTGTGTTTTTTTTTTGAGATGGAGTCTCGCTCTGTCGCTCAGGCTAGAGTACAGTGGCGCGATCTTGGCTCACTGCGACCTCCACCTCCTGGGTTCAAGCGATTCTCCTGCCTCAGCCTCCTGAGATGGGATTACATGCATGTGCCACCATGCCCAGTTAATTTTTGTATTTTTAGTAGAGACGGGGTTTCACCATGTTGGTCAAGCTGGTCTCGAACTCCTGATCTCGTGATCTGCCCGCCTGGGTCTCCCAAAGTGCTGGGATTACAGACATGAGCCACCACACCTGGCCAAGAAACCTGTTTTATCAGCAGAGGTGGCAACCCAGAGAGCTTTCTGTCATGAGAAAAGCTCTACTGCTTCCGTTGGACAGAAGGGCACTGCCAGCTCCAGCAGCAACACACTCCTGCCGTGGTGGTGAATCCTGATGCCTGAGATGGGCACTGGAGACTCCTGAGGTAGGAATGACCCAGCCAGGAGCCCCACAATCCCTGCAAATGCCAACCTTCTTCTCCCCACAACTGTCACGAACTGAACACCAGCTCTTGCCTTTCCACATTAAGGCTTGTGTGGACCACTCTGCCTCTTACTCAATGTTTCCAGACCTAACATTTGTGTCAGCTGGCAGCAGAATTTTAGTTTTGCTGGGAATTTCTTTTCACACTGGGCTCCAGCTGGATGAGTTCTGAGGGAGACCACTGCTCCATCTGAAGCTCCGGAGTGTTAGCCATAATGGCAGAATGACCACAGACAGTCAGCCCCGTCTGAACAGCCTGTTGCTGCCAGATGGTGACCTGTTTCTGTTAAACCCCAGTGAGTTTCTGCCTGGCCTCAAATCATCACACAGGGCCTTTCAATCTGGATAGGCCTAAGCCATGGCCAAACCATGGAGAGAGCGAGCCCAGGTTGTTCTGTGATGGGATGGAAAGGACCACACAGTGTCACAAGGTTTCCAACAGAAACCTGACGTCAGAGAAGCATTTCGTAAAAGGAGAACCATATCTTAAAAGTGAACGGGCATGGGTCCGGGTGAGATGGCTCATGCCTGTAATCCCAGCACTTTGGGAGGCCAAGGCGGGCGGATCACTTGAGACCAGGAGTTCAAGACCAGCCTGACCAACATGGTGAAACCCCATCCCTACTAAAAATACACAAATTAGCCAGGTGTGGTGGTGGGCACCTGTAATCCTAGCTACTCAGGAGGCTGAGGCAGGAGAATCTCTTGAACCCAGGAGGTGGAGGTTGCAGTGAGCCGAGATTGCGCCACTGCCCTACAGCCTGGGCAACGGAGAGAGACTTTGTCTCAAAAAAAAAAAAAAAAGTGTGGCTAGGCACGGTGGCTCGCGCCTATAATCCCAGCACTTTGGGAGGCCAAGGCAGGTGGATCACTTGAGGTCAGGAGTTCAAGACCAGCCTGACCAACATGGTGAAACCCCATCTCTACTAAAAATACAAAATTATCTGGGCATGGTGGTGCATGCCTATAATCCCAGCTACTTGGGAGGCTGAGGCAGGAGAATCACTTGAACCAGGGAGAAGGAGGTTGCAGTGAGCCGAGATCGTGCCACCGTGCTCCAGCCTGAGTAACAAGAGCAAAACTCCATTAAAAAAAGAAAAAGTGAATGGGGCATGGACACAGTGGCTTGCACCTGTAACCCCACACTTTGGGAGGCTGGAGTGAGAGGAAGGCTTGAGGCCAGGAGTTCAAGACCAGCCTTAGCAACACAGGGAGACTCAGTCTCTACAAAAAAACCAAAAAACGAAAAAAGTGAATGGGCAGGGCTCAGAAAAAGCAGTTATCACTTCTCCACTAGTATCTCCTCCTGAGCCTGGGTGGAGTTACTCATGGGGTCAGGATCCCTCTGTGCACGACATGGTTTCCGGGTTAGGGACCTTCAGGTCCCTCCCCGCCCTCACCAGACAGCCTTTACTCTGGGAGAGAGGAAAGAAGGGAAATAGCTACTGAGAATTTAGGAAAAGGAGGAAGAGGAGCAGGCAGAAGGCACACTGACCCTTAACACTTCAGTTTGTAACGTGTGTGTAGATACTATTTTATGTAAATCTTTGTCCTGGTGACTCAGGTCCTTAGGGATTTTGAGAACATTTAAAACTCTTATGAGTTTTTCTGTAAAGCCACAGAGAACAAAACTATTGATCTAAACCAAATAGTCAATACAATTTTTACATCTACCTACCTACCAGTCCCTCTCCAGGAATGAGCTACCCCAGCTAATTTTTTTTTTCCCCCGCCGAGACAGGGTCTCACTCTGTCACCCAGGCTGGAGTGTAATGGCATGATCCTGGCTCACTGCAGCCTCGAACTTCTGGGCTCAAGTGACCCTCCTGCCTCAGCCTCCTGAGTAGCTGGGACTATAGGCATGTGCCACCATGTCCACCTAATTTTTTATTTTTATTTTTGAAGACACAGGGTCTCATTATGTTGCACAGGCTGGTCTTGAATTCCTGGACTCAAGTGATCCTCCCACCTCAGCCCCGCAAAGTGCTGGGATTATAGTTGTGAGCCACTATGCCCACTGCCTCGCCTCCCCGCCCCCAGCTAATTTTTTTGTACTTGCAGATCTAACCTATCTCAGGAGTAGAAAAATGAGAAAAAGTTCACCATGCAAGGCAGCCTTTTCAACTGCACAGACAGGCTGGGCTGAACAACAGCTGTGGCTCATTCACCAGCGCCAGTAAATCCCGATCCCGACTAGGGACTGGGAGACTCCTGCTCAAGGCAGTGTGCCTGGCCAGAAATAGAACTTCACTCAGAGCCGACGCCGGTGAGGCACTGTCTGCCCAAACCGAAGTGGGTGGGAGACTGAGGCGAGAGAAGGTTGTCAGGACCCAGGAACTGAGAGATGGTTACCCTATTACAATTCATTTATCCCTTTTAAAGGGTAGGAGAACAGGGGCAATTACTTTTCATTTTATGTACTTCTGAGCTATTTGTGTGTTTTTAAAAACAACTATTTTCTTAGAATAATTTTACGGCCAAGTGCAGTGGCTCATGCCTGTAATCTTAGCACTTATGCAGGCCGAGGTGGGAGGATCACCTGAGCTCAGGAGTTCGAGACCAACCTGGGCAACATAGTGAGACCTTGTCTCCACACTAAAAAATTAAAAATTAGCTGGACGTGGTGGCATATGTCTGTAGTTCCAGCTACTCAGGTGGCTGAGGCGGGAGAATCGCTTGATCCCAGGAGTTGAAGGCTACAGTGAGCCATGATGGTGCCACTGTACTCCAGCCTGGGCCACAGAGTGAAACCCTGTCTCAAACAAACACACACACAAAAAGAATCATTTTTCATTCTCTTATCCTACTCAGTGTCCCTTGCAGGATGCAATGTCATTGCCTTAGGGAATCTTCCCTGATCGTCTCCAAAGCAAACCTCCCTGCCAATTCTTTATCACATTGCTTTAATGCCTTCATAATGCTTACCATGATCTGAAATCATCTCTGTATTTGTCTACGAATTTATCACCTTCTTTTTCTTCTAGAATGTCAGCTCCATGAGGGCAGATACTCATCTGCCTGTTCATATGAACCTTCCTAGGGCCTATGATGGTGAGGTTCTAGGGAAGGTGCTCACTAAATAGTTTTGAATAACTGAATACAGGGACACATGATGGGATTTACAAGTGTCCACATTCACTCCACAAGCCTAATGTGCAAAAACACAGCTACAATAGAGATTTGGTTAACTATAGCACTGGTGCACCAACTTCTCTGGAAGTAATCCCTGGCCTACCTTGGCAAGGACTTTTTCATATGAACACATGCGTCGTATGCGAACTACTGCCTGTGGGCTAAAACCAGCCTGATACCTATTTTTGTAAATAAAGTTTTATTGGAACAAAGCCACACTCATACACATTTGGTTGCTTTTGAGCAGAACTGAGCAGTTTCAACAAAGACTATACGGCCTGAAAATATTTGCCATGTGGCCTTTTAAGAAAAAGTTGGAGCTTGAAGAAACAGCAGTGTAGTATAAGACTCTCACTGAAGCCGGAGGCAGTGGCTCACGACTGTACTTTGGGAGGCCAAGGTGGGTGTATTACTGGAAACCAGGAGTTTGAGACCAGCCTGGCCAACATGGTGAAACCCTGTCTCTACTAAAAATACAAAAATTAGCAGGGCGTGGTGGTCTGTGCCCGTAATCCCAGCTACTTGGAGGTTGAGGCACGAGAATTGCTTGAACCCAGGAGGAGGGGGTTGCAGTGAACCAAGATCATGCCACTGCACTCCAGTCTGGGTGACAGAGCAAGACTGTCTCAAAAAAACAAAACAAAAAAAAAAAAAACCTCGGCTGGGTGCGGTGGCTCACACCTGTAATCCCAGCACTTTGGGAGGCCGAAGCAGGCAGATCACCTGAGGTAGGGAGTTTGAGGCCAGCCTGGCCAACATGGCGAAACCCTGTCTCTACTAAAAATACAAAATTAGCCAGGCGTAGTGGCTCATGCCTGTAATCCCAGCTACTTGGGAGGCTGAGGCTCGAGAATCACTTGAACTTGGGAGGCGGAGGTTGCAGTGAGCTGAGATCGTGCCACTGCACTCCAGCCTGGGCAACAAGAGCGAAATTCCGTCTCAAAAACAAAAACACAAAAAACACCACCACTCACTGAAGACTGCACAAGGGTGATCTGCAGAGTCCACAGAGACGCTTGCAAGTAGTAATGGTGGCTTTTATTTAGGCCTGACTGTAAGCAAGGTATTGTGCTAAGTGCTGTAAGTGTGTTCTCTCATATAATTGAATTATCATTATAGCATTAGTAGAAGGTTCTCACTGCTGATGCGAACAGTGGTCCAGTCATCTGCCAGGATCGAGATGGTCAGTTACAAACCCAGACCCAAGTCTGCATACCGCTGAAGCCTGCGTTTGTGTCCACTAGGCTACATGGCTTCCACAGAAAGCA
This sequence comes from Homo sapiens, assembly GCF_000001405.40. Taxonomy (NCBI): domain Eukaryota; kingdom Metazoa; phylum Chordata; class Mammalia; order Primates; family Hominidae; genus Homo; species Homo sapiens. The sequence continues at coordinate 15,689,446 of NC_000001.11, read as the reverse complement.
CCTTCCAGCCGCATCTTGCAGAACCCTTGGCAATCTTAAGACAGGTCCCTCTTAAGACAGGTCACGCCTGTCCTCGGAAGACCATCTGGAAGGCCCCACTTCCTTGGGGATGCCTAGGCTGTTTCTTCTGTCTTGAATGCCTGCTTCTTCTCTTTCTCTGAACTCTACCAGTATTTCTTTCTTTCTTTTTTTTTTTTTTTTGAGACGGAGTTTCGCTCTTTTTGCCCAGGCTGGAGTGCAATGGTGCCACAACTCACCACAACCTCCGCCTCCCGAGTTTAAGCGATTCTCCTGCCTCAGCCTCCCGAGTAGCTGGGATTACAGGTATGCACCACCACACCTAGCTAATTTTGTATTTTTAATAGAGATGGGGTTTCTCGATGTTGGTCAGGCCGGTCTCGATCTCCTGACCTCAGGTGATCCGCCCGCCTCGGCCTCCCAAAGTGTTGGGGTTACAGGCATGAGCCACCGCGCCTGGCCAGGAGGTTGCTTCTTATGGCATATAGTCTTTGCTCATTCTGCAGGCATATGCAGCAGACACACCAGCTCCTCAAAAACAGAACTTGGGAAAATCACTGCCTGCCTTCCCTCCCCTGGAGAAGATGTTATTTAGTAGAACCACATGCTGATTCAAAAATGCCAAAGCTGTCGTTGACTTGGACATTTCTCTTTAACAAATCGGCAACCACAGGCTTTACTGGCAGCATCTGGGATGTTTCTGCTACTAGCTCCCTTTCTAGAATTGAATATGAATTGAATTTGCTATTGTTATCATTTCCTTTTTTTTTTTTTTTTTTGAGACAGAGTCTCCCTCTGTCACCCACGCTGGAGTGCAATGGCGCGATCTCAGTTCACTGCAACCTCCACCTCCCAGGTCAAGTGCTTCCCTGCCTCAGCCTCCCAAGTAGCTGGGACTACAGGCACGCGCCACCACACCCAGCTAATTTCTGTATTTTTGGTAGAGATGGGGTTTCACCATGTTGGCAAGGCTGGTCTTGAACTTCTGGCCTCAAGTTATCCATCCACCTTGGCCTCCCAAAGTGCTGGGATTACAGGCGTGAGCCACCATGCCTGGCCTATTGTTATCATTTTCATTTAATCATGTTAATTATTAAACTCTCCAGTTCTCTCTCACCCTCAGGAATTCTGTGTCCATATCAGAACACAGGTTGCCTTGGATTCAGATGGATTAACAGCTGTTTCACCTGTCTGGTGTTATAATGGGTATTCACCATCACAAAATCTAAGTGTGAAAATAGTTGAACTCAACAATACTCCTTGGGGATAGTGGTTGCTTTGAGGGTGTAGTTTCTGGGAGGGGAACGAGGGGCCCTCTGGGATAATGGTCATGTTCTGTTTCTTGGTCAGGGTGCTGGATATGCAGGTGTTTTCACTTTGTGAGAACTCATTAAGCTGTCCGCTCAGGACCTGTACACTTTCCTGTAGGCATGCTTCATTTTCATAAAAAGTTCTAAAGTACTCTTTGCAAATATAGAAATACACAATGGATCTTTCCTTGCAGAAATATGCATCTCATTTTCTTCACGTAAAATCCTTATAAAATGACCAGTAAGACCATTTACTGGTGGTAGGATGCAAGAAAAAAGGCAAAGCAACTCTCAAGGTGCTATATAACACATTTAGGTGAGACTGGCATTCAAGGACAAATCTGACCCCAAGACTGCTGTCCTCAATGTCTACTGCTGTAGCCAAACTAACAGGTTCCTAGTAAAGCAGACACTCTGATTCAGAAAACCAAATGTAATTTATGATGCAAGAATCACATCGCAGTTGTCTCAAACAAACACACAAAGGAAGTGGCTACCAAGAACAAATGGTGTTGTAGAACGACCTTTAGGTGGTGAGGCAGTTGAGCCATCTTCAAACCTTGTAAAATTGAGGAATGGGCTCTTGCACAAAGAAAAAAGCTACCAGTTAAGACTGGGCCAGGATCCATGCTAAACACTCTACATGTTTATTAAAACTTCACCATGCCTGTAATCCCAGCACTTTGGGAGGCCGAGGTGAGCGGATCATGAGGTCAGGAGATCGAGACCATCCTGGCTAACACGGTGAAACCCCGTCTCTACTAAAAATACAAAAAAATTAGCCGGGCATAGTGGCGGGCGCCTGTAACCTGTAGTCCCAGCTACTCGGGAGGCTGAGGCAGGAGAATGGCGTGAACCTGAGAGACGGAGCTTGCAGCGAGCTGAGATCACGCCACTGCACTCCAGCCTGGGTGACAGAGCAAGACTCCATCTCAAAAAAAACAAAAAACAAAAAACAAACAAACAAAATCTTCATAACACAGCCTGACCAATATGGGCGAAATCCCATCTCTACAAAAAATACAAAAAGTAGTCGGGCACGGTGGCTCATGCCTGTAATCCCAGCACTTCGGGGGGCCAAGGCAGGCAGATCACTTGAGGTCAGGAGTTCAAGACCAGCCTGGCCAACATGGGGAAACCCCATCTCCACTAAAAATACAAAAATTAGACGCTGGGCGCCGTGGCTCACGCCTGTAATCCCAGCACTTTGGGAGGCCGAAGCGGGCAGATCACAAGGTGAGGAGATCGAGACCATCCCTGGTTAACATGGTGAAACCCCGTCTCTACTAAAAATACAAAAAAATTAGCCGGGCGTGGTGGCCGGCGCTTATAGTCCCAGCTACTTGGGAGGCTGAGGCAGGAGAATGGTGTGAACCCATGAGGCGGAGCTTGCACTGAGCGGAGATCAGGCCACTGCATTCTAACCTGGGCGACAGAGCGAGACTCCGTCTCAAAAAAAAAAAAAAAAAATTTAGCCGGGTGTGGTGGCGCACACCTGTAATCCCAGCTACTCGAGAGGCCGAGGCAGAAGAATCGCTTGAACCTGGGAGGTGGAGGTTGTAGTGAGCCGAGATCACACCACTGCCCTCCAGCCCAGGCAACAGAGCAAGACTCTGTCTCAAAAACAAACAACAACAACAACAACAACAAAAAAACACTCCACAACATCCCTAATTTTATCCCTGCTTTACAGATGAAGAAACTGGGCATGGAGAGGTTAATAAGCCTGACCAAGGTTACAGGGTTATTAATTTGGCAGGGCGGGGATTCAATCAGGCAGCTGGACTCCAGAATCCATGCTCCTAACAATGATGCTGCCCATGGCTTTGGTTGTGATACACCCAGGGATGGGTTTGCAGTTTCTAGTGTGACATTTTCTGGGGTGCATTCCAGCTCAATAAGTGTCCTTGTCCAAACACCTACAATTATATGCACCTCAACAAACACACCTAACTCATAAGTGACAGCCTGACTTACAAAGTGAATCTCTGCCTTCAAAAGACTCATGCTTATACATGTGACAGCGTGCCCCATGTCTACTGCCTCTCCATCACAGACTTTCTCCATTCATTTGTTTGAAATCCAAAGACAAACGCCGGGCCTACCTAAAGCCACAATCAGCCCAGATTAGATTAGAAAGGTCACCTGTGTTCCTTTCTCTTCCATTAGGAAAGATGTACTGCTTCTCAACAAAGTATTTGCTCATCCTGCCCTCCTTGAGTAAGCAAAAACCATACCCCATTACATTAGCAAAGCTCAGTAAAACTACGTAAAACTCTTGTTGGATCTCTGCAATGTTACTTTAGCTGTGCTTTTAGAGGAATGTTTTCAGTAAGGGCAATTCGAGAATCTATTTTCTTTTTAAGTCACATTTATCTTTATGAAAGGTAAAATAGCTTGCCTGTGTTGCTTTTGAGGAATCTCAGTGGGAAAACAGACAATTATTTAAATATGATGGTTGATCTAATTAATTCTATCCATTTTGCTTCTTCAAGTAAAATAAGCTGCTGAGTCCCTCACCCAAGCCATTTTCTTTCTCTTTTTTCTTTCTTTCTTTCTTTTTTTTTTTTTTTTTTTCAGTTTCTGAGACTATCTGGTGAGCCAGGAATTCAAATTACACAAACACACACACAGAGAGGGAGAGAGAGAGAAAAATCCATTCTGATTTGGCCATTTAGGTTTTCAGTGAATATGGATTCTTTTAAATTTATTATTATTATTTTTATATCCAGCCCAAAAACGTCAGAATATGGATTCTACCTTCTAGCACGGACCCTTTTGCGGATATGCCAACTTCATCACAAATACATGCCCTTGACAGGTATGTACTCATTTCTACCTGGAATTGGGACAGTGATGTTTACTGCGGCAAGCCCCACAGCAAGGTGTCTGTGGTGTCACCCGGTTCCCCGGATCAGCATCCAAAATGCAATCCCCATGTACTTCAGGTTCTTATAATCAAAGCCCCTAGTGAACCTCTTCAAAGCTACCATCCTTGAGCAAGATTATTCAGGGGACTTCCCAGGAGCAGAGGCAATGTCGCCGGGACCCAGGCCATGGGAAAGTGAAGTTGCTTATCACTGGCCTCCACCCTGACTGCCAGACCCTGGGCGACGCCAGCCTGGCGGGGGGACCCGGGGATGCAGCGGATTCCACAGGAGGCTGCATGGGGTTCCTTCAGGAGCTCCCGGGGGCGCCGCTGCCCCAGTGGGGGACCGGAGGGTCGCTGACCCCTCTCCGGGAGGGCAGGGCCCCGGGCCAGGTTTGGGGAAGCTCCGAGGATGCTGACCTCAACTTTGTTCTTTAAAAATAGCTCCGAGGCCGCGGCGCTCACGTGAGCGGCGCCGCTTCCCCTCTACCGGCCCGGGGCTCCCGGCCGCTCGTCGCCCCCCGGGTCGCGGAGGGGAAGGGCGGGGGGCCCCGGCCCGGGAGAGCGCCGCCGGAGGGCGTGGGGGGCGCGGCGAGGAAGGGGCCCCGGCCGGGAGGGAGGCCGCGCTCACCTTCTTCACCGACAGCGAGATGTTCTCCAGGATCCGGTCCTTCACCTCCCCCGGCTCCATGGCGCTGCCACCGTCGCCGCCACCGCCACCGCCACCGCCGCCGCCGCCCCGCCGCCGCTTCCCGCGCCGGGGGCCGGGGGCCGCCGCCAACCGCTGCCGCCGGCCGTACGGGGGCTCCGTCGTGCCGGCCGCGGGGCCCGGCGCCCGCCGCCCGGCCCTCGCCTCGCCTGGGCCCTCGCTCCACCGCGGCCCGGAGGCTCCGGAGCGCGGCCGGCGGGGAAGGAGGCCGCGGGCTGTGCGCCGCGGCGGCGGCGGCGGCAGGAACTGATGTCAGGCGGGGCGGCGCCAGGGCCCGCCTGCGCCTGGGGACTCCGGGGACCCGGAGACCCGCACAGACCCTTGGCCGCGGCCCTCCCCAGAGACCCCGAGACCCGCCCCCAGCCCTCCTCAAGTCACAGACTCTCCCCGGCACCCCAGAGACACCCTCAGACCCCAGGGACGCCAGAGACCTCGACCCCGCCTGCCGGGGACCTCGGGGCTCCTCAGAGACCCTCCCCAAGCCCTCCTCAGCCCACAGATTCCTTCAGGGACCCCAGAGACACCCTCAGACCCCAGGGACTCCGGACACCCCGACCCCGCCTGCCAGAGACCCCCACAGACCCTGGGACCCCGGCCCTCCTCGGAGACCCTCCCCCAGGCCTCGTCAGCCCACAGATTCCCTCAGGGACCCCAGAGACACCCTCAGACCCCAGGAACTCCGGAGACCCCGACCCCGCCTGCCCGGGACACCGGCCCTCCTCAGAGACCCTGGAGACCCTCCCCCTCAGCCCTCAGGCCATAGACTCCCCCCTGGGACCTCAGAGACACCCTCAGACTCCAGGGACTCCGGAGACCCCAACCCCACCTGCTGGGGACCCCCACAGACCCTGGGCCCCCAGCCCTCCTCAGAGACCCCCAAAGACCCCGAGGCACTGGCCCTCCCCAGAGACCCTGAGACCCTCCCCACAGCCCTCCTCAGCCCACAGGATCCCCCCACAAAACCCCAGAGACTCCCACAGGCCCCAAGGACTCTGGAGACTCCGACCCCACAGGCCAGAGACCCCCACAGACCCTGAGACCCCGGCCCTCCTCAGAGACTCGAGACACCCACAGACCCTGGGCCCCCTCCCGCCGGCCCTCTTTAGTCCACAGACCCCTCCTTGGAGACCCCAGTGCACCCCACTAACTCTGGCCAGGGACCCCAAGACCCTCTTAGCCTGCAAGCCCCACTTATCTTCCTCCCCTTCCTTAGCCCAGCCACCCCCTCAATGTGCAGACCCAGGCCCCCTGGCTTTCGCAGCCTGGAGGACCCAGCACCCCCACCGGGTCAGCCTAGACTCCAGTCCCCAGCCCTAGACCCTCCCTGGGCCCCCTGGCCCTCCACAGCCTCCCCTCCTCAGTGCCTCACCCTCAAGGCCCAGTCCTACATTTGAGGTCCCTGGTGTTCCTCCCCACCCCCAAAACACACCCTCCTCACCTTCAGCCCCAATGCCCCATTCCCACTCCTTATCCTTATCCCTCTTCTTCAGCCCCACGTATCCCAAGGGCCTCAACTCCCTCAGCCCCTGAAACCCACCGTAACAACTCTCTTCCCACACACCCTCCTCAAATCCACCATCTCATAAAGCCCCTGCACTTAGAGGTGTCAGTCTCCTACCTGGCTCTCTTCCCTCCTTAAGTTCCCAAATAAATATATCCTGACACATAGATTAGTCCCTCCTTTTTATTCTCAGACACCCCAGTTCTCAACTCTGGTTCCCTGGTCTTCCCTCTTCTCTGCTCAGGCCACCCCATCCCTGAAGTCCCCTTAGCATCTGAAATACTGATTCATTGCTTATCTCAGAGGGACCCCACAAGCCTCCAAAGGTCGCTCCCCAGCCCCTTAGTTTCCCAAGGAGAGACCCAAAATAGTGGTACTTTGTTTTTTGTTTTTTTTGTTTTGTTTTGTTTTGTTTGTTTTTGAGACAGAGCCTTGCTCTGTTCCCCAGGCTGGAATGCGGTGGTGCGATCTCTGCTCACTGCAACTTCCGCTTCCCAGCTTTAAGCGATTCTCCTGCCTCAGCCTCCCGAGTAGCTGGGACTACAAGTGCATGTGACACCATGCCCAGCTAATTTTTTTTTTTTTTTTTGAGGCGGAGTCTCGCTCTGTCACCCAGGCCGGAGTGCGGTGGCACAATTTCAGCTCACTGCAACTTCCTCCTCCCAGGTTCAAGTGATTCTCCTGTCTCAGCCTCCCCAGTAGCTGGGATTACGGGCGCCTGCCACCACGCCCAGCTAATTTTTTTGTATTTTTAGTAGAGACGGGGTTTCGCCATGTTGGCCAGGCTGGTCTTGAACTCCTGACCTCAGGTGATCTGCCCGCCTTGGCCTTAAATTATTTTTTAAAGACAGGGTCTCACTCTGTCACCCAGGCTGGAGTGCAGTGGTGGGTGTGATCATAGCTCACTGTAGCTTGAACTCCCTGGGGGATCCTCCCACGTCAGCCTCCCCAGTAGCTGAGAGTACAGAATAAAATACGCCCAGCGAATTTTATTTTTTGTAGAGACAGGGCCTCGCTCTGTTACCCAGGCTGGTCTTGAACTCCTGAGCTCAGGCCATCCTCTTACCTCAGCCTCCCAAAGGGCTGGGATTACGGGCATGAGCCATCATGTCCAGCCCAGGGCGTTTTCTTATTTGTACTGAGTTCAGGAAAGCAAGAGATAACAGCCTCTTTGGAGTTGTTATCTACCTCTCATATTCAGAGAGCAGAATAAGAACAGATGAGGGTTGAGACTCCAGTCACTGGATAGGTAGAGAAAAGGTTGAGGACAGAGGACACATTACTTTGAATGAGGAAATAAATAGCCAGGTATCTATGAGTAGAAATAGCCTCCTACTTACCAAAGGTGTTTGTGGAGTCAGAATTGCGCACTTCCTTCCCACTCCATCCTGGCTAGGGTGCATACAGGCCCCAACCTGCTGGATGCAGCTCTGGTTCATGAAAATGCAGTCCCCCAAAACTGACCCAACAAGCTTTGGGATTCTTCTCTGCTGTTGAATAGCAGGCCATCTTCTGCTGAGCACTGCGTTCTGCTGGGCACCTCCTCCCTAGGAATGGCTGATCATGGCTTGGGCACATGGTACACTCAGTGGGTATTTTTATTCCTTGGCTGTATGCCTGGGGCGTCCACTTGGTCTGTGACATAAGAAGGTGGTGGCATTTCTGCCATATTGTTTTTATCTGCATGTATTGGGAGATGGTCACATTCAGCATTTTACAACATTCAGAGGAATGTAAGGTCTCACTGTCTACCAAATTCCTAAGGTTTGCATAGGTATGTGAGCTGGTACAACAGACATTGTTATCTAACAACACTTCTTGCAGGAAAGAGGGAGAGGCCAAATGTGCATTGATGTGCAGCTAATTGCTCCTTGTCCAGAGTTCAAATATGGAATCCGTTCTGCGTGTCAAACACAGGGCGAGCCGGGCATGGTGGTGCATGTCTATAGCCTCAGCTGCTTTGGAGGCTGAAGAGGGAGGATCTCTTGAGCTCATGTGGCTGCACTCCAGCCTGGGTGACAGAGCAAGACTTCACCTCTTAAAAAACCCCAAAAAGCAAACCAAAAAAAAAAGGGTGACTCTGAAAAACACAAGATACTTATTTGTTATTGGGAGTCACTTAAGCTGGAAATTGAAGCTCATTCATTTATTGCACAAGACTTTTCTGATCTCATGAGAAGTGCATGGGACTCTGAGTCAAAAGGCAACAAGAATTAAAAGCCTCAACTGACTCATGCTAGGGCCTCAGGCAAGTCACTTTGCCTTAATTTCCAAATCAGTGACCCAGGAAAAATGATTCTATTCTTATTTTTTGTTGTTGTTGTTTTTTGAGATGGAGTTTTACTCTGTCGCCCAGGCTGGAGTGCAGTGGCTCCATCTTGGCTCACTGCAACCTCCGCCCCCCCCGGGTTCAAGTGAGTCTCCTGCCTCAGTTTCCCAAGTAGCTGGGATTACAGATTCCTGCCACTGCACCTGGCTAATTTTTGTATTTTTAGTAGAGTTGGGGTTTCACCATCTTGGCCAGGCTGGTCTCGAGCTCTTGACCTCATGATCCACCTGCCTCAGCCTCCTAAAGTGCTGGGATTACAGGTGTGAGTCACCGCGCCCAGCCTGTTGTTTTCTGAGACAGAGTCTCGCTCTGTCACCCAGGCTGGAGCGCAGTGGCGTGTTCTCAGCTGACTGCAGCCTCTGCCTACTGTCATAGCATTTAGAATACAGTCCATACTCTTTTCTCTGGCTTCCAAGGCTGATCTGATCCAGCCTCCCTCCCTGACTCATCTCCTAACTCTCCGCTGGTGTGTGCCAGCCCCACCAACCTTAGTTTCTCAAGCATGCTGGTCTGTTCGCATCCGAGGGCCTCTAGCTATTCACCCAAATCTGCTCTCTCTGGCTGCGTGTGATGGCTCACGCCTGTAATCCCAGCACTTTGGGAGCCCAAGGTGGGACGATCACTTGAGCCCAGGAGTTCAAGACCAGCCTGGGCAACAAAGTGAGACCCCCCATCTCTACAAAAAATCCAAAAATTAGCCAGGCATGGTGATGTGTTCCTGTGATCCCAGCTACATGGGAGGTTGAGGCTGCAGTGAGCCATGTTTGCACCACTGCACTCCAACCTAGGCAACAGAGCAAGACCCTGTCTCAAAACAAAAGCCAAACAACAAAAAAACAAAATCTTCTCTCTCTTTACACAGTAATAGGGTTGTAGCCAGGCAGAGTGCTGCACTACATTTCCCAGCCTCCTTTGTGACACGCACAGCTATATGATCAAATCCTCTCAAATAGAACATGAACAGAGAAATGTGATCCATTCCTAGGCTGGGATTCTATGCAAATTTCCTCTTCCATGCTGTTTCTTCTTCTACCAGTGCAATGAAGCCAAGGGGATGTCAGACATATAAAATATAGACACCCTAGTTCCCTGAATCACTGCATGGAAGAGAGCTGTCCATCAACCTAGAACAGCTGCCTTGAGCTGTAGCATAGAAAGGGCTATGCTACAGTTTCTTTTTTTCTGATTAATTTTCTGATTAATTTCTTTTTTCTGATTAATTTTTAACTTAATTAAAATGCAGATAAAGTTTTTAGCTGGCCATGGAAGTTAAAGGACAAAAGACACTGGGTGCAGTGGCTCACGCTTGTAATCCCAGCACTTTGGGATGCCGAGGTGGGTGGATTGCCTGAGGTCAGGAGTTCAAGACCCCAGCCTGGGTGACAAAAAATAAAAAAGAGAGAACTAAGGACAGATGTAAGGTTGCTTCTCTTTACACCTGATGATACAGTTTGGATATTTGTTTCAAATCTCATGTCAAAATGTAATCCTTAGGCCAGGCACGGTGGCTCATTCCTATAATCCCAGCACTTTGGGAGGCCAAGGCAAGCAGATCACTTGAGGTCAGGAGTTCGAGACCAGCCTGGCCAACATGGTGAAACCCCATCTTTACTAACAATACAAAAATTAGCCAGGTGTGGTGCACGTGCTTTAATCCCAGCTACACCGGAGGCTGAGGCAGGAGAACCACTTGAACCCAGGAGGCGGAGGTTGCAGTGAGCTGAGATCGCGCCACTGCATTCCAGCCTGGGTGCAGAGCAAGACCTGTCTCAAAAAAAAGAAAATAAATAAATAAATAAAAGGAATCCTCAGTGTTGGAGGTGGGGCCTGATGGGAGGTGACTGGATCATGGGGGTGGAGTTCTCATGAATGGTTGAGCACCATCCTCTTGGTGCTGTCCTCAAAACAGTGAGTGAATTCTTGCAAGATGTAGTCATGTAAAAGTATGTGGCACCTCCCCACCACTCTCTCTCACTTCCTCTTGCTTTTGTCATGTGATAAGCCTGCTCCTGCTTCACCTTCTGCCATGAGTAAAAGCTCCCTGAGGCCTCCCCAGAAGCTGAGCAATGTTGGCCCATGCTTGTGCAGCCTGCAGAATCACGAGCCAATTAAACCTCTTTTCATTATAAATTACACAGTCTCACTGAGCACGGTGGCTCACACCTGTAATCCTAGCACTTTGGGAGGCCAAGGCGGGTGGATCACTTGAGGTCAGGCATTCGAGACCAGCATGGCCAACATGGTAAAACCCTGTATCTACTAAAAATACAAAAATTAGACAGGCGTGGTGGTGCATGCCTGTAGTCCCAGCTACTTGGGAGGCTGAGGCAGGAGACTCGCTTGAACCCAGGAGGTGGAGGTTTCAGTGAGCCAAGATCACACCACTGCACTCCAGCCTGGGTGACAGAGCAAGACTCCATCTCAACAAAATAAAAATAAATTACCCAGTCTCAGGTATTTCTTTATAGCAATGAAAGAATGGCCTAATACACCTGATTTGAGCCTTTCCATTCTAGGAAGATAATGGGTGAGGTACTAGAGGTACTATGATCAAAGTCTGTACAACTATTAGCAGGGAGATACTGTTTGCCAATGTCCCAAATTAGTCTTATATGTGGGTATAATAAAAAGTACTACTTCACTGGGGCCAGGTGCAGTGGCTCACACTTATAATCCCAGTACTTTGGGAGGCTGAGGCAGGAACATTGCTTGAGGTCAGGAGTTCAAGTCCACCCTGGGCAACATAGTAAGATCCTGTCTCTAAGAAATTTTTAAAAATTAGCTGGGTGTGCCGGTATGCACCTCTAGCCCTAGCTACTTAGGAGGCTGCTGTGAGAGGGTGGCTTGAGCCGAGGAGTTTCAAGATTACAGTGAGCTATGATTGTGCCACTGTACTCCAGCACTCCAACCTGGGTGATAGAGTGAGATGCTGTCTAAAAAAAAAAAAAAAAAAACAAAAAAACCTACCTCACATAGAAGTCCGCAAGCATACTAACCCCCCTGAATGTAATCTGCCTTAAATCTACATTAAACTCAGCATCAGCAGTCACTGGGGCTAGAATCTCTCAACTGGCCTCACTGACCTGTCTCGGTTTCAGGCACACTTCTGCCACTAGCTATGTCACCCCACTTATGGCAGCCTCTCAGGGCCTTTGAAGTCAGGAAACTGAGGCAGCAAAATGGTGTTCCTGGATTTGTTCTTTCAAAACATATCTGAGTGGTGTAAGAGTTGAAGAAAGAAGAAAGAAACATGAAAAGTGGCTTAACAGTCAAACATGGGCTTATTTTGGAGTATAAACCTGAGAGGGGCTTCTGGCCAACTTAGGTCAGGAGCCTTTTCTCTTACAGACTATGAGTATTTAAGAGTTCAGGGTGGGAGAGCTTATCACAGGCTCGGAATGTTTCTGTGTCTCTTTGTCTTGCTTACCTGGGAGGGAGAGTTGTGTGTCTGTTCCCATACATCTTCCTGCAGCTGCAGGCATCCCCCCACCCCCTGAGTCTGCTTTTAGCTTCCTTATCTTAGTGCACCTAGAGGGAAAGGAATGTGCTTATTAGGGCCCACTGTTTTACTGGGGCTCATTGTATGAGTGTGAAGTTGGGTGGTTACCCGAGACTTTCTCCCTCCTTCTGTGCCTGAGCTGTCTTATCTGTGCTTACTGTCTGCTCTTTCTGGCTGCTTGTCATTAGAAGAGAAGTGATTTCCTTAAGACGCATGAGGTTTGAAAGGGAGCTGGAACGTAAAGTGGTGTTTGTCCAAGACAACGGTGCTCCTGCTCTGTGAAGTGGCTCCTCTGCACTAGGCACAATTCTAGACACTGAGGGTATGGTATTGAGGACAGACATCAATCCCTACCCTCATGGAGCTTACATTCTAATAGCAGAGAAAGAAAGTAAACAATATACATAAGTGAAACACAGAGTATGTTAGGTAGTGGTCAATGCAAAGGAGAAAAATGTAGAAGGGAAGTGATGTGGGGTGAGGAGGAGCAGCTACAATTTTAAATAAAGTAGGCCTCACTAAGGTGATATCACTAAGGTGTTATACTGTCACCTGGTATCACTTTGGTGAGGTCTTCTCTGGCTACTTTACCTAAGTAAGTTATCAAATATTTATCAATTACACCTGTAATCCCCACACTTTGGGAGGTGTGGATCTGTAGTTCCAGTTCCTCAGGAGGCTGAGGTGGGAGGATCTCTTGAGTCCAGGAGTTTGAGGCTGCAGGGAGCTGTGATCGCACAGTACTTCAGCCTGGGTGACAGAGCGAGACCTTGTATAAAGGTATGATTTATATTTATATTTACCAAATTTATTTATATTTATATTTACCAAATTTATATTTACCTGATTTATATTTACCAAATATTTTATTTGAGTAAAGACTTGAAAGAAGTGAGAGAGAAAGTCAGGAAAGTCTCTGAGGAAACAGCATTACAGGCTAAGGAAATAGCAAGTGCCAAGGCCCTGACATGGGAGCAGGCATGGGTTACTCAAGGCCATCGAGGCCAGGGTGGCTCGGAGCTGAAGGGTGGGAAAGCAGGAAGTGAAGGAGAGAGAGCCACAGGAGCCTTGGAGGCATTATAAGGACTTCAGCTTTTACTTTGAGTGAGATAGGAACCCACTGAAGGGTTTGGAGGAGAGGCCTGATCTGATTCAACACAATTATGTTGGCTGTTGTGCTAAGAGTGGACAAGACAGGTAGGTAGGCAGGAAGGCAGGTAGGTAGGTAGGTAGGTAGGTAGGCAGGCAGGCAGGCAGATAGGTAGGTAGGTAGGTAGGTAGGCAGGCAGATAGGTAGGTAGGTAGGCAGGCAGATAGGTAGGTAGGTAGGTAGGTAGGCAGGCAGATAGGTAGGTAGGTAGGCAGATAGGTAGGTAGGTAGGCAGGCAGGCAGGCAGGTAGGTATGTAGGTAGGTAGGCAGGCAGATAGGTAGGTAGGCAGGCAGTAGGTAGGTAGGTAGGTAGGTAGGCAGGCAGATAGGTAGGTAGGTAGGTAGGCAGGCAGGCAGGTAGGTATGTAGGTAGGTAGGTAGGCAGGCAGGCAGGTAGGGAGGCAGACAGGCAGAGTAGGGAGGCAGGTAGGTAGTCAGGTAGCCAAGGGCAGGAGCAGGGAGACCTGTTGCAATAATCCGGGCAGAAGAAATGGTGCCTGGGACCACGGTTACAAAAATGATCAGATAACGAATATATTTTGAAGTACAGTTGATAGGATTCTGGAATGGTTGGATATAGGTAGGGTGTGAAGGGAGGGGTCAAAGTTTTATTTATTTATTTATTTTGAGATGGAGTTTTGCTCTTTTTGCCCAAGCTGGAGTGCAATGGCATGATCTTGGTTCACTGCAACCTCTGCCTCCCGGGTTCAAGCGATTCTCCTGCCTCAACCTCCTGAGTACCTGGGATTACAGGCGCCCACCACCACGCCTGGCTAATTTTTTTGTATTTTTAGTAGAAACAGGTTTTCACCATGTTAGCCAGGCTGATCTCAAACTCCTGACCGCAGGTGACCCACCCGCCTCGGTCTCCCAAAGTGCTGGGATTACAGGGGTGAGTCTCCAAGCCTGGCCAGCGTCAAGGTTTTAAAGCAAGCAACTGGAAGGATGAAGCAGCCATTTACTTCTCGGGGGAAGACTGTGAGCAGAGCAGGTTGGGGGTGATGAAATATTTCTGGCTCAGGGCACTTCACTTTCACACATCTGGGGTCAAGCAGGGAAAATGTTGGCCTTTGGTAACGTTCTAGAAGGAACCAAGCCACACTGGTTCCATAGATAAGGCTTGGTAGTTGGTTAATCCCATTAGAACACTAACAGCTCTAAACAAGGAAGCAGTGTCTCGTGACAATTTGGCGTTTTTATATAAGATGACAATATGTTCTGCTTGCTACATATTTTGAGAGATTTAGAATGATGTTCTTTTCTTGAACATTTATTCTATTCCCTTGTATTTTTACTTTTAAATGTATGGAAGAACTTCAAAAAGTTTGTGGGAAAGTATATTATATAAAAACTATATGCATGGCTTTCAATTTTCTTTTGCACCAAAATACTAACTTGTCATAACATGTTCAAACACAATCTAGATTGAGGAACTAAGGGTAAGACATCAATTTGAAAAAAGCCCCTGGCCGGGCGTGGTGGCTCATGCCCGTAATCCCAGCACTTTGGGAGGCCGATGGGGGCAGATCACAAGGTCAGGAGATCGAGACCATCCTGATTAACATGGTGAAACCCTGTCTCTACTAAAAATACAAAAAATTAGTGGGCGTGGTGGCACACGCCTGTAGTCCCAGCTACTCAGGAGGCTGAAGCAGGAGAATTGCTTGAACCCAGGAGGTGGAGGTTGTAGTGAGCCGAGATCATGCCATTGCACTCCATCTCAAAAAAAAGAAAAAAGAATAAAAAGAAAATAGCCCCTATAGGAGCAACGTGAATTCTGCTAAAACTGAAGCAAGAACAAACATCAAACGTCTGGCGAAGCTTGGGTGGAAGAATGGTGAAATCACTGATGCTTTACGAAAAGTGTATGGGGTCAGTGCCCCAAAGAAATCAGCAGTTTACAAATGGACAATTCTTTTTAAGAAGGGACTAGGCCAGGCATGGTGGCTCACACCTCTAACTCCAGCACTTTGGGAGGCTGAGGTAGGAGGACTGTTTGAGCAGCTTGGGCAACATAGTGAGACCCTGTCCCAAGGAAAAATTAAAAATAAATTAGCCGGGGCCGGGTGTAGTGGCTCACGCCTGTAATCCCAGCACTTTGGGAGGCTGGGGAAGGTGGATCACCTGAGGTCAGGAGTTCGAGACCAGCCTGATCAACATGGAGAAACCCTGTCTCTACTAAAAATACAAAATTAGCCAGGTGTGGTGGCACATGCCTATAATTCCAGCTACTCAGGAGGCTGAGGCAGGAGAATCGCTTGAACCCAGGAAGGGGAGGTTGCGGTGAGCCGAGATCATGCCATTGCACTCTGGTCTGGGCAACAGGAGCAAAACTCCATCTCAAAAAAAAATTATGCGGCTGTGGTGGTGCATACCTGTAGTTGTAGCTACTGGGGAGGCTGAAGTGGGAGGATTACTTGAGCTTAGGAGGTCGAGGCTTCAGTGAGCCGTGATTGCACCGCTGCACTCCAGCCTGGGTGACAGAGCGAGGCTGTCTCAAAACAACCAACCAAAATAACGGACAACACAATGTGGAAGGAGAAGCCTGCAGCAGCAGACCATTCACAACAATCTGTGAGAAAAAATTCATCTTGTTTGTGCCCTAACTGAAGAGGACTGACGATTAGCAGCAGAAACAACAGCCAACACCACAGACATCCCAATTGGTTCAGCTTACAGAATTCTGATTAAAAAATTAAAGCCGAGCAAACTTTCCACTTGCTAGTGGCAAAACAGTTGAGCCCAGGTCAGCTGCAGACAAAAGCAGAGCTTTCAAGGGAAATTTTAAACAAGTGGGATCAAGATCCTGAAGCAGGAGTTTGAGACCAGCCTGGGCAACGTGACAAAATGCCGTCTCTACTAAAAACACAAAAAATTAGGCCGGCCATGGTGGCTCACGCCTGTAATCCCAGCACTTTCGGAGGCCAGGGCAGGTGGATCATCTGAGGTCAGGAGTTTGAGACCAGCCTGACCAACATGGTAAAACTCTTGTCTCTACTAAAAATACAAAAAATGAGCTGGGCGGGGTGGACGCCTGTAATCCCAGTTACTCAGGAGGCTGAGGCAGGAGAATCACCTGAACCCGGGAGGTGGAGGTGGCAGTGAGTCGAGATCGCGCCATTGCACTTCAGCCTGGGCAACAAGAGCGAAACTCGGTCTCGAAAAAAAAAACAAAAAAGGAAATTAGCCAGGCACGGTGGTGCACACCTGTAGTCCTGGCTACTCGGGAGGCTGAAGCATGAGAATCACTTGAACCTGGGATGTGCAGGTTGCAGTGAGCCAAGATTGCACCACTGCACTACAGCAACAAGGCGAGGCTCTGTCTCAAAAAAAAAAAATCCTGAAGCATTTATTTGGAGAATTATTATTATTATTTTGAGACAGAGTCTCGCTCTGTCACCAAGGCTACAGTGCAATGGCGCAGTCTCGGCTCACTGCAACCTCCACCTCCCGGGTTCAAGTGATTCTGCTGCCTTAGCCTCCCCAGTAGCTGGGATTACAGGCGCCTGCCACACCGCCTGGCTAATTTTTGTATTTTTAGTAGAGACGGGGTTTCACCATGTTGGCCAGGTTGGTCTCAAGCTCCTGACCTCGTGATCCGCCCACCTCAGACTTTCAAAGTGTTAGGATTACAGACATAAGCCACCGTGTCCAGCCAATTTTTGTATTTTTAGTAGAGACAAGGTTTCACCATGTTGGCCAGGCTGTTCTCAAACTCCTGACCTCAGGTGATCTGCTTGCCTCGGCCTCCCAAAGTTCTGGGATTATAGGCGTGAGCCACTGCGCCTGGCCTTTTTTTCTGTTGTTGTGAGAGAGGGTATCTCTCTGTCACCCAGGCTGGAGTGCAGTGGCGCCATCATAGCTCACTGCAGCCTTGAACCCCTGGGCTGAAGTGATCAGATCCTCCTGCCTCAGCCTTCCCAAAGTGCTGAGATTACAGGTGTGAGTAACTGTGCCCGGCCCCACTTCTCTTTTCTTAGATTTTTCCTCCCCCAAGCTGTAGACACAGACTTCTGCCATAAAACCCCAAATACATTTATTCTCTTGATACCTTTAGTCTTTTTAAAAATAAAGATGCAGCGAATTCCCCTTTCTCTGTGCCAAGGACCACTAATTCTTTCCACTAATAACTAATGTCTCACAATTCCTACTATAATTGTACTGTAAATAAGAGCTCTGTGAAGTACTAGAAATCTCATTTCAAATGGAACTGAATATCAAAAGATTGAGATCTGAATGACAGAATAATTATTTCTTACCTCCAACTAGTAATAGCCTTTGTTCTCATAATTCTTTTTAGACAGGTGAGAATAGCAGAACAAGGTGAGATTTGTCTAAGCTACTCCCTGTTTAAACTACCTTGTCTGTGTACATAGAAATCCTCTCAAATAAAGGCCCCATGGCACAAATCTATACACAAAGTAATGACTCTACACTGGTTAACACCCTAGGGTATCTCTAAGAGTCTGAAAATGGTTAATTTTTAATCACTTAAAGCACAGACACATCATTTAGAAAGCTTTAGGATAGGCTGGGTGTGGTGGCTCATGCCTGTAATACCAGCACTTTGGGAGGCTGAGGCGGGTGGATCATGAGGTCAGGAGTTCGAGACCAGCCTGGCCAATATGGTGAAACCTTGTCTCTACTAAAAATACGAAAATTAGTTGGGTGTGGTGGCGCGTGCCTGTAGTCCTAGCTGCTTGGGAGGCTGAGGCAGGAGAATCGCTTGAACTCGGGAGACTGAGGTTGCAGCGAGCCAAGATCATGTCACTGCACTCCAGCCTGGGTGACAGAGCAAGACTCCGTCTCAAAAAAAAAAAAAAAATTTCCTTTTAGATCCCAGATAAGAGCTAAGTTTGAAACAGGCTTTGAATACTAAGGCCCAGTAAGACTCAGGCCTGCAGCAAAAATCATCTATTCGGGTTTTCCCATTCAAATATACTTCAGATGAAGTCAAGGCAGGTGTCACTGAGAACGAACTAGAAGTGAGAAGCAAAATTAATCAGACCTGAAAACTGTGTAGAGGCAAGAATTGCTAGTGTGGTTACTGGCATGCAGAAATGGCTGCAAGTGAATAATCAGAAGTCTACCAAGTAAATTGTTTTCCCAAATTAACCACACACTCAGGTTTTAAAAGCCACTGACTCTTTTCCAAGGCTTTAGACAACCCTCGGATCCCCAGGCTTGCACCAAGCAGTAAGCTAGCTAAGAAGGCCACGCCAACTCCCAAGAGCAGACTCAATTCAGGTGGGGCTATGGACAATGGACAAGGGACTTCCTTCAAACTAGGCAATCAGAATTTTTAATAAACTTCTTCACAATGTCTGTTCAGCACGATTTTTTTTTGTTTTTGTTTTTGAGATGGAGTCTCACTCTGTCACCAGGCTGGAGTGCAGTGGCACAATCTCGGCTCACTGCAACCTCTGACTCCCGGGTTCAAGCAATTCTGCCTCAGCCTCCCAAGTAGCTGGAATTACAGGCACGCTCCACCATGCCCAGCTAGTTTTTGTATTTTTAGTAGAGACGGGGTTTTGCCATGTTGGCCAGGATGGTCTTATCTCCTGACCTCATGATACGTCCATCTCGGCCTCCCAAAGTGCTGGAATTATAGGCGTGAGCCACCACACTCAGCCTGTTCAGCATGATTTTCTAATTGTTGGGGCCAGTGACACCTCCATTTCCCATTTCCTTTTCCAATTGAGATCTGCTACTACAGTTATTCTATCCCAGCTCTATCACTGTCTATCGGGTAGAAACAGATAACATTTCCAAGTTCAGAGTTTGCCAGACCTTAAGGGGCCACAATCAAGACCTGAAAGACGTGGCATCAGGGAACTCTGGACGTTGAGGTCAATGGATTGCCTGGGGTGGGATTTGGGGCCATCTCCTTTGGTGAAAAGGTATGTGTTGTCTCTGTCTGTGTAAGTCAACATTGGAGGACTGCTTAGCCAACCAACTAGCTGTACCCCTCATCAGCCTGAACATCTATTTCACAGCCCCGCTTGCTTCTGGCATGGTCATGTGACTGAGTTCCAGCCAGTGAATGTGGGCAGAAAAGTCATGCACACCACTTCCAGGCCTGGTACATAACACCCCTTTCCCTGGTGTGCCAGCTGGATGCTGACGTCCAAGGCAATCTTGGAACCCACATGTTGAAAAAGACAGAATCCTGGTAGCCTGGAACCTACATGGGGCAAAGCCCTTCCCCCACATCAGTCTGTTAGACAAAGCACTTGACTTCTGGAAATTCCATGTAGCATCCTCAAATCCCTTGAGTGACATAATGAATACCAGCTCACATCTCATGAGCACTTACTTTGTGCCAGGTATTCTAAGCACTTCATATGATTAACTCATTTAAGCCCCATAATCTCTCTGATGGTCCCCATTTAACAGGTGAGGAAACTCAAGCACAGAAAGGTTAGGTAACTTACCCAGTCATATAAACCAGTAAGTGGCAAAGCTCAAACCCAATCAGCCTAGCTCTAGAATCTAGTCTTGGCCACCATACTCCATTGCTATTATTATAATTGAGACAGGGTCTTGCTGTTGCCCAGGCTGGAGTGCAGTGGCATCTCAGCTCAATGCAACCTCCGCTTCCTGGACTCAAACAATCCTCTCACCTCAGCCTCCTGAGTAGTGGGGACCACAGGTGCATGCCACCACGCCCAGCTTTTTCATTTTTAGTAGAGATGGGAGTTTCGCCGTGGTGGCCAGGCTGGTCTTGAAGTAATCCGCCCATCTCGGCCTCCCAAAGTGCTGGGAATACAGGTGTGAGCCATCGTGCCTGGCCCAAAATGCGCATCTTTTACATCAGCAGGGAGCTGTCCTCCCGCAGTACTAATCTGGAAGTTAATGGCTTTGAGAGGCCCACTTCTTCTGGGGTTCAGGTACACGCCATAAATTACAATGTCTGGGTATAAGCTATTTAAAGGAGTAGGGAGATAGAGACAAGGACACCACCTTGTCTAACTGAAGTAACCACCTCAATTTAAAAGAAATTGATCAAACAGAAGTCTTATGATAAAAACTTTATTGTCTTAAATATCAAATGTTTTACACACCACTTTTTCTTCAGAAAGTTCCTATTTAAAAAAAGAAAAATAAAATAAAGTGTTTTGATTATTTAGGGCTGACTTACATTTCAGTATGTGACAAAAATTCAAACCCAAATGCATCTAGCTCACTCAGTTTCAGACAGGTCCTATGTTCAGCCCCTAAACGAATGGCACAATGCCACCAATTTTGGGATTCCTGAGTTTGGTTCCCTTAAGTTCTCAGAGTTTTCCCAACTCTCAAAACCAAAGCATCATGGGAGTGACAGGGCCACTGGCAAGACTTTTTGCCAGTCAGCCTAGTTCTTCTTTTAAGATGCAGTAGTCTCAAAGCTTAAAGTCAGAAAATCTTGCAATACAAGAGTAACTGCAAGAACATATAAAGAAGGAAAAGAAAGGACGGGGTTTCTAGTTGCTAAGATTTGCCAAACATGGCTACAAAACTGGTAAACAAACCTTTCTTGAGTGCAAAGTCCATTAGCCCAACTTGCCATGAAGAGATTTGAAATAAAAATGAACAAATCAATTTCTGTTGTAGATACAAAGCGAAAAAATAAAATTCAATCAATATATTGAATTTCTCTGAGTTTATCACTAGAACTATTTCAAAAGGATGATCGGGGATAGAATAGAAATCTAGTCATTCAAATGGGAAGGTCTTGGATGGGTGCCATAAACTCAGCTGTGAAGATTCAGGAAAGGAAAAATAAGTCTGGTCAGCATCAGGTAATCTCAGACAGAAGGAATCAGGAAACGAATCAGCCTGCCTCGGGAAGGAAATACAGGTCTACCATTTTTAGGCCATAGACACATTCATTCAGGGTTGTGTGTAAAACCAACTCTTGTAAACAAAATAACTTCCCATCAGAAATGCATGTTCCCAGGAAAAAAAATACTGCAGCATGCCCCCCTCCCCAAATTAGCTAATAAAAACCTTCTTGCAGAACATAAAGAAACCTAGTTCTGTATAAATTATCATAATTTTGTATTTCATGCCCCCACGACCCCAATCTTCCATAGTTGGCTTAACATTTTTAGGTAAAAGAAACATTCTCTAACCCCCATGCCCTTGAACCATTTTCTTGGCCG
The DNA here is from genome assembly GCF_000001405.40 of Homo sapiens. Classification (NCBI taxonomy): domain Eukaryota; kingdom Metazoa; phylum Chordata; class Mammalia; order Primates; family Hominidae; genus Homo; species Homo sapiens. Next base: position 15,667,916 of record NC_000001.11, on the reverse strand, counting down.
ATTTCATTCCAGAAGATAGTGCCCTAAAACTTGTCAGCTCAGCTGTATCTTTTCACATTCTACAGCCTCCAGAGGGTCTAGATTACCAATCATCAATACATAACTGATAAACCTTTGAGAACATTTTCTAACTGTAAACCTCAGAAGTCACTAGTAGTTACGATCCAGAAATTCTACCTGTATGCTTCAGCATTACAACATATATGTGGCATTTAAAATAACAGGTTAAAAAATGTCCCTTTGATGAAGCTGTCCTGTAGACAGGCCTGGTAGAGCCTCAAATACTCCTGTCAATCCTGTCCACCAATCCCAGCCATCGCTGATTACATGTTCTGCTCTAGATTCCCGTTTTCACAAGTTGCACCCAGCTGCTTTAAAATAGCACATCCTGCAGAACCCTCTGCTAAGTCGTGCTAGCCCAGATGGTCAGTATTCCGGAGCAGCCGTGCTCACAAAGGGATGTGAGGAGGATGCTGCCGCACACTCCATGTTTCTACCCTGCATGTGAGGTGGTCTGATGGATTGACTGACTGTCACTGGTGCATTTTTAGGGTCATCTTCCATTTATTTGTTGCACTTCTTTCCTGGCCATCCCCTCTCCTCCAGCATTGTAAATGGATTTCTCAATAACTGATCTCCTCAGGCATTTATACATGTTACATATTTTGTTGGTTTCTCTGATTCCATTTAAAAAAAAATTTTTTTTTTTTTTGAGACGGTGTCTCACTCTTGCCCAGGCTGGAGTACAGTGACGTGATCCCGGCTCACTGCAACCTCCGCCTCCCGGGTTCAAGCGATTCTTCTGCCTCAGTTTCCCGAGTAGCTGGGACTACAGGCATGTGCCACCATGCCCGGCTAATTTTTTATTTTTAGTAGAGGTAAGGTTTCATCATATTGGCCAGGCTGGTCTCGACCTCCTGACCTCATATCCACCCACCTTGGCCTCCCAAAGTGCTGGGATTACAGGTGTGAGCCAACGCACCTGGCCTAAAAAAATAGATTTTTAAAGAGCTGTTTTAGGCCCACAGCATCTGATTCCATTGTAAGCCTGATTTTCCCAGTCTGCTCTGAAGTGGAACCAGGTAACTCTAATATGACTTTTAAAATAAATGCATGCTAACAGGCAAAAATAGATGTTGCTTTTGAAGCTAAAATTTGTTTCACGTCTCCCTTCTAGACTGAAAGCTTCACAAGGGCAGGGTTCCAATCTGTTTTAGTTACCCCTGAATCCCCAGAGTTCACCTGTGCCTGGCACACAGGCACTCAGTATTTGATGAATGAATCAAAGTAGCAAGGAATTCTTGTTCAAAGACTCATGTTGCATAGCCTTCAAGAGTACCAATTTCCTTTCAAATATGTAAGATCTTCTTGAACTTTTCTCTCCCTTAACCAGCACAACATTGATAGTAAAACAAAGAACATAAACATCTAAAAACTGTTTTTGGTGATTCAAAAATCCCTATTATAATCATAGCACTAAAGAAATCTAATGGTCTGATGCAGGATAACTGTGAATCAACTCAGTCAAGGTGAGCCTGAGGACCACTCTGTGTGCCCTCCATCTCCAGGAGAGCTATTTTCAAACTTTCCCCTAATACTCCTCTCATTCCCCACCAAAATTTGATGCCTCTGCTATTCAGAGAAACTAAGGCACAAAAGAAAATCAAGCACATCGAAGGTTCACTCCTAAGTTCATTCAGTGAACTCCTAGTAACACCTACTGAGGAATCACTAAGGTATAAAACTTGAACCATGATTTTACATTTCCAGTTCTCAAGGACAGGCTTTGAATTTAATTTGTTGTTAAGAGTAATTAGCAATTCTAGGGAAAAAAAAGCTATTTTTATTTTCTCTACCTCCTAACACAAAAGGTAACATTCATCTTCTAGGAAGGGAAACTCTTGATAACTCTGTGTCTTTCTAGGTCAGCCACAGACTACACTAAGTCACCAACTCCAAAGGGGAAATTTGGCTTTTTGGTGAGTACTTGTGCTAGAGAACAGTAGAATGCATAATCTGGTCAGCTTCTCTTGGGACACACTGCCAGTGATAACAGGTTTGAAATATGCAGCAGTTCAATCATCCTGCTCACCCTCACCACAGGTGGCAAACAGGTAGGAAAAGGCCATTGCAACGCCCTGCAGCTTTTCTGGCCGATGATTTGCAAGGCTGTTTGCTATATATATATATATTTATATATGTGGCGGGATAAAAGCCACCATAAGTGAAGAGTACGTCTGTAGATATAAAAATTGCTTGCTTTTAAATCCATATAAAATTAACTATACTTGTCAATCACCATATGTATATGCTAGCTTACACACATATATATAGACATGAGCTTAAAAGTTAACCTAAATTTTTATGGCTTTCACCGGAGATAGAAAGCTGTAGTAAGACAACCAGCAGATTCCACATTAACTGGTTATCATAAAATCAGTGACAAAAAGCCTCATGTTCCATTTCTATGTACCCTCTTGCTAGAGACATGCTTTGGGAAAAAACACATAGGGTTGTGTCTCCCTTTAGTACATATGAAGACAGGGAGCTCTAGAAGATGTGGGCTGCAAGGCAGAAGAGTTTTAACACATGCACTCGCCATCTCTCCAGCTTCCTTTGCCAAGCAACTGGTTACCTTTTTTTTTTTTTTTTTTGAGACAGAGTTTTGCTCTTGTTGCCCAGGCTGGAGTGCAATGGCGTGATCTCTGCTCACCACAACCTCCGCCTCCCAGGTTTAAGTGATTCTCCTGCCTCAGCCTCCCGAGTAGCTGGAATTACAGGCATGGGCCACCACACCCGGCTAATTTTTGTATTTTTAGTAGAGATGGAGTTTCACCATGTTGGCCAGGCCTGTCTCAAACTCCTGCCCTCAGGTGATCCACCCGCCTTGGCCTCCCAAAGTGCTGGGATTACAGGTGTGAGCCACCGAGCCTAGCTGCAACTGGTTATCTTTATGTGTTAATAGCTGAAGCCCAAACTGTGGGATGAAGGCTATTGGCTGTCTGGAGCCCTGAACAGGTATGAGTGGAAATAATTCTTAACAGCATCAATGAGCAAAATCTATAACCTATGTAAAGCTGCTGTCTGGTTACCAAGCACATCTTTCCGCTCAAGAACCAACTTCAGGGAAATGGCACAAATTACACAGGAAAATCTTCTCTCTCTGGTGAAGAAACAGAGACCGCCCTTGTAGTTAAGTGCTGACCGCAGAACTGCCCACTACTGGTTATGGTAAAGGAGCTGTCCGGTAAAGGTGCCCATTACTGGTTATTACTGTTGGCAACCAGAATTCACAGGGATTTGATGGTATTCTTAGAAGTTAACCCATAATTTCTGCATTTCTGGAGCTCTTAATTGAATAAAAGCTGACGATGAAGGTTCACTATTGTAATGCTCCTTAATATACCCTTTGCATTCTAGAGCTGCTAAATTTAAGTCATCCAAAATATTAACAGTGTCAATAGCTTTTTTTTTTTTTTTTTGGGTGAGACAGAGTCTCACTCTGCCGCCCACACTGGAGTGCAGTGGCGTGATCTAGGCTCACTGCAACCCCCATCTCCCAGGTTCAAGCAATTCTCCTGCCTCAGTCTCCCAAGTAGCTGGGATTACAGGCGTGTGCCACCATGCCCAGCTAATTTTTTGTATTTTTAGTAGAGATGAGGTTTCACCGTGTTGGACAAACAGCTTTATTTTTATAAAAATGATGGGCAAGAAGATTTTAAAAATCAAAAGCAATTATACTTTGGCCTTTATGTAGTCCCAGCTACTCAGAAGGATGATTAAGCCCCAGAGTTTGAGTCCAGCCTGGGCAACACTGCAAGACCCCATCTCAAAAATAAAATGATGGAAGGGACAAGGATATTTGGCAAGTGGGTTAAGCTCATTCAGAGTATTCCTAACAGGAATTCATGTACAACTATAGATCTATTCCTAAAAATAAATATACATATACATACACAAAAAGCTATCCTAATGAAATCTTTTCCCGACTGATATTATATATTCCACTTGGAACTGTTTCCCAAATATCCACACTGAATTGTGTGCCAAGGTTCGTTCTGCTTACATGGAAGGCCCTTTAGGAGGGAGTCTATTGTCATCAGTAAGTTCCCCCACCCTTCCCACCCCGTGGTTCCAAAGATTTATAAGCTTAGAATACATTCCCAAACCACCACCCATAAAGCAAATACAGGGTCCCATTGCATTGCTACTAGATTTTGCATCAATCATAGCACCAACTATTTAATTACAATCACAGCTTTAAGTCAGCTGACAGAAATCCTATGAGCAGTTTCCTAGTGCATCGTACATCTTTGGTGTAGGGCAGGTGAAAGGGTCTACAATGTGCAGCTGTCTAAAAGAACATCTTAAAGACAACCTGGCTGACCTGTTGTTCTTCACGCCCTCTGAAAAGCAGTAAACTACAATTCCTTCTGTCAACCATTTCCTAACTACATAAAGGATCATGATGAATCTACGTGACACGCCATCCCATCACTAAAGTCTTATAACATACATACAAACATCATAGCAAAAGGAAAGAAAGAAGTTGGATGGGGTAGAAAAAAATGTCTCTAAGTGCCCCTAAATTAAAATTTCAAAAACTCCTGAGATATGAGCCTCCATTTTGATTGTGCTCAATGACTTAAAATTTGATGAAACAAACAAGCTTACAAAGAGTCAGACTTCAGACAAAATCATTTAACACTAAGTTGAGAAATCACTCTTTCGAAGCTTCTGTTTCAAACATGTTACAAACTATAATCTAGAATCAGAAATTATGAATCTCAAAATTCTTTTCAATAAAACCAAGACTTCAGATTCCTGCTAGGTACCCAAAAGAGCAGTTTGCCAGGAAAGAATTATCTAAAACCTATCCAGTAGGATTATTGCACAGTGGGGCCCACAGGACAATGATTTCCAAGGGCTAGTCCTTATATAAAAAAAGGCCACAATAAATACATCTATATATTATGCCCCACTCTAACTTGACATGGTAAACACAAATAAGATGAATTTTGCTTAAAAAAGAAACTCCTGAGGAAAGAAAAGGATGGAAAACTCTACCAAGGCCACTTAAGTCAGAAACTGTAATTACTATTTCCACTGCCACAAAGGACACTCTCCAAATAGACTGACCGTTCCAAGCACCAAGATTAACCAGTGACAAGGTTATCACACTTAGTATTTCACTCAGATCACAGCTCACACTGAGCGTTTGAAGAACTTCCTGGCAGAAGAGTCTAGAAAGGAAATAAGCTGCTGGCAATGAATCCATTCCTGAACTTAATTCCACCATTAGTCATTAAGGGTTGAGGTGTTATCAGTGAGATGCTAGCAAACCCAAACTCTAGCAAATTCCAGTGTTTAGGCCATTATTTTTCCCTCACAGTTCTTGACATCTGCAAATGGAATTATGGTTGTTCTGTTCTTTTAAGAATCTGGGTAGCACCACGTTTCACTTGCATTGTAACTCCCCCACAATATCCCATCCAATGTAATAAGGATTCATGGCAATCCATGCAGCAGCCTGTGATGCACAAAGTAGCCCAAGATTTAAACCCTCCTGCTCGCCCTATTAAAATGTCAAATCCTAAGCACACAAATAAAAACATACCACTCTACGATAAGATATTCAATTATTCTCCAATTTCCTGTTATAATTAATGAATCATGATACACAGAGCACTGGGTAGAATTCCAAACACCAAATTATGTGGTCAAAAGTTTCTAAATTGACAACTGAGCCAGCAAACCATACCTTGCCATCAGCACAGACACACAGTCACAGTGTGGAGAGTTCATCTGTTTTTAGCTGGATGGGTAGTGGGATTTCTCATGGCTTCTGCTTTTCAAAGCATTTACTCTCATTCTAAAACAGTATGCTACACACAAAACCATCCATTTTATTCCAGGATACATCTTAATGAGAATAAAAAGCTTCTGTATGCACATACTGCCAATACATTTAAAAAGGCCTAAATTTTAACAAGTAGGATAGACAAATTCATCAGACAAAAGATCATAAATTACTTTGGCCGAAAAAAATCTTTAAAAAAAATCTGGCTCAACATTCTGCTTGCAGGTTTCTATATATACTGTATATGTGGTGAGTGTGTATGTGTGCGTGTATATAGAGAGAGCTTTCTTTTGTTTAAAGGGAATGGAGAACGGTCTAGCCCACTTTCCCACAGTCATGTAGGAACTACGATGTTTTTTGCGAGCAAAACAAGAAGTGCAAGGTCTGCATTCCCACCAACTCGATGCAAAGCTCCAAGAGCTTCCTGCAAAGTAAAGCCAGCACGGAGAATGCGGTCAATATCTGTGGCAGGAAAAATCAATGGTGGAAGAATGGCAGGACTTGATGATGGATGGCTGGTAGGTGGTTCATATTCAAGTAATGGCCTCGAAGCATCAGGACAGACATTTTCTCTGGTTTCAGGCCTGTCTGTTACTGAATTCTGTATGCCCTGACCTAAGTCTTTAACCAATATGAAATTGGATGACAAAGACTTAGTTTGCTCAGAAGTCTGATTGAGTGCATCCTCCTCACCTGCTAAAAGTTTGGGTGAAATTTCTACACCTAAGGTGCAGTGTAACTGATTGGATGTTTTAGCTGAGGTTACAGTGACAGAACGGTTCTTATTTATGGATTCCCTAGATTTGGGGACACCTTCCTTATCGGTTGACAGGCCATCACCTAGACTCCTGAAGTTTACATTTTCTACAGCTTCTCTTCCAGTGTCAGATGAAGTACCTGTTAATTTTTCTGTCTCCACTGATACAGATATGGCCTGATGAAAGGAGACTTGTGGACACTGTTCATTCTGGGTAAGATGCTCATTTTGGGTCCATCTTTCAGAAAGGTCTTTAATACTGGTTTGGCCCTCAGCTATGGTTTCTGATTGACAGATTACTTCTTCAGATGTATTTTCTGAAGCTGGTTTACTGCTAACAACCAAAAGTTCATGAAGTTCTTTCAAGGCTGCCGTTATAGACGGGCAAGATTCTTCTGCTGACTCCACAGAAGGCTGACAACTGCCACAGAGACTTGGAGAGGAGTAATGGCCATATTCTTTATTTGTTCCAGGTATTTCAACATTAGTTTCTGGGGGCTGTAAATCCTGAGTGGAAATGGAATCATTCAAAATTTCAGATGAAGGGTTACATTTTGATGTTTCTACTTCCATCAAGGGATTATCTAAAGTGAGATCCAATGCACCAATGTTCTTGACATTGGCATTCTGCCTGCCTGTTGAATTAAGCAAAGTAACTAGGGACTGTTGAGCTGTATCGATTTCCATAAATGTTTCTGAATTTGAGCAGCCACTGCATTCTGAAGATGGAATACTTTTCTTCGCACTTGGAGGATCCACATTCTGTGGGAGCCCATTTCCTTTCATCGTAGCTTCCAAATCAACAATTTTGTGTTGATTCTGTTGCCTTTCTTCAGGAAGCTCAAGGTCCCCTATGTTACAAAGATATTCTTGGTCATGTGAAGCTTTTTGTTGTGCAACCTCATACTGTTCATTCCCTGGTTCTTCGTGCTGCTGAGGGTCACTCACTTGACTCAGGTTCTGATTTTCTGGATGCCAATCCTTTTCACCTAGAAACATCTGTGGTTCATGCATCCTAGTAGATGTGACAGATAAACTAGCTTCCTGTCTTGTATGGAGATGAAATTTGAGGCCCTGGGTGCTTCTTTCAGCAGATTTCTCCAGATTACCTGCAACAGTTATTTCTTCGGATGAATTCTGCATAGGCATAGCTGGACTCTGGTCTGTTGGAGCATGGTCTGCTGAGGAAGCATGATCAGAAAGATCTTGTAAAGAAAGATGTTCTTTCTTTTCAGAGTTTAGCTGGAATTCAGCTGAAGCCTTCAAAGCCTTCACAGCTTTAGGTTCAATGCGATCTGAGTCACTGGGCTTGATAGGGCAGACTGAAGCAGAGACAGAGCGAGCAAGACTCATAGGATTACCAACATCAGGACTCTGTCCTGAAGAACGGGCGGGATGGTTAAACCCATCTGAAGTTGGTAATGATGACATTCCCAGTGAGGTAGATTCTTTACCACTTTTCTCTATATGGAACACAGGGGAAAGGAAAAAGATTAATTAGCAGGTGACTAATGCCACTAAATTACCAGAGGATACAAATCTAAACAGCGTAGAATAAAATAAGGTCCTCAAACTCGGGTTTCTCTTACACAAATAGAAATGATTTTAAAATTACTTTCTCATTGTGGTAGACATTCACAGCATCAGAATAAGAGGTAGACATGTTCTTAATAAAATCTGCATACTGTAATTCAATGTGATTAAGTATCCATTAATATGCATTCACATAATGGCGGGGTTAGTGCTCAGGAATGAAGGACATTTATGTTTCTTTATTCCCTAGTCTAGTCTACAACTCTAGAATAGTTTCTCCAAGTGTACTTTTTTCACCACTTGCCCTAAAACCACCAGGGACGCTTGTGAAGTATGCAGACCCTGGGGTACCATACTTGAGAGTAAATCCAGGAATGTGCATTTTCAATAAGCTCCTTGGGTGATTCTTAAGGATATTACAAATCCTGAGAATCTTTGCACCAGAATGATTCTCATGTTAATGCACTTTTCTTGTTTCAAATGTGAACACTGAGGTTACAAATGAGAAGTCTTAAACCAGGTATACCTGGACAGAGAGGGAATTATAAAGAGAAATAAGAAATAACATAATGCTTGGGGACAGAGAAGCAAATGTTCTATTTTATTTCTAGCCAAGCTTTCCAAAAATCATGGTAAAACTGGGTGAGCATCTGACTCAGAAAACAAAAGTAAACTAATGATCAGCAGATTAAATCACAATCATCATCCTACCAAATAATACAACTCTAAACTTAAAAGGCTTATAAGTTTTTATCACATCAATAGTGTGCAACTAAGTTAAGAATATTTAAATGTTTTAAAGAAAGGGGAATGTGGAGGGAGATGGTTCATTAATAGTTTTTCAACTGGCAATGACTATTTAGATTCACTGCTACCTTAGACCACCCAAACAAGACGGCTCAGTGTAAGCATCATAGTATCATTAAACATCATTTCCAGCTCTTCTTTTGCCACCAATCCAGTTAAAAATTGACCTCTACGCATGTAAGTGTAAGAATTTTTTTTTTTTTTTAAGACTGTGTTTTGCTCTTGTTGCCCAGACAGGAGTACAATGGCGCCATCTGAGCTCACCGCAACCTCCGCCTCCCGGGTCCAAGCGATTCTCCTGCCTCAGAGTAGCTGGGATTACATGCATGCGCCACACACCCGACTAATTTTGCATTTTTAGTAGAGATGAGGTTTCTCCACGTTGGTCAGGGTGGTCTCAAACTCTTGACCTCAGGTGATCCGCCCGCCTCAGCCTCCCAAAGTGCTTGGATTACAGGCAAGAGCCACCGCACCCGACCATTGTAAGATCTTTAATTAAAAATCAAAAAGGGCTGGGCACAGTGGCTCATGCCTGTAATCCCAGCACTTTGGGAGGCCGAGGCAGGTGGATCACCTGAGGTCAGGAGTTCGAGACCAGCCTGGCCAACGTGGTGAAACCTCATCTCTACTAAAAATACAAAAATTAGCCAGGCGTGGTGGTGGGTGCCTGTAATCCCAGCTACTAGGTAGGCTGAGGTGGGAGAATTGCTTGAACCCAGGAGGGAGAGGTTGCAGTGAGCCAAGACTGCACCACTGCACTCCAGCCTGGGTGACAGAGTGAAACTCAGTCAAAATAAAAAATAATAATAATAAAAAATAAAAATCAAAAGGTCAGTAACAAAAATGACTTCAAAATACAATCTATTATTAGGACAGATGCAACTCAAATGCTCAGTACTAAATGTTAACATCCAACAAGAGGGCTTGATCTTAAAAAGCAGCAAAGCAGTTATATTCAAAAGGCTTTAAATCATTCTAATAAACTACTGGTTAACAGCATGAGAAGACAAAGCATTGTTTCAGGAAGCTATTGACTTCCCATGAAACAATCTTACCTTACTTACACTTTAGGAGTAAAAAGGAAAACTGCACTTATCTCAGTTTAGGCTATACCCATTAGAGTCTAGAAACACAGTTATTAGTTTTTTTATTTTCATACCACCAGATGTCTAACAGTTATTAGTTTTATTTAAAACTAAGGCTGACTCTGGAAGAGGTTGAATTTTGAACTAATGTTAACAGAAACAATGCACTGTAGTGAAATATCCATGTAAGCAACATAAAGAGGTATGGTAAGGGCCTTCTGGTATTTGTGTGTTAGTTATAAACAAGTGAGGTCAAGGTGAACACACCCTCAATGAATTTTGTACTAAAAAAGTAGCATATAGTCCTCTTGTAGCTGAGAAGGTCAGTTTCACTAGCCTAAGTCCTAAACGTAGGGGAGGACTAGGTCAGTTTACAGAATGACAGGAGAAGAGGATGAGGACAGTGGATATTAAGAATAATTCAACTATGCCTGCTTTTAACCTATCCTTACAAGGAAAAGAAAAAGGAAAGAAAGAAGAGAAACTAAATGCTATGTATCTAATTCCAACCAGCTTGCAAACTCCTACAAAGTCTTATGATGCTGGTTTAAAAGACCATCTTTCCTCCTCTTAGTAAGTCAGCCAATGTATTCGAGCTGATGTTTACCATTATTTACATCAGAGGAAATGGAAGCAGAGTGCTTCCTGAAAATCTGTCAGGCCAGAGACAGAAGGAAAAGCAAAGTCTTAGTTCCTGTTGTTCAGAGTCACCCCTGACAAGTCCTCTGGCCTAAGTTTCCATTTCTTCTTCAACAAAATTAAAATTTCTAACCCTCTATAACTCCAGGTAGTTGTATGCAGTAATGTAAAAGAACAGCTTTCAGTTTTTCAGAGGAAAGGCACTTATGAAACCCATGAAAGCATAGTTATCTCCAACAACAAAGTGTTGTGAGGCCAATATTCTTGATGTGATATTTATAGTAGCCAAGATGGGGTAGATATAATAGACACTGTTTTAACTGGGATTTTCTCCCTGTTGGATGGTTCTAATAACGAATCCATTTTTAAACAGGAGTTTATGTTACATATCCATGTATGCATGCCAAAATACAAATGCATATAGGCTAGTTGTAACCAGATTGAACAAGGTGAAATGGTGAATGACAAATGCTAACTTCCCAAACTGCTGCGGATACAGACTGTCAGATCACAGATGACAACTGGATGGAAGGCTTAACATGGTGTCTATAAATACCTGGTCTGGGGCCCACTCCAGCTGCAGTACACACACACTACATGCATCATGGCTTCTGACGCTCTGTGTGAATTAGGAAACAGACAAGCAAACTTGGGTTAACAATGCAAACCACACAGCATGCAGGGTTATAGTTTCCGTTCTTTTGCCATCTTTAAAATCAGGAACTGGTAGATTCCAAGTTGAGGGATGTTTCTGTAGTTTGGACATCCAAAATATTTGTTGGTTGCTTCCATTCTCTCACAATACACACAGCAATCTGTTAATTTCAACAGATTTTTAATAGATCTTGTAAAGAAATTAATTTTGTTTCTACACATAGAGAATTCACGGGCAAATGTGAGACAGGTGAAGAAAGTAGATCCACCTGATCGAATTAGGTGATTAAAAAAATCTTATGGAGTAAAGGTGAGTGAACATATCTAACAGTCCCTTTCCAAATTTCTTTCTCAGCTGAGATTCAATTTTAGAGGAAAACAAACCACTTAATTAAATTCTATCCTAGCTTATCTTTTCATCAGTTTTTAAATAATACATCAAGCTGAACACAGTGACTCTGGCCTGCAGTCCCAACACTTTGGGAGGTCCAGGAGGGAGAATCCCTTGAGGTCAGGAGTTCAAAATCAGCTGGGGCAACATAGTGAGACACCATCCCTACTATCAAAAACATGTTTTTTTTTTAAAACATTTTAATATAGAGTTTATAATAGAGTATAAAGTATTTAAAAAATAAGCTCTTTTTTTTGTTGTTTTTTTGAGACAGTGTCTCACTGTTGCCTAAGTTGGAGTGCAGTGGTGCAACCACAACTCACTGTAGCCTTGATCTCCCCAGGATCAAGTGATCTTTCCACCTCATCCTCCCAAGTAGCTGGACCACAGGTGCATGCCACCATGCCTGGCTAATTTTTTTTCTTTTTTTTTTTTTTTGAGAAGGAGTCTCACTCTGTTGCCCAGGCTGGAGTGCAGTGGTGCAATCTTGGCTCACTGCAACCTCTGCTTCCCGGCTTCAAGCAATTCTCCTGCCTCAGCCTCCCGAGTAGCTGGGATTACAGGCGCCCACAACCATGCCTGGCTAATTTTTGTATTTTTAGTAGAGATGAGGTTTCACCATGTTGGCCAGGCTGGTCTCAAATTTCTGACCTCAGGTGATCCACCCTTCCTCAGCCTCCCAAAGTGTTGGGATTACAGGCGTGAGTCACTGCGCCCAGCCGTGGTTTTTTTTTTTAGAAACAAGTGTTTTGCCATGCTGCCCAGGCTGGTCTCAAATCCATAGGTTCAAGTGATCTCCCCACCTCAGCCTCCCAAAGTGTTGGGACCACAGGCATGAGCCACCATGCTTGGCCAGAAAGAAGTTGTTAACAAAATACTTTCACCTACTATGTCCAGAGTATTTATTCGGATGATATTAGGAAGTCGATGTTCTAAATAAAAAGGACCTGATATGTAGAATTATTTCATTACTTAAACATTACAAAAATTAGCACAAGCTATACTACCAGCAACAAAAGGTTATTTAGGTAAAAAGCCATTTCTTTTTAATTCTTTGAAGTTGGTACATCCCCTTCACTAAGCCTGGAAACATATGTGTATCTGTTTTAATCTTCCAAACTTTTACTAAAATAAGGTAATTACCAAAAAAGGATAACTGTTATTAGTAGGTTAGAAAACACTGCTATTATCAGCTAATGTTTCTTAAATAATGGCACCAAGACTGTGGAGGTTAAAAGGAAAAAAAAAAAAAAGACATTTCATAAAATGATAATATATCCTCATATTAACACACAGCATCACGACTAAGATGATAAATTACACCCCAAATGCAAAACCTTGTAAGGAGCTATGTCAAATTCATTCAAGCTTACCTTGCAGGTAAGATTAAAACTATTAAGTTAGTCTCTGTCTGGTTGTTCAAAATTCCTCCCTTCCTACAAAATACTTAAGTTACAACCAAAACTGTAGTTAATATAAAAACTTGAGCCAAAAAGTGATGGGAGTCAATTCTGTTGTTTTTTTTTTTTTTTTGGACACAGGATCTCACTCTGTCACCCAGGCTGGATTGCAGTGGCAGCGATGATGGCTCACAGCAGCCTTGACCTCCTGGGCTTAGGTGATCCTCCCATCTCAGCCTCTCAAACAGCTGAGACCATAGGCGCGCCACCATGGCTGGCTAATTTTTTTTTTAAATTTCTTGTAGAAACAAAGACTCACTATGTTGCCCAGGCTGGTTTCAAATTCCCAGGCTCAAGTGGTCGTCCTGCCTTGGCCTACCAAAGTACTGGGATCACAGGCATAAGCCACCACGCCCTGACTCAAACTGTACTTTATACATAAAACTAAGCCAAAAGGTGATGGAGTTGATTCTGAACAAAGTCAACCTGGAAAACTCCATCTGCCACCCACACCCATTCTAAAGCTCAATGACAGACATCTGAATGTTCTCCAGTAAAACAGTGGCAAAAGCTGCCTGGCTGTTTTTAAAACTCTTACCACTTTCGTCTTTAGGATAAAGCTATTCCCTGAACTTGTAACTCTTAATAATTTACTGTACTAGAAAAAGCAATGTGTGATACTAGTCATACTGATGAATAATGCCAGCACAAGACTGTAAAATAACCCAAACTCAAAAGTAAATTCTATTCAGCTTCTAGAAAATACATCCCAGAGTCACCGTTCTATAATAAATGGGGGATTTCAGCAAAACTGTTACCCCATTTTACCTAGAAAACTTAGCTCCATCATTACATTTAAACAAGCTAAATAACTGAGACTTAGAAAAAAGTATTAGGTAGCATGATTTCAATATATACAGTGCTAATATGGCCTGATGACAATACTGTAATCTCACACCATAACACTGCATTTTCAGTAACGTTCAATTATGCTGGTCAGGCATGGTGTCTCGTTCCTATAATCCTGTCATTTTGAGAGGCTGAGGCGGGTGGATTGCTTGAGCCCAGGAGTTCAAGACCAGCCTGGGCAACATGGCAAAACCTCATCTTTACAAAAAATACAGAAATTAGCTGGACATGGTAGCAGGCACCTGTAGTCATAGCTAGTCAGGAAGGGGAGATGGGAGGATCAGTCTGGGTGACAGAGTAAGACCTTGTCTCAAAAAAAAATTTTTTTTTTAATTAAGTAAATAAAAATTTATACTTCTTTTTGTTGGTTCTTCTGTCTTCGGTGAAGTTAGGGCTGCTCACACACAGTAGCAATGATACTTTTCAAAATAAACCAGGCCTAAGAGGCATGGTGGCTCATGCCTGTAATACTTTGGGAGGCGGAGGCGAGAGGATCTGCTTGAGCCTGTGAGACTGAGACTGAGGCTGCAGTGAGCCATGGCTGCGCCACTGCACTCCAGCATGGGCAGCAGAGCAAGACTCTGTCTATATAAATAAAATAAAATAAAATAAATAAAATAAAATAAAACAGTCCTAAGAAAAGGAAAGAAATAGGGAAATACTGTTGGACTCAAAAGTTAACATCTGCTTACTGTCAAAATTTTCTTTAGGAAAATCACAAAAACAAAAACATCCAAAAAAAACTTCCTAAAAAAATTTAGGAAGCTTCTAAAATGTGTCTAAGCAAAATAACCCCAATCTATCTTAAACACAGCAATGGACTGAGCTGTTCTTAATCTGTTGAAATACTAAAAAACAGAATGTTTCTCTTTTTTATGAGATAGTGTCTCACTCTGTTGCCCAGGCTAGAGTGCAGTGGTGCCATCTTGACTCACTGCAACCTCCGCCTCCCAAGTTCAAGCAATTCTCCTGCCTCAGCCTCCCAAGTAACTGGGGTTACGGGGGGTGTGCCACTGCACCCTGCTAATTTTTTTTTAATTTTTATTATTATTTTTTTTTGAGATGGAGTCTCGCTCTCTTACCCAGGCTGGAGTGCAGTGGTGCGATCTCAGCTCACTGCAAGCTCCGCCCCCTGGGTTTATGTCATTCTCCTGCCTCAGCCTCCTGAGTAGCTGGGAATACAGGCGCCTACCACTACGCCCGGCTAATTTTTTGTATATTTAGTAGAGACGGGGTTTCACCGTGTTAGCCAGGATGGTCTCCATCTCCTGACCTCGTGATCCACCTGCCTCAGCCTCCCAAAGTGCTGGGATTACAGGCGTGAGCCACCGCGCCTGGCCAATTTTTATATTTTTAGTAGAGATGGGGTTTCACCATGACCAGGCTGGTCTCAAACTCCTGACCTCAGGTGATCCGCCCCCCCCCCCCCCCCTCCGGAGCCTCCCAAAGTGCTGGGATTAACAGGCGTGAGCCACCACGCCGGGCCAGAATACAGACTTTTTCATTATTGTATTAAGAGATGGGGTTTGGATATGGTAGCTCACACCTGTAATCCCAGCACTTCGGGAGGCCAAGGCAGGAGGACTGCTTGAGCCCAGGAGTTGGAGATAGGCCTGGACAACACAGCAAGACCCTATCTCTGCTAAAAATAAAAAATTAGCCAGGTGTAGTCCCAGCTACTCAGGAGGCTGAGGTGAGAGGACTGCTTGAGCCCAGGAAGTCAAGGGTGCAGTGAACTACAATCATGTCACACTGCACACTGCACTCCAACCTGGGTGACAGAGTGAGACAATGTCTCCAAAAAAAAAAAAAAAAAAAAAAAAGGAAGATCAAAGAAGGAGGTTAAGAAGACAAATAATGAACACATCTACTACTGGACCATGAGACTAATTAAAAACTGGAAAGGTTCCTACCCCTTCTGAAGCCCACACTTCCCGGGCTTACCCATCAATAACAAGTATTGAAGAGTTTGGCCATCCCAAATACCTGCATCCTCTGCTGATTTTTGAAGGGCTTCTGCTAATTCTTGGTCTGCAATCTCCTCTGGCCGTACATCCTCTCTTCCAGCCCCATATGCCAACCGGGCACACTCTGGTAGCTCTCCCTCAGGAAGAAAGGTGGTCTGGGAGCCTGTGGTGCCGATCACGAGTACATTTTTCTTCAGGTCGATGGAACACTTGGAAGAAAGAAACCAAAGAATAATAGCAGATAAAACACCATGCAGAAAAATTATGCTCCTTAATTTAAAACTCCAATCACAAATGGCCAGGCACGGTGACTCATGCCTGTAATCCCAGCACTTTGGGAGGCTGAGGAGGGCAGATCACCTGAGGTCAGGAGTTCCAGACCAGCCTGGCCAACACGGTGAAACCCCACCTCTACTAAAAATACAAAAATTAACCAGGCGTGGTGGCACATGCCCATAATCGCAGCTACTTGGGAGGCTGAGGCAGGAGAATCACTTGAACCTGCGAGGCAGAGGTTGCAGTGAGCCAAGATTGTGCCACGCAAGGCAATCTCCACAGTATTCTTTACTCCATGCTAATGCTAACTTCCTTTTTTGTGTATTTTATAACTACTTAATAGACAGTTGTGCACATATATGATTTACATCTATAAAGTTGGAGACTGCTGGTCTATACCATGACTAAAAAAATAAGGAAAGGCAGTGACAAGGTTTTATTGATACATACACTCATTCATTCATTCGTTCTATTTAGAATGCTGTGAGCCGGGCGTGGTGGCTCACGCCTGTAATCCCGGCACTTTGGGAGGCTGAGGCGGGCGGATCACGAGGTCAGGAGATCGAGACCATCCTGGCTAACAAGGTGAAACCCCGTCTCTACTACAAATACAAAAATTAGCCGGGCGTGGTGATGGGTGCCTGTAGTCCCAGCTACTCGGGAGGCTGAGGCAGGAGAATGGCGTGAACCCAGGAGGCGAAGCTTGCAGTTAGCCAAGATTGCACCACTGCACTCCAGCCTGGGCAACTGAGCGAGACGCTATCTCAAAATAAATAAATAAATAAATAAATAGAATGCTGTGTCTTATTATCAATATGATGCATCTACTTTTACAGAAATATTTTAAAATAGTGACATAAAAATATTGATTAGCTATATTTTCAATTGTTTTTAACTCAATTTTGTTTTTTGAGATGTGGTTTTGCTCTGTTACCCAGGCTGAAGTGTAGTGGCACAATCTTGACTCACTGCAGCCTGGTCTCAAGGGATCCTCTTGCCTCAGCCTCACGAGTAGCTAATGTACCACCACGCCTAGCTAATTTTTGTACTTTTTGTAGAGACAGGGTCTCACTAAGTTACCCAGACTGGTTTCAAACTCATTCTGGCCTCAAGCAATCCTCCCTCCTTGGCCTCCCAAAATGCTGGAATTACAGGCATGTACCACTGTACCTGGCAGGTTGACTGGATATAAAACCCTACTGTGAAAAATGTGAAGTACCCAGTGAGGTCTACAGCCATACCACCCTGAGCATGCCTAATCTCATCTAAATACCCAGTGGACTAACTGCTTCTTCAACGACGGCAGTATATCTCAAATTATTGTGCTTTAGAGTAGAAAGATAAATATCAACACAAATTAATATATTAATTATGCACCCTGTACTAAATAAACACTTTCACTCCCAACATATACCTTCCTTAACCTTGAAGGTCTTCTTCCCAAGTACTGTTTGATCAGCATCAGAGAATGCTAAAGACTTACTTGACTCACACTTTTTAGTCAGGTCATCAAAAAACTACTAATCAGGATCTAACCAGAATCTGAAAATTATACAAGGGAACCAAACTGTCCTTTACAATCTCAAAACATTTGGCAAGATTTAACAGATTCACAGAGAGATTTCACAAAAACAGATTCTATCTATATCGACACATCATTTCAACCTCTGTATAGCAACATAATTTAAGGACATTTCCAGGTTTGAAAAGTCGTTATTTCTTAGTTTTCCAGTATATGTAACCAATAAAAATAATGTGATAATGACCATATTACAAAAAGCAGATGCAAAAAAAATAAGTGAAGCTCTTAATTACCTGGTGCCGTTTAAGCATGTCCAGTCCCAGAAGCATGTCCATGGGCTGTTCCTCAAGTATAGAGAAGGAACATGGCAAAAAATCTCCTTCAATCTGAACCTGAGCTAAAAAGCACATGAAGAGAAAAGGTTATTGTTACGTACTTCAAAACAGAGACGGAGTTTCGCTCTTGTTGCCCAGGCTGGAGTGCAATGGCATAATCCTGGCTGATGGCAACCTCTGCCTCCCGGGTTTAAGTGATTCTCTTGCCTCAGCCTCCCAAGTAGCTGGGATTACAGGCATGTGCCACCACGCCTGGCTAATTTTGGTATTTTTAGTAGAGACGGGGTTTTGCCATGTCGGTCAGGCTGGTCTCAAACTCTTGGCCTCAGGTTATCTGCCCACCTTGGCCTCCCAAAGTGCTGGGATTACAGGTATGAGCCACCGTGTCCAGCTGAAAAGTTCTTTTCATTATTATTTTTTGAGACAGAGTCTTGCTCTGTTGCCCAGGCTGGAGTGCAGTGGCGTGATCTCGGCTCACTGCAACCTCTGCCTCCTGTGTTCTCTGATTCTCTGCCTAAACCTTCCAAGTAGATGGGATTACAAACACGCACCACCACGCCCAGCTAATTTTTACATTTTTAGTAGAGACAGGGTTTCACCATGTTAGCCAGGCTGGTCTTGAACTCCTGACCTCACGTGATCCACCCACCTTGGCCTCCCAACGTGCTGGGATTACAGGCGTGAGCCACTGCACCCAGCCAAAAACTTTTTGTAGAGATTGAGTCTCGCTATATTGACCAGGCTGGTCTTGAACTTCTGGCCTCAGGCAGTCATCCCTGCCTTGGCGTCCCAAAGTGCTGGGATTACAAGAGTGAGCCACCACACCCAGCAGATGACCTATTTTTAAAGAACTCCTTCCTTACACAAGATATTGTGTATTTTCTGCTAAAATCTTTAATTTTCCTTTCCACATCTAGGTTTTAGGGTTGTTTTTTTTTTTTTTTTTTGAGACAGGGTCTGCTACGTTGCCCAGGCTGGTCTCAAACTCCTAGGCTCAAGCAATCCTCCCTCCCCTGCATCTAGGTGTTTACTCTGAATTTGCTTTTGTGTGGTGTGGGTAGGGTCCGATTTCTAATTCATTTCTCCCCATGGATACCTCTTGTCCCAGCAACATTTCCTAACATTTCCCCATTGCTCTGTAAGACTTCCTCTCATTGATCAATGTTCATAGAATCATGGGTTTGTTTCTACTCATATCTTCTAGATAGTCCTTTGATATCTAGAAGGCAATGTTTTTCTAGAGTATTTTGCCCATTCTCACAATATAGGGCCCACGCCAAATTTAAAATGAGCACATCCAGTCTCACAAAAAATCTACCAGGATTTTGATGGCATCTCAATGGTTCTGTGGATTAATGTGGGAGAACTGCCACCCCCAACATACTGAATCTCTAATCCATGGTAAAGCTTTCCTTTTATTTAGGTTTCCCCTATTGCTATAAGGGTTTTTTCATGCTGATCATAGCCACGGTTGTAAAATCCACAAGGATGGCCACAGAGCTTGGTACTTATTTTGTCTCCTCCTATTATCTTCTCATTTAAAGTCATCAAAAATCTGAGAACTCAGCCCCTGAAGGAACCAGTTTATGGTATTCCTGCAAAACTCTTAGTCCTACTGTGTTTAGGAAAGTGTAAGGTAGTTGAACTATCTTTATCCTACACAAATCAATAAGAGAAACACAAAGACCCTAATAAACAGACATACATATTTCAAAAGAAAGGAAGAGCAAATGTGCAGAAAAACTATCATTTACAATGAAAGAAAAGTAACTTACAATAAGAAACCACTCTTTTATTTGTAAAAAAAAATTTTTTTTGAGAAAAGAGTATTGCTCTATTGCCCAGGCTGAAGTACACTGGCATGATCTCGGCTCACTGCAACCTTTGCCTCCCGGGTTCAAGTGATCCTCTCACCTCAGCCTCCTGAGTAGCTGGGACTACAGGCGTACGGTCATGACAACCGGCTAATTTTTTGTAGTTTTAGTAGAGATGTGGTTTCGCTATGGCCCCCAGGCTGGTCTCAAACTCCTGAGCTCAAGCAATCTGCCCACCTTGGCCTCTCAAAGTGCTAGGATTTCAGACATGAGCCACCACACCCACCTTATTTGTAAATTTAAGAGGGAAAACTAATATTCCTTAACAGTATAGGACACTAAGATGAATATTCATTCAGTGGTGGATAAACTGGATTGGTACAGGTTAGCAACATATCAAGAGTCCTAAAGCATCCGTAACTTTGATTCAGTAGTTTCACTTATAGGAATCTTGACTAGGGGGAAAAAATCAAAATGTGCAGAAAACTATACTGCCATGTTCTAATAGGAAACATCACCAGCCAGGCGCAGCAGCTCACGCCTGTAATCCCAGCACTTTGGGAGGCTGAGGCAGGCGAATCACTTTGAGCTCAGGAGTTCGAGACCAGCCTGGGCAACATGGTGAAACCCTGTCTCTACTAAAAATCCAAAAATTACCCGGGTGTGGTAGCAGGTGCCTGTAATCCCAGCTATTCGGGAGGCTGAGGCAGGAGAATCACTTGAACCTGGGAGGCACAGGTTGAAGTGAGCCAAGATTACGCCACCGCACTCCAGTGTGGGCAACAGAGTGAGACTCTGTTTCAAAAAAAAAAAGAAAAAGAAAAAAAGAAACAACCCAAAAGCTGATCCTTAAACCTGCAACAGAATGCTATACATTTATTCATTTATTTAAATAATTCTTTTGAAATTCATGGTGACATTGGGAAAATGTTGTTTCACTTTTTCTTTGAGCAGAATATAAAATTTTAAACAGAAATAATCACCTTTTATAAGATAAAAAAGTGCACAGAAAAAAGACCAGGAGATATGCCCAAATGATACTGGTGGTTGATTCTCACTACAGGAATTTAAGGGATGTTTTTTTCCTTCATCTCACATTTCTATACTTTTGAAGTTCTCTACAGTAAGCATCTATTAAATGGATAATGGAAGAAGAAAACAAAAACAATTCTGATTAGAGATGAATGACTGAACACATGCATTTATCTACATTTACTCCTAAAACATTGCAAAAAAGGTTTTTGGGTTTTGTCTAAGGCACACATTTTTTTTTTTCTTTAGAGATGGAGTTTCACTCTTATTGCCCAGGCTGGAGTGAAATGGCACAATCTCAGCTTACTGCAACCTCTGCCTCCCAGGTTCAAGCGATTCTCCTGCCTCAGCCTCCCGAATAGCTGGGATTACAGGCACCCGCCACCACGCCCGGCTAATTTTTGTATTTTTAGTAGAGACAGGGTTTCACCATGTTGGCCAGGCTGGTCTCGAACTCCTGACCTCAGGTGATCCACCTGCCTCGGGGTCCCAAAGTGCTGGGATTACAGGCATGAGCCACCATGCCCAGCCCTAAGGCATACATTTTTAAGGCCAAATATAATAGTAGAGACCACAGGAACAAAATTTTAGAGCTAAAAAGCAGATGACAGTGAGGAAAACTGAGCAGTAACCCAACTGACATCACAGAACTCCTATGGAGCATAGGAACTGGTCATAAATACTTCTGCAGATAGGAGGAGAGATGGACCCAAAGCAGCAAGGCTGGCGGGAAGGCCGCAGAGGCACAGTTAGCCCTTGGGGTGTCCCTCCCGCACTCTGCTAGGCCAGGAGACCCTTCACCCCAGTAGCAGACTAGAGGCTTATTTTCTGGAGAGGGTGAAACAGAGGCACTCTTAACAGAGGTGAGCATGGAGGGAGACAGGGACAGAACAAGTATCCAACTGAAAACCAGGGGGAATAAATAAAATCCAACTGAGATGCCAGCCTTTTTCTCCCTCCCAACTTTCAGACCCACCCTACAGTGAAGGCCACAAGAGCCATGGCTGCCTACCCAGGTCATTTACCAAACAAGCCTTTTGGTGGCCCACTCTTTTTTTTTTTTTTTTTGAGACGAGTTCTCATTGTCATCCAAGCTGGAGTACAGTAGTATGAACACAGCTCACTGCAGCCTCTATCTCCCTGGCTCAAGCAATCCTCCTGCCTTAGCCTCTCGAGTAGCTGGCACCATCGGCACTTGCCACCACACCCGGCTATTTAAAAAAATTTTTTGTAGAGACGAATTCTCCCTATGTTGCCCAGGCTGGTCTCAAACTCCTGGCCTCAAGCCATCATCCCACATGAGCCTCCTAAAGCACTGGGATTATAGGTGTGAGCCATCCCGGCCAGCCAGTGGCCCACTCTTCAATGTGAGCTGATGCCAAGGATCACAAGACATTTATGAAAACCATCTAAAGTAAAATACAAACAAATACAAAATCCAACACAAAGGTTGGAAGACAAAGTTGAAGAAATCCCACAGAAAAACAAAAGAGAAGAAAACTAGAGGACAAGTCCAGGAGAGATTATCCTACCTGAATAACAGACATTCCAGAGGGGAGAAAATCATCGTCAAAATAATTCAGAGAAAGTCCCCAGAACAGAGGGATGTGAGCGTCTAGACTGCACAGGTTACCAAGTACCTAGCACAGTATATGAGAAGAGATCCACACCCAAGCATGCATTGTGAAAATTCAAAACACTGAGGTCAAAGGGAAGATCTACAAGCTTCAAAGAAGAAAAAGAAGGCTGGGAACGGTGGCTCACGCCATAATCCCAGCACTCTGGGAGGCCTCGTGGGCGGATCACTTGAGGCCAGGAATTTGAGAGAGATCATCCTGGCCAATATGGAGAAACCTCGTCTCTACTAAGAATACAAAAATTAGCTAGGTGTGGTGGTGCACGCCTGTGACCCGGCTACTCAGGGAGGCTGAGTCAGGAGAATCGCTTGAACCCGGGAGGCGGAGGTTGCAGTGAGCTGAGATCGTGCCACTGCACTCCAGCCTGGGCGACAGAACAAAGACTGTTTCAAAAAAACAGAAAAGAGGCCGGGAGCGGTGGCTCACGCCTGTAATCCCAGCACTTTGGGAGGCCGAGGCGGGCGGATCACGAGGTCAGGAGATGGAGACCACCCTGGCTAACACGGTGAAACCCCGTCTCTACTAAAAATACAAAAAATTAGCCGGGTGCGGTGGCGGGCGCCTGTAGTCCCAGCTACTCAGGAGGCTGAGGTAGGAGAATGGTGTGAACCCAGGAGGCGGAGCTTGCAGTGAGCCGAGATAGCGCCACTGCACTCCAGCCTGGGCGACAGAGTGAGACTCCGTCTCAAAAAAAAAAAAAAAAAAAAAAAACAAAAAAAACTGAAAAGAAAAAGAAAACTTTCACATAAAGGATCAAGAATCGGAACAGAATCCAGCCTCACTACAGCAACACTGACAGTGAAAAGGTTAAGGGGCAATGCCTCGAAATTGTGAAGGAAAATGATTTCCAACCTAGGCAGACCAGTATAATGTAGGGAAAAAAGACATGTCTGATAATTAGTCTCAATTTACTCCCATGCACCTCTTCTAAGAAAGTTACTGGATGATGCACTCCAATAAACTGAGGGGCAGATAAAAAAGAGGAAGACAAGGGATTCATGTAATCCAACACAAGACAGAAGAGAAAGGAATCTGTAGGACTCAGTCAAGTTAAATTCCAAAACAGCAGCTCTGAAGCAGGCCTGAAACTGCCAGTCCAGGCTCAAGAAGTATCTTTGATAGGATGAAATGTAGAGGCTATTGGATGTGCTTGAAGGGAGATTTACATAATTAGGAAATGTCTGGGATGAATACTACGCAAGAAACCAAGTAAGAAAAACAGGACAATTATTAATTCTAAGAGAAAATAATACTAGCCATGAAAGAAAAGCAATCACATTCAATTAGATAGCTCAGCTCTCAAACACAGTCATATGAGTAAACAGCAAAATAAACATGTTATTTAGAAATATGGAGGTAAGTATAAAAATAAATCAGCTAAAATGACGGAAAGGGATTATATTTTCAGGAAATAGAAACGTAGAGGAGACTACTTGTTTGCAACCAGCAGAAACACATAACTTTGACGGAACACAGGATTTAAAACTTCTAGAAATTAGGCTTGCTAGCTCAGACATACCCACACAAAAGAAATTTAAAACAACAACAACAAAATAACAACAAAAGACCCTCTAAAAACTTGAAAATCGACTACCCTACCTACAAATAGCCTACAGAAAGACAGCAAGCCCCAGTGCCTTTTGCTCACCTAGATGTACCCTTCCAATAATCTTCTGGGTGCCCACTCCTTTGGCAATCCCTGCCCACCGACGGTCCACCAGTCTCATTATGTTACACCTTTCTGCACAAGCTTGGCTCATGATAGTCATCTGGGCACCTGGAGGAGTAGAGAAACATCAGACAATAAAAACAAAATCCACTTTGTGAGAAGACTCAAAATATAGCACTAAATAATAACAAAGCGAAAACCAAGCACACCCCAAGGCTTTGGTCTCTATAAACTCATTTCTACCTAGCAAGTGCCCTGCCTGCCTAATTCAACTTTCAGTTCTACTCTGTAATCTGAAACATGATGTACAATTTGACATTGAGGGAAGAATATTCTGTAGCGATGCAATAATTAAATGACATTTTAAGACTTTACCAGTAGAAAGCAGTGATGTCCTGCGTCTACAGATGGCAATGCTAAATTAGCAGTACTTTGCACTTCTTACCGAGTATCTCTAAGCCGTCGCCTCCTGGCTTCAAACGATTCTCCTGCGTCAGCCTCCTGAGTACCTGGGATTGACAGGCTTGCGCCATCATGTCCAGCTAATGTTTTTTTTTTTGTTGTTGAGACAGTCTCGCTCTGTCGCCCAGGCTGAAGTGCAGTGGCGCAGTCTCAGCTCACTACAAGCTCCACCTCCCGGGTTCACACCATTCTCCTGCCTCAGCCTCCCAAGTAGCTGCGACTACAGTTGCCCACCACCACACCCGGCTAATTTTTTGTATTTTTAGTAGAGGTGGGGTTTCACTGTGTTAGCCAGGATGGTCTCGATCTCCTGACTTCGTGATCCACCTGCCTCGGCCTCCCAAAGTGCTGGGATTACAGGCGTGAGCCACTGCACCCGGCACGTCCAGCTAATTTTTGTATTTTTAGTAGAGATGGGGTTTTACCACGTTGGCCAGGCTGGTCTGGAACTCCTCACCTCAAGTGATCTGCCCACCTCAGCTTCCCAAAGTGTTGGGATTACAGGTGTGAGCCACAGTGTCTGGCCCTATCAAGTTGTTTTTATATCAAATTTTGGGCTGGGTGTAGTGGCTCATGCCTGTAATCGTACTTCAGGAGGCCAAGACGGGAGGATCACCTGAGCCAAGGAGTGGAAAACCAGCTTGGGCAACATAGCAATATCCCGTCTCACTATGTAAACAAGTAAGTACATTATTTACTACTTTATCTGCTCAAAAAGTAAAATTAAAAACAAAAACCCCACACTGGGACACTATAGTCTACTATTAATAAATCATGCAGTCTTCCAAAATTTAGAAGTGGACTCCCATACTCTGCTCCAACAATCAGACTCTCTTCCCTTTAAATATGAGGGCACTTAGGTTATTTTCTCTCCCAGAAACATGTACACGGCGGGTTGGCCTATGTAGAAGACAGTCGCTTCTGTAATCTTTACAGTCCTAATTTCTCCCTGAAACTCTAGTTCTACATTCTTGTGCACTGGACATTTCTGTCAAAGCCAACAGGCATAAAACTCTTTCTCCCCAAATAATTCTCACTTTGGATTTCTCTGTGTTTGCCAATGGGATTATTTTCTTGCAGCCATAAAACCTGGGCACTGTTCACTTTTGACTCTTCTCCTAGTCTTTCTTCTCTCAAACCTGTAAATAAGGTCTATGCAATTTCTGCTATTTCTGATGCCCTTTCTTCTCCTTTTTTTTTTTTTTTTTTTTTGAGACTGAATTTCACTCTTGTTGCCCAGGCTGGAGTGTAATGGTGCAATCTCGGCTCACTGCAAGCTCCACCTCCTGGGTTCAAGCGATTCTCCTGCCTCAGCCTCCCGAGTAGCTGGGATTACATGCAAGTGCCACCATGCCCGGCTATTTTTTGTATTTTTAGTAGAGATGGGGCTTCAGCATGTTGGCCAGGCTGGTCTTGAACTCCTGACCTCAGGTGATCCACCTGCCTTGGCCTCCCAAAGTGCTGGGATTACAGGTTTGAGCCACTGTGCCTGTCCTGATGCTCTTTCTTCTAACCATAGTGATCAGCCTGGCTCACACTGCCATTCCCTTGCAAAAGGACAATTGTTCTGGCTTCCAAACCACTCCGTGGATGCGTAATTTAAAGCAAGGATATTGTTGTGACCCTTAGGGGTACAGAATTTTCCAGATCTGTGTCTACCTTTAGTTTTCCTAAAATGTCACTTTTTTTTTTTTTGGAAACACAGTCTTGCTCTGTTGCCCAGGCTGGAGTGCAGTAATGTGATCTCAGCCCACTGCAATCTCTGCCTCCCAGGTTCAGGCTATTGTCCTGCCTCAGCCTCCTAAGTAGCTGGGATTACAGGTGTGCCACCATCATGCCTGGCTGATTTTGTGTTTTTAATAGACATGGGGTTTCACCATGTTGGCCAGGCTGGTCTTGAACTCCTGACCTCAAATGGTCTACCCGCCTCAGCCTCCCAACGTGCTGGGATTACAGGTTTGAGCCACTGCACTGGGCCAATAGCACCATTTTCAAATCACTTACTTCTTCATCTGCTTAAAAGTCCTCAATGGTTTCCACTCCTTATGAGATTAGTTTCAAACCACCATCACCACAGCTTCAGATCCCACCCCATCCTGGCTCCACCATTTCTTTCCAGCCGTACATTCTAACTACTCTAAACCCTCTGCTTCAGCAGGAGGAATATGTCCCCTTTGCCATTCACTCACTTTGACCCTCCTGTAAAATGGTCCCTGCCCTGCTTTTTTTCCTGAATTCCACCGATGCTTCAAGATCTAGCTCAAGACCCACTTCCTCCCTAACTGACTGCCCTTTTGCAATGACCTCGCCTCTCACTCAATTCCAACACTTCCTGCTCATATTACTCACAGGTACCCTACACTTTATAAGTAATAAAAGTTCTTGGCATTTGAGAAAGATTAGATTCAAAAAGGCCCAGAAATAATGAAGGAAAAGGGAATTTGGAAAGGCAATTCTCTCTTTTCTTCCTCCTTCTTAATTTACAAAAGCCAAGTTATTAAAGTAAGCAACCCAGGATGAGAAGGGCCCCTTTCACTGCTCTCCTGCATTTTCCAAAGCCTCAGCTCAAATGCTGTCTTCTGGAAAGACTCTCCTGAGCACCTCGGTCAGAGTGAGAATGTGGTCTCTACAGCCATCCAACATTCACCTGATTTTTGCACAGTGGTTGAGATTTCTGGCATCAAGGGGACCTGGGGCTGAATCCAAAGCCCACCACTCACGAACTCTGTATACCTGGAAGCGTGACTTGATCCCTCTAAGTTTCCTTATGTGTAAAAGACAGAGTAGAGAATGTGACCTCTCTATATCTAAGTTTTCTTATGGATAAAACAGGAATTATAGAACAAAGTACATAGAGATATTCTGAGGATGAAATAAAATTGAGTAAGATGATTATATTAAGCACCTAGCATGGTGCTTGGCACACAATAAGGAATCAATACACACTGAGTATTCTATTAGCGTCTTCTATGTATTTGTCTCTCACTCACACGGGGACCTCTGAGGCTCCAGTCACTAAGTCTTATCACCAAGCACTCAGCACAAGGCCCTACCCACAACAGATATTTTTTAAACTGAATAATTTCAGTTTTTTTTTAAACTCCCAGGAATGTCTGTATCTCAAGATACAAACTCTTTTTTTTTTTTCCCCCGAAGGCAGGGTCTCACTCACCCAGGCTGGGGCACAGTGGCACAATCACAGCTCACTGCAAGCCCTGACCTCTGCCGTCACCACAGGCTCAGGTGATCTTCCCACCTCAGCCTCCCCCGTAGCTGGGACTATAGGTACGCACCACCACACCCGGCTAATTTTTGTATTTTTTGTAGAGGCGAGGTTTCCCCATGTTGCCTAGGCTGGTCTCAAAACTCCTGGGCTCAAGCAATTCTCCCACCTCACCCTCCCAAAATGCTGGAATTACAGGTATGAGCCACTACACCCAGTCTCAAGGTACAAACTCTTAATGAGAGTTGAGGCCAGGAGTTCCCAATCAGCCTACACAATACAGGGGAACCCTGTCTCTACAAAAAGTTAAAAAATCAGCCAGGTATGGTTGCACATGCCTGTGGTTCCAGCTACTTGAGAGGCTGAGGCTGGAGGATCACTTGAGCCCAGGAGTTGGAGGCTGAAGTGAGCTGACTGCACCACTGCACTCTAGCCTGGGTGACAGAGACCCTCTCTTTAAAAAATGAGAGAGAGAGAGCTGAAACCCAGCATGTGCTCAGGAATGTGTAGATGAACAAATGAAAGAAAATACTTTTTTTCTTTTTATATAGAAATACACAGTGAAGGGGGAAAATATTATTTGAGCAAGGAATTTTTCTACTCTAGGAACTCACCTATCTTACAGCCTTGAGTGAGACAACCCAGAATTAAGATGTATGAGACCACTCAGTCATACACCCACAAAATGCTGCATGGTGTAGTCTTACTAAAAAGCAAACGGTTGTTACTGACAGAAAAGGTGCCAACTAGTATGTGAATTAACTGAACCCTCAAGCAGAAGAATCCCTGTCTCCTTACTTGGTTGTTAAGTTCTTTAAGGGTAAGAACCATACCCAGATAGCCTTACACTCCTCCCAAATCTTGGCAAAGTGCTGGTGCACAGGCCAGGCTGAAATGTGTTTGACCTATACTCTACACAGCTCCTTTTATAGCTCCTTCTTCTAAACCTATGTATTCCCAGTTTTTTACAGAAACATCCAAGAAATTCAGGATGCTAGATAAGGGGAGTTAGGAAGAAAAAGGAGACACCACAAAATACAAAACTGGTTAAGAAATGATTAAAGAAAGAAACCTAATACCAACAGAATGCCTCGCAAGTGAAACAGTAAGTCCCACGCTAGTGAGTTAGCAGCCTAAAGAACTACAGCCATCTGGGCCAGGCACGGTGGATCACTTGAGGTCAGGAGTTCAAGACCAGCCTGACCAACACGGTGAAACCCCATCTCTACTAAAAATGTAAAAATCAGCTGGGCGTGGTGGTTGGCGCCTGTAATCCCAGCTACGTGGGAGGCCGAGGCTGGAGAATCGCTTGAACTGAGGAGACAGAGGTTGCAGTGAGCCAAGATCACGCCACTGCACTTTGGCCTGGGTGACAGAGCAAGACTCTGTCTCAAAAAAAAAAAAAAAAAAAAAAGTACAGCCATCTGAACGGATGCTTGAGCCTCCCCTTCTCCCGTGTCAGGTAAAGATGTTGGAGGGGAGACCAAGAAATAAAAGACAGAGACGTCACCTGAGTCAACAAAGGCTTTCACAGGATGTCCATTCACTTTGCAGTTAATATAAAGCATCACTACTTGGCCAAAACTTTCCGGAGCCTCTTCCATAGCTATTGTCATGTTTTCCTCAATGTTCTGTTGCCTGTAACAGAACAAGACCAGGGACACTGAAAGCATTAATTCCATGGAGAGAAATCAGTTTCAAAGTCACAATATTAAAAAACAGATTTGTACATATCTTTTGCCCCAAGCACAGCAGCCGAGTCATAGAAAAATTGGTGCTATATGGGGCAAGAGATCATTTCCAAAGAGGCAGTAAGATGAACAGCTGGCAGAAAATCTAAAGGCATAAAAATTACCCTTTGTAAAACACTAAGCCGCCTTTCTATGCTCAGAAATAAGAAACTGGAGAGCAAGGGTTACAACCCCATTTTTCTGGCAGAATGTTAGAATTTCGGGAATGTTCCAATTTTAACTGAGGATTTACTGGGTATCTGAATACATTTCCTAAGCCCAGAACATTACAAAAAGTTCACAAACAGAAAACACAAATATTTCAACGTCTTGTGCTGCATCTGCTGCTTCATCTCCAGGACTGGGTTTTCTAATCTGTACACTAAGGATAACTGTTACCTAGGTTGCCAAGAGGTACAAAGCATCTAGTATACAGTGCTCATATAACAGCTTATGCTACAAAAAAATTGCACCCATCACTTAAAACTACATGTGTTTCATAGTTCATTTGATCCATGAAATAATTTGTTTAAAAATTCAACATGCTGGCCGCACACGGTGGCTCACGCCTGTAATCCCAACACTTTGGGAGGCCAAGGCGGGTGGATCACCGGAGGTCAGGAGTTCAAGACCAGTCTGGCCAACATGGTGAAACCCCATCTCTACTAATAATACAAAAACTAGCCGGGCATGGTGGCATGCACCTGTAATCCCAGCTACTCAGGAGGCTGAGGCAGTAGAACTGCTTGAACCCGGGGGGCGGAGGTTGCAGCCAAGATCGCACGACTACACTCCAGCCTGAGCGACAGAGCGAGACACCAAAAACAAAAAAAATCAACATGCCAGGTGCAGTGGTTCACACCTGTAGTCCCAGCACTTTCTTTGGAAGGCCAAAGTAGGTGGATCCCTTGAGCTCAGGAGTTTGAGCTCAGGAGTTTCAAACCAGCCCGGGCAACATGGTGAAACCCCATCTCTCCCCACCAAAAGGAAGGAAAAGAAAACAAAAAAATCAACACAACTCTAATTCTTACACGAGAAAAGCAACAAAAGGGAGTTCTTGCTTACTCCAACATCTCATGTTTATTCCCAATTTTTTTCTACTCCCTTAAAACAGCATGAATCAATCTCCTTTTAAAAACATTATCAAATACTACCAACATTAATGGAAACTAGGTCAGCGGTTGGGCAACTTACCTGAAGACTGAGACACTAACAGAACAGCTTCTAAGATTTGGGATAACCTACACTGTAAATCCAGGGTTGGTAAATCATAGCCTGCTGTTTAGGCAAAAAAAGTTTTATGGAAACACAGTGATATAGTGCATTTACATATTGTCCTATTGTCTATGGCTGCTTTCACATGGCAGTGGCGGAGCTGAACATGAGCAACACAGATTGTATGGTTTGCAAAGACTAAAATATTTACTATCTGCCCATTTATAGAAAGTCCACTAAGGCCTGGCACAGCAGCTCATGCCTATAATCCCAGCACTTTGGGAGGCCAAGGCAGGCGGATCACTTGAGGCCAGGAGTTTGACACCAGCCTGGGCAACACAGTGAGACCCTATCACTATAATTAGCTGGGCGTGGTAGCACAAGCCTGTAGTCTCAGCTATTCAGGAGACTGACGCAAGAGATTGCTTGGGCCTGGGAGGCTGAGGCTGCAGTGAGCTAGGATGGCACCACTGCACTCCAGCCTGGACGACAGAGCAAGATACTTTTTTTTTTTTTGCCCTGTTTTATGGTGCTGACCCTGTCTCTTCAACAAACAAACAAACAAAAAATAAACCTCACACCAAGCGTGGTGGCTCACACCTATAATCCAAGCACTCTGGGAGCTGGACAAATCACTCGAGCCCAGGACTTCAAGACACGACTGGGCAACACGGCGAAACCTCGTCTCTACAAAATACAAGAAAAATTAGCCAGGTGTGGTGGTGTGCCTATAGACCCAGCTACTCAGGAGGCTGATGGGGGAGGATCACCTGAGCCTAAGAAGTTGAGGCTATGAGCCATGATCGTGCCACTACACTCCAGCCTAAACGTCGGAGGCCCTGTCTCAAAACAAACAAAAAAAACTCTGCTGACTCCTGCTCTAACTACAGTTTCTGTTCTTTTCATAATAATCATCTAGCTCAAGTGAACTGATAGCTTTATCAGTCATTTTGCAACAAAATTTAAACTCAGAAAGTCAAAAGCACCTTCCTTTAGGCAAATATGAAAGCTATCGAACCTGTGTTCACCTACCCTGTGTAATCACTGGTGTAGCAAGCCATATGAAACTTTAATAGACATTTTATATAATTACACAGGTTTTATGCTATTGCACATTATTAAACATAGAAATAACCTAAAATTAATTGTATACTTCATCTTGCATGGACTCCAACCCAAATGAGTTTCAACAAAAAATCCTCTGCAATAACACCAGCTACTTTGGCTTTTCTGGGGTCCATATGTAGAGAGTCTCTTCAGAGGTACAAGGTTTTCACCTTTCAAAGAATGGATGTGGCCAGGCGCAGTGGCTCACACCTGTAATCCCAGCCCTTTGGGAGGATGAGGAGGGTGGATCACCTGAGGTCAGGAGTTTGAGACCAGCCTGGCCAAGATGGTGAAACCCCATCTTTACTAAAAATACCAAAATAGCCGGGCGTGGTGGTACATGCCTGTAATCCCAGCTACTCAGAAGGCTGAGGCAGGAGAATCGCTTGAACTTGGGAGGCGGAGGCTGCAATGAGCCGAGATCGTGCCACTGAACTCAGGCCTGGGCGACAGAGCAAGACTCCGTCTTGGGCCTGGGGTGGGGAAGAGAATAGATGTGTCACCCTATTTCCTTCATTCAAGCCCTAGAAAGAAACATGAGCCTTATGGACACTCTCTATTTCACTTCTATTCTTATTTATTTTTTTGAGATGGAATTTCGTAATGACTTAGGGCTGTCAATTAATTCTAGTGTACAATTATATTTCTTTTTTTTTTTTTCCTAAGATGGGGGTCTCACTCTCTTGCCCAGGTTGGAATGCAGTGGTACAATCATAGCTTACTGCAGCCTCCAACTACTGGGCTCAAGTGATCTTCCTGCCTCAGCCTCCTGAGTAGCTGGGACTGCAGGTGCATGCCACCACACCTGGCTAATTTATTTTATTTTTTGTAAAGACAGAGTCTCACTTTGCTGCCCAGGCTGGCCTCAAACTCCTGGCTTCAAGCAAAGTGTTGGGATTACAGGCATGAGCCACCAGGACTAGCCTGTATTTCTGATTTCAAATGTAGTAAGAAGAGTAAGAGGCAGGACATGGTGTTCACACTTGTAATCCCAGCACTTTGAGTGGCTGAGGTAGGAGATCAATTGAGGTCAGAAGGAAGATCAATTGAGAAGAAGGACGGGCTAAGTGCAGTGGCTCATCCCTATAATCCTAGCACTTTGGGAGGCTGAGGCGCGTGGATTGCGTGAGCTCAGGAGTTCAAGACCAGCCTGGGCAACACAGTGAAATCCTGTCTCTACAAAAAATGAAAAAATTAGCTGGGCGTGGTGACAGATGCCTGTATTCCCAGCTATTCGGGAGGCTAAGGTGAGAACACCTCAGTCTCGGGGAGGTCCAGGCTGCAATGAGCTGTGATTGTGCCACTGCACTCTAGCCTGGGTGACAGAGTGAGACCTTGTCTCAAAAAAAAAAAGATAAAAAGAATAAGAAGTTTAAAAAAGCATGATTTAATTTCTAAGTTGATAGATAGTGTAATACAATGACCAAGTTAGGCTTCATTTAAGTAACCGGAATGATGACACGGTCCCTAAAAGGCCAAGCAGTCTAAGTGTAGTAAGTATCGTTGCTGTTATCTTCTTCTTAGTTATACTAAGTTCTTCACAATTAGCAACAAAAACTGACTTGAGGCAGGAAAAGCAGCTGTCCTTTTTTTCAGAGAATGACTGAACAGAATCTTGCTTGTGACTATCAGTGTGACTGAGGCCGGAACAGCGTCACTGTCCTTGCTTGAGCTCCATGCCCGACAATTCTGATTCATCAGATTTGGGAGAAGAGTCCAAGCATCTGCATTTTTAAAAGTTTCTCATGTGATTTTACTATAGCCCCAGGTGAGAACCACCGCATTACAGAAACTGAGAGCTGGAAACATGTCCAGCATTCAGTTTATCCACTGAGGCCAGTACAAGAAATGCAGCAGGAAAACAGACTTAGGACTACCAACGTTCCATCGGCGCAGAGCCCTCTCTAATCCAATCATGTTTAAGCCCTGGATTTAATCAGGACTTATACAATATGTCTAAAGAAAGAGAGTCAAATCAGCCCATGTAATATGCAACCAGCCTTGTGGTCTCACCAGATGGTGGCTTCTGCTCAGTCCGGGGGTCATTTATCTAAAGCTGTGTTATGATGCTCTGTCTGCTAGTCAGGGAGTCCTCCTTAAAATTTTAGAAAGAAAGTCATTAAACTAAGCACCTATATCTTTGTCATGTCAAATCGAAATGCATAGAAAATGAAAGAGGAGAGACTAACCTAAAAGACTGAGGTTACTATCTCAACTGCAAAACAGAGAAGCTACCTCCAAGCAGATGCCCAACCAATGTCAGATAACCTGCAGTCTGGGAAATCTGGAGTCTCTAAGTTTTGTTCTTTAGATGAACAGGTCTTTACCTTATATCTTCTTCTATCTTTGCCTGAGCTTCAAGGTCAAAGGGATCAGCAGAAAACAGACGAATCCTTTCTTGCTCTCTCCGGGCTCGGTCCTGCTGCTGCTCCACCAGGACTCTAGAAAATTTCTCTACAAAAATAAGGGAGAAAAATCTTAAATATCACTATATTTTCAACGTTTATCAGTACTTTTCCACACCAAACAATTTATCAAACTACATCTGTAAGAGATGCAGAGAGGATGCCTAAAGCTTATTTAAAATGAGCAATTACATTTACTTTCTGTTCTCTGAGTCAAGGCTATTTCATCATTTAAATTCAGTGTAAAGAAAGTATTTGTGGCTGGGTGTGGTAGCTCATGCCTATAATCTCGACACTTTGGGAGGCTGAGGTGGGAGGACCGTTTGAGCCTAGGAGTTCGAGACCAGCCTGGGCAACATAGCAAGACCTTGTCTCTACAAAAAATATAAAAATTAGTTGGGCGTGGTGGTGCATGCCTGTAGTCCCAGCTACTGTTGGATGGGGGTTCAAGGGTGGGGGGATGGCCTGAGCCCAGGAGGTCGAGGATGCAGTGAGCTGTGATCGCACCACACACTCCAGCCTGGGTGACATGGTGAGACCCTGTTTTTTTTTTTTTAAAAAAAAAAAAAAAAAAAGTATTTGCAAAAATTTTTTATAAGAAGTTATCTATCATATTGTTTCTACTCAGAGGTAACAACTTTCCAATTTAAAATGGTGGGGAGTGACCATGTGGCAGATCAATGTCTCCACTCCTCCATTCCTCATTGTTCTCATTATCCTACTACCTAGAAACAAAATACAGCATTATATAATCTCCTTTTCCTCTTCTAGTTTCATTTCTTTTATAACATGCCCTGCCTTAAGCCAGATACATTAAGTATAAACTATTTTTAGTCTACCTATATTTTGTGTGTGTTCTGATGAATTAATAGGCAGGAAAATTAGTAGAGAAAACACTGCTTGCTATAAGATGTATGTTACAACAAGAACCTATTTTGCAATTTCTTTTTTTTTGAGATGGAGTTTCGCTCTTGTTGCCCAGGCTGGGGAGCAATGGCGCAATCTTGGCTCACTACAACCTCCACCTCCCAGGTTCAAGTGATTCTCCTGCCTCAGCCTCCCAAGTAGCTGGGATTACAGGTACCTGCCACCACGTCCAGCTAATTTTTGTATTATTAGTAGAGACTGGGTTTCACCATGTTGGCCAGGCTGGTCTTGAACTCCTGACCTCAGGTGATCCACCGTGCCCGGCCTATTTTGCAATTTCTTAAATGGTGGTACATTTAAGTGTGCAAACTTAAATGCCCCATCATCACCATCTTTGGTGATTAGATATGCTGATATAAGAGATTAAAAGATATTATGACAATGGTTATCTGAACTACTAATGCACACAATACAGATGGATCTAAAAAGCATTAAGTTGAGTGAAAAGCCTAACACGAGCTGGGAGTGGTGGCTCACGCCTGTAATCTCAGTACTTTGGGAAGCCGAGACGGGTGGATCACGAGGTCAGGAGTTTGAGACCAGCCTGGCCAACATGGTGAAACCCAATCTCTACTAATAATACAAAAATTAGCCGGGTGTGGTGGTGCACGCCTGTAGTCCCAGCTACTTGGGACACTGAGGCGGGAGAATCGCTTGAACCCAGGAGGCGAAGGTTGCAGTGAGCAGAGATCGCGCCACTGCACTCCAGCCTGGGAGACAGAGTGAAACTCCGTCTCAAGAAAAAAAAAAACAAAGCCTAACACGAAAGAGCAGACACTCTATTATTCCATATACATGAAGTTTAAAAATACGGGAAACTAAACCATAAGATTATCAAAACAGTAGTAACCTATAAGGAGAGGAGATTGACTAGAAAGCAACACAGTGGAACTTTCTGGAGTGAGAGAAATGTCCTGTGTCTTGATTGGGGTTACAGGAGTTTGTCAAAACTCAAGGAATTGTATATTTAAAATCTGAGTACTTCGCTTAAGGTAAAGATTGCCAATTTAAAGACAGTCAATTGAGGAATGAGTCATTAAGTGTCTGTTATGTTTTTAGACTTAACCCAATTTAACTCATAAACCCAAGAGTAAAATGAGAGTAATTTACAGAGAAAACTCGATTCATAAAGATGGCTACAAGTTAGCTGGGTGCAACTGCTCATGCCTGTAATCCCAGCACTTTGGGAGGCCAAGGCAGGCAGACTGCTTGAGCCCAAGAATTCGAAAGCAGCCTGGACAACATGGCAAAACTCCATCTCTACAAAAAATACAAAAAATAACTTGGAGTGGACTGAGGTTATGGTGATTCCATTTTGCCATACAGGGCACTGAACCTTCCTGGCATCAGCTGGCATCAGCTGGCTTGTTGATGATCTCTTTAATTGAAGATCTAACTAAGGTTAAAATATCGGTACTGGCTGGGCATGGTGGCTCACACCTGTAATCCCAGCACTTTGGGAGGCCGAGGCAGGCGGATCACGAGGTCAGGAGATCGAGACCATCCTGGCTAACACGGTGAAACCCCGTCTCTAATAAAAATACAAAAAATTAGCCAGGTGTGGCAGCATGCGCCTGTAGTCCCAGCTACTTGGGAGGCTGAGGCAGGAGAATGGCATGAACCCGGGAGGCGGAGCTGGCAGTGAGCCAAGATTGCACCACTACACTCCAGCCTGGGCGAAAGAGCAAGACTCCGTCTCAAAGAAAAAACAAAGAAACAAACAAAAATCAGTACCTAGGTTATCTGCTGCCAAAAACAATGAGGAAAACAAAAAGTAAACCAAGGGGGGTGGCCTAGATGGATTTCACTGCTAAAACTCTATTGCTGTTTCCAAGTAACTCAGCCTTTGACTTTAGCACTAATTTACCTCTCACAGAGAAAAAACTGGTATGTTCAATAAATCATGTGACACAGTGTCGCTTGAGTCTCTTCACATTTGCTATGACACAGCTTCTTCACCTCAGGCCAGCCTAATAGCCTTCCAAATTTATAAGCTTACCAAGGTCTCCACTGAGCAGAGCTTCTGCCAGGGGTGGATTGCGTTCCTTCAGCAAGGACAGCTCATGCGGGTTGGCCAGCAACATATCTCGGAGCAAGGCTGGATTGTCCAAGCCCTGAGGAGATGAAGTTATTTCTCCAGGAGATGAGTGGGACTGCTGTGTTCCTGGTGGCTGGCGCTGCCGGGGACTTGATGTGCCAGGCACAGCTATACTACTGAAATCTATTCGGGGTAAGTCTGTTGGGGAAAATCAATTCAGTTTACTCAAATTACTCTACAAAAACAAGCACTTGAAGGAAACAGCAGAACACTTGCTCATACATGGTATATGACAGCAGCAAAGGTAACTGTAGACTTTAACCTTGTTCTTTCTCATGATGACTCTGAATATAAAGACTGCCGGCTGAGAGTGAATCGATAGAAGAAGAAAAATAGGGGGAAGGTGATGGTAGTAACTCCAAATTTTTAGCTTATAAAATATCTCACAATAGACATCAGGTTTTTAATTTATGTTTTTAAATCATTAAAGTGGCCAGGCGTGGTGGCTCACACCTGTAATCCCAGCACTTTGGGAGGTCAAGGTGGCTGGATCACCTGAGGTCAGAAGTTCAAGACCAGCCTGGTCAACATAGTGAAACTCTGTCTCTACTAAATATACAAAAATTAGCTGGGCGTGGTCGCAGTCACCTGTAATCCCAGCTACGCAGGAGGCTGAGGCAGAAGAATCACCTGAACCCGGGAGGTGGAGGTTGCAGTGAGCCGAGATGGCGCCATTGCACTCCAGCCCAGGCAACAAGAGCGAAACTTCATCTCAAAAGAAAAAAAAAAAAAAAAATTAAAGCTAGTTTCAATAAATATAATTGCATAAGTCTGGATGTTGTTCTTGAGAAAAATCCTACTCTGGTCTGACATATGGTTCAAACAGCCTTGACGCTTGGATTAAAGAATTTTTTTTTTTTTTTTTTGACACGGAGTCTTGCCTTGTTGCCCAGATTGGAGTGCAATGGCACGATCTTGCCTCACTGCAACCTCTGCCTCCTGGGTTCAAGTGATTCTCCTGCCTCAGCCTCCCGAGTAGCTGGGATTACAGGCGTGTGCCACTACGCCCAGCTAATTTTTTGTATTTTTAGTAGAGATGGGATTTCACCATGTTGGCCAGGCTGGTCTCGAAATCCTGACCTCAGGTGATCCACCCACCTCAGCCTCCCAAAGTGCTGGGATTATAAGTGTGAGCCACTGTGCCCGGCCGGATCAAAGGATATTATATATGTCAAGTGAGCAGCATAAATATTAGATGCTAAATTCTGCAAGTCAGTGCTAAACGTATTGGCTCAGGGAAGTTCTTAATAGTTCTCTGAATTTATACTTTAATCTGTGCATCTCTGCTAACTCTTCTCATGCCCTTGGGGAGCTAAACAGTGTCATCATTTTATAGAAAAGAAAGAAGAAAAGGGACTTGCATAGGTTCTCAGTGCTGAATACACCAAAAGCTACCACAGTTTAGAAGCTACAACTCCCAGGTTCTATATGCCAGGTGGAACTGACCTTACTAAAATGAAAGGAAGATAAAAGGGAATTTTAATCCTTACACAACGGACTCACATATTGTATGACCCCATTTATATGAAATGTTCCAAATAGGTAAATACATAGAGACAGAAAGTAGACTTGTAGTTGTCTAGGCTGCGGAGACTAGGGGGAAATGGGAAATGACTATAAATGGGTATAGGATTTCTTTTTAAGGTAATGAAAATACGCTAAAATGGATTGTGGTGATGGTTACACAACTCATGAATATAGTAAAAAAAAATCATTTAAATGCATGAATTCTATCTCAATAAAACTGTTATTTAAAAAAGAAAAATGAAAAAGAGAAAAGTAAACAAGGAGAGCCAGAATGAGGGGCTAGGCCTGAGTCAATCGACATTCCTTCAACTCCAAAAAATATAGTTGATGGTCAAACTTGTCTGAACAACTGAATACTTTTCTTAAGGATAACTGTGCTTAATGTTATAAATGACAGTACACTAAGCAATTCCACAGTGATCAGAATTATAGC
Organism: Homo sapiens; assembly: GCF_000001405.40. Taxonomy (NCBI): domain Eukaryota; kingdom Metazoa; phylum Chordata; class Mammalia; order Primates; family Hominidae; genus Homo; species Homo sapiens. The sequence continues at coordinate 15,628,502 of NC_000001.11, read as the reverse complement.
ACAATCCTTGCACTATTAAGGATTTTAAATAAACTAAAAAATCAAAAAACAAACAAACTTGTCTCAAGTCTGGGACTATCCTGAAGCCTTTTTGGACCTCAGATAGAAAAAGAGAATGCTTAAACTCATGATGTAACATTTCTACCCTTTAGCAGGGGTTCAACTAGCCACTTTCTTCAACTCCCAACCAAGGAAATGGTGAAGTGAAGAGGATGATCTCTGTGAGGTAGTTAATCTATACCAGCCAGAAAAACATATATGGGTGGGCCCTCTTTGCAGGTCAAGAAATTTTATCTCCACTCCTGTTATACATTATCTTGAGAGTCCATTCACTTCAGAATAATTCTCAAAAACATGTTTACTTAATAGACCAGATCACTCCTGCCCCAACCTGTTACAGGCTCTCTTGTCCATAAACAACAATGCAGAGGAAAAAAAAAAAGAAGTAAATTCCGGAATTAATAATCTCATCAAATTAACCAAAGGAAGATGTGGTTTTTACTGATTGTCATAGTTGTTTAAATACGTTTAACTTCTTCAGAAAGAAGTTTTAACTTCTTTCTAAAGTTTAACTGTGGCCCCAAGGGACTAATGTCTTCCAGATCTGGTGGAGCCGGTCCTTGATGGTCTCAGTAAGTTCCAGTTTCAGGCTGAATGGAAACACTGTGGTTAAAACTGCAGTCAGTCTGTCATCACCCAGACTCTGCCAGCATCTGTCACCATAAACTTTAAAACTGGTGACCTACAGGCTAAACACTATTTAAGAAAATCTATCTGAATATGGCAGCGAATGGAAAAAAACCACACATTTCACCAAGCTGTTTCACATTAAGACCTTATAATCATTTTGTGGATCATGAGCCACTTCAAGTATCTGAACAAAGCTATGACCCTCTCTCTATCCAGTGCACACACACATTCACATCCACACAATTCTGCATATTATTTCAGTGACATAGAACCTACTAAATCCCAATGCACAGAGTTCAGACTATAAACATCTATTATAAAAGCAGCATCAAAGATAGATAAACGTTTCTTTGTATGTGATTAACACAGCTGGTAGGAAAGAACCACAACTTGGTGGTCAAGCTGCTTAATGTTTATCAAGTTCAGCATAATGGAAAAAGCATCAAATTTTAATTCCTGTGCCCTCACTTAATAGCTATGTAACTTTAAAGACACCATTTAAAATCTGAGCTTCATAATTATAAATTATTATGCAAATTAGTATGTAAATCCCCCCACAACCAAGTTATGAGATCATGTGAAATGCAGCTCCAAGTGCCTGGCTGGCTATAAAATGCTCCAGAAAGGCTGGCCACTGAAGGACAGACACAAAGTAGCAAAATCATAGGCTTATGTATTCTTTCAAGTCCTTCCCAAGGATAAAGATTATTGTATAATTATCACTGATAACAGAAGCTAACATTTATTGAGGGCTTGCTGTGTGCTAAGATTTTACATGCATTAGCCTCACGTCAGCTTTAGGAGTTGGGGTTAATTATGGCACCTAACTTATAGAAGAGGAAACCAATTTAGAGACATTAAAATACTTGTTCAAGGTTACACGGCAGGGAAAAGGCAGAGTCAGGATCTGTATTCTGTAGTCTGAATCCAAAGCGAATCCAAAACTCTGAGGTGCTATGCTCTGCTACCTGCTGATGGTTCTGCTGGGGGATGCTCAACCACCAGATGTCTTACTTGGGAACTGCACTGGAGGTCGAGGGTCTGCATTCTCCTTCTGTCGTAAAATCACAACGTCCCCATCTTTCAAGCCATAAGAAGCCAATGATCTGTGGTTGTCTGTGAGAGGTCTTTCCGCATAGACGATCTACAACAAGAAAAGATATACAACAGTATAAAGCACTGAGAAGTAACACAGCGCAAGGCAGAAGGACCAGTTTTCCCCTGAATCAGATGTCACCCTCCTTTCAAACCCTCCAGTGGATTCCCACCACATCCAGAACAAAACCCACAGTCCTTCCCGTCACCTAGCAGGACCAAACAATGTGGTCCCTGGCTCTCCTGACTTCGCCTTTCACTATGACTGCTGTTCCTCAAACAACAGGGATCAACTTCCCCTTCAGGGCTGTTTCTCTTGTTTTCTCTACCTGAGGAATGTTCTTTTTCCACTCATTTTTTTCCTTTTACGTCTCTGATCAAACATTACTCTTTAGAGTTCTTCCCTACTATGTTATTTAAAATGTACTCTCAACTAACACAATATATATTTACTTATTGTCCTTCTGCCCCATTAAATGTAAACTACTTGAGGACAAAGACTTTGTTTCATTCACGAGATCATAAATGCTTAGAACAGGGCCTGTTATATAACTGATGCTCAAATATTTGTTGAACTAAAGAATGAATGAATTTATGGAAATGGATATAATTTTAGATTTAATTTTTAGCAGGGAGGAAAAGGGAATGATTTATTCTGGGTATGCTAACTAACTACAGTACTATTAAATAAAGTGTGCACTTTGAAATAATCTTGAACACTGGCAAAAGGGTCCCAAATATCATCCTTCCTGCACTGCAATCTTCCTTCTCTTCTACCACCCCCAAAGTTTTATCACTCTGGGCCGGGCACGCTGGCTCACGCCTGTAATTCCAGCACTTTGGGAGGCCAAGGCGGGTGGATCACGAGGTCAGGGGTTCGAGACCAGCCTGGCCAACATGGTGAAACTCCGTCTCTACTAAAAATACAAAAATTAGCCCAGTGTCGTGGCACGTGCCTGTAATCCCAGCTACTCCAGAGGCTGTGGCAGGAGAATTGCTTAAACCCGGGAGGCAAAGGTTGCAGGGCTGAGATCGCACCACTGCACCCTAGCCTGGGCAAGCAAGATTCCATCTTGGTGGGGTGGTGGGAGGGGGGAGACTGGAAAATAAAGTGAAACTAAGAAAATAACAACTAAATACAAGTGGAAAAAAGAATTAGGAATGTACTACTAATAAAAATATTTTATGATGTGTAATCAAACTGAAAAAAACCTGACAGCACAAATAGATGAAATAATGTGTTGCAGATAGAAAGAACAAAGGTACACTATAATTTTATCATGAAAAAACATAAAATCTGCCCTGCATTATTACATACTCCAGAAAGGCATTCAGAACAAACTCAGGCTTTGAAAGGTTTTCCTCCTAATGATTTTTCACCAGGCCACATGCGAACTGAGGAACATGAGTTCTATCCTTGCCAGTAACTCCCTGCGAGGGGCATGACACTCAGCAGGTCCAGACCTCACCCTTCCCATGTGTCAAGCAAGCAGGTGGGCTAGATCATCATTACAGCTGTCCCTTCCAGTTCTCTCTGCTAACATTATCATTCTATGTTTCCTTACAGCTTTCATAGTAAGGTTACCTGAAATAAAAACTGAAAACACAGCATTTAAACTGGAAAAAAAGTGATTATGCCATATCTGCTCTCAGAATTTATAGACATGAGGAACAGAACAGGAAAATGAGTTCCTACCAAAATCAAATTCTTCTGAATATGAGCAAATTTGTAGGCCCAATTATACAAGTTTTATGCATGACTTGAAAAAAAATACTATTAAGTCCTTAATGCTCAACTCGCTGAGTTAAAACACATTTCAGATCTGGTATGATGGCTCATGCCTATAATCCTAGCACTTGGGGAGGCTGAGGTGTGAGCATCACTTAACCCATTTAGGCCAGAGGTTGCAAATTTTCTTTTGTGAAAAAATCATACCTTGGCAATGACCTTGAGTAGTAGGATATAACTCCCACAAGCTTAGCGTTCCATTGGAAGGCTAAGCACAAATGGGTTAAGCCCTGGAGTTTGAGACCAGCCTGGGCAACATAGTGAGACCGCATATCTAAAAAAAAAAAATTTTAAATAGCCAGCCATGGTAGCATGTGACTGTAGTCTCAGCTACTTAGGAGTCTGAGGCAGGAGGATTGCTTGAGCCCAGGAGGTCCAGGCTGTAGTGAGCTGCGGTTGCACCACTGCACTCCAGCCTGGGGCAACAGAGTAAGACCCTGTCTCTTAAAAAACAAAAACAAACAAAAAAAGAACCACATTTCAACAGACTGCAACTGTCACTCCCATCATCCCATTCACACACCCTCATTTAAACACAAATTTCACAGTAAAAGTACATCACCATCAACACAGAATTTCAGCAAAACAACTGAGAGTCATATTATAACTTGTGAGACTGCTTGGAAAAAACACATAAACCAGAAGTGATGAGCGTCACAGGTTGAGGTGTGCAACAAGAAAAAAGAGGTATGTCAAGAGAAATGGCAGGTAGGCAGGCTCTTACAGCATAGCATCAACACTGTGAAGCCACTGTCAACAACCTACTCTTTAATTTTCCAGTTTCAGAAATTCAACTATCAGTATATTTAGAGATACATGAACAGTCTCCTGGGAGCAGAGGCACATTTTAACGGTATTTATTTATTTATTTATTTTGAGACGGAGTCTCGCTCTCGCCCAGGCTGGGGTGCAGTGGCGGGATCTCGGCTCACTGTAAGCTCCGCCTCCCAGGTTCTCCTGCTTCAGCCTCCTGAGTAGCTGGGACTACAGGCACCTGCCCCCACAAGCGGCTAATTTTTTTTTTGTATTTTTTGTAGAGACGGGGTTTCACCATGTTAGCCAGGATGGTCTCGATCTCCTAACCTTGTGATCTGCCCGCCTTGGCCTCCTAAAGTGCTGGGATTACAGACGTGAGTCACTGCGCCCGGCCACTAACTATTTATAAGAGAAAATTTATTTATTTACAAGGAGGAAGCAAACTCAGGAGAATCAAAATGATCCTATGCAGGCTGGGTGCCATGGCTCACGCCTTAATTCCAAAACTTTGGGAGGATGAGGTAGGAAGATCATTTGAGGCCAGGAATGCAAAGCCAGCCTGGGCAATACAGCAAGACCCCATCTCTAAAATAATAATAATAATAATAATAATAAGCCAGGCATGGTAGCATATGCCTGTAGTCTCAACTATTTGGGAGACTGAAGCTGGAGGATCACCTGAGCCCAGGAGTTCGAGGTTGCAGTGAGTTATGATTGTACCACTGCACTCCAGCCTGGGCAACAGAATAAGATCTTGTCTCTTAAAAAAAAAAAAAAAAAAAAAAGAAGAAGAAAACTGCAATTGGAACTGTCTAATTTCAAAGCCCATTACTCCAGGAGTATCATATACAGCTTTCCCGAACATAACCCTAAAGTGGCCTGGTGAATTAGCTGGGTGATTTTAACAAGTACTACTAAGCCATCCATTGCCACTAAGAGACTCTATCCACTAAGAGGATCAAAATACTGTCCACTGCTCAACGCATCCCCATGCCCTGGACATGAAGAAACACCACCAACTGCCCGCTCTGACTCCCACTTCACAGATGCCATACTTCACTCCATCACTGCTTAGTTGCCACAATATTTCCTCAGCAGACAATAGCATTTTTTAAAGGAAGGCAGCATGATCTAACAATAAAAATGTAAAATCTAGATAACCACCACATTGAGCATGTCTATGAAATATGAAATGTTGCTTCAGCGCCAATTTCCTGGAAACACTAGACTGAAGAACCTGGGTGAGGCGCACACGTTCCTCACACTGACGAAGCAGCAGCTGTGCTCCATTTTAATCTAAGGACATAAATGAGATCAACTAAAGCTTAGCTAAAATTGTAATTGCCACAAAGAACTGATTTCTTTTTGTTTAAATAGGCTTAAGAGTCCAAGAAAGACAATTATTTTGCAGCAAAAGTCCCAAAATAAATCCATGTGATCTTCCAACCAAACATTCAGTATCTATTAGACATGGCTTCAAATCTCTACCAATAAAAACAAAAGGGGATCCGCTGCCGGCATTCTTGATCCTTCCACCATTCATGTTACCCAACTCAACAGCTACAAAGCCCAAAATTCAAGTTTTGCCAGTTATAAGAACATACAACAAGAAAATGTATACAGCTATGAGTCTTAATCAGCAAAACTGGCACAACTGCTGGTACTTACTCCAGAGGAGGCACCCCAGAGACTGAATTATAATCTTAATCAACATTTAACAATAGACTAATTAATAAAACTTCAGAACTTTTAAGCATGAGGTCAGGTGTTTTCTGGTCTCTGAATGAGAGCCTTCTATTAACAAAAAGCTTAACAATAAATTTCTAGCATTACAGAACATAAACTAGTAGGCCAGGTGCAGTGGCTCACACATGTAATCCCAACACTCTGGGAGGCAGAGGCAGGAGAACTGCTTGAGGTTAGGAGTTCAAGCCTAGCACTGGCAAGACCTCGTCTCAAAAAAAAAAAAAAAAAGTCGCAGCTACTTGGGAGGATCCCTTGACCCCAACATGTTGAGGATACAGTGAGCTGTGATTGCAACACTGCATTCCAGCCTGGGCGAGAGCGAGATCCCATCTCTAAAATATAAAGAATAAAGATAAAATAAGGACCATAAACCGGCCACAAAACATTTGGAATTACATCTGAATGGCTTCATAATAGTATTACCATTAATCAAATACCCAATATCTACCAAGTTATCTACATATACTACCCCATGTAATAGCCAATTTGACTTGTATAATCTAAATTTACTAAAAACCTTTCAAAGACTTTATGCTTTTGATCTGGCAACTGCATATCTAAGAATTCATCCTGAGAAAACAGAAATGGAGGCTACAGTCTTAAGTATATGGATGTTCATGGCATGTTACTTACAACTGCTTCCAATTTTCCCCAATATTATGCTCAACAAAAGGGAAATTGCTAAATTACAACACATCTATATGATGGTATATTATGTAGCCTTTAAAATTATCAATTTGGGGCCGGATGCGGTGGCTCACGCCTGTAATCCCAGCACTCTGGGAGGCCAAGGCAGGCAGATCATCCGAGGTCAGGAGTTTGAGACCAGCGTGGCCAACACAGTGAAACCCCCATCTCCAAAGAAAACAAAAAAATTAGTCATATGTCGTAGCATACACCTGTAGTCCCAGCTACTTAGGAGGCTGAGGTGGAAGGATCACTTGAGCCCAGGAGGTTGAGGCTACAGTGACCTGTGAGCGCACTACTGCCTAGGTGACAGAGCAAGACCCTGTCTCAAAAAAACAAACACACAGAAGATAAAATAGTGGTTTACAAACCACAAATCATGCTGTGTGCATTTCCAAGATCATACAATTACTGCTATTATTTGCCTTTCATTTGAGGGTCCTTGTATGTTGTGCCTACTTTTTCCATATGCCACCTACAGAGGTAAATTATCATGTCTCAAAAATATGAAGACATTAATTTAAAGTGAAGCTAAGTTCTGATAACTGTTTGAAGTTCACCCAGGCAAGTCTGCATCAAAGCATCAAACAGAGCCATGACTGGCTTCCAAGCCCACACTTCTATTAAGAGACAGAACATGCCCAGCTTTAATCACATGTACAAGCAGAGATGGCTTGTTCTAAATTTGTTATCACTGCATTGTAACTACTATCATCAGACTAGAGCTGTTAAAAATTAACACCTTTTCCAACTATATGCTTATGTGCAATTGACACTCAGGTGAAAGACTGAATTCTAAACCATTGATCACCAATGTAGGGCAGCCATGCAAGACAATTCTTTAACGGTGGAGGAAGAAACTGAAAATATTAGAATTTTCATTTCCATTTATTTTAGTTCGTCCTTCCTTAAGCTCCATTTTGTGTGTGTACAATGTTACTTTACAGATAACATATTATATATGCATATAATGCACGTTATGTGTATTATATGCACATGTGGCCATATATAATGTATACAACGTATCAGTTCATGTATATAATGTATTATATACATAACAGAAGCATAATCTGAAACATTTTACTGATAGGGATACATGAATGAAAGTTTGGACACCAGTGGTGTGGACACATAGTGGCAGGAAAAAATAGCCAGAACATAAAAATATATATATTTCCTTGAAGAAATGGAATCAGAAATGAGAGGTGAAGGAATGGGAATGGAGAATGTAAACAAGAGGAGGAGTTAAACAGTCTAGGAAAGGAAGGGAAGATGAGTAATATGAGAGAACCCTGGGAGGTAATGGGGGGGGACACTCAAGTAAGTAAACATGATATATTTATGGGTAAAAACTATAGTGATGTTTACTATTATGATTTGATGAAAGGAAATGACTCAAGTGTCTAGGGTGGATCCTGTTCCTGCCTGATGGGCAAGCAAGCAAGTGAAAGACAACCGACCACCAGACACCTTAAAATAGATACTGTGTTGTCAGGTTACAATGGAGCCAACAGAACAGACTGGAAAAACAGGAGCTGTTTATGGCTATCTAATACAGGCTTAACACCAGTTGGAGCCCAAGTTTCTATATGCTAATTTGGCTTGGGAAGGAAGTAAATGCCGAAACATTGACATAATGAACAAGAAATAATTTGGAGTTAGCCTATGTTCAATTACTAAGGTATTCCTAACTTTACCAACTGGCAGAGGGCAATGTCTGGCTGACCACACAATAAATCGTCTTTTATGATGGCTGTAACAAGAAATTTAAGTCAATTAAAGGGGGTGTCAGGTATCCCTTTGACTTAAATTTCTTGTTTCAGCCATCACAAAAAGTGCAGGAATGGAAACAACCTCAACCTCTGTCTTTTCCCAAGCCCTAACAACAAAATCAATTTACATTTTAATTTCTTATTTTCCCTACCAGCCGGTGATCATAACCAGGGTAATATAACAGCTAGAGGAAAAAACAATTGAAAAAGCCACTATCGGGCCGGGTGCGGTGGCTCACAGCACTTTGGAAGGCCGAGGCGGGCAGACCACGAGGTCAGGAGATCGAGACCATCCTGGCTAACATGGTGAAACCCCTTCTCTACTAAAAATACAAAAAATGAGTCGGGCGCGGTGGTGGGCGCCTGTAGTCCCAGCTACTCGGGAGGCTGAGGCAGGAGAATGGCACGAACCCGGGAGGTGGAGCTTGCAGTAAGCCGAGATCGCGCCACTGCACTCCAGCCTAGGCGACAGAGACTCCGTCTCGAAAAAAAAAAAAGAAAAGAAAAGAAAAGAAAAAGCCACTATCAAAAATTGAAGAGTTGTCCGGGAACGGTGGCTCACACCTGTAATCGCAGCATTTTGGGAGGCCGAGGCGGGCAGATCACTAGAGGTCAGGAGTTTGAAATCAGCCTGGTCAACATGGTGAAACCCCGTCTCTACTAAAAAAAAATTACAAAAATTAGCCAGGCGTGGTGGCGCGCGCCCGTAGTCCCAGTTACTCAGGAGGCTGAGGCAGGAGAATCGCTTGAACCCGGGAGACTGGGGTTGCAGTGAGTCGAGAACGCACCACTGCACTCCAGCATGGGCGACAGAGCAAGACTCCGTCTCAAAAACAAAAACAAAAAAAGAAAAAAAATTGAAGAGTTTATTTTCTCTATTTAAACAGTCCTTTCCTAGTTCTCCACATGAGGCATTCACTGACAGAACTGGTTCCTGAGCTTTTGTGGATTAACTTTTTAAATTCTTTCTGAACAGCTTTATGCCAAGGTTCTAAAGTTCACATTGTGTAAAGGAATCATACTTCTGAACAAAGTATTGACACGTGTTTACCATAAGACAGCAGAACAAGCTGCAGTTGGGCAATCGTTTTGTAAACTATTTCATAACTGCAGTAGAAAATCAAGATTTACTTGATGGAGACTTGGGAGACCTCTATAATTTTCTTAATGTTTAGACTATTTCCTCCAGGCTAAATTTATTAAGTCATGATCTAAGTGTTTTAGTGTAAAGTTTACAGCGTTAGTGTCACCGATTCTGTTTGATAAAGACTAGGGGCAGCCCCAAAGCATTTTGAGAATTACTTTGCTTAGTTAAAATATGAGAGGCTGAACTTCTTTCCAGCAAGCTGAGTAGGGAAATGAAACCACCAAACAGCACTGATACTAGGCCGTTTCCAAGCAAATATCCTTTTAAAGCATTGAGCTTTGAACTGACCCAAACTCTGAACTGTGACCTGAAAGAAAAAGGGCCTTCTGGCTTACTACCAGGGTAGAACCGAAACAAACAAACAGCTTGAGTTGAACCAATAGGTACTGTTTTTCAAAAGAATTTAACCAGAAACGCATGTGGTGGGTAAAGAGCATTTCCAAAGACCCCAAAATGAGGTAGTGCAAGTCTTAAACTTTTTCTTTCACCGGAAGTGCAAATCTGTGCATTTAAAGGTAAACTGCGTATATTTAAGCAGAAACCCTCTCCAGAAAAAAAAAAAAAAAAAAGCAGAGGAACATCTATCTACCACAGTGATCCAAACTGGTATTTCTGGTTTGCAGGATGTATGAATCCTAGCAAACCCAGGGCTGCTTCTGAGGTCCACAACGATATCCTACACTCGGGATTAGAAACAGGGAAGGGCCAAAGAGCCAAAGGTGGGGAGGGTTAGCGCTGCTCAACAGTCCACGCGCCCCTCACGCTGCAGTGGGTGCGTCTGCGGTCAGGTTCTCCGCTCCCTCTCCTCGTACCCCACCCCATGCTCGGAGTGTGTGAGGGCAGCTACTGATGCCAGCTCCCCAGCTCCTTTCCGGATGCGGGGGTGACCTGAGAATGGCTATCCTTGCTCCCCCCAGCCCCCAATTCTTCACCAGTAGCAAAGGGAGGGAGTGAGGCCCCGAGGCGGGGAGGGCTTAGCTCCGGGGCAGGCCCGGCTCGCTGCCCGGCGTACCTGGCTCTCGGCTGCGGGGATGCCAGACTCGAGCTCGCACAGCGCGCGGAAGTTGTGCAGCTCGAAGTCGGCGTCGACCTGGAGGGAAAAGGTCACCTCGGAGAGGTCCCTCCGCACACAGTACACGGTGAGCAGCATGGCCCGGGCCCGACCCGGCTCGGCTCGGCTCGGCCCGGCCTGGGCGCGGGGCGCAGGGGAAGAGGCGGCGGCGTGGCCTGGCTGGTGCTGCGGGAGGACGGCGCCGGCTGCTCGTTCGCTCGCTCGCTCCCTCCCTCACACACGCTCAGTGAGTCACTCCCTCCCGCCCTCACTAGCAAGCACGGCCGCCGCCACACGCCTGCGAGTCCGTCTGCCTGCCGGCCTGCCTCCCACGGCTGCCGCCAAGCGCGCCGGCCGCCCGGCGCCCCGCCCCGCCGCAACGCGGCTGCCGTAAAGCCCGCCTCGCCTTCCCCGCCTTCGCAACGCAGCGGGGGGCGGGGCCGGGAAGAGGAGGAGGAAGCCAGGAGAGGATAGGAGGGGGAGGAGTGGGAAGGGGGCGTGGAAGAGGAGAGGGAGGAAGGGCAAGAAAAGGGGAGGGAAGGAAAGGAACGCGGAGAAGGAAATCTCTGCTGACTGGTTGACTTAATGACAGAAGTCTGTGGAGGAGTCCCCGGTCTTATTTATTCACCGAACAGGCATTGATTAAGCGCCTACCATGTGTCGGGCGCTGGCGATGCAGAAATGAATAAAAGGATAAATCCTTCTCCGTAACTCTCAATCTAGTACAGGAGTTAGTAATAAAACATATTTTTCGAGGTAGAAATTGAGGCTCCGACAGAGTAATTCACTTCCTGTCTTAGTGATTTAGGATTGAAACCAAAATCATTACCCTCCCTAGTCTACAGAAGCCAGTTGGCTGTGGCCCACGCCTACCTCCCCAGCCCCTTCTTCCGAGCTCTTCCCACATTCTCTGCCCTCCCAGCCACATAGGTCAGTTCCTCCAAGGCTCCATTCCCCTGTCTTGTAAATAATTTTCTCTCTACTTGGACTGTGTCTGTTTCCTAGCCCTAGCAACTCCTACCACCTAGCGCAGTGCCTTTTTGGGCACAGCTTAGAATCTACTCAATAAATATTTGCTACTTTAATGGCCTGTTTTTAAGGCACACAGCTGATGAGTGGTAGAGGCCCAGAACTAAGGTGCGGATGAGTAAGAAAACCAAAACTGAAAGATGAACTTGTAATGGATGCCAGATTAGCATCTTTCCATTTACTCCCACTCCCCCTCCATGGTAGGGAGCCCTTTTCCATTTTAACAGGAGAGAAGGAGCAAATAAGATGGCTGTGGGTGCAGGTAAGTAGGTAGTAAGTAGGCTGTTGGTGGCAGGAAAGGGAGAATTAGCAGCTGAAGGCTTTTACAAAGAGAAATTAGAGGAGCTGGGCGCGGTGGCTCACGCCTGTAATCCCAGCACTTTGGGAGGCCAAGGCGGGCGGATCACAAGGTCAGGAGTTCGAGACCAGCTTGGCCAATATGGTGAAACCCCGTCTCTACTAAAAATACAAAAATTAGCCGGGCATGGTGGCGGACACCTATAGTCCCAGCTACTCGGGAGGCTGAGGCAGGAGGGTCACTTGAACGCGGGAGGCGGAGGTTGTAGTGAGCCGAGATCAGGTCACTGCACTCTAGCCTGGGAGACAGAGCGAGACTCTGTCTCAAAAAAAAAAAAAAAAAAGAGAAAGTAGAGGCACAGGGGAGTGAGAATGCTTATATCCCCTAGGAGCAACAGAAAGCTTGACTATCAGTGGCTTAAACAAACAAGGGTTTGTTTTCTCACAGGAGAGAAGGCCTGGAGGTAGCAACAGCACTGGTTGAGTGGCTCACTGAAATCAGGGCCAATACTTTTGTAATTGTCTTGACCTTTTCCTGAGGGTTGCAATATATGGCTGGCTGCCTCCACTGCACGCATCATTTTCCTATTCAAGGAAAAAGCTTGCCCAGAAGTCCCTGTGCACATTTTTGCTTACATCTCACTGGACAGAATTGTGTCACATAGATGCAAGAGAGGCTAGGAACGCAAGTATTTAGCTTTGCCTAAAGGACATAAATAGGGAAAAGGGGGGCTGGGAATGGGTATTAGGAAAGATGTACACAGTGCCTTCTACAGTGAATGTTTGAAATAACCATTGCAAATTGAAGCAAGTTTAGCTGAGAAATGTTCTAGGATTGCCCAGTGGTGGTATCAAGGAATCAGTTGAGGCTTGAATCATTGATTAATTGTTATATTTGGTCTAGTGGTGCTCAGGTTCCCAGGTCTGGCAGATTTTGTTCTCCAAAGATGACCATGACAGTGCCTCCCATCGTCTATGCTCTTCCTACAACATGATTGGATAACCCTCCCATTAAGAAGTGGGGTGAATGTCCCTCCCTTTGAATCATGGCTCGGCAGACTAACTCTGGCATAAGTGACATTATGTGATTTCCTTTTTTTTTTTTTTTTTTATCAAGACAGGGTCTGGCTCTGTCACCCAGGCTGGAGTGCAGTGGCACGATCATGGCTCACTGCAGCCTCAACCTCCAGGGCTCAAGTGATCCCTCCAGCTCAACCTCCCCAGCAGCTGGAACTACAGGTGTGCACCACCACACGCAGCTAATTTCTTTTTAGTAGAGATGAGATCTTGCTATGTTGCCCAGGCTTGATTTCCTTTTTATTATGATTTTACATTATTTTTAGTTAAAAAAAATAGGGATGAGTCCTTGCTATGTTGACCAGGCTAATCTCCAAATCCTGGCCTCAAGTGATCCTCCCACCTTGGCCTCACGAAGTACTGGGATTACAGATGTGAGCCATCGCACCCAGCCACTTTGTGTGATTTTTAAGGCTAGGTCTCGCCTGTGTCCACCTGGAGCCAGCAGTTCTCACCCAGCATCCAGCAATATATGCCAGACACCAATGGAGGGGACAAAGCAATGGTGGACAGGCTCAGGCTGGGGCTGCTGCTTCTGGCACTGCTCCTACTTATGCAGATTTATTCAAATCAAACTATTGTAACGTTTTCAAGTAACTCCTCCCAGGGTACCTTGTCTGCCCCAAACCCAGCTAATGCCACCACCAAGGCAGTTGGCTGTGCCCTGCAGTCAACTGCCAGTCTCCTCATGGTCTTGCTTTCTCTTCTATATTTCTACTGTTAAGAAACATCTATACTTCCGTGTCTTCTAAACCCATTCCAAATGGCATCTAGGAGTCCAATGTGGCAAGAAAAAAAGCGGGTCTTCATCAAATCTATTAATTTCACACCTTCTTTTACTGATACAGAAAAGGTTGAGAACCTGGCCAGGTGTGGTGGCTCATGCCTGTAATCCCAACACATTGAGAGGTCGAGGCAGGTGGATCACCTGAGGTCAGGAGTTTGAGACCAGCCTGGCCAACATGGTGAAACCCCGTCTCTACTAAAAGTACAGAAAAATTACCCAGATATGGTGGTGGATGCCTGTAATCCCAGCTACTTGGGAGGCTGAGGCAGGAGAATTGGTTGAACCTGGGAGGCAGAGGTTGCAGTGAGCCGAGATTGCGCCATTGCACTCCAGCCTGGGCAACAAGAGCAAAACTCTGTCTCAAAAAAAAAAAAAAAAAAAAAAAAGGCCAGGCGCGGTAGCTCACATCTGTAATCCCAGCACTTTGGGAGGCCGAGGCAGGTGGCAGGTGGATCACAAGGTCAGGAGTTCAAGACCAGCCTGACCAACATGGTGAAACCCCGTCTCTACTAAAAATATAAAAATTAGCCAGACGTGGTGGTGTGTGCCTGTAATCCCAGCTACTCAGGAGGCTGAGGCAGGAGAATGGCTTGAACATGGGAGGCAGAGGGTGCAGTGAGCCGAGATCGCGCCATTGCACTCCAGCCTGGGCGACAGAGTGAGACTCCATCTCAAAAAAAAAAAAAAAGGAAAGAAAGAAAGAAAAGGTTGAGAACCCCAAATTTAATTGCTTTGAAGAACACGTGAAGGGTTTGACTAGATGATGGATGCCAATATTAAATCTGCTTAAATGTCATGTACAAGATGAAGAGAGGCAACATCCAAAATTGAAGACATTATTTCTTGAATGTGGCTTAAGAAATGTGGACAGTTAAAACTACCTTGAAAATAAGAATAGTAGATCCTGAGACAAAACTTGGGTAATAAAAAAAAAATAATAATAAATAATAGATTTTATCTTGTTTAGAAATAAAGATGTAATATGGAGTGGAGATTCAGTTTTCATTTGGTTCATTAAGTCTATACGGCAGTAAAACCAGTAAAATAAAAGATTTCCATTGGCAGGGGTGGGGGTGGCTCATACCTGTAATCCTAGCACTTTGGGAGGCCACAGCAGGAGGATCGATTGAGCCCAGGAGTTTGAAATCACCCTGGGCAACAGGGTGAGACCCCATCTCTACAAAAAAAAATTTATTTTAATTTAATTAATTTATTTATTTATTGAGATGGAGTCTTGTTCTGTTGCCCAGGCTGGAGTGCAGTGGTGCGAGCTCAGCTCACTGCAACCTCCACTTCCCTGGCTCGTGATTCTCCTGCCTGAGCCTCCCAAGTTGCTGGGATTACAGGCCTGCACCACCATGCCCCGCTAATTTTTATTTTTTGTTTTTCCTTTCTGAGACACAGTCTCGCTCTGCCATCCAGGCTGGAGTGCAGTGGTGCGATCTCAGCTCACTGCAACCTCTGCCTCGCAGGTTCAAGTGATTCTTGTGCCTCAGCCTCCTGAGTAGCTGGGATTACAGGCACCCACCACCATACCTGGCTAATTTTTGTATTTTTAGTGGAGACAGGGTTTCACCATGTAGGCCAGGCGGGTCGCAAACTCCTGACCTCAGGTGATCTACCCACTGGGCCCCCCAAAGTGCTGGGATTACGGGCATGAGCCACTGCACCTGGCCATAATCTCCTTTTTTTTTTTTGAGGCAGCGTTTCACTCTTGTCCCCCAGGCTGGAGTGCCATGGCACGATCCCAGCTCACTGCAATCTCCACCTCCCGGGTTCAAGCCATTCTCCTTCTTTAGCCTCCTGAGTAGCTGGGACTACAGGAGCATGCCACCATGCCCAGCTAATATTTGTATTTTTAGTAGAGATGGGGTTTCACCATGTTGGCCAGGCTGGTCTCAAACTCCTGACCTCAGGCGATCCAGCTCTCTCGTCCTCCCAAAGTGCTGGGATTACAGGTGTGAGCCACCGTGTCTGGCCCACAAATTTAAAAAAAGAGGTGGGCATGGTGTCACACACTTGTGGTCACAGCTACCCAAGAGACTGAGGTAGGATGATCACTTCAGCCCTGGAGGTCAAGGCTGCAGTAAGCCATTATCATGGCACTCCAGCCTGGGTGACAGAGCAAGATCCTGTCTTAAAGTTTAAAAAAGCTTCCATCGGCTGGGTGCAGTGGCTCACACCTGTAATCCCAGCACTTTGGGAGACCAAGGCGGGTGGATCACAAGGTCAGGAGTTCAAGACCAGCCTGGCCAAGATGGTGAAACCCCATCTCTACTAAAAATACAAAAAATTAGCTGGGCACGGTGGCAAGTGTCTGTAATTACAGCTACTCGGGAGGCTGAGGCAGGAGAATCGTGTGAACTCGGAGGGTGGAGGCTGCAGTGAGCTGAGACCGCACCACTGCACTCCAGCCTGGAAGACAGAGTGAGACTCCGTCTCAAAAAAAAAAAAAAAAGCTTCCATCATTCTATAAATCCTCAATGTATTATTTCAGCAGTACTAATTTAATGCCAATATATTAAGTTTTACATTGTTAGGCTATCACTGTTCTTTTGGTAACTGAATTCTTTTTCCTCTGAGGATTTGGATTTGACATTGCATTTGACCTTTTATTTAGTAATTGACATGTGCCAGGGCAATGATAGACTGCAATCTACCCCCAAGTCCAAGCATCATCAATAACTCTTGTTTATCCTTAGAGAGTCAAATGGTAGGCATTTCATTTCACCTATTTTCGTTCAACAAGGACACCAGATTCATTAAGGGGCTGGGTGCGGTGGCTCACCCCTGTAATCCCAGCACTTTGGGAGGCTGAGGCAGGTGGATCACTTGAGGTCAGGAGTTCGAGACCAGCCTGACCAACAAGATTAAACCCTGTCTCTACTAAAAATACAAAAATTAGCTGGGCATGGTGGTGTGCCTGTAATCCCAGCTACTCAGAGGCTGAGATAGGAGAATTGCTTGAACCTTAGAGCCAGAGGTTGCAGTGAGCCAAGATCATGCTACTGCTGTCCAGCCTGGGAGACACAGTGAGACTCCATCTCAAAAAACAAAAAAAGATCTGTTTTGAAGGTAAAATTATAAACCTTGAAATTAAAAGGGCAAAAATGTAAAGGAGCCAAAAACTGTATATCAAGTATTTGGAAAGTAAAGACTGAAAGTTAACTTGCATTAAAGTCACAAAAACTTTTATACTCTTTTCTTTTTCTTTCTTTCTTTTTTTTTTTTTTGAGATGGAGTTTCACTCTTGTTGCCCAGGCTGGAGTGCAATGGCATGATCTTGGCTCACCGCAACCTCCGCCTCCCAGGTTCAAGCGATTCTCCTGCCTCAGCCTCCTGAGTAGCTGGGATTACAGGCACGCACCACCACGCTCGGCTAATTTTGTATTTTTAGTAGAGATGGAGTTTCTCCATGTTGGTCAGGCTGGTCTTAAACTCCTGACCTCAGGTGATCTGCCCGCCTCAGCCTCCCAAAGTGCTGGGATTACAGGCCTGAGCCACCGTGCCCAGGCTATACTCTTTTTCTGTAAATGCTTTTTGCAAACAACAACTATGGATCAGAATAGCTGCATTTAAAACACATTTTGGGGCTTTTTTTTTTTTGAGACAGAGTCTTACTCTGTCGCCCAGGCTGGAGTGCAATGGAGCGATCTTGGCTCACTGCAACCTCCGCCTCCCAGGTTCAAGTGATTCTCCTGCCTCAGCCTCCCGAGTAGCTAGGATTACAGGTGCACAACACCACACCTCGCTAATTTTTGTATTTTTTGTAGAGACGGCATTTCACCATGTTGGCCAGGATGGTCTTGAACTCCTGACCTCGTGATCTGCCCACCTCAGCCTCCCAAAGTGCTGGGATTACAGGCGTGAGCCACCGCACCCAGCTGGGGCCTTTTTTTTTAAGAGACATGGTCTCACCCTGTTACCCAGGCTAGAGTTCACTGCGGCCTCAACCTCGTGGACTAAAGCAATCCTCCTGCCTCAGCCTCCCAAGTAGCTAGCACTACATGCGTGTGCCACCATTCCCAGCGAATTTTTATCTTTTTGTAGAAATAGGAGTCTTTCTATGTTCCCAAGCTGTTCTTGAACTCCTAGGCTCAAGCAATCCTCTTACCTCATCTCCTAACGTGCTGGGATTACAGACATGAGCCATCATGCCCTGTTTGAAACACATTTTGTTATGTCAATATTTTTAGATAGTTAGAACCTGGTCCTAAACCGCAAAGTAAGCTTGATTCTGTAATAAAAATGTTTACAACTGTCTTGACACACAGAAACCTTTTTAAAAATAGACACTCCCTGAAGTCCTTTGTTCACAAGGTCACACACTGATGCTTATGTGTTCCAGCATCTAATATGGCCACAGTAGTCTTTTTTTTTCCATCTTTAGAAACCTACACGGGAACAGCAGATGGAACAGATCTGAACCCACTCCACTGTGTGTGTGAATGAACACTCCCTTTTGCTCCATGCCGAAATGCTGTACATCTATTTTGGATTGTATATTTGTGTGTGTATGCTTTGATTCATAGTAACTTGTTATGAAATTGATTTGTATTGAATACAAACTGCAAATAAAAATAAATCAATGGCTGAAAAAAAGTCAGTACAGCTTCTCCGTGATTCTCTTGGAACGCTTGCTCTTGGAACCCAGCAGCCATGCTGTGAGGAAGCCCAAACTACACCACACGGTGAGACCGCATGGAGAAAATACGTGTGGTTGTTCCAGAAAGCTGCTCAGCTGAGGGGAAAGCTGATTAGCGGGAAAACTCACCAAGCACAGAAGTGAAGACACTTTCAGATGACTTCAACCCCCAGATGTTGAATCATCTCCAACTTATGAGTCTTTCCAGATGAGGCTTCAGACATTATGGAGCCGTCTCCACTGTATTGCCTTTGAATTTCTGACCTACAGAAACTATAAGCATAATAAAATAAAAATACAAAGTAAAACCAAAATGAGATACCACTTTATGCTCACTAGGATGGCTATAATAAAAAAGACAGAGTTGGGCGTGGTGGCTCATACCTGTAATCCCAGCACTTTGGGAGGCCAAGGCAGGCAAATCACTTGAAGCCAGGAGTTCGAGAGCAGTCTGGCCAACACGGTGAAACCCCATCTCTACTAAAAATATAAAAATTAGGCCGGATGCGGTGGCTCATGTCTGTAATCCCAGCACTTTGGGAAGCAGAGGAGGGCGAATCCCGAGGTCAGGAGTTCGAGACCAGCCTGACTAACATGGTGAAACCCCGTCTCTACTAAAAATATAAAAATTAGCTGGGCATGATGGTGTGTGCCTGTAATCCCAGCTACTTGGGAGGCTGAGGCAGGAGAATTGCTTGAACCCAAGAGGTGGATGTTGCAGTGAGCCGAGATCGTGCCATTGCACTCCAGCCTGGGTGACAGAGTGAGACTCCATCTCAAAAAAATGAAAATAAAAAAATAAAAATTAGCCGGCTATAGTGACATGCGCCTATAACTCCAGCTATTCTGGAGGCTGAGGCAGGATAATTGCTTGAACCCTGGAGGTGGAGGTTGCAGCGTGCCGAGAATGTGCCACTGCACTCCAGCCTGGGGGACAGAGGGAGACTCTGTCCAAAAAGATACTCAAAAAAAAAAAAAAAAAAAAAAGGCAGATGATAACAAGTGGTGATGAGGATGTGGAGAAATAGGAACCCCTAATAGACTGCTGGCGGGAATGTAAAATGGTGCAGCCACTTTGGAAAAAAGTTTGACAGTTCCTCAAAAAGTTAGACATACAGGATAGGCACAGTGGCACATGCCTATAATCCCAGCACTGTGAGACTGAGGTGGGAGGATCACTTGAGCCCAGGAGTTGGAACCAGCCTGGTTAACATTATGGGACCCCATTTCTTAAAAAAAAAAAAAAAAAAGGTGGGGGGGCCAGGTGCAGTGGCTCACGCCTGTAATATCAGCACTTTGGGAGGCTGAGGCAGGTGGATCACTTGAGGTCAGGAGTTCAAGACCATCCTGGCAAACACGGTGAAACCCTGTTTCTACTAAAAATACAAAAATTAGCTGGGTGTTGTGGCACACGCCTGTAGTCCCAGCTACTTGGGAGGCTGAAGCAGGAGAATTGCTTGAACCTGGGAGGTGGAGTTTGCAGTGAGCCGAGCTTGCACCACTGCACTCCAGCCTGGGAAACAGAGCAAGACCCTGTCTTAAAAAACAGATAAACAAGCAAACAAACTTAGACAAAGAGTTACCAAATGATCCAGAAATTCTACCCCCCAAAATATACCCAAGAAAATAAAAATATATATCCACGCAAAAACTTGTACATAAATGTTCATAGCAGCATTAGTCGTAATAGCCAAAAGTAGAAACAAGTATCCATCAACTGATGAATGGATAAATAAAATGTGGTATATCCATATAAAAGAATATTATTTGGCAACCGAAAAAGAAGTATTAGTGCTACAGTTCTTTTAGAATTTGTCTAGCAGGGCCAGGCGCGGTGGCTCACGCCTGTAATCCCAGCACTTTGGGAGGCCGAGGCGGGTTGATCACGAGGTCAGGAGTTCAAGACCACCCTGGCCAAGATGGTGAAACCCCATCTCCACTAAAAATACAAAAAATTAGCCGGGTGCAGTGGCAGGTGCCTGTAATCCCAACTACTCAGGAGGCTGAGGCAGGAGAATCATTTGAACTCGGTGGGCAGAGGTTGCAGTGAGCCAAGATCGTGCCACTGCACTTCAGCCTGGGTGACAGAGTGAGACTCCATCTCAAAAAAAAAAAAAAAAAAAAAAAAAGAATTTGTTTAGCAGGTTTTCTGGTCTTCACTGGAAAGCCCCTTTAAAAAAATTAAAATAAAAGTATTGATATATACTATCACATAGATTAACCATGAAAATGTTATGCTAAGTTAAAGGAGCCAGTAACAAGAGATATATACTGTATGAGTCCAATTATATGAAATATCCAGAAAAGGCAGTCCATAAGAGACAAAGTTTATTTTATTTATTTATTTATTTTTGAGGAAAAAAAATAAAACCTGCCACCACGCCCAGGTAATTTTTTTTTTTTTTTTTTTTTTTTTTGCGATGGAGTCTTGCTCTGTTGCCCAGGCTGGAGTGCAGTGGCGTGATCTCGGCTCACTGCAAGCTCCGCCTCCCGGGTTCACGCCATTCTCCTGCCTCAGCCTCCCGATTAGCTGGGACTACTGGTGCCCACCACTGCGCCTGACTAATTTTTTGTATTTTTAGTAGAGAAGGGGTTTCACCATGTTGGCCAGGTTGGTCTCAAACTCCTGACCTCAGATGATCCACCTGCTTCAGCCTCCCAAAGTGCTGGGATTACAGGTGTGAGCCACCGCACCTGGCAGACAAAGTTTATTAGTGGTTGCCTAGGGCTTGTGGAGAATCGGGGGATGGCAGTATATGGGAAGTGACTGCTAATGGGTATAGAATATCTTTTTGGAGTAATGAAAATGTTCTAAAATTGATTTGTGGTGTTTGTTATACACACCTGTGAATATACCAAAAACCACTGAATTGTACATTTTATTTATTTTTTGAGACAGAGTCTTGCTCTGTTGCCCAGGCTAGAGTGCAGTGGCGCGATCTCGGCTCACTGCAACCTCCGCCTCCTGGGTTCAAGTGATTCTCTTGCCTCAGCCTCCCTAGTAGCTGGGATTACAGGCATGTGCCACCATGCCCGGCTTCTTTTGTATTTTTTAGTAGAGAGAGGGTTTCTCCATGTTGGTTCGGCTGGTCTTGAACTCCCAACCCCAGGTGATCCACCCACCTTGGCCTCCCAGAGTGCTGGGTTTACAGGCGTGAGCCACTGCGCCCGGCTGAATTGTACATTTTAAATGGGTGATTTTGTGATATGTGATTTAATCTCAATAAAGTTGTTAAAAATTAGTTTTGAAAAGTTCACACTGGCTGTTGAGAATGGGTTGTACCGGGCAAAAGGAGAAACACAAAAATGTTAATGGGGCTAGAAAGGTGGTGACAAAAGAGAGAGAAGCAGGTGAATTAGAGAGATACTTTGAAAAGTCAACAGGACTTGCCAATGGGTTGGACCTGGAGAATGAGGGAGAGGGAGGAATGACTTCTGAGTTGAGGGAAAGTAAACCCAAGAAATGATACACGATCAATAAATCCCAGTATCCAAGAAGTACTCTGTGTTGTACTAGGATTCAGATCCAAGATTCAACTCCTTGGAATGGGTTAGGGTTGGATTTAGGATATTTTACAACACCCTCCCACCTAGATCCAACAAGCTTTTGTGGCAGACCCGCCTGCTCACAGTTCTGCTCACTGAACTCTCCCCACCACCCCCTGCCTCTCTTAAGAGAATCACTTCTGTAGCAGAGTTCCCACAGCTCTGCCCCTCAGCTGCTTTCCTCTTGGGCCTCACCCCTTTTGGACTCTGCTCAATAGCGTCTTGGGATCTGGCTCAGAGTGTAGACTCCTACTTTTCTCATCACTCTATGAGACACACTTTGAACCTCCATTACCTGTGACCATAAATGGCTAGAGATATTTCCAGTCCTTAATTTTAAGTCAGGATGGGGTGGAGTGGAGGTTGAGAGCAGGGAGAGCTCAGAAACCAGAATCCTGCTCTAGACCAGCAGTGCTACCAAGAAGAATAGGTCCCATTTATCGATCAACGCTGTGCGTCAAGCACCTTCCAAATGATTGCTAACATTTCCAAATATTGACTTTGTGCCGGACACTCTTCTAAGCACTTTATGTGTATTGAGTCACTTAATTCTCACAGAAATCCTAGGAGGTATTATCTTCATTTTACAGATGAAACTGAAGGATAGAGGAGGGACAGTCTCTTGTCTAAGGATACACAAGCAGTACATGACGGCACAAGGATTCAAAGCAGGTAATCTGACTCAAGCTCAGTCCTCACCACCAGTTTATATTGCTACATGTAAGACCTCATTTCATCCTTCTAGAAGTCCTCAGAGACAGGAACTGTGAGTAATCATTCCCATTTCATGGATAAAGAAACTGAGGCATGGGGATTTTAATTAATGTACCCGAGTTCACATAGCTAGTAAACGGCAGACTCTCCAAATTGGAAGACAGTTGTGGAGTGAAAATATTTATTATTTTTTTTTTTGAGACGGAGTCTCATCCTGTTGCCCAGGCTGGAGTGCAGTGGCACACCTCGGCTCACTGCAACCTCTGCCTCCCAGGTTCAAGCGATTCTCCTGCCTCGGACTCCCTAGTAGCTGGGATTAAAGGCGTGCACCACCATGCCTGGCTATTTTTTTTTTCTTTTTTGGAAGAAAATGACTTTATTCTAATTAACTCACAAAGAATAAAATCATAACAGCTAGTTTAAGGAGGCCACACAAACATTTGCCCAGTCCCAGATTCTACAGAGTAGGAACACCCTCCCTTCCATTTCAATTCTGAAGCAAGGAAGCTAGGAATGACAGGAGAAGTTTAACTGATGCTTACACTTTATACCCTCACTACCAATTCTATTTTTATACTAAATTAATTAGTATGAGAGCTGATTTTCCATCTCTCCAGGTTGAACTTCTTGATTAGGCCAATCCGTTTGCAAGTCGGCACTGTTTCAGCACCTCATTGAAACCCTCACAGAGCTTGATGTCACCCTGGTTCTCGGCACACTCCAGAAACTGTTTGATCTCACAGAAGCAAGGCTGCTGCTGCTGTGCCGGCTGGGTTCCCTGAGGCTCCTGGTAAGTGATGTCAGGCCTCGCAGGCTCAGCATTACTTCCTCCACTGAAGCCCCCAGTAATGGCATGACCCAGTATGTGCCCCACAGCAGAGCCCACAGCCACGCCAGCTGCAGTGGTTGCCATCTGGGCCATCAGACCTGGCTGCCGGGGCGCAGCAGCAGAAGAGCCAACTGTAGATGGCGGTGCCGCTGCTGGTGGCTGAGCGACTGGTGCTGGCCTGGGTGCAGCTCTCATCTGAGGGGCCCGGCTGGCCGGAGGGGCCATGCGGGAGGTGTGGCTTCGGCTTCCAGGTATCCTAGGTACGCGACGGCTCGGCCTCCGGACGTGTGACAACCAGCGAAGAGCTAAGTGACTTCTTCCGCCTGGCTAATTTTTGTATCTTTAATAGAGACGGGTTTCACCATGTTGGCCAGGCTGGTCTCGAACCCTGACCTCAGGTGATCCGCCTGGCTCAGCCTTTCAAAGTCCTGGGATTACAGGCATGAGCCACCAGGCCGAAAACATTTATTTCTAACCTTTAGAGCACAAACTCTCTGTCTATACTAATTACATGGGGAGTCACCTTGCTGCGCTCCAAAACGCTCAGTTTCATCACCACATGGTCACCAGCAAAGTTTCGTTTCTTTTAAGTGGCGTGATCTCAGCTCACTGCAACCTCTGCCTCCTGGGTTCAAGCGATTGTCCTGCCTCAGCCTCCAGAGTAGCTGGGATTACAGATGCGCGCCACCACACACGGCTAATTTTTGTACTTTCAGTAGAGATGGGGTTTCGCCTAGTTGGCCAAGCTGGTCTCGAACTCCTGACCTCAAGTGATCCCAAAGCGCTGAGATTACAGGCATGAGCGACCACACGCCCGACCTTCACCCATTATTTGTCAGGAAATTTCTGGCCAGCCTAACATTAGCAGGTGTTGACGTAACTAAAAGCTTCTGTCTTACTTTGAGGAAATGCTCTTGCACAACTGAACTAGCCTCATTGACACAATTCTGCACCGTTTCACTGCTTCACCATAGCCAGCCCAGACAAGTCTCAAGCGCCGGTTTCCTTTCTTTGGTCGCACCAGCCAAAGCCAGGACTTTGTAAAAGGATACGGCGCAAACCCCAGGAATGCCTCGCCTATGCGCTCAGAGCCACAACTGCCTTCGCGAAAAGCTCTGCCAAAGGGCGGTTGCGCCGCATCACGTGCCTGCGGCGTAATCTCCCACTGGGCAGCGGCGCTGGCTCACGTGACACGTGCAGGCCAATGCCTGGCGTCCGCGCATTTGGCTCCTGGTTGCTAGGCGACGCCAACCCGATTCTGGTTGCTGGAGTTTATCCTCCCGAGGTTGCTGTGCGAGTTTCGGACTCAGCTCAAGCGCTTGGATCCCTACAGCACCTGCGAGGGCTTCTCCTGGCTGCCGCTTTCGTTCTGGCGAATGTTCGGGGTGGCAGCCCCCCTTCGAGGCTTGCACGAGGGCGTCCCGGCATCCGCGATCAAGCGGGCCCTGCTGCTTTTGGGGCTGACCCTGCGGCTGGGGTGCTGCGGCGTCGCTCTGGCTATGCCCGGTCCACTCACGGACTCCCTGCTTTGGCCTGCTCAGCTCAGGAGAACCGGGCCCGACTCCATTTCGGGCAGTGGTGGACAGGGAAACTAGTGCCTGCCTGTAGTGGTCCCAGGCATAGAGCTTCCTGCAGCTACCCTGTGGCTTAGTTCACGTTTTGTTGCTTTGACCACCGATGAGAAATGTGCAGTAGGGACCCTGTAGGAGTCTGCTTACCCGAAATGGTTTCTGTCTTGAATAGTTGTTGAGTGAAAGGTAACGTGTTTCGATTAAATATATATGTGTGTGTGTGTGTGTATTCCCAGAAGTGAAAAGACTTAAATATTCTTTTTTTTTTTTTTTTGAAATGGAGTCTCGCTCTGTCGCCCAGGTTGGAGTGCAGTGGCGCGGTCTCGGCTCACTGCAACCTCTGCCTCCCGGGTTCTCTGCCTCAGTCTCCCAGTAGCTGGGATTACAGGCGCCCACCACCACGCCTAGCTAATTTTTTTTTTTTTTTTTTTTTTTTTTTTTTTTTTTTAGTAGAGACGGGGTTTCACCATCTTGGCCAGGCTAGTCTTGAACTCCTGACCTCGTGATCCACCCACCTCGGCCTCCCAAAGTGCTGGAATTACAGGTGTGAGCCACTGCGCCTGGCCTAGGATTTTCAATCTAGAAACGGTCGTGGAGTGTCTGGGACTTGTATGTAGCTCGCTGTTTACTAGAGGGTTTGGTATTTCACGTGTATTTAATTTATATTTGGATTGGATTTTACTTACTTTTCTAATCAGCCTGTGAACTAAAGTGAACAAACAGGTTTCAGTGCCCTTTGTTTTCAGACATAAGGAAACATGACCGGAGAAATTATAGTCATGCATTGTTTAACAGAGATATGAGAAATGCATCTTAGGTGAATCTATCATTGGAATATCATAGAGTTTTTTTGTTTGTTTGTTTTGTTTTTGAGACAGGGTCTTGCTGTGTCGCTCAGGCTGCAGTGCAGTGGTGCCATGACAGCTCGCTGCAACCTCGATCTGCTGTGATACTTCTGCCTCAGCCTCCTGAGTAGCTGGGACTGCAGGCCTGCATCACCATGCCAGACTAATTTTTTAAAATTAAATTATATATTTTTGTATATTTTAATTTTCTTTTTATAGAGAAAGGGTCTTGCTATGTTTCTCAGGCTGGTCTCGAACTCCTGGTCTCAAGCAATCCACCTGCCTCAGCCCCCCAAAGTGCTGGGATTACAGGCCTGAGCTACCATGTCTAGACCACAGCCGGCTAATTTTAATTTTTTTTGTATAGACAGGGTTTCTCCCTCTGTTGCCCAGTCTGGTCTCCAACTTCTGGGCTCAAGCAGTCTTCCTGCCTTGACCTTCTAAAGTGTTGGAATTACAGGCATGAGCCACTGAGTCCTGCCCATAGAGTGTACTTACGCAAACCTAGATAGTATAGCCTACTGCACACCTAGGCTATATGATACAGCCTACTGCTCCTACGCTACAAATCTCTACAGCATGTTACTGTACTGTATACTGTAGGCAATTGTAACACAATGGTTGGTATTTTTGTATCTAAACATAGAAAGGGTACACTAAAAATGGTACAATAAAAATACAATATTGTAATCTGATGGAACCACTGTCTTATATGCAGTCTGTTGTTGACTAAAGATCATGTGACATGTGACTGTATTTGCTCAATGTATTGCATGGAGAGGGCCAGTGCTTCTCAAATGTGTGTAGTAACCACTTAGCAATCTTTTGTTTTTTTAAGACGGAGTCTCACTCTGTCACCCACGCTGGAGTGCAGTGGTGCGATCTTGGCTCACTGCAACCTCTGCCCCCCGGGTTCAAGCAATTCTCCTGCCTCAGCCTCCTGAGTAGCTGGGATTTCAGGCGCACACCACCACGCCCGGCTAATTTTTGTATTTTTAGTAGAGACGGGGTTTCACCACCTTGGCCAGGCTGGTCTTGAACTCCTGACCTCGTGATCCACCCCCCTCGGCCTCCCATAGTGCTGGGATTACAGGCGTGAGCCACCGCGCCCGGCCAGGAACCTTGTTAAACTGTATATTCTGATTCATTAGGTCTGGAGCAGGTCCTGAGAATTTCTGCAGTTCTGACAAGCTCCCAGGTGTATATGATTCTGCTGGTGTGATGCACGCCTCAAATAGCAGTAGCCCTAAGTGACACGGTTAATAGCACAATTGCCTCCTTTCCATATCTGATTCTTATGCCCAAACAACAATTTCTTAATATTTATGAAATTTCAGTTACATATGAAGAGAAAGTCATAGGATGGAAATGACAAATAGCGTTGCCAAGATAGAATTTTTATTAAGGATTCATTTTGCTTATTTTATTACTTGAAAATCTGAGAATTCACAATATTGGAAATAATGGGCTTAAAAATATCAAGCTGGCTGGGTGTGGTAGCTCGAGCCTGTAATCCCAGCACTTGGGAGGCCGAGGCGGGGGGATCACCTGAGGTCAGCAGTTTGAGACCAGCCTGGCCAACATGGTGAAACCCCATCTCTACTAAAAATACAAAAATTAGCCAGGCATGGTGGTGGGCGCCTGTAATCCCAACTTCTCGGGAGGCTGAGGCAGGAGAATTGCTTGAACCCACGAGGCGGGGTTTGCAGTGAGCCAAGATGGCACCACTGCACTCCAGCTTGGGCCACAAGAGCAAAACTCCATCTCGAAAAAAAAAAAAGTATCCAGCGACACGGTAGCTCACGCCTGTAATCCCAGCACTTTGGCTGGTCAAGGCAGGTGGATCACGAGGTCAGGAGTTCAAGAACAGCCTGGCCAAGATGGTGAAACCCCATCTCTAATAAAAACGACAAAAATTAGCTGGGCACAGTGGCAGGCACCTGTAATCCTAGCTACTCGGGAGGCTGAGGCAGGAGAATCGCATGAACCTGGGCGGCAGATGTTGCAGTGAGCCGAGATTGCGCCACTGAACTCCAGCCTGGGCGACAGAGAGACTCCATCTCAAAAGAAAAAAAAAAAGTATTAAGCTTTTTGTTGTTAGAAAGTCTTTAACTGCTGGGCGTTGTGGCTCACGCCGGTAATCCCAGCACTTTGGGAGGCCAAGGCAGGCGAATCACCTGAGGTCGGAAGTTCAAGACCAGCCTGACCAACATGGAGAAACCCCATCTCTACTAAAATTACAAAATGAGCTGGGCGTGGAGGCACATGCCTGTAATCCCAGCTACTCGGGAGGCTGAGGCAGGAGAATCACTTGAATCCCGGAGGTGGAGGTTGCAGTGAGCGGACATCATGCCACTGCACTCCAGCCTGGACAACAGAGTGAGACTGTGTCTCAAAAAAAAAAAAAAAAAAAAAAGATTTGTTAGGCAGGACCAGAGCAATGCCAACTCTAGGGCTAATTATTCCCCTGAGGCAAGACCTTCATAAGTACTCTTTCCAATGCCCCACACATTACGAGTTTTTCCAATCTGGATCATAGGAGTAGGCACTATTCCTTCTAATCCAGGGGTCCCAGTCTCCAGGCCGCGGACTAGTACCAGTTGGTGGTCTGTTAAGAGCCGGGCCGCATAGCAGGAGGTGAGTGGCAGGCGAGCGAGCATTACTGCCTGAGTTCTGTCTCCAGTCAGATCAGCAGCAGTATTCCATTCTCATAGCAGCACAAACCCTATTGTGAACTGTGCACGTGAGGGATCTAGGTTGCCCACTCCTTATGAGAATCTAACGAACGTCTGATGAACTGAGGTGGAAGAGTTTCATCCCGAAACTCCAAAAAGGTTAGGAATCGCTGTAGTAATCCTTTTACGTGGTTCTTTCCCCAGCCTTGTGTAGTTTTCTTACATATGTATCCTGAACAGTACTCTGCTGAATGCTAGAGGCGGGGACCTTTTACAGATCTCTGGGGTTCTGTCTGAACAACTCTCTTTCTCTGGTACTCTGTCCTTTCCATCTGGCTACCTTGGTCTCCCTGGACTCAGCTCTGTCTCCTCAGCTCCGGGATTCCACCAGGCCCTTCCTCACTTTGCTCTTCTTGCAGTAGAGCCTGGAAACCCTCAAGGCAGTAAGCTGGAGCAATAATAGGGCTCACTTCACTTGTACTTTTTTTTTTTTGAGACGGAGTCTGGCACTGTTGCCCAGGCTGGAGTGCAGTGGCGCGATCTCAGCTCACTGCCACCTCCACCTCCAGGGTTCAAGCGATTCTTCTGCCTCAGCCTCCCGAGTAGCTGGGACTACAGGCGTGTACCACCACACCCGGCTAATTTTTGTATTTTTAGTAGAGACGGGGTTTCACCATATTGGCCAGACTGGTCTCGGACTCCTGTCCTCGTGATCCGCCCGCCTCGGGCTCCGAAAGTGCTGGGATTACCGGCGTGAGCCACCGCGCCCAGCCATTTGTACTTTTTTCAGGGATTTCTGTCCTTTGTTGCGTGATATCCGGTGTCTTAAAGACCATTTGTTACATTTTGGGGATCCGTATTTTGGTTGTTTATGTGGGAAAGTAAATCTAGCCCCTGTTTATCTTCAGTTCTGGAAGTGGAAGTCCAAATATCACACCCACCTGGCACACTTTTACCACCCCAAACCATTGAATATGGAAACTGTTTTAAGTGAGGTTGTATACTATTGAACTCATATCCAATTACTTCCAGGGGAAGCTATTATCCTGTCTTGATATCCCTAACAGACTTAACCAATGCCTGGCACTTGGCTGACATTCACTAAAAGCTGGAGAGCATGAATAAACTATTTTTAGCAGACAGCTGTTGATCAGCTTATGGTGTTTTCTTCCAACATTTGTTGATGGGCTTTTGCAATTTTCTTTTTGCCTGCCGGCAGCAAAAGGAAGCCAGGCAAAATGGACATTTCTGGG
Source organism: Homo sapiens (assembly GCF_000001405.40). Taxonomy (NCBI): domain Eukaryota; kingdom Metazoa; phylum Chordata; class Mammalia; order Primates; family Hominidae; genus Homo; species Homo sapiens. The sequence continues at coordinate 15,598,501 of NC_000001.11, read as the reverse complement.
ACTTGTTACTCATGATTGTAATTATCCACAAAAACGCACCCTTTAAAAAGCTTTGATAGGCATGAAGGAACTTTTGGGGGTGATAGAAATGTTCTAAAACTGAGTTGTGATGGTTGCACAAGGGGACGAAAAATCATTAACTTGTACACTTAAAAATGGGTGAATTTTGTGGTATGTAAATTACACCTAAAAAAAAGCTTTTTTAAAAAGCTTATCTGAAAGATTTCCAGGCATTTTAAGGTGAAAAAAGGACACATTGCCAACAATTTGTACAGGAGAAACCTGTACTTTTTCCAAAGTCTCATATGAATTAAAGTACAACCTTGAGGCCAGGTGCCTGTAATCCCCACACTTTTTTCCCAGCACTTTTGGATGCTGAGGTGGGCAGATCACTTGAGGCCAGGAGTTCGAGACCAGCCTGGCCAACATGGCAAAACCCCTTCTCTACTAAAAATACAAAAATTAGCTGGCTGTGGTGGTGGGCACCTGTAATCCCAATTACTCAGAAGGCTGAGGCAGAAGAATTGCTTGAATCCAGGAGGCGGAGGGTTGCAGTGAGCCAAGATTGCACCACTGCCCTCCAGGCAGGGCAACACAGCAAGACTCCATCTCAAACAAAACAAAACAAAACAAAACAAACAAACAACCTTGAGCAGGAGTAGGAGCAGACTATGGTCAACTTATACTTTGTACAATACATATGTATTAGGTGTAATCAGGAAAATATTAAAGATTTTAAAAGAAAGACTAACACTGAGAAAAATCAAAGGGCAATTCCAAGAGAAAAGGGGCTTATTTGATCGAAAGGGAAGATTCCATTTCCTTCTCCACTGGCTCCTAATGTGGTGGTGGTGGGGCGTGGGGGTTCACACCAAAAAATTCTACAATTCTCTGCAGACCTTAGGAGGGTGTCTGTCAGTCTCTTGCTATAATGGAATGCCTGAGGCTGGGTAATTTATCAAAAAATGAAGTTAAGGGCTTGGCGCGGTGGCTCATGCCTATGGTCCCAGCACTTTGGGAGGCTAAGGCAGGTGGATCACCTGACATCAGGAGTTTGAGACCAGCCTGGCCAATATGGTGAAACCCCATCTCTACTAAAAATACAAAAATATTAGCTGGGTGTGGTGGTGGGCACCTGTAATCCCAGCTACTCGGGAGGCTGAGGCAGGAGAATTGCCTGAACCCGGAGGCAGAGGTTGCAGTGAGCTGAGATCGTGCCTCTGCACTCCAGCCTGGGGACAGAGTGAGACTCCATCCCAAAAAAAAACCAAACAAACAAAAAACGAACAAACAACAACAAAATGAAGTTAACTTGGCTAACAATTCTGCTGGCTGGAAGATGGAGAAGCTGGTGAAAGCTTCAGGCTGCTTCCACTCATGGCAAATGGTGAAATGGAGCCAGTGTGTGCAGAGATCTCGCAGCAAGAGAGAGAGAGACAGGGGAGGCGCCAGGCTATTTTTAGCAATCAGCTCTTGTGGGAGGGAAAAGAGTGAGAACTCACTGACCCCTTCCCCGCAACAAGGCATTGGTTATTCATGAGGGATCTACCCGCATGACCCACACCCTGCCATTAGGGGATAAACGCTCAGCATGAGATTTGTAGGGAATAAACATCCAAACTTTAGCAGTGTCCTATGATTTATCTCAATCCTGACACTATCTACCTGGAAATAGCATCAGATTCCCCAGGTTACAGGCTTAGTCCCTTAAGACTGCCCCCACTTCAGACACTGGGTGCCAGTCCCAGGTTGTCACCTGTACTTCTTGCAGACTCGCTATAAATTAGAAGTTCCCACCATTCCCTCCTCTCTGGGTTTGATCATCTGCTAGGACAGCTCACAGAACTCAGAACGGTCTACTAACCAGATTGCCATTTATTATGAAAGAATATAACAGGAACAGCCAGTGGAAGAGCTGCATAGGGCAAGGAACATGGGAAGGGATCTGGAGCTTCCATGCCCTCCTCAGGCACGCCACCCTCCCCGCAGCTCCGTATGTTCACCAACCTGGAAGCTCCTTGAACCCCATTCTATCAAGATTTGATGAAGGTTTCATTACATAAGCATGAGTAACGAAATGATTGATCATTGAGCTTTTTTTTTTTTTTTTTTTAGAGACCCAGTCTCTAAAAAAAAAAGAAGAGAACAAATACTTTATCAAACCATTTATGTTATACTATAGGAAATGTATCATACATGCTTTATTTGTATGAGATGTCTATATCTGCACTTCAAGCATTAATTCTTACCTTCCAAAAGTGCTTAATAATGTTTTTCTGGGTTTAATTGCCTAGCACAAGTTGGCTTATATTTGGATTTGTCTAAACAGCATTTTTCTACATGTCCTTGACCTTTGTGCACTTTAGAACCTTGGTTTTAAGCTACAGTCCTGTTAATCATCAATTATCAAGTATTCATTCTTACTAATAACTTGAGTCAGATCTATGTACCCAGAGCATATAGTTCATAATTAATAATTAGCTCTTGCATTTGTCTAATGCTTCCTTCCTCTCTAAGGACCAGGTTGATGGTGAACATCATCACTGGAAAGTCAGGAAAGGTTATAGTCCCTACTTTGCAGAGGAAGAAGGACTACTCAGAAGCAGCTGACCTCCTTGGGCAAAGCGAAATGCCATCTAAAAGAATGCATAGGTGACTGGCTGGGGCTTGAAAGAAATCTGAATATTTTCTTCAATAAAAAATTAAATGAGGGCCGGGGGCGGTGGCTCATGCCTGTAATCTCAGCACTTTGGGAGGTCGAGGCGGGTGGATCACGAGGTCAGCAGTTCGAGACCAACCTGACCAACATGTGAAACCCCGTCTCTACTAAAAATACAAAAATTAGCCAGGCATGATCGCGGATGCCTGTAATCCCAGCTACTCAGGAGGCTGAGGCAGGAGAATCGCTTGAACCTGGGAGGCAGAGGTTGCAGTGAGCTGAGATTGCACCACTGCACTCCAGCCTGAGTGACAGAGTGATACTCCGTCTCAAAAAAAAAAAAAATTAAATGGTACACAGATGACATTATGATACCCATTGTATAATAAAACTGTTGAGATTTCAGGATGAAATTACATTGACTAAATTTTTTTCCAGTGATTTAGGAGGTGACATAAACTGTGTCACCTGACTAATTGAAGGAGAACTCTGTCCATTTCCTGAATTATCTTTTTTCCTTTGTTAGATCATCAAGTAGAAGTTTTCTGTGCCCTCTCCTGGCTTGATTCTGAAACTGCATAACATTCAGCCTCACTGGGTGGGTCTCTGAGATAAATTCATGCTCTCCCCTTCCTCTCTCCTGCCCATAGGAGGCTTATTTTATTTTATTTTATATTTTATTTTATTTTATTATTTTTTGAGATGGAGCCTCACTCTGTTGCCCAGGCTGGAGTGCAGTGGCACCATCTCGGCTCACTGCAACGTCTGCCTCCCTGGTTCAAGCCATTCTTGTGCCTCAGCCTCTCCAGTAGCTGGGATTACAGGCATGTACCACCACGCCCAGCTAATTTTTTTTTTTTTTTTTTTTAAGTAAAGACGGGTTTCGCCATGTTGACCAGGATGGTCTCAAACTCCTGGCCTCAAGAGATCTGCCTGTCTTGGCCTCCCAAAGTGCTGGGATTACAGGTGCACACCACCCCACTGGGCTAATTTTTCTATTTTTAGTATTGATGGGGGTTTCACCATGTTGGCCAGACTGGTCTCGAACTCCTGACCTTAAATGATCCACCCGCCTTGGCCTTCAAAGTGCTGGGATTACAGGCGTGAGCCACTGTGCCTGGCTTTTTTTTTTTTTTTTTTTTGAGAGGGAGTCTCACCCTGTCACCCAGCTAGAGTGCAGTGGCGAAATGTTGGCTCACTGCAACTTCCACCTCCTAGGTTCAAGCAATTCTCCTGCCTCAGCCCCCCAAATAGCTGGGACTACAGGCATGCACCACCACACCCAGCTAATTTTTTGTATTTTTAGTAGAGGCAGGGTTTCACCATGTTGGCCATGCTGGTCTCAAACTCCTGACCTCAAAGGATTGGCCCAACTCGGCCTCCCAAAGTGCTGGGATTACAGGCTTGAGCCACCGTGCCCAGCTGATAAGTGTGTAACTTTATAGGCAAAGTGAATAGAATACTGGGGATTTTGACAAGCTTTAATGTCACAAAGATTTTTTTTTTTTTTTTGAGTTAGAGTCTCGATCTGTTGGCCAGGCTGGAGTGCAGTGGTGTGACCTCAGCTCGCTGCAACCTCCACCTCCCAGGTTCAAGCAATTCTCCTGCCTCAGCCTCCGGAGTAGCTGGGATTACAGGCGCCTACCGCCATGCCCAGCTAATTTTTGTATTTTTAGTAGAGACAGTGTTTCACCATGTTGGCCAGGCTGGTCTCGAGCTCCTGACCTCAAGTGATCCACCCGCCTCAGCCTCCCAAAGTGCTCAGACTACAGGCGTGAGCCACCGTGCCAGGCCACAAAGATTCTTTGCTTGGCCAAACTTTAGCACCCCACCTGGCTTTTTGGCTATAAATTCCCACTTGCCATGCCGTTGTAAACCAAATAATGTCTGAGACAGGTCTCAGACAAGTTTATTTTGCCAAGGTTGAGGATGTGTCTGGGAAAGACACAAGCTACAGTGGTATCTGTGGCCTGCGCTCTTTCCCAAGAGGATTTTGAGAACTTCAGTATTTAAACGGGAAAATTGGGCAGGAGGGGAAAGAGGACAGTCAATTGTTCATAAAATTATTCAGAAAATCCACATTTTACATTAAATAACCTAAACATAGAGTAGAGGAAGAAGTCAAATATGCGTTTGTCTCCAGGTTGGCGGAGGTGGGGGTCGGGGGAATGATCCCCAGTCTTATCTTTGTCCCTTACTTGTGAAAATAAGCTGTTAATTTACATTGTCAGGATGAGGGAGGTCACCTGGGGAGATATGTGGCCTCTGTCTTGCAGCTACCTGTTTAGGAACCAAAAAAAGTGCAATGTTTTACATACTCAGTTCCCAAGCTTAACTTTTTCCTTTGGCATAGTGAGTCTGGGGTCCCGGGATTTTCTTTTCCTTTCACACTATATTGGGTTGAGAGTCCAGTCGCTCTCCTCAACTACAAGATTCCATTGCAGTGGTCACTATACCTATCTCAAGGGTCCTGAATATTTTTCCTTACCATGCTTTAACAAGGATCATTAGATACTTTTATCTTTTTTTTTTTTTTGTCAGGGTCTCGATTTGTTGTTCAGGCTGCAGTGCAGTGGTGCAAACACAGCTCACTGCAGTCTCCACCTCCTGGGATCCAGCAATCCTCCTACCTCAGCCTCCTGAGTAGCTGGACTATAGGTGTGCGCCACTGTGCCCAGCTAATTAAAAAAAAATATATTTTTTTTTTAGAGACAGGGTCTCACTATGTTGCCCAGGCTAATTTTTTTCTTTTTCTTATTCTTTTTCTTTTCTTTTTTTTTTTTTGAGACAGAGTCTTACCCTGTCACCCAGGCTGGAGTACAGTGGCGCCATCTTAGCTCACGGCAACTTCCGCCTCCTGGATTCAAGCAATTCTCCTGCCTCAGCCTCCTGAGTAGCTGGGAGTAATTACATGCACACGCCACCACACCTGGCTAATTTTTATATTTTTAGTAGAGGCAGAGTTTCTCCATGTTGGCCAGGCTGGTCTCCAACTCCTGACCTCAGATGATCTGCCCACCTCGGCCTCCCAAAGTGCTGGGATTACAGGCGTGAGCCACCGCGCCCGGCCAGGAAATTTTTTCCTTTAACAGATGAAAGCATTCTGAACATGCTAAACAATATATTTTTATTTAGGGCTAGGGGACAAAGAAGGTGAAGATGAGTGTTGAGGTTGTAGCAAGGCGAATGAGTGTCACAGAAAGCCCCCAGCCAGGCAGCCTGGGGAGGCTGGAGTTGCGGCAGGATCATTTCTGAGCTTCCGCAAGCACAGACAAGTTCAGCGTTGACACCTTCTGCAGAGCCCTTACCTCACCATTCAGCAGGCCAAATGGAATCAATCCATGCAGACAGCTGAAATGCACACGGTGTTTTCCCCACACTCAGGCTGTCAGTTTTGTTGACTGAGATACTCATCACCCCAGAGCTGCTTTTCACAGTTCTAGAAGATCTGTTCAATCATTCATTCACTCACAAAACATTTATTCCTTGTGTTTTACAAGGTACTGCCCTTGGAGGACACCCAAAAGGTTGAAGTAGATATTGGAAATTATAGTTTACTAGATGGGTACTTCTCAACCTTCTTCCTGTCATGGCATACATAGAAAATGATACAATTTATATCTCTCACTGAAGTTAACTGGGGGGAGTTTGGATCCCTATCAGATTTGGTGAAAAAAATTGATGTTTTCTACATATTGTATAATTATGATTTGGAAAAAAATCAAATTATTAGGGAAAGCATTAAATATTGAGCTAATATAATACAAAAATTAATACAAATAAATACAAATAAATAATAAATACAAAAATTAGCCAGGCATGGTGGCGCATGCTTATAGTCCCAGCTACTCAGGAGGCTGAGGCAGGAGAATCACTTTAACTCGGGAGGCGGAGGTAGAAGTGAGCCAAGATCGCACCACTGACCTCCAGCCTGGGCGACAGAGCAAGACTGTATCAAACAAAAAAAAAAAAAAAAAAGAGATGGCGTCTCACATCTCGCTGTGTTGACCAGGCTGGTCTTGCACTCCTGGGTTCAAACAGGTCCTCCCTCCTTGGTCTCCCAAAGTGCTGGGATTATAGTCATGAGTCACTGTACCTGGCCAAGTTTTAGCTTTTCTGTGAAGGTAGCTGTTTAATATCAGGTTTTGTTTTGTTTTGTTTTGTTTTTTTGAGACAGAGTCTTGCTCTGTCACCCAGGCTGCAGTGCAGTGGCGCGATGTCAGCTCACTGCAACTTCTGCCTCCGGAGTTCAAGCGATTCTCCTGCCTTAGCCTCCCGAGTAGCTGGGATTACAGGTGTGTGCCACTGCACCTGGCTAAATTTTTTTTTTTTTTTTGAGACAGAGTTTTACTCTTGTTGCCCAGGCTGGAGTGCAATAGTGCAATCTCAGTTCACTGCAACCTCCACTTCCCAGGTTCAAGCGATTCTCCTGCCTCAGCCTCCCTAGTAGCTGGGATTACAGGCATGTGCCACCACGCCCAGCTAATTTTGTATTTTTGGTAGAGACAGGATTTCTCCATGTTGGTCAGACTGGTCTTGAACTCCTAACCTCAGGTAATCTGCCCGCCTTGGCCTCCCAAAGTGCTAGGATTACAGGCATGAGCCACCGTGCCTGGCCAATTTTTTGTATTTTTAGTAGAGACGGGGTTTCACCATGTTAGCCAGGCTGGTCTTGAACTCCTAACCTCAGGTAATCTGCCTGCCTTGGCCTCCCAAAGTGCTAGGATTATAGGCGTGAGCCACCGTGCCTGGACCAATATCAAGTTTTATGCTTGATATTTGCGTATTTGCTACATGGAATAATAATCAGAACTTTTAAAGAATGATCTCTTCAAATTCTTGATACCCTTGAGCTCAAGGAGGTAATACAAATCCTAAAATAAATGTTAAATTCAAAAATTTACAGAAGTTGAAATTGTCTTTTCTTTCATTAACAAATGTACAATTGAAATTTCTTGTGATAACATGAATGGATTTTTATTTTTTATTTTATTTAATTTTTTTTTTGAGACAGAGTCTCACTCTGTCACCCAGGCTGGAGTGCAGTGGTGCGATCTCGTCTCACTACAACCTCCACCTCCTGGGTTCAAGTGATTCTCCTGCCTCAGCCTCCTGAGTAGGTGGGATTACAGGCGTGCACCACCATGCCCGGCTAATTTTTGTATTTTTAGCAGAGACAGCATTTCACCATGTTGGTAAGGTTGGTCTCAAACTCCTGACCTTGTGATCCGCCTGCCTTGGCCTCACAAAGTGCTGGGATTACAGGTGTGAGCCACCGCACCTGGCCAGATTTTTATTTATTTATTTTTATTTTTATTTTTTTGAGTCGGAGTCTCGCTCTGTCACCCAGGCTGGAGTGCAATGGTGCAATCTTGGCTCACTGCAATCTCCGCCTCCCGGGTTCAAACAATTCTTCTGCCTCAGCCTCCTGAGTAGCTGGGATTACAGGTGCCTGCCACCACGCCCAGCTAATTTTTGTATTTTTAGTAGAGATGGGGTTTCACCATATTGGCCAGACTAGTCTCTTGGTCAGGCTGGTCTCGAACTCCTGACCTCGTGATCTGCCTGCCTTGGGCCTCCCAAAGTGCTGGGATTACAGGCGTGAGCCACCACGCCTGGCCCAATCTGGATTTTTATTTATTTATTTAGAGACAGATTTTCACTCTGTTACCCAGGTTGGAGTGCAGTGGTGCGATCATGGCTCACTGCAGCATCTCTCTACCTCCTGGGCTCAAGCAATCCTCCCACCTCAGTCTCCTGAGTAGCTAGGACAAGAGGCATGCATCACCATGCCCAGCTAACTTTTTTTTAGATTTTTTCGTAGAGATAAGTTCTCACTATGTTGCCCAGGTTGGTCTCAAACTCCTGGTCTCAAGCAATCCTGCCATCTTGGCCTCCCAAAGTGCTAGGATTATAGGCATGAGCCACCACACCCAGCTAAACACATTTTTCTTTTTTTGAGACAGGGTTTCTCTCTGTCGCCCAGCTGCAGTACAGTGGCACTATCTCGGCTCACTGCAACCTCTGCCTCCCGGGTTCAAGTGATTCTCGTGCCTCAGCCTCTTGAGTAGCTGGGACTACAGGCGCCTGCCACCATGCCCCGGTAATTCTTGCATTTTTAGTAGAGATGGGGTTTTACCATCTTGGCCAGGCTGGTCTTGAACTCCTGACCTCAAGTGATCTGCCACCCTCGGCCTCCCAGAGTGCTGGGATTACAGGTGTGAGCCACCACACCTAGCTGAAAACATTTGATAGATTCTAATTCTGTAGTTTGGGATGGGGTCCAGGAATCTGAATTTTAACAGACACTCCAGGAAATCGATGTAAATGTTTCTCACAAACAATACTATGAAACCACTGACTGAAGCTAGCAGTTCTCAGATGTTTTCGCTTTTTTAAATCTCAAGACTCCTTTACACTATTACAATTATTGAGGCCAGGTGTGGTGGCTCACACCTGTAATCCTAACACTTTGGGAGGCCAAGGTGGGAGGATCCCTTGAGGAGTTCAAGACCAGCCTGGACAACATAGTGAGACCCTCATAATTACAAAAAAAATTTAAAAAATATTAGCCAGTTGAGGTGGCATGAGCCTGTGGTCCCAGCTACTCAGGAGGCTGAGGTGGGAGGATCAGTTGAGTCCTAGGATTCAAGGCTGCAGTGAGCCACGACAGTACCACTGCACTGCAGCCTGGGAGACAGAGCCAGACCCTGTCTCTCAAAAAAGTTAAAAAAAATTACTGAGGATCTCAGAAAGCTTTTGTTATGTGGGATATATCTGTTGATATATACAGGATTATAAATTAAAACAGGCACACACACAACAAAGAAAAAAAGGCTGAGCACAGTGGCTCATACTTGTATTCCCAACACTTTGAGAAGCTGAGGTAGCAGTATTGCTTGCATCCAGGAGTTTAAGACCAGCCTGGGAAACGTAGTGAGGCCCACCATCTCTTTTTTTGGTTTGTTTTTTTGAGACAGGGTCTCACTTTGTCTCCCAGGCTGGAACGAAGTGGTGCAATCACAGCTCACTGCAGCTTTACCTCCCTGGGCTCAGGTGATGCTCCCATCTCAGCCTTCTGAGTAGCTAGTGAGAGGTGAAGCCGGCTGGGCTTCTGGGTCAGGTGGGGACTTGGAGAACTTTTCTGTCTAGCTAAAGGATTGTAAATGCACCAATGAGCACTCTGTGTCTAGCTAAAGGTTTGTAAACGCACCAATCAGCACTCTGTCTAAACAGACCAATCAGCTTTCTGTAAAATGGACCAATCAGCAGGATGTGGGTGGGGCCAGATAAGGGAATAAAAGCAGGCTGCCGGAACCAGCGGCACCAAGCTGGTCGGGGAGTCTTCCAAATTGTGGAAACGTTGTTTGTAAACCTTGTTCTTCTGCTCTTTGCAATAGCTCTTGCTGCTGCTCACTCTTTGGGTCTGTGCCGCCTTCATGAGCTGTGACACTCACCGTGAAGTTTTGCAGCTTCGCTCCTAAAGCCAGCGAGACCACGAACCCACTGGGAGGGACAGCAACTCTGGACGCGCCACTTTTACGAACTGTAGCACTCACCGCAAAGGTCTGCAGCTTCACTCCTGAGGCCAGCGAGACCACGAACCCACCGTGAAGGAACGAACAACTCCAGACGCGCCGCCTTTAAGAGCTGTAACACTGCAAAGGTCTGCAGCTTCACTCCTGAAGTCAGCGTAGACCACGAACCTAGCAGAAGGAAGAAACTTCGGACACATCTGAACATCTGAAGGAACAAACTCCGGACACACTATCTTTAAGAACTGTAACACCGCGAGGGTCTGTGGCTTCATTCTTGAAGTCAGCGAGACAAAGAACCCACCAATTCGATACACTGGGACCACAGGTGTGCACCACCAGTCTTGGCTAACTTTTGTATTCTTTGTAGAGACAGGATTTCCCCATGTTGGCCAGGCTGGTCTCAAGCTCCTGGACTCAAGCCATGTGCCTGCCTTGGTCTCACAAAGTGCTAGGATTACGGGCATGAGGCACCGCACCCAGTGAGACCCTATTTCTACAAAAAATACAAAAATTAGCTGGGCATAGTTGTGTGCACCTGTAGTCCTAGCTACTTGGGAGGCTGAGGCAGAAGGATTGCTCAAGCCCAGGGGGTGGAGGCTGCAGTGAGCTATGACTGTACCACAGCACCACAGCCTTCATGACAGAGCGAGACTTCTATCTCCCTTAAAAAAAAAAAAAGTTCAGGGTCTTTTGAGGGTGGGCTTCTACTGAACATTGGACATGTGGAGCTGAGGGCTGGGGTGGAGCACTGCAGGCAGACAGAAAAGCATGAACAAAGGAAAGGAGGCAAGAAAGTGGGGGCTGAGGCAGCTGACCATGGGCTGGAGGAACAAGCCCGTGGAGCTGCAGAAGGGGAAACACAGGAAGAATTGGCTCCAGGAAGCATTACCGGGCAGGCATATGTATGGTGATACTAGTGAGAGTGAGATCAGCTGGAAAGCTGGGGTGGGAAGGCCTGGACCAGAGTAACAGCAGAGGAAATGAGCAGAAGGCTTGGGGGCAGGAAACCATCAGGACTTCTTAAATTTGGGGGCGTAGAGCAGGATCAGAGACAGGGAGGTGGAAAGTCGCTGGCTGAACTTGCAGCCCACCCCAGGTGCTGTCAAGCATCCAGGTCAGGGTTAGAAATTGGTCGCCTGGAGCTCAGGGCTGGGATTTGGGCTTGTGGTTGACCTGCCTATGGGTGAAAGTCATCACCTCCGTATTAAAAGGGATTGCCAGCCGAGAAGGAGCCACGAAGGTGGAAGGAGACCAGGGGAGTCCCAGTCAAGAGGCCGCCTGAGGAACGTTTCAAGGAGAGAGGGTGCTCAGCAGTAGTGGATGTTGGGGACACCTCATTGGAACGCCTGGCACATAGCGGACACTCAATATTTGTGAGCTGAATGAAAGAAAAACCCGGAGTAAGAACATGATACATTCAGGACAAGCAACATGAAAGAAATAGCAGTTGAATTTGGGAGTCAAGAGAATAACTGAGACCCTTTAAGTGGCATAAGGGAGAAAAAAAGGAAAAAATAACTGAGAGATTGTTGCATTTGTTCCAGAAAATGGCTGGGACCTGCCCCAAGGCCAACACTAAGCACTGATAATTGACCATTAGGAAACTCTGTCCCGACCTGCAGAGTGGAGGCTCCACTCCAGAGTGGAGGCTGGAGTGGTGTGGGGTTTAATGTGCAACCTTTTTTTTTTTTTTTGACAGAGTCTTGCTGTGTTGCCCAGGCTGGAGTGCAGTGGCGCGATCTTGGCTCACTGCAAACTCCACCCTCCCGGGTTCACGTCATTCTCCCGCCTCAGGCTCCCGAGTAGCTGGTACTACAGGTGCCCACCACCACGCCTGGCTAATTTTTTGTATTTTTAGTAGAGATGGGGTTTCACCATGTTAGCCAAGATGGTCTCATCTCCTGACCTCATGATCCGCCCACCTCGGCCTCCCAAAGTGCTGGGATTACAGGTGTGAGCCACCGCGCCTGGCCTAATGTGCAACCTTTGTGTAGAGGTTGCAACGTAAATGCAAATGTGAGCCTTTTCCATTCAATCTCAACATTTAGAGATCAGAAAAAATAATATATATAATACTGCTAAATGGCTCACATAATTCCATTACAAATCACTTCTTTCTTTCCACGTGTGTTTTTCTTTCCCCTTAGAAATAAAGAGGATGTAACAGGTTCTCTGGCACTGTGACCTTCCTTACAGCTTGCCTGTAAGTCCTTTATTTATTTATTTATTTATTTATTTATTTATTTATTTATTTTTGAGACGGAGTCTTGCTCTGTTGCCCAGGCTGGAGTGCAGTGGCCTGATCTCAGCTCACTGCAAGCTCCGCCTCCCGGGTTCATGCCATTCTCCTGCCTCAGCCTCCCAAGTAGCTGGGACTACAGGCACCTGCCACCATGCCCGGCTAAATTTTTGTACTTTTAGTAGAGATGGGGTTTCACCGTGTTAGCCAGGATGGTCTCGATCTCCTGACCTCGTGATCCGCCCGCCTCAGCCTCCCAAAGTGCTGGGATTACAGGCGTGAGCCACCGCCCCTGGCCTCTAGTCCTTTTTTAACAAGGTTATTTAAAAAGACTTTACTGGCCAGGCGCGATGGCTCACGCTTGTAGTCCCAACTACTCGGGAGGCTGAGGTGAGACGATTGCTTGAGCCCAGCAGTTTGAGGCTGCAGTGAGCTATGATTGTGCCACTGCACTCCAGCCTGAGCAACACAGCAAGACCCTGTCTCAAAATAACTAGCTAGCTAGCTAAGTAGCTAACTAACTTTACTGCTTCTTGAGATTCCTATCCCTGGACATTTAAAAATACATTATTTAAAAAAATGCATTTCCTATTTTTCTGGCTTAGAGAAAGATCATTTTCCTTCATATCTTTCTGGCTTTAAAAATATTACTCTGGGGTGGCTGCTGTGGCTCACACCTGTAATCCCAGCACTTTGGGAGGCCAAGGTGGGAGAATCACTTGAGTCCAGAAGTTGGAGACCAGTCTGGGCAACACAGTGAGACCGTCTCTATAAAAACAAACAATTACTCTGAATGGGAGAAGAGGCTGCTGAAGGCCACAGTGGGGAGCAGGGCGCAGACACCCCTGGCACAGTGCCGGCCAGTGGGCACCCCCAGCCTGACTCTATTTGCCAGAGGCTGAAGTCCAGAGGGGTTGAGGGGAGAGCACGGCAGGTCCTGGGGCCCCTCCCCCGCCTTGATCCTAGGGCGCCCCTGACCTTTGAGCCGGCTCGGGTTCCGGCTCTGGCGCGTGCACACTCGCCTCGCCGTTCGGGACCAGCCAGATCGCGGCGGCCTCGCGGGCGGTTTGGTCGGTGAGGTCTTGGCCGCGCGCGGCAATGCTGAGGCTGCTGGCGTCCGGGTGCGCCCGGGGCCCGGGGCCCGGCGTGGGCGCGCGTCCTGCCGCAGGGCTCTTTCATCCGGGGCGCCGCCAGAGCCGCCAGGCTTCCGACGCGCCCCGGAACCAGCCCCCCAGCCCCGAGTTCGTGGCCCGGCCGGTGGGCGTCTGCTCCATGATGCGCCTGCCGGTGCAGACCTCCCCCGAGGGGCTGGACGCTGCCTTCATCGGGGTGCCCCTGGATACTGGGACCTCCAACCGGCCTGGGGCGAGGTAAGGCCGGAAGGACGGGGGCCGGGTACACGTGGAGGGACTGCTTGCTGGCTGTCGGGCATGGAAAGCACCGAGACAGGCGCCCCTGCTGGCCCCGGGTCGAGTTGGAAGCTGGTGGCCGGCTCCAAAATGCCCCTTATGGTTTGAGATGGTTGATTTACCTGGACCCTCAATAAGCAAACCCCAGGGCTCAACATGGGCGTGGCCTCCCACATCTTAGTGTCATCATTGGTCAAGAAGGGATTTTGGCCGGCCCGGTGGCTCATGCCTGTAATCCCAGCACTTTGGGAGGCTGAGGCGGGCGGATCACGAGGTCAGGAGTTCGAGACCATCCTGACCAACATGGTGAAACTCTGTCTCTACAAAGGTACAAAAAAAAGAAAAAAAAAGCCGGGCATGGTGGCGCGGGCCTGTAATCCCAGCTACTCGGGAGGCTGAGGCAGGAGAATCGCTTGAACCCGGGAGACGGAGGTTGCAGTGAGCTGAGATTGCGCCACTGCGCTCCAGCCTGGGCAACAGAGTGAGACTCCGTCTCAAAAAAAGAAAAAAGAAGGGATTCTGGAGCCTGAACCTTCTCTGTGTCCCCATCCTGGGGCCTTGCTGGGATGGCTGCTGTGGATTCCTCCCCTCTCCTCTCCCCAGCTTACAGTGGCAGGTGACATTGCATTTGAGAGCAGAAACTGGCTGCCCCTTCCCCAAATCTGAAGATGTCACCTGACTCAAGAAATGCTCAAATGAAGGCAATTTTCCTAGGATCAAGTCGGAGGAAGCAAAATTCATCTTCCTAGTTATTGAACGTCAGCAATTTCTGATTCAGCTCAGCAACACTATATCTGACCGTACTGATCTGAATTATGAAAGCCAGCACTTATTAAATGTCTCCTAAGTGCAAGGTGCTTTGCATAGATTACCTCATTTAATTTTTACTACAGTGCAAGGTAAATATTTTACAAATTAGGAAACTGAGACTCAGGTAGATCATGAAATTCACTAATGCCATTTAGTACACTTATTTAGTCTCTTCGATACATAGCCTAGATCGGTGATTCTCAAGTGGGGCGGTTTTGCACTCCGGGGACATTTGGCAGTATCTGGAGGCGTTTTGGGTTGTTACACCTTGGAGGAAGGGTGCTACTGGCACCTAGTGAGTACAGGCCGGGATGCTGCTAAGCATTCCATTATGCAATGCCGCGACACGGAATCATCTGGCCCCAAATTGCTGAGGCTGAGAAGCCCTGGCCTAAGCAAAGCCTGAAATCTCTGCAGATGATGGCTGACAGGATGATTCTTCCTTCTGCAGATTCGGACCTCGCCGCATCCGGGAAGAATCAGTGATGCTTGGGACAGTCAATCCTAGCACGGGGGCCCTCCCCTTCCAGTCCCTCATGGTTGCAGACCTAGGCGATGTGAATGTCAATCTTTACAACCTTCAGGACAGCTGCCGGCGAATTCAAGAGGCCTATGAGAAAATTGTAGCAGCTGGCTGTATTCCTCTGACCTTGGGTAATGTCAGTCTGCAAGAGCCAGAGTAGTTCCCTGCACTCAGGGTTTACTTATCCTGTACTCAGGGGCTTGAGTACAGCTACTTCTCCCCTGCAAGCCACTGCAAATGTGCAGACAGTAGGAAAGAGAGCATTGTAATTCATTTATTTTAATCCCTGGGGAGAGAATATTTCACGTGTGTGTGTATGTGTGTGTGTGAGACAGTCTCACTCTGTTACCCAGACTGGAGTGCAGTGGTGCAATCTCGGCACATTGCAACCTCCACTTCCTGGGTTCAAGCAATTCTCCTGCCTCAGCCTCCCAAGTAGCTGGGATTACAGGCGCCCACCACCATGCCTGGCTAATTTTTGTATTTTTGGTAGAGTCGGGGTTTTGCCATGTTGGCCAGGCTGGTCTTGAACTCCTGACCTCAAGTGATCCGCCCACCTTGGCCTCCCAAAGTGCTGGGGTTACAGGCATGAGCCACCGCGCCTGGCCAAGATGATGTTTCTAATGACTTTATTTGCGAGGAGAACTGCAAAGAGGGTGTTTTTGTCCTGCTCAGGGTCTACATCAACCTATAGGGCAGCTTTCCCCTTATCCTCACCCCTGACCCACTCTCACTTTTTCTCTTGTTCACAAATACTTAAAATGACAGGGATCTTTTCCTAAATATCCAAATTCATTTTTGCCAAGTTAGAGAGCCTAGCCTGCATGGCATAGTGGGAGGAGTGTGGTTTCCCGATGGCATGGTTTGAAGTCTCAGCTGCACTTCTCCCTAGCAATGTTGCTGTATACCGTGCTTGATGCTTCACACCCTCACCTGTAAGATGGGAATGATCACAGTAACACCTACTCACTGCATGATGTGAGGGGCATATAATGAAAGTGCACATGAAATGCCCAGCATCAAGCATGGCATATCTTTTTTTTTTTTCTTTTTTTTTGAGACAGAATTTCACTCTTGTTGCCCAGGCTGGAGTGCAATGGCACGATCTCGGCTCACTGCAACCTCCGCCTCCCGGGTTCAAGCAATTCTGTCTCAGCCTCCTGAATAGCTGGGATTATAGGCGCCCGCCAGCATGCCCGGCTAATTTTTATATTTTTAGTAGAGACGGGGTTTCATCATATTGGTCAGGCTGGTCTCGAACTCCTGACCTCAGGTGATCTGCCCACCTCGGCCTTCCAAAGTGTTGGGATTACAGGCGTGAGCCATTGCGCCCGACCTATGCATGGCATATCTGAAGCTTCAATAAATGTTAACTGTTATTATTATCAGAAAGAATACTTTCCTAGGTCTGTGCTGTCCAGTAAGGTAGCCACTAGCCACATGTGGCTACTTAAATTCTTTTTTTTTTTGAGACAGAGTTTTGCTCTTGTTGTCCCGCTTGGCTCACGGCAACCTCCGCCTCCTGGGTCCAAGTGATTCTCCTGCCTCAGCCTCCTGAATAGCTGGGATTACAGGCGCGTGCCACCACGCCCAGCTAATTTGTTGCATTTTTAGTAGAAATAGGGTTTCAACATGTTGGCAAGGCTGGTCTCGAACTCCTGACCTCAGGTGATCCGCCGCCTCAGCTTCCCAAAATGCTGGGATTACAGGCGTGAGCCACCACGCCCGGCCTAAATTCAAATTAATTAAAATAAAATATTCAGTTTCTTAAGTCATATTAGCTACATGTATGTCACATGTGTGTCACATGTGGATAGTGGCTACCATATGGGCCAGTGCAGATAGAACATTGTCATCATCATAGAAGGTTCTATTGAACAGAGCTATTCTAGGCATTTTCCTAGAATACTGTGAAAAGGCAATTCCTAGAGTAGCTCTTAACTTGTCTAATTTCCTCTTTTATTTATTTATTTTTGAGACACGGTCTCACTCTGTCACCCAGGCTGGAGTGCAGTGGTGCCGACATGGCTCGCTGCAACCTTGCCCTCCCTGGGCTCAGGTGATCCTTCCACTCCAGCCTCCCGAGTAGCTGGGTCTACAGGCGTTTGTCACCATGCCCAGCTAATTTTTGTATTTTTTGCAAAGACGGGGTCTTAATGTATTACCCAGGTGGACCTTGAATTCCTGGGCTCAGGCGATCTGCTTGTCTTGGCCTCCCAAGGTGTGAGCCACTGCGCCTGGTCTATTTTTATTTTTATTTTTTAGAGACGTGGTCTTGCTGTGTTGCCCAGGCTGGTCTCAAACTTCTAGGCTCAAGCTATTTATTTATTTATTTTATTTTATTTTTTGAGATGGAGTTTCACCCTTGTTGCCTAGGCTGGAGTGCAGTGGCGCGATCTTGGCTCACCGCAACCTCCGCTTCCTGGGTTCAAGTGATTCTCCTGCCTCAGCCTCCAGAGTAGCCGGGATTACAGGCATGCGCTACCATGCCCGGCTAATTTTGTATTTTCAGTAGAGACGGGGTTTCTCCATGTTGGTCAGGCTGGTCTTGAACTCCCAACATCAGGTGACCTGCCCGCCTTGGCCTCCCAAACTGCTGGGATTACAGGCATGAGCCACCGTGCCCAGCAAGCTATTCATTTTTTTGAGATAGTGTCTTACTCTGTCGCCCAGGTTGGAGTGCAGTGGCACGATCACAGCTTACTGCAGCCTTGACCTCCCAGGCTCATTCAGCATCCTGCCATTCTATAAGATCTTACTGTAGCTGTGGTTATAACTCCCCCCAGGCTGAAAGGGTGAAAATTGAGTTAAGATTATTCAGCTGGGCATGGTGGCTCATGCCTGTAATCCTAGCACTTTGGGAGGCCAAGGCGAGTGGATCACTTGAGGTCAGGAGTTTGAGACCAGTCTGACCAACATGGTGAAACTCCGTCTCTACTAAAAATACAAAATTAGCCAGGTATGGTGGTACACACCTGTAATCCCAGCTACTCGGGAGGCTGAGGCAGGAGAATCGCTTGAACCTGGGAGGCAGAGGTTGCAGTGAGCCGAGATTGTGCCATTGAACTCCAGCCTGGACAACAGAGCAAAACTACATCTCAAAAAAAAAAAAAAAAAAAAAAGATTATTCTATGTAATCCTCCAATTCACTTTCCAGATGTTTTCTTCTTCCTCTTTGCAGGTGGAGATCACACAATCACATATCCCATATTGCAAGCGATGGCAAAAAAGTAAGTCTCAAATGGCTTGGGCCCAGCAAGATTTCAAAAGCCAGAAGCTAGGGAATGAGTTATTTGCTGTTTGGTGGCATTAGGTGACTGCTGCTGGCTCAGGTTATGAGCTGCTTCTGGGGATCAAAATTAAGGTTGAGCTCCAGGTGTCTCTGTCAGTCAGCAGCTAGAAGCCAAGACAATTTATTATTAACAGTTCTGGCCACCCTCCCTTGCCCTAGATCTCTCCTGGTATGTGTGCTCAGCATTTTCAACTTGCTTCTGTTTTTGGAAGATGAGCCTCTAGTGAAATACACAACCTCAGTTAACTTCAGTTTCTGTTTTGCTTCAATGGCCAAAAACAAACACTGACAGGCACAATGGTGGACCTTGCTGAGAGGCCCTTGTTTCCTCCTGAAAGGGCACCTTTCTCAATCAAAAGACTGATTTGCCAGTAGTGGAAGTCTACCCAGGATTGGCCGACTTTGGCTAATTTAGTTTGAGAAAGAGACAGAAGGACCCGGGTGGAGGGTGGCAGCTCCAGAATGTGTCTGTGGAAGCACATGTGGGTGGCATTCTGGTTGGAGGTGGGAGGGTGCAGGTCTTTGCTCAAAGCTGCATTTATTCCTCACGGATTTGGATCAGATGTTTATTTTGGGTGGCTGGCAGGGGTTGATGGAGGTTATGGAGAGAGCTGGATTAAAGCTTCCTCTTCCTCGGTTGGAGAAAGGGTGTGTCTTGGTTTAGTTAAGCCTTCAGCCAAGCTCCCCTGTGCCACCACCCTTGATTCTCATCCTGTCTCTAAGTGAAGCAAATTCTGGGTGATAGGTGTGGGTGGCAGCCAAAACATGTCTATTTCCTGCCTGACTTCTGTGAGTTTATTGTTCCTCTGAGATGCAAAGTGATCTCAAGAAGACAGGAACCAGTTGCAAGGCAGAAAACGGATGCCAGGTCTCCCCTTTTTGGCTGTGAATTGTCACCAAGTTTTGGTGGCCCGAAGGGTGGCTGTGCTAGGGCCCCACAGGGAGGGTTGGCCTCTGAGCTGCCCTGTTGTCATCAGGCATGGCCCAGTGGGGCTGCTGCACGTGGATGCGCACACGGACACGACCGACAAGGCCCTAGGAGAGAAGCTCTACCACGGGGCGCCCTTCCGCCGGTGTGTGGATGAGGGTCTCCTGGACTGTAAGCGTGTGGTGCAGATTGGCATCCGGGGCTCTTCCACGACCTTGGATCCCTACAGATACAACCGGAGCCAGGTGACAGACCGAATGCCCCCCACCCTTGCCCCTCAAAATGTCTTCCTCTCCGTTGCCTCACCAGTGGCAGCCAGGGATTGAGCGGGGGCTTTACTAATCAAGTCTGAAGCAGGGATACAAGGCTGAGTTTGCATCATCAGGGGCATAAGGAGCATAGGAGTGAGGAAGTTGGTTTATGGGCCATGGGAAGTCTATCGCTGGGCGGGGGAGACAAGCAGAAATCGACCAACCCCTCGGACGGTGCTGGCTTAGAAGAGGGGAGGAGGCCGGGCACAGTGGCTCACACCTGTAATCCCAGCACTTTGGGAGGCTAAGGTGGGTGGATCACCTGAGGTCAGGAGTTCGAGACCAGCCTGGCCAACATGGTGAAACCCCGTCTCTCCTAAAAATACAAAAATTAGCCAGGTGTGGCGGTGCGCACCTGTAATCCCAGCTACTCGGGAGACTGAGGCAGGAGAATTGCTTGAACGTGGGAGGTGGAGGTTGCAGTGAGCTGAGATCGCGCCACTGCACTCTAGCCTAGGTGACAAAGTGAGACTCCATCTCAAAAGAAAAAAAAAAGAGGGGAGGAAGTCCGGACCCAAGATGAGTTGCCACCTTCTTAGTTCTGGTCCTCGTACCCTCTAGGCAGAATGGCTCTCAGATAGACGTGTATGACAAGACCCCAATGGAACAGACCCAAATCCCTTGCTTTTAGAGCGTGCCAAGGCCAGTCTTCTGGACAGAGCAATTCAAAAGGTGCTAGCGTGAGCTGCTGTTTCCCACTCTTGCTTTAGCAAAGCTTCTCTCTGATTCCAACTCCATCAGTCAGCTTTGACCCTGCTTCCTTACCACTCATTGTCCCTCCCTTCCTCACCTGTAAAATAGGATAGTTCCCTCTTCATGGAGATGGAGGGTCAAGTGTCATGTGCACACAGAGCTGAGCATGGGGCTGGCAAACAGGAAATGCCCTGTAAATGCTGCCAGACAGAAACCTCAGTCCCTGTCTCTGCAGGGCTTCCGGGTAGTCCTGGCTGAAGACTGCTGGATGAAGTCGCTGGTTCCTCTGATGGGGGAAGTCAGGCAGCAGATGGGAGGCAAACCCATTTATATCAGCTTTGATATTGACGCTCTGGATCCTGCCTATGCGCCAGGGACAGGGACACCTGAAATTGCTGGTCTCACTCCTAGTCAGGTAAGGAGATTCCACCAGTGAAGATCCTGGGGGTGGAGACACTTAACACCCATTTTCCTGGGACTTGAAGCGAATCTTTAGGAATCAGGATAGGATTTTTGTTTGTTTGTTTGAGACGGAGTCTCACTCTGTCGCCCAGGCTGGAGTGCAGTGGTGCGATCTCGGCTCACTGCAACCTCCGCCTCCCAGGTTCAAGCGATTCTCCTGCCTCAGCCTCCTGAGTAGCTGAGATTACAGGCACATGCCACTACGCCCGGCTAATTTTTGTATTTTTAGTAGAGATGGGGTTTCACCATGTTGGTCAGGCTGGTCTTGAACTCCTGATCTCGTGATCCACTCACCTCGGCTTCCCAAAGTGCTGGGATTACGGGTGTCAGCCACCGCGCCTGGCTGCCAAGGTAGGATTTTAAGAGCAGAGCACCTAGGCCTTTTCTGTTCTCTGGGCTGAGGATAAGTTTGAATACCCTCTTACTGAAGGGTGATTGATTTTGGCAAGGGCCTTCATTTCCTATCTGGGATATAATAGTCCCTTATTTTGTCCTTTATTTGCTCTTCCTGCCTTCAGTTCATCTGTCATGAAAACAACAGTTCATAGGAACAACATTATAGTATCCTCTCTTAAGAACACTAAACTTGGCCGGGCACGGTGGCTCACGTCTATAATCCCAGCACTTTGGGAGGCTGAGGTGGGTGGATCACGAGGTCAGGAGATCGAGACCATCTTGGCTAACACGGTGAAACTCCGTCTCTACTAAAAATACAAAAAAATTAGCCGGGCGCGGTGGCGGGTGCCTGTAATCTCAGCTACTCAGGAGGCTGAGGCAGGAGAATGGCATGAACCCGGGAGGCAGAGCTTGCAGTGAGCCGAGATAGAACCACTGCAGTCTGGCCTGGGCGAAAGAGTGAAACTCCATCTCAAAAAAAAAAAAAAAAAAAAAAAAAAAGAACACTAAACTTGGCCAGGTGTCGTGGCTCACGCCTGGAATCCCAGCACTCTGGGAGGCCGAGGCGGGTGGATCACAAGGTCAGGAGTTCGAGACCAGCCTAGCCAAGATGGTGAAACCCTGTCTCTACTAAAAGTACAAAAATCAGCCCGGCACGGTGGCAGGCGTCTGTAATCCCAGCTACTTGGGAGGCTGAGGCAGGAGAATTGCTTGAACCCTGGAGGCGGAGGTTGCAGTGAGCTGAGATCGTGCCACTGTACTCCAGCCTGGGCAACAGAGCAAGACTCCACCTCAAAAAAAAAACCAACCAACCAACCAAACAAAAACACTAAACTTGGCCGGGCGCAGTGGCTCACACCTGTAATCCCAGCACTTTGGGAGGCCAAGGCATCAGGCGGGTGGTTCACCTGAGGTAGGGAGTTTGAGACCAGCCTAACATGGAGAAACCCCATTTCTACTAAAAATACAAAATTAGCCGGGCATGGTGGCGCATGCCTGTAATCCCAGCTACTCGGGAGGCTGAGGCAGGGGAATCACTTGAACCTGGGAGGCTGAGGTTGTGGTGAGCCGAGATCATGATATTGCACTCCAGTCTGGGCAACAAGAGTGAAACTCCATCTCAAAACAAACAAAAACACTAAACTTATCTTTTTAGGGTTAAATTTAAATAAAAGTGCATACAACGGGCCAGGCGCGGTGGCTCAGGCACTATCCTCAGCACTTTGGGAGGCCAGGGTGGATGGATCGTTTGAGCCCAGGAGTTTCAGCCCAGCCTGGGCAACATAGTGAGATCCCATCTTTACTAAAAATAAAAATAAAAATTAGTCTGGTGTGCTAGTGTGCACCTGTAGTCCCAGCTACTAGGGAGGCTGGGGCAGGAGGATCAACTGAGCCTGGCAGGTCAAGCCTTCAGTGAGCCGTGATCATACCACTGCACTATAGCCCGGGTGACAGAGACCCTGTCTCAAAAATAAATAAATAAATAAATAAATAAATAAATAAATAAATAAAAGTGCATGTGATGGCACAATTACCTGCCAAGGTAAGCTCAAGAGTTTTAGAAACACCCAAATAAAGCTCCAATAATGTGTGCTGGGAGTAAATGCACGGGGGCAGAATGGTTATGACTAGAATCTCCCCAAGGGCAGGACCTATGTATTGTTCCCTACCTTGTCCTTGGAGCCTAGGACAGTGCCTAATACAAATAGTAGGCACTCAAAGACATTTGAGAGTAAATGAATGAAGACTGCTTAAACCTAATCAAGTACCTTACATCCTCTAAGATCTTAAAGGAGGGTGGCCATAACTCTCTCTCTTGAAATGGCTGTAACCATCCTCTCTTCTCATGAGGGATTTCTGAAACACATTCCTCATCCCTCTGCTTAGCAACCTTCTGGGCTTTTCACCTGCAGGATGGGAACCCTTTCAGACAAGGTCACTCTCTTCCCATCAGTCTCCCTCACTTACTCTGTCTTCTGGCCACATCTTACTACCTGAACTTTTCCCATCTTGGTGCCTTTGCCTGTGTTTTTCCCTCTGCCTGGCCTATCCCTTGAACTGGGTATTTCCACCTTGGGGAAGCCTTACCCACCTCTCCAGGCTATTACCTATGCTGATACCATTCTGGGCTTGCTTTCCTTGAAGCCCTTGGTGCATGACATTGAAACGATTGGTTTCCTTGTCTCCATCACCACACCATGCAGCCCTGAGGAGCAGGGACTGTGTACGCATTATCTGTTTCTCTGGGAGGCCTGCCAGTGTGCCTGGCAGTCAACAAATGTTTATGGAGGGAAAGCCAATTCCAAGTCAAAGGGTGGCGTGGGCTGGGAAAAGCTCTACTGGGTGCTTTTCACTGTAAATGATTACCACTGTGGACAACTCAGTCTTGATCTTGAATAGGCTCTGGAGATCATCAGGGGTTGTCAAGGCCTGAACGTGATGGGCTGTGATCTTGTCGAAGTTTCACCACCGTATGATCTTTCTGGTGAGTAAGCAAAGAGACTGAGATCCATGGGCAGCCGGTAGCTTAAATTACACGAAGCTAGTTAATAAGTAGAAAATGGGGCCAGGCATGGTGGCCCAAGCCTGTAATCCCAGCACTTTGGGAGGCCAAGGTGGGCAGCTCACCTGAGGTCAGGAGTTCAAGACCAATTTGGCCAACATGGCGAAACCCCATCTCTCTAAAGATATAAAAATTAGCCAGGTGTGGTGGCACACACCTGTAATCCCAGGTACTCAGGAGGCTAAGGCAGGAGAATCGCTTAGAACCTAGGAGGCGGAGGTTGCAGTGAGCTGAGATTGCGCCACTGCACTCCAGCCTGGGTGACAGAGCGAGACTCCATCTCAAAAAAAAAAAAAAAAAGATGAGTCCCTTATATGACTTGGGGAAGCAGCTGAGCATGTCCAATGGTGAAGAAAACACACCTATTACTGCACACCTTACAAACATGAGCTCATTAACCCTAACAAAACCCCCAGGAGGTAGTTAAGTATCATTAGCTTGCCCACCAATCAGCAGAAGAGAAAGAAACCAGCCTGTAGTCTAGTGACAGGGTGGCCCAATCCCCGTCTCCTTTGATGTTTCATTGCAAAGTGAATTCTAAAGCATAAATAATATATGTTAATATTTATCAAATAGGAACTTAGCTGGTTAAGATCTTCAAAGCAGACGCCATCCCAATAATTTTAATGTAGACAAACTTATGGAATTAGGCCTATCGACCTCAGAGGATAGATAATACAGTACACATCATTATTATAGGTTCTCCTTTGGGAAAAATCTGTTCTCAGAGTAAACAAAGAACTTTCTGAATTTTAAAATATGATTCCCAAATGATGCTTGATGGAGGCAGAGAGCCTGGGCAAGCGTGTTCACAGCTGGCGGGCACCCTAGAGGGGTGCACAAGACAGGGCTCTGGAAAAGGAGGCACAAGGGGAAGAGAAAGCTGAGGAGTCCCAAGGCTTGGCTCAGCGGGTCGTCTGCAGGGTATTCATGTGAGGTTTTACTTTTTCTTAGGGAACACAGCCCTGCTGGCGGCTAACCTGCTGTTTGAGATGCTATGTGCTCTCCCCAAAGTGACAACCGTCTGAGTCTTGTGCTCTTCAAGACAAAACAGATTGCGTCGCTGACAAGTTCTCAAGAAGAACTTATGAGTAAGCAGTCTGAGAACTAAAGAGTTTATGCCAAGAAAACTTTCTGCTGAAAGTGTCATTGCTGGCTGTGAAGTCGGGATAATCAGTAGAATTCTCACCCAAACAGCAACATTTCTAAGGAACTTGGATTAATTGGGGGAAAAAAAAAGGAGTACTTGTACTGCTTTGATTTTTTTTCCTTTGATGAAAGATGGAGGATAAAGGGGAAGTGAGGAGAATTTCTTTCAAGATTATCTAAACATTAGAAACATGACATTTAAAAAAACTATGAAATAATACTGTATAAGCATTCCATATTTCTATATCTTCCTTTTAAACATTTTTTTTTTTGAGATAGAGTTTTGCTTGTCACCCAGGCTGGAGTGCAATGGCATGATCTCGGTTCATTGCAACCTCCGCCTCCCGAGTTCAATCGATTCTCCTGCCTCAGCCTCCTGAGTACCTGGGATTACAGGTGCCTGCCACCACGCCTGGCTAATTTTTGTATTTTTAGTAGAGACAGGGTTTCACCACATTGGCCAGGCTGGTCTTGAACTCCTGACCTAAGGTGATCCGCCCGCCTCAGCCTCCTTAAAGTGCTGGGATTACAGGCATGAGCCACCGCACCCAGCCGCTTTTTAAAATTTTGATGATCTGCTTCCTAGAGTATTGAGTATCTTCCTTTAAACTACAGCTCCTCCTCGGACGCTGCAGTGAGCTGAGATCGCACCACTGCACTCCAGCCTGGGTGCCAGAGCAAGACTCCATCTCAAAAAAAAAAAAAAAAAATACAGCTTCTCCTATGAGGTGCTTAGGGCTGCATCTTGGTTTTAGGACCACTGTGAACGTAAGTAAAAAGTATAAAGTAACACGGAGAGCCTAATGAAGAAACTTCTTGCTCAGAGGCCTAGAAGGGTACACAAAATGTCTTCTAAACTAGAAAACCTAAGGCTGGACACGGTGGCTCATGCCTGTAATCCCAGCACTTTGGGGGGCGGAGGTGGGCAGATCACTTGAGGTCAGGAGTTCGAGACCAGCCTGGCCAACATGGTGAAAACCCATCTCTACTGAAAATACAGAAGTTAGCTGGGCGTGGTGGCGCGTGCCTATAGTCCCAGCTACTCAGGAAGCTGAGGCAGGGGCATTGCTTGAACCCGGGAGGTGGAGGTTGCAGTGAGCTGAGGTCATGCCACTACACTCCAGCCTGGGTGACAGAGTGAGACTCCGTCTCCAAAAAAAAAAAAAAAAAAAAAAAAGCAGGCCGGACCCAGTGGCTCACGCCTGTAATCCCAGGCCTAGGCGGGAGGATCACCTGAGGTCAGGAGTTCAAGACCAGCCTGGCCAACATGGTGAAACCCCGTCTCTACTAAAAAACAAAACAAAACAAAACAAAACAAAAAAACCCCAGAAAACAAAACAAAACTGGAAAATGTCAGCTGGGCTTTTTTTTTTTTTTTTTTTTCTGAGATGGAGTCTCGCTCTGTCCCCCAGGCTGGAGTGCAGTGGCCCGATCTTAGCTCACTGCAATCTCCGCCTCCTGGGTTCAAGCAATTCTGCTGCCTCAGCCTCCTGAGTAGCTAGAATTACAGTCATGCGTCACCACGCCCGGCTAATTTTTGTATTTTTAGTAGAGACGGGGTTTCACCATGTTGGCCAGGCTGGCAGCTGGGCTCTTAATGTTACTTATTGTAACTCACTTCCTGTAAGACTCAATCTACTCTTCAAGTTGATGTACCCTCTATGACTGTAATTCCTGAAATCTGCAGTTATGCTGTGGTGATCTTAAGCGTGTCTTGAGTTCCATGCAAATTCAATTCTGTTGATAATGTGTCCATAATCAAATCATCATCTTGCAATGCAAGGGCTACCCCATAATTATCAGACATTAAAATAGTTTATTTCTTTTTCCATTCTGTAATCTTAAAATAACATCAGCTTCAGTGCCTGTTCACAATACAAAAAAAGTCAAAAAACAAAAACAACACCCAAAACATAAAAAAGAAACAATTTGCCAAATAAGTTATTTGTTCCTAAGAGTATCAAAAGTGCAAAATATTCACCTTCTTTTCAGATCTCTCCCAAGCATAATTATCCTCCTTGACAAACTGAACAGACAGATTCAGCAGCTGCCACACTGCACTTGTTTTTAGGGGACAATGTCAGACAGGTGGATGTGAACTACAGTTCCTCTGTAAAGATGTTTGGCATCAGCTTTTAAAGAATTCTAGTTAACAAAACAGGTCTGAGTATGTGCTTCCAATCTCTATTCCCAAACAAAGGAAATCACTAAAAAAACAGATCACACTTCTTTTTATAACAGAAAAATATTTATGTAATGATGGCAGCTGCAAATTGATTGGGATGTTAATAAATAAAAAGGAACAAGTATCAACAAGCTGCAAATGAGGAAGAAACCAACCTACCTGAAAACTACAACCAAATTCTCATGGCTAATAAGTGATGGCAGTGAGACCATGGCCCCTAATGGAAGTTAGGGCAGCCTCACCCACTGAAATGTTGTTTAGTTGGAGCTGATAGCCTCAGTGTTAGATAAAAATTGTGCAACACCTGAGCAACAAATTTTTTTTTTTTTTTGGAAATTGGCATGTATTCTGCAAAGACTTGTTTTAGGCCAGTTTTACCCCATCTGCTAAACGCAATGCATAGTCTGTATCAACCAGAAGAACCCATCTCTAAAAACATCAATGTTGATAGTCAAAGACCACTGTGTTAGAACCAAAATCAGGTCTTGTATGATTACATACATCAGACAGAGCAATGGTGGCACAGGCTGAGCATGACAATGGCTCATATGTTTGACGCAAAAGTAAACAAATTCATGGATGCATTCAGGAGGAATGCCTTGCATGGACAAGGGTAAAGTTCAATTTAAAATAAAAGCTCCCTAATATTCTCATAGGGCACCAGCTCTAAACCGGTCTGTAGAAGAGCTTTTGGGCTGAAACATCTGCCAGGAACATTGCCAATCCCATCACTACCTTCATTTCCTAGTGCAAATGGAAGGTGCAGCTGTTTGAAGGTGCTTTTTAAAAGATCAAAAGATGACTTGAAGAGATAAAAATGTTTAAAAATGAACAAATCTGGCATGGTGGCTCATATTGATAATCCCAGCACTTTGGGAGGCCAAGGTGGAAGGACTGCTTGAGGCCAGGAGTTTGGGACCAGCCTGGGCAACATAGCAAGACCTCGTCTCTATTAAAAAAAATATAAATAAATACACTTGGAGAGTTTTTGGTTTTCAGAAATTAAAGTCAGGAATTTCATTAGTACAGAAATTAAAAATAAAAACCTACTACCAAACCAAAAGACCACTCATATAAGCAATCTGGCCATAAAATACCTAGAAAGTAATATTGAGGACTGATGTATCAAGGAGCCAAATGAATTCCTTGACCATTTCTAGTTGGACCAGGTGCCATGAGATACAGCATTCAGAGGAAGTGTCCATTTTTAGAGGATCATATGGAAGAATGAAGCCTGGCAGTGATTTATTTTTTAATAAAGCTACAGACTCCATGAAAACTACAGGAATTCCTGGCCTTAAATAATTTATTACTTACCAATGTAGCTCAAGATTTAAATTATTCAGGATCCAAGTGGCTTAGTTTAAAGCATTAAGATTAAAGAAATACTAACTTAGCCGGGAGTGGTGGCTCACGCCTGTAATCCCAGCAGCACTTTGGGAGGCTGAGGCAGGCAGATCACCTGAGGTCAGGAGTTCATGACCAGCCTGATCAACATGGAGAAATCCCGTCTCTACTAAAAATACAAAATTAGCCGGGCTAATTACATGGTGGCACATGCCTGTAATCCTAGCTACTCAGGAGGCTGAGGCAGGAGAATCACTTGAACCTGGGATGTGGAGGTTGCGGTGAACCGAGATCGCACCATTTCACTCCAGCCTGGGCAACAAGAGTGAAACTCTGTCTCAACAACTAAAAAAAAAAAAAAAAAAAGAAATACTTAGTAAATGTCCCATCACTGATTTTCACCCTTCACAAAGCCACCAAAGGCACCTTGCTTTGACATTTGAACGGACCACTCTTTGAAGCTGTCCAAACTCAAACTCAGAACCACTGGTCATTCTGCCCTGAAAAATAAAAGGTATGCTCTCTAACTGGCTGGTATGAGGCACCCTGGGGTCCACTATACCTGGAGCTCAGCACGCTCAGGTGCTGATGGCCAGTCTGACCCCAATACTGGTGAAGCAGCTCTAAGTTAAGAGTGAAAACAATGAAGATGAGACATCAAAATACAGCCCAGAAGTGGAAAGTAAGCCTTTTGCAAAATGGGAGTCTAGAACAAATCTTGGCTCACTTCCTGCAAAAGATGACTTGAAGAGACAGCACTTTTAGGGTAACAGTGTTCAAAATACAATTGTTGAGAAATTTTAAGTTCCTTGATACAAAGACATGTTTGGTATTTTACTAAAGAGACACTATTGAAGAGATTCCTTAAGCCTGACTCATAGCAGGTGGGAATAATTTCTCTTCAGTTTAACATCTACTGGCTTTATAGCAGCTTATCTCTACGTTCAGAGAACAAGATTACAAGTTATGGCTCCTAATATCCATACCCTAAAATCGACAGAGGCAGAAAGGCATCTGAAGACATACATGTCAACGGCTCAAAGTCATCACAGTACTTCTCGCTGTGCAGACCCCTCCCCTGGCTACCAGCAGCGCTGGGGCGGCGGATGGGATGCTCACAGCGTGTCTCAAGGCTGCATCGCTTCAGCCACTGCTCAGCCTCCCTTTCCTTTTCTTGAGAACTCACATGCAGAACTCCCGTTTATTCCTTTCCTTTTCAACCTGTGGCCAACAAACTGTTGTTGGGGGATACCCCCAAAATATACATTTAGCCACTTACTCCCAGAACAACCAGTAAACGTGAGATTGCTTGGAAAGGGGCCTTTTTCCAGATGCGGGGCTAGAAGCTGCCGTGGGTTGTTCAGAGTTAGGAGCATGCGCCATGGCAGCAGCACAGCAGGGCCGGGATTGGGGAAGGGGCCAATGACCTGGCCTGCACGACAGGCTCATGAGGGTCCGCCAGATGCCGCTTGCAGGGTGGAGCCCTGTGCTTCTCCAAGACACAGGACAGGAGGGTGGGGTGAGCATGGGACAAGGACAAGAAAGGAAGAGGGGATGAGCAGTCTATTTTCAATGGTGTGGCATTCAGTGGGGAAAAATAACACCCAGAGGAAAAGATTTTCATCTAGGCGATTCAAACTGGTGGTGTTTTTCATTCCTAGGTTAGAACAGGACAAAGGAAAGATTCTTCTAGCCATGGTTCTAGAAGAGCAATCTAAAATCTATACTCTGTTCATTGTGGTAGTTTGAGTCCTGAAAATACCTGTTCACAGGGGCATGTTAAAAAGTCTGAAGAGTTCAAATCTCTTTGGAAAATCCTCTCAGTCTAGTTCAGGCCATGATGGGATATAAAACCTCTGTAAGGAGCCCTCCAGCAGGCGTTCCATCCATAAAGAGAGCTTGCTCAACTTTCCTTTGATGGGCCTGGATCCAAGGCCACAGGAAGGTTTCCCTCGAGATTCACCCAGGTAGAGGGAAGAGTCAACATCACTGCACGACCCTATGGCTTCCTCCTCTTCGACTGTCTTTTGGGGCTTGAAGAGGCAGAAGTATTTCTTGTGGCCATTCAGAGCCAGTACATAACCAGTGTAGTCACGCTCCATGAAATGCTTATCATATTGGTTTGGGATTGGAGCTGCATCTTGAGCAAATTCTAGTAAGTATTCTAGCCATTCTCTGTGTTTATCTAGACTCAGGAAGGAGAAGTGTAGGCAGCTGCTCCTGTAGGAAGAAGAGAATTGAGGACTCAGGGCATTTCCTGACACATTTAATTGCTGAGAAAATAAATACCCCAGTGAGACTTAAAATAATAGGAAAACGCTTTGTGTTGGATGGGGCCTGAACACAGAGAAAAAGAAGGCCTTCTGTGGGAGCCAGTGCCTCTCCAGCAGCTGCGACACTTCAATCACCCATTCCCCCATCGCTTGCTCGGTGGAACTTAACATTGCTCTTCTGGAAAATACACAAGGGCTAGAGAACAGTAACTGAAAGGGCTCAGGGAATAACACTGAGTTCAAGCTTTTCTGTTCAGAACCAACAAAACACGAAGTGAAGTGGGAAAAGAGGTCCCTGTCGCAATGGCTCAGATGTCTGGATTGGAAAGGTCACAGCCAGCATCTTGCTGTATGGATGAAGCCCCACAAGACCAAAGAGAAAAGCGTGCAATTTCAGTGTGCCTGCCTCTCTCTCTCTCACACACATACATACATGCACACACACACATGCTTACCCAGTAAATGTGTAGACCTCCAAAGCAAATTTCTGTAGTAGGCTGGTCTTGGTAGAATTCGACAGGATGAGGACCACATTCATGTGGCCTGGCCTCAGACGTACCAAGTTACTGGTGTATGTTACATCTGTGAGTTCAGTTACCTCCACAAAGCCTTTTTTAGGAATCTTGCTGTGGAGAAATATTGAGGAGTTAAGATGCTGTCAGGATAGGGGGAAAGCCGTTACTTTGAAAAGAAACAGCTGAAAGAAAATGCTATGTTCTAACCAGACTAGGTATGTTATTCACTATTCTTGAGTCTAACACATTGGTAGGATGGGGATGGCCTGACTTGGTAATCCCTGACCTACAAACAGCCTTTCTGTGCTGCTTTTCTTTTTCTTTTTGAGATAGGTTCTTGCTCTGTTTTCCAGGCTTGAGTGCAGCGACATGATCATGGCTCACTGCAGCCTCGACCTCCTGGGCTCAAGTGATCCTCCTACCTCAGCCTCCCAAGTAGCTGGGACTACAGGTGCCTGCCACCACATCCAGCTAATTTTATAAGTTTTTTGTAGAGACAGGGTCTTGCCATGTTGCCTAAGCTAGTCTCAAACCCTGGGCTCAAGCAATCCTCCCACCTAGGCCTCCTAAAAGTCTTGGGATTACAGGCGTGAGCCACTGTGCCCTGCTTGATGCTGCTTTTCAGGTGCAGAAGTTGCTCTAGGACAGAATGAAGAAGACAACTATCATTCAGTCTATGTTCTTTGTCTCGGAGACCCTGGCCTCTTGCTGCTGGGTGTGTGTGCGCACAAGACTGGTTACGTTCATTGACATTTACAGGGATAAACCACGTCCTGCTTCTGGCTCACCTAACACTTGCCTGATAGGCTTCTTTCCTTCTGCCTTCATTATGAAATCTAAGGCATCTAAACACCTACAGGGTCTTAGTAAACACAAATCACAGTGACTTTTCCCTGTAGCCACAGTTTACATGGGAGGAGGTGCATGAGAGTTCTTCTCTACACTCTATGTTCCAATGCTGCGTTATCAGATGACAGGATCTGGGGGGCAGGTGCCGGGGAGGTGAGTCTGGTGTTTTGTTAGAGAAACCTGCTGTTTTCTTTGGTGAAGCTTGGCTCAGTTTTCCCAGTCTTCTCTTGGGCTTCCTCTTTTTCTGGAGGGCTTGACTCTCGCTCATCATTAGAGTCGCTAAAGTAAGAAAAAAGGAGTTTTACAAAAAAAGTGTCAACACCAACCATGGTGGTGCACCGAGAAGCCACAGGACATTTACCTGAAAGCCTGAACGATGACAGTGCCGAAGAGGATGAAGAGGGCAGAGAAGATCAGGGACAGCAGGGGCATCATTTCCCTCCTAAAACCAAATTAACAAACTATTAGCTCAAGTTAAAATTTCTTCTCTCCAGCTAAAAAAAGATAAAATAAAAATCCCAAACCAAAAACTCTTCACACCAATAAACGCTTACTAATTTCAGGCAAACAGAGCTTTTCTTGGCGGGTGGAGGTGGTGGAGGGGAAGGTAGAGATTGCTCAGTGTTCTAATTCACAGACAGCTTATTCTAAAAGTTTGATTTTGTATCTCAGTATAATAGGCTATGCTCAATAAGTTCTGCATGAGGAAACAATAAAAGGGATAATAAAGGACTTAAGGTGTAAACATGGAAGAATTTTCTGACATTGTGGAATTATTTCCTCAACTTTACTGATTTTTTTCTGGCCAGAAAAATTCAGATGTAGCCCAGAGGGGTGGAGTAGGGAGATAAAATTGATCTTTCAAGATTTCATCTAGGACTGGTGTTCTGAAATTTTATGTACCTACCAACACCCATCAAAGGCTGTCATTTGTCAGGTGCTGTGTTGGGTGCCAGGAATCACAAACACGAATGAGATGTGGTTCTGTCCTTCAGGGGCTCATGGTCTCATCAGTAGGTGGGAGTGGGTATCCCTCTTGAGGTTAATTCACTCATTCCTTTTACATCTATACACTGGACTCCACGTGTGTCAGGCCCTGTGCTGGGCACCAGAGGTTCCCTGATGAAGAGACAGTCCCAGGCTCTGCTGCCCAGAATGGCAGCCATGGGTGATCCTTTCCTAGCCAGTGGGAAAGGGTCAGTCAGCCAATATAAAAAAAGGGAAGTGGCCGGGCATGGTGGCACACGCCTGTAATCCCAGCACTTTGGGAGGCTGAGGTGGGTGGATCACCTGAGGTCAGGAGTTCGAGACCAGCCTTACCAACATGGTGAAACACTGTCTCTACTAAACATACAAAAATTAGCTGGGCATGGTGGTGGGTGCCTGTAATCTCAGCTTCTCGGGAGGCTGAGACAGGAGAATCGCTTGAACCTGGGAGGCAGAGGTTGCAGTGAGCTGAGATCGTGCCACTGCATTCCAGTCTGAGTGACAGAGTGAGACTCTGTCTCAAAAAAAAATAAAAAATAAAAAATGTCCGGGAGCAGTGGTTCACACCTGTAAGCCCAGCACTTTGGGAGGCCGAGGCGGGTGGATCACCTGAGGTCAGGAGTTTGAGACCAGCCTGACCAACATGGTGAAACCCTATCTCTACTAAAAATACAAAAATTAGCCAGGCATGGTGACAGGTGCCTGTAATCCCAGCTACTCAGGAGGCTGAGGCAGGAGAATTGCTTGAACCTGGGAGGCGGAGGTTGCAGTGATCCCCAGATTGAGCCTGGGGGACAAGAGCAAGACTTTGTCTCAAAAAAAAAAAAAGTAAAAAATAAAAAAAAGGGAAGTTACTGAAAGAAAGAAAAAGGGGAATAGAAAATGTGTAAACGTTCTTCCACTTGCCCCATCAAGTGTACCTTGAAATTTAATAATGATGAACTCTTTTCAAAAGAAAAACAGTGATATCAGTATTAACAGAGAAAAAGAAATTCAGCCTGGCAATATCCCTACCAGTTGTTGTGAAAAATGCTATCCCAGCAGTCTGAGATGTAGTCAGAAGCAGAGTAGAACCATCGAAGGAGAAAAACCTATGTAGAGAGAAAATGGATGATGGTCAGGACTAAAGCCGGAAGGGAGAGTCCCTCTACCCTGCAACACAGTGCTGCTGCTGGACCTCTGCTCTGAGCAGAAATCCGCCACCAGCACTGTGTACTCACAAGCCCTCCTGGTGTCCCACCCTTCCCAGCCCCGATGCTCACAGGGGCAAGTTCATCGGTCAGGTCAGGAAGCACTGCTTCAGAGGACAGAAGAGCTGGATCTTTACGCAGCTGGTCGAGATAGCCCAAGAGGATAAATTTGTCACTCTCACTCCCAATCCAAGGGTCTTCCAGGGTTTTATACACCACCCTTCCTGCTGTGTTGCGCCTTTCTAAAATAGACACCTGGAAGAAAAGTAGAGAAAAAACATCAGAAGTTTCAAAAGCATGGTTAAGTTACAGTTGTTTGCTTTTTTTTTTTTTTTTGACGGAGTCTTGCTTTGTCGCCCAGGCTGGAGTGCAGTGGCGTGATCTTGGCTCACTGCAAGCTCCGCCTCCCGGGTTCACGCCATTCTCCTGGCTCAGCCTTCCCAAGTGGCTGGGACTAGAGGCACCTGCCACCATGCCTGGCTAATTTTTGGTATTTTTTTTTTTTTTTTTTTTTTTTTTTAGTAGAGATGGGGTTTCACCATGCTAGCCAGGATGGTCTCGATCTCCTGACCTCGTGATCTGCCTGCCTTGGCCTCCCAAAGTGCTGGGATTACAGCTGTGAGCCACCACACTTGGCCCAGTTGTTTGTTTTTTGAGACAGAGTTTCGCCCTTGTCTCCCAGGCTGGAGTGCAATGGTGCGATCTTGGCTCACTGCAACCTCTGCCTCCCAGGTTCAAGCAATTCTCGTGCCTCAGCCTGCTGAGTAGTTGGGACTACAGACAGGTGTGCACCACACCAGCTAATTTTTGTATTTTTAGTAGAGATGAGGTTTCACCATGTTGATTAGGCTGGTCTCAAACTCCTAGCCTCAAGTGATCCACCCGCCTCGGCCTCCCAAAGTGCTGGGATTATAGGTGTGAGCCACCGCGTTCGGCCTAAGAAATAACTTTTATGGTGACTTTCCTAAGCTTTTGTTAAAAGTTAAAGCTCTTTTTTCTCAATAGACTTTGCTCTATAACCTTGACTTAATATTAATGGAAACCTTTGTTTTTTAGAGAGATTTTCCATGATTGCGAAAATGATGAAAAGTCAGAGGAGAATTTCTTGTTTCTGTAGGAAGTGATGACAATGCAGGAGAAAGGCAGGAGAGATCAACCAGGATGAAGTTAAAGAGGCAGAGGGGGGCAGAAATTTCCAGAGCACATTACCAGTGGCCTAAGGATTTGTAAAATCTAGGATCTAGGATGCTGCAAGACCAGACTTGCCTTAGTAAAAAACTGGTGAAAAGCACTGATGACCTTTACCGTTCACTGATAGAAAACATGGTTTCTGTGGGGGCCTGAGGCTGACATCCAGAATGTAAAAAGACCAGGTCAAAAACTGTTTTAAGAGTAGGCTTTAGGCCAGGAGCAGTGGCTCATGCCTGTAATCCCAGCACTTTGGGAGGCGGGAGGATTGCCTGAGCTCGGGAGTTTGAGACCAACCTGGGCAACATGTCGAAACCCTATCTCTACAAAAAAATACAAAAAATTAGCCAGGCGTGGTTGTGTGTGCCTGTGGTCCCAGCTATGTGGGAGGCTGAGGTGGGAGGATCACTTGAGCCTGGGAGGTCGAGGCTGTAATGAGCTGAGATCATGTCACTGCACTCCCAGCCTGGGAGACAGAGTGAGACCCTGTCTCAAAAGAAAAAAAAAAAAATCAAGAAAAAGGAAAAACAAAAGAGTAGACTTTGAAAATAGGCTTCAGAGTTTCAGATTTCCTAGAATCTGTATTCAACACTCTCAAGGAAGAAGGAAACAGAATCAAGTGCCACATGGTTATGAAGAGCCTGGGATGAGGAGAGACTCTGTGGCTTACCGCTGATTTCCCTTGAAACGCCTCACTGTCTGGTAGTAAGGTGTCGGCAAACTCCTGCTGCCGATTGCTGTAGACATGCACAAATCTCACTGTGTCTTGAGTGTTTGCCAGGGCAAAGGACAGGAAAGCCTCAAAGGGTTTGCTCAACTTGGTAGTCTCAGCAGTCAATAAAACCACACAGTACCTGCACAACAAAAAGACAAAACTTTATAACCAATCCCTGATGGCAGGGCCAGCACCTATAATGGCAAGTGAAGGTGAAGAAGACGAGGAGCTCATCTTATGGAAGTGAATACACTGTGCCCAGTGAAAGCTGACATTTCAACTAAGGGAGGATTTCCAAGTCATTAACAAACTGTTTCTCTTCCCAATCTGTGATGTTTTTCCCAAACCAAACTTCTTTACCACATTTACGAATTTTAAAATTTTATATATATGAAATTTTATATATATGAAAACTATATATATATAGTTTTGTTTATATTGCCCAGGCTGGTCTTGAACTCCTGGCCTCAGACAATCCTCCTACCTCAGGCTCCCAAAGTGTTGGGATTACTGGCATGAGCCATCGTGCCTGCCAGGAATTTAAGGGGTTGGTCACTGAATCTCTGATGCAGCAGGGCCTTTCATTTTATTTTTTGAGATGGAGTCTTGCTCTGTCGCCCAGGCTGGAGAGTGTAGTGGTGTGATCTCGGCTCACTGTAACTCCGCCTCCTGAGTTCAAACCATTCTCCTGCCTCAGCCTCCCAAGTAGCTGGGATTATAGGCGTGCACCACCTCACCCAACTAGTTTTTGTATTTTTAGTAGAGACGGGTTTTCACTATGTTGGCCAGGCTGGTCTCAAACTCCTGACCTCAAGTGATCCGCCTGCCTCAGCCCCCCAAAGTGCTGGGATTATAGGCGTGAGCCACTGTTCCTGGCCGGCAGGGCCTTTTAGAAACTATTTGTCCTAGTTCTTCCAGTATAGGGAGGGCTGGTCAAATCTCTCTCAGGCCAGAGGCCACTGAGCCTCATTCTGAACGGCTTCCTTTGCAAGGTTCCAATGGAAAGTTTAGCTATTCATTCTCCCAAAAATATTTACTGAGCACTTAGTATATGTCAGGTAATATAGACAATATTATTGCCCTCATGGAGCTTATATTCCAGTGGGGAAGACAGAAAACAGATATATTATGACAGGTATCAACAAGTGCTATATATTAAAAAAAAAAAAAAAGATGAAAAGGGGACAGAGAGAGGCCAGAGTGGGTAGAAGCCAGGCTCCATCAGACAGGTTGGTCAGGGAAGTGCCAACTGAAAAGGTGACATTGTTATGACAGGAAATGGGGTCAGAGCATCCCAGGTAGAGAGACTACAAGTGCAAAGACCCCAGGATGGGGAGTGACTGGATCTGATTTGCATTTTCAAACATTATTGGCTGACGTGTGGACATCTGCCTGGAGGGTACAAGAGTGGAATGGAGCAGAGAGACTAGTTAGAAGGCTGCCAGGGGGGTCTCGCTGGGAGACGATGGTGGCTTGTTCCAGGGTGGCAGTGGTTAAAAAAAGTGAGAAGTGTGTGGATTTGGGATATTTTTTGAAGGCTGTGTAAACAACAATCCTTACAGTCCAGGATATTCTTTTTTTATATTTAAGTCATTTTTTTCTTCGCTCTTAAGACTATAAAGGAATCTGAAAAGCCTAGACACACAGGGAAATTATGTTTTATATTTTCAAGTTACATGATTGATATGTTTTCCTTCCATATCCAGATACCTTTTACAGATGAAACAGCCCTAAATTTAAAGCTACTGATTCATTCACCTGAGAAGGTGTAATGAATACATTCCCTGAATTTCTAGACTTTTTAGATACTTTGTATAATAACTCTTCCTACTTTATTGAATACATGTAACTTAGCCTTCCCGATTCCCACCAATCCATTTCCTCAATACTCTGTACTTCCCTACTGTTTAATTGTTATCCTTGCTCCTTCCCAAGACCTCCAAAGACTCACCCTGTGTGGAATGCTTTAGTAGGGACAGTCACTCTTCCATATTCTGTGCTTCTGTAAAGTGACCCAGTCTATCCCAGACGCCTGGCTAAACTGTGCTCATCCTTCAGGTCTCAGCTGAAATGTTACATCTTAGGGAAATCTTCTCTGACCACTAGGACAGGCTGGCACATCTGACAATTTGGTGCTAAAGTGCCCTGGACTAATACATCATATTAGTATGATTACCATCACAGTCACTAATCAGTGTTTTTTTTTTTTTTTTTTTTGAGACAGAGTTTCACTCTTGTTGCCCAGGCTGGAGTGCAATGGCATGATCTCGGCTCACCGCAACCTCTGCCTCCCAGGTTCAAGTGATTCTCCTGCCTCAGCCTCCCTAGTAGCTGGGATTACAGGCATAAGCCACCATGCCCGGCTAATTTTGTATTTTTAGTAGAGATGGGGTTTCTCCATGTTGGTCAGGCTGGTCTTGAACTCCGGACCTCAGATGATCCGCCCTCCTCGGCCTCCCAAAGTGCTGGGATTACAGGCATGAGCCACCATGCCCGGCCCAGTATTTGTTAAATGAAGAATAAGTTCTCAATGTTACAGGGCAGATGTCTAGTCACCCTATAGTAAAATGAATCATGATCCTTCTATTGTAATAACAAGCAGAGGCAAAGCCTTAAGTCCTTACTTCCTCTGTCGATGCGACCGTTTCACAGGGCAGAGTTCATGGAACAACTTCTGGCTGGTGAGCCTGGCTGCCAATAGATATTTGTTTCGGGTGATGAAGTCGTCAATGATTTGCTTCTTCATACCTCGGGCCTAGAGAAAAACCAAGAATCAGCTAGATTTTATGCAGTGTTCTCAATGCAAATAGATGGGCTTTCTTTACTTACCAGCTTAATAAAAACGTAGCTGACCTTGGCTAAAGTAATATAACCAAACAAGACAGACCTGTTTGAGCGAATAAACATGTGGTGATCTATTTCAGCAATGCAGGGCTGAAAGCAATGATGCAGCTATTTCGGGTCAAAGGGAAAATCAAGTACACTTTCCACTGGAGAATTTTTATTCACTGTTTTATGCTGACAAATTAAAAAAGTCAGTCATGGCCGGACGTGGTGGCTCACATCTGAAATCCTAGAACTTTGGGAGGCTGAGGTGGGTAGATCACGAGGTCAGGAGTTTGAGACCAGCCTGGCCAACATAGTGAAACCCCGTCTCTGCTAAAAATACAGAAATTAGCCAGGCATGGTGACGTGTGTCTGTAGTCCCAGCTACTTGGAAGGCTGAGGCAAGAGAATCAGTTGAACCTGGGAGACGGAGGTTGCAGTGAGCCGAGATCACGCCACTGCACTTTAGCCTGGGCGACAGAGCGAGACTCCATCTCAAAAACAAAACAAAACCAAACACAAAACAAAACAAAAACCCAAAACGAAAAGTCAATCATTTTGAATTTTAGGCAAAATTATTTCCATTCAGGATTTGTAGCGAACTGGGCAATTAAAAATAAATCCCAAAGCAACAATGTTGCAAAGTATAAAAGGCAGGTTACAAAACCGTGTGACCATTTTATTGCTAACTTTCACACATTTCAAAGGATTGAAATCATTGACAGCAGGTATTCTGACCACAAGGTAATTAACCTAGAATTCCATTTAAAATGCAAACCAGAAATGTAAACATTTCCCTTTATGTTTGGAAATTAAGAAACACGGCCAGGTATGGAGGCTCATTCCTCTAACCCAAATGCTTTGGGAGGCCAAGGCAAGAGGATCCCTTGAACCCAAGAGTTAGAGACCAGCCTGTGCAACATGGAGAGATCCCA
The DNA here is from genome assembly GCF_000001405.40 of Homo sapiens. Lineage (NCBI taxonomy): Eukaryota > Metazoa > Chordata > Mammalia > Primates > Hominidae > Homo > Homo sapiens. The sequence goes on along the minus strand of NC_000001.11, from coordinate 15,558,519 downwards.
TCTCTACAAAAAATTAAAAACAAACAAACAAAAGGCCAGGCACAGTGGCTCACTCCTATAATCCCCGAACTTTGGGAGGCCGAAGCAGGAGGATTGCTTGAGCTTAGAAGATCGAGACCAGCCTGGGCAACATAATGAGATCTTGTCTCTACTAAAAATAAAAAAACATTAGCCAGGCATGATGGTGGTGCATGCCTGCAATCCCAGCTACCTGGGAGGTGGAGGTGGGAGGACTGCTTGAGCCCAAGACTTAAGAGACTGCAGTGAGCTAGGATCACACCACTGGACTCTAGCCTGTGTGACAGACTGAGACCCTGTCTCAAGAAAAAAAAAAAAAAAAAAAAAAAAGGGCTGGGTATGGTGGCTCATGCCTGTAATCCCAGCACTTTGGGAAGTCAAGGCAGGTGGATCACTTGAGGTCAGGAGTTCAAGACCAGCCTGTGCAACATAGTGAAACCCTGTCTCTACTAAAAGTACAAAAATTAGCCAGGCGTGGCCTTAGTCCCAGCTACTCAGGAGGCTGAGGCAGGAGGACTGCTTGAGGCTGGGAGAGCATACCAGCCTGGGCAACGGGAGTGAAACCCTGTCTCATAAAAGAAAAAAAAGGAAAAAAAAAGTTGTTAGCTGGGCATGGTGGCATGTGCCTGTAGTCCCAGCTACTTGGGAGGTTGAAGGGTGAGGATCACTTGAGCATAGGAGGCCAAGGCTGCAGTGAGCCATGATGACATCACTACACTCCAGCCTGGGTGACAGAGCAAGACTGACTAAAAAAGAAAAAAAAAAAACCAAAACAAGAACGCCTATCAGATATTAGAAAATATTTTGAACTTTAATGACTGATGAAAAATACTATTTATAAGAACTCTGAGATACATATAAAGTAGTACTTGAAGGGGAATTTTACAATTAACATAATAGAAAAGAAGTTAATGAAATAAACATCTGTCAAGTCAAAAACAGCAAAAATATAAAAGTAGAAAGGAAATAATACAGATAAAAATAGAAATTAATGAAACAAGAAATGAATATATTAATATAAGAAGAAGAATTAACAAAGACAAAACTGGTTCTTTGAAAAAGCTAATACAATCGACAAGCCTCTGGTAAAACCAACCATGAAAACAAAAGAGAAGGCATAAAATAATCATTCTCAAAGATGACAAGAAGGAATCACTACCTACAATGCAGAAGTTAAAACAGAAAACCTAAATAATCAGTAGTCAAAAATCTTTCCTTAAAGCGAAACCCAGAAACCCAAGCTCAAGGCCCAAATGGCATTACAGATGCTTTCAATCAAACTTTCAAGGAAGACAATCTCACATAAAGTCTTCCTGAGAAGAGAAAAAGCAACACATGGGTATCACGATAAGGAAAAGTTAGAAGTCAATCTCATTTCTGAACATGAATGTCAAAGTCCTAAGCAAAATGTTAGCAAATGGAATCCAGCAATATATTGAAAGCATAATAGAAATCATAATCTTGTTGGATTTATTTCATGAGTGCAAGTTAGGTTTAACATTAGAGAATGAATTAATATGAGTTAGCACAATATAGATTAAAGAAGAAAAATCAGAATAATCTAATGGATGTAGAAAAAGTATTTGATAAAAATCATACCAATTGTGGTTAGAACTTTTAGTCAACAAGGAGTAGAAGGACCTTCTTTAACCTGATAAAGGGTATCCACATTTTAAAAGCCTTCTGCAAACACACTTATTGGGGAAATGCTGAAAGCCTTCCCTCTCTTTGAAATCAAGAACAAGGACAGCCCCCGATTACTACACTTCTATTCCACATCATGTCAGCTGTCAGGAGTAATGTCAGAAAAAGAAATAAAATGAGGGCTGGAAAAAAAAAGAAGTAAAATTGTCATTAATCTCAGATGATATGATTACATAGTTAGCTGATCTAAAAGATGGTACAGATAAATTATTTAAGTTAATAGAAGAGTTTAGCAAGGTTGCTGGATGATACAAAGTTTTTGTTTCAAAATCAAGGCTGGGCGCGGTGGCTCACGCCTATAATCCCAGCACAGTGGGAGGCCGAGGCGGGCAGATCACCTGAGACCAGCCTGGCCAACATGGCGAAACCCCTCCTCGACTAAAAAATACAAAAATTAGCGGGGCATTGCGGTGCATGCCTGTAATCCCAGCTACTCAGGAGGCTGAGAGGCAGGAGAATTACTTGAACCCGGGAGTTGGAGGTTGCAGTGAGCCGAGATCAGGCCATTGCACTCCAGCCTGGGCGACAGAGCAAGACTCCGTCTTAAAACAAAACAAAACAAAACAAAACAAAACAACCAACAACTGTATTACTTATACCAGCAAACAGAAAAAACAACAAAAAGATACTGTCTTCATTCTTTTTTCCAAAATTAAAAAAAAAAAAAAAAAAGATAAAGTCTCACTGTGTTGCCCAGGCTGGTCTTGAACTCCTGAGCTCAAGTGGTCCTCCCACCTCAGCCTCCAAAAGTGCTAGGGTGAGCCACTGCACCCGGCTCCCTTTACATTCTTTTTTTTTTTTTTTTTGAGATGGAGTTTCGCTCTTGTTGCCCAGGCTGAAGTGCAATGGCACGATCGTGGCTCATCACAACCTCCGCCTCCTGGGTTCAAGTGATTCTCCTGCCTCAGCCTCCTGAGTAGCTGGGATTATAGGCATGCAACACCACGCCCGGCTAATTTTGTATTTTTAGTAGAGACGGGGTTTCTCCATGTTGGTCAGGCTGGTCTCGAACTCCTGACCTCAAACTCCTGATCCACCCGACTTGGCCTCCCAAAGTGCTAGGATTACAGGCATGAGCCACCACACCTGGCCTTACCTTTTTTTTTTTTTTTTTTTGAGACGGAGTCTCACTCTGTCGCCCAGGCTGGAGTGCAGTGGTGTGATCTTGGCTCACTGCAACTTCTGCCTCCTGGGTTCAAGCAATTCTCTGCCTCAGCCTTCTAAGGAGCTAGGATTACAGGCATCTACCACCGCGCCCAGGTAATTTTTGTATTTTTAGTAGAGACGGGGTTTCACCATGTTGGCCAGGCTGGTCTCGAACTCCTGACCTGGTGATCCACCCGCCTCAGCCTCCCAAAATGCTGGGATTACAGGCGTGAGCCACCGCACCCGGCCTCTTTTTTTTTTTTTTTGAGATGGAGTCTTGCTCTGTAGCCAGGCTGGAGTGCAGTGGCACAATCTTGGCTCACTGCAACCTCCGCCTCCTGAGTTCAAGCAGTTCTCCTGTCTCAGCCTCCAGAGTAGCTGGGACTACAGGAGCATGCTGCCACACCTGGCTTTTTTTTTTCTTTTTTTTTGTATTTTAGTAGAGACGGGGTTTTACCACGTTGCCCAGGCTGATCTTGAACTCCTGGTCTCAGGCAATCCACCTGCCTCGGCCTCCAAAAGTACGAGGATTACAGGTGTGAGCCACCGCGCCTGGCCTACATTCTTTTTTAAAAAAATTTTTTCTGCAGCATAAACTATCAAACAAAAAAAAAAAAAGCTTTTTAATAGGATAAAAAATAGGAGGCACCTAGAAATAAGTTGAAAAAAATGTTCTTTCCAGAGAAAATTATAAAATTTATGAAGACATATTACAGAAGACCTAAACAAATGAAACAGATATATCATGTTCAAAGGTTGGAAGGCCCAATTTTCTAAGGATAGAATCACTTTAAGACATACTTCCCCTATATCAAGATCATGAAGGTATTCTTCTCAGAGCTTCTAAAAGCCGTATAGCTTTGCCTTTTATACGATCTCTATCCTCCCCAAACCGACTTAACAATCAGTATAAACCCAATAAGACACCAGTAAGTTTTTTGGGTTGGTTTGTTTTGATGGAAGTTGACAGAATTTAAAATGTATACAAAAAGTACAAAAGACCAATATATACAAAAAGTACAAAAGACCAACAGCTATAATGCTTTTGAAGGAAAAAAAACCTTTCCCCAAATCTAAAAAACAAAGTGAGGAGATTTGTTCTATCAGATATCAAGACTATTCCAAATGATTTTAAATACTTAAATATAAAAGGCAAAGCTATACAGCTTTTAGAAGCTCTATGAGAAGAATACCTTCATGATTTTTGATGTAGGGGAAGTATATCTTAAATAGAAACAAGGAAGAACCAATCACAAAGGAAAATATTGATATGAGTGAATATACTAAAAGAATTTATGTTCATCAAAAAGACATCAAATACAATAATATATTCATGGCATCATTATTCAAATAACCAAAAACTGGAAAAACTCTGTCAACAATAGAATGGACTGGACAAACACACCATAGTCTATTCCTATCATGCAATTTTCTTTCTTTTTTTTTTTTGAGACAGGGTCTTGCTCTGTTGCTCAGGTTGTAGTGCAGTGGCACGAACACAGCTCACTGCAGCCTTGACCTCCCGGGCTGAAGCAATTCTCCTGCCTCAGCCCTCCAAGTAGCTGGAACTTCAGGTGTGTACCACCACACCCAGCTAATTTTGTATTTTTTGTAGAGACAAGGTTTTGCCATGTTGCCCAGGCTGGTCTCGACCTCCTGGGCTCAAAGGATCTGCCCGTCTCGACCACCCAGAGTGCTGGCATTACAGGTGTGAGCCACTGTGCCTGGCCATGCAATTTTCAACAACAAGAATGAAGATAAAACTCCAAATAATGACATGTATGAATCTCAAAAACATAAGCTGAGAGAAACCAGATACAAGATATATACACTACATTATTCCATTTGGATAAAATCCAAAAATGCAAAGACGAATCTATGCTGTTAGAAAACAGGATAGTGCTGACCTTTGGGAAGGAGGTAAGTAGGTAGGGGGAGGGAGGGGCCTTCTGGGCTGATGACAATATTTTGTTTCTTGATCAAGTGAAGCTAACATGGATGTGTTCATTGTGTGAGAATTCACTGAGCTTCACACCTCTGACTTGTGCATCTTTCTGCATGTGTATTATATGTCAATAAATAATTTTAAAATGTGAGTATCATAAAAATAATAAAAACAGCCAGGTGCGGTGACTCACGTCTGTAATCCCAGCACTTTGGGAGGCCGAGATGGGTGGATCATCTGAGGTCAGGAGTTCGAGACCAGCCTGGCCAACATGGTGAAACCCCATCTCTACCAAAAATACAAAAATTAGCTGGGCGTGGTGGAGTGTGCCTACATCCCAGCTACTCAGGAGGCTGAGGCAGGAGAATCGCTTGAACCCGGGAGGCGGAGGTTGCAGTGAGCTGAGATCACACCACTGCACTCTAGCCTGGGCAACAAGAGTGAAACTCCATCTCAAAAAAACAAAACAAAACAAAAGACAAGCCACAGAATGGGTGAAGATATTTGCCACGGAGATAAACAAAAGACTATGAGAAAAAAACAGGAAAAAAAGAGATGAACATATAAATAACCCCTACAAATCAATTACAGAAAGGCAGATATCTAATTAAAAAATGGGTAAAAGACTTAATAGACAGGCCGGGCGCGGTGGCTCACACCTGTAATCCCAGCACTTTGGGAGGCGGAGGTGGGCGGATCATCTGAGGTCAGGCGCTCGAGACCAGCCTGGCCAACATGGTGAAACCCTGTCTCTATTAAAAATACAAAAAAATTAGCCAGGTGTGGTGGCTTGTGCCTGTAGTCCCAGCTACTCCGAAGGCTGAGGCACAAGAATCACTTGAACCCAGGAGGCGGAGGTTGCAGTGAGTCGAGATCTCACCACTGCACTCCAGCCTTAGAGACAGAGCAAGACTGTGTCTCCAAAAAAAAAAAAAATAAATAATAATAATAAAAAGACACATAACAGGTAGGCATATCATAATGAGGGCATCCAAAAGGTTCATATACAAATGAGAAGATGACTTCCTGTTGACAAGAATTTAAAAAAAAATTAAAAACAAAAAAATTAAAATAAAAAAAAGAAGAAATCTGTGTTCCTTGCACTTATAATGGATCTTTTACTCATGTATTATTTCATAATACCCTGCACTGGTCATCTGAATGCAGAGTATGTGAATATTGGTCCACTGATCTTCCAAACAGTAACTTTTTTTTTTTGAGATGAAGTCCCACTCTGTCGCCCAGGCTGGAGTGCAGTGGCGCGATCTTGGCTCACTGCAACCCCCGCCTCCCAGGTTCAAGTGATTCTTCTGCCTCCGCCTCCCGAATAGCTGGGACTACAGGTGCATGCCACCACGCCAGCTAATTTTTGTATTTTTTTTTAGTAGAAACAGGGTTTCACCATATTGGGCAGGCTGGTCTCGAACTCCTGACCTCATGATCCACCTGCCTCAGCCTCCCAAAGTACTGGGATTACAGGCTTGAGTCACCACGCCTGGCCAACATATTTTATTATACTTATTAAAAAAAGAACGGGCTGGGTGCAGTGGCTCACACCTGTAATCCCAGCACTTTGGGAGGCCCAGGCAGGAGGACCACTTGAGGCCAGGAGTTCAAGACCATCCTAGTCAACAAAGTGAGACCCTGTCTCTCAAACAAAAAAAATTTTTTTTTTTTTGAGACAGAGTCTCATTCTCACCCAGGCTGGAGTACAGTGAAACAATCTTGGCTCACTGCAACCTTTGCCTCCTGGGTTCAAGTGAATCTCCTGTCTCAGCCTCCCGGGTAGCTGGGATTACAGGTGCATGCCACCACACCCGGCTTTTTTGTATTTTTAGTAGAGACGGGGTTTCACCATGTTGGCCAGGCTGGTCTTGAACTCCTGAATTCAGATGATATGCCTGCCTCAGCAAAAAAAATTTTTTAAAAAAATTAGCCAGTGGTGCATGCCTGTAGTCTCAGCTGCTCGGGAGACTGAGGCAGAAGGATCACTTGAGCCCAGGAAGTCGGAACTGCAGTGAGCCGAGTCTGTGCCACTGCACTCCAGCCTGAGTGACAGAGTGAGATCCTCTAAAAAACAAAAACAAAAGCAAAAAAAAAAAAAACCACATCACTTTGATGAACCAATCTCATCAGAAAATTCTGAGAAGCTGTCATGATGGCCAGTACAAATTTTTCGAAATTCTAATGTTCTTGGAAGCCTGAATTTTATCACTGGCAATAAATACCACCAGTTGTTTGTTTTAAAGTGCCACATCACTTCATCTGTTTTAGAGAAAATGTCTGCCAAATTCCCGAGTCTAAATAACCATAGTTGTCTGTCATTCTTCCAAGTAAAAATGATATTCCATTAAGAAAAGTGGCAAGGTAAGCACTTGTCCTCAGGACATTTGTACTCTGTTGTGCAGCAGGACAGCTTTATGCACACTTCCCAGCTCATCACACAGAATATTAAATCCATCAAAAAGACATGCACTCAAGGGTTAAGGTTTAATAAAATTAACACTTCTTACTGCTTCATCAAAGATATAAGGTGAGGCCGGGCACGGAGGCTCACGCCTGTAATCCCACCACTTTGGGAGACTGAGGTGGGCGGATCACCTGAGGTCAGGAATTCAAGAACAGCCTGGCCAACATGGTGAAACCCCATCTCTACTAAAAATACAAAAATTAGCCGGGCATGGTGGCAGGTGCCTGTAATCCCAGCAACTCGGGAGGCTGAGGCAGAAGAATTGCCTGAACCCGGGAGGCGGAGGTTGCAGTGAGCCGAGATCATGCCATTGCACTCCAGCCTGGGCGACAGAGTGAGATTCTGTCTCCAAAAACAAAAGAAAACAAAATACATGAAGTGAATCTAGTGGTTTGTTTTTGCTGCGAGTGATTGGGGGTGAAGCACACAATGATGGTAGGTGGCCTGGTGCCCTGCCTGGATTCATGCACTGGCACTGGCAGCTTCACCCACTACTGCTTTGGTACTATCAGTGTAAATGTCAACACAGTGAAAAAGGCAAATCGTGTCTTGATATGATCTCACAGACTTTCTCTTGAAGGATCTTTGAGAATCCCCAGGAGTCTATCAACCACATTCTGAAAACTGCTGTCCTAGAGAACTCTGTACTTAGGTTATGATATTCATTGCAACACTATTCCTCAAAGCCCCCAATGTCCACCAACGGAAGAATGATTCAATAAATTATAATGGCCATAAATACCATATAGCAATGACAACAAATTACCTAGAGCAACAGGAAACCACTGGTGCTACTAGTGATCATTAAGCCACCTGCTGTTGTGAAAACTGAGTTTGTTAAGCATACACTTGATATCCACAAAGAGCAAGCTGGTAAAGCAGCCATTCTACCAATAATTTTGTAAATGTATTTGATTTACAATTTTCCCCAGTGGGATAAATAAATATAATTCTCAGAACTATAAACTGTTCCGAAAGACCAATTTAGGAAATCCTCATCCATTTACCCTGGATTGAGATTATCTTCTCTTTTCTATTCGGACACTGGTATTTGTTTTCTTCCTGACTTGCAGCACCTTCTCGTCTCCATCAGGCACCCCCTTGTCTTGTGTGCCGGTGGCTGTTCTGAGTTTTGTCCTTGGCCTCCTTGGCCTTACTTTACATACAGCAGTCATCCCCTAACTGCAGAGGATACGTTCCAAGACCCCCAGTAGGTGCCTGAAACCACATAGTACTGAACTCTATACAAACTATGTTTTTTTCCTATACACATACCTATGATAAAGTTTATCAATTAGGCACAGCAAGAGATTAACAACAACAATATTTAAATAGAACAATTCTAACAATATACTGTAATAAAGTGATGTGAACATGGTCCCCCTCGCTCAAAACATCTTTTTTTTTTTTTTTTTTTTTGAGACGGAGTCTTGCTCTGTCGCCCAGGCTGGAGTGCAGTGGGCGGCGTGATCTCAGCTCACTGCAAGCTCCGCCTCCTGGGTTCACGCCATTCTCCTGCCCCAGCCTCCCGAGTAGCTGGGACTACAGGGGCCCACCACCACGCCCGGCTAATTTTTTGTATTTTTAGTAGAGACGGGGTTTCACCACGTTGGCCAGGATGGTCTCAATCTCCTGACCTCGTGATCTGCCCGCCTCGGCCTCCCAAAGTGCTGGGATTACAGGCGTGAGCCACCACGCCCGGCTTCAAAATATCTTCTTGCACTGTAGTCACCTATGTTTTGGACCTGGTTGACTGTGGGTAACTGAAACCTCAGAAACTGAAAAAGGGGTAAGTGGGGTGGATCAGGGGAGACTACGGTATTATGCCGGGAAGATCTTACCCTACTCAGGACTTCAACCACTAACCATTTACTGATGATACACCAGTTTCTATCCCCAGCCTGTATGCTTTTCTTAAGATCTCGATTCCTATACCCAACTGTAGAAAGGACTTCTCCCCTTCTATTTCCTACAGGCAGCTCTAATTCAGTATGTCCACAGCCAAAGTTCTTATCTTTCTAAACCTGCTCTTCTTTCTTTACGGTCCACTTTCCCATCTGGTTTCCATGGTTTCAGGTACCCTTCTGTGTTCACAGGACACCTGAGCTGCCATTAGAGTGGACTGCCTCTAGCAAGATAGTACTTGTTTCTCTATACCCTCAACAGTACTATTTTAACTTAGAAAATCTTTGACAGTTGGATGGGTGAAAAAAGGTTAATGTTCTCTGATTACTTGTGAGATTTAATTTTTAAAAATGGTTATTAGTCTTCTCAGAATTTTATGATTTTCTTGATTAAAAGCTCTTTAGAAATTAAAAATATCAACATTTTAATATTTGTTATAAATATTCCCCCAGTTTTTTAACTTTACATTTTAAAGTATTTACATAAAAACATAAAATTTAGAGTCAAGTTATCAAGATTTTCCAAGATTTTTCCCCAATGCTTTTTAACCCTTTCCTACCTTAAGATCAGATAAATATTCATCTGTACATTCTCTCAGTTAGTTTGTGGCTTCTTCTTATTCCTTTTTATTACTGTTTTACATTTAACTTTTAAATTCATTTTGGAAAAAGATTGTTGGTTTTCCAACAGGAGCCCTTTAAAGGTGCTAAAATTTTTAAACGTTTTAAATTAAAAATTTTAAAGCAAACGGTACCAAGTTAGATAAAAAAATTCATTAAAAAATTTTGTGCATCTGAAGGAAGATCCTTTCCTTCAGCCACTTTGTTCAATTTTGCTGTTTATTTACATAAAATCTTGGGATAAAATGTGAAGAAAATCTTAACCAAGGTGACCCTCACGTACCTGGATAACATCGGCAGGCCTGTTTATATGTTCTTTAAAGACCAAGAGGGTAGGGGCGTAGATATTGATGTTGTACCGCCTTGTCATCTCTTCCGTCCCTCTCAAACCCACATATACATATCCAAATGATAAATAATCTTTGTATGCAAAGGCAGTCAACTGTTAGGGCATAATAGAGAGGAAGAAAATAAAACTACAGCAAAGATGTAAATGACAAATCAAGTAGGGCTTTTTCACATCACTGAGCAGAGAGGTACATGCCAGCTTACACAGCTCCACTAGGTCTTCCGTATCCTTGTATACTTCCATTCTATGGTGTTCCATGTGCAAAAACTGTACCAACAAAGTAAATACAAACAACTCTCTTCTTTTTCATAGCTAAAGCAAAATAACGATCTTCTTGAAATCTGTACTGGTCAGGAGGCATGAGTTTGGGGATTACCTGTACCGTAATTAGGTAAGATGGCAGTGACCATGCCACTGATAACACCTTCCTCTCCGTCTCATGTCACAGTGACATGAGAGGTAGTGGGGAGTGTAGGTAGGCTGGGAGTGTAGTGGGGGAATCATTCACAGGGCAGGTCTGAAGTCAGTGGGAATCGCGCTCACCATGCTGTAGTGAGAACTTGGGTGGGTTATATGACTGCTCTAAGCCTCAGTATCTTGCTCTATGCAAACAGGGATAGTGGCCAGGCGTGGTGGCTCATGCCTTTAATCCCAGCACTTTGGGAGGCCGAGGTGGGCGGATCACTTGAGGTCAGGAGTGCAAGACCAGCCTGGCCAACATGGTGAAACCCCATCTCCACTAAAACACAAAAATTAGCCGAGCGTGGTGGTGTGTGCCTGCAGTCCCAGCTACTCTGGAGGCAGAGGTGAAAGAATTGCTTGAACCCGGTAGGCGGAGGTTGCAGTGAGTCTAGATCACACCACTGCACTCCAGCATGGGCAACAGAGTGAGACTTGGTCTCCGAAAAAAAAAAAAAAGCCCATCACAGTGGCTCATGCCTGTAATCCCAGCAATTTGGGAGGCTGAGGCAGGTGGGTCACAAGGTCAGGAGTTCGAGAGCAGCCTGGCCAACATGGTGAAACCCTGTCTCTACTAAAAATAGAAACGTTAGCTGGGCATGGTAGCACGCACATGTAGTCCCAGCTACTTGGGAGGCTGAGGCAGAAGAATCGCTTGAACCTGGGAGATGGAGGCTGCAGTGAGCCGAGGAGATCGCGCCACTGCACTCCAGCCTGGGCGACAGAGCGAGACTCTGTCTCAAAAAAAAAAAAAAAAGAAACAGGGATAGTATCTCCATCACTGGGTTCTTCTGAGGATTACATGATATGTGCATAGAAAGCACTAACACAGTAACTGGCATTAATCAGTACTCAATGTATGATGGTTATGTAAAATTTCTGGTCTTCAAACATTTCTCATGGATGAAACTGTTTCTTACAAAAAAGACAAATAGGCTATAAGTTCCAACTCAGAGATTACTTTCTGCTAAAAAAAAAAAAAAAAAAAGAAAAGAAAAGAAAAAGAAACCATTATCCTAGCATAGAAAGTACCTTGTATAACAGTGGCACAATGGGCGTTTGGTCAAACAGAAGGACATGAGGCTTATTCTCTTGCTGCCAGCCAGAGAGGAATCTGACGTAATTTTTATTTGTAACCTTAAATTGAAAATAGAATGTTAGTCTCAATATTTAATTCTTAACAATTGTATTATACTCCAGTCAGGAGAAAATAAACAAATCAAGTAAGTGTAAAAGATTGCAAAAAATAAAAATGCAGATAACTAATCTTTTTGTCTTCATTTGGCTAAAGCTATTAAAAGAATGGTGATATTGATTTCATATTTTCATTGAACTCTTACAGACTGAAATCATAATCCTGTCTGAAACAATTACTGACCATATTATAAAAACTGAGCTTCCAGAGTTGGTTCTTGCTTAATTACAGAGTATACTTCTTAATATACTAGCCAGCAGAAAATAACACACAACTGCCCCTTTCAATATCTATCTATCTACCTATCTATCTATCTATCATCTATCTATCATGCCTCAGTCTCCCATCTATCTATCACACCTCAGTCTCCCAGCTTGCCCCTCACCCTTTTTTCTGAGACAGGGTCTTGCTTTGTTGCCCAGGCTAGAGTGCAGTGGCATGATCATGGCTCATTGCACCCTCAACCTCCCAAACCTCCCAGGATCAAGTGATCCTCCCACCTCAGCCTCCTGAATAGCTGGAGCTACAGGTACATGGCACCATGCCTGGCTAATGTTTGCATTTTTTGTAGAGATTGGGTCTCAGTATGTTGCCCAGGCTGGTCTTGAACTTATGGACTCAAGCGATGCTCACACCTCAGCCTCCTAAAGTGCTGGGATTACAGGTATGAGCCACCACTCCAGGCCAGCTTGCTCTTTTTAAACGGCGTAAATAAAAATAAGCTGGTCCACCCCCTCTATACATTATATAATTTCATTTATTGTTATCTGAATTGTTACTTTCCTCCACTGATATCTTAAAATATTCCTGAGAGAAATTAAAAACATGAATAAATTATCTAGCTAGAAATTTTTCTTAGTCGTTAAAAAAAGTTTATCTTTCCATACTGCATCTAGAATGATTTATATAAAACTCAAATTTGATCATTTCACTCTTCTGCTCAAACCCCTACAACGGCTCCATGTGGGCCAAGGCCCAAGTTCCTTAAAGGAGCGTGAAGGTGCTCTGAGGCCCTCACAGGGAGATTCCTAATAACCTCTCCATCCCCCTCCTCTGCTGCTCACCAGTGAAAACTTCTTACAAAGCGGGCTATTTCATGTCTCCAGATTTCTGCCTGCCTGCAACCCAACCTGGTCCAAGGGTCACTTCTGCCAGGAAGCCTTTCCCAACTCATTACGATGGGCTCCAACATACTGGAAATAACCACCCGCTTGGGAGCTGCTTGAAACGGCTATGTTAATCTATGCCGGGCACAGAAGAGATATTTTATGTAAATGTTTGAGGATCTATCAGGACAATCTATCACCATTTTAGAAGCCTCCAATATTCTCTGACAAACTTTTAAGTTAATTCCAACAAATATTTCTCCTATAGATAATGATCCCAGTAGGACAGTCTAGGAATAGCACATGTAGAAATACGATGAAAATTTTTTATGTTCACTTTCCCTGTATTCTTAAGAGAATGAATTATTTAAAGCAAAATGAGAGTCCGTTCCTAGTTACTTTGATCCCTAAATTAAGATATTGAAAAAAACATATTAGGTGCTTAAATATGGAAATAATAGACCAATGTGAACTTTATCTGGCTTCTCTATTTCAACCTTTTCTTTGTGAAATTCATTCATATTATTGTCACTGTAAGTTTCTGAAGTTTCAAAAATAATATTTGATTTCATGGAATCTGGCATTTTCCATAGATATGATCGTTAAACATATAACCAAATATAATTAAATTTGCATAAAGACAAATATCTTCACATGAACAAATTTATGAGCCAGAAAGAAATCCCTAATTCTTTCTAACATGTGATTTAATTTTTTTGTTTAGAAAATAGGCACTGTCATTTTAGGCTCAGATTCCTATGACAGTGTAAGTTCTGCAAGATGGGTATTAATAGGAATTAATTCTTTCAGTCTCTGTACTTCATCTGTTTCAATTATTAGTCTCCTACAGACTTCACTTAAACGATTTAGTTTGAGTAATTAATTAATTAATAAGTGTCATGCCTTCCTCACAATGAAACTCAGGTTTGAGAGGACTACAGAAAATGTTCTGGGCAATTAACAGTCCTAGGTACCTCTTAAACTACTTCTCAGCCATAGTTTCCTTGACAGATACTTACTTTCTCCACCAAGTTCCCTGGAAGAAGACTTTCTACAAATTGTCGCAGATTTTCACGGACAACTGCATTGTGGAAGAAGGAGATTTTCCCGTTAATGATTCCTAGGATAGAGGGCGTGCTGTGTGCCCCTAGGTGATGGGCCAGGCGTCTCTCATACCCAGCATGGACCACGCCAATTCCTACACCTGAAAAGAATGGAAGATCCAAATGAAGCCTTTTTATGTCTCCATGGCAGCTGGAAAAAGTGCTAAGTAATTTTTTGGTGTGAAATTGAAATCCCGACCTCATAGGAGATGTCTTTCCTAATAGACTGTCTAGCATTCTTTCACTGCTGGAATTCTAGATTGGTTCAGTTTTTCTGTAGAGCAATCTGGCAATATGTAAGAAGAGTTACAAATGTGTGTGTGTGTGTGTGTGTGTGTGTGTGTGTGTATGCATATACATAAAACAAAATGGGGTCATCTCATACTTATTTCACTTAATACTTGAACAACTTTTCTTGTTCTTTCATCCAACCATATATTTGGAGGGCCAGTTACTCTGCTAACACTGGAGACACATTCAATATTAAAGGCCGATAAATGTACATTTTCTTTTGGATGTCTACTAGACTTCTCAAGCTTAACATTTCCAAAAACGAACCCCTAATCTCCTCCCACAGACCTGTCCTACCCACGTCTTTGCCATTTCAGTTGATGACAGCTCCATCCTTCCAGTTACTCAGGGCAAAAACTGTAAGCGTCATCTTTGGCTTCTCTTATCTGTTGCACCCCACATCCAATCTGTCGGCAAGTCTTGTTGGTTTTCTCTTTAGAAAATGTCTGGAATTCAACTGTTTTTCATCACTTTCATTATATGCCCTGCTCTGAGTCATCATTATCTCTCCTGCCTATGTTGCTGCAATAATATCCTAAATGCTCTCCCCCTATTTCTCCCTGTCTCCTGACAGTCTGTTCTTAACATAGCAGCCAGGCTGCTCCTCCTAAAACATAAAAATGGATCACATCACTCCTCTGCCCAAACCCTGCAAAGACCCATTTCAGCTGGAATAAAATGCACAATCCTCACAGAGGCCAACAAGACCCTTTGTGTTTGGCCCCTGGTTCCCCATGCCCTCTTCTTCCACTCCTCCAACAGCCTGCGCCAGTCCCCAGCGTCCTTGCTGTGCTATGAAGACAGTGGATGCTCCTGCCTCAGGGCCTTGGCTGTTCCTTCAGCCTGAAGTGTGCATCTCCGTGACTTCTGCGTAGCTGACTTCTTTACCAACTTCAAGTCCTGAATGCGGCCTACCTTGGCACCATATTTAAAACAGTACTCCCCACACTCAGGGTCCACACACAACCTGCTCACTTTAACTTTTTCCACAGCGTTTACCATCTTCTAAGGTACCACCCACTTTCCTTCTGTCAATTGTTTATTGTCTGTCTCCCCTTCTAGAATGTAAGCCTCATGAAGATAGGGATCCCTTTGTAGTCCACTGATGTATCCCCAACACCAGACCAGAGCCTGGCACATAGTAGGAGCTCACTGAAACTGGGCCATCAATCTATTTAATTCATTTATTGTTGCACACTGAAGTTGTGAGAGAGGAAAAACCAACCTGTTTTTCCTACTCACACTCAACACAATGCTTTCCCTGACACTCATTGTGTAAGAGATGGGGTCTCACTATGTTGCCCAGGCTGGTCTCAAACTCCTGGGCTCAAGCGATCTTCCTGCCTCAGCCACCTGAGTAGCTGGGATTCCAGGCACGTGCCACTATGCCCAACTCAATGCTTCCCTTCTGACACCACACGCTGTGGGGGTGGGGGTTCCCCATAAATCCTCCAGCAGACACCAATTGGGTATCAACTCAGTTCTGACACTATCTACCCAGAGGAAGCATCAGGTCCTGCAGGTGAAGGGTTCAGTCCCGTAAGACTGCTCCCACTTCAGACGCCAGAAGTCCCAGGTTGTGTCCTGTACTTCCAACCAACTGGCTATAAATCAAAGGGTCCCATGACCCTCCTTGGGTTCAACTAACTTGCTCGAGCTGCTCACAGAACTCAGGGGAACATTCCTTATGGTTACTCATTAGGTATAAGGGATATTACAAAGGAGACAGATGATCAGCCAGAAGGAAGAGAGGTACATGGTAAGGTATATGGAAGGGTGGGAGCATCCTGCCCTCCCAGGGCTCACCACCCTCCAGGCACCTCCATGTGTTCAGCCACCTGGGAACTCTCAAACCCAGTAGTTCAGGGATTAAATATATATATATGTTCATTTTTTTTGCCAGTAAATGTGAGGCTAGGACACCCCAGGTGAGGCTCCTTACTCAAACGCCTCTCCCATACGGGAGGATGCCTGGGCCCTCTACTGTAGGCTTGGCTGAGGGGAGGTGGTGTAGACTGAGCCCACCCCCCAGGAAACCGAGCCAGAGTTCAGGGATTTTTATGAAGGCTTCATCATACAGGCGTGATCAATTATTAACTCAATCTCCAGCCCCTCTCCTCTTTCTGGAGGATGAGGGTGAAACTTTCAAACTTCTAATCATGGTTTGTTTTTTCTGGTGACCAGCTCCCACACAGGGGCCCACTAAGAGTCGCCTCAATAGAACAAAAGATGCTCCCATCCTGCAGGAAATTCCAAGGATTAGGTGCTCCATCTCAGGAATCAGAGTCAAAGATCAAATACGAGAGCAAAAGATTATCTTAGCACCCCTATTGATCAGGCAATCTCAAGGGTGTTAGGAGATCTGTGCCAGGAACTGGGAACAAACACCAAAATATACATATATTTCTTATTATAAAGCACAATATTAAAGTTGCTTTTAGCCTAATTCTTAACATTATAAGGAATGCTGACGGGCATCCTTGTACATCTTTGTACATACATCTTTGTGCATACATCTTTGTGCTCTTGTGCGCTTATTTTCTAATTAGTAAATTCCTAAAATGAAATTGCTGAGTAAATGGCAGGGATCCCAAACTTAATGTTTTAAAACTGCTGAGCAGACTAAACCAAGCTCTCTGTAGGCTACCTGACTTTGACTGTTGCAGTCTCTCAAGGGCAGGAAAGGAGGAGCCTTAGGAATTGTATAGTCCGCTTCCCTCATTTTACAGATACAGAGAGAGGTTCAGAGAGGTAAAGTGACTTTTTCCAGGTTGCAGAGCTGACAGAATTGCAGAACAAGAATCCAAATTGGATTCTTGGCTCTTCTCTAGAGCCAAGTACAGTATACTATATCACACTGCAGTCATTAAAAATAACTATGGAACAATGTCAATAAATGGAAGCATACAGAGAATTATATGAGCAGAAGAAAGAAAAAGAATAAAGCAGGCACATACATTGGGAGATTTGGTCATTCGTAAAGACAGAAGAGACATCACCTAGGGAGGTCAACTGGCTACAAGACAAAGGCCCAAGGGAGGGATTATCACTTCTTGAGTGCCTTCTTTAGCACACCTAGAGCTTTATATACATTATACTTTTCATACTCACAATCATTCTGCAAGGTAAGTATTGCTATCTTTATGGCTAAGGAAACTGAAGCTGGGGGAGGGTGAGGCATCATGGTTTGTGTGCAGTGGAACCAGGATCTGAATCTAGTTCTAGCTGACCACAAAGCCTGGACTTCTTACTGCCTCCAATGACCAGTTCTGCCCCAGGTTCTGAACATTAGAGGGATCAATTTCTCAGTGACTGACTCACCCTAAATGACCTTACCAGGGATTGCTATATAGATTGAATGCCAATTTATGAACTGATCCTGGGAAATATGCCTTTCTAGTAACTGTGCCATTCAGTATACGTTATACCAGACCGAGCGCACACAGAAACCTGAATTAGAAACTGAAAAGTTGGCTGGGCACGGTGATTCATGCCTGTAATACCAGTGCTTTGGGAGGCTGAGGCGGGAGGATCGCTTGTGACCAGGAGTTTAAGACCAGCCTTCACCATCTCTTTCGTATCTCCTGGAGTTTAAGACCAATCTTCACCATCTCTATTTTACCTATAAGAAAACTGAGACATGGAGAGGTGAAGTCCCAGGGTGACAGAGTTGGCAAGTGACGGTGATGGGATCTGAACCCAGGAAGTCTGGCTCTGGGATCTGTGACGATTAACGTGATGAGTCTAAAAAAAAGTTAGCTGGGCATGCCCGTGTGTGCCTCTAGTCCTAGCTACGTGGGAGGCTGTGGTTGGAGAAATAGAATAAAGAATGATAAATATTTGGTGTTTTACATTTGTGGTTTTTTTCTTTTCTTTTTTTTTTGAGACGGAGTCTCATTCTGTCGCCCAGGCCAGACTGCAGTGGCGCAATCTCAGCTCACTGCAACCTCTGCCTCCCTGGTGCAAGCAATTCTCCTGTCTCAGCCTCCCCAGTAGCTGGGATTACAGGCACACACCACCATGCCCAGTTAATTTTTGTATTTTTAGTAGAGACAGGATTTTACCACATTGGTCAGGCTGGTCTCGAACTCCTAACCTCAGGTGATCCACCCGCCTTGGCCTCCCAAAGTGCTGGGATTACAGGCATGAGCCAACATGCCCGGCCACTTTATTTTATTTTTTGAGACAGAGTTTTGCTCTGTTGCCCAGGCTGGAGTGCGGTGACTCGATCTTGGCTCACTGCAACCTCCACTCCTGGGTTCAAGCAATTCTCCTGCCTCAGCCTCCTGAGCAGCTGAGATTACAGGCACGCACCACCACGCCTGGCTAATTTTTGTATTTTCAGCACAGACGGGATTTCACCATGTTGGCCAGGCTGGTCTCAAACTCCTGACCTCAAGTGATCTGTGCACCTCAGCCTATCGAAGTG
The DNA here is from genome assembly GCF_000001405.40 of Homo sapiens. Lineage (NCBI taxonomy): Eukaryota > Metazoa > Chordata > Mammalia > Primates > Hominidae > Homo > Homo sapiens. The sequence continues at coordinate 15,539,779 of NC_000001.11, read as the reverse complement.
CTGTGATTACAGGCGTGAGCCACCATGCCTGGCCAATTTGTGGTATTTTTCTTCCCGAAAAGATATTTAAAGACAGGTACAATGGCAGGCACCTCTAATCTCAGCTACTTGGGAGGCTGAGGCAGCAGGACTGCTTAAGCCCACGAGGTTGAGGTTGCAGTGAGCCATGATTATGCTATTACACCCTGGCCTGGGTGACAGAATGATGTCTCTTAAAAGAAAAAGAAAAAAAAAAGCCAGGCGTGGTGGCTCACACCTGTAATCCCAGCACTTTGGGAGACCGAGGTGGGCGGATCACGAGGTCAGGAGATCGAGACCATCCTGGCTAACACGGTGAAACCCCGTCTCTACTAAAAATACAAAAAAATTAGCCGGGCGTGGTGATGGGTGCCTGTAGTCCCAGCTACTAGGGAGGCTGAGGCAGGAGAACGGTGTGAACCTGGGAGGCGGAGCTTGCAGTGAGCAGAGATCGCACCACTGCACTCCAGCCTGGGCGACAGAGAGAGCCTCCGTCTCAAAAAAATAAAAAAAAAAAATAAAATAAAAAGGCATATGTGACTTATTTCAGAAACATTATTTGATGTTTATATAAATTGATGCTTCTGGCTAATCTGCACACCCTCGGGAATTAAAAATACTATACTGAGGCTGTGAGAGGGTCTTCCGTGCATTAGTAAACATCTGTCATACCCATAATTTGAGATGCCAAACAGCTCTCACTAAGCAATCCTAAACACATATCACACCCTTTAGGGAAGTTTTTTCCCCCCTCAGCTGCACATACACATTAATTTTCTCTCCACCTTTGAATAGGCCTTAGGGGATGGCACAGAGCCAACTGGAAGAACACGCCACTCGAATGTGGCTAAATACAAACATGCTGGTACACTAACCACAAGATGCAAAATAACGTGAAATGAAACAAAATCAAGAACACAGAGCTAAAGCAGAAAAATGCGTTATTTTTGCCAGTATTTAGGATGACTTTTTTTCTAGACAGTATGAGACTCTTATATACTTAGAAATCCTTAAAAGATAGGAATTAGTCTTTTTTTTGTTTTTCTGAGACAGAGTTTCGCTCACTGCCCAGGCTGGAATGCAATGGTGTGATCTCAGCTCACAGCAACCTCCAACTCCAGGGTTCAAGTGATTCTCCTGCCTCAGCCTCCCGAGTAGCTGGGATTACAGGCACGTGCCACTATGTCCAGCTAATTTTGTATTTTTACTAGAGACAGAGTTTCAGCATTTTGGCCAGGCTGGTCTCGAACTACTGACCTCAGGTGATCCGCCTGCCTTGGCCTCCCAAAGTGCTGGGGTTACAGGCATGAGCCACTGCGCCTGGCCAGGAATTAGTCTTCCTTTTTTTCTTTTTATTTTTTTTTCTTGAGACAGAGTCTCGCTCTGTCACCCAGGCTGGAGTGCAGTGGCACGATCTTGGCTCACTGCAACCTCTGCTTCCCGGGTTCAAGCGATTCTCCTGCCTCAGCCTCCGGAGTAGCTGGGACTACAGGCACCCGCCACCACTCCTGGCTGATTTTTGTATTTTTAGTACAGATGGGGTTTCACCATGTTGGCCAGGCTGGTCTCGAACTCCTGACCTTGTGATCCACCTGCCTCAGCCTCCCAAAGTGTTGGGATTACAGGTATGAGCCACCGTGCCCAGCAGTCTCTCTTTTTAAACAGGAAGTCATGGTGAATAAATTGCCAAACCCAGGTAATCACTGCCTGATCATCCAAATTGAGTTTCCCTAAAATGATATTTGATTTCAAGATGCTCAACTTCTGGGCCACGCTGGTAGCTCTGCCTGCACCTTCCAGCAAGCACTAAATGTGCTGAGATGATTGAGGTATGTTTCTTATGTGAGTTTCCTGGGCACAAGGACCATGATTTACTTATTTCTGAAGCAGTACGCGCGCAGTGTTTAAGACGGTCAGACTCCTGGGTCCAACCCAATACTGATGCTTATGGGTAGTGTAATAATGAATTAGTTCCTTAACCTTCAATGCCTTAGTTCCCTCACCTGTAAAATAGAGATAATAATAGTCTCTCCTTCATTGAGTTGCTCTGGGGACAAAAATAATGCACAGAAAGCATTTACCACAATGCAAGGGAACTGAAATGTTCAATAAAAATTATTATTATTATATATCCTTTAGTGTCTAATACAGTAATTGGAACATGAAAGTTGACTGAGAAAAAAGTTTCAAACGAAGGTATCTGTTTCATGGGCAAGGAGTTAGAAAATACAGAAGGAATTTCTTGTCATCTTTGTCTACTCCTTCAGTAAAACATTATTCTGTGCTTGCAAATGTGAGGTCAGTGTTAATTCTCTGTGTATATATTTTCTCTTCAACCAAATGGTGAACTCAAGGTCAGGGATGGTGCTAGTTCTGGGCCCTCTTCCACAGCACACTTCTCTTTAAACACTGGATGCTTTTACACACTAGTTTTTACCAGTGTGTGACTGAAGATTCCTTAGCTGACTTCCAACCCCCTTCAAGGCTCAGCTCACAATAAGTAAAAAATTGGTGCTTCGGAGTCACAGAGTTGAAGAAAGCAGACTAATACATTTAAGAAAGATTTTCAAAAAGGGTTTATAGAATAGGCAATTTAAAAAACCTGCTTTGGGGCCAGGCATGGTGGCTCCCACCTGACATCCCAGTACTGTGGGAGGCCGAGGCAGGCAGATCACTTGAGGTCAGGAGTTTGAAGCCGGCCTGGCCAACGTGGTGAAACCCTGTCTCTACTAAAAATACAAAAATTAGCTGGGCGTGATGGTGGGTGCCTGTAATCCCAACTACTCGGGAGGTTGAGGCAGGAGAATCACTTGAACCCGGGAGGTGGAGGTTGCAGTGAGCCGAGATCACACCACTGTACTCCAGCCTGGGCAACAGAGCAAGACTCCATCTTGAAAAAAAAAAAGTCATCTATATAAATATCTTTCAGTGAATAAAATTATCTTACCCAATTCTTCCAGTTCTTGAATGACTTCTTTCCACACAGGCTCGATATGAATGCAGCTAAAGCACCAATCGGAGGTGATCTTGATGAGGTAGGGTTTCTTGAAGCTATCTGGAACCACTTCATTCACATAATGTGAAAAGTGCAATAAATACTTTTCGTCAATTGAGTCCCGCCGTTCAGAATTAAAAGGGAAGTGAAAAAAGGATTCATCAAAATAAAAATTTTCATGGAAATGGCGGAAGCGATACTCTCGCTGCTGTTGCTGCTTCTGGTAGCCCTGGTTCTCTCCAGCGTCTCCATATTGATCATAATTTGATCTCTTTTCTTCATTTGAAAGAATCTATAAAGGAAGAAAAAAATCTAAACAACAACAAAAGGTTCATCCAAAAGACTTTTTTGTAAGCAGCTTGAAAGACATAGGAAGAAAATAAATGCAGCCAGTCGTGGTGGCTCACACCTGTAATCCCAGCACTTTGGGAGGCTGAGGCGGGTGGATCACTTGAGGTCGGGAGTTTGAGATCAGCCTGACCAACATGGAGAAACCCCGTCTCTACTAAAAATACAAAAAATCAAATCAGCCGGGAGTGGTGGCGCATGCCTGTAATCCCAGCTACTCGGGAGGCTGAGGTAGGAGAATTGCTTGAACCCAGGAGGCGGAGGTTGAGGTGAGCCGAGATGGTGCCACTGCACTCCAGCCTAGGCAACAAGAGCGAAACTCCGTCTCAAAAAAAAAAAAAAAAAAGAAAAGAAAAGAAAAGAAAAGAAATGTAAAAATTATGACACGATTATGTGAGGCCAAGGTTTGGAGGATCCCTTGAAGCCAGGAGTTCAAGACCAGCCTGGACCACATAGCATGACTTTGCTACAAAAAGAAAAAAAAAAATCGGCCAGGCATGGTGGTGCGTGCCTATAGTCCTAGCTACTTGGGAGGGTGAGGTGAGTGGGAGATTGCTTGAGCCCAGTAGTTGAAGGCTGCAGTGAGCTGTGATCGCATCACTGTACTCCAGCCTGGGTGACAGAGACAGACTGTCTCTTAAGAAAAAAGAAAAAAGATTATGACATAATTAGATATTCTTTTTCTTTTCGAGATAGAGTCTCACTCTGTCACCCAGGCTGGAGTGAAGTGGCGTGATCACAGCTCACTGCAGCCTCCATCTCTCAGGGTCAACCTTCCATCTCAGCCTCCTGAGTAGCTAGGACCATCAGCACATGCCACCATGCCTGGCTAATTTTTGTATTTTTCACCATGTTGTCTAGGCTGGTCCTGAATTCCTCAGCTTAAGCGATCTGCATGCCTCAGCCTCCCCAAGTGCTGGGATTACAGGGCGTGAGCAGCCACTGGGTCCAGCCGATTAGATATTCTAAATGCAGTCATTCAAAAGAATGAGAAACTCTTCTTTCACTAGAGAAACATTAAAGAACATTCAAGACTAAAATATTTCAGTTTAGGTACTCATGCTCATCTTGGCATTAAAGATTTCAAACTACCACAACATTAAACACTTCAGCAAAACAAATAAAATAACATAATGTTGATCACCAGGGCTCAATGACAAGAAAATTGACCTGGTCATACCTGGTGAGTTGGACCAATTCAAACCAAGATAAGAAAAGCTATGAACACCAAATAGCTATAGTCTAGTGCCTTGTCTGTTAATTTACTTTGTTTTACAAAATAACTTTGAAGTCTAAAATTCAGGAATCTGTTTTAGAATGATGACGTGTTATTCTATGAGCTAAGCACTGTCTGCTGAAGGGCATTCCCTATACAAATCAGAAAGCCACTGAATTCTCTTTGATGCATATTCCAGACCAATCTACTTGAGCTGACATACTGGAAAATTACTGAAAATCTTGTGTTTAAATGTATTTGTTACCTCGTGCCACTTTAATAAATATAGGCGATTTGGTATGTGATTCTTTAATGCATATTTCTAAGAAGGCAATAGTGACACATACAGACATACTCAGGGTAATTCTACAATTCTAGTTAAAGCCTTTAAAATAGGCCAGTTTTTCCAAGAGCTGAAGTGTTCAGGCACTTGTTCCAATATACTGGATGTGGCCAAATATGTTCTATTATTTTTTATTTTATTTTATTTTTTGAGACGGTCTCCCTCTGTTACCCAGGCCTCGATCTCTGCTCACTGCAACCTCCCACTCCCGGGTTCAAGCAATTCTCCTGCCTAAGCCTCCTGAGTAGCTGGGATTACAGGCACGTGCCACCACGCCCGGCGAATTTTTTTTGTATTTTTAGTAAAGACAGGGTTTCAGCATGTTGGTCAGGCTGGTCTCGAACTCCTGACCTCGTGATCCACCCACCTCGGCCTCCCAAAGTGCTGGGATTACAGGCATGAGCCACCGCATCCAGCCTGTTCTCTCTATTATAATCTAGAAACTGCATCAAGGGCATGGGGAACATGACCTTTCTGACAACTTTACAAAACTCATCACCTCCTAAGGCATATTTTGTAAGAGCTAATGGATGCATCACAAAGCTGGACACGATACCTCGTAAGCCTTACTGATTTGAATGAACTTGTCTTCTGCTCCAGGATCTTTGTTTTTGTCAGGATGC